>NC_000015.10:73276874-74526874 GCF_000001405.40 Homo sapiens | reverse complement strand
TTAGGCTGCAGTGAGCTATGATGGCACCATTGCATTCCAGCCTGGGCAACAGTGTAAGATCCTGTCTCCCCTGCCAACGCCCCCCGCAAAAAAAGCAAAAATAAAGAAAATAAAAACAAAGAAGTTATTTTATTTATTTATTTATTTTTGACGGAGCCTTGCACTGTCACCCAGGCTGGAGTGCGGTGGCGCAGTCTTGGCTCACTGCAAGCTCCGCCTCCCAGGTTCACGTCATTCTCCTGCCTCAGGCTCCCGAGTAGCTGGGACTACAGGTGCCCACCACCACGCCCGGCTTTTTTTTTTTTGTACTTTTAGTAGAGATGGGGTTTCACCGTGTTAGCCAGGATGGTCTTGATCTCTTGAGCTCATGATCCGCCTGCCTTGGCCTCCCAAAGTGCTGGGAATACAGGTGTGAGCCCCTGCGCCCGGCAAAGGAGTTATTAATGTACTGATACAGAACACTTAGCAGGAAATTTAATGAAAAAAAAAAAAAAAAACAGAAAACAAAAAAACAAGGTTCACTACAGGGTGTTTAGTATGTTACCATTAATAATTATTGTTTAAAAGGATATGCATATATAGTCATGTTGAACAAGCATGACTCATGGGGTGTGTATCAGTTAATAATAGGTTAAACTACTGTGACAAATAGATCCAAAATATGACTCAGTAAAATACTTAATTTCTTGCTCACCTAACAGTCCCGGGCGGATATTCAGGTCAATGGGGCCACTCTCCTCCACTTTTTTCATTAAGGGGCCCAGAAGCTGTCCATCTATTATCCCCTGGATCAGGTAGTGACACACATTGGTTCCACTCACATTACATTGGAGAAAACCGTCACATGACCACACTCAAATTGAATGGGAGTATGGGAAACAGTCTTGTTGTGTGCCTAAAGAGAATAATGACTTTTGGTAGATAGCAAGGGGTCGCTGCTACAGTCAGCCTCTCTGACCAGCAAATCTCATATTCACCCTTCTCCCAAGAGCTATGACAAAAACTTCCATTCATTTATAGGATTCATATCAGAATCTGGATTGTGGTCTTCTGTAATTGGCCTGAGTGAATTTCCTCATGGTCTAGCAATCTATGAACTAAAAGCCAAGTGGTTGCCACTTTCTCCCCACCCCAATAAACCCACCTGCCCATCTACAATGATGAAGCAGAGACAGGAAAAGGGCAATAGCAAATCCTATTTGGAAAAGGGAGAATGGGAAAAACCCAACCTTCCTGTCCAAAGCAATTATGGAGTTCTGCTAGATATGCATTATGAAGACATCCTTTCCTGGCAGTGGATGAATTTCCTAGATTAGACCAGATTTTGCTCTTTAGGAAAAATTATCCTGGCATTGTTCTCCTTCCACCCTTGTTCTGCCCTCTGGCAAGTTCTTCCTCAGCCATTGTTCTTCCTGGCTTTGTGTGAAGTGGGGTGCCTGTCCTCCTTGGGAACTACACAGCCTTGAAAGCCTCCTTCCTGATGGTGCAACTTTGGATTTCCAAGTGTTACTTTATGGTTTTACTTATTTATTCGGACCAGGCTGGGGAATTTTTTGGCAATACAGTTCACTCAGAAACTTTTTGGATCGATTTGCCTCAAAGCAAACAGTATCTTGTGCCACAACAGTATCTTGTGCCAAAAAAAAAATATATATATATATATATTTTTTTTTTTTTTTTAAAGAGAGGGTCTTATGCCATCATATATATATATATGTATATATATACATATATATATACATATATATATATACATATATATATATATATATATATATATATGTATATATATATATATTTTTTTTTTTTTTTTTTTTTTTTTAAAGAGAGGGTCTCATGCCATCGCCCAGGCTGGAGTGCAGTGGCACCATGTCAGCTCACTGCAATCTCCACCTCCCGGGTTCAGGTGATTCTCCTGCCTCAGCCGGGATTACAGGTGCCTGCCACCATGCCTGGCTAATTTTTTTTTTTTTTTTGAGACAGTCTCGTTCTGTCACCCAGGCTGGAGTGCAGTGGTGCGATCTCAGCTCACTGCAAGCTCCGCCTCCCGGGTTCTCGCCATTCTCCTGCCTCAGCCTCTCGAGTAGCTGGGACTACAGGCACCTGCCACCGTGCCTGGCTAATTTTTTGTATTTTTAGTAGAGACGGGGTTTCACCATGTTAGCCAGGATGGTCTCGATCTCCTGACCTCGTGATCTGCCTGCCTCAGCCTCCCAAGGTGCTGGGATTACAGGCGTGAGCCACCGCGCCCGGCCAACCTGGCTAATTTTTGTATTTTTAGTAGAGGCGGGGTTTTGCCATGTTGGCCAGGCTGGATTTTTTTCAAGACATAAATATCAACTTTTGCTTATCTCTTTCTTTCTTCACTCCATGCCTCTCTCTCTCAACTTAATGGCAGTTACAGTGAGGCCATAGGAAACAATAGGTTTAGGTAAGAGAAAACACCTTTAAACTGTTCTTTGCAGTAGTGCTGAATTCCTCTGTTTAATTGAAATACCTTAGTGGACCTGTGTTTCTCAAAGCCTTTTCAGTCTTTTTTCCTGTTGTTGGGGTTCAGCAGCTTCTCCAACCCTACAAGGCTCCATTGCTGGACTCCTTCTATTCCTTTTCCTTTCACCTGCAAGTCAGTATGTTCTTACCTGAGCTTATCTCTTACTATATCTTGTTAAACACAGCAAGGAATGACTAACACACATGAACATTCTGACTCATGGGCCATGGCTTCAGAATACCATGGAAAGAAACAGAAAATTTTCCTTCTCAATTGGTATCCCTGTTAAAAATAGACAACAAATAAATGAGTTTCATGATGTCTTGGAAATTGCTGTCATTAAGCAGAGGCCCACACTTTAAAAAAATGAGAAGAAATGCTTTAGCAGATCTTTATACTTATAAGTTGCTCTGTCTGAAGTCTTTAAAAGTGAGTTCTTTTAGCAACAGAATGATGATGAGCCCATGGAGAGGTTCAAGAATTCCATCATCTATGCACACTATTGGGTTATAAGATCCATGAGGACAGCCTCCATGTAGCACCAGAAAAGTTCAAACGAACACTTACAAAAGCTCTCCATAGAACAGTTTACCGCAGTGGGGGTGATATGGTTTGGGTCTGTGTCCCCACCCAAATCTCATGTTCAATTGTAATCCTTAATGTTGGAGGTGGGGCCTTACGGAAGGTGATTGGATCATGGGGGTGGTTTCTCATGGTTTAACATCATCACCCTTGGTGCTGTCATCATGATAGTGAGTTCTCATGAGATCTGGTTGTTTAAAAGTACATGGCACTTCCCCACCACACTCGGTACTGCTTCTGTCATGTAAGCCTCCTGATCTCGCTTTGCCTTCTGTCATGATTGTAAGTTTTCTGAGGCCTCCCCAGAAGCGGAGCAGATGCTGCCATGCTTCCTGTACAGCCTGCAGAACCATGAGGTGATTAAAACTCTTTTTTTTTTTTTTTTGAGACACTCAAAGTGGCTAAGAAACTAATGGACTTTGTATTCCCTACAGGAGCTATTCTAATTTAATTGTGTAATGATAGATAAACTTATTTTACTGGGGCAATCATTCTTGAGCTATGTAAAGCATTGCCTGTCATGTCAAAGCCTCGTGCTCCTTACCACTCTCAATCATCTAGAAAAGTCAAAACCACAAAAGGAGTACTAAGCTTAAATTAACTAAATTATCAGACACACTTGAGTTCCCATGGCCTTAAATACTGTCCTTTGCTCTATGACTCTGTGTTCTGCCCATTCAGGAACCCATAGACTGTCTCCCTCTGATTCGGCCACTGGCAGGCAGGCCCATATAACTAGGAGTCCCTCCACCCATACTTGATTCTAATCTCTTACAGGCAGATCTGGCTACCTTTTCAAGCTGCCTTCTGTGTTACTTTGACATGTCACTATCATTCTTTTTTCTTTTTCTTCTTTTTTTTTTTGAGACGGAGTTTCGGTCTTGTTGCCCGGGCTGGAGTGCAATGGTGCGATCTCGGCTCACCACAACCTCTGCCTCCCAGCTTCAAGCAATTTTCCTGCCTCAGGCTCCCAAGTAGCTGGGATTAGAGGCATGTGCCACCATGCCCGGCTAATTTTGTATTTTTAGTAGAGATGGGGTTTCTCCATGTTGGTCAGGCTGGTCTTGAACTCCTGACCTCAAGTGATCCGCCACCTCAGCCTCCCAAAGTGCTGGGATTACAGGTGTGAGCCACTGCGCCCAGCCTCATTCTTTTTTTTTTTTCTTTTTTTAAAAACAGAATTTCATTCTTGTCGCCCAGGCTGGAGTGCAGTGGTGCAATTTCAGCTCACTACAGCTTCTGCCTCCTGGGTTCCAGTGATTCTCCTGCCTCAGCCTCCTGAGTAGCTGGGAGTACAGGTGTGCACCACAAAGCCTGGCTAATTTTTGTATTTTTAGTACAGACGGGGTTTCGCCATGTTGGCCAGGCTGGTCTCGAACTCTTGACCTCAGGTGATCCGCCTGCCTCAGCCTCCCAAAGTGCTGGGATTACAGGCATGAGCCACCGCGCCCAGCCCATTCTTTTTTTTCTTGGAGACAGGGTCTTCCTCTGTTCTTCAGGCTGGAGTGCAATGGTGTGATCATGGCCCACTGCAGGCTCAACCTCCTACCTCAGTCTCCCGAGTAGCTGAGACTATAGGTGTGCGCCACCACACCTGGCTAATTTTTAAGTTTTGTGTAGAGATGGGGTCTTACTCTGTTGCCCAGGCTGGTCTACAACTCCTGGGCTCAAGTGATCCCCCTGTCTTGGCCTCCCAAAGTGCTTGGATTACAGCTGTGAGCCACTGAACCCAGTTTGTCATGTGTTTCTTTTTGCACAAATGAATATATACATGTGTATTTTCTTATTTCCCCCTTTTATTTCTTACCCAGAAGGGAAGGTAGCATACTACAAGATCATATATATATATATATATATATTTTTTTTTTTTTTTTCCCCCAAGAGATAGAGTCTAGCTCTGTGCAGTGGTGCAATGGTGCAGTGGTGCAATCATAGCTCACTGTCGCCTTGAACTCCTGGGCTCCAGGGATTCTCCTGCATCAGCCTCCCAAGTAGGTGGGACCACAGACACACACCACCACAGCTGGCTAATTTTTTAAAAACTTTTTGTAGAGACTGTGGGTGGGACAGGTGGTCTCACCATCTTGTCTAGACTGGTCTTGAACTACTGGGCCCAATAGATCCTCCCACCTCAGCTTCCCAAAGTATTGGAATTACAGGTGTGAGCCACTGTGTCTACTGTATACGGGCTTTTTATTATTCCTGTTTCTGTTGTTGATACTCTTGCCTTTAGTAAACTCCTCCTATACAACAATTACTTATCCACAGTTAGCCCACAGTCTAGCCAGATTCAGTTGCTGGGTTGCACTCACTTCCCTTTAGGTTGTATAATTCTTTTGGGTAGTAATCCCCTCAAGTGATATCAATGACTTCATAATGAATGAAGTTATTATGAACTCTTAACATAATTACTGATAATCACCATCACAAACCTTATATTTCTAAGCCACCAATACCAATATTGTCATGCCTAAAGTAGGACATTTTTGCTTACACAGAAATCAAACTAAAGGGCCTAAGGTGGGGACCAGTTCGTGTGTTCAAATTTTTGTAGCACTGACAGCCCAGGGGAAGAATCACTGGTATGGTTTATCTTAAAAAATGCATAACCTGTACAACTCTTACCACAAAGGCATACCAAAGCATTATTTTCAGATATTTTAAGTTAGTTTTAAAGTGAAGTAGACTCAGATTCATTATCTTTGCCAGGATCCATAATGAGAGTTCTGGATTTTCCTGGCCTGAACCCAGTTCCTAGGTGACTCCTAATGAGTGGTACTTGCTTTGTGGAATAAAGAACTCCTGGTTACTCCCTGAAAATTGGTGATATGTTTCTATTTATGGCAACTGATTCCTGTATTAAGAATCATTCATGGCCGAGCACGGTGGCACATGCCTGTAATTTCAGCACTTTGGGAGACCAAGGCAGACAGATTGCTTGAGGCCAGGAGTTTGAGACCAGCCTGGGCAACATGGCGAGACTCCATCTCTACTAAAAATGTAAAAATTAGCTGGGCATGGTGGTGCCTGTGGTCCCAGCTACTTGAGAAGCTGAGGCTGGAGAATCACTTGAACCCAGGAGGCTGGGGTTGCAGTGAGCCAAGATCACACCACTCACTCCAGCCTGGGCACAGCAAGACCCTGTCTCAAAATAATAATAATAATAATAATAATAATAATAATAATAATTCAGGACCTCACTCATAGACCCTTAATAATAATAATAATAATAATAATTCAGGACCTCACTCCTAGACCCTTTTGGTCAAAATTATCTAAAGAGAAATCCTTTTTTAAAAAAACGGTCTCAGCTGGGCACGGTGGCTCAGCCTGTGATCCCAGCACTTTGGGAGGCCAAAGTGGACGTATCACGAGGTCAGGAGTTTGAGACCAGACTGGCCAATATGGTGAAACCCCGTCTCTACTAAAAATACAAAAATTAGTCGGGCGTGGTGGCGTGCGTACCTGTAGTCCCAGCTACTCGGGAGGCTGAGGCAGAAGAATTGCTTGAACCCTGGAGGTGGAGGTTGCAGTGAGCTGAGATCGTGCCCCTGGACTTCAGCATGGGTGGCAGAGCAAGACTGTCTCAGAAAAAAAAAAAAGGGTCTCTCTGTTACCCAGGCTGGAGTACAGTGGCACAAACATGGCTCACTGCAGCCTTGACCTTCTGGGCTCAAGTGATCCTCCTGCCTCAGCCTCCTGAGTAGCTGGTACTACAGGCGTAGGCCACCGTGCCAGGCTAACTTTTAAACGTTTTTTGTAGAGATGAGGTCTTGCTATGTTGCCCAGGCTGGTCTCAAACTCCTGGGCTCAAGCAATCCTCCCACCTCAGTCTCCCAAAGTGCTGGGATTACTGGTGTGAGCCATTGTACCGGGCCTAAAGGGAAACCCTTTCATTACTTTCTTTTTTTTTTTTTTTGAGATGGAGTTTCACTCTTGTTGCCAAGGCTGGAGTGCAATGGCATGATCTGAGCTCACTGCAGCCTCCGCCTTCCAGGTTCAAGCGATTCTCCTGCCTCAGCCTCCCAAGTAGCTGGGATTACAGGTGTGTGCCACCACACCTGGCTAATTTTTGTATTTTTAGTAGAGTGGGGTTTCACCATATTGGCCAGGATGGTCTCGAACTCCTGACCTCAGGTGATTCACCCGCCTTGGCCTCCCAAAGTGCTGGAATTACAGGCATGAGTCACTGCATCCGGTCCCTTCATTTCTGTTACAAGCAATTAAACCTTGGCATAAGAGAATTTTGAAATTTTTTTTGTCCCCAGACAGCTTCACACCATGCTTTACAGGGGGCACATATATTTGAGAGAATTCTTCAAGTTTATGACTGTACAAATGACTGAAAGCTTAACAAAGACCTTCTAAGCTTTAGACTTATTGCAAGAAGGCAGTCAGCCAAAATAGAGCGCCCATGACATATTCTCCTTATCTCACCAAAAGGAACTTGTGCTGTGCTAAAGGAAAATATTGCACTTGTATTTCCCAAGATGTCTCAGAGATTTTCAACATTAGCAAAGAGATTAGAGAAACTTCAAAAAATTTCAAATGATAACAACCTGGTCAATATTCCTTTGTCTGGGCCAGGCACGGTGGCTCATACTTGTAATCCCAGCACTTTGAGAGGCCGAGGCAGGTGGATCCCTTGAACCCAGGAGTTCGAGACCAGCCTGGCCAACATGGCGGAACCCCATCTCTACCAAAAGTACAAAAATTAGCTGGGCTTGGTGGTGCACACCTGTAGTTACAGCTACTCACTCAGGAGGCTGAGGTGGGAGAATCACCTGAGCCTGGGAGTTCGAGGCTGCGGTGAGCTGAGATCATGCCACTGCACTTCAGCCTGGGTGACAGAATGAGACTCTATCTCAAACAAAAAACATTTCTTTGTCTTATCCCCATACTTCAGGTCAAAAAGAGGGTTTAATCTGTGAAAACTTGGATCATGATTTTGGTGCACTTTCCAGTCCTTCCTTATTCTACTAGTTGTAGGCTGGGTATGGTGGCTCACACCTGTAATCCCAGCACTTCGGGAGACCAAGGCAGGCGGATCACCTGAGGTCAGGAGTTTGAGACCACCATGGCCAACATGACGAAACTTCGTCTCTACTAAAAATACAACAATTAGCGGGGTGTGGTGGCGCACCTGTAATTCCAGCTACTAGGGAGGCTAAGGCATGTGAATTGCTTGAACCCAGGAGGTGGAGGGTGCAGTGAGCTGAGATCGCACCACTGCACTCCAGCCTGGGTGATGGAGTGAGACTGACTCTAAAAAAAAAAAAAAATCTAGTCCTGTGTGTGTGTGTGTGTGTGTGTGTGTGTGTGTGTGTGTGTGTGTATTTTTAAAGACAGAGTCTCCGGCCGGGCACACCTGTAATCCTAGCACTTTGGGAGGCCAAGGCGGGTGGATCACCTCAGGCCAGGAGTTTGAGACCAACCTGGCCAACATGGTGAAACCCCATCTCTACTGGAAATACAAAAAATTAGCCAGGCATGGTGGTAGATGCCTGTAATCCCAGCTACTCGGGAGCCTGAGTGAGGCAGGACAATCACTTGAACCTGGGAGGCGGAGGTTGCAGGGAGCCAAGATTGCGACACTGCACTCCAGCCTGGGCAACAAGAGCGAAACTCTGTCTCAAAAAAAAAGACAGAGTCTCGCTCTGTTGCCCAGGCTGGAGTGCAGTGATGCGATCTCTGCTCACTGCAACCTCTGCCTCCTGGGTTCAAGAGATTCTCCTGCCTCAGCCTCCCTAGTAGCTGGGATTACAGACGCCCCCCAACACGCCTAGCTAATTTTTGTATTTTCAGTAGAGACGGGGTTTCACCATGTTGGCCAGGCTGGTCTCGAACTCCTGACCTCAAGTGATCTGCCCACCTCGTTCTCCCAAAGTGCTGGAATTACAGGCGTGAGCCACTGTGCCTGGCATATATTTTAATGTTGTATTTATATACTGTCTAGCTGGTGTCCAGAATTTTAAACTCTACTGTGTGTTGGCTGTCTCATCAGATGGTGCAACAGATGATCTTGAATCAAAAACAAAATGAAATCATGATGATCACCACAGCCACCATTTCACCCCCGAAGGAAAACCATGTCAGTGGACTACATCTAGAGTTCTAGACCAGGGGCTAGCAAACTATGGCCAATGAGTTAAGTCTGGCCCACCACTTGTTTTTTTAAGTAACGTTTTATTGAAACACAGCCACACCTATTCATTTACGAATCATTTGTGCTATTTTTGTGTGACAGCAGCAGAGTTAAGTTGTTACGATAGAGTCAGTAGGGCTCACAGAACCTAAAATATTTACGTTTTGTCCCTTTACAGAAAAACAGTTGCCCACCACTGTTCTAGACAATATTTAATGGCCTCTTCCATGACCTGTCAAGCAGGGGCAAAATGGGAGATGACAATAGAAAATTCCATTCTTGCCTGAAGAACCTAGCTGATGTCTGCAGGCATTTACACAGGAAACTATAAGATGAATCAATATCAGTCTTGGGCTGAATCACCTGCAGTCATCAAACCTTACATCAATAGGTCACCTGTTCTTGAAACCTATCTAATCAGTGACTAACCCTACTCACTTTGAGCCAAAACCAATCACTTATATTTTCCTAAAATCCCATATAAACCTATTTTTTACTTTGTTCACAGGGATTACATGTATCTTTGCAGTTCTCCCTTGCCCAGCAAGAAATGAATTCTACTTTTGTTTTCTAGATCTGAAGGATTTGTGATTCTTTTAACATGAGCAAAACTAAAATATAATGCCTTAACAAAATAGAGGTTTATTTCCCGTTCACATAGTAGTCTTGGACAGTTGTTTGGCTTGGTGGGGCAGCTCTCCTCTTTGCCATCATCCACAGACCCAGGTTTCTATCTGTCATCACTTGAGCCCTTGTCATCATCTACTTTAAGTTGGCAAAAGGTGGGAAAAAATAGAAGAGTGTTATGGGTGGGGGTGCAGTTATAGGCCAGTTCTGCAAGTCATACCCATCGTATTAACCCAAACCTGTTTTGCATTTCACTGGAAAAAATTTAATAAAAAGATTATACCCAACTGGGCGTGGTGGCTCAAGCCTGTAATCCCAACACTTTGGGAGGCTAAGGCGGGTGATCACTTAAGGTCAGGAATTCGAGACCAGTCGGGCCAACATGGTGAAACCCCATCTCTACTAAAAATACAAAAATTATGCGGGTGTGGTGGTGCACGCCTGTAATCCCAGCTACTCGGGAGGCTGAGGCAGGAGAATCTCTTGAACCTGGGAAGTGGAGGTTGCAGTGAGCCAAGATCTAGCAACTGCACTCCAGCCTGGGCAACAGAACGAGACTCTGTCTCAAAACAAAACAAAACAAAACAAAAGATTATACCAACCTGCAATGTATGCTGGGAAACAGAGCCTAGCTTTGTGCCTAAAGGATAGAATGCCTATTAGTAGGGAGTCTCCGCTACCGCGTATGAATCAGAAAAATCTTAACTTTCATCTTTCACTGGCCTTTTAATGTATTCTTTGGGGCTAGTTTTCCCGTGCCCCCTTAGGTGAAACCATGGTCAAATCCCTCAACTTTTCTGGTTACTCATAAGTATTAAAAGTCTTCCTAGGTTGGGCGCAGTGGCTCATGTCTGTAATCCCAGCACTTTGGGAGGCTGAGGCAGGTGGATCACCTGAGGTTAGGAGTTCGAGACCGGCCAGGCCAACAAGGCAAAACCCCATCTCTACTAAAAATACAAAAATTAGCTGGGCATGGTGGCACATGCTGTAATCCCAGTTACTTATAAGGCTGAGGCAGGAGAATCGCTTGAGCCCAGGAGGTGGACGTTGCAGTGAGCCAAGATCACGCCACTGCACTCCAGCCTGGGTGACAGAGAGAGACTCCATCTCAAAAAAAAAAAAAAAGTCCTGGCCGGGTGAGGTGGCTTACGCCTGTAATCCCAGCACTTTGGGAGGCCAAGGCAGGTGGATCATGAGGTCAAGAGATCAAGACCATCCTGGTCAACATGGTGAAACCCTGTCTCTACTAAAAACACAAAAATTAGCTGGCCGTGGTGGCACACACCTATAGTCCCAGCTACTTGGGAGGCTGAGGCAGGAGAATTGCTTGAACCCAGAAGGCGGAGGTTGCAGTAAGCCCAGATCACACTACTGCACTCCATCCTGGCAACAGAGTGAGACTCTGTCTCAAAAAAAAAAAAAGAAAAAGAAAAAAAAGTTCTCCTGTCATGCTAGTTTCCCAAATAATATCAGTTAAGTGATAAAAAAAAAACTTCCAGCCCCCTCTAACATCCATTACTGTAAAATTCATTTATACAGAGGCTCCACCCTCTTTCCCAGATTGGGCCTCTACGAGGTGGGTTACCTACTATGGAAAAGGAGTGTGTGGCCAGCTCAGCTCCTTCCTCATTCAGTGCTTCCCCTCCTCTCCTCCTCTTGCTAGTCACTGTCTCTGAGACCCTCCAAACTGGGTGGCTGCTAGTCCATCTGGTGCCTCTGTAGATTAGGAATATGTTCCCCTTCTGGGTGTATGCAGCCCCATGGTGAGAGAACTGTACCTCTGTGTGAATTAGGAAAACACTGCTCTTATTCCAAATAGATAAAACCCCATGCCAGGGCATACAGTTTGGAGAATGGAACCCAGACTGGGTTGCAGCCACCATATGCGCCTTCATTTAGGCACCCTTTAGCAGTGAATGAATCACACAGCCATAAGGCCTGTTAAGGTTGGAACATATGGAGAAAGTAATAAAGGAGACGGTAAAGTTCACACTTGACTAGTACTGTCATGAATGGCATCTGTACTCTGGCAGGTGTTTAAGGCTTACTCTTTTTGTATGTGGGCTGTATTTCTGAGTTCCTTAAAGCTTCCTCCTCCCATCATTGGGGATCTCATCTCTGCAGTTTCTTTTTTTTTTTAAGTTGGGGTTTCACTATGTTGGCCAGGCTGATCTCAAACTCCTGACCCCAAGTGATCCACCTGCCTTGGCCTCCCAAAGTGTGGGGACTGCAGGGATGAGCCACCGTGCCCCGCCTGCAGTTTCTTCTGCATAAATGAATACATGGCTTTTCCAGTTGTTTATTTACAATTCTTTATCGAGACTCTAGGCATCTGGTGCTACGCCTCCACCTTCCTTCTGCTGAAGTCCACTTACTTTCCCGGCAGCTTTCTTTTTTTCTGAGATGAGGTCTCCCTCTGTCACCCAAGCTGGAGTGCAGTGGTGCGATCTTGGCTCACTGCAACCTCTGCCTCCTGGGTTCAAGTGATTCTCCTGCCTTAGCCTCCTGAGTACCTGGAATTACAGATGCCCACCACCACGCCCAGCTAATTTTTGTATTTTTAGTAGAGACGGGGTTTCACCATCTTGGCCAGGCTGGTCTTGAACTCCTGACCTCAGGTGATCTGCCCGCCTTGGTCTCCCAAAGTGCTGGGATTACAGGCATGAGCTACCACACTTGGCCTGCAGTTTCTCCTGCATAGATGAATACATGGCTTTTACAGTTGTTTATTTACAATTCTTTCTCGAGACTCTAGGCATCTGGTGCTACGCCTCCACCTTCCTTCTGCTGAAGTCCACTTACTTTCCAGGCAGCTTTCTTGAACAGGATCCAAGGCAATGCTTCTCCAGAGCTCTTGCATGTTTGTATCATACTTAGATTAGAGAAAATATGTTCATTTGACCCATTGTTGCAAGTGCTGCTATATCCCAAATCGCAACCTCTTCTCTACCCCACAGGATGCCTGCATTAACCCTTAACCCTTTACACATCCCAGACAACTCAGACTTCAGCCCACTGTGCCTCTCAAAGACGAAGAAACACATATTCTACTATGTGATCCCAGTAAAATTCGTTTTATTAGTGTGAGGTGAGGGGCATGTACCCCTTAGGATGAGGTTGGAGGCAATGACTCAGTGACTCAGTTCAGCAATAGCTTTTTCTAAAACCTTGAGTCTTTTTTTTTTTCAATCTCTTCAACATCTTTTGCAGGCTGCGGATGGGTAGTGAATGAAGATTGAAAACTGGTTTTCTTTTCTTTTTTTTTTTTTTTTTTGAGATGGAGTCTTGCTCTGTCGCCAGGTTGGAGTGCAGTGACACTATCTTGGCTCACTGCAATCTCTGCCTCCTGGGTTCAAGTGATTCTCCTACCTCAGCCTCCCAAGTACCTGGAATTACAAGCACGTACCACCACATCCAGCTCATTTTTGTATTTTTAGTAGAGATGGAGTTTTACCATGTTGGCCAGGATGGTCTCGATCTCCTGACCTCGTGATCCACCTGCCTCGGCCTCCCAAAGTGCTGGGATTACAGGCGTCAGCCAGCGCGCCCGGCATGAAAATTGGTTTTCTATAATCTTCTTTTGCAAATCCTGTATTGGTGGACTTGCCCGTAACTTTGAAGTGTGACCTTATTGTTTTGGTGTCTCGGCCAAACTTGAGACGAGTGAGGTTCCTTTAAATATCCTATGTATGACATAACTCTGGAAGTACACATAAGGAACAGGAAATATTGGTTACCTTTGGTGGGGAATTTATTGGCTCAGGGCAGCAATGAGAGTGAGAATTTTTCACATATATACTTTTTTGAACCATTTTAATTTAAAACCATATGGTATATAATATCAATTCAAAAATTTAAATTAAAGAAATGTACCTCCTAAATATATTATAGTCATACAATGGAACACTTGGCAAATCTTAAAAAGAATGAGCTATATATCCCGATGTACAAAAATCTCAAAGAAACTGGTGTGGTAGTGTGTACCTATAGTCCCAGCTACTTGGGAGGCTGAGACTGGAGGATTGCTTGAACCCAGGAGTTTGAGTCCAGCCTGGGCAAGATAGCAAGACCCCCACCTCCACCCCACAATTACCTCTAAGGAAAAAAATAATAAAAAGAAAAATCTCAAATATCTTAAACTTGATTCTCATTTCTTAACCACAGAAAAGGCCTTTTTTTTTTTTTTGAGACAGAGTTTTGCTCTTATCACCCAGGCTGGAGTGCAATGGTGTAATCTCGGCTCACTGCAACCACTGCCTCCCAGGTTCAAGCGATTCTCCTACCTCAGCCACCTGAGTAGCTGGGATTACAAGCGCCTGCCACCATGCCTGGCTAATTTTTATATTTTTTGTAGAGACGGGGTTTCACCATGTTGGCCAGGCTGATCTCGAACTCCTGACCTCAAATGATCTGCCCGCCTCGGCTTCCCAAAGTGCTGGGATTACAGGCGTGAGCCACCGCGCCCGGCCAGAAAAGGCTTGTATTTCTCGTACATGGGCATGTATAGTGCAAGATGGACAACTTTTCAGGGCAGCTGTTTCTGCATCTGGTGACTCAGGGATCCAGGCTGTTTCCATTTTGTGGCTTCACCATCTAAATGCGTGGCTTTCACAATTGCTGCAGCAGGGGAAGAGAGAGCTGGAGAGACATAAAATGGCACTAAATGCTTTGGCCCAAGAGTGCCCAATATCATTTCTGTTCATAGCCCTTGAGCCAGAACTAGTCTCATGGTCTCAGCCTCACCGCAAAGCAGGACAGGAAATGTTGTCATCCTTTATGCCCAGAAAAAAGGAAATGAAATGAGGTTCAGTATCATATGGCATCGTGTCTACCACAAAGACACAAACAAGTAACAGGAGGAAGGGTCCTGAGGATCTAATATCAGGAGATTTACTTTTCACTATACTATTCACTCTATTTCTCTTTTTTTATACAACAAAAAGTGAGTATGTATACATACTTGTTCACTGTATTGTTTTGAATTTTTTAACCATTGGCTTGTGTATACTTTTTCAATGAAAGACTTTGTAATTTTTGCAATGGATGCTAAGATTAGTGGGTAAAAGTTTTATGAGGAACAGGATATAGTCTCAAAATATCTCCCCACAAGATACTTATTGGCCAGGCATGGTGGTTCATGCCTATAATCCCAGAGTTTTGGGAGGCTGAGGCCAAGTTGGGAGGATTACTTGAGGCCAGGAGTTGGAGATCAGCCAGGGTAACATAGCAAGACCTGTCTCTACAAAAATAAAATATTAGCCAGGCCTGGTGGCGTGCCTGTAGTCCTTGTTACTCAGGAGGATGAGGTGGGAGGATCACTGGAGCCCGGAAATTTGAGGCTGCAGTGAGTTATGATTGCGCCACTGCACTTCAGCCTGGGCAACAGAGTGAGACCCTGTCTCTAAAAAAAGAAAAAAAAAAGATACTTATTAACTAAAAATCGACAAAGAATAACTTTAAAGTGGAAAACTGGCAGACACCACCTTGACCTAAAAATAAAAATTAACATCACCAGTAGTCAGTAATGTGCCTCCTGATTTAATAAACCAAGAACACAGCATCAGTTTTAGAATATTCCTGCCAAAAATGTATAGCCTGAATCTAATCATGAGGGGAAAAAACAGATAAACCTAAAACAAGAACCTCATACAAAATATCTGGCCTGTATTCTTCAAGTGACAAAGGATCGTGGGAGGCAAAGTCAGACTGAGGAATTATTCCAGATTAAAAGAAACTAAAGAGATTTCTCAACTAAGTGCAGTGTGTGATCCTGGATTGGATCCTGAGCCAGAAAAATAATTTTTCTTTCTTGTTTTTGAGACAGAGTCTCGCTCTGTCGCCCAGGCTGGAGTGTAGTGATGCTATCTCGGCTCACTGCAACCTCCGCCTCCTGGGTTCAAGTGATTCTCCTGCCTCAGCCTCCTGAGTAGCTGGGACTACAGGTGCGCACCACCACGCCTGGCTAAGTTTTGTATTTTTAGTAGAGCCAGGGTTTCACCATGTTGGCCAGGCTGGTCTCGAACTCTTGACCTCAGATGATCTGTCCACCTCGGCTTCCCAAAGTGCTGAGATTACAGGCATGAGTCACCATGCCTGACCTTAGAAAAATAATTTTTCTTTTTGCTGTGGAAAACATTATTAAGACAGTGGAGGATATCTGAATAAGGTCTCTGGGTTAGGTAATATTATTATATCAATGTTATTATTTTTATTTTATAATTGTGCTACTGTTATACAAGAGAATACAATATTCTTGTTTTAGGAAACACATACTTAAGTATTTAGAGATACAATTTCATCCTGTTTGCAATTTATTCTCCAATGGTTCTGGAAAAATAATTTCATATATCATACATATATTTGTGTGTGTATATATGTCTGTATGCATATATATTACCTGTGTGTGTGTGTGTGTATATATATATATGTATATATATATATAGAGAGAGAGAGAGAGAGAGAGAGAGAAATGATAAAGCAAATGTGGTAAAATGTTAACATTTTGAGAATCTTAATAAACGTCATATGGGGCCGGGCGCGGTGGCTCATGCCTGTAATCCCAGCACTTTGGGAGGCCGAGGCATGCAGATCACAAGGTCAGAAGTTCAAGACCAGCCTGGCCAACATGATGAAACCCTGTCTCTACTAAAAATACAAAAATTAGTCAGGTGTGGTGGCACACACCTGTAATCCCAGCTACTTGGGAGGCTGAGGCAGGAGAATTGCTTGAACCTGGGAGACTGAGGTTGCAGTGAGCCATGACTGCACCACTGCACGCCAGCCTGGGCGACAAAGCAAGACTCCGTCTTGGGAAAAAAAAAGAAAAAAAGAAAATGATAAAGCAAATGTGGTAAAATATTAACATTTTGAGAATCTGAATAAAGGGTATATGGGGCCGGGTGCTGTGGCTCACGCCTGTAATCCCAGCAGTTTGGGAGGCCAAGGCGGGCGGATCGCTTTAGGCCAGGAGTTCGATACCAGCCTGGCCAACGTGGTGAAAGCCCGTCTCTACAAAAAACAAAAAACAAAAAAACAAAAAATACAGGCCGGGCCCTGTGGCTCACACCTGTAATCCCAACACTTTGGGAGGCCGAGGCGGGCGGATCACGAGGTCAGGAGTTCGAGACCAGCCTGGCCAGTATGGTGAAACGCTGTCTCTACTAAAAATACAAAAATTAGCAGGGTGTGGTGGCACACGCCTGTAATCCCAGCTACTCAGGAGGCTGAGGGAGAAGAATTGCTTGAAGTCGGGAGGTGGAGATTGCAGTGAGCTGAGATTGCACCACTGCACTCTAGCCTGGGCAACAGAGTGAGACTCTGTCTCAAACAAAACAAAACAAAACAACAACAACAAAAACACACAAAAATTATCTGGGCATGGTGGCAGGTACCTGTAATCCCAGCTACTCAGGGGGCTCAGGCAGGAGAATTGCTTGAACCTGGGAGACAGAGGATGCAATGAGGCGAGATCGCACCACTGCACTCCAGCCTGGGTTACAGAGTAAGACTCTGTCTCAAAAAAAAAAAAAAAAAAAAAAAGTACATGGGATGTCTTTGACCTTTCCTGAAATCATTTTGTAAGTCTGAAATTATTTCAAATAAAAAGTTGTAATAAGTCTAGGTGCAGTGGCTCACTTGTAATCCCAGTACTTTGGGAGGCCAAGGTGGGAGGATGGCTTGAGCCCGGGAGTTTGAGACCAGCCTGGGCAACATAGTAAGACTCTGTCTCTACAAAAATTTAAAAAATAGCCACCCATGGTGGCACATGTCTGTAGTCCCAGCTACTTGAGAGGCTGAGGCAGGAAGACCACTTGAGCCCAGGAGGATCACTCTTGCCACTATATTCCAGCCTGGGCAACAGAGCAAGATTCTTGTCTCCAGAAAAAAAAAAAAAAAAAAAGTTGTCATAAATGACTAGTAATTAACTACACTTATTAAATTTCTGAACTTTTGCATGAGATATAGTGCTTGTTAGTAAATTCTATTTGTAATAGAATTAAGGTCCAGAGTAATTATTTTTCACATGATATCTCACAGAATTATTGTGAGGAACAAACGTAAATATGTATGAATACGGTCTATAAACCATTATTTGAATGCATTGTTTTCACTATTATTGTTACTATTATTATTATTATCATCATCATTCTTTTTAGTTAAAGTGGGTAATTCTTACTGGGGAGTAATGGGTGCTGGTGTCAGAAAGTAACAAGAACAATATATGGAACAAGATATTGAATGCCAGGCCAGGGCACTTGAATTTTGCCTTCTGGAATACTGAAAAGTCATTGCTTACCAAAATGGCTGGGGAGAAAGTTGAATCCTTTTTCCTTCTTTTTTTTTTTTCTTTTTTAACACAGACTGCTCATCTGCAAGAAAGTTTAAGTTTTTTTGTTTGTTTGTTTTTTGGTTTTTTTTTTAGACAGGCTCTTGGTCTGTCACCCAGGCTGGAATGCAGTGGCTCGATCTCGGCTCCTTGCAACCTCTCAAGCCATCCTCCCACTTCAGCCTCCCAAGTAGCTGGAACTATAGGCACACACCACCACACCTGGCTAAGTTTTGTACTTTTCGTAGAGATGGGGTCTCGCTATGTTGTCCAGGCTGGTCTCGAACTCCTGAGCTCAAGCAATCTGCCCGCCTCAGCCTCCCAAAATGCTGGGATTACAGGTGTGAGCCGCCATGCCCAGTGGTGAATTCTTAACAGTTCTAAAAGGTATCCATAGAGATCAGATAATGGTTCAACCTCCTCATTTTGCAGTTAAGCTGGTGGATTTGGCAGATGAAGCATGTGAATTAGAGTCTTGTGGATGAAGCTGTGCAGATTCAAAGATTGAAAGGGCAGAAAAAGAAACACAAGGAGATAAGAAATGTCACATCACCAGGACCAATTACATAATTAGGAGGGCCCAGTGCAAAATGAAAATGCAGGGCCCAGGCCAGACGCGGTGGCCCACGCCTATAATCCCAGCACTTTGGGAAGCTGAGGCGGGCGGATCACCTGAGGTCGGGAGTTCCAGACCAGCCTGACCAACATGGAGAAACCCCATCTCTACTAAAAAATACCAAATTAGCTGGGTGTGGTGGCGCATGCCTGTAATCCCAGCTACTCGGGAGTCTGAGGCAGGAGAATCACTTGAACTCAGGAGGCAGAGGTTGCGGTGAGCCAAGATCGTGCCATTGCACTCTAGCCTGGGCGACAGAGCAAAACTCCATCTCAAAAAAAAAAAATTAAAAAAAAAAAGAAAAAAGAAAATGCAGGGCTCCTTGTTCGTAAGTTATTAAGAATTTCAGAATTTCAGAGATATACCTAATGTAAATGACTAATGGGTGCAGCACACCAACATGGCACATATATACATATGTAACAAACCTGCACATTGTGCACATGTACCCTAGAACTTAAAGTATAATACAAAAAAAAAAAATATATATATATATAAAAGAATTTCAAAACCATGAAAGCAGAACATTAAACCAAGCGTGGGGCCCTACTAAGTGTGGGCCTGGTGTGACAGCACAGGTTGCACACCCGTGAAGCTGGTCCTAAACATCATAACACACCAAATACATCCACATTCAGTAATTCATCCAAGGTCAGTTAAGGTCCTACTAGTGAGGTGCTTTCAGTTAAAAGGGACAGAAACCATGATTCAAACTGACTTCAATCATAAGGAAATATAGACCAGCAGAAGGTTGGTTTTTAAAAATTATTATTATTATTTCAGACAGCCACCTGCCTTGGCCTCCCAAAGTGCTGAGATCACAGGTGTGAACCACCATGCCATGCTGAGCTTCAGATTACACTTTTATTTATTTATTTATTTATTTATTTATATTTATCTTTTTTTGAGATGGAGTCTCGCTCATTTGCCCAGGCTGGAGTACAGTGGTACGATCTCGGCTCACTGCAACCTCCGCCTCCTGGGTTCAAGCGATTCACATGCCTCAGCCTCCTTAGTAGCTGGGATTACAAGCACGCACCACCACTCCCAGCTAATTTTTGTAGTTTTAGTGGAGACAAGGTTTCACCATGTTGGCTAGGCTGGTCTCAAACTCCTGACCTTAAGTGATCCGCCCACCTCAGCCTCCCAAAGTGCTGGGATTACAGGCATGAGCCACTGCTCCTGGCCTTTAAAGTATTATTATTATTTTTGAAATGGAGTGTTGCTCTGTCACCCAGGCTGAAGTGCAGTGGTCCGATCTCTGCTCACTGCAACCTCCATCTCCTGGGTTCAAGTGATTCTACTGCCTCAGCCTCCCAAGTAGTTGGGAAATATGCACCACCATACCCGACTAATTTTTGTGTTTTTAAAAATTATTATTTTATTATTTCGGGACAGGGTCTTGCTCTGTTGCCCAGGCTGTAGTGTGGTGGCACGAACATGGCTCACTGCAGTCTCCACCTCCTGGGCTCAAGTGATCCTCCTGCCCTGGCCTCCCACAGTGCTAGGATTACAATGTGAGCCACCATGCCCAGCCAGAAGGTTGTTCTTTAGGCAGAGTATGATCACTGGCACTCCATGTCACCAAAGGCCCAGCTTCTATCAGACAAGTCTCAGTGCTGTCCTCAGTGTATGGGATTTATCATCCAGCCTAACAACATCCAACATGAGTAATGATCTAACTCTTCCTGTTCTCTTTGGCAGGAACAAGGATGACTTTCCCAGGAGCCTCTTGCATCTCATTAGCTAGAATTGAGTCCTATGTCCATGGCAGGAGGAATGTGGAACCACAATTGGATTAGGCCATCAGGATGCCCTTCCTGTGGCTGAGGTGGGGGCATCTTGCCCTGAAGCACAGGGCTATGTGGGGGAGAGTGGACACCTATGCAAAGTCAGGGCTCTGGTGGGAAAGGGGAGAAGAAGCGTGGGCCACAGTGTCCGACACACTGTTATTTCCACACTGCCGGTGCAAAGGCAGGGTGGTTAGCAATGCCATGCTGTGTGACAGCTGCTTGGTTAGTGGAAGGATGAAGTGCAGGGCAGGGAGCAGTGGGACGGGGCTGGAGGGCTTGGCAGGGGCTTGATCAGGTGTTTCACAGTAGGCAGTTGGGCTTCATCCAAGAGGTCAGTAGTGTTACACAATATGATCGTAGATGGTTCACAGAAGAATATTTTTATGTCGATGAGTATATGTTTATTCTTATGTGTATTTTAAAAATAATTAGTGAGCAGAACACAAAAAGCACTAGTCATAAAGAAAAAGATTGGTAATTTGAATTGATTAAAATGAAGAACTAATCAAAAGACACCATTAAGAGGGAAAAAAGGCAAACCATAGAGAGGGAGACTATATTTGCAATCCTCATGTTAAACTTCGAGCCCTTGTCAAGAATACATGCAGGCTGGTGGCTCATGCCTATAATCCCAGCACTTTGGGAGGCTGAGGCAGAAGGATCACTTGAGCCCAGGAGTTGAAGACCAGCCTGGGCAACATAGGGAGACCCTCATTTCTCCAAAAACAATTTTTTGTTGTTGTTTTATTTTGTTTTGTTTTGAGACAGAGTCTTGCTCTGTCGCCCAGGCTGGAGTGCAGTGGTGCAATCTCGGCTCACTGCAACCTCTGCCTCCCAGGTTCAAGCGATTCTCCTGCCTCAGCCTCCCAAGTAGCTGGGACTACAAGTGCCCACCACCACGCCCGGCTAATTTTTGTATTTTTAGTAGAGATGGGGTTTCACCATATTGGCCAGGCTGGTCTCGAACTCCTGACCTCAGATGATGTATACACCTTGGCCTCCCAAAGTCCTGCTATTACAGGCATGAGCCACTGTGCCCAGTCCAAAAATTTTTTTAAAAGTACCTGGGTGTGGTGGCGGGCACCTGTAGTTCCAGCTACTCGTGAGGCTGATGTGGGAGAATCACTTGAGCCCAGGAGGTCAAGGTTGCCGTGAGCTATGATTGCACCACCGCACTCTAGCCTAAGCAACTGGATGAGATTCTATCTTAAAAACAAAACAAAACAAAACAAAAAATACATACACATACACACCCACACATTTGTGTGGGAGATGGGAGAAGACACTGTGTGTAATTTGTGGCAAGTCCTAGCAGGGTCACTGGGGTTCTGGAGCAAGCCCATGCCATCTGGAGAATCACCCTTGGAAAAATACATACATACACCACAATACTACAAATCAATAAGGAAAAAAACAGACAACTAAATTAAGGGCAAGAAACATGAACAAGCACTTCACAGAAAACATGAACAAGCGCTTCACATCCAATTGACTGATAAACATAAAAAGTCTTTCAACCTCATTAGTCATTAGGGAAATACAAATTAAAACCACAATGAGATACCACTTTACATCAATGAGAATGACTAAAATTAAAATAACCGATGACATCAAGTGTTATTGAGGATACCAAACAACTGGAATGCTCATTCAGTGTTCCGGAGGAGGTAAATTGGTATAGTCATCTTGGAAAACTATTTGGCAGTGTCTAGTAAAACTAAACAAACATAATCTATGACCCAGCAATTTAACTCCTAGGTGTTTACATCCAGAAATGCATACATGCGTATAATAAAAGACACCAACAAGAATGTTTATAGCAGCACTATTCATAACAGATACAACCTGGAAACAACCTAAATGTCCATCACTGGTAGACGGAATAAACAGACTGGGATGTGATTATACAATGAACTACTATATATCAATGAGAAAAGTAAACTATTGCTACATGCGATAAGACGGATGAATTTCACAATGTTGAAGGAAAGAAACCAAACATAAAATAATACACATGGTAGAATTCATTTCATTTATATGAAAAGCTCAAAAGCAGGTAAACAATCTACTTGTGTTCATAGCAATATTATTTATACTAACCAAAAGGTGGAAGTAACCCAAGTGTCCACTGATGAATGTATGGATAAACAAAATGTGGCATATAGATACAGTGGAATTTTTTTATTATTTTTTTTTAGAGATGTAGTTTTGCCCTTGTTTTCCAGCCTGGAGTGCAATGGCGCCATCTCAGCTCACTGCAGCCTCCATCTCCTGGGTTTAAACCATTCTCCTGCCTCACCTTCCTAAATAGCTGGGATTACAGACATGCGCCACCACACCTGGCTAATTTTGTATTTTTAGTAGAGATGGGGTTTCACCATGTTGGCCAGGCTGGTCTCAAACTCCTGACCTCAAGTGATTCACCCACCTCAAGCTCCCGAAGTGCTTGGATTTCAGGCATGAGCCACTGTGCCCAGCAAGATGCAGCGGAATATTAGTCGGCCTTGAAAAGGAAGGAAATCCTGTCACATGCTACACCACGGCTGAAACTTAAGGATATTAGGCTATGTAAAATAAGCCAGGCACAGAAAGATGCATACTGTATGATTCCATTTGTATGAAGTACTTTGAGCAGTCAGATTTTTTTTTTTTTTTTTTTTTGAGACGGAGTCTCGCTCTGTCACCCAGGCCGGACTGCGGACTGCAGTGGCGCAATCTCGGCTCACTGCAAGCTCCGCTTCCTGGGTTCACGCCATTCTCCTGCCTCAGCCTCCTGAGTAGCTGGGACTACAGGCGCCCACCACCGCGCCTGGCTAATTTTTTGTATTTTTAGTAGAGACGGGGTTTCACCTTGTTAGCCAGGATGGTCTCGATCTCCTGACCTCATGATCCACCCGCCTCGGCCTCCCAAAGTGCTGGGATTACAGGCGTGAGCCACCGCGCCCGGCGAGCAGTCAGATTTATAGACACAGAAAGTAGAATGGTAGGCCAGGCGTGGTGGCTCACGCCTGTAATCCTAGCACTTTGGGAAGCCGAGGTGGGCAGATCACAAGGTCGGGAGTTCAAGACCAGCCTGGCCAACAAAGTGAAACCCTGTCTGTACTAAAAATACAAAGATTAGCTGGGCATGGTGGCAGGCACCTGTAGTCCCAGCTACTCGGGAGGCTGAGGCAGGAGAATCACTTGAACCCGGGAGGCAGAGGTCGCAGTGAGCTGAGATTACACCACTGCACTCCAGCCTGGGCGACAGAACGAGACTCTCTCTCTCAAAAAAAAAAAAAAAAAAAAAAAAAGGAAAGAAAAGAAAAAAAAAGGAAGTAGAATGGTAGAATGGTAGTTAGTAAAGGCTTGGGAAAAGATAATGGGGATTTGTTTAATGGGTACAGAGTTTTAGTTTTGCAAGATGAAGAGTTTTGGAGATTGGTTGCACAACAATGTGAATGTATTTAACACGGCTGCACTGCACACTTAAAAATGGCTCACATGGTAAGTTTTATATTATGTGTATTTGACCACAGTTAAAAATTTAAAAAGCAGGTAAATGAGTCTATGGTGATAGAAGAAGGATAGTGGTTACCTTGGGAAGAGAGATTGACTGAGAAGAGGAATAAATGGGGGTTCTGTGATGCAGATCATTTCTACTTTTTGAGCTGGGTGAGTTCACCAAATTGTATACTTAGGATTTATGTCCCTTCATGTCTGTATGTCATTGTGAGACACATGGTGATGTGTTGCCCAGATCGCCTTCAAGAAAGGACATGCTGCCTAGCTGCAGAGAGAGGGCAGCAGACAATACCAGCTTTCAGTTCCTTCAGAGCCTGCTTCAGCTGCAGGGCTGCCTCACCTGAGGTCATGCCCTTCCTGGGGTAGCCCACATTTGGTGACTGAGCAAGGCAGAGGTATAAAGGTCCAGCCATTTAAACTTGATGCTGGAAAGCCCTGATGAGCACTTCTCATTCTAGAGTGACCTGCTGATCGGCTGAGCTTGGTCGAGCCTGCAGCACAGGTTGACTTTCCCTCTGCCCAGTCCTGCTTTTTCTTCCTTCCTTTCACAGGTATGGGTCCTTAATAAACATTTTGCCTCCCAAACTCTATCTCAGCATCTCCTTCTTGAGAATCTGGTCTTCCACAGTTGCTACCAAAGTAGATGAGAAAGGAGATGGTAAGATGGGGTTTGGAACTGGATCACCACCCATCTGATGATGAGGATCCCATTAGTGGAGGTGGGCAGAGCACAGACAAATGGCAGCAAATTGGGAGAATGTACCAGTAGAACTGGATACTCTAAGGGCACAATGTGCCAGGTACTTGAGATGTATGGAGGGAGTAGTAGCTATGAGGATGATGGAATTGGTGGCTATTGCCAAGCTCCATGGATGTGCTACAGGATAATAAACAACTTAGGGCCAGTAACATGCATTAAAATCCAGGTTATGGGGCCAGGTGCAATGGCTCATGCCTGTAATCCCAGCACTTTGGGAGGCCAAGGCAGGTGGATCACCTAAGGTTAGGAGTTTGAGACCAGCCTGGCCAACATGGCGAAACCCCATCTCTGCTAAAAATACAAAAATTAGTCAGGCGTGATGGCACATACCTGTAGTCCCAGCTACTTGGGAGGCTGAGGCAGGAGAATTGCTTGAATCCGGGAGGCAAAGGTTATAGTGAGCCAAGATCGTGCCACTGCACTTCAGCCTGGGCAACAGAGTAAGATCATCTCAAAAAAAAAAAAAAAAAAAAATCCAGGTTATGAAAAGGAAAAGGCCTCTTTGGTTTATACAAATAAGCCAACATCTCTAGCAGTGAAAGGGTGGAGAAAAGCAAGGACAAAGCCTAGGACTTAATAATCTAAGCAACTGGCCAGGCGTGGTGGCCCACACCTGTAATCCCAGCACTTTGGGAGGCTGAGGCGGGCAGATCACCAGGTCAGGAGTTCAAGACCAGCCTGGCTAAGATAGTGAAACCCCGTCTGTACTAAAAATACAAAAAATTAGCTGGGCATGGTGGCGTGCGCCTGTAATCCCAGCTACTAGGGAGGCTGAGGCAGGAGAATCGCTTGAACCTGGGAGGCAGAGGTTGCAGTGAATGGAGATCGTGCCACTGCACTCCGGCCTGGGGGACAGTGCAAGACTCCATCTAAAATAATAATAATAATAATAATCTGAGCAACTGACTTCAAAGACAGTTAAATGTCCAAATAAGGCACATCTCTTATGCTAAAGTCAAAGTCCTGGTTGGAAAAGCTTGGGACCCTGACACGTGGAATGGAGATATCAGAGTGGATGCTCCTAAAGATTTTTTTTTTGAGACGGAGTCTCGCTCTGTCTCCCAGGCTGGAGTGCAGTGGTGTGATGTTGACTCACTGCAGCCTCTGCCTCCAGGATTCAAGCGACTCTCCTGCCACAGCCTCCCAAGTAGCTGGGACTACAGTCATGCACCACCATGCCCAGCTAGTTTTTTTTGTATTTTTAGTGGAGACGGGGTTTCACCATGTTGGCCAGGTTGGTCTCGAACTCCTGACCATAAGTGATCCACTCGCCTTGGCCTCTCCTGAATATTTTGACTCCACAAATTCCTCTGAATCTCCTGAGCCTACAGAATTGGCCCACTCCTCCCTAGTAAGAACTACCACTCTCTCCCTGCTGAGGGACAATGCAGTGCCTTTCTCCACAAAGCAACAGCTCCCCCTCAGAATCTGCCCCCACATTGCCTCCTAGCCTATACTAGGTTAGCTACAGCATAACCCAGCTGGAGAGGTGCTGGGTATGATAGGGGTGGAAAGGGACTATATGCCACAGAAATAGCAAGACCTAGCCAGCATGTATTGGCAGGAGCCAGGGAGATACATGTGGAACTGGATTCTGAGAGTGCTTGATGAAGGAGAAGGAATATAAAATTGGATAGGGAAGAGTTTATTGACTTGGGAATCCCTCTTTGTTTCTTTTCGTTTCTTTTCTTTCTTTTTGAGATGGAGTCTCACCCTGTCAGGCTGGAGTGCAATGGCGCAATCTCAGTTCACTGCAACCTCTGCCTCCCGGGTTCAAACAACTTTCCTGCCTCAGCCTCTCGAGTAGCTGGGATTACAGGCACGTGCCACCATGCCCAGATAATTTTTGTATTTTTAGTAGAGACGGGATTTCACCATGTTGGCCAGGCTGGTCTCGAACTCCTGACCTTGTGATCCGCCTGCCTCGGCCTCCCAAAGTGCCGGGATTTCAGGTGTGAGCCACTGCGCCCGGCAGGAATCTCTCTTTCAAAATACAAGATTTAACATCCTGGCAAGGACAATAGGAGATGGTACAATCTTACTACCAGGATGGATCCTAGAAGCATGGAAAAAGTGATGACCTATGCCAAAGAAAGCTTACATGCCGGAATTGCTATGGCAGATAGTGATGGTAGAATGAAAAGACTCAGGGAAATAGGTGTGCCAGAATGGATAGACTATAGGTAACCAGAAGATCTCCTAGCTAATTATGCCTCATGAGAAGGCCCAGAGAACACGTTTTCATCTGTTTTCTGTTGCTCTCACTGCATAGCACAGACTGGGTAGTTTATAAGAAGTTTACTGAGTTCATGGTTCTGGAGGCTGGGAAGCCCAAGAGCCTGAAGTCAGGATCTGGTGAGATCCTTCTTGCTGTGTCATAACATAGCAGAGAACATCACATGGTGAGAGGGCAACCAGAAAGATTCTGGTTACTCTTGCTTGCTTTTATAACAAAGCCATTCCCATGATAGAGCTTGCTTTTATAACAAAAAAACAAAGCTTGTTTTTATTGCAAAGCCATTCCCGTGATAACGAACCTACTCCCATGATAATGACATTACTCCATTCAAGAGGGCAGAACTCTCATTACTCCATATATTCATTCATGAGGGCAGAACTGACATTAATCCATTTATGAGGGGAGAACAATTAAGTTTCTAACACACAGATTTTTAGGGGCCACATTCAAACCATAACAACACACTACTTATCAAGGCCGTGAAGAATTTGCTGCCCGGCATGGTGGCTCACACCTGTAATCCTAGCACTTTGGAAGTCCGAGGTGGGTGGATCACTTGAGGTCAGGAGTTTGAGACCAGCCTGGCCAACATGGTGAAACCCTGTCTCTCCAAAAAAATATAAAAATTAGGCCGGGCGTGGTGGCTCACGCCTATAATCCCAGCACTTTGGGAGGCCAAAGTGGGTGGATCACTTGAGGTCAGGAGTTCGAGACCAGCCTGGCCAACATGGTGAAACCCCGTCTCTACTAAAAAATAGAAAAATTGGCCGGGCGCAGTGTCTCACGTCTATAATCCCAGCACTTTGGGAGGCCGAGGCGGGCGGATCAAGAGGTCAGGAGATCGAGACCATCCTGGCTAACACGGTGAAACCCCGTCTCTACTAAAAAAAATACAAAAAATTAGCTGGGCGTGGTAGCGGGCACCTGTAGTCCCAGCTACTTGGGAGGCTGAGGCAGGAGAATGGCGTGAACCCAGGAGGTGGAGCTTGCAGTGAGCCAAGATTGTGCCACTGCACTCCAGCCTGGGAGACAGAGCGAGACTCCTTCTCAAAAAAAAAAAAAAAAAAAAAAGAAAAATACAAAAATTAGCCAGGCATGGTGGTGTATACCTGTAATTCCAGCTACTTGGAAGACTGAGGCAGAATCGCTTGAACCCAGGCAGCGGAGGTTGTAGTGAGCCGAGATTGTGCCACTGCACTCCAGCCTGGGTGACAGAGCGAGACTCTATCTCAAAAAAAAAAAAAAAAAAAAAGGGCTGGGTTTGGTGGCTCATGCCTGTAATCCCAGCACTTTGGGAGGCCAAGGCGGGTGAAACACCTGAGGTCAGGAGTTCGAGATTAGCCTGACCAACATGGTGAAACCCCATCTCTACTAAAAATACAAAAATTAGCTGGGTGTGGTGGTGCATGCCTGTAATCTCAGCTACTTGAGAGGTTGAGGCAGGAGAATCACTTGAACCCGGGAGGCGGAGGTTGCAGTGAGCCAAAATTTTGCCATTGCACTACAGCCTGGGCAACAGCGAGACTCTGTCTCAAAAAAAAAAAAAAAAAAAAATATATATATATATATATATATACACACACACACACACATATATATACACACACACACACACACACAAAATTAGCTGGGTGTGGTGGCAGGTGCCTGTAATCCCAGCTACTCGAGAGGCTGAGGTTCGAGAATTGTTTGAACCTGGGAGGCGGAGGTTGCAGTGAGCCAAGATCGTGCCACTGCACTCCAGCCTGAGTGACAGAGCAAGACTCTGACTCAAAAAAAAAAAGAAAGAATTTGCTGGTGAGAGGCTCACCAGAATAAAAAGTACTAAAAAGATAAGTACTCGCTCTCCTCTGTAGGCTAGGACTGATAATAGAAGAGACTAGTACAGAACTTGACTTACTGATAGCAATGAGGATAATGGGACACTGAAACAAACAAACAAACAAAAGTCCAGATGGCAGTGCTTAACTTCCGGAAGCTAGGCAATGGCAATTATCATCATGGCTGGTGAGGTTTGAGTGGCAGCCAGGAACACCTGGCCAACAGAGAGTTATGGAGATGACTAATAAAGCAAAATGTCCCTAGGGGCAAATTAGATGGGCAATTGTTAAGGGTACTACTCAGCTTGTACTAGCAGAAGAAATTAAGGAAAGATGACTAGAAGACTGAAGGCCATAGCCCAAGAAAAATTCACAATCCCTTTCCTAGTGTTCAGACTAGAGCCAGCTTGAGACTTGGAATCCCATGATTAAAGAGGTGGCTGGGTCCCTAGGAGGAAGGACCCTCAATACTATAACAAGAATATGTGATAATGATCCCCTCAGTTCTTTCTCAAAAAGACCAATGGCCATTTATTTGGGTAACTGTGCACCTGGGAAAGAAAAATACCTAGACATATCAGGGTCTGTTGGATGTAGGGTCTGTGATGACAATGATGCTCGAGGCCTGAAGCACCATCATAACCTCTCCTTGTTAGAGTGCAGGAAGCACATGGGGCCAGGTTGTAAGTGAAATCCTGTCTTGGGCCTGGCTTACAGTACAGCCATTGGGTCCTTGGAGCCACTCAGTGGTCATTTCCCAGTCTCTGAGTTCATAACCAGGATTGGTTTACTCCTGGGGGACAACAAAGAAAAGTGTTGAGAGTAGGTACAGCAGAAATTAGTTCCATCCTTAGGATATAAAGGATACAGGGATGGTGGTTTCTATCATGTATCTGTTTAATTCACCACTCTTGACCTTATAGAAACCAGATGATCCTGGAAGGTGACTGTAGACTGCCATGAGTTCAACCAAGTACTATAGCCCCGATTACAGCCATTATGTAAGATGTAGTATCTTTGCTACAGCAGATTACTTTGGCCTCGGGAACATATTATACAACCACTGATTTGGCAAATGTGTTCTTTTTTATCCTAATCAGAAAAAGAAAAAGAGTCAGAAAAAAGTTTGCATTTACATGGAATGGGCAACAATATACATGTGAGGTTTTCCTCCCAGGGCTATGCCTTCCACTCTATGTAAAATACAGTCTGAAGAGATTTGGACTATCTCAACCTTGTCCAACCCACGGCTTGCAGGCTGTACATGGCACAGGAGAGCTTTGAAACTTTCTTAAAACATTATAATTTTTTTTTTTTTTTGAGACAGAGTCTTGCTCTGTCACCCAGGCTGGAGTGCAGTAGTGTAATCTCAGCTTACTGCAACTTCCGCCTCCCAGCTTCAAGCGATTCTCCTGCCTCAGCCTCCCGAGTAGCTGGGATTACAGGCGCCCGTCACCATGCCCAGCTAATTTCTGTATTTTTAGTAGAGACGGGGTTTTGCAATGTTGGCCAGGCCAGTCTCAAACTCCTGACCTCAAGTGATCTGCTCACTTTGGCCTCCCAAAGTGCTGGGATTACAGGCGTGAGCCACTGCGTCTAGCCTTTTTTGTGATTTATTTTTTGGCTCATCAGCTATCGTTCGTGTTAGTGTATTTTATGTGTGGCCCAAGACAATTCTTCTTCCAATGTGGCCCAGGGAAGCCAAAAGATTGTACACCTCTGAACTATCTGGACATACTTTAGAGTTTCATGCTGATCCATTGCATTGATGACAATATGTTAATGAGCCAGATGAACAAGAGATGGATAATACACTGAAGGCCTTGGTAAATAAGACAGGCACTTCAGAGGGCACTCTGTGAAGATTCAGGGACCTTCTACATCTATAAATTTTTTTTTTTTTTGAGACAGAGTCTCACTCTGTTGCCCAGGCTGGAGTGTACTGGTGTGATCTCGGCTCAGTGCAAGCTCCCACTCCCGGGTTCACGCCATTCTCCTGCCTCAGCATCCCGAGTAGCTTGGACTACAGGCACCCGCCAGCACGCCCGGCTATTTTTTTGTATTTTTAGTAGAGACGGGGTTTCACTGTGTTAGCCAGGATGGTCTCGATCTCCTGACCTCGTGATCCGCCCGCCTCAGCCTCCCAAAGTGCTGGGATTACAGGTGTGAACCACCGCGCCCAGCAAAATTTTTATTTTTTTATTTTTTTGAGATGGAGTCTCGCTCTGTCACCCAGGCTGGAGTGCAGTGGCACGATCTTGCTCACTGCAACCTCTGCCTCCCAGCTCCTGCCTCAGCCTCCCGAGTAGCTGGCATTACAGGCACCCATCACCATGCCCAGCTAATTTTAATATTTTTAGTAGAGATGGGGGTTTTGCTGTGTTGGCCAGGCTGGTCTCAAACTCCTGACCTCAGGTGATCTGCTCACCTCGGCCTCCCAAAGTGATGAGATAATAGGCATGAGCCACTGCGCCAAGCCCCAACATCCCTAAAATTTTTAGGAGTACAGTTGTCAGGGGCATGTTGGGATATCCTCTTCAAAGTAAAAGACAAATTATTGCATTTTATGCCTTCTCCCACAAAAAAGGAAGCGCAACACCTGGTGGATCTCTTCAGATTCTAGAGTCAGCATATTCTACACCTAAGGATGCTGCTGTAGTCTATATACCAGGTGTCACGAAAGACTGGAAGCTTTGAGCAAGGCCTAAAGCGGGCCCAGAGCATGACAGAGCTTTGCAGTAGATACAGGCTACAGTGTAAACAGTCCTACTCCTAGGACAATACAATTCAGCATATCCTATGGTGCTGCAGATTATCAGAAGTGGGAGAAGATGCTATGTATAATTTGTGTCAAGCTTTGGAAGTGGCACTGGGGCTCTGGAGCAAGACCCTACCATCTGCAGTGAAGATTTAAACATGCTGTTGAAAAACAACTCCGGGCCAGGTGTGGTGGCTCATGCCTGTAATCCCAGCACTTTGGGAGGCCGAGGTGGGTGGATCACTTGAGGTCAGGAGTTCGAGACCAGCCTGGCCAACATGGTGAAACCCCGTCTATATTAAAAATATAAAAATTAGCAGGGTGTGGTGGTGTGCACCTGTGCTCCAAGCTACTCAGGAGACTGAGGCAGGAGAATCACTTGAACCCGGGAGGCGGAAGTTGCAGTGAGCCAAGATCGCGCCACTGCACTGTAGGCTGTGTGACAGAGCGAGACTCTGTCCCAAAAACAAAACACCACAGAAAAGCAACTCTGGTATGCTACTGGCCCTTAGAAGAAACAAAATGGTGGATCATGACCAAATGACTGCACAGCTGGAATTTCCCGTTATGGTTTGAGTCCTCTCAGAACAGCCAATTCATAAGGTCAGCAGTGCACAGCAACACTCCATCATAATAGTGAATGTGACATGGGCCAGGTGTGGTGGCTCATGACTGTAATCCCAGCACTTTGGGAGGCTGAGTGGGCGGATCACTTGAGGTCAGGAGTTTGAGACCAGACTGGCCAACATGGTGAAACCCTTCCTCTACTAAAAATACAAAAAGTACCTGGATGTGGTGGTGCATGCTTGTAATCCCAGCTACTTGGGATGCTGAGGCGGGAGGATCAGGTAAAGGTTGCAGTGAGCCAAGAGGGTACCACTGCACTCCAGCATGGAAAGACAGAGAGCGAGACTCTGTCTCAAAAACAAACAAACAAACAAACAAAAAACCAAAAACCAAACCAAAACAAAACAAAACCATTGATGCGGTATGTCTAGTATCAGTCACAAGTAGGACCAGAGGACCTGGGAAAGCTGCATGAGCAGGTAGCCCAGACTCCCATGGTCCCTACCACTGTAGAACCAATTACTCTCCCTCAATTCATGTCTTTGACTTTATGAGGAGTCTTATATGAAGGAGCTGAAGGAGGAGAAAAAAGCCTGTGCTTTTTTACAGCAGGTCAGCTTAGTATCCAGATGCAGGAAACAAGTGGGCAATGGACAGCATTACTCTGAGACAGTCTTGAAAGACAATGATGAAGGGGAATTCTCCCAGGAGCAGAACTTTGGGAGATCCACTTTGGTGATCCACTTTGTGTTGAAAGAAAAGTGACCTTAAACTAGAATATATATATATAGACTAATGGGCAGTAACAAATGTTCTGCTTAATTTTATTTTACTTTATTTATTTATTATTTTGAGACACAGTCTCATTCTTGTCGCCCAGGCTGGAGTGCAATGGTGCAATCTCAGCTCACTGCAACCTCTGCCTCCCGGGTTCAAGCGATTCTCCTGCCTCAGCCTCCAGAGTAGCTGGGATTACAGGCGCGCGCCACCATGCCCTGCTAATTTTTGTATTTTTAGTAGAGATGGGGTTTCACCATGTTGGCCAGGCTGCTCTCGAACTCCTGACCTCAGGCGATCTGCCCACCTCAGCCTCCCGAAGTGTTGGGATTACAGGGATGAGCCACCACGCTCAGCACCCAGTGCTCCTTTCTTTCTAGAAATACATCAAATCATTCTTTCTGGGAGTTGACAATTATTTTGTATTGAAGTATGTATACAGGTACATGTAACTAGAAGTTGTTGCCCATGCTGGAGTGCAGTGGCTCGATCTCGGCTCACTGCAACCTCCACCTCCCAGGCTCAAGTGATCCTCTCACCTAAGCCTCCTGAGTAGCTGCAACTACAGGCATGTACCACCACACCCAGCTAATTTTTGTATTTTTTGTAGAGATGGGGTTTCGCATGCAGGCTGGTCTCAAACTCCTGGGCTCAGTGATCTGCCTGCTTTGGCCTCACAAAATGCTGGGATTACAGGTGTGAACCACCCTGCCTAGCCTAGAAGTTCTAATCGTGCATGTGCAGCTTTGTTTTATGTTTATTTCCTCATTGGGTTAGTAGTTAAAACAATAATTTTTCCTTTTCTTTTTATTTTGAAATAATGTTAAACTTACAGAAAAATTGCAAGACAAGGGCAAAAAAATTTTTTTTTGCCTTGAGCCATTTAAGAGTATGTTGCCAACAACATGCCCTGTTGCCCACGAGAATACTTTACTGTGTGTATTTCTCACAAACAGCAACATTTCCTTACCTAAGTATAATACAACCATCCAAACTAGGACACTGACAATGATGTTTTACTACAGTCGCATCAATGTACTCCATTCAAGTTTCACCAATTGTCCCAATAATGTCCTTGCAAAAGAATACAACCCAAGATCAAAACACTGCTTTTGGTTTTCATCCCTCTTTAGTCTTCTTTAGTCTGGAACAGTCCCTCAGTCTTTCCTTTACTTTCATGACCACTTTTGAAGATAACAGGCCAGTTATTTTATAGAATGTCCCTTGATCTGCGTTTGTCTGATGTATCCTCTTGTCTAGATTCAACATGGTGAAGATATTTAGATCAAATGAAAACCATGGGCTGGGTGCGGTGGCTCACGCCTGTAATCCCAGCACTTTGGGAGGCCAAGGTGGGCAGATCACTTGAGGTCAGGAGTTCGAGACCAGCCTGGCCAACATGGTGAAATCCTGTCTCTACTAAAAATACAGAAGTTAGCCGGGTGTGGTGGCACGTGCCTGTATTCCCAGCTATTCAGGAGGCTGAGGTAGGAGAATTGCTTGATTCCAGGAGGCGGAGATTGCAGTGAGCTGAGATTGCACCGCTATACTCCAGCCTGGGTGACAGCCAGACTCTGTCTCCAAAAAAAAAAAAAAAAAAAAAAAAAGAAAGAAAAGAAAAAAAGAAAACCATGAATCCACCCCCAATACCTTCAATTCCAGTCTAATGCCACAGGGTTTATTCTAGTTTCCTCATTACTATATTTATTCTTTCATTTTAAATAGAAGCTTCACTCCCATTATTCTCAAAATATTTACTTATTTGATCAATCTCTTGTCCTGCCCCTCCATGAACCATTTCCTTACCTGGCTTGGACTCTGATATTCTCAGCTGGGCAGCTAGAGTCACCACCCCTACTTTCCTATGGAAACTCTCCTCATGCTTGGGCTCCAGCACCCCATTCTTACCACCACCAGTCCCCCTCTCCACACCACGGACTCCCTCTTCATTCAATCTGGGCTTTCATACTCTCAGCCCAGTTGTGAAATGGGACTTTTTACAACCAAAAGATTAAGAATGTACACTATAAATTGTGACTTTGATGAAATCAGTAATATTTCTTCATATAGGCCTGAGGACCAAATTAACTATATTCTGAACTTAGTTGGGGTTCTAAAAGGACCTGCTGGCCATGCATGGTGGGTCACACCTGTAGTCCCAGCACTTTGGAAGATTGAGGTGGGTGGATCACTTGAGCCCAGGAGTTCGAGACCAGCCTGGGACAACATAGCAAAACCCTGTCTCTATAGAAAATACAAAAAATTAGCCAGGCGTGGTGGCACATACCTGTCCCAACTACTTGGAAGCCTGAGGTAGGAAGATCGCTTGAGCCAGGGAGGTTGAGGCTGCAGTGAAGCGTGATTGTGCCACTGTACTCCAGGCCAGGTGACAGAGTAAGACCCTGCCTCAAAAATATAAATATAAATATAAATAAATGAATAAATAAAAGTACCTGCTATGTTTTAGTATTTAATCTACTTGGAACTTGTTTTTGTATGATATAAAATGGAGGTCCAATTATTTTCCTGACAGATATCATCATTTATTATATAATCCATCCATATCCCACTGAATTAAAATTGCACTGTTCACATTTTATGTTCTTAAAAACAGATATCTATTCCTGGATTCTCTTTTCTATTCCACTGGTTTATTTGTCTATGCCCAGGCCAATATTATATTGATGCTATTGTGGTATCTTTATAGTGTCTTCTGAGATCTAGTAAGCCAAGTGCACCCTTACTGTACTTCTTTCTACATTTATTGGCTATTTACAAGTACTTTATTCTTTCCAAATAAATCATCAGATAATTTAATCCAATTAAAAAGAAACCTGTTGGATACTGTGACAGTTGCATCGTTCAGCAGATTGAGTCACGAAGAGATGTATACCATCTGTCTGATGTATCTGGGGTGGTTGGGAAAAAAAAAACTGTTGGGATTATACTGGAATTTTTTTCTTTTTTTTTCTTTGCCCCAGCTGCTGGGATATAATAGGAATTTTATGAATTTTATATATATTTGTAGAGTTGTCCTTTTTGTGATAGTGTCTTAATATTCAAGAAAGAAACAATGAAGGTCATACAATGCCTGCTCATTATTCAGATCTTGATTCATTTATTTCCCCAACATATATATTTGAGCACCTACTATAGGCTAGACACTGTTCTAGATCCTGGGGATTCAACTGGGAACAAAACAAAGTTTCTGCTTTTTCAAAAAAGCAGAAAGTTTAGTAGTAGGAGATAGGTAATAAATATAAATACACACACACATATATATATGTAAATACATATGTAATACGTCAGATGGTATTAAATACTATGGCAAAAAATGAATCCAGCTAAAGGGGATATAGTGTGCTGGGAGGAGGGCTGTTTTTTAATTTAGTGCAAAAGATGATGTGGTGATATTTGACACATATATGAAGGACATGAAGGAGTCATCTGTGCATTCCAGGTGGGGGAGACAGCAAATGCAGAGGTGGGAGTGTGCTTGGTGGGTTATGCTGGCAGAGGAAGAGCAGGCAGCCCGGTGTGGCTACAGCAGGGTGAGCAGCCGGAAGAGGGGCAGGAAGTGGAGACAGAAAGGTTGCTGGGAGGCGCCATACCGAGTACAGCCATGGAGACCACTGTGAGTACTGTGGCTAAATAACTCAGGGAGAAGGGAAATTACCCTGAATTTTGAGCAGAGGAGTGACATGATCTGATGATCTTAACAAATCATTCTGGTGGACAGGAGTGGAAGCAGGGAGACCAGTTAGGACTCTGGCTTTGTCTTGCCTGAGATGGGGGTGGCTGGGAGGAGGGTGGGGGTGTGGGGGGTGAGAGATGGGGGATTCTGATTTGGCTGGCTTGCGTGCCATTGCAGGCCACCAGAGGGCACTACACATACGTCCTTGGTGAGGCTAAGCTGTGACAGCCAGTCCTTCCCTCACCCTCCCCAAATGACAGGTTGTGATACCTCCTTATGCAATAACCACCCTACCTGCTTTGCTACTAGAATTTAGATTCTGGTCCAGACTATGACATGCCCATACTCAAAAGATGAACCGTGGTAGTACAAGCACCATCTGAGTCTCCACGATTGCAGTCATCTAATGTCACAGTCTTCCTTTGTTTCCAGGACCCTCCTATCTCTCCATCAACCTCCCCTGTACACTTACCTGCATCAACCAGTGCATGAATGTAGCTGGGAAAACAGGTTTGCTGAATGTGACTGGGAGTTCCTTTCTTTGCCATTATTTCTTATGGGAACACTGCCTTTTAAAACCTATAGTGCTGAATGAAAAGGGTGTTTTTAGACCAGGCGCAGTGGCTCATGCCTGCAATCCCAGCACTTTGGGAGGCTGAGGCTGGTGGATCATTTGAGCCCAGGAATTCGAGACAAGTCTAAGAAACATAGCAAGAGGCTGTCTCTACAAAAATTAGCCAGGCGTGGTGGTGTGCATCTGTAGTCCTAGCTACTCAGGAAGCTGAAATGGGAGGATCACTTGAGCCCAGGAGGTTGGGGTTGCAGTGAGCCAAGATTGTACCACTGCACTCCGGCCTAAGTAACAGAGCGAGACCCTGTCTCTACAAAAGTACAAAAATTATCCAGGCATGATGGCAGGTGCCTGTAATCCCAAATACTCTGGAGGCTGAGGTGGGAGAATTGCTTGAACCTGGGAGGTGGAGGTTGCAGTGAGCCAAGATCACACCCTTGCACTCCAGCCTGGGCGACAGGGTGAGACTCTATCTCAAAAAAAAAGAAAAAAAAGATACCCACATGTGGTTAGTGTGTGCTGTATTGGACAGGGCAGGTTTACAGTGTGTGGAAGAATGTCTTATCATCTCCCTAATATTCATGCTTCTCTTTCTTTCATCATAGAACTCCTCCTCCAAGTTTAGCAATGCACATGAATATCCAGCTTGAGACACCATTTACCAACCTCTCTCAGTTAGGAGTGGCCATATGTGTTTGTTTTCTATTGCAGTGTGACAAATGACCACAGACTTAGCAGCTTAAAACAACACCCACTTATTATCTCAGAGTTCTGTAGGTCAGAAGTCTGGGCTTGGCTGGGTTCTCTGCTCAGGGTCCCAAAAGGCTGATACCAAGGTGTCCATGGGCTGGGCTCTGGAAAAGAATCTACTTCTAGACTCATTCAGGTTGGCAGAATCCAGTTCCTTGTGGCTGTAGATCTGAGATCCTGATTCCTACCTGGCTGTGAGCAGCGGGGGCTGCTCTGTGTTCCCAGAGGCTGCCGGGATACTTCCTGTGGTCCCTACACCTTTTCTTTTCTTTCTTTTTTTTTTCTTTTTTTGAGACAGAGTCTTGCTCTGCCACCCAGGCTGGAGTGCAGTGATGCTATCTTGGCTCACTGCAACCTCTGCCTCCTGGGTTCAAGAGATTCTCCTGTCTCAGCCTCCCAAGTAGCTGGGATTACAGGTGTGCACCACCACGCCTGGCTAATTTTTGTATTTTTAGTAGAGATGGGGTTTCACCATGTTGGCCAGGATGGTCTCGAACTCCTGACCTCAAGTGATCTGCCCTCCTTGACCTTCCAAAGTGTTGAGATTACAGGTGTGAGCCACTGCACCTGGCCAGTCCCCTACATCTTCAAGGCAGCCTTGGTGCAGTGCCTTTCTTATGCTTGGAATCTCTCTCTGATGGTTAATTTTAGGTGTCAACTTAACTGGATTAAGGAAAACGTAGAAACCTACTAAAGCATTCTTTTGAGTGTCTCTGTGAAGGTGTTTCCAGAGGAGATTAGTGTGTGAGTCTCAGTGGACTAGGTGGGAAAGATCTGCCTGCAATGTGGGTGGGCACCATTCAATCTGCTGGGGGCTTGGAGAGAAGAAAAACCAGGGCAAAAATGAATGTGCTGATCTACCTGCTGGAGCTGGGATACACTCTTCCTCTCCCGTCCTTGGACAATAACTCCAGACTTCTCGGCCTTTGGATTCCAGGACTTACATCAGTGGCTCCCCTCCCTGAGTTCTCAGGCCTCTGGGCTCGGCCTGAGAGTTACACCCTTGGCCTCCCTGGTTCTGAGGCCTTCAGACTTGGATTGAGCCATGCTACCAGCATCCCAGGGTCTCCAGCTTGCATATGGCTCATTGTGGGACTTTTTGCCTACCATAATCACATGAGCCAATTCCTCTAATAAATCCCCTCTCAGCCAGGTGCACTGGCTCACATTTTTTTGTTTCCCAGTGCATGTAAAAGTTATGTTTACACTATACTGTAATCTATTACATGTGCAATAGCATTCATTATGCCTAAAAAAAACATAGTACACACCTTAATTAAAAAATACTTTCTGGCTGGGTGTGGTGGCTCATGCCTGTAATCTCAGCACTTTGGGAGGTGGACACAGGAGAATCAGTTGAGCTCAGGAGTTCAAGAACAGCCTGGGCATCCTAGTGAGACTCCATCTCTTTTTTAAAAAATACCCCCTTTATCTATCTATCTATCTATCTATCTATCTATCTATCTAATCTATCTATCTATTCATCCATCCTTTCTATTGGTTCTGCCTCTCTGGAGAACCCTGATTAATACACTCTCTGTCTTCCCCTTCTGCCCAGCAGCCAGAAAAACTGATTTTCAAGGGCTTGTGATTAGATTACACCCACCTGGATAATCCTTTTGCTTTATAACAGAACATAATCTCAGGAGTGAGATCATGTTGATTTCTACCTATCCTCAAAAAGGAAGAAAGGGATTATGCCAAGGCAAGGATCATAGGAAGAATTCTTAGAATTCTGCCTCCTATGCCATGTGATTAAATTCTAGTCAACAAGAAGTTAATGGCAACTCTGTTCTTCCAGTTGCTCAAAATACTGGGTGTCCTCCTTGGCCTCTCACTTCTCACACCCCATTGGTCAGTCAGAAAATTCTGTCAGCTCTGCCTGCAAAACACACTCAGCATTCAAGCACTTCCCATGCCTTCCTACTTCCCAATGCTGGGCAGGTCACCATCATCTCTCACATGGATTAGTGTAACTTCCTAGCTGGCTTTCTCTCCAGCATTGTTCTTTTTTTTTTTTTTTTCTGAGATGGAGTCTCACTCTTGTTGCCCAGGCTGGAGTGCAATGGCACGATCTTGGCTCACTGCAACCTCCGCCTCTCAGGTTCAAGCGATCCTCCTGCCTCAGCCTCCCAAGTAGCTGGGATTACAGGCATGCACCACCCATGCCCGGCTAATTTTTGTATTTTTACTAGAGATGGGGTTTCTCCATGTTGGTCAGGCTAGTCTCGAACTCCCGACCTCAGGTGATCCGCCCACCTCGGCCTCCCAAAGTGCTGGGATTACAGGCGTGAACCACTGTGCCCGGTCATTTTGTTCTTGACACAGCAACCAGAATGATCCTGATACAGCATATGCCAAACCATGTCCCTTAGCACTCTTCAGTGGGTCTCTATCTCATAATAAAGACCAAAATCCTTAATATGGACCACACGATTCTACTTTGGTCTCCATATTAGGTTTGTGACCTCAAAATCCTATCACTCTTCTGGCTGGGTGTGGTGGTTCACGCCTATAATCCCAGCATTTTGGGAGGCCAAGGTGGGCAGATCACTTGAGGTCAGGAGTTTGAGATCAGCCTGTCCAACATGGCAAAACCCTGCCTCTAATAAAAATACAAAAATTAGCTGGCATGGTGGCACACACCTGTAATTCCAGGAATTTGGGAGGCTGAGGCGGGCGGATCACTTGAGGTCAGGAATTCGAGACCAGCCTGGCCAACATGGCAAAATCCCATCTCTACCAAAAATACAAAAACTAGCTGGGCATGGTGGTATGTGCCCGTAGTCCCAGCTACTCAAGAGGCTGAGGCACAAGAACCACTTGAACCCGTGAGGCGGAGGTTGCAGTGAGCTGAGATCTCGCTACTGCACTCCAGCCTGGCGACAGAGCGAGACTCTGGCTCAAAAAAAAAAAAAAAAAAAAATCTTATCACTCTTCTCCTCCTTCTCTTCACTGTAGCCTCATAGGGCTCCTTGCTGTTCCTTAAACATGTCAAAAAGTGCTTTAAGTCTTTGGTACTTGCTATTCTCTTTGCCTAGAATGTTCTTCTCCAAGATATCTACATGGCTAGCTCTCATTTCCTTCATGTCTTAATTCAAAAGTTGCCTTTCAGCCAGGCAAGGTGGAGCATACCTGTAATCCCAGTGCTTGGGAGGCTGAGGTGGGAGGATTGCTTGAGGCCACGAGTTCGAGACCAGCCTAGGGAACATAGTGAGACCTTTTTTGGTTCTACAGAAAATAAAATAAATAGCCAGCTTGGTGGCACATTCCTGTAGTCTCAGCTACTTGGGAGGCTGAGACAGAGGATACCTTGAGCTCAGGAGTTTGAGGTTGCAGTGAGCTATGATCATGCCACTACACTCCAGCCTAGATGACAGAGTAAGACCCTGTTTCTAAAAAAAATAAAAATAAAAAATAAGCCTGGTGCGGTGGCTCACACCTATAATCCCAGCACTTTGGGAGGCCAAGGTAGGCGGATCACTTGAGGGCAGGAGTTTGAGACCAGCCTGGCCAACAGGGTGAAACCCCGTCTCTACCAAAAAAACCTAGCTGGGCGTGGTGGCATGTGCCTGTAGATCCAGCTACTCAGGAGGCTGAGGCATGAGAATCCCTTAAACCTGGGAAGCAGAGGTTGGAGTGAGCCAAGATCGCGTCACTACACTCCATCCTGGGTAACAGAGCGAGACTCCATCTCAAAATAAACAAACAAACAAACAAACAAAATTCAGCTGGGCGCAGTGGCTCATGCCTGTAATCCCAGCACTTTGAGAAGCCGATGCGGGTGGATCACCTGAGGTCAGGAGTTTGAGGCTGGCCTGGCCAACATGGTGAAACCCATCTCTACTAAAAATACAAAATTAGCTGGGTGTGGTGGCGGGCACCTGTAATCCCAGCTTCTCCGGGGGGCTGAGGCAGGAAAGTCAACTGAACCCAGGAGGCGGAGGTTGCAGTGAGCTGAGACTGTGCCATTGCACTCTAACCTGGGCAACAGTAAGACTCGGTCTCGAAGAAAAGAAAACATTCAGGCCAGGCACAGTGGTTCATGCCAGTAATCCCAGTGAGGCTGAGGTGGGCAAATCATTTGAGCCCAAGGAGTTTGAGGCCAGCCTGGGCAACTGGGCAACATGGGGAAATCTTCATCTCTAAAAAATAGAAAAATTAGCCCAGTGTGGGGCATGTGCCTGTAATTCCAGCTAATTGGGAAGCTGAGGTGGGGAAGTTGAGGCTGTGTGAGCTGTGATAGCACCACTACATTCCAGTCTGGGTGACAGAGTGAGACCCCGTCTCCAAAACACAACAAAAATTTACTTTTCTAGTGAGGCTTCTCGTGGCCACATCACTTCATATTCTCCTACCCTGCTTTAGTGTTTTGCACCTTAGTACTTTTCACTGTGCAACCTACTAAAAAAAATTTTTTTTTTTTGAGACAAAGCCTTGCTCTGTCACCCAGGCTAGAGTGCAATGGCGTGATCTTGGCTCACTGCAACCTCCGCCTCCCAGGTTCAAGTGATCCTCCTGCCACAGCCTCCTGGATAGCTGGGATTACAGGCATGTACCAACACGCCCAGCTAATTTTTGTATTTTTAGTAGAGACAGGGTTTCACCATGTTGACCAGGCTGGTCTTGAACTTCTTACCTCAAATGATCCACCCGCCTTGCCCTCCCAAAGTGTTGGATTACAAATGTGAGCCACCACTGCTGGCCCACACTACAGATTTTAATTTTGCATCTTGTTTATCTCTCCCACCAAAATGTAATCCATTAGCACAGAGATTCTCTCCCATTCCCTCCCTTTCCTCTTCTTTTCTTCATTACTGTATCAACTTGGCATGTGGTAGGCACTCACAAATGTTTGTTGAATTAATAATACGGTGAGAGGGAGATGATGAGAGTCAAAGCATTCTTTTTGGCCAGGTGCAGTGGCTCACGCCTGTAATCCCAGCACTTTTAGAGGCTGAGGTGGGTGGATCACCTGAGGTCAGGAGTTGGAGACCAGCCTGGCCAACATGGTGAAACCCTGTCTCTAAAAAAAAAAAAAAAAAAAATTAGCCAGGCATGGTGGCACATGCCTGTAGTCCCAGCTACTTGGGAGGCTGAAGCAGGAGAATCGCTTGAACCCGGGAGGCAGAGGTTGTAGTGAGCCGAGATCATGCCACTGCACTCCAGCCTGGGCGACAGAGCAAGACTCCATCTCAAAAAAAAAAAGCAATTTTTTTTTTTTTTTTAGTAAGAGACAGGATTCCAGGCTGAGGTGTAGTGACACTATCATAGCTCACTGCAGCCTTGAATTCCTGGGCTCAAGCCATCCTCTCACCTCAGCCTCCCGAGTAGCTGACATTACAGATGCGTGCCACCACACCCAGCTAAATATTTTTATTTTTTGTAGAGACAAGGTCTTGCTATGTTGCCCAGGCTGGTCTCAAGGGGTCCTCCTGGCCTCAAGAGGTCCTCCTGTCTCAGCCTCCCAATGAGCTGGGATTACAGGCATGGGCCACCATGCCTGGCTGGGAATTGGAGCATTCTAAGATCTTCATACTGTTTGGGAGGGAGGTGGTGATACTGATTAACTTTAGAGTTTGCTAAGCTAAATGTGGATGCTGTGCTTTTAAGGGATACCACTGAGAGAACCGAAATGGAACTATGACTTCAATGTGGATGGGAAGGGAAGGGCAAAAAAGAAAATTTGATTAAGCCAATGGGAGGCAGGAATGAAGAAAAAGCAGCAAAGATACAATAAAAAGAAAGCACAAAGCTTCCTGATTCTCGTGGAATAATGGCAGATGCCTAAAATCCCTTCACAGTCCTTCACAAACCATACAGATTGACAATGAAAGCAACTTAAATAAATCACCCCATCCCTCACAGCATCACTAGGAGACAGGGCATACCTCAAACTTCAATTTACATATAAATGGGGAGATAAATATCTGAAACCAGCAGAGCTAGGTCTAGAGCTCACTTCTGAACGGGAAGTCAGGAGGGTTGTGTGGAAGACAGCAGAGTGCAGCCAGGTCCTGGAGGTGGCAGCACACAGATAGCATTGGCTAGAATTAGCCCCAGAAGGAGAGGACCGTATCCTGAGAATTGGTGGATCAGAGAACTGTCTACTGAGTAATTGAAAGAAACATTCGTGAACTAGCAATAGCAGAAACAACATTCTCTGATCACAAAATGCAATACAATGACAAATTAACAAAATTAAAAGTAAAAAGACTTTTCGAACTAGAATTTTTTTTTTTTTTTCCGAGATGGAGTCTCGTTCTGTCTCTCAGGCTGGATGGAGTGCAGTGGCGCGATCTTGGCTCACTGCAACCTCTGCCTCCCGAGTTCAAGCAATTCTCGTGCTTCAGCCTCCCAAGTAGCTGGGATTACAGGTGCCTGCCACCACGTCCAGCTAATTTTTGTATTTTTAGTAGAGACGAGGTTTCACCATGTTGGCCAGGCTGGTCTTGAATTCCTGACCTCAAGTGATCTGCCCCCCTTGGCCTCCCAAAGTGCTGGGATTACAGGTGTGAGCCACCATGCCCAGCCTAGAAATTTTAAAGAACTCGATCGAGCAACTCTTGAGTCAACAGGGTAATACAAACCAAAATTGCAGAATTTTATAAAATAACAATAATGAAAACACAGCTTATCTGAATTTATGAGGTACTGCAAAAGCATTGTTAGGAAATGTATTACATCAAATACACATATCAGTAAAAGTAAACATCAACTAAAAAGGAAAAAAGCAAAGTAAACCAAGAGAAAGTAGAAGGTAGGAATGAATATAGACATAAATAGAAATTAATAAGTGAGGGCCGGGGGCAGTAGCTCACGCCTGTAATCCCAGCACTTTGAGAGGCTGAGGCAGGTGATCACTTTTAGCTTAGGAGTTCGAGACCAGCCTGGGCAACATGGCGAAACCCTGTCTCTACTAAAAATACAAAAATTAGCCAGGCACATGGTGGCGCGTACCTGTAATCCCAGCTACTCAGGAGGCTGAGGCAGGAGAATCACTTGAACCTGGGAGGCAGAGGTTGCAGTGAGCTGAGATTGTTCCACTGTACTACAGGCTGGGCAACAGAGTGAGACTCCATCTCCAAAAAAAAAGAAAGAAATTAATGAATTAGGAAACAGAAAAAACGGTGTTTGGAGCTGGAGATGGCATGGGCACTGGTAGAGCTATTCTGGCTGTGGTGAGGAGGTGACCCCTGCCTGGTCCAGGAACTCCCAACTCTCCCTGCACCCTCCTTGGCTCCAGCCTTTGAAGCATGTCTGCCTGCCCCACTCCTAGTTTCCTGCGTTTCCTTGTCCTCTGCCCCTCCCCGCACCATTGAAGGCAGAAGCATGGGGTGCTCCCCTGTGCCAGCCGTCCACGGGCAGCACCAATGGGCAGAAGGCAGTGAGGTCTCTGATTCGCCTCTCTCGTTTCTCCATTCCACCTCCCCGTCCCCCTCCATAAGAAGACTGGATGCCTGTGCTAACGCAGAGATTGAGAGACCCCAACATAAACCCTTGCTTGAAGGAATCTGATGCTTCTACCAGAGGAATGGATGAAAATGACCATGACAGGGAAACATGTTCCATTTATTTATTTATTTATTGGTGGTCTTGCTGTGGTGTCCAGGCTGGCCTCAAACTGCTGGACTCAAAGGATCCTCCTGCCTCAGCCTCCTGAGTAACTGTAATTATAGGCCACCACTCTAGGCTCTACTTCTTGGAACGCAAAAACTACCGAGAGTCTGGAATTTTATCATGGTCCGAAGAATACAGGATGGAGTGAAGCCATCTGTGTCCATAGCAGAGAGAGAGATGAAATCTTGGGAAAATGGGAAAGAAGCCCTATTGAATGTTTGCATTAAAATTGTTTTTATAAATTGATGCCCACATCAACATGGACAAATATCATAATCGTTATGCTGAGTGAGAGAAAACAGACTCAAAGGGCTACATACTGTATTGAGAGGTGACAGCGTGCTGGCAGTCCTCAGAGCCCTCGCTTGCTCTCGGCACCTCCTCTGCCTGGGCTCCCAGTTTGGCGGCACTTGAGGAGCCCTTCAGCCCACCACTGCACTGTGGGAGCCCCTTTCTGGGCTGGCCAAGGCTGGAGCCCACTCCCTCAGCTTGCAGGGAGGTGTGGAGGGAGAGGCGCGAGCGGGAACCGGGGCTGCGTGAGGCGCTTGCGGGCCAGCTGGAGTTCCGGGTGGGCGTGGGCTTGGCGGCCCCGCACTCGGAGCAGTCGGCCAGCCCTGCTGGCCCCGGGCAATGAGGGACTTAGCACCCGGGCCAGCAGCTGCGGAGGGTGTACTGGGTCCCCCAGCAGTGCCAGCCCACCGGCGCTGCGCTCAATTTCTCACGGAGGCTTAGCTGCCTTCCCGCCGGGCAGGGCTTGGGACCTGCAGCCCCCCATGCCTGAGCCTCCCACCCACTCCGTGGGTTCCTGTGCAGCCTGAGCCTCCCTGATGAGCGCCGCCCCCTGCTCCACGGCGCCCAGTCCCATCCACCACCCAAGGGCTGAGGAGTGCGGGCGTATGGCACTGGGACTGGCAGGCAGCTCCACCTGCAGCGCAGGTGTGGGATTCACTGGGTGAAGCCAGCTGAGCTCCTGAGTCTGGTGGGGCCTTGGAGGACTTTTATGTCTAGCTCAGGGATTGTAAATACACCAATCGGCACTCTGTATCTAGCTCAAGGTTTGTAAACACACCTATCAGCACCCTGTGTCTAGCTCAGGGTTTGTGAGTGCACCAATCCACACTCTATCTAACTGCTCTGGTGGGGCCTTGGAGAACCTTTATGTCTAGCTCAGTGATTGTAAACACACCAATCGGCACTCTGTATCTAGCTCAAGGTTTGTAAACACTCCAATCAGCACCCTGTGTCTAGCTCAGGGTTTGTGAATGCACCAATCGACACTCTGTATCTGGCTACTCTGGTGGGGCCTTGGAGAACCTTTATGTCTAGCTCAGGGATTGTAAATACACCAATCGGCACTCTGTATCTACCTCAAGGTTTGTAAACACACCAATCAGCACCCTGTGTCTAGCTCAGGGTTTGTGAGTGCACCAGTTGACACTCTGTATCTAGCTACTCTGGTGGGGCCTTGGAGAACATTTATGTCTAGCTTAGGGTTTGTGAGTGCACCAATCGACACTCTGTATCTAGCTGCTCTGGTGGGGCCTTGGAGAACCTTTGTGTCGATACTCTGTGTCTAACTAATCTGATGGGGCCATGGAGAACCTTTGTGTCTAGCTCAGGGATTGTAAATGCACCAATCAGCGCCCTGTCAAAACAGACCACTTGGCTCTACCAATCAGCAGGATGTGGGTGGGGCCAGATAAGAGAATAAAAGCAGGCTGCCCGAGCTAGCAGTGGCAACCCGCTCGGGTCCCCTTCCACACTGTGGAAGCTTTGTTCTTTCGCTCTTTGCGATAAATCTTGCTACTGCTCACTCTTTGGGTCCACGCTGCTTTTATAAACTGTAACACTCACAGCAAAGGTCTGCAGCTTCACTCTTGAAGCCAGCGAGACCATGAGCCCACCGGGAGGAACAAACAACTCCAGACGTGCTGCCTTAAGAGCTGTAACACTCACCGCGAAAGTCTGCAGCTTCACTCCTGAGCCAGCGAGACCACGAACCCACCAGAAGGAAGAAACTCCGAACACATCCGAACATCAGAAGGAACAAACTCCAGACGCGCCACCTTAAGAGCTGTAACACTCACCGCGAGGGCCCATGGCGTCATTCTTGAAGTCAGTGAGACCAAGAACCCACCAATTCCGGACACAGTATGATTCCATTTATGTGACATTCTGGAAAAGGCAAAACCTTAAAGTTACCAGCTGCTGAAATTGGGGATGAAAAGTGCTGACAAAGAGGCATGAGTTATAATTGAATCTTGATTGTGGTAGTACTTATACTATTGTGTATATATGTCAAAAGTCATCATATTGTACAGTTAAAATAATTTTATTGCATGGAAATTAGGCCTAAATAAAGTTTTTTTTTTTTTTTTTTTTTTGAGAAAGGGTCTTACTCTGTCACCCAGGCTGGAGTGCAGTATCATGATCTCAGCTTACTGCAACCTCCTCTGCCTGGGCTTAAGTGTGATTCTTGTGCCTCAGCCTCCTCAGGAGCTGGGACTACAGGTGTGTGCCACTACGCCTAGCTAATTTTTGTATTTTTAATAGAGATGAGGTTTCACCATGTTGCCAGCCTGGTCTCGAACTCCTGACCTCAGGTGATCCACCTACCTTGACCTCCCAAAGTGCCAGGATTACAGGTGTGAGCCACTGTGTCTGGCCATAAATTTGATTTTAAAACTAAAAAAAACCTGTTTGTATAACTTTGATGCAAATAATTTTTTTTCTTTTTTTCTTTTTTTTTTTTTTCGAGACGGAGTTTTGCTCTTGTGCAGGCTGGAGTGCAGTGGTGCAATCTCAGCTCACTGCAACCTCTGCCTTCCGGGTTCAAGCGAGTCTCTTGCCTCAGCCTCCTAAGTAGCTGGGATTACAGATGCCCGCCACCATGCCCAGCTAATTTTTGCATTTTTAGTAGAGACGGGGTTTCGCTATGATGGCCAGGCTGGTCTCGAACTCCTGACATCAGGTGATTGACCTGCCTCAGCCTCCCAAAGTGCTGGAATTACAGGCATGAGCCACTGTGCCTGGCCAAGAACATTGTTTTAATGTCAACTGACAATAAACTATCTATCTGAATCCTAAACCCAGCTCAGAAGATTTTAAGTCATATGACCTTGATTGTTAAATATTATTCTATTTGAATAAAAAATGGATTGTTTCAAAAAAAAGAAAAAATATAAAAAACATAAATTAACTGAACTGCTGTTTCTTAGAGAAAACAAATCAGTCAAGTAGACGAACTGCTAGCTAACCTAATCAAGAACAAAAGGATATGTTCCCAACACAAAGAGATGGTATTTGAGGTGAAGGATATCCCAGTTACCCAGATTTGAACATTACATATTGTATGCTTTTATGAAAATATCACATGCGTTCCATAAATATTTATGACTATTATGTATTCATAATTTTTTTTTTAAAAAAGGAAAGGAAAAAGGCATCAGTGTGCAAGATAAGAAATGACAAAGAGGACAACCACTGAAACAGAAGACAATTTACAAATCCTAAGATACTACTTTTCTCAAGCCTAGACAAATGCCTTTGAAAACCTAGATTAAATAAATAATTTTCTACAAAAATATTACTTACCCAAATTGACCCTGGTAAACACAGAACATTTAAACAAATTAACGAATTGCTCTTTAACAAGTCACAAGGCCCAGATGGATTCACAGGAGAATTTACCAAACCTTCACAGCTACTTAAAATGTTCCAGAGCATAAAAAAAGAAAGCTTCTACTTATTTTTAAACGGCTGCATGCATTTTAAAGAAACTAAGAGGAAAAAGTAGTCTTTTCACATATTTATAAATTTGTCCTTACTTCACTCACTTTGTTTAAACAAGGTTAGGCACATATTAACCATTTCTGATGCTCAACAGTCTTTTCTGAAAATTCCAGTTTCCATCTGGTTCTGGCAAAGGGGTGCAAAGGAGAGATGGAGTAGCACCTACAACTGGAAGACGAAGCTTTTCCAGATAACCTTGGCAGCGTTTTACTGGCCAGAGAGGTCGAGGTCATCCCCAGTTGCAAGGGAGGCAGGGAATTGTAATGTTTTAGCTGGACACATTGTGATATGGTGTGGCTGTGTCCCCACCCAAATCTCATCTTGAATTGTACTCCCAAAATTCCCACATGTTGTGGGAGGGACCCAGTGGGGGATAATTGAATCATGGGGGTGGTTCCCCCATACTGTTCTTGTGGTAGTGAGTAAGTCTCACGAGATCTGATGGTTTGATAAGGGGAAACCTGTTTCGCTTGGCTCTCATTCCCTTCTCTTGTCTGCTGCCACGTGAGACGTGCCTTTCACCTTCTGCCATGTTGGTGAGGTGTCCCCAGCCACGTAGAATTGTAAGTCCAATAAACCTCTTTCATTTGTAAATTGCCCAGTCTCGGGTATGTCTTTATCAGCAGCATGAAAAATGGACAAATACACATTACTTCCTCCATCAAATTCAGGGTTGTACTAGTCAAGAAGAAAAGGAGACCAGTCATTGGGTAGAAGGAAAGCAGTGACTGCCATAGCCCACCCTTGGCTATCCATCCTCACATGCACAGAATATACTCCCTTTCTAAGGTAGACAGTGCCAAAGTCTCACCCAGAGCCTACATCCATCTCAAAACCCAGAATCTGCAGCTGATATACAGCTTTCTCCATTTAGTCTTGATGTGAATCTTCACAGTCCAGTAATCTGTAAGCTAAAAGGCAAGTTATCTTCCCCCAGCATGTCTCATATACAATAATGGAGAAGGAACAGAATAAAACTTCAATGTAGGACAAGGAAGAATGTGAATAAAGGAAAGAATCTCTCTGTTTTAAGCATGTCAAAGCTATTGCAAATATTGGATCTATAACAAATGTCAGATCCTGCTAGACAGGAGTGGCCAGGACTCCCTTCCAGGCAGGGAATAATTTCCTTGTTCAGCCAACCTATTCTCTAGGAGGAATTCCCTTCTCTATTGTACTCTGTGGTCCAAGTTCCATCTTCTTTTGAGACGGCTTCTTGTTCATTATCCTCTTAACCATATCTGAAGTGAACTTTGGGGAGAATATGCTTTCTGTTGTGTGAGTTTAGGAACCTGGGATTGAAGAATTATACGCTTTTGCTGGCCAGGTTTTTAAATTTTCATTTTTGGTGATATGATTCCTTAAAAATTGTTGTAGGCTCTCAGTGTATTTGCCTCTGGTTGATCCTACGTTTGAGTCGCCATAGCCAAATCTCCTATATGGCCATAGTCTTTTAGACCTGAAAACCTTCCTTTGTTGGCTACTGGCCTTTGTGTCCTGCCTGTCCCTTTAGCCTTTAACTTAATGATTATTGACTTGAGACAATTTGAAACAAAAGATTCTAGTGGGAAGAAACCACTTTGCGGACTCCACTTCCTCTGCTGAATGAATTCTTAGAGGAAGGTGCTTAGGAAAGGCCCAAGATACCAACCAGTCTTACCTTCTTCTACCATATTGCTTGGCAGCCACTACTCCTATATGGAGAAAAGAGCAATTATCTTTTTTTTTTTTTTTTTTGAAACAGGGTCTTGTTTGGCTCTGTTGCCCCGGCTAGAGTGCAGTGGTGTGATCACGGCTCACTGCAGCCTCAACCTTCCTAGGCTCAGGTGATCTTCTTGCCTCAGCCTCCCAAGTAGTTAAGACTACAGGCACATGCCACCACACCAGGCTAAGTTTTTGTATGTTTTGTAGAGACGCGGTCTTGCTATGTTGCCCAGGTTGGTCTCAAACTCCTGGGCTCAAGCGATCTGCCCACCTTAGCCTCCCAAAGTGCTAGGAATACAGGCATGAGCCACTATGCCTGGCCCAGAGCAATTGTCTTTTTCAGCCCTGCAATTCTCCAAATTATGAAATGCTCCTTCAAAGTAGATTTGCAGGCCATAGGCAGAAGTACTACTTAGTGAAGTAGCACTGCCTTCCTTTTTTCCTTCAGCCTGGATAATTCAAGTTCACTGGTCTCCTTCAAGAATTCATCGAAAGTGGAATGAAGTCACCAGCATGTGCCAACATTCTGAATTATTCTAGCCATTTACCCTATCACTACAGACTTGGCTGGTATGTGGGGTGTCTCCCATAAAATAGCAGATCGACCAAATGTTTTCCCACAGCATAGCAGGGTTGTCAGCATTCCCGTCTGCAGTATCTGTGCCCCCACTGCCCAAAGCTCCGTCTCTACCACTCAACGAAGTCCACGTTTCAGATGATATTATGTGCAGCACCCCACTTCAGTGGACCTAATTCTCTATTTGATAGGAATGCGCTTGGCTGCACTTAACAAACCCAGCAAAGCAAAGGCTTAACAAGAAAGGGGTTTACTTTTTTTACATTACGAGGAGACTGGGATAGGCAGTCCAGGACTCTCGCAGCAGCTCAAGGAATCTGGCTCTTTTTATCTTCTTCAGCCATCCTTAGTGTGTGTCTTTTGGCTTCATGATCACAAGGTGGCTGTAACTCTTCTGGTTTGCAGGTAGGAAGAAGTGGGTAGGGGAAGGCAGAATGCATGTGCCAGTTGAGACTGGCTTCTTCTTCTTTTTGAATCAGGTAATCAATTGCTTTTCCAAAAATACCACCCAGTGACTTTCACTTGTACCTTATTGGCCACATTGACATCCTTAGCTCTGGAAGAATGTGGGGAGATAAATATCTAAAAACTCTAAATAAAATGGGGGTTCTGTGAGAAGGAGAGAATAGGCCAGGCAGTGTGGTGACTCACATCTGTCATTCCAGCACTTTGGGAGGCTGATGTAGGAGGATCTCTTGAGCCCAGGAGGTTGAGACCAGCCTGGGCAACATATTGAGACGCCATCACTGCAAAACATATATTTATTAATTAATTACAGAGATGGGGTCTTGATATGTTGCCCAGGGTGGGCTCAAACTCCTGGGGGTCAAGTGATCCTTCTGCCTTGGCCTCCCAAAGTGCTGGGATTATAGGCATGAGCCACTGTGCCTTGCCTACTACAGAAAATTAAAAAAAAAAAATTAGTTGGGCATGGTGGTGTGCACCTGTGGTTCCAGCTACTTGAGAGGCTGAGGTGGGAGGATGACTTGAGCCCAGGAGGTCAAGGCTGCAGTGAGCTGTGATTACACCACTGCACTCCAGCCTGGGTGACAGAGCAAAATCCTGTCTCAAAAATAAATAAATAAATAAATAAATAAGAATAGATATTGCATAGTCAACTAGGTCTGCCAGACCACTACAAACTGGTTTATACACAAGAAGTAATTTCTTGGCTTAAGAAACTGAAAAGTTCAGAGGGGTTGTTGTTACTTGATCCAGCAGTTTACCAAAATCATCAAGAAGTTAGGTTCTTTCCAGCCCTCCCTTCTGCCTTAGTCCATGTGAGAATACTCTGAGGCTGGCTCCCCTTACAGTCCTCAGAAAGCCCCCATGGCTATGTGCTTTCTCATTCATGCCCAGTGAAAAATATAGTTTCAGCATCCTAGCATTTGTGGCTAACATGCTGAACCCATCACTGGGCTCAGAGGATGGACTGTGCTGAATGGCTTGGCTTATGTGAAGCCACATCCCAGGAACTACATGGATTGATCCCCAAAGGGAAAGTATGGTCTGTTGAAAAGAGGCCAGGGATCTCTGGGAGTGATGTGGGAAAATGGATAAGACAACCAACAAATGTCCTCCAGCATAGCTGAAGTAAGAGACAAGAAAGGGGATGAGTTACCACTGGAGAGGCTGAACCCAGGACAGTCCCTGAGGTGACACTGGTGATGCTCATCTGAACACTGCTGGGGGAGAGGGAGCCCTGGGCCAAAGTCACATCCTGTGCAATTCTAGCGGCAGATCCATCTTTACTGTGAGGGTCTTGAAAGCACACTCTTATTCTCCCTTGACCCCCTCTCCCATTGTGGTGCTCTGATTCTAGCTCTCCAGGCAGGCTTGTGATTATATTTGGCTTTCCATGTGTTTTGTTGCTTTGTTTTGTTTGTTTGTTTTTTGAGACAGAGTCTCACTCTGTTGCCCAGGCTGGAGTGCAGTGGCGTGATCTCGGCTCACTGCAACCTCCGCCTCCTGGGTTCCAGTGATTCTCCTGCCTCAGCCACCAGATTAGCTGGGATTATAGGCACCCGCCACCATGCCTGGCTAATTTTTTTGTATTTTTAATAGAGATGGGGTTTCACCATGTTGGCCAGGCTGGTCTCCAACTCCTGACCTCAAGCGATCCACCCACCTCGGCCTCCCAAAGTGTTAGGATTACAGGTGTGAGCTATGGTGCCTGACCCCATCTATAGCCTTTTGTGTCTAGCTTCTTTCATTCAACATTATATTAATGGGATTCTTCCAGGTTATTGTGAATAGGGGTGGCTCCATAACTCTCATTACTTTATAGTGCACCATAGTTTGAATATAACACAATGTATTCATTCATTCTACTATTGGTGAATATTTGTGTTATTTCCCATTTAGCGCTATCAGGAATGGTGCTGCAATGAATATTCTTGCACATGTCTTTTGTGAGCACGTGTGCATTTCTGTTATCTACATACTTAGGAATAGAATTGCTGGGATATAGGATAAGTGTAAATTCAGCTTCAGTGCATATTGCCAAACGTCTCAAGTAGCTGTACTAATTTACACTCCTACCAGAACCACGAGAGTACTAGTTTCTTCACATCCTTGCCAACACTTGGTATTATTGATCTTTTTAATTGTAGTCATTCTGATGGGTGTATAGTAGTATTTTTGTTTTAATTTACATATTTCTTATGACTAGTGAGCATGAGTAAATTTCCATATGAACATTTAGATATCCTTTTTGGTGAAGTATCTGTTCATGTAAGATTCAAGTCTGCTTCATAGACTCTTCTACAAGATCAGAAGGGCAGCTAGGCAGGTCATGAGGCTCACAGCAAGAGATGCTAAAGATGAAAAAGAACTTTGAGGCCTGGTACAGTGGCTCACACCTGTAATCCTAGCATTTTGGGAAGCCGAGGCAGGTGGATCACTTGAGCTCAGAAGTTCAAGACCAGCCTGGGCAACATGGTGACACCCCGTCTCCACAAAAAATGCAAATACTAGCCAAGCATGGTAGTGTGCGCCTATAGTCCCAACCATTTGTGGGGCTGAGGGAGGAGGATAGCTTGAACATAGGAGGTCGAGGTTGCAGTAAGCCGAAATCATGTCACTCCACTCCAGCCTGGGTGACAAAGTGAGACCCTGTCTCAAACCACAAAAACAATAACAACAACAACAACAAACAACTTTGCATCAGGCCGGGCACAGTGGCTCACGCCTGTAATCCTAGCACTTTGGGAGGCCGAGGTGGGCAGATTGCCTGAGCTCAGGAATTCAAAACCACCCTGGGCAACATTGTGAAACCCCATCTCTACTAAAAATAAAAAAATTAGCCGGGCGTGATGACATGTGCCTGTAGTCCCAGCTACTCGGGAGACCGAGGTGGAAGGATCATTTGAGCCCAGGAGGTTGAGGCTGCAGTGAGCTGTGATCACAGAGCACCTTAGGGGCACAGAACAGGGCATACTTCATATTTTCTCTTGTATTAAAATTATTCATGGAAAAACTTATGCATGTACATATCCCCTTCAGGATTCTGAGCTTCTTGTATATGCTTCATTCTCACATTTTCCTCAGCTCCTGACATAATATCTTGCATATAATAGGCACTTGAATATTTGTGAAATAAAACTTCAGCCATAAAGGTAGACATTTCTTTTTTGTCCTTTTTTTTTTTTTTTTTTTTTTGAGATGGAGTCTCGCTCTGTCACCCAGGCTGGAGTGCAGCGGCATGATCTCAGCTCACTACAACCTCCGCCTTCCAGGTTCAAGCAATTCTCCTGCCTCAGCCTCCTGAGTAGCTGGGATTACAGGTGTGTGCCACCACACCTGGCTAATTTTTGTATTTTCAGTAGAGAATACAAAATCAAGAAGTTAGGTTCTTTCCTAACTTAACGGTTTCACCGTGTTGGTCAGGCTGGTCTGCAACTCCTGACCTCGTGATCTGCCCGCCTTGGCCTCCTAAAGTGCTAGGATTACAGGCATGAGCCACCGCGCCCAGTCTCTTTGTCTATTTTTATTTCAGGCTACAGGAGAAGAAAAAGACTTACAGATGTGGTAAGACCTATCTTTATATTTCACAATCATTTTAGTGGACTCATAGTCTTTATTCTTTATTCTCCAGTCAAGTGAAGGGTTGGTGGAATCCCAGCACAGTGATTGATGGGTGGAATCATTCAAATTTTGATGGGGTCCTTTTTTGGGGTCTTCTATGTCAGGGGTCCTCAACCCCAGGGGGTTGGGGTTGAAGCCTTTTAGGAACCAGGCTGCACAGCAGGAGGTGAGCGGCGTGAGCGAGGCGTCATCTGTATTTACAGCTGCTCCCCACTACTCGTATTACTGCCTGAGCTCTGCCTCCTGTCAGATCAGTGGCAGCATTAGGTTCTTACAGGAGCATAAACCCTACTGTGAACTGCACATGCAAGGGATCTAGGTTGCTCCTTATGAGAATCTAATGCCTGATGATCTGTCATTGTCTCTCATCACCCCCAGACGGGACCATCTATTTGCAGGAAAACTAGCTCAGGGCTCCCACTGACTCTACATTATGGTGAGTTGTATAATTACTTCATTTTATATTACAATGTAATAATAACAGAAATCAAGTGCACAATAAATGTGAGGCACTTGAATCATCCTGAAACCATCTCCCTACCCTGGTCTGTGGAAAAATTATCTTCCATAAAACTAGTCCCTGGTGCTGAAAAGGTTGGGGACTGCTGTTGTATGTGTTTCTATTTTTCCTTTTTTATTAGAGTAAAATACACATAACCAAAAATGACCATTGTAGCCATTCTAAGTGTACAATTCAGTGATATTTAGCACATTCACATTGTTGTGCAACCATCGCCATGTCTATCTCCAGAACTTTTTCCATCTTCCGAAACTGAAACTCTGTTCCACTGAACAAAAAATAATTCCTCATTCCCTCTTAACCCCAGTCCTGGACGACAATCATTTTACTTTCTGTCTCCATGATTTTAACTACTCTAGGTACCTCACATTAGTGGAATCATACAGTATTTGTCCTTTGTGACTGGCTTATTTCACTTAGCATATTAAGTGACATAGTTTTTTCTCTTGAGAACAGGGTCTTGCTCTGTTGCCCAGGCTGCAGTGCAGTGGCACAATCATGGCCCACTGCAGCCTTGACCTCTCAGGTTTAACCAATCCTCTCACCTCAGCCTCCCAAGCAGCTGGGACTACAGGCACATGCCACCATGCTTGGCTAATTTTTAAATTTTTTGTAGAGATGGAATCTCACTGCATTGCCTGGGTTGGTCTCAAACTTCTGGGCTCAAGTGATCCTCCTGCCTCAGCCTCCCAAAGTACTGGGATTACAGGCATAAGCCACTCCGCCCGGCCAAGCTTTTTAATCTTTCTGGATCCACAATTAAAAGCATAGCAACTGGGTGACAAAACAAAAAATCCATGGACAGTGTTTACAAAATAACTAGGTGCTATGGCCTGAAATCCCAGCACTTTGGGGGCCCGAGGCAGGTGGATCACTTGAGGTCAGGAGTTTGAGATCAGCCTTGCCAACATGGTGAAACCTTGTTTCTACAAAAAATACAAAAATTAGTCAGGTGTGGTGGCACATGCCTGTAGTCCTAGCTACTCGGGACGCTGAGGCAGGAGAATCATTGAACCCGGGAGGTGGAGGTTGCAGTGAGCCAGGATTGCATCACTACACTCCAGCCTGGGTGACAGAGCAAGCCTCTGTCTCAAAAAAAGAGAAAAAAAAAAAAACCTAGGTGCTATGGACTGAATTGCCCCCTACCCACCACAAATTTATATATTGAAGGCTTAACCCCCAGTGTAACTTCAAATGTGATTTGGAGATTGGGCTTGTAGGAGGTTATTAAGATTAAATGAGGTTGGCCAGGCGCAGTGGCTTATGCCTGTAATCCCAGCACTTTGGGAGGCCGAGGTGGGCAGATCATGAGGTCAGGAGATTGAGACCATCCTAGCTAACAGGGTGAAACCCCGTCTCTACCGAAAAATACAAAAAAAATTTAGCCGAGCGTGATGGCGGGTGCCTGTAGTCCCAGCTACCTGGGAGGCTGAGGCAGGAGAATGGCGTGAACCCGGGAGGTGGAGCTTGCAGTGAGCCGAGTTTGCGCCACTGCACTCCAGCCTGGGCAACAAAGCGAGACTCCGTCCCAAAAAAAAAAAAAAAAAATGAGGTCATGATGGTGGGGCCATAATCCAATAGGACTGGTGGCCTTATAAGAGGGGGAAGATCTCTCTTTCTTCCATTACAGGCATCAAGGAAAGATTGTATGAGGACAGAGCAAGAAGGTGGCCATGTGCAAGCCAGGAAAAGAGCCCTCACCAGAAATTGAACACTGCTGAACTTTGATCTTGGACTCTCCAGCCTCCAGAACTGGGAGAAAATAAGTTTCTGTTGTTTAAGCCACACAGTCTGTATTTTGTTATATTAGCCTAAACAGACTAATATCAGGTGATGATATATCCCCATTAACTGCAAAATCCAAATTGGTGAGGACAAACTATCGGCAGCTGCAAGACTTGTGTGGCATCATCAGCTGTGCAGAAAGAAGCAGAAGGAAGCAACGCTACAGCTAACAGATCTGAGGATAGGAATTCCTCTAACTAGCCAGCAGGCATTCATTAGAAAGCTTGACTAATTTGCGAACAACAGCTGAAACTGGGAGGTTTTTTGCCCAATAGTGACTAAATGCAAGGGAACTGCTTTAACGTCTTAAAGGACTAGAGCAGCTCGGCCTATGTGAATCCTAAAGCTGGCATGCCAGGGTTTCCCTCCAGAACAGGGTCTCATACTGAGGAAAAACTGCTAGAAATGGAATCAAAATTGATCAGGACAGACATAAATAAAGATGAAGAAAAGAGAAGATCCAGATAAAAATTAGGAAGGCTAATGGCCAGGCGCGGTGGCTCACGCTTGTAATCCCAGCACTTTGGGGGGCCAAGGCAGGCGGATCACGAGGTCAAGAGATGGAGACCATCTGGCTAACATGGTGAAATCCCGTTTCTACTAAAAATACAAAAATTATCTGGGTGTGGTGGTGCATGCCTGTAGCCCCAGCTACTCAGGAGGCTGAGGCAGGAGAATCACTTGAACCCGGGAGGGTGGAGGTTGCAATGAGCCGAGATCCTGCTACTGCACTCCAGCCTAGCGAAAGCGTGAGACTCTGTCTCAAAAAAAAAAAAAAAAAAAAAAAAAATTAGGAAGGCTAATAGAGCTAAAGAATCTCAGAAAGCAAGCTGCCATATTTTTTAACACTACATGAAAACAATAGAGGAGGAAGCTCTCTCAAGTTCAAAATGCTACCCTGAACCACATCTCTTTTTAAAAGCATAGGAAAAGTAATTTCACACAAAAATGAATAACAGAAAATATATAAGCCAAATATCATACAAAATTATGATAAGAGAATAAGCAGCAGAATTATATTTCTATAAATAATAAAAGCATACCAATAAGATGTGAACAGAGAACAGATAAAAACTATAATCATCTATTTTCAAAATAAACTGAAATGTATTAAGAAAATGATATGGCCAGGTGCAGTGGTTCACGTTTATAATCCCAGCACTTTGGGAGGCTGAGGTGGGTGGATCACTTGAGGCCAGGAGTTTGATACCAGCCTGGTCAACATGGTGAAACCCCATCTCTAGTAAAAATTCAAAAATTAGCTGAGTGTGGTGATGCCCGCCTGTAATCCCAGCTACTTGGGAGGCTGAGACAGGAGAATCGCTTGAACTCAGGAGGCAGAGGTTGCAGTAAGCTGAGATCGTGCCACTGCACTCCAGCCTGGGCAACAGAATGAGACTCCATCTCAGAAAAAAAAAAAAAGAAAGAAAATGATATATGAAAACACAACATCAAAAAGAACTTGGAGAACTCAGAAATGAGGTGACAGAACTCAGGAAAGAAACTTATAAATAAAAGAAAAAAAATAGGCCAAGCACAGTGGCTCATGCCTGTAATCCCAGCACTTTGGGAGGCTGAGACAGGTGGATCACCTGAGGTCAGGAGTTTGAGACCAGCCTGGCCAACATGGTGAAACCTCATCTCTACTAACAAATATAAAAATTAGCCGGGCACTGTGGCAGGCACCTATAATCCCACCTACTTGGGAGGCTGAGGCAGGAGAATTGCTTGAACCCGGGAGGTGGAGGTTGTGGTGAGCAGAGATCACGCAACTGCACTTCAGCCTGGGCGACAGAGCGAAATTCTGTCTCAAAAAATAAAAAATAAAAAATAAATACAAAATGAAGACTAAAGCAAAAGGAACACAGAAGAAATAAATACAACAGATGATGCCTTAAGTAGAATGTAGAAAGGAGGAACATTTAAAAAATATTTTTAAAAATGAAGAAAGAGAAAAGATTTGAGAAAAGTGGCAGATATTGAAGAGAAACAACAAAGATACAACATATGGCTAACATGAGTCCTCTTAAGAACCAAACCAAGGCAAGAGAACGGAACTATTCTAAAACCTGTAATTCAAAAATCAATCTTTACTGAAATAAAAAAAATATAAATTACATTTTGGAAGAGAATACCACATAACTGAGACTACTGACCTAAAACAAACAGCACCAAGATGTAGTCAGGTAAAATGACTGGAAATTAAACAAAAAATTTTAAAAACTACTTGGGCAACCTGGTGAAAAGAGCAAGTAACTTGTAAGGGAAAGAAAATTAGATTTCTGTCATCAGATGAAAATGAAATATCTTAAGAAAGAAAATGTGAGCCAACAATTTTATATTTAGCAAACTGATTTTCAAGCATAAAGGCCAGAAATAAACTGCTATTAATATGCAAAAGTTTAGGGAATATCATTCACAGAGAATATTGTAGTCCTTCCAGGAAATCCACTAAAGAACGGGTTCAGTAATAAAAACCACTGGGCCAGGCACAGTGGCTCATGCTTGTAATCCCAACATTTTGGGAGGCCAAGGCGGGTGAATCACTTGAGGCCAGGAGTTTGAGACCAGCCTAGCCAACACGGTGAAACTCTGTCTCTATTAAAAATACAAAAATTAGCCGGGCATTGTGCTACATACCTGTAATCCCAGCTGCTTGGGAGGCTGAGGCAGGAGAATCGCTTGAACCTGGGGTGGAGATGCAGTGAGCCAAGATTGCACCAATGTACTTCAGCCTGGGTGATACAGTGAGACTCTGTGTCAGAAAACAAAACAAAACAACAACAACAACAGCAACAAAAACCAGTGGAAAGCATTAAACATGGAATTCTGATTTTATTTATTTATTTATTTTTGAGATGGAGTTTCACTCTTGTCGCCCAGGCTGGAGTGCAATGGTGTGATCTCGGCTCACTGCAACCTCCACTTCCTGGGTTCAAGCAATTCTCCTGCCTCAAGCTCCCAAGTAGCTGAGATTACAGTGCCCGCCAGCACACCCCCACTAATTTTTGTATTTTTAGTAGAGAAGGGTTTCACTATGTTGGCCAGGCTGGTCTCAAACTCCTGACCTCAGGTGATCTGCCTGTCTCAGCCTCCCAAAGTGCTGGGATTACAGGTGTGCGCTGCCGCACCTGGCCTAAACATGGAATTCTTTGTAGTATTAAGAGAGTTAAAAAGAGGAAGGTAGAGTAATGAGTATAGGCTCAGATAATATACAGCACATCTGTTAAAATGGAGAGAATGAATGGAGGGGATAGAATGAGAAGGGCATATGCAAACATTTTTTTAAACGTCTCAATAATTATATTGGTGGTGATAGTATCATTAGTATTGTTATTTTGAGACAGTTGGGTATGTGATATGGGATAAAGGAAATGAAAATAGATATTTAAATACTGTTGTCCCTTATGTTCTTGAGAACTAGTATTCTCAGTGTGGAAGAAAGGAAATAAAGATGTAATATAGAAAATATTAAATTAAAATTCTGCAGTCTTACTTTGGGAGGCTGAGGTGGGCAGATTGCTTGAGTCCAGTAATTCAAGACCGGCCTGGGCAACATGGTGAAACCCTGCCTCCACAGAAAATACACAAATTAGCTGGGCATGGTGGTGCACAACTGTAGTCCCAGCTACTTGGCAGGCTGAGGTGGGAGAATCGCTTGAGCCTGGGAGTTTGAGGCAGCAGTGAGTCATGATTGCACCTCTGTACTCCAGCCTGGGCAACAGAGGGAGATCCTGTCTCAAAAAAAACAAAACAAAAAGCAACCCATAAAACCAAAAGCCAAAACCAAACCCAACCTCTGTAGTCTTGAATTTGAAGTAGCAGTATAAATATTCTCTATTTATATCTCTATGGATATAGATCTCCCCCTAGCTCCATCCACTAATGTGGCTTACAAGTAACAAACAATTCAGTAGCAATAAGCATCCCTAGTGCCCAGATTGTGGTCTTAATATACCATTTCCCACAGAAAACCATATGAATTTCTTGAAGAAATGGCTAATTTTTATGCCTAGGGCAGGAAGTACAAGATTAGCTAGGAACTCTTGTCATGCTAGATAGCAGGGAGCTATCAAAAACCTCCAGGGTTATGTCAAAAGGACTCAAGAATCAAGTTGAAGAGGAGGCTCCATTGTTATGGTACTGTATTAGTCTGTTCTTGCACTGCTATAAAGAACTACCTGAGACCAGGTGATTTATAAAGAAAAGTGCTTTAATTGACGCACAGTTCTGCAGGCTATACAGGAAGCATGGCTGGGGAAGCCACAGGAAACATACAATCATGGCAGAACGTGAAGGGGAAGCAAGCACATCTTCACATGGCAGAGCAGGAGAGAGAGGGCAAAGGGGGAAGTGCTACACACTTTTGAACAACCAGATCTCTTGAGAACTCACTGTCATGAGAACAGCAAGGGGGAAGTCTGCCCCATGATCCAAACATCATGACCTCCCACCAGGCCCCTCCTCCAACATTGAGGATTACAATTCAACATGAGATTTGGGTGGGGACACAGAGCCAAACCATATCAGGTACCATGAATGTCAACATGAGAAAATACAAGTATATTGTGGAAAATGAGAATCAAGTTTCCTACTATTGCAGAAGGGAGGTAAAATTATAGAGAAGAGGAAGACTAGAGGAAAATATGTGGTATTGGATTGGAATTTGAGGTATTGGTGTGAACTCATATTTTATATATACATATATATTTTGATATATGTGCACATATATATGCTCACATATACATAGATCTATATATACATATACACATCTATATGCACACATATTTAAATATATTTCATAGAAATATAGATGAATGGGTGTGTATATCAATATTCATTTATTTGCTAGGTCTAGTCACTGAAATAGACTGGAAATAATGACATCTCAGTAGCAATAAACACACCTAGCATCCAAACTTGGCTTCTAAATACCATTCCTTACTAAAAGGAACTAAGGCTCTTTGGAGAAATGAATGATGTGACAGATGTGAAAATCTATGACATAACTTATGAAAATGGCAGAGAGATGATCAGCCTCCACCCAACTGGAATGGTTGATGAAAGCTGAATGAGATTGTAAGTTACATGGTATTATTGTATTTATTAATTTCTTGATTTTGCTGGGTTGTACTGTGGCTGTGACATAGAATATATCCTTGTTTTCAGGAAATACAGAAATACTTTGGGTAATGTCTGTAATTGGCTCTTAAACGGATCGGGTGGAAAAACAAAAGAACAATATGCATAGTGAGAGAGTGAGAGAGAAAGAATGATGAGGTAAATGTAAACTATTAACAACTGGGGACTTTGGGTTAAGGGTATGAGGGCATTATTTTGTAATATTTTTGCAACTGTACTGTAAACTTGAAATTATTTCAAAGTAAAAAGTCTCAAGAATATTTGAGCACAGGGGAAATATTCAAGCTAGGTAAAATATGTAGATTACTAAACAAATGTACAGTGTAATCTAAATTTTGTTGAATATACATATTTAAGATTCAGTAAAATTATACTTTTAGAAGCATAAAACAAAGTTAACAATTGTCATCTATTGGTGATAGAATAGCCATGCCCCTCTTAAAGCCAAAAGGCTAGCAGATATCAAGACCTACTCTAAAGTTAGAGAAATCAAGACGTGTGACATTGGCACAATGACAGAAAAATACACCCATGGCACAGAATAAGAGTCAAAAATTGACCCAGACATACATAGTCACCGGATTTATGACAAAGCTGCCACTGAAATTCAGTGGGAACAAAATTTTTAAATAGTGCTGGATCAATTGTACACCCATATGGAAGAGATGAATCTTGATGTCTAACTCCTATCATATACAAAGATTAATGTGAAATTAATCATAGACCTAAATGTGAAAGATAAAATAACACAGAAGAAAACCTAGGATAGTATCTTCATAACGAGGGCAGGCAAAGATTTCTTACATAGGACACAAAAGGCACTAACCATCACAACAAAATTTCAGGCCGGGCGTGGTGGCTACCGCTTGTAATCCCAGCACTTTGGGATCACCTGAGGTCAGGAGTTCGAGCAGCCTGGCCAACGTGGTGAAACCCCGTCTCTACTAAAAATACAAAAATTAGCCGGGCGTGGTGGCAGGTACCTGTAGCCCCAGCTCCTCAAGAGGCTGAGGCATGAGAATCTCTTGAACCCGGGAGGCGGAGGGTGCAGTGAGCCGAGATCGGCCACTACTGCACTCCAATCTGGGCGACAGAGCAAGACTCCGTCTCAAAAAAAAAAAAAAGTTTTAAAATGAAATTAAATTATCTAATACCATTAAGAGTAAAAAAAAAATCATGAACTGGGAAAGTATTCACAATATATAATTTTGATAAATTATGGAGCTCAGGTGCAAGTAACTTAGTAGGCAGGAGAGGAAGGAGTCTAAAGAAGTCTAGTTAGGAAGGATTACTGAAAGAGGGGGTATATCTAAAAATGGGTAGGATGGGAAAGGGAGACTTTGGGAACAGCCATGGGTTCCTAATGCGCCCACAACATACATGGGAGTTATCCTGAAGATAAACTCCCTGAAGACAGTGAAAGCCATTTCAAAACTCCCCATATAACTTATGAGAACAGAGGGGTGATCTGCCTTTAATGTTAGGCCTTCTGAGATCCTGCGATCTGTTCGCTCTCCTCAGTAACATTACCCTGCTCAATTGCTGCCTTAATCCCAGGTCGCACATTGGAATGTGGGAATTCAGCGTTTACATTTACCCACACAGGATCAGCCTTCAGCTGCTACGATCAACTTCAGTATTTTCATATAATCACTTTTTTCTTTCCTTAGTTCTTGAATTATTAATTCCTTGAGAAGAGTCCAATCAGAGGTAGTCTTTCTTCAGTATTTTCGGTAATCCTAATTTCTGTGCAAAAAAATTTCTGTTCCATTTTAACCGTGCAGAACTTTCTGTTATCTAAAACACAGTTTCTCTATGAGAGTTCAGTGAAAATTCCCCTTCCCAAACTGATTCTATGAATGACTGTTAGATAAGCTTCACCACTGCATGTAGAGGGTGTACCAGGAACCCAAGTTAGTAGCTCTCCTCAAAGACCCAACTTTTGGAGGGGGTCATCGTCTGGTTCCTGGTATGCCTCCACAGGTAGGTCCGCCTCAGGAAGTCAGCGGCGAGGAGCACAGAAGAGGCTGCCTTCACCAACGGACAGCAGTTTTCATCGTGAGGGCCGTCGGCAACCGCTTGGATGTGTCTAAAGGGGCCGTTTGGGAACCGGCCCTTCTGGAGGGAAGGGTCGGAGTGGGAGGGGATCCGGGATCCGCCTTACGGCCGAGTGTCCAGCAGCGCGTTCCAACCTGGCAGAACCGACGTACTTCATATGCTCCTCAGGGGAGCGCGGGAATCACCAGGCTGAAGAATGACTGGAAATGGGACCCTCTCCAACCAAAGCACCCAGACATTCCGGCGCCGGACATTTCAAAGAGCGCGGAAGCCACGCCTTCCCCCAGAACCGGAAGCTTTGCAACTAGCGCCTCTTGTAGACTGGCTGTTTATAAGGGGGCGGGGGGCCACAGCGGGAACTGCAACTCCCAGAATGCAGCGCGGAATTTCCGGTTTCCGGCGAGAGGGCCAGAGTGAGTGTTTACACCGGCGGCAGTGCGGCCGGGTTCCTTCCGCGGGACGGGTGAGGGCGCTGGGGCCCTGGGCAGCGCGGGCTCGATGTGTGTCAGCCAAGTAGCTGGTCCCACTGGAGCGGTGAGGTCGCCACCGGATAGTGTTCCTGCCCCATTACTAGCGATCTGTGACCTTGGGCCAGTGATTTTACTGAGTCTTGCTTCCCTCATCTTTAAAATGTGGCTAATGCCTGCCTTAGGGAACCGTTGTGAGGATTAAGTGAGACATGGTATATAAAACGACCTCCTTCTGGCATAAACTTGAGGTGGAAGATACCTTGAGGATGCTTGAAGGTCTGCTAGGCAGCTTCACAGCCTTTTCTTTCCTCTTCTCTATCAGAGGTCTCTTTGGAAGCAATAATGATGACTATAACAAGAACTTATCTTGCTTTGCAAGATTCTTCCGCCGTCAGAGTTTCTGATTTATTTTCTGGGGTTCCATGTATGCCAGGTATGGGGACAAGGATGAAGAAAACTTTAGTCTTTTGTTTTCAAGGGCATTCAAGAATTGGGGTGGAGGAGGGGGCAAGCAGATATTTGTAGCCCTTTTGTTCTGAGGGGATGTGGGAACAACAGAGGAAAGAGAGGGGACTGAGGTTATTGAATCTGTGTTGGTTTCGGTAGGAGTTTGCTAAAAGGCCAAAAAGGGAAGAGAAATTACATGCAGAGTTAGATGAGCAGAGGTGTAAAATAGGGGAGAGCTTTGTTATGAGTGTGTACTTACATGTTGTGGAGGTCCTTTGCAGGGGTAGGGCTCTGTTGGGGAATGAGGCTGGCAGGGAGTTTTGTAAGCCAGGCGATGAAGTTTAGACTTAATTTATATAGATGGTTTAGAGGTATTGGAAGAGGTCTTTTTCTGGGGGGCCGGGGTGGGGCAGGGAGGGACGGAGTCTCTGTCGCCCAAGCTGGAGTGCAGTGGCGCTATCTCGGCTCACTGCAACCTCCACCTCCCGGGTTCAAGCAATTCTCCTGCCTCAGCCTCTCAAGTAGCTGGGATTACAAGCGCCTGCCACCACGCCCTGCAAATTTTTTCTATTATAGTAGAGATGTAGTTTCACCATGTTGGCCAGGCTGGTTTCAAACACCTGATCTTAAGTGATCCGTCCTCCGCGGCCTCCCAAAGTGACAGGATTACAGGTGTGAGCCACCGCGTCTGGCTTTTTTTTTTTTTTTTTTTTTTTTTTTTGCGACAGAGTCTCTCTCTGTCACCCAGGCTGGAGTGCAGTGACGTGATCTTGGCTCACTGCAACCTCAGCCTTCCGAGTAGGTGGCACTACAGGTGCGCACTACCACGCCCAGCTAATTTTTGTATTTTTAGTAGTGACGGGTTTCACCATGTTGGCCAGGCTGGTCTTGAACTCTTGAGCTTAGGCAATCCGCCCGCCTAGGCCTCTCAAAGTGCTAGGGTTACAGGCATGAGCCACCGCGCCCAGCCCGACATTGGAAGAGTTCTAAGCAGAGAAGTGACTTGGTCAGATCTGTGTTTTAGAATGATGGGTTGTGGCCAGGCGCAGTCGCTCATGCCTGTAATCCCAGCACTTTGGGAGGCCGAGGCAGGTGGATCACGAGGTCAGGAGATCGAGACCATCCTGGCTAACACAGTGAAACCCCGTCTCTACTAAAAGTACAAAAAAAAAAAAAAATTAGCCTGGCGTCGTGGCGGGTGCCTGTAGTCCCTGCTACCTGGGAGGCTGAGGCAGGAAGGCAGGAGAATGGCGTGAACCTGGGAGGTGGAGCTTGCAGTGAGCCGAGATCGCGCCGCTGCACTCCAGCCTGGGCAACAGAGCGAGACTCCGTCTCAAAAAAAAAAAAAAAAATGATGGGTGTTGTTAGGTGGCAGCATAGATATTTGATAGGGAGAGGCAAGAGGCAGGGAACTTGTTATAAAGCTGTTCTACTGGTTCAAGCAACAGTTGAAGAAAATTGGAAAAAGGGGCATACAGAAGGGAGAGGGTTAGATGATCTCTCTCACAACATTCCTATTAGATTGGATGGCGTTTTTATGTCCACGTTAGGGATGAAGAAACTGAGGCCTAGAGAGCTGTCCATCACAGTATGAGTAGAGAGAGAACCCCAGATTCTAGTTCTGGCCTCCTGATGGTACGCCCTATGCCTCTTCAACAGTGTCACATTGAATTGTCTTTCATTCAACCCTTTGGTGGGTGGGGGTGGAGTAGAGTGGTGGTCTGTCTTTTAACCACTGAGGTTTTGTTCTTTTACAGGGAGAAAGAGAGAGCGCGAAAGAGAGAGGATGTCTCTCTCAGACTGGCACCTGGCGGTGAAGCTGGCTGACCAGCCACTTACTCCAAAGTCTATTCTTCGGTTGCCAGAGACAGAACTGGGAGAATACTCGCTAGGGGGCTATAGTATTTCATTTCTGAAGCAGCTTATTGCTGGCAAACTCCAGGAGTCTGTTCCAGACCCTGAGCTGATTGGTGAGTCTCTCTGGACTGGGGTTGGGCTGCTGCTCTGATCTCTTTTGGGGGAGGATACTTCTGGAATTACAAGAGTAAAGTAAGGGCTTGGGATTTGTTGCCTCATAATGTTAACACTCCAGGGAAGTGAATGTTGGGTAAATAGAAACACAAATCATATAATGAAACTATTGGTTGCCATTTCAGCCATGTATTATACTGAACTACCTTATCACCAGGTTCTTTATGACATTGTCTTGTTTTTTGTTTTTGTTTTTGTTTTGCTGTGTAGCCCAGGCTGGAGTGCAGTGGTGCGATCTCGGCTCACTGCAACCTCTGTCTCCTGGGTCCCAGTTCAAGCAATTCTGCCTCAGCCTCCCGAGTAGCTGGGATTACAGGCACACACCACCATGCCCAGCTAATTTTTGTATTTTTAGTAGAGACATGGGATTTCACCATGTTGGCCAGGCTGGTCTTGAACTCCTAACCTTGTGATTCTGCCCGCCTCAGCCTCCCAAAATGCTGGGATTACAGGCATGAGCCACCGCTCCTGGCCAACATTGTGAATTCTTTTTCTGAAAGAACAGAAGTTTGGGATGAGTTAGGAAAGGAGAAGTTGGTCAGGGGAGGCTCCTCAGTATATTTGAGGTAGGTCTTCAGGGATGATTAGAAGGATTTTTGCTTGGTTGACTGAGTAAAGGAAAGGCAGTAAAAAAGAAAAAGTGGCGTGGGCAGTCCAGGTGGAGGAGGGAGGAATTTAAATATAATTAAATTACACTGAAAAGGTAATTTTTAATAGCTAAAGGATCCAACTGGCAAGAAAGATGTTTTCAGTCATACCTGGATTGGGTTCATCCTATTTTGTTGTTTTTCCATTGATTTAAATTGGGCAGCCTCCACAATGTTAAACTCCAGAGTTTTTCTGTGGATAGATTCTGTGTGAATCCTTTTTTTTTTTTTTTTTTTTTGAGACGGAGTCTTGCTCTGTTGCCCAGGCTGGAGTGCAGTGGCGAGATCTCAGCTCATTGTAACCTCTGTCTCCCAGGTTCAGGCAATTTTCCTGCCTCAGCCTCCTGAATAACTGGGATTACAGGCCCGCACAACCACAACTGGCTAATTTTTGTGTGTATGTGTGTATATATATATATATTTCTTTTTTTTTGAGACAGAGTCTTGCTCTGTTGCCCAGGCTGGAGTGCAGTGGTGTGATCTTGGCTCACTGCAACCTCCGCCTCCTGGGTTCAAGCAATTCTCCTGCTTCAGCCTCCTGAGTAGCAGGGATTACAGGCGTCTGCCACCATGCCTGGCTAATTTTTGTATTTTTGGTAGAGACGAGGTTTACCATCTTGGCCAGGCTGGCCTTGAACTCCTGACCTCAGGTGATCCACCCACCTCGGCCTCCCAAAGTGTTGGGATTACAGGTGTGAGCCACCGTGCCCGGCCCTAATTTTCGCCATGGCCCAGGTTTCGCCATGTCGGCCAGGCTCCAAAAGTGCTGGGTTTATAGGTGTGAGCCACCACATCTGGCCAGATTCGATGTAAGTCCATTTTATGAGTTTATATTTGCAAATAGTTGTTGAAATGTATTTAATTGGCTAGGCATGGTGGTTCACGCCTGTCATCCCAGCACTTTGTGAGGCTAAGGCAGGAGGATCCCTTGAGCCCAGGAGTTAAGAGACTAGTCTAGGCAACATGGCAAAACCCCGTCTCTACAAAAAACTACAAAAATTAGCTGGGTGTGGTGGCATGTGCCTGTAGTCCCAGCTACTCAGGAGGCTAAGGTGGGAGAATTGCTTGACCCCAGGAGGTTGAGGCTGCAGTGAACCGTGATGGTGCCATTGCACTCAAGCCTGGGCAACAGAGTAAGACCCTGTTTTCCAAAAAAAAAAAAGTATTTGTTAAGTTATTGAATAAGAGTATCTTTTAAAACATGTATCATTCTCCAGCTATCTAATCAAAATAAGGTTCTCGGGACAAAAACCATGTAAATTTGTTTTGAGGAGCAAAATATAAGTGGACAGTTCTTTTTTTAGATCTGATCTACTGTGGTCGGAAGCTAAAAGATGACCAGACACTTGACTTCTATGGCATTCAACCTGGGTCCACTGTCCATGTTCTGCGAAAGTCCTGGCCTGAACCTGATCAGAAACCGGGTGAGTGAGGGGCAGCCCTTAGGCAGGCAGAGTTTCTGTAATATCCGCAAGGGAAGGATCTGTGTGTTCTTGAGGCACAAGCCTGGGTGGAACAAAGGGATGATTTACTGAGCTGATGATAAATGATATCTTTATTACTTATTGGATTAGACCATGCTGATAAACAGAGTCCAATTTTGACCTTCTTACTGCCGGCATCACTAATGGAAGATTTGTTTCTCCATTTTGTTTTTTGTTTTTTGGTTTTTTTGAGACAGTCTCACTCTGTTGCCCAGGCTGGAGTGCAGTGGCACAATCTTGATCTTGGATCACTGCAACCTCCGCCTCCCAGGTTCAAGTGATTCTCATGCCTCAGCCTCCCGAGTAGCTGGGATTACAGGCATGAGTCACCATGCCCAGCTAATTTTTTTTTTTTTTTTTTTTCTGAGACGGAGTCTCACTCTGTCTCACAGGCTGGAGTGCAGTGGTGTGATCTTGGCTCACTGCAAGCTCCGCCTCCCGGGTTCACACCATTCTCCTGCCTCAGCCTCCCAGGTAGCTGGGACTACAGGCGCCCACCACCAAGCCTGGCTAATTTTTTTTGTGTTTTTTAGTAGAGACGGGGTTTCACCGTGTTAGCCAGGATGGTCTCGATCTCCTGACCTTGTGATCTGCCCGCCTCGGCCTCCCAAAGTGCTGGGATTAAAGGCGTGAGCCACTGTACCCGGCCTTCAATTTTTGTATTTTTAGTAGAGACGGGGTGTCTCCATGTTGGTCAACCTGGTCTCGAACTCCTGACCTCAAGCCATCCACCCCACCTCAGCCTCCCAAAGTACAGGCACCATTCCTGGCTTGTTTCTCCACTTTCTAAGTTTGTCATCCACTGTTTCCTAATGGGACAGGGAGTTTGTGTCTACTTAAACTCCTTTAAGTTAACAGTTTATTTTTTAGTGATACAAAGTAAACTTTGTATCCTTTTGTTATTATCGTTGTTCTCATTAGAAAAAAGCTGGAAACTTTTGGCACTTTCCTAATGCTGCAGTTTATTCCCTTGTTAACAAATCTTCCTACAAACTGCCTCAGGTGGTGATTTGTTCAGTTAGCTAACTGCTCTTGCTATACTGGTATTTTCCTGAAGATATTCAAAGAGTATTTAAATAGCTCTTGGAGAAAATATACAAAGCCTCAGATGCCTTTTTGGTTTATAAATAGAAGGTGCTTGGAATTCATGATTTAAATTTTGCATGTGTGTTTTAAAAGCCTCCCTAAGAATAAAGCTAAGCTGTGTAAAAGAGATTAGCTTTGTTACACTGGCAGGTTGACATCTTTTTATAATGTTCATGATTGCTGTGACTAGTTATCAGTTTGAAATTTACCCCCCTTTCAGTTCTAACTGTAAAAGACAAAAATGTCTTTCATACCCTGATGGGAAGTGAGAAAGAGGAACAGAGTTCCTGACATCCAGAGGTTGGCCTGGCACTCACAGCCAGGCCCTGGAATCCTTTTGGGGATCATGAACAATTGTACAGATCCCCAGTAGCAGTCAAGGCCACTCTGAGACCACTATGGATTAAGACAAAAACAAGATCCCTATTATTGCTGAACAGAAACACAAAAACATGAGCATTATCCAAACCACAAAGGTGACCAAGTATCTTTCTATCTTGGCTGATGAGAGTAACAGCTGCTTCTTGGCCAATTACAGCTTCCACCTTGCTCTAGTTTTCCTTCCTTCTAGGTAAGAGTTATTAAGATACTCAATTATAAAATCACTCCCACTGCCTGAAAGCATCCTATCCAGAGTAAAACCTCACTTCTTTAAATTTTTCCCCAAATCAGCCAGACAAAACCAAAATCCTGTAAGAAGTCCTTTCTGGCCGGGTGCAGCAGCTTACGCCTGTAATCCCAGAACTTTGGGAGGCCGAGGTGGGCGGATCACCTGAGATTGGGAGTTCGAGACAAGCCTGACCAACATGGAGAAACCCCGTCTATACTAAAAATACAAAATTAGCCAGGCATGGTGGTGCCTGCTTGTAATCCCAGCTACTTGAGAGGCTGACGCAGGAGAATCGGTTGAACCCAAGAGGCAGAGGTTGCAATGAGCCGAGATCACGCCATTGTATTCCAGCCTGGGCAACAAGAGCGAAACTCTGTCTCAAAAAAAAAAAAGTCCTTTCTAATATCCTCTTACTGAGACAGCCCACGGTTTCCTGTGGTGTGCATTCTTCTCTCTGTACTGAGCAGTAAACCCAACTTGTTTAAATACAGATATGCCCCTCAGCTCTTTGGCTGGAGGGCATTAACAGAAGGAAAATAACATTTGTGGCTTCTGTGAGCCAGGTTTTTTCCCTTTTATACCTCATTTAATCATTACAGTGGCCCTGCAGGGTAGGTAACAGCATTAGCATCTTATGGAGGAAGAAAAGGGTTAGGGCATTTATTCAAGGTCAGCTACTTAGAAAGTGAATGCAAGAGCTGGGATATGGACCAGGGGTTTTCCTGGCTCAAGAGGAAAACCATTTCCACTGGGCTGGCTGCGTTCCACTTCTAAAGGATGAATTTAGCTCAGAGATCTTACAGTGACAGCCATGGCTCTTAGCTGAATAATGGCTTAAGATATTAAGAGTCCTTTTCCTCCCACCTTCTACCTGGAGGATTATTTTTGAAACAAATGACCTTTTTATTGGAAGGTTACAATAAACTTTTAGATCTGTAAAGAAACTGTTTTGTGACAGTGTTTTAGATATTTGCTCCTTGAGTGCTTTTCTTCACAAAGGAATCACATTTTGTGTTCTCCCACAGATTAGGGCCTATAGGAGAAGAACCCATTGTTGTCTGTCTTCCCACCTGGATCTCTTTGGTAGTCCTCCATGGCGGGTTACAAATCCCTTCAGGACGTCACCTTAACCTGCTGTTTGAGCTGGAATGTGTACCCCAAGCTCCAGCCACAAAGAATGACTTGCTGTTTGTTCAAAGCACCACATTCTTTTATTCTCCCATGCCTTTGCACATGTTCTCATTCAGGCTTGGAATACCTTCACCCCCCCAGTAAATATCAGCTCTCTCTTTGATACCCATTTCAAATGGTCTCCTCTGGGAGGCAGCTGTCTATCTTCACCCTCCCTCTCAGTGGTGCCTGTCTGCCTTTGTGTTCCTGGTACCCTAGCTGGGATCCACGTCTCTGTTGAGGTCTTCAACGTGGCATTTTGTAATTGTGTATTTGATGTAGTCTCATTTCTCCTCCTGCCCTAAGAGTTCCTTGATGGCAGGGGTTCTTATTTTTCATATTCTAGTTCCTTGCCTAAAGCCAGGCATGGAGTAAATGCTTAGTACATGTTTGTTGAATGAATAAATTAGGTAATTTACTTAAGATGACTGTTTTTCAAAAGACAGCCTCATGATCAGGACTGTCGATAAGGATGTGGCTGCCACCCTGAACCCCAGGGGTGCTATTCACCTTGCTTTGGGAGTGGTGCCCTGGAGTTGGGCAGTACACAGTCAGTACAGTCACAAGTAGTGGTCCTTCGTGAGGATAACCATACTTTAAAAAGTGTGACCCAGGGCTGGGCACGGTGGCTCACGCCTGTAATCCTAGCACTTTGGGAGGCCGAGGTGTGTGGATCACTTGAGGTCAGGAGTTTGAGACCAGCCTGACCAATATGGTGAAACCCCATCTCAACTAAAAATACAAAAATTATCCAGGAGTGGTGTTGCACACCTGTAATCCCAGCTACTCAGGAGGCTGAGGCACGAGAGTTGCTTCAACCAGGGAGGTGGAGGTTGCAGCGAGCCGAGATTGCGCCACTGCATTCTGGCTGGGCAAGAGGTGAGACTGTCTGAAAAACAAAGGCAAAAACACCAAAAAACAAATGTTATTAGTCTAGAATTCCTGCAGTGGTATGTTGATCAGAGCACCGTTTTTCATGTGGTAAGAGTCTCCTCTGCTGCAACTTGAATTTGTTTGTTTATCTGTGCAAGATGCTTACAAGTGAATGTAAAGATGCTTACTAGCAGTTTTCACATCCATGGCACAAATGGGTTTTTCTGAGCAGGCACTCACATTCTTAAGGGGTGATGAGGGAAGGGAATGCACAGACCAGGCTGCTCCTTGGCACATGCTGAAATGATGTTGCCATGTCTGTGGCAGAGACAGGACCTGCGCTATAGGGTAACTCTGAATGTCTTGTCCCCCAGAACCTGTGGACAAAGTGGCTGCCATGAGAGAGTTCCGGGTGTTGCACACTGCCCTGCACAGCAGCTCCTCTTACAGGGAGGCGGTGAGTGTGTGCTGCGGCCCCCAGCCAGGACTGTAGGAGAGGGTGTGAACGCTGGCTGGCGAGTGGTGTGGAGTGGGAGCTGGAAGCCCGTTGCCATGGCAACCAAGAGTTCCTTGGGGAGTTTTTGCCATGTCTGTGGGCCTCAGTAGAGCCCTGTCTTTCCCCAAAGAGCCTGTCTCAGTCAGGCGTTGTTGATTCCCTCTAATGATAATAATACAACCTGCCCGTATGGTGACAGCCAAAAGATCCTCATACTGTTTCTGCTGGGCCTCATTCTTCGACTTTGGCTGAACTGCCTGCTTACTGCCCCTTGACCTAGATGTCCTCACTGGGGAAGTGGGCTGATGTCTTTCTGTAGGAGAGTTGAGAGGCAAAATTAGTATAGCTGTGAACTTAGCGATATATACAAATATGAAATAGTAATTGTACAGAGATTGAAAAGGACTTTTGGATTGGAACCTAGAGAAACCTTTGTTACCGGGCTTGTAATGAGAGCTTTTATTTTGGAAGCACTAAACTGTAGGTGGGGAAAAGGAGCACAGAGATTTGAAGGTTTACTGTGGTCTTGCCTTTTTTTTTTTTAAATTGTTTGTTTCCCCTCCAGTAAGCTAAGATCTTAGAGCAAAAAGAGGTTCATCTGTTTCTGGGGCTATTGTTCCATTGTGGTGATGTACATGCAAGCACTTAGAGGGAGGAAGTCCTTTGGCAGAGTGTGGGCATTTGATGAGTACATTGAGCTGGTTGGAGTGCTCAGCCCCCGCCATTTCTCCTGCAGGTCTTTAAGATGCTCAGCAATAAGGAGTCTCTGGATCAGATCATTGTGGCCACCCCAGGCCTCAGCAGTGACCCTATTGCTCTTGGTAAGTGCAGGACTGAATTTGAGGAAATAGGAGTTGTCGGAAAAGGAGAAAACAGGAGAAGACAATTCCTCTAAAGAGACTTGGACTATCTTTTGAAGAATGACTGGTCTTGTGGGAAGAGGGAGAGTAATCAAGGTGTGTTTGATATCCCCAGCCCTTTAAGAGCTCTCAGTCCCACAGAGAGATAATGGCCTAACTAACATCGTAAATAAGGGTATGAGGATGCCAAATGAGGATAGCAGTTAGCCCACATCACAGCAATCAGGGAAGGCGTCCTGCACACCCTGAGTAAGGGAAGAACCCAGAGATACGGGAGAAAGAGACAGGTGTCTTGGTACCCAGTCTGTGATGTGACTAAAGTGCAGGGGAGGTGGAGAGCAGGGGACCATCCTCACTAGACCAAGATGAGGAGTACCTGAATTGTATTGCTTGGCGCTTTGCTTCCTCTACTTCTCATGAAGATTGGCTTGTTGTCCTGTGTCCCTGTTGAGCTGGTTGCTCTGAGACGCAAAGCCTCTTCTCCCTCCTGGATCTGGCTGATTTCCTTTCTTTGAGGTGAGCTCTGCTCTTTTTCAGGGGTTCTCCAGGACAAGGACCTCTTCTCTGTCTTCGCTGATCCCAATATGCTTGATACGTAAGTGTACCTGTCCTATTAGAGGGTACCTTCTCTCTCCTCGTGCTCAGGCCAGAAGCCTAATTGTCACCCTGCAGTCTGCTCTGGGAGCCCATCCATAGTCTGTCACCAAGTCTACCCCTTAGATACGTCAGGGGGTGAGAAAGAGCAAAGCCCAAGAGCAGGGCTTTTGTCAAGAGTGCTGGGAGGAAGCAGGATTCTGAGGGAAAGGGTCTTGTCTGCCAGGCTCAGTTTAGGTTTCGTGTGGTAGAAATTAGGGAGCTTTTCAAGGATTTTAAGCTGGCAAAAGGAGAAGCAGGTGTACAGATCCGTAAAGTGTCAAAGCTAAAAGGGACATGTCCTCATTTTGCAAGTGAAGAAAACAGCCCCACCCTGGGAAGAGAAGGGACCAGTCCAGGGTTGCCTGATGTAGTAGTGGTGCCTAGACCAGACACTCCTCATGTGCTCAGGCCAGAACCCTGAGCCTCCCAGGCTGCACCTTTCCCATCATGCCTTGCCTGTGGAGAGGGTGAAGAATCTGCAGCGGACCCCAGGAATTTGAAGGCCTTGCACCCGTTGCTGGGGGCAGATCAGCAGGAGGATAAAGCTTCCTGGTGGAAGATGCTAAAGACTGAGGAATTTGAGAGCAGGCACAGGTGGCTGCATTGTTGTGAGGGGGCACCCAGAACTCCTGTTATGGCTGAGGGTGCTCTTTTGGAGTCACCCTTGGGTTTCTTCCTGCTTCTATCCTAGGTTGGTGCCTGCTCACCCAGCCCTCGTCAATGCCATTGTCCTGGTTCTGCACTCCGTAGCAGGCAGTGCCCCAATGCCTGGGACTGACTCCTCTTCCCGGAGCATGCCCTCCAGCTCATACCGGGATATGCCAGGTGAGCGCCTGAAAAGTGTAATGTGGGCCCCTCAGGAGCCGGCAGTGGCCCAGGAATTTGCTTTACTCAGCAGCTATGTATAGCGTTGGCAGAGGGCGTTCCTTGGGAACTCTCGGTTTGAGTCAGGAAGTGCATCTGTCCTGTAATTTTCCGAGGGGAGAGATGAAAATATGAATTTGGAGAGTAACTTGAGCTGAGATTCTGGAGCTGCGCCTGTGCCTTTCTGTTCTTCCTCCTGAAATCTGTTCGTCCTCCTCCAGGTGGCTTCCTGTTTGAAGGGCTCTCAGATGATGAGGATGACTTTCACCCAGTAAGTGGCCTGCCTGCCTGCCTGACATGCTGACATGTGGGGGAGATGGTGCTGGGAATGAGCTGCATCCTGGGACCTGGCACTCCCAAGGCTGGGAGATGGACATACGCCATTGGGGGGCCAAGACCATGTCATACTATTTCTGCTTTTGGATTCCTTTCTGAACCTGGGAACTTAAGAGTTTCCCCAAGAACTATTGCTGGAGGTGGGTGGAGTTCATCTGGGAGTTTCACAGTACTGCTTCCCTGATTCTGAGTGTCTTCTTTCTCCAGAACACCAGGTCCACACCCTCTAGCAGTACTCCCAGCTCCCGCCCAGCCTCCCTGGGGTACAGTGGAGCTGCTGGGCCCCGGCCCATCACCCAGAGTGAGCTGGCCACCGCCTTGGCCCTGGCCAGCACTCCGGAGAGCAGCTCTCACACACCGACTCCTGGCACCCAGGTATGAAGACGGGGCCGGGAAGATCAAGGCTGGGCCCCCAAGGAACAAGCTCCCCAGCAGTAGAGTAGATTTGCCTTTGCTGACCCTGGTGCTAGATCTAGTTTAAGCTGAACCCTGGAGTCCTGGTGGGGATTTCTTACTGCAGCTTGAGTGACCTCCCCTTCACTTGCCTTGAGGACTCAGAAGTCTAGATTTTAACATGGTCCCGTGTAGTCCCCCCTATTAGTTCAGAAGACTCTTCCTGCACACAATATGCCCTTCCTCATCCCTGACAGGGAGCAGACATCACCAGCTTAAGCATTTCTGGGTGACAAGTCACTTCAGCTTTCAAGGCCATCTCTCCCAGTGCTGCAGTGCTGGGGTCCTAGGCTGGGACAAGGGGCTCAGTGCAGAAGAGAATGGAACCTTTCCTGCCCACATAGAGAGCTTCTAGTTACCTTTGTTTGGTTGTCTTATGGCAGGTCTTTGTTGGGAGGCAGAAGTTGGGTACCTCAGGAGTGCTGTGAGGTGATATGACAACAGCGAGCATCTGCTATAAGATTGAGATGGCGCTGAGGGTGGCACTGACCACTAATTTGTCTCTAGGGTCATTCCTCAGGGACCTCACCAATGTCCTCTGGTGTCCAGTCAGGGACGCCCATCACCAATGATCTCTTCAGCCAAGCCCTACAGCATGCCCTTCAGGCCTCTGGGCAGCCCAGCCTTCAGGTCAGTCTTCCCCACGTCTTGGTTTCCATGTGGCTTCCTTGTTATTTTGGATGCCCAGCCTTTGTTTTGCTCTCTGGCGGTCCTTCACACCTGGCATGCTTCATTCTAGGAACAGCTGGAGCATGGCAGTGGGACAGGTGCAGAGTGTTCCTAGCAAGGGCACACTCTCAGACCATACACAGTGGTCACTAGGCTTCTCCTGCCCCTAGTGACCATGGCCTGACTCCCTAGACCACCTGGCTTAGATAATCATGGCCATTTCATTCATTCATTCAGTGATCATTGACTGAGCATGTGTATACTAGGCCTGAGTCCAGATGCTGGGCTAGTGGCAAGCTGGTTCTCATCCCTGCCATGGAGGGGCACCAGGCAGGCACTGAGCTGGGGAGCAACAAGGCAAGAAACCCAGCTGCTTGAAGTAAGGGCCTAGGTCAGACAAAACTTTTCTGAGAGAGGGGTATTTAAGCTGATTGTCAGAAGAATTAGTTAGAAGTTAGCTAGCCAGGGAAGGGGGTTTGAGGTAGGAAGGGGCTGATTTCCAGGTGAAGACAGCTACCTGTTTGTGCACATGTGTGGAGGTATATGTGACATACTCAAAACTACAAGGCTAGGATGCAGTGTCCAGTGTAGAAGATCCGCAGATGGGGCCAGAGAAAGAGCAGGAGCCTACGAGAGGGGCTTGCATGCCAACCTGCGGAGATTAGACTTGATGACTTGATGTAGCAGTCACCAGGGATCCCTGGGAGGCATTGATTGATTGATTGATTGATTGAGACAGGGTGTCACTCTGTCACCCAGGCTGGAGTACAGTGGTGTGATCACAACTTACTGTAGCCTCAACTTCCTGGGCTCAGGTGATCCTCCCACCTCAGCCTCCCGGGTAGCTGGGACTACAGGTATGCACCACCATGCCTGGCTAATTTTTTGTATTTTTTGTAGAGATGGGGGGGTCTCCCTATGTTGCCCAGCCTGGTCTTGAACTCTTGGGCTCAAGCGATTCACCCACCTTAGCCTCCCAGAGTTCTGGGATTACAGGTGTGAGCCACCACACCTGGCCCATGGGAGGCTTTAAGGAGGAGAAAGGTCACCCTAGCAGCTAAGTGGAATACCTGAGGGGCCAGCATTGTAGTTCACAGCTCCATGCATGAGCAGTTTGGTTCACGTCTGTTTTCCTCTATTCCACATAGTAAGCCTATGGGTAGAGCATCATCCCTGGAACTTGTCTGGGGTCATAAGGCCATGAAGTCGTAACGATAGGGTTCAAGCCTGTGTGGTTTTCACTGTTCCATGTGGTCCTTGTAGACAGTGAGGGAACAGAAGCAGGATTCGTGAACAACTTGTCTTCTCCATTCTTGCATCTCCCCTGTTGCTAGATGCCTGTTTACTTTATTCCCTAGCTCAGAAGCTTTCACTGGTTCCACCTGGCCTGTAAAATGAATTCAAATTGATCTGTGTGCATTTTTTTTAAGCCCTCCATGTTCTCATCACTGCCTGCCTCTTTGACTTTGCTTTTCTTCCCCTTTGCATTGCCTTCTTCCCACATGTGAACACGTTGTTTTCCCTAAATTGTGCTCATCCCTGCTGTCATGAAATAGAGATATTAATGAAGCTATGAAAGTACTAGAAGAAAATATGGGTGAATTTCTTCAAATCCTTATAGTAGGGAAGGGCTTTCTTGGCTGAAACTCAGTATCCAGGAGCCATTAAATAAAAGTTATGCATTTTGGGTTTGTAAAAGCGAAAAATTTAAAACATCTCTTACAGTCCACAAATAGATATACCTACTATATACCACAAAAATTTAAGACATTTAAAAAAAGGTGAAAATTTCTGCGTGGCAAACCAAACCAAACAAAAAACCGAAGCAAAGTCCAAAGGCTAACAAACTGGGAAAAAAATCTGTAACACTCATCACATAAAGAGCAAAATCTTGCTGTTGTGTGTGTACACATAGCAAGAGAAAGAAAGTAATTTAGCCTCTTGGAATTCAGACAGTGAATAATTTGTACATTCTCTTTTGATCCTTATGCCAAGAATTTCCTTTTTTTATTGTAAAACTTTGGATTTGTTCTCTTAACCCTCAAGCCTATCTTTTAGTCTTCCTAGAAGCACCGTGTTCTGTGGAACTCAGCATCAGCAGCTTTGCTGAGGACTCCCCCATCTTCCTTTCCTTCCCCGGAAAGCACAGACCTAAGTGAGTCTTCACTGGATCCCAGCTAACAGCTTCTGCCCATTCCTATCTTTCCACAGAGCCAGTGGCAGCCCCAGCTGCAGCAGCTACGTGACATGGGCATCCAGGACGATGAGCTGAGCCTGCGGGCCCTGCAGGCCACCGGTGGGGACATCCAAGCAGCCCTGGAGCTCATCTTTGCTGGAGGAGCCCCATGAACTCCCTGCTTCCCCTGAACCCCCAGCAAGTTGCAGAGGCTACTGCCCTTGGGAGGCACTCATGAAGGTGCCTCCATCTCTCCCTTCCCCAATATACCTGATGGTCAACTCTCCTGCTTTGTCCAGTTCTTGACCTTTCTGGCTGATCTGAGTTGGTGGAGGCAGTGGGGCAAACAAGGTGTGCTGGTCTTGATGCTGTGGCATCAAAGCAGGGCTGGCCCCTAGTTCTGGGCCCTGGATGGAGGATGTTAGACCCTACATCATGGGATGCTGTGAGATACCCATGTTAACTTCTGGGAGAAGTTTCCAGCCGTAGCCCCCAGACTCTCTGGGGCTTTGGAGTTTGGGAGCCTCAGGATGTGCCGAAGTCTAGGCAGAGCTATCACCCAATCTTCAGGGTGGCTGCTGGATTACAGCTGTGCCCAGAAGAGGCTTATGCTTCCGAGATGTCCAGTCTATGGAGTGGCTGGGTGGACTTTCAGGGGAAGCACATGGAGGCAGCTTGCCTTCCACATTTCTCTCTCTCTCAATGGCTTCCACAGATTTCTTTGTCCACCCCACCAGTCTATTCTCACCAAGCATTTTTTGATGCTTGTTCTGTAATGATTCCAGAATCCAGGCCTCAGAGCTTCGCCAGGAGGTAGGGCCCTCCTTGTCCTGAAGGCATAAATACAAGAGCAGTTAAATAGCAATACTAAAAAACAACACCAACATGAACAGGGCTCAGCTTTAATATTGAAGAGAGGGCACCAACCCCCAAGCTGTTGCTCCATCTGCCTGTGCTCACTCATGTTCCCCTTGGCATGGCGTTCCCTGTGATGTTCCCTGCGGCATCGCAGACATGTCCAAGTTGAGAAAGTGGGTTTTAAATGCTTTGAATACTTCGTTGGGAGAACACTTCTTCCCCTCAGATGGTGTTTTGGTTCATTTGGGAATAACATGGGTGGAAAGGGGCTCAGAGATGTGCTCCTGCCCTCTGCCTTGGCAGGCGTTTCATCTCCACCATTCCCAGTCATGGTCATTTGGTTTCTGCTTGTCTCCTCCAGGAACAAAAGATTTACCACTTACAACCTATTCTGTCCTTTAACTATTTGCCAGGGCATTACCCCTTGGTCCCCTCTCTGCCCTAAGGAACCACTCGGAACAAGCCTGCTTCCTCTTCTACCTTAGCAGGGCTTTAGTTATTTACGGAATGCCATGGTGGGTCATTGACTTGCCCCTTTGACCTGTCATGGTTTTGGTTCCCAGCATATCCTGTTCGTTTTTCTGGATGACCTCCAGTGTATCAGTGATACTCTTAACGTCCAGATATGGCCCGAACAGGATGTTATTCTTTGCCTCTTCCAGAAAATTTGAGAAGTCTCTCTATGTGCATTGACAGAAAAGACTCAGAACTGGGCTTCTCAATGCCAGGCCTCTGTGTGCCTCAGTGGTCTGCCTGGAGCCCAGCTGCCTACTTGTGGTTGAGAGCAAAGACCAGGAAGCTCTGTCTTTGTACACAGTGTCTCTTGCTTGTTTGTGGTGGAAACAAAGGCCAGTCCTATCCTCATGGGTCTGTCTTGGTCAAATGGGGCTGACACAGCCCTTCCTGTGCCCATGATACAGCCTGCCCAGAGCTCGTTTCCATTCTGTGGCAGCTCTCACCCTGCCTCTGAGGACTGCCTTCAAAGGTGCTGGGGTTCCTTAACTCCCCTATCCCATTATGCTGCAGAACATTTGGGTCACCCTGCCCTATCCCTTGGACCAACCCCCAATACCAGTTCCCAGAACAGAGCCGTCCCCACGGTTTCCCTTTCCCTTCTTTGTTGGCTCTTTCCTCCAGGGGCTTGGCAAGTTGGCTTTGCTTCCTGTGGCCATGTTTTGAGTAGTCTATGTTGAGTCTGATAAGTGCCCCCACTGAGCCTGGGGCTTTCCATGAGCCAAGGACTCTTTCCTCACCATTGTCCCTTTCATCCTTTCTTCTTATTTTTATTATTTTTTTTAAAAAAATTTATTTTTTTTGAGACAGAGTCTCGCTCTGTCGCCCAGGCTGGGGTGCAGTGGCACGATTTCAGCTCACTGCAACCTCCACCTCCTGGGCTCCTGCCTCAGCTTCCCAAGTAGCTGCGACTACAGGCATGTGCCACCATAGCCAGCTAATTTATGTATTTTTAGTAGAGATGAGGTTTCGCCGTGTTGGCCAGGCTGGTTTCAAACTCCTGACCTCAAATGATCCACCTGTCTTGGTCCCCTAAAGTGTTGAGATTACAGGCATGAGCCACCGCGCCGGGCCTCCTTTCATCCTTTCAACAAACATTGACTGAGCCTCCACTCTCTGCCAGATAAACATGACGGTATCTTTGCTCTGACAATGCTGTGTTGTTGGTAAGATGGACAAACAGATGATTGCATTAAAGCCTAATGAGAACTGGGCGAGGCAAGTCTAGGGGCTGTGGCGCTCACAGGAGAGGGGGCTAACGTGGGCTAGGGGTGGGGGTGTGAGGGTGAGGGAAAGCTTCATGGAGAAAGTGGCACTACGCTGAGACCTGAAGGGTAAGGGAGAATTGGGCACGAAGGTATATGTACTGAGGGGGCTGGGAGTGGGGAGCAAACCTGGCTTTTGTAGCCCTGTTTGTCAGGGTGGCTTGCAAGGCAAGTGGGTGGGCAGAGGCTAGATCATTTGAAGCTATGTAAGGAATTTAGACTTACCCTGGACAATGGGAGTCACAGAATGGCAATCGGGAGAGAGTCCAATGTGTGTTTTAGAAAGGTCATTCTGGCTGCTGTGTGGTGAGTATAGTGGGAGTAGAAGACTGAGGGAGGGCAGGCATGAGGAAGCCGGGGAGGAGGCTGTGGCAGTGATCCACTTAGAGCTGCTGGTAGGCTGACCTGACGGCGTGGCAGTGGGGAAGGAGAGGAGGAGGTAGAGAGGCTTTAGGAGTTAGAATTGATACCAGATCTTTGGGAAAGGCGAGTATACTGTTGTCTCCACTGAACAGATGGGGACACCAAGGTTCCAAGGGTTGAAATCATCTGCCCACAGTCTCATGGGCAGGAAGTGGACAAGTGGTCCCAGAAACTCAGGTCTGTCTTACTCCAGAGCTGGTGCCCTTCCTCCCACTGCCCTTGGCCTCTGAAGTGTGGAGGAATGGGAGATGATGAGGGCTTAGATCCGGCTGAGGAGCTAGGGCTTTATCCTGAGGGCAAAGAGCACCCCTGAGGCAGCTGCAGGCAGGGCAGTGGGGGACCAGATCTGTGTGTGAGATAATCTGACAGCTGTGTGGAGGCTGGATTTGTGGGAAGTGAGATGGGGTAGGCGACCAGCTAGGAGGCTGGCTGGATCCTCCAGATGGGACATGGAGGGGGCCTCAACTGGAGCTGCTGCAGGGGAGCTGGGTGGAGGGGAGCTGCTAGGTGTGAAGGACAGACTAGCTCTGGGGGCTGAAAGTGGGGAGGCAGGCAGGATGTGAGCAGGCGGATGGTGGTGCAGCAGTAAGAATAAGGGACTGGGGTGACAATTTGGAATGAGGTGCCATAGGACAGCCAGGTGGGGATGTGTATAATTAAAGACAGTTGGATGTCTTTGGGCTGAGGTAGTGATCAGGAAGTTCTAAGTTGAACACTGGGCCTGTGTCATGTGAGAAGGCAATTAAGCTTTTCAGAGAAAGGTAGAGGAAAAGGGATACCCACTAAGGAGTTCAGCTTTATAGAAAATGGTGACTGATAGATGTGAGGCATGGAACGGGCGCAGGATCTGCTGCTTCTGGGAAGGTGAGAGCAGGAGTCAGCAAAGCTGAGGGAGTGAAAGGACCTGGACAAAGAGGGCATGCTCAGTGGGGTCAGATGCCACAGACAAACCTAGTAACAGAAGGGCTGACCTTGGACTTGTTGACTTGTGCCTTGGTGACCTTGGGGAGACATTCCAATGGAACCGGAGCCAGATAGCAGGGGTTGAGGACTGAATAGGTGAGGGGCAGTGGATGCAGAGAGGGCAGGGGACCTTGCTTGTGAGGGAGAGGATAGTAGTTAGAGGAGAGATGGGATTGAGTGTGAGTTTTTGCAGTTCAGCAGAGGTGAAGTTGGAAGTGATCACAAGAACTTTTCTAGGAAGCTGAGGGAAAAAAAGGAAAAGACCCCAAAATAGAATATGCAAATATGTAGAGATGGGTGAGTTTTCTAACAGATCCGTTCTCCTGATATAACTCAAATTTGGCTGGGCTGGTATGGGCTGGGCTGGCACAGCTTGCTGGGCACATGGGCCCCAGATCTGCTCCTCGCCTCAGTCCCATCTGGCCTGGGCCCCAGACCAAGCTCACAGAGCCCTACCCTGAGGTGGCTTCTTGTTGCTGTTGCCACAGACTTTGGCCCTGGGTGTTTGTTGAGGATGTTGGGGAGTTTATTCAGGCCTCCCTCTTTCTGCTTACCCAGCCTCTCCAGCAGGTGGGGTCCCCTCTGGCCCTGGGCTGGGCTCAGGTCAGTTCAGCTGTGCCCCTAGTTCCTCTGGGCCTGGGCCTGTCTCGTTCTCATAGGCTCTGAGATCGCTGGGAATAGAATTCAACTTCTATGCTAGAAATGCTTTCGTGGCAACCCAGGCACTGGCCTACTCTATCTTGGCAAAACTAGCTAATATTAATAGTACATTACACAGCACAGTAGTGCTTATTTATCAAGCATCCTCTCTGTGCCAGGCATTGAGCTAGGCACTCACATGTGCCATCTTAGTTAATCCTCATAGCGACTCTGAAAACTAGATATTATTAGCCCCATGTACAGAGGAGTGCTTCCTGTATGCTGGGGAAGTGGCCTTTCTAGGGCTTGGGTGGGATTGTGTCAGCATGATTCCATCAGTGCACCCACCTGGGGCCTTGTGCCTGGCTGGCCGAAGGGTCTCCTAACCACTTACCTTTGGAGTGGCAGCTCAGGTCTTGGAGGGGACTTAGGCTTCTAAGTCAGATTGAGGTTTAGATTGCTTTTCCACATATGACCTAACTTCTTGGAGCGTCAGTTGTGCCTTGTTTGACGTTTTCCCTCAATTTCTATAAGTGGATATTGAGTATGTGTATCAGAGATGCCAGGCACTCAGAGCTGGGCCAGTGAATGTTCTAGATGGCATCAGGGCCCAGACAATGAAGTAACCCTAACAAGGACAGAAGCAAAGAAAGTCTAAGGTCCTGCAGTGGGGACCAGAAATTTTTTTTTTTTTTTTGAGACAGAGTTTCACTCTGTCACCCAGGCTGGAGTGCAGTGGTGCAATCTCGGCTCACGGCAACCTCTGCCTCCCGGGTTCACACCATTCTCCTGCCTCAGCCTCCTGAGTAGCTGGGACTACAGGTGCCCGCCACCACGCCCAGCTAATTTTTTGTATTTTCAGTAGAGATGGGGTTTCACCGTGTTAGCCAGGATGGTCTCGATCTCCTGACCTCGTGATCCGCCCACCTCGGCCTCCCAAAGTGCTGGGATTACAGGCATGAGCCACCGCGCCCGGCCAAGGGGGACCAGAAAATTAATTGCTCTTATGCAGAATCGAGTCTCATTTCTTCTCCTGGGCCCAGATTCAATAATCTTTCTCAAATGAGCATCCCAGAGAGCCACTACTGATGGTTGAGAATTGGCCCAGGGATAACCCTGGGCTGAGATCAAGAGGATTTAACAACGTGTTGTCTCAACCCATTAAGAGTGCCTTTAGAGGTGCTAGAATAAGGAGGAAGGAAGCTAGTCTTTCAGCCCTTTACTGCTCAGCCTCCACACTAGGTGTTGTGTTCTGATCTGAGGCCTGATCTTTGAAAGAGAGAGACACAATCTGGACTGTTTAGCACCTAGGAGGGGTCAGTAAAAGTTTGCTAAATGACGGACTGATCGTGTCTTAGAAATCAACCAGGATTAGAGAGCCTCTCAAGGAAAGCCCCATGAGGGATCTATTTGAAACTGGAGTTATTTACCCTGAATAAAGAGCCGATTTAGAAGGATGTGACCTCTGTGAAATCACTGAAGGGCCGTATTCCAGGAAGAGAGATTAGACATGTCCTTGTTGCCTCAGAGGGCAGATTTAGGACCACTGTTTGGGAGTCTTCCACTGGGGAAGAAAGCTCTGTGTCAGAGCTAAACAAGATGGGCAACGCTGGCTTGTGAGGGAGCTCATCATCACTGGAGGTATGTAAGCAGAACCTGCATGGCCACCATAAGGAGTCTTGTGAGTGGCTCTCAGGTAGGACTGAATCCCCTTTGACAGCTACTCCTAACTCCAGGAATTGAGATTCTTGGATCATTATATTCATGAAAGAAAGTGAACTGTTTGTGGGTAACCACCCTTTTGCATGTGTATCTCCTCACTGAAGTGGCCTCAGCAGGCCCAAGGATCACATCAGAGCTGGGAGGGTCCTGGGACATCTTCTCTCCTATAGACATCACTTTATTTTTATTTTATTTTAGTTTAGTTTAGTTTAGAGATGGAGTTTTGCTCTTGTTGCCCAGGCTGGAGTACAATGGTGCACTCTCGGCTCACTGTAACCTCCACCTCCTAGGTCAGGTGATTCTCCTGCCTCAGCCTCCTGAGTAACTGGGATTACAGGCACACAACACCATCCTCAGCTAATTTTTATATTTTTAGTAGGGACGGGGTTTCACCATGTTGGCCAGGCTGGTCTTGAATTTCTGACCTCAGGTGATCCACCTGCCTCGGCCTCCCAAAGTGCTGGGATTATAGGCGTGAGCCACCATGCCTGGCCGACATCATTTAAAAGCATATTTAATTCATCCTATAGAAGGAAATGCAGAAGATGGAATGAGAAAGCTTTGTCTCTCTCTGATACAGAGAGAAGATAGACCAGGAGAAGAGATGGAGTTTTAGCTCTTCTTTCTCATTTTGTACACAAAGAAACAGAGGCCTGGACTGGGTCAGGGCCTTGCTTGAGTCAGTATCCAGGCTGAGACTTCATCTTTGGCCTCCCAGCCATGTCTAGTCAGGAGATTTTGTTAGTCTAGATGGATTCTATGTGACATCCATGAGATTCTGCCCTGCCTCAGGCTTTGGACAGTGAGAATAGAGGCTCAGAGATGGATTAGGGGCATAGGAATGGGAGGGAGAAGTTTGTCTCCAGAAAGTCTGGGGAGTGTCTATCACAGAAAAGTGCATGTAGAATGTATGACTAGAACAGAGAGCAGAGATGCACTTGGTCTTTGCTAAGACTCGGCTCTGTTCCAGAGTGGCCACCAGGTGGCACTCCCACCACAAGCCCAGTGCCACGTTGGCCAAGTTTGGGGCTTGGGGCTAAGGATGTTGCTGATTTGTCTGTGGAAGGCACAGGACCTGTAGTGTTTTCAGGTGAGCTGAGTGCCCTGCTAGAAGGAAAAAAAATCTGTCTCTTCTCTGCTGACTGAATATTCCTCTTTGGATTTTTCCTTTGTCTTACTTAACTTGGCTGGCCCTACTTAGATCTTAGCAATTTAGGTAGGGTTGATCAGATAAAAATGCACGTAGAATGATTAGGATAGAAAGCAGAGATGTAGGCATGGGATGCTGCTGGGAGCACGACCCTCAGGGCTAAGAAGGTGGTGGCAGTTCTGAGAAGTTCTCCATTCACAGTGGGCTGAACTGATGTATGGAAGGTGGTGATCTCTGAACTGGTCTAGGAGGAAGAGGCAGGCACTTGAGGGGAATGTCCTGGCTGAGGTTTGGAGGCAGGCAGAGCACTGAGGGGAGGGTGAGGCATGGCCTGGGCAGCCTGAGAAGTGTCTTCTTGGCACTCCTTGCCTGACATGGTCTGCCAAGAGTTGGGCCAGGTATAGTGACTGTCGTGCCTGTGCCTGTGAGATAGTCACAGTGGGCACATGGTATGTTGGGGGTCCCAGATATGGGCCCCAGACCTGTTTTTATTTGCCCATATCCATCCTCCTTAACTTTTGAATTATTTGCCAATATTTTAAAAGAGAGAGTTTCAACAAAGAGTCAATTTTCTTTTCTTTTTTTTGATGGAGTCTCGCCCTGTCACCCAGGCTGGAGTGCAATGGCGCAATCTCAGCTCACTGCAACCTCCACCTCCCAGGTTCAAGTGATTCTCCTGCCTCAGCCTCCCAAGTAGCTGGGATTACAGTTGCGTGCCACCATGCCCGGCTAATGTTTACATTTTTAGTAGAAATGGGGTTTCACCATTTTGGCCAGGCTGGTCTCGAACTCCTGACCTTGTCAGATAAAAATGCATGTAGAATGATTAGGACAGAAATCATTGACCTTGTGATCCACCCACCTCGGTCTCCCAAAGTTCTGGGATTACAGCCGTGAGCCACCACCCCTGGCCTCTTTTTTCTTTTCTTTTCTTTTTTTTTTTTTTGAGACAGAGTTTCACTCTTGTGTCCCATGCTGGAGTGCAGTGGTGCGATCTTGGTTCACTGCAACCTCCGCCTCCTGGGTTTAAGTGATTTTCCTGCCTCAGCCTCCCAAGTAGCTGGAATTACAGGCGCTCGCTACCATGCCCGGCTAATTTTTGTATTTTTTAGTAGAGATGGGGTTTCACCATATTGTGCAGGCTGATCTTGAACTCCTGACCTCAGGTGATCCACCTGCCTTGGCCTCCCAAAGTGCTGGGATTACAGGCATGAGCCACCGTGCCCAGCCCTCAATTTTCAGCTTCTCTTGAAAATCATACTACCTTTCACTACTGGGTTTACTTCTTCATGGTTCCATGGGCTGGAGCTGAGTCGAAATTGCCTTATAGACAGCACAGGGTTCTGCAGACCCCAGCCCACCCACTCCCCTCGTTCTCATCAGTTCCAAGTCTCTGCCCCCTGCAATAGGTAGTAATGGTGGTAGGCAATAGGAATTGTTGCTGCTGTTAGTAGCCAGGAGGTCTGAATGGCCACCAAGCTCTGAGGCCTCAAAGAAGGGGTGGGATCTAGCATGGAGGGGGCTGTTGGGGATTGAATGCCCTCTGAGAGCTACTTCTAATCCTAAGAATTGGGATTCTTGGATCATCGTATCTGTGAAAGGAAGTGAACTGTGTGTGGGTGACCTCACGTCTGCATATGTTATCTCCTCACGGAATCCTTCTATCTCCCACAGGCCTCTTGTTTGAGGTGGGTCACTCCTGTGAAGGCCATGTGTAGCCATGGAATCAGGGCTGAGGAGGAGGTCAGATAACTCTGGAGAATGGAAGGATGAGTTAAGTTGGACCCTGAAAGGTGAGAGGCTTTAGTTGGAATGTTGGGGGGATTGCCCGGGGCTTCTGCCACTGCTTCAAGACCATGAATCTCAGGTCTGTGTGTATCCATTTCTTTCATTCCAAAAGGAGCCTTCTTGGATTGGGCTGTGCCTCAGCTGTCCATGGGGCTCAGGAAGTGATCCTTCTCAAGGTATTTTTCTTATCGATAGAAGCCCTGCATCATTTCTTCCTCCCTCCCCTGAATGTGGAATCATGGAGAAGGGAGGGACAAGAATGTGCCTCCCCATCAGACGTGTCAGCATCCACATGTGTTGCTTCCTCTGCTGGTCCACTTCCCATCACTGGCTGTGAGTGGGAATTGTGCCCCTGTTCTTGGTCCAGGCTCAAGAGCCAGCCTTGGCCTCCAATGAGGCAGGCAGGCCTCTGACACCACCTATACCATTCTGACTTGATTTTCCTATGCTGCCTGAGGCAGGAAAGTCCATGCCTAAACTCTGGTCATAGTGCCTGCCCCACAGTCTAGCTGCCTTTCCCTTTATAAAGTTATTGCCTCAAGTCATGGGCTTAGTTCTCTCCTCCCCTGGCTGCCTGCAGCCAACCGAGAGAGTGGGCTGCCATCTCGCCTGGCCCTTTGTCCCCAGGTTGGCTGGCTTGTGGGGAGGATGGTCTTAAGTACTACTTCCTTCCCCCCTACCCCCCAGTCTGGAAAAAAAATTATCTGGCATCTACCCCAGTTTCCATCTGCTACTCTGTTGATTGGGAGATTGAGCCCATTCCCTGGTCTGCCCTCCTACTCAGCACCTGGTGACCTGGGCCCTATCTAGGTCCTTCTGGGGATGGTTTGGACCCAGACTTCAGCCACAGACAGGAGGCAGCAGTGCCAGGGTACATCACACAGAGAGAAGTCAAGGGTGTGGGTCCTTGAGAAACCACCTGAGTTTCAATCCGTCCTGCCTCTAGTTGTGCGATCCTGGCACTTCACATCCCTTGTCTGTGCCTTGATTTCTTCATTTGTAAAGGGAGGTGACTAATAGCTCCTATCTCATAGGAGTGCGAAGATTGAATGAGTTGGGAGAGGCTATGAGATGGCACAGCACATAGGAACCACAGTGTTAGCAATTGTTATTGCAGTCAGAAAACCCATCTTCGTTCTACCATTTACCGGTTGACCTCGGGCAGGTCCGTCCTTGTCCCTCCCTGTACCTCAGTTTTCTTCTCTGCAGTGGAGTTACGCTCCCTCCCTCAGTGAGAGGAAGAGAGTGGAGGACTGGCAGAGATGAGGTAGGTGAATGTGGGTTATGTGTTGTGAGTTGCCATGCACATGGGCAGTGTTATCATTGATTTTGAATCCATTTGAATTCTTAGTTCCAAAAGGCAGAGACAGGTGATTTCTTAGTTTGCCCTAGCTTTGCATAGAGAGGACAGACACTGAGGGCAATACCTGTCTAGCAGGTGAAACCGAATGTCCATCTTAGAGGCTGGCCTGGGCCAGGCTCCACTGCTGGCTTCAGGGCCACAGGCTTAGGTGCAGGCCTGAGGAGGAGCTCTTAGACTGTCCACAGCCTCCCTCTCTGGGGCAGTGTGCCCCTGTGTATCAGGAGGCTGTTGGCTTCACCCAGTGGGCCAGGAACCTCACTCTGCACTGTCTCTGGAGGTACCTTGAGTTTACCTTCCTGGCCTGCTGGGGTGCCTCAGGACTCTGAGGGAAGAAGGAGGGGACAACTGGAAGCAAAATGTAGAATGGTAAAGCCAAACTTCTTGGTAGCAAAACTTTCCTGGTTCCAGGAGGTAAAAACAACAACCAAATGGTCCTGGCCCCATGGAGCAGGGCAGAGGGCAGAGGGCAGCCAGCCCACCGCCTTTGCTGGTGTCTGCAGTGCGTGAATCGTGTCTAGGTCTGTGAGTTCTGAAGGTTGGATGTTCACCTCTACTCCTTCCTCGGCCTGTCTCCTCTCAGTGCAGCTAGACATCCAGTAAACACTAGATAAGTACTTACTGAGCTGGGTGGATTTTCCATTCATGGTTCCCTGGGGCACAAGTGGAAGTGGTAGGTCTGGGCCCTGTCTGGTCTAGAGAGAGGAGACCCTTTTACAAAGGGCAGGCACGTAGTTCTGAGAGGAGGAGCTGATGGCAGAGCTGGCTGGACTGCTCAGGTAACTGCAGAGGGTCTGGGCCTGGACCCCCCAAGGGAGTCCCCACTGAATGGTCAGGTTGCCTGAGATAGCTGAGCCCTAGGCACTTTGCGGGCAGAGATCCCCTTAAGCTGCTTTGACCCTCCCTCCCCCACAGTGAGTGGGGCACGGGGGATGCTCCCCTCTCTACTTGGGGAAGGGGCCTTCCTAATTATATCCCCCTCCACTCACATGGAAATGAGTTTGGATTTTCTGAGCGTACACCAGCTGGCTTGGGGGGAGGCAGCCCAGAAGGCTGCTGGCTGGGAAAGGGAGGAGAAAGGAGAGGGAGGGGAAGGAGCCAGGCCAAGATGAAAAATTTCCAGTGTTCTCCCAGGCAAAGCAACAGCGGGTCCCTGAGTGCTCCCCACATATCATCGTTGTGCCTGCTGGTAGGCTCAGCAGGGAGCCGTGTCCACTTAGGCGAACGCATCCTCCGAGGACCATAGTCCTCAGGGTGCGAACCACTTAGCTGGCCATAGCAAGGTTGTTGGGTGTTGGACTCCTCTGCGCCCTTGGAGAGAGGTCCTCCACGACTTCTACGCCAATCTTTTTACGGGGTGCGGGGAGTGGAACTGAGGCCCAGAGAGGGGATAGGGCCTGCCGCCCCTGGCAGAAGACCACAAGTCTGGCTTGTCCGCAGCTGGGCTTTCCCCGTAGAGTTGCCCGGGAGAGGGTGGCGAAGGTTCCCCCAGCAGTTCCGCTCTCGCTCAGGAAAGCCAGTGAGGCGAGAAAAGGCTGCGAGGGGCGGGGGGAGGGGCGGGGTGGGGTCAGCGCTGGCTCCGCCTCCTGGCGCTTGGGTCTGCCTGCGGCCGGGCGCTGGCTCAGTCTCGGCTGATTGCCGCTGTCGCTCCCGGGGCCACGGGATGACGCCTCCTCCGCCCGGACGTGCCGCCCCCAGCGCACCGCGCGCCCGCGTCCCTGGCCCGCCGGCTCGGTTGGGGCTTCCGCTGCGGCTGCGGCTGCTGCTGCTGCTCTGGGCGGCCGCCGCCTCCGCCCAGGGCCACCTAAGGAGCGGACCCCGCATCTTCGCCGTCTGGAAAGGTAGGCGGCGCCGCGCGGCCGGTCAGGCGCGGGATCAGACGCTGCGCGGGGCGGGTGCGGAGTGTGCTGCACCCGGAGGGAGTGCGTGCGCGCAGCTCTGCGGGTCCCGGGCTGTCCCCGCGCTGTCCCCGCGTGGAGCGTGTGGGTTTGGGTGAGTGTGTGTGAGTGTACACGCTGGCACACCAGAGCCGGCTGTAACGCTGCGGCGAGCGAGCGGCGGGGGCCGGAGCCCCGGCTAAGTCGCACCAAGTCCCTGGCAGCCAGGAGCCGCAACGCCCGGGCGCCAGGGGAGGGGGCGGGCCCCTCTCTCGGCCCCGAGCCACTCTGGGTCCTCTGGCTCGGGGGCTTCGGCGGAGGACCTTTCCCCGCCTGGGACCCCAACCCGGGTACCCTCCTTTTGAGCTGCGGGCTCTGCTGGCGCGCGGGGCGCAGGCTGGGCCGGCAAGGGGGGCGCGGACCCCTTGCCGCCGCCGCCGCGCTTCGGCAGCGGGAACAAAGACCCCGCCGCCTGCCCCCGCCCCCGCCCCGGCCCGGAGCTCGGGCCAGGCAAGGGGGTGGGCATCCTGCAGCGAGCGGCGGGACATGGTGCGGTGCGGCGGCTTGGGGTACCAGGGCGCTGCCTCAGCAATGCCGGGACCGGCCGCTCCCCCCTTGCCCGCACGTGGCAGTTGTCACCAGAAATCGGCTCCAGCGTTGGGGGGCAGTGCCCGTTGGGTGGGGCACGGCCGTTGGGACCCCCAGGCGGTGGATCTAGGGCGGGGGTGCAGCCTTTAGGCCAGGGTAGATAATAAGAACCTGGGGGACTGGAGTCTCCCCCAGGGCACCTCAGTTTAGACCCTGTACTATGGGACAGAAAGCCGGTTAGGCGGGGGTTTGAGGCTTTCTGCCGCGAGGAACTGATCTCCCCTCCCCTGCATTGCACACAAATGCCTCCCCGCCCCCAGTCCGATTCGGCTCTGTCCCCAAATTTGGCGTGTCTGCGGCCCCCCTGTCGTGATGGTGGGGGACTCGCAGTGGGGGCTGGGGGAACTGGTCGGGTCTGGCCCCACCGGGAGCCTTTTGATGCCTTTGGCAGTTTGCAGGGATTGCGGGAGTCTGAGCATTATCTGGGGCAGGTATTATTAGCAGAGGGGAAAAAAAACCATACACAAAACGAGTGGCCCGAACTGCCGCAGTAGCTGAGGGAATGTGACTTGCCCAAGGTCACTGAGCAGTGTGGGAGCCCAGGTGCAGGCAGGGGCTCTGATCTGGCACAGGACCAGTCCAGGTTCTGGGTTAGGGAGGGGAGAAGGATTTAGGTGGTTCAGGGACCATGAATGAGGTGCTCTGGGGACCAGCTCGGCTACCCAGCCTGAGGTGCTCCTGGAGGAAGCCGAGCAGTGCTGCTAGAGCTCCGGCCGCCTGTACATGGAGGAGGCCTGCACACCCCTCTGCCATCCCAGCTCCAGCCCAAGCTTCCTTTGCCCTCCCAGCAGCTTTGCCTTCCCTCAGTCTCCTTGGCTGTCTTGGACATCATAGCGTGTGGGCACTCTGGAGGGGACAAATGGCCACATCTGAGTGTTCTGGAATCTTTCCCTCCATCAAACCCCTTGCATTTTGACTCTGTTTGCCTGTCCCAAAGTCTTCCCATGACCCCCCACCCCCACCCCACTTAATGCACACCCACTTCTTAGCACTTAATGCATACATCCCATCCTGGGCACTTAGTTCCCACCCTGAGGCTATTTAAAGTTGCTTTCAGTCCTCTTACCCACTTTTCGAAGCTCCCAGCACAGCTCCATGGCCTACCCCCCCGCCCGCAGTTCACTGCTGTAGCCACACTGGCTGTGCCCTCTGCTTAGTAATGCACTGTTGAGCCCCGCTGGCTGGGGTCTGCCAACCGTTCACCAGTCTTGTCCAACGACAGTCTGTGGTCTCCTTCACCAGTGCCAGGTGCCCCACTGGCCAGACAGGCCCTGCCATTCACCTGCCCCCCACCCCCAGGGCCACCAGCTGGTGATGGTGTGCCCGACTGACAGCTGCCTCCTGTCTCCTGTGGGGTGACACATGGCAATCGGACAGGAATGGGCTTGGGTAGGACAAACCCAGGAACAGGGTAAGAGGGGGTCTTTCTGGAAGCCTAGAGCTCTGTCTACCAGTGGTGGGTGGGAGTATGGTGGTATCCAGGAATGACAAAATCAGGGATGGTGGTGGTTCTGGAGCCATTTCTCTATGAGGCATAGATGGGGGTTTTAGTTTTGAGTCAGGACAGCTGTGGGGACTGGAATAGGTATGGAAAGTTCTTTATTTTCTGCTGCTTGGATCCCCAAGTTCTAGAGAAAGATTAAAGCAGGGAACTCTGAGAGGGGCCCAGCCTGCACTGATCAGGGAGATTGCTGCCTCTGCAGCTTGATGAAAGTCTGGCACAGCGTAGCTCAGGCCAGGGAGAGAGATGGGCCATCATGTACCTGCTGGGTGTCCTTGAGCTCCACACTTGTCTTTGACCCTTAGAGCCTGCCAGAGCAAGAAAGGCTGTAGGGATTGTCCCCCAAGGGCTGTCACTGACACATGGGCCAGTCAAGGATGTGCATGTGTGGTCCTGATCTTCCTGTAAGCAGGAACTGTAAGGGAGTAGATTGCAGGTGAGGGCTGGGGCTTAGCAGGAGGTTGGCATGCGTTTGTAAGCTGTGCACCCCTCTTCCATTTTATCAGTGGTTGGAGGAGCTAAAGAAGGCTTGGAACCCCAAGGTCAGAGGTGAACCAGCCTGTCCATGGGGAAACAGAACCCATATCCCCAGTCTCAACCTGCCCGGCTGGTTCTGCCCTCCCTCGCTTTTGTCCAGTGAAACAACGGGATGTTATTGTTGACTTGGTGGCTGCTGGGGAGCCATTCTGGGGCTGCTCCCCAGGGCAGGAGGTTGTTGTTACCTCCTCCAGGGGATGAGGTCACATCTGGGGCTTCCCAAGCATCAGCATTTCCAGTGGAAATCCTTGCCCCCTTGGGGACTTAGATGTGTTCATCACCTTCAAGGTGAACTCCCTCCACAGAGTCTCATGGTGGGGGGGCAATTCCCCGGAGGAGAGGGGGAGTTTCCTAAGCCAAGAGAGATGCTTGGTGAGGTCACCAGGAGCTTCCTACCAAGCTCTGTGACCCCTCTGTCCTGGACAGTGAAGATTCTGAGAGCAGGTCCGGTGGAATGGACGCTGGCACAGGTCCAATGATGACCATGGTATAGGGGAGAGAGCTGGGAGGTCGGGAGCCTGGTTCAGGCTGTGACCTAATTTGCTCTGTGACTGGGCAAGTCTTTGCCTTTTACTGAACCCCAGTTTCCCCAAATGCCCAAAGAGGGTAGGGGAGGGGGCTCATCCTTTTCTGAGATTTAATGTCTTAGGATTTCTCTCTCTCTGGGATGGGAGGGGCTGGGCAGAGTCTGTGGTGGCCTGTTTAAATCTTAGATTTCGAGAAATCTGGAGGAGAAATTGAAACCTGGGAAGTCAGGGGAAACCCTTAAGTTCGCGTTCTTTCCTATCTTTTTCTCTCGTGGGCCAAAGGCTGAGGATCATTTGGAGGAAATGGATCATCAGCATGTGCCCTCAAGGGTGGACATATTCATTCAGCAAACATTTGCCGGGGCCACCCTTGTGCTGGTCTTGGGGATGAGCTTGGGGATCTGGTGATGAGGAACAAGATGATTCCGTGCCCTTGTAGACTTCTCAGTGTAGATGTAGATGGGCAGATAAACCTGCAGGTACAACAGAATGTGTAACAGAGAGCAGTTATGGGCACTGAGGAGATGCCTAACCCAATTTTCCCAATCAGGGAGGGCTTCCTGGAAGAGGGAGCAAGCTGAAATGGCAGGAGGAGGAGCCAGCTGGGGGAGGGAAGGAACAGGAGGAAGCACCCCACTTAGTAGGATTTTAAACCCAAGAACTTACAGCTAGGACCACAGAGAGGAGAGAAGCCATGTGAGGGGCCCCCATGTGAAGAGGCGTTGAGTCAGCCTGGGCCTGGGGGCTCCCGAAAAGTTTGAAACTTGTCCAGATGGGCATAGGTGAGGGGATACCTGTCATCCTATGACTGGCGCAGCAGTGAGGAGGAAGGACGCACCCACTGGAGAAGGGCCGTGGCAGGCAGGGAAGGCCTCTCGAGTGCTGGCAAGGCCATAGCCCCGTCACAGTTCCCTGGTGGGAGGCTGGCTCTGGGTCCAGGGAGACCATGGCTTTCCCCATTGACTCCTGACCGCAGGACAGTCTCCAGGTGAGAAGGTCTGTCCCTCAGCTCTGTCTTCTCCTGCTCTTCCTCTGCAGAGATGGAAGGAGCATGGAGGTGGCAGGGTGGGGGTGGCATGGATAGGTCACTATCTGGGCTGAGGGTGGCGCCCTGGGGGAAGCAGGGAAAGCTGGGCTCTGTTTTTTGAGGAGGGCCAAGCAAGGTGGGATGTGAAGCTCAGCCCAGGGGGCAGGTCTGGCAGCCCTCAGGGGGCAGTAGCTGGAGTAGATGGGCCACTAGCTGATAGCCTGTCCACCCCCAGCTTCACACGGCTCTGTCACAAGAGACTGACTGCACTTCCCCTGCTTTGGTCGGCAGCTCTGGACTGAAAAGTTTCCACTTCTCTTGATTTCCTTTTTTGGCCCAGCGTGGCTGCCCCAGGAGCCTTCCTTCGCCATGGTTGGGGGAGGAAGGGGCCCTTAACCTGTCCTGCCTTCAGAAGAGCCAGGGTTCCGTACCCTTGCAGGGAGGGCCAGCCACCAGGTGTATGGCCAGCTGTCCTGTCCTCAGGGAACCAGGCAGGCCAGAAAGAAAGCAGGGGGATGGAGGGCCACGGCACCTTGTTGGGCCCTGCCTCCTCAGAGGACAGAGTTCCCCCTTCCCTAGCCAGCCAGGCCTTGAGGGACTGTCCCCTCTCTGCCCCGAATGGTATGGGGTGGCTCTCCAAGCCCTTTATTCTCCCTGGCCCTGGCCTTGCCATCTCTCCAGATCTGTGCCCAGCCTCCCGGAGGACCTCTGTCCCTATGCTGCACCCCATCCAGAACACATGGCACACAGCTGCCGCCTTCCCCAGGCCCTGCATGGTGGCCTGGCCCCACTGCCTCCTAGACTCCCACAGTTCTTCCCTCACTGCTCCCTGGCTCCGCCTCCTCTCTGCACCCCACTCACCCTCCTCCTCCTTTCTGCCCAGAAAGGAGGCTGCTGGTTCTTTCTCAGTTCCTCTGAGGAACCTTCTTGGATGACCCCAACCCACACAGCCTGACAGCGCGAGCTTAGGATGTCAGAAAAGAAATGTCAGAGATTAGCTGGGCCAGCCAAACATTCCACAGATGGGGAAACTGAGGCTCAGAGATGACAGGGACTGGCCCGAGATCACCCAAAGAGGCAGAGCTGGGACCGGGGCTGAGTCGTCTGAGCCTGCTTCTGCCCCAGCTCTCAGCCTGTTTCCAGCTTTCTGTCTGCCATCATACTCTGTCCCAGGCTGGGGGCCCCTTCAGTGCCTTTCCTCCTCTGCTAGCCCAGTTGGGCCCAGACTCTTCCCGCCCCAGTGCTGTCTGTTCCCAGGAGCCACACCAGCTGTGAGTGTCCTCTCTTCAGGACCTTGGATTTGGACCAGCTCCATATACCTCTTCTGGTCTTTCCTCAGGTGGGTTGGGCCTCAGGTCCCAAGGACAGGTTGATCTGTGTCCCGGCTCGGGCTAATCAGGTTTTAACTGTCATGACAGCCTGGGATTATGCTGATCCTGCCATGCCTTCTGCACCCCATGCTTCCAGCCAGAGGCTTGGGCTCTGTGCCAGCACCCCTGGGTGACCCCTCATCATGGAGGGCAGCCAGCCTAGGTCTGTGTTCGGCTCCTCTGGGGGAGAGGCAGGAAGAGAAGCCCTGGGTTTGCCCTTGGGGAGCCCCCACATTCCTGGAGAGGTGAGTCTTCTGCCTGTGAAGTAGGGCGGACCCCTGGGGAGGTCAGGAATGACCTGCAGATGTAGCCTAGGACTGTGACAGGAGGTGAGAGCAGGAAAGGTCAGTGTGGGATGGTGCAATCAAGGAAGGCTTCCTGGGGGAGGAGGAGGAGCCAGGCTAGAGCTAGGGGCAGGAGCATAGGGTGGGGGCAGAGTGCAGCATAGACAGCTATTCATATTGTTGTTTGTACAGAGTCTCACGCCTGTAATCCCAGCACTTTGGGAGGCCAAGGTAGGCAGATCAGTTGAGGTCAGGAGTTCGAGACCAGCCTGGCCAACATGGTGAAACCCCGTCTTTACTAAAAATACAAAAAAATTAGCTGGGTGTGGTGGCACACGCCTGTAATCCCAGCTACTTGGGAGGCTGAGGCAGGAGCTCTGGCCCAGCCTGTCGAGGAAGGAAGGTCACTGTGATGACTTCTGCACTCCATTGGTGGCCCAGGAATCTGTTCTAAGATACCTGTCCCTCTGGCATGGGAGTTTGGCCTGCCCCAGTCTTGCTTCTCTCCACTGTCTGAGCTGCTCCCTGGGAATGGAAGACTTGGAGCAAGAGGAAGCCTGGTCCTCACCTTCAGGGCCCCATAGGCCAGATGAAATCCCATCAGACAGCATGATCTGAGCGAAGATGGTGGTGCCAGATGGTTTGTGGTACAAGGTCGAAGGTACGGGCAGTGAGGGCTGGAGCAGTCTGGAATACTTCCTGGATCCAAGGGATTTAGCTACATTTTCAAGGACAGGTAAGATCCATGTGCACAGAGAAAAGGAGGAAGGTCAATCCAGGGAGGGGAGAACAGGAGCAAAGTGCAGAGATGGAAATGAGCCATGGCAGAGCTGTGCAGAGATGAGGTGGGCCTTGACTGCCCTGCCCTGAGGTTTTGGGCCCTGCTTGGATGGGCAGTTAGGAGCCATGGTGGGTCCTTGAGCTGAGGAGTGGAGGTGAGTGTTTTCGCCAGGGCTGGCTGAGTGGGGACCTGGCTGGTGAGCACACTCTGCCCTTCACTGTGGTCAGCTTCAGAGCATGCAGTACTTTTTTTCTTAGAGACAGGATCTCACTGTCTCCCAGGCTGGAGTACAGTGGTGCATTCATAGCTCTCTGCAGCCTCTAACTCCTGAACACATGTGATCCTTCTGCCTTGGTCTCCCGAAGTGCTGGGATAACAGGCATGAGCCATGGCACCCGGCCCCACAGAGTACTTTATGTTCTGAGCGAGATCTTGGGAGACTTGTCTTTCTAATCAGTCACTCAGGACCGGGGCCCCACGCTGCACCTCGAGAAGATTCCTGCCCCACTGTTGTAACTTAGGATCTTTAAGATGGAGAGCACCTCTTCCATGATTAAGAGAGAGGCAGGTGGAAATAAAGATTTTGTTACTAACAGGTCTTGAGGGATACCTGGTGTACCTGAAGCCACACACAGGTGGAGGTCAGGGAGCATGTGCAGGGTGGGGGGATCTATGGGCCAGCATCTTTATGGGGTCCATGGTGTTATTAAAACAAGTTTTCCACAGGGAGTTTGTTTTGTTGTTGTTGTTGTTTTGAGATGGAGTCTTGCTCTGTCACCCAGGCTGGAGTGCAGTGGCGTGGTCTCAGCTCACTATAACCTCTGCCTCCTGGGTTCAAGCGATTCTTCTGTCTCAGCCTCCCAAGTAGCTGGGAGTACAGGCGCACACCACCATGTCTGGCTAATTTTTTTGTATTTTTGGTAGAGATGGGGTTTCACCATGTTGGCCAGGCTAGTCTCGAACTCCTGACCTCAAATGATCTGCCCACCTCAGCCTCCCAAAGCGCCGGGATTATGGGCATGACCCACTGTGCCTGGCCTCCATGGGGAGTTTTAATTGGTGGGTTTACAGCAAGCAGTCATGAGTTCCAGGAGGTCATGTTGTGACTTGAGACAAGGTCACTGGCCTATCTGCACAGTCCATGCGGGCTGTGGGACAAGGTCAGCAGGACCAATCAAGTGGGCTGTATGTAGCCATCCCACAGGGAAGCAGTCACCAGGAGACGACTGTCTACGGTAGATATCTGGATTGAGCACATGGAGGAACTGGGAGGAGGTGGGGAGCTGGAAACGGTGTCAAGGTTGACTGAGCCCTGCTTCTAGTGTGAGAAAACCCAGCTTATATTCAAAACGGATGCCAGGGCAACATCAAAGCATAGGAATTCACTACATTCACCTGGGCCTGCACACCTGTGCTCACTTGCACACACTGTCTTCAGGGTGTTACGGGCAGAGGTCAGGACTTCATTAGCCAAGTAGCCTCTAACTGGGCCTCACCCTCGGTAGGCTTTGGTCTCCTCATCTGTCTGGGAAGGGCTGACCTTGGAAGCCTCCAAGGGCTCATCTCTGGAATACGATGTTATAAGCACAGATTCTGGAGTCAGCTTGCCTGAGTATGAACCTCTGCTCCACCCCTTACTAGCTGTGTAATGCTGGGTAAGTTACTCAGCTTCTCTGTGTCTCATGGTCCTCATCTGCAAAATGGGGATAATAAAAGAACCTACTTCATGAGAGTTCAGTGATGATTAAATGAGTTAATATATCTAAAAATCATTTGGAATAGTGTTTGGCACGTAGTAAATGCGATGGAAGGGTTGGGTGGTAGGGGCATCATCATCGTCGTCATCATCTTCCTCCTCCTCCTCTGGCATCTCTGGTTTCTGATGGAATGCAGCCCTGGCAGCCCAGCCCCTGCCAGTTCTCCCTAATGGGCTTTGCTGGCTGGCTGCCCTTGCTCAGTCTCCCCTGCTGGTTCAGGCTAAGGCTAAGACTGGGGAACCTTCTGTTTCTCAGCAGTCTTCCACCTGCCTCCCTCCCTCCACTTGGGGTTGTGTAGCCATTCTCCGCCCTCTCCCCGACCCCTGCCCTGGCTGTGGGCCCAAGGGCAGGCCCTGCACCGCTACCCTTTGTCTGCTTTGAAGGAGCCACCAGCGACTTCGGCCCCACTCTGGGGCTTTTGGAACCTGCTGGGCTGGAGAACAGCTGGAAGGTAGATGGGACATGATGTTTGTCCTGGGCTTCCGGCCTTCCCTGGGCGTGGGCTCAGGGCATCTTACCCACTCCAGCTGGGCCTCAGTGCCAGCCTTCCTTCCCTGAGTCCCTGAATCCTGCTCAGCACAGCCTCTCACCAAGGGGCTTGCTTTCCACACTGTCCCTTCTCCCTAGGACTTTGCCCCAGACAGTCTCCCCAATAGCCAAACCTTCTTCTGGTCCTTTGAGCACAGTGGTGCCATGGGGAGAGCATCCAGACCTTGGTGGCTTGGAAGGGCATTAGTTTTCCTGTTTGTAAAACGGCAATACAGGTTGTCCTGCCTTCTTTGCAGGGTGGCTGGAGGTTTGGTGGGCTGGTCAGTGGAAGCAGATGAGAATGTCAGTTTCTTCTGCTGCCTCCACTTCCAGAAAACTGTCTGACTTCTCTGGCACTCAGAGAGTCACACTTTCCCAAAAAGACCCATGGACTTCACCCTGATTGTTTTGTGATTTGTTTCAAGAATCCTGGTGGGTCATAAAACCCAGGCCCAAACAAGTACCAGCACCCACCCTGACTCGCACCCAGCTAATCCACAGGGAGGAAAATGAACCCAGGAAGGCCCAGCCCCAATCACCGTCACAGCCAGCCAGCTGTCCAGCCACCAAAGAGATAATGAGGCTTCTTGGAGCCAGGGCTGAGCCACACATGAGATATACTCCCCTCCCACCCACAGCTGACCTTGGTGGGTGGGAGGATGCTCCCCTTTGGCCCAGCACACAGCTCGCTCTTCTCATAGCTCATAAACAAGTTAGACTTCTCAGTCCTCCATGAGCTGAGTGCTGTCTCGAGGCCCCACCACCTGCCCCAGCACACAGGCTCTGCCCCTGCCAGGCGACTAGCTAATCTAGAACCTAACCCTGCCTGAGAGTTGCCAGGACCCACCTGCAACCATGACCTATCCTTAGCACCGAGCCGGTGCCACCCTGGAAACCAGGCTTCTCACACCCTCTTCCTGGCCATATCAGGAGAGACAGAAACATTTGTTCCTGTATTCCCACCCCTAGTGGAAGGGTTTCCTCTACCACTCTGACATGCACGGCACCTACACTTCCACCATTAGTCACTCCTTTGGATTTAAGGCTTTGATCACTAAAGGCCCCTAGGAGATCAGGGCCTCACCTGGAAGGTGGGTGGGCGGGTGATTCCCTTTAGTTATCAGGTTAGTGACTCGGCACCTAGTGAGCAAGAGAGGGAAGGGTAGAGTAGGGATGATTCAGGGAAGTAGGGAGAGGCTGAATATACAGCTTTTTGCAAATCAGAGGCTCTCCAGGAAGCCCAGGATGTGATCCTGGAGAGAAGCAGCTGGGTAATGGGTACTGGAAACTTGGAGCTTCCCTCGCTCTGTGTCCTTGGGCCGGTGGTACAGCCTCTCTGGCCTCTGTGTCCTTCAGTTCAATGACTGTTTAGATCCTCTCCCTTCCACCTTGACATGTGGATGTGGGATTCCAAAGGGTGGAGAGGCTGCAGGCTAATTCCTAGGCATCACGTGGGCCTTCCCTCTACTCTCTTTTCCAGACACGTAGTTGGGCGAGGGTGTGAGGTAGGCCTGGCAGTGCAGGGGTGGGGGCACAACTGTGGGAGGACGCTCCTGCCAGATGTGCTGGCTCTCCAACCTGAGGTCGGCCTGCTTTCTGCTCTTTGGCCCGGGGCCTCTCTGACTGCCTGACTTAGGCATTCTCTGTGGGGGTGCCCACATTCCTGCCATTTTCAGAGCCTGACTCTCTGCCCACTTTCAAAAGGCTCCTTGAGGTTACATTCAAGGCCCACTGGGTCAGTGGGTCAGGTTGCAAGGCTGGCTTTGCCAGACCAGAGCATGGGACCCAGCCCCTTCATGGACAACAACACCTCCCACTCTGCCCTCCCCTGGAGCTGCACTCCTCTTTCACAAACAACAAGAGTATGGGGACAGCGGGCCAGACGGTGACAGCACCAGAGTGAATGAGAAGAGGAAACGTGCTCCACCAGGCAGGCCTGAGTTAGGAAATGCATGCCAGAGGCCCAGACTTGCCACAGTCGGTCAGCTGCTGGGGTGGTGATCGAGGGTAGGGTCCCTAAGGAGTCAGGCCCCATTCTTTCCAATGGGATCAGAGCCCTGTGAGCACCCGGCCCTGCGGCTGTGTCTGGTGGAGGTTATCTCCTACAACCCAGCCATCCTTGCAGCCCTCCTATCTGGCCGGAGCTGGGCCTTGCTGGCCCTGCCACCATGAGAAATGGTACTCAGGGGAACTATGGAGTCCGGCTGGGTACGGGGCAGCCTGAATGTGCTTTCTTGGTCCAGCACGAGTGAGGATTGGCTCGGAATCACATGGGGCGGGAGGTGGGTTGTCTTGTTCCTGGCCTGCCTCTGGGCTATGCCCTCCCCATATGTCCCTAGCCCCCTCCCCTACCTGAGCCCCTGGTTATTCTGGGAGCTTTTAGCTACCACTTAGCCACTAATGCGTCAGGCTGGGGAGTGAGGGGGGGACACGGTGCCAGACGGTGCTCCTTTTAGACAAGCAGGATGGGAAGCAGGGGGAGCCAGGAGGTGGGGGACGCCAGAGGATGGGGAGGCATTTTCCACTCCTGGCCCTGCTCGTAGGTTCAGGCAGCAGGGGAGAGTGGTGGGCAGTGGGTCAGTGTGTCCTTGGACAGGCTGCATCTTCCCTCCCCCATCACACGTGGGCCTCAGCTCACCTTCCCGATTCTTCTCATTAGGACTCTGCCAGGCTGCAGCGCATGGCCTCTGTCCTCCATACAGCCACCTTCCCCACCTTTGCTCAGGTTGCGTCCTCTGCCTGGCTTTCCCTCCCGGCCTGTTCAGGGCCCATCCAGCTTTTATCTACCTCACCTCTCCGTTTGGGTTCATAAAGCATCACAAAGAAAATGTTCAGGGATATGATACATACTCCCTTGGCCTGGCCTTTTTAGGGGTAGCCCCTGGCCTTGCTCAGCCCCTGCCTGGGCAGAGACTCGAGGCCTGGCCCTGATGGCTTGGTGCTGCCTTCACTTCCAGGCAGCCCTCCTGCCCCTTAGCCCCCAGCCCCCGCTCCTGCCAACCTGAACAAAGCTTCCTTTCATGTATTCATCGAGCTGCTGCTGCTCGACACTTCCCGGGCACAATCAGGCCTTTTGAGGGCCTCAGGCGGTGCGGGAGCCCAGGCTGGGGCTGGGGTGGAGAATGGGCCAAGGCCTTGTCCTGGGGCTGAGCTGGTGTCATTCCCTCTAGTCCATACGCATCACCAAGAACAGAGGTGGGAGGGCCAGGAACCTGGGGGTCATGGGAGGCCGTGGTCCTGGGCTCCTGTTCGTTTTCCTGCAAAATGGGACGAACAGTCCCTGCTTCCTCCACCCTAGCCATTGTGGCTAGGGTTTGAAGGGAACTGGGCTCAGGCTTGCAGATCCGCATGGGATTGTCCGGGCCCTAGTGCTGCAGCTCCTACCCAGGGGCCAGCAGCCCTCACCCTCCCTTCATGTCTTCAGCAGATACTTTGTGGGCAGCCCTGGGGTCCATGCTAAGACAGTTTTGCTGGAGAGCTGTGGAAGTTTTCTGTGGTGTGGCTGTCTGACCCCTCAGATGTATTCCCAGGGTAGGGCCAGACCTCCCCCTCAGACCTTGCTCTCCAGGACCCAGTCATGTCTCTGCCATCAGGCTCGACTCCCCAGGGCAGGACTGTTTTCCTCTTCTCTTCAACAGCCCTGCAATTCCTAGACCAGGGTGCCCCCACCCAGAGTCCTGTCTGGTGCCTCTTTTCCCTTGAGTAGTTGTACATTGGCCTTGCCGGCCCCCTCGGAGACCTGGGCCTGTGGCCTTGGTGCAGGAGTGGGGCTAAGGTGACTGATGAAGGTGGCTAGCACAGTCTGACGGCTAGAACTTTTCTGCTTTGACTCCCAGGGACTATGGATCTCAGGTCCTAGCCCAGCATCTCTAGATGCAGACACGCACCTTTTCCTGGCTGCCAGTCTGGCTATCGGTGGATGGGAGGGGAGCAGGAGGGGAGTTGGGGCGGCAGACTGTCTGGATCTCTGGCTGGGCCACAGAGGATGGTGGCTGCAGTTTGGGCTGCGGGTGGAAGGGGAGTTACGGGAGCTGAGTCAGGAAGACTGTGTCTGTGACCCCAGCACTCTAATTTTATCCCAGGAAGGGAGGGGGAGCAGGGCAGCACCCAAGACCTGCCAGCTCTCCCTCCCTCCCACCGAAGTGCCAGTACCTCTCAGCCCTTGCTCTGCACATCTCGGGCCTACAGGGAGGGAGGCTTGGGGGCCAGGGAGGGCTGATATCCCCGGAGCTGTTCAGTTGGGCTGTTTGTGATGTGCACCAGGAGAGCCACACCACCCAAGGACAGTGAGCTCAGCACTTCTCTCTGTAGCCTGCCATGCTGCTGAGAACTGATACTGCAGCCTGGGACAAGCTAATGTGTCCTGCCTGCTGGTGTGACCTTGGCATGTCTCCCAGGGTACCTCAGCATTCTTCTCTGCACAGTGCGCCAGGCCACAGAAGAGGTGAAGAATGCTCACTTCCGGGGGTGACCTGGCCATGAAGGGATGTTTCTTAAAGAATGAAGGTGTGGTGGCACAGTGTGTGGTCCAGCTGCTCCTTGCCCCTGTTAAATGCAGAATCAATAGGGATGGCTCCAATGGGAATAAGAGGGATCGGGGGCAGAGTTGAGGAAATGGTAGTTCTTTTTGGTCAGAGCTGGAGCTTGGGTGTCACTGCCAAGCTGGCTGCCCCAGAGTTTCCTGCAGCTGAAAAAACAGTGGTCAGACCCAGTTCCTAGGTGAGGCCCAGGCTGGTCAGAGGTGGGAAGATGCTGGGTGTGGCTGATTGCTGGGGGCACAACCACAGGCCATCCCATCCCTATAATTTACTCCTGCAACCAGGACAACCTCAGCAGTGTCACTGGAGATGAGACACCTCCCCAGAGGCAGTGGCTGCAGTCAGTTTCTTTTTTGGGGAAAATTTTCCCGGTCAGCCCTTCTGCTGAAAGTCCCAGGCTGTGCTCTGTGAAGGTTCCCCTGTCCCAGAGTTGCTGGGGAGGAAGAGCCGATCTTCACCCCCCGGAGAGCTAGCATCCTCATGGGTGAAACCAGGCCAGAGTGGGCCATGGAATAGAGTCCAGCTTGGTAGGCAGGAGTGCAGGCTCTGGTTCAGGGTCTGCTACTGACCTGCTTCCGTGTGCCCTTGGGCTGCCCCTCCCTTGGCCTCTGTTTTCCCATCTGTGAAATGGGACGGAGTAGATGTTGAGATTCCTTTCCTCCTCTAGTCTAGTGCTCACTAAGGGGCTGGGGATGGGCCAGGAGAGGTTGGAGAGGGATTCCTGAAGGAGGAGAAGGGGTTCTGAGCATTGTGATTCCTGGGAACCTGGACTCCAAGGGGGGTGCTTGAAGGCCCTGCTGCCTGCTGAAAGGCCCGGGGTTGGGGGGCGCTGCTTGCTTTGGCTTAGGGCAGCAGAGAACCTCCCAGAGCATGGCCAAGGAGCCCTGGTCCTCCTGCCTTAGCCCAGCCCTCAAAAGTGTGTGCCAGAGGAGGGGGTCTGTTCCCCCAAGAGGTCCCTAAATCCTTCCCCACTCTGAGATCACACATACTGTGAAGGAAGGAGAGGCTGCCACACTAGGGGAGGGGCCGTGCTGTGGGTGAGGACAGCTGGTTGCTGGAGCCCACCGGAGGATCTCTTACTTCTCCTGTCCTTGACTCTCTGAGTCTGGGTACCACCCCAGCCCAGAGCTTGTCTGACGCCCTGCCAGGACCCTGAGCACCAAGCACTGGTTCCAGTGTGCCATGTGGAGGGGACCCAGAGTCTTCTCTCTCGGGACCTGGCTTCAATGTTTCTACTAATTGTCTCCTCCTCAGGCCATGTAGGGCAGGACCGGGTGGACTTTGGCCAGACTGAGCCGCACACGGTGCTTTTCCACGAGCCAGGCAGCTCCTCTGTGTGGGTGGGAGGACGTGGCAAGGTCTACCTCTTTGACTTCCCCGAGGGCAAGAACGCATCTGTGCGCACGGTGAGCCTCTCTCTTCCCCCAACACCCCCCCTACCCTCTTATCTCCCCTCTGGCCCTGCCAAGGGTCCTCAGGGAATCCGAGGGAGCTGGCTTCTCTTCCTAAACTGCCCCCACCTCCGTATCCTATAAATGGCTCCTGGGGGAGGCTCCCTAAAGGTAGTCCAGATTGGAGTGGGGAGCTGGGGCGGTGTGGAGAAAAACAGGAGCTAATGGGCCTGGCCAGCTGGGCAGCGCTGCTGCGGAAAGCCCAGGCTGGAAGCTGGGCCCCAGAGCCCATGCCTGGTCTTCTGAACCCTCTGGGCCTCAGCTCTGGATATGAGACCCTGTTTGACCTCAGGTAGATCACTCACCCTCTCAGAGCCCCAGTTGCTCATCTGTCAGATGAGAATAATGGTTGCTTCCTTTGGGGCTTATCCTGAGGCTGTGTGGAAAGCATTTCAGGGGTACCTCACCCCTGGCAGATTGAACTAATGCTTCTCCCCTTCCCCCAGGTGAATATCGGCTCCACAAAGGGGTCCTGTCTGGATAAGCGGGTGAGTGGGGGAGGGGGTATGGAGGGGTCTGAGCCACTTGGTAAAGGGAGAGGAGACCCTGAGGGTCTAAGGAAGGAAGCATGGCCCTGCCCCACGAGTCCCAGACTGATGGGGAGACGTGGTCCTCTGTGCTTAGGGGATGGCGTCAGCTGCACACACTCTGGGCTGTCCCGGGAGGCTGTCACCTATGCTAAGCCCTTCTGACACCTTCTTCCCTGATCCTGGGGGTCCTAGTGCTAGGCTTGCCAGGGCCTTCCAGCAACCAATTTCTCTCCTCCCTTCTCTCTTCCCCGGGCAGGACTGCGAGAACTACATCACTCTCCTGGAGAGGCGGAGTGAGGGGCTGCTGGCCTGTGGCACCAACGCCCGGCACCCCAGCTGCTGGAACCTGGTGAGAAGGCTGCTCCCCATGTGCCTGATCAGCTCACCTTCTACTGCGTGGGCTTCTGCCCCTCATGGTGGGAAGGAGATGGCGAGACTCCAATGCTGGCCTTGCCCTGGGAGGATGGGGCTCCTGGCCGAGAAACTGGCCGTCATGGGAGGCAGTGGCTGTGGGATTATGTGGCCATCCAACCCTCTGGATCTCCCACAGGTGAATGGCACTGTGGTGCCACTTGGCGAGATGAGAGGCTACGCCCCCTTCAGCCCGGACGAGAACTCCCTGGTTCTGTTTGAAGGTAGGGCAGTGCTGGAGCAGGCGCCCCAGGGGGATGCTTCTGAACTGGGCTGGGAGAGGAGTGGTCAGCTCTTTGTCCAGTGTCCGGAGGAGGGACTTCCAGGAGCTGCCTGCCCTTACTCATTTCTCCCTCCCACTGACCCCAGGGGACGAGGTGTATTCCACCATCCGGAAGCAGGAATACAATGGGAAGATCCCTCGGTTCCGCCGCATCCGGGGCGAGAGTGAGCTGTACACCAGTGATACTGTCATGCAGAGTGAGTCAGGCTCCGGCTGGGCTGAGGGTGGGCAAGGGGGTGTGAGCACTTAAGGTGGCAGATGGGATCCTGATGTTTCTGGGAGGGCTCCCTGAGGGCCGCTGGGGCCATGCAGGAAAGCAGGACCTTGGTATAGGCCTGAGAAGTTAGGGTTGGCTGGGAGCAGAGGAACAGACAAGGTATAGCAGTGGGATGGGCCCAGCCCTCTTCAGGAACACAAACAGAGGGAGCCCCAGACCCAGTGCAGGGTCCCCAGGAGCCAAAGTTTATCCTCTGCTGAGTTCACGTGGAGGCAGCCCCCAACTCCCTCCTCATCAGGGCTCTGCCAATTGAGCAGAAGTGACATAGGGGCCCCCAGGGACCTTCCCCCAGTCCCCAGGCATGAAGTCATTGCTCCTGGGCCGATGACATCTTTGTAGGAAGAGGGCAAAACAGGTGTGGGGTGGAGGTGCAGGGTCTAGGGCCCCTCGGGGAGTTGGACCTGATGTTCTGAGTCCTATTCCAGATCTGATTTGCCATGGTTTGTGCAGACCCGAAGGAGGGAGGAGAGTGTGCAGGGTTGGGATGGTCTCCCGGGCAAGCTTCCCAGCCTTACGCCCACTCGCCTCTGTCCCTGGCAGACCCACAGTTCATCAAAGCCACCATCGTGCACCAAGACCAGGCTTACGATGACAAGATCTACTACTTCTTCCGAGAGGACAATCCTGACAAGAATCCTGAGGCTCCTCTCAATGTGTCCCGTGTGGCCCAGTTGTGCAGGGTGAGCAGGGGCGTGAGGGCTGCTGGCTACGTGTCTGTGCATGAATAGGCCTGAGTGAGGGTGAGTTCTGTGTGTCCGTGTGCATGTAGAAGTTGTGTGGATGTATGAGTGGGTCTGTGTCAGGGACTGTGGGAGCAGCTGTGTGTGCATGGAGCATCATGTGTCTGTGTGTGGGTAAAGGTGGCTGAGCTCCTGTGCACGTATGATGGCGTGTGAGCGTGTGTATGATGGGGTGTGTGTGTGTGTGTGTGTGTGTTTTGCCTGTGTGAATGTGCTGTGCCACGTGTGTGGGTGTGTGAGTCAGTAAATGTGTGTCTGAGTCCGTCTGCTCTGTGGGGACCTGGCACTCTCACCTGCCCTGACCCTGGGCACTGCTGGCCCTGGGCTCTGGATCAGCCAGGCCTGCTTGCTGGAGTCTCATCTGGAGACCTGCCCTGAGTCCTGGGGCACCCCCGGCAGGTCCTGGCCCCTCACAGCCTGCCTTCCTCCTCTGGGCCCAGGTGTTGATATTGCTGGCAGTGGTTTCCTGGGGTGTGTGGGGAAGCCCGGGCAGGTGCTGAGGGGCCTCTTCTCCCCTCTACCCTTCCAGGGGGACCAGGGTGGGGAAAGTTCACTGTCAGTCTCCAAGTGGAACACTTTTCTGAAAGCCATGCTGGTATGCAGTGATGCTGCCACCAACAAGAACTTCAACAGGCTGCAAGACGTCTTCCTGCTCCCTGACCCCAGCGGCCAGTGGAGGGACACCAGGGTCTATGGTGTTTTCTCCAACCCCTGGTGAGTGGCCCTTGTCCTGGGGCCGGGGCTGGCATTGGTTCAGTGTCCAGTAGGGACAGGAGGCCTTGGGCCCTGCTGAGGGCCTCCCTGGTGTGGCAGGAGCAGGGGCTGCAGGCTCAAGAGGCTGGGCTGTTGCTGGGTGTGGGGTGGGGGGACAGCCAGTGCGATGTATGTACTGTTGTGTGAGTGAGTCTGCACTCATGGGTGTGTGTGCATGCCCTATATGCACACTCATGACTGCACTTGTGCCTGTGTGTCCCACCACCTGCTTGTGCCGAGAGTGGACACTGGGCCCAGGAGGAAGCTGCTGAAGCATCTCTCGGGGAGCTGGGTGCTATTACACCTGCTCAGGCACTGCCTGAGCCCGATAATTCACACTTCTTAATCACTCTCATTGATTGAACACACGGCAGGCGGAAGTGTTGGGTGTGTGTGGGGAGAGTTAGGGATAGAGTGGAGGAAGCCAAGACCCTGCTCTGTGGCTCCTGGGTGAGTGGGGTCCCCCAGGCTGGGAAGGGGTTGGGGGTCTGGCCTCCTGGGGCATCAGCACCCCACAGCCTGTGCCCAGGGAGGGCTAGAGAACTGCTCAGCCTATGATGGGGTTCCTCCTGCCTTGGGGTTGGGTAGAGCAGATGGCCTCTAGACTCAGTGATTCTGTAACAGGATACAAGTTTGTGGTTTTAAATTGCAGCACAAAGAAATTAGGCTGAACTCCTCTCCTTCCTCCTCTCCATCCCTCCCCATTTTCAGTGGTGGTTGGCAACTCAGTGCCAGGCACAAGGCTGGCCTGGGTGAGTGGAGGTGGATGGGTGGGTTCTGGGCCCCCCATTGAGCTGGTCTCCATGTCACTGCAGGAACTACTCAGCCGTCTGTGTGTATTCCCTCGGTGACATTGACAAGGTCTTCCGTACCTCCTCACTCAAGGGCTACCACTCAAGCCTTCCCAACCCGCGGCCTGGCAAGGTGAGCGTGACACCAGCCGTGGCCCAGGCCCAGCCCTCCTTCTGCCTCACCTCCCACCACCCCACTGACCTGGGCCTGCTCTCCTTGCCCAGTGCCTCCCAGACCAGCAGCCGATACCCACAGAGACCTTCCAGGTGGCTGACCGTCACCCAGAGGTGGCGCAGAGGGTGGAGCCCATGGGGCCTCTGAAGACGCCATTGTTCCACTCTAAATACCACTACCAGAAAGTGGCCGTCCACCGCATGCAAGCCAGCCACGGGGAGACCTTTCATGTGCTTTACCTAACTACAGGTGAGAGGCTACCCCGGGACCCTCAGTTTGCTTTGTAAAAACGGGCATGAAAGGTGTAAGGAATAATGTAGTTAACATCTGGTTGGATCTTTACATGTGGAAGGAATAATTGAGTGACTGGAGTTGTCAGGGGTTAATGTGTGTGGGTGTGGAAGAGTCAGGCAGGGAGAGCTTCCTGGAGGAGGTAGGGGCAAGAGGGAAAGGGGGATGGGAGAAAAGCAAGCACTGGGATTTGGAGGCGGAAATCTGGAGAGTCTGAGCAAAGCCAGGTGCACCTTTGGTCCAGATGTCTGACTCAGGGAAGAAGATGGTAGGAAGAGACGTGGCAAATGAGGAGGAGGGGCCTGAACCACAGGGATACTGGCCTCTGCCAGGCAGAATGAGGGAGTCAGGCCCTGCGCCTGTCTTTGGGATTGTGCAGGTGAGAGGAAACATTTGAGGAGTTGATGGGGCACAAATTAGGTATGAGGAAGGAGTTCCAGGGGGCAGAACCTTTGCCATCTCACAGAGGACAGGGGCAGCTTCTCTTCTTCCCTGGAGTAGGCCCTGCTGGGGGAAGCTGGGTGGAATGCCGTGGGAGATGCTCCTGCTTTCTGGAAAGCCACAGGACACGGAGGAGCCAGTCCTGAGTTGGGTTTGTCGCAGCTTCCCATGCCAGCTGCCTTCCTTGAGACTGGAAAGGGCCTCTAGCACCCCTGGGGCCATTCAATTCAGGCCCAGGCGCCCAACCTCAGTTGTTCACATTCCCCATGTGATCTCCTGTTGCTGCTTCACCTTGGAACTGTCTCGGCTTTGGTGACCTTGTAGGAAACTGGAACCCCAGCACCATTGTTTGGCTCCTGGAAGCCTTGGGGAGAGGAATTTCCCACAGGGCAGGGCCTGGGTCCTGATTCCCTGCCTCTTTACTCCCTATTCATCCCGGCTACACCCTTGGGCCCCCATCCTTGCTTGGCTCCAGTAGTGGCTGGCACAGCTGTTGTGGTCAGCCAGGGATGGCAGGGCACTGGGGAGCAGAAGAGGAGAGGTCACACAGTGCGGAACTGGGAGCAGGAGCTAGGACAAGGAAGGCTGGACTTGGGCCATGGATTCCCTTCCTGCAGACTTGGGAGGTGAGCACACTTGAGTGATTAGAGAAGGTGTCTTCGTTCTAAGGGCAGTGGAGGAGGCACCATTTTGGAGCCTGCATCATTCGTATTTGGGCTAGACTGAAAAATAGAGCTTTCTAAGTCCTCTGCAGAGAATGGGAGGCTCTCACAACTGGGAGAAGTATTGGCTCTTTTCCTGAGAATTTTGCCAAGGGTATGCTGTTACTGGGGCTGGTTTGGAAGGAGGTATAGGGCAGTATGTCTGTGAAGGCAGTGGCTGGGGTGGGGCCTTATCAGGCCCAAGGAGCATCTGGCCACATCTCAGAGTCCACAGATGAGGATCACGGATGTGTAGAGGAAACATCCTAGGCAGGCAATCATCTGACTGCTTTTTTGGGGCAGGTGATGCCCTGGGAAATTGGGAGGGAGGGAGAGAGGGAGGTAGGCTATTCTAGAAACTGGGAGAGCAGGTGAGGTAGGATTGGGAGGACCAGGGGTCAGGGTGCCCATTGGTCCCTAATTGTGAACGGAGAGAGCATTGGTCTAGGAGGCAGGCAGCTCGGTTATAAGACCTTGGGAACTCTTGATTTAGAATCCAAGATCCTTTTTAGATCTAAGATTTTATAAAATTAAGATATCCCCTAAGATCAAATGCAACGTGGAGTCCTGAATTGGATCCTAGAACAGAAGAAGGACATTTGTGGAAAAACTAGTGAAATCCAAATAAAGTCTGTAGTTTTGTTAATAGTAATGCACCAATGTCAGTTGCCTAGTTGTGACAAATATACCGTGGTTATGTAAGATGGTAACATTAGGGGGAACTGGAGAAGGGTAGATTGGAGCTCTCTGTACTATCTTTGCAACTTTTCTGGGAATCTAAAATTACTCCAAAATAAAAAAAAAATGTATTTAAAGTAAATATATTCCCTAAGAGTCCAGGAGGCAGGGGAGTTGTAGAAGCAGCTGAGTGGTTGGGCTCTGACAGATTTGGGTTCCAACTCGGTCTCTGCTGCTCACCAGCTGTGTGACCTTGAGCAAGTGGCTTAGCCTTTCTGAGCCTGATTTCCTTATCTGTGGAGTGGGGAAGATGACAGCCACCTCGCAGGGCTGTGGAGGGTTAAACGAGGTGATGCATGGACAGCAGCCGCACTGACCTTGCTGGTGTGGGGCTCCTGCTTCTGTTCTTCCCGTGCAGCCTTGGGAATGTTGGAGGCCGTATCCAGGGACCCCTGGGCCTCCTGGGATGGCCTCTCTGGATCAGCCTTGGAAGGTTCCAGGCTGCCCTTAGGCTCCCACATTCTTCCCCAGTCACGCTCTCCTCGCCCTGCCCACACCAGTCCTGTGACCCTTGCCTGAGTTGTGACTTCCCACCCCTCCCCGGCCTAGAGGAAAGCTGCCTGGCCCCTCAGTGGGACTCCCGCCCACTGACCCTCTGTCCACCATACACAGACAGGGGCACTATCCACAAGGTGGTGGAACCGGGGGAGCAGGAGCACAGCTTCGCCTTCAACATCATGGAGATCCAGCCCTTCCGCCGCGCGGCTGCCATCCAGACCATGTCGCTGGATGCTGAGCGGGTGAGCCTTCCCCCACTGCGTCCCATGGGCTATGCAGTGACTGCAGCTGAGGACAGGGCTCCTTTGCATGTGATTTGTGTGTTCTTTTAAGAGCTTCTAGGCCTTAGGGCCTGGACATTTAGGACTGAGTGTGGGGTGGGGCCCGGGCCTGACCCAATCCTGCTGTCCTTCCAGAGGAAGCTGTATGTGAGCTCCCAGTGGGAGGTGAGCCAGGTGCCCCTGGACCTGTGTGAGGTCTATGGCGGGGGCTGCCACGGTTGCCTCATGTCCCGAGACCCCTACTGCGGCTGGGACCAAGGCCGCTGCATCTCCATCTACAGCTCCGAACGGTACGTTGGCCGGGATCCCTCGTCCCTGGGAGAAGGTGGGCATGGGAGAGGGGGAGGTGTTGTCGGGCTGGAGGAGGTGGCGGTACTGGGCCTTTCTTGTGGGACCCTCCTCTCTGCTGGAACTGCACTGGGGTAAGGATAGGAGGGTCAGGTCTGCAGCCTTGTATCTGCTGATCCTCTTTCGTCCTTCCCACTCCAGGTCAGTGCTGCAATCCATTAATCCAGCCGAGCCACACAAGGAGTGTCCCAACCCCAAACCAGGTACCTGATCTGGCCCTGCTGGCGGCTGTGGCCCAATGAGTGGGGTACTGCCCTGCCCTGATTGTCCTGGTCTGAGGGAGACATGGCCTTGTCCTGTGGGCCCCAGGTACATGGGGCAGGATACAGTCCTGCAGAGGGAGCCCTCTTGGTGGGATGAGCGAGACGGGAGAAAAAAGGAGGACGCTGAGGGCTGGGTTCCCCACGTTCATTCAGAAGCCTTGTCCTGGGATCCCAGTCCGTGGGGAGGACACATCCTCCCCTGGGAGCTCTTTGTCCCTCCTCACGGCTGCTTCCCCACTGCCTCCCCAGACAAGGCCCCACTGCAGAAGGTTTCCCTGGCCCCAAACTCTCGCTACTACCTGAGCTGCCCCATGGAATCCCGCCACGCCACCTACTCATGGCGCCACAAGGAGAACGTGGAGCAGAGCTGCGAACCTGGTCACCAGAGCCCCAACTGCATCCTGTTCATCGAGAACCTCACGGCGCAGCAGTACGGCCACTACTTCTGCGAGGCCCAGGAGGGCTCCTACTTCCGCGAGGCTCAGCACTGGCAGCTGCTGCCCGAGGACGGCATCATGGCCGAGCACCTGCTGGGTCATGCCTGTGCCCTGGCCGCCTCCCTCTGGCTGGGGGTGCTGCCCACACTCACTCTTGGCTTGCTGGTCCACTAGGGCCTCCCGAGGCTGGGCATGCCTCAGGCTTCTGCAGCCCAGGGCACTAGAACGTCTCACACTCAGAGCCGGCTGGCCCGGGAGCTCCTTGCCTGCCACTTCTTCCAGGGGACAGAATAACCCAGTGGAGGATGCCAGGCCTGGAGACGTCCAGCCGCAGGCGGCTGCTGGGCCCCAGGTGGCGCACGGATGGTGAGGGGCTGAGAATGAGGGCACCGACTGTGAAGCTGGGGCATCGATGACCCAAGACTTTATCTTCTGGAAAATATTTTTCAGACTCCTCAAACTTGACTAAATGCAGCGATGCTCCCAGCCCAAGAGCCCATGGGTCGGGGAGTGGGTTTGGATAGGAGAGCTGGGACTCCATCTCGACCCTGGGGCTGAGGCCTGAGTCCTTCTGGACTCTTGGTACCCACATTGCCTCCTTCCCCTCCCTCTCTCATGGCTGGGTGGCTGGTGTTCCTGAAGACCCAGGGCTACCCTCTGTCCAGCCCTGTCCTCTGCAGCTCCCTCTCTGGTCCTGGGTCCCACAGGACAGCCGCCTTGCATGTTTATTGAAGGATGTTTGCTTTCCGGACGGAAGGACGGAAAAAGCTCTATTTTTATGTTAGGCTTATTTCATGTATAGCTACTTCCGACTGCATCTGTATGAAAATACCAAAACTACATGCGGGGGGGTGGGTGGGAAAGGGAGGGGCTGGGAAGGGATGGGTTGGGGAGCGGGGGTGATCCCAGTCTGAGGCTCCCGGGGATGAGATAAGAGTCTGGAGACGGGCATGGGTTCTTGGAGAGTGGCATGAGCTGGCTCTGCCCTGGGAGCCCGGTCTGAGGGGGACGTTGTTGGAGCCCCTAGTGTTGGGGGTGGTTATGGGAGGGGGTGGGGTGAGGGAAACGGGAGAATGAAGGAGAAAACTGAGCCCTAGTTTCACCGTGTTCATTTGGAAGGACGAGCCGGGTCCTCAGGGGGAGGTTCCAGGACTCTGCCCTTGGCGTTGAGGGTTGGGGGGCGGGGGGCCTCCTCCCTTCCTCTCAGCCCCCTTCCCCAGGGGCTGTGCTTCCATGCTCCTAGCCTCCCACCTTCGCTCAGGACATGTTATAACTTAGGCTAAACTGTGAAAATTCCGGTGGGGATGGCCTGGGCCGAGCTCTCCAGGCAGGCGGCCCTGCCCCCAGCCCTGTCCATCCATTTCAGGGGGGAGCTGGGCCCTTCTCCGGCTGTGTCTGGCCACCCAGGGCAGTGGCTGGGGCCAGTGGCCTTCCAGCTTTGGCCCCTGCACCTCTTCTCAATGCACTTTAATAATGTAACATATTACTAATAAACAAGCTATTTATTTACCTGCGCCTGTTCCTTGCCTGCAAAGCTGTCCTGGTCAGGGGGTGTTGGTGGGGGCTCCTGTTTATTACTCGCCACCCCCTGGCTGCGTGAGCATCACATGCATTCTTTCATGTCCTGGTTAGGGCCCAGGAGCCAGCTCAGCAGGGCTGTAGCTAGTGAGAGGCAGGAATGGGGACCTGAACCCACGACTCCTCAGCAGCGTGCTGCTTGCTCGAGCCTTGACCCCAGAGCCCCAATAGCACGTGCACCCCTTTTCCCCATTCCCAGCCTTCACCTCCCACCACTTCCCCCTGGAAGGCCTGGCCTGGGTCATGCTAGAAACAGCCTCAGGACTCCCTGCCTTCAAGGGGCAGTTCTGGAGGGCAAGCTGATCAAATGCGACCCTGTGGGATGCTGTGGCCTTGAGTGTGTGTGCAGGAGGCTGGTGCCGGCTGAAGAGATGTGGGAATGGGATTTGCTCCAGGCAGGGTAGGGGTCTGGGTGAGGGTTGGAGAGTAGGGAGGGACCTGTGGGGAGGGTTTATGAGTGATGAGGTAGGATTTGAGTTGTAGAAACTCAGGACTCCCTCCAAGATCAAGTAAATAGGTTTTAGAACACAGAAGTTTATGCAGGAAGGAGCCTCTGAGGCTGGGGTGGAAGGATGCAGGGGAGTTAGTTAGGAGGCTGTCTGGTGGCGGGTGGAGGTCAGGATGAGAGCAGTGGTCCTGGGATGAAGGGCAGGGACAGTAGGGAGCACTGCAGATAGAAGTCCAGATAGAAGCCCAGAGGCCTCCCCTCCCCCTTGTTCCCTTCTCTGTCCCCTGTCCCTGGAGGCAAGGACCTAGGCCTTTGGGGTCTGCTAGGCGTTTTTCCTGAGCAGTGACTGCTGGAGGGGTCCATGGCAGACTTGGGGCAGTTTACTTCTCTGTCCGAGCCCAGCTTCTGGTTGGCTCTGGCAAACCCCACAGGACTGGAATTGCCCCCACCCATAGTGCTCCCTCCCACTTCAGTTTGCTCTGCACTCTCATAGCCAGCCCATTCCTGAGGATTCTCCCCATCCTTTTCTCCCCCAACACTCGGCATGCCCTGGGGGACCAAGGTCTCAGCAGGTACATGGGACCAGGGGTCTTTGGGAGTTTGGGGGACCCAGAAGAGCCCTGGGCAGCTGGGGCAGAGACCTGGGGCTGCTGCCACCATTTTTGGCGTTTGTGGTCCTGGGCAGACCCTCGCCTTTCCCGAGCCTCATTTCTCTCCTGTGTAAAAGGCAGGGCTGGACCTGGGCTTCTGTGGACCCTTTCCTGCACATCTCGTCTGTCCCAGTCCGTCTGTATTCCAGTGCACAGCCAAGCATCGGCATCAGGATGGGGGTTTCACAGGCTCCTGCTCAGCAAGCTGGAGGCTGGTGGCAAAGCAAAGGATGGGAGTGAATTCCAGCCCCAAATGGTCTGAGCGGCGAGTGGACAAAGTGTGGGCTTAAGCCTTGGTCCCTCCTGGAGTGCTGCTGGTGGTCTCCACTGAGTTCCCTGTCCTCTCTGGGCCTCAGCAGCCTCCCTCTTTCCAGAGATGCTCCTGGTGCTCTGATGGGTCCATGGCAGGGGATTTGAGTGATGGAACCCACTCCATTGTCTCTGTGGAGGCACCAGGAGAGGCTGGGCTGGGAGGGAAGCCGTGTGCATTAAGGCATGAAATGAGCCCGTGTAAATTCCATGTAAATGAGCTGGCAGGGATGAGGCCAGCCAGGCACAAGCCTCCTGCCCTGTTTTCCCCAATGGACAAGCAGCACAGCAGGCCTCTAGCTGGCGGTGTGTGGGCAGGACGGTTAGGCTGGGCCCGGGTGGTGGGAGGATCTGCTCTAGCCATAACCACACGATATCCACAGTCCCAGCACTGGCTTCTTGAGGGCCAGGCCAGGGACCAGAGCCAGGCCAGGGGCAGGAACCAGGCCCATCCTTCTCCCCTCTCTTGTGCATTCTCGTTGGGGAGGAGGAAGAGGGACGAGACTGAAAGCTCAGCTCTCCTGGGGAAGGCAGCAGGGAACTGCAGATTTCGTTCTGCCTCCCTCCCACTTTAGGAATGTAGAGTCATTACGGTTTATCCCCCATCCACATGTCCTGTCATCCTCTCTCCCCGAGGGAAGGCTGCTGTCCTCTTGTCTCTCTGCTACATCAAATCATACCCTTCCCATCTCTCCTCAGACTTCTACCTTCCTTTGCTGGAACCGCTCTGCATTTGCTCCTGTGATTCCCTCCCCTGGAATGCCAGGAGGAAGATGCTCCCAGGCAAAGATTTCAGAATGACATGGAATTCTCCAGAGGAATCCTGGATCCCCCCTACACTAATGCCTCAGCCTGTTCACTCCTGATCTTTGGGAGGGTGCACCTGGAAGCAAGCTCTGGGGTCCCTGGGGGAGAAGGCACAGCCCCTGCCCTGGAGACACTTAAAGCCTGGTAGGGAAGGGCTGTGGGCTGGACAGTGACCATACGTGTGACGGTCCTAGGTGGGAGGTGGGAGCTCAGAGGAGGAACCTAACCCATTGAGCGGAGTGCTCAGGGAAGGCTTTGAGTAGGGCCTTAGAGGATGTGTAGAAGTTCCCCAGGAGGAGAGTGACTGAATGGAGAGGGAACAGCATTTACAAAGGCCTGGGAGTGTGAGAGGGCCTGGGGTGTTATGGGCTCGCTGGAGTAAAGTGAGCTCCATGAAGCCAGAAATCCTTGGCAGTTTTGTTCACAGCTGTATCTCTAGTACCTAGAACAGTGCCTGGCACATATTAGGTGCTCAGGACATTCTTACTGAATGAATGAATAAGATGAGAGAAGGGAGAGTATCTAGAGGTGAGACTGGATGACTCCAGCAGTTCCCGATCCTGGGAACTAAAGCAAGATCTTTATCCTGCAGACACTAGGGAGCAATTGAAGGATTTTGAGCAGGGGTGGGGTAGATGATAATGATAATAATGGTGAGGATAATGGGAGCCTGAGATCCGTGTTTTCTTACACCCCATCTCTTACACCAAAGACCCACTCCTCACCATTTCCAGGTGTTTCTAGCTCCTTAAATGGTCCAATTTTAGCCTTCTGCTTACTGGAAAAGAAAGTGCAGCCATCCTGGCTACAGTGCCAGACAGGAGGTCTGTAGGCTTGGGCCAGTGGAATGGGGCTGAAATGGCTAAATCTGGCTCGGAAACACTTTTATCTCAATATTGGTTAACTCTGGGAGGAAGAGACCTTGGGAGAAAAACAAAAACAAAATCCACATTCTCAGGGTCACCAATGGCCATGAGTCAGCCCCCACCAAGGGAAGGAGCACAGAACCACACTCGGGAGGCGCTGGCCCTGTTAGTATGCTGGGGCGTTTCTGTAGGGTGGTGTTCACACCAGAACCGCTGCACTCGAACCAAGTCAAGGTCCCAGAACTCTGGCAGTTCTTTCAAGTTGGGCAAAATAAATGAGCTCAGAAGGGCTTAGGTAGAGGTGAACACGTCCTTTGGGGCTGAGCCTATATCATGGTGGGGAAACACATGGCTTGCAGCTTGATTCAGCTGTAGCCTATGCCTGGAGCAGGCATTGCTGATCAATTGTGGCATTCCTTTCCTGAGCTCATATGAGTGATTTTCTTCAGAACTTGCATTCTCTGGGGGCTACTGGGCACTTGAAATAGGGCTCATCTGAATTGAGATGTGCTGTAAGTATAAACAACACACTGGATTTTGAAAACATAATATGAAAAAAATGACCTTAAATTTTTACATCGATTACACTTTGAAATGATAATATTAGAGGTTGGGCGTGGTGGCTCACACCTGTAATCCCAGAGCTTTGGGAGGCTGAGGTCAGTAGATCACCTGAGGTCAGGAGTTTGAGACCAGCCTGGCTAACATGGTGAAACCCTGTCTCTACTAAAAATACAAAAATTAGGTGGGCATGGTGGCGTGTACCTGTAATCCCAGTTATTTGGGAGGCTGAGGCAGGAGAATCGCCTGAACCTGGGAGGCAAAGGTTGCAGTGAGCTGAGATTGCTCCATTTTACTCCAGCCTGGGCAACAAGAATGAAACTCTGTCTCAAAAAAAAAAGAAAAAAAGAAATGATAATATTTCAGATATAAGATATATTTGGCTAGATAACATACAAAAATTAATTCCACCTATTTCTTTAACTTTTTTTGTTGTTGTTGTTTTGTTTTTTAGATGGAGTCTTGCTCTGTAGCACAGAATGAAGTGCAGTGGCAGGACCTTGGCTCACCACAACCTTCGCCTCCCAGGTTAAGCGATTCTCCTACCTCAGCCTCCCGAGTAGCTGAGATTACAGGCGCCCGCCACCACGCCCGGCTAATGTTTGTATTTTCAGTAGAGACGGGGTTTCACCATGTTGGCCAGGCTGGTCTCCAACTCCTGACCTCAAATGATCTGCCCGCCTTGGCCTCCCAAAATGCTGGGATTACAGGCGTGAGCCACCGCTCCTGGTCTTCTTTAACTTTTATCTAGTGTGGCTACTGGAACATTTTAAATTATGTGTGTGGCTCATATTGTATTTCTGTTGGACAACACTGTTACGGAATATCTGCTCTGCGGGGGCAGGGAATTTTGTCTTTTTTTGTTCACAGCTAAATTTCATAGCACCTAGAGTAGCACCTAGCACACAGTAGGTGGTCAGTAAATTATTTGTGGAATGAATGAATGGATCCTCACCAGCATTTCTCCTTAGGAGTCACCAGCAATTGATCAGATGGAACTTATTTGCTACCCCGAGCCTAGCGGATGCTACACCACAGTGCTAACAACCCCCGTTTGTGCTTTCTGACTTTAGAGCTTGTGTCGCTCTCCTGGGACTCTCCTGATACCCAGTGGGGCAGGTGAAAGTGGACTCTGGTGAATGCACTGCTCCGCTGAGGGTCTTCTGAAAGGGAACGTTTCCGTTCCTTCTGATCAGGAAGCAGGGCAGTGTGCAAATGGTATGGAAATCACTTCTTGTGGGTGTTTGCCTATCTAGGGTGCTGGGGATACTTCCAGTCCACTTCCTGACCCCAGCCCTTGGTCCCTAGAGACAAAAGAGGAAGCTCTGGAGACTTTGAGCTCTGGGGGCAGATCGGGGGAACTGGGGCCCCCTTAGTCTTTCCCCAGCGAATGAGGGCTTGTAGCCCAGAGCATCCTCATCTCTCAATTCAGCAGGAGCCTAAAAATAGTCTGCAGTTTCAGCCTCCCCCACAGCCGCCCGCGCCAAGTGGGGCCCTGCGCCCGGCAGCTCCTCCACAATCCAGACTGTCTGCACAATCTGCCCCAGCTACCGACCCCCATCTCCTCGGCGTCTGTCCCATCCTGGCCCCTGAGAACCCTGAGCTCAGCACTCCCTGCTGTGAGGCCTGCTGAGGGTCTGCTTCACACTCTGCCTTTCCTAACAGCCTGGGCCCTGACCCCTGGAATTCCAGACCCCATGTTTTGTCCACTCTCCATTCTGGAGGGGACGCTAGCCAGACACAAGTGGGGTGAAGGTGTTGCAGGTAATGAAACCAGCACATGCAAAGCATGGGGTGCGAGAGAGCACAACATGCCATGGAAGGGGTGAGCCGGAAGGGCTGGGTGCACGGGATGGAGTACGGGGGCCAGTCCCAAGCTGGAAGGCAGCACCGCAGGTCTGTTGGCTCCCACCCCACGCGTGGATGCCCTGGAGTAGATGATGTCTTCGTCCAGCCCACGGTGGAGCAGGACTGCCCCTTGGATCAAGTAGCCTGCAGTAGCTCTGGTGCCACCCACACCTTGTGTAGAGCCCAGAAGGAACGCTTAGGTGCCAGGGCCTGTCTCCCTGTTTTGGGTCCTCCACATCTTGTGGGAAGCCCTGGTGCCTTCCGGCTCTGAGCTTCTGGGGTTCCTGCCTGCTTAGCAATACAGGAAGTCTCCTCAATGAGGTCCAGCAAGGGGAATGCCTCGAGGCAACCAGTACCTTGGTGGCAGAGCTGGAATGAAACCCTCCATATCCTGATGCCCAGCTGGGACCCGTCCCTCCCATCAATGTCGGGCGACCACTGCTGAGGACACATCCTGGTCAGAACCTGAGATACGGGGCTTGGGGACCTGCCCTGCAGAAGGGTTTCCTGGTGGCAGGAGTGAGTGTGCAGGTGACACTGCTGGCCCATGACGGTTCCACATTCTGAGTGAGCAGGGTCCCAGCTGCAGGAAGTGGTGGCGGCAGAAGTCACAGTCACCTTCCTCTCCTGGGGGCCGGCTTTCGGGGAAGCCAGGGGAAATGCTGAGCTCATGGGCTGTTCTTCCCACAGCTGGTTTCCAAGGCCTTTTCTTGTCCCTGACATCTCTCCACAGCCTCACCACAGCCCTCAGAGGCGGAATGCCATCGTGGGCATTACTGTCCCATTAGGCAGAGCAGGTGCAAGGCCAGCCTCTTGCTCTGAGCTACCTGCCCCTTCAGAGCCTGGCCTAGAACCTGGACTCCTGCCTCTTCCCACCTCCACACAACACCCTCCCCCAAGGAAACAGGGGTGGGTGGAATCTAGAAGCTTCTCAGGTGAGGTGAAGGTGTTGGGAAGGCATTAGAACTTGAGGTTTTCTCACCTCCACCAGCCCCTCATTTCCCAGCAGATGTGAGACCTCCTTGGTGTGCATGTCAGCCCGTGATAGGTCAGTCTCAGGACGTTTCCCCCAGCATGGGGCCTGTCAGAGGAGCTCCCCCTCCCCAGCCACCACAAGAGCCCAGTCACTGGGAGCGCCCCTGCACCCTGGAAGGCATCCGAGGGATCCAAGCCCATTCCTCAGCTTGAGGAAATGGCAGCCCCTGCAGAGGGCCCTGACTGGCCCTGTGAGTGTGGAGGTGGGGGCGTCCTAGCCCTGATACATCCTTTCCTGAACTCCACCCCAATCATGGGTATAAACACAGGCAGAACATCAATGAAGTGAGAGGAGAGTTGTCTGCCTTGGCAGCCAGCACCAGGGAAGATGGAACTGTGGCTTGTCTACCTGTCTGGCCTTCTGTTGTTCTCTGTCTCAGTCTCATTCTGTTTCCCTGTTGGTCTCTGTTTCTATTCTCTCTCTCTCTGTCTCTCCTTGTTCCTATTTCTCTCTCTGGCTTGACCTCTTATGCTCACTTACACAAAACAAGCATGCATATATACAACAGGTGGGCACATGGGACCACACGTATGACCTGCTCACCCATACACACGTACAAACATGCACATCTGTGCACACATGCATCCACACAGAATCCTCCCTCCTCAGATCCTGTATGTATATTCAGAGAAGGGGGTGGTGGTGAAGCTCTCTTTCCATGTATCCACAGGCTCAGGGAGAACCCACAGTTAATTTCCAGGCTGTTTCTGCCTCCCTGTCACTGGCAACTGGGAGCTTGGAGGAATAGGCTGGGATCCCCACTGATATCTGGGACTCTGGTGGGGATCTCTGGGCCATCATAACCTGCCAGTGAAGAGCATGAGAGGGGAGGGGGAGTCTCCGGAGGTGAGCAGAAGGGACGAGATAGGAAGATGAGATGTTGAGTTAGCAGTGCACTGGCCTGGAGGGCTCTCTGGCTCCTTCCCCTCCTGATGCTCTTCCTGGTGGTCCTGCTGAGATGCCCTATGACCCACCTGAGAGCTGGGGACCAGGGACGACTGGACCACAGGAGGCCCCAGAGGGAGGCGCCTGCAGGGAGGGAAGCCTCCTCAGTCATTTGCCCCACCCACAGAAAGCTGGAGGCTGGACGTCCCTAGGGTGTGTGGCCATGAGGAGAGAGCCTTTATTCCTGTCCTTTCAGGACAATGGGCCAGATGAGGCCCCACCAGGTACTTGGGTTTCCTGGGTGGGTCGGGGCTTTCCTGGAATGCTCAACCTTCCTGGTGTCCCAGGGTTGAGGTAACTGCATGGGAAGAGGGTAGGCAGGAAGCCCTTACGGTCTGTAAGGACCTGTCCTGCCCTGGAGTCTGGGTTCAGGTGGTCATCAGAGCCTGCACGCCTCCACCACTCTCAGCATGTGGGCCTGCTCCCTGTTCAGAGCAACCCCCTTACTGAGCACCTGTGTGGTGCAGGCTGTGCTGGGAGGAGGCTTGTGAAGAGCAGGTGAGCTAGGACTGGGCACCAGAGAAGGAGGAGCCCCTTTCGCTGCTGGGGCAGGAGCTAGAGCCCCCACGGGCATGTTTTGGTGTGGGGACAGATTCAACAGGAGCCCAGGGATCTTTCTGAAATGTGACACTTGCCTCCACCCTCCTTGCCAGAAAGGGACATTGCTCAGCCACCTGGCTCAGCTTCAATAAGCAAGTAGTAATAGTGGTGAACAAAAGCCAAATGCGTAAGTCACGCACCTGCCCGGGACTGTTCTGAAACTTTGTGTGAATTGTCTTGGTTAGTTTTCTCACCAGCCCTTTGAGGTTGATACTATTACTATTGTCTCCATTTCATAGTTCAAAGAACTGAGGCTGAGAAAGAGTAAGTAGTTTACCAAAATTTCACAACAAAAAGATGCATCTAATCTTTGTCCTCAAGAAACAGGGGTTCTACTTTTACTTTTTTTTTTTTTTTTTGAGATAGGATCTTGTTCTGTTGCCTAGGCTGGAGTGCGGTGGCACGATCTTGACTCACTGCAACCTCTGCCTCCCGAGTTCGAGTGATTCTCTTGCCTCAGCCTCTTGAGTAGCTGGGATTACACCACGCCTGGTTAATTTTTTTTTTTTTTTAATTTTTAGTAGATACGGGGTTTCACCATGTTGACCAGGCTTGTCTCAAACTCCTGACCTCAAGTCATCCACCTGCTTCAGCCTCCCAGAATGCTGGGATTACATGTGTGAGCCACTGTGCCCGGCCCAAGCTCCTGCTCTCTTTGCTGGGTTCGCGGTTAATACAAGTGATACACACAGCAGAGAGAAGCAGTCAGGTGGGCCACTCTGGCAAAATGGCAAAGATCAGGTCTGGGACAGAGTCTGCCCCAGTGACCAGGGTTCCCTACACAGAGTCCATTAGCACCCGAGTCTTGGACCTCAGAGGAAGATGATGGGATCACTTGTTCCAAGACACCCTGAGGCTCTGAGACAGGGAGGTCACCTGTCAATCTGTCCTACTTGGGACCGAGGTGGGCTGAGAGGCCCTCTGCTTGGGCTGCAGGGCCCCTGCAGGGGTTGAGGATCAGCTTTCTCCTCTCATTGGTTCCTGCCAGAACCATCTTAGGGAGCAGCTGCTGTGGGGGCTGCTCTCCCACAGCAGGGAACCCACATCCTGCCCCATTACAGCAAAGTGAGCATCCGGTGGGGGAAGGACCCCCACGGGGGGCCTGAAGCTGATGAAAGTTGAGTCAGGGTGACTCAGTGGAAGGCCTCTTCCCACTGCTGTCTCCAAGTGGAATACTGTGGTCAGACCAAAGGAAGAACTTCCCAACCTCTGGTCCCACATCTGGAATGCATGCCAAAAAGGGGTCTCTGAGAGAACATGGCAGTTTGGCAGTTCTCAGGCTCTGTCATGCTACATACTGACCTCAGAAAGACCCCGGGAGGCAGACTGCAGATGGGGAAACTGAGGAAAGGGACAGGACCTGTACCAGAGCTGGGACTGTAGCTGGACCTTGAGTCTGCTCATCATGGGGGCACCTGCCCAAGGAGAGGGCAGCACCCCACTGCAATGCCCCCTATGTTTCCCCAGAGCCCCTCTCCTCCCATCTGCTCCTCAGAGGCCTTGTCTCGAGGTAGGAGTGGAGTGAGGGGGTGGGGGTTTCCCTGAGCAAAGAATAGTTCTCCTGTAGGATGCTGTTTTAAGAAACACACAAATAGACAAGCCACCCAGCCAGTCAGACAAGTTTGGCTTTCCAAACCTGTCCCTGGGGTGGCTGTTGTTGCCTTTTTATTTATTTATTTATTTATTTATTTATTTATTATTTATTTATTTATGTATTTATTGAGTAAAGGTTCATATAACACAAATTTTGCCATTTCAAAATGCACATTGCAGTGGTTTTGAGTATATTCATAATGCTCTATGACACCTACCTCTAGCTAACTCTGGAACATTCCATCACCCCCAAGAAACCTCGTGCCTGTTAGCAGTTACTTCCCCTTTCCTTGTCCCCCAACTAATGTACTTTCTGTCTCTATGCATTTGTCTCTTCTGGACATTTTTTAAAAAATTAAATTAAATAATTTATTCAGAGATGAGGTCGCGCTATGTTTTCCAGGCTGGATTCAAACTCCTGGGCTCAAGTAATCCTCCTGCCTGGGCCTCCCAAATAGTTGGGACTACAGGCGTGAGCCACTGCATCCAGCTTCTAGGCATTTCATATAAATGGAATTGTACATGTCACCTTTTGTGTCTGACTTCTTTCACTTAGCATACTGTTTTCAGGGGTTATCATGTGGTAGCCTGAACCAGGACGCCCCATCTTCTCACTGCTGAATGAGAGCTCATTGTGTGGCTAGGCCATGTTGCTTATCTGTGCCTCAGTTGATGGACATGGACATTGTTCCCACTTTTCGGCTGTTATAATAATATCCAGAATAACGCTGTATGAATATTTGTGTACAAGTTTTTGTGTGATCAGATGTTTTCAACTCTTTGGAACATCTATTTACCTGGGAGTGGGACTGCAGAATCCCATGGTAACTCTGTGTTCAACGTTTTGGGCAACTGACAAACTGCTTTCCACAGAGGTGATACCATTTTACATCCCCGCCATCAGAGTGTGAGGGCTCTAATCTTGCCACAGTCTCACCAACACTTGTTATTTTCTCTGCCTTTATTCTTTCAACACACACACACACACACACACACACACACACAGAGAGAGAGAGAGAGAGAGACATTGAGACAGGGTCTTGCTCTGTCACCCAGGCTGGAATACAGTGGTGCAATTTTGGCTCACTGCAATCTCCGTCTCCTGGTCTCAAGCAATCCTCCCACATCAGCCTCCCGCGCAGCTGGGACTGCAGGTGCATGCCACCACACCCAGATAATTTTGTGTATCTTTTGTGGAGATGAGGTTTCACCACATTACCGAGGCTGGTCTCGAACTCCTGAACTCAAGAGATCTGTTGGCCTTGGCCTCCCAAAGTGCTGAGATTTCAGACATGAGTCACTGTGCCTGGCCTTCAACACATATTTTGTTGAGCCCCTGCTTGGTGTCAGGCCTGTGCTGGGGTAGGGGATGCAGGGGTCCAGGCTGCTCTTGCAGAGCCAAAGGGACATAGATGTGACCCAGTGGTGGCTGGTGCTGAGTGGAGGGAAGGAGGAGGTGAAGTGATGGGAGTGACCTGCATGGACAGTCAGGGCAGGCTTCAGGGAGGCAGCGTTTGTGCCCTGGGAAGGTCTTGGCTGTTACTGTCCAATCCCAGCCTCTGTCCCTTCCCAAGTCCCCAGGATGAGTGGTAGTCAAGGTGCTGGGTGCCTCAGTGTTATAATGTGAAAAGTCTCAGCCTGGCCTGAAACTCACCCATTAGAGCCCTCACCTGCAGATTCTATGCCCACAGCCCAGGCCAGATGAGGAAACTGTGGCTCAGAGAAGGGAATGACTTCCCAAAGGTCATCCCAAAAGGTAGTGGCAGAGGGAGACCAGATCCCTGATCTACAGATGCCCAGCCTGGGGTCCTTTTAGCTCTGATGGGGTGAGGCCTGGGGCAGCATGAGGCTGGGAGCAGGGAAGATGGGGGAGGGCAGGAGGCTGAGAGAGCCCAGGTGAGAGAGGGCCAAGCTTGAAAGGTTTTCCCAGGCTGGGGGAGAGGCCCTGGTCAGGATGTGTATGGGTAAGGGGTGAGATACAGAGGTCCCTGGGGCGGGCCCAGACCTGTTTCTCCTTTGCCCAGTTTCAGTTCTGTTTTGCTTGTCCCCTTCTGTTTTGCGTTCAGAGTGGGTTGGGGTGGTGGTGGGGTGACTCTTAGCCCCCATCTTGATCCCCATGGTGGGGGATGAGGAGATGGGCTTAACTCCAGACACCACTTTCAGTCCCCCTTTCTACCCCCACCCAGGGTCCCCCAGTCTAAGGGCGGATGCGGGAGGCCTGGCTGGGTCCGTCCTCACAAGGAGGGGCAAGCTGGGCAGAGCCTGGCTGGCCTCCCCTGCTGCCATACCTTGGAGCCCACAGCCTCCAGTGGGTAGTGACTGGCCCCAAATCTAGACATAGGTAATGTTTGCTTAGTGAGCTCATGTGCTATGGGACTAAGTTGAAATGCTCTGCCCCTTACTCATACACCCTTATTGACTCACAGGTCCCCAAGGTGAGTCACGCCCACATCAGGTATTGTGGGTGTATGAGACATACACCCACTGCAAACTGGGATGCAGTTTCCAGTCCCCCTGCCAGCATGCTTAGGGCACCAGGAAGGGCAGTGGGTGCTGATGGGCCCCAGATTTACCAAAGATGACTCCAGTTGGAGGCCTTGGACTGCTGTGGGCTTGTCAGGGGCCTTTGTGGCCCTGGGAGGAGGTGTCTGGGGCTGCTCCAATGTCTTTGGGGTCTCTCAGGTTGGGGTGGATCCTTTGGGAGTGCTGGGCACTGGCAGAGACTCAGGCCGCAGGGAGGGGACTTGCTTTCCCTCTGGCTCCCTCAGGAGGCCTCAGCTGCAGTGCTGGGTGCTGGCTGTCCTCAAACCCATGTCCTCCAGCCCCCTGACGTCTTCTCATTTCCTCATCTCAGGTTTCAGCCCACTCAGGCTGACGTTGCCTTCTGATCTCGTTTTTCAGCAGCCCCCAGGTCTCCGTGGCTGCTGTGCAGAAACGCGAGTGGTTGGGGGAAGTCCACATGATGCTGGCCTTGAAGAGCCTCCTGCCAGCCAGGCCTCAGGAGGGCTCACTTCCCCATTGCAGAACTCCTGCGGAGACCCAGGGGCAATTTCTGGTCTTTAGCACAGGGCCTCTGAGGGGCTGGCTTTTCCTAGGGGCTGCCCTGGTGCTGTGGCACCGTGGGGTGGGGGATTTCGGCAACGCCAGGGGCTCGACATGGCTGAAACTTCTTTGGACAGCTCAGCTACCCCAGGTAGAAGCCTCTGTCCCTCCCGGAGCCAGGCCTGTCCCAGCTTCGAAGTCAGATGTTGGGACATGCTGTATGCCTTTGGGACGAGTAGCCCCGTGGGCTCAGAGCTCTGACAGTGAACCCAGATGGGGTTGCTGTGAGGCACTGGGCGGGTCTAAACAAACAAGGTGCTGTGTGAGTGCATAGGTGCGAACAGGCTGCTCCAAGGGACTCTTGAATTGTCTTTGCGGACAAGTGGGAGTTAGCTGGAAAAGAAGGAGCTGCGTGGTCAGAGGCGTGGAGGCAGGCAGTGGAATAACCCATGTGGAGAACTGCAAGCATTTCCACATGACTGACTGGAGTGTGAGGGGGTGTAGGAGACCGGAGGGCAGGCGGTGGGCAGGGGGCTGGAGAAGGACCCTGAGGGCTCAGCCAAGGAGCAGGACTTTTCCTGAAGCAGCAGAGGCAGAGAGCCAGGCCCCTCCTGAGCCCTCTCACTTCTGTGCAGGGACACCTCCCAGTGAAGTAGGCCTGGGCCTCAGAGGCACCCCGACCCTGGCTGCTGACTCAGCTCTGCCTCTGTGAGGGCCAGTGGGGGGCTGCCCACATGAGCCACGGAGCCATGGCATGGCCTGGGGCTGGCTCTCCTGGGCTGCCCTCCACCCAAGGTCTTGAGGTTCTGCCATTCCCTCTTCAAGGGGTCTGACCATGCAGCCCTAGGTGGGGACGGACCCTGTAGCCTGCTCACTGGTGCCTGGGGTGCCACTGCCAGTCCTGCTCTGGCGCTGATGGGGAGGCAGAGGCAGCCGCCAGAGAGAAGATCCCAGGTGGGGAGAATGTGGGCAAGAGGCCATGCTCCCTCCTGCAGCCTTCATGAAGGCTCAGAGTGTTCTGGAAGTGTTTGGGGGCTGGCCTCATCTCCTCGGCTAGCTCCAACGCCTCCCGGCTCGGCCCCCACATATCACGCTCAAGTGGACCGATCCTGACTGAGGCAGAAAGTAGAACTGGCCCCTCACCATGCGCTCCAGCCCTACTGCTGAAGGAGGCAGGATGGCACAGAGGTGAGGGCGTGAATTCTGCATCACTCAGACTTGGGGCTAGATCCTGGGTCTGGTGGGGAGCACACTGGGCTGGCAAGGCCCGTCGTGCTTTACTAGCTACCTTTGACCCAGTAATCCCACTTCCAGGAGTCTGTCTTACAGAGACACCCGAACGAATATGACAGATGCACACACACCAAGCTGCATACTTGTGATGGCAGAAGATCAAAAACATTAATAGCCATCAGCTTGGGACTGATATATCCCAATGGTATGTCCCCATGATGGAATTCAAGACAGCTCTAAAAAGAATGTGAGACTGGGTGCGGTGGCTCACGCCTGTAATCCCAGCGCTTTGGGAGGCTGAGGTGGGCAGATTACTTGAGGTCAGGAGTTGAAGACCAGCCTGGCCAACATGGCAAAACCCTGTCTCTACTAAAAATACAAAAATTATCCAGGCGTGGTGGTGTGCACCAGGTACTCGGGAGGCTGAGGCACGAGAATTGCTTGAACCTGGGAGGCGGAGGTTGCAGTGAGCTGAGATCACACCACTGCACTCCAGCCTGGGCAACAAAGCGAGACCCTGTCTCGAAAAAAAAATCTGAAAGTTTTCTGTGTATGAAAGTGCAAAAAAGCTCTGGGATTTCTGTTAAGTAAGAAAGCAAGTAAAAGTCAGTGAAGAGTAGAGAAAACACCCAATGCCCAGGCCAGGGCAGGAGGCAGCATGACGGGCTCAGGAGGCCCTGGGGAGTTTGGTGGGACCGGGAGCAAGAAGGGACAGACCAGGCAAGTGAGAAGGAGACCAGCTTGGGAGGGCCCCTGGGTGCAGAGAAGAAACTGAAAACTACCAGGAGCCAAGGGACAGTTTTCAGCAGATTCGGATCTCCTTTGTCTGGTACCAAGATCTGGCAAGTGTAAAGCAATAATCCACATTTATAATGTGCTTTGCATGCAGCATCTCATTTAAACCTCTCAGCACTGTAACCCCTATGAGAGAAGTGCTATTATCACAACATGTGGAACTGGAGCACAGGAAGGTTAAGGAACCAGTCCAAAGTCACACTGCTGGTAAACAGCAGAGCCAGAGAAAGGACCCTGAGCCCACGCCAGAATCACCTTGCTATCCTGCCTTTCACAGCGGTGTTGGATTGGAAGGGGATTGCTGGAGACCGGGGACAGTCAGGGGCTGTTATGAGTTGGGGACCCAGACGAGAAACAGTGAGGGCCTGGGGAAGGCAGCGAGTTTGGGTTGGGGATTCAAGTGTAGATTGAAAAGCTCTGAAGGATGTGGGAACGAGACCTGGTGGTGAGTGGGGCCCCTAATCCATTCACTCATTCATGCAGCAAAAGTATAGAGTGCCTACTGGGTGCCAGGTACTGTCCTGGGAGCTGGGCTTACATCAGTCACCAAAACCAACAAATGCCCCTGCCCTCAAGGGGCTTTCCTTCTAGCTGATGGAAACAGACAATAGTAATAGACATAAGAAATATGTAATTAGGTAATCTGTTAGAACCGTGGAAAGCTAAAGTAAAGGTAAGGGGGATTGGCAGCCCGTGTCCAGGAGACATCTGAAGTTTTAAGTGAGGTGGTCAGGGAAAGCGTCATCAAGAAGGTGACATTTGAACAAAGACTGAAAGAAGGTGAGGGGCGAGCTGTGCAGGTGTTTGGGGAAGGGCACTCCAGGCAGAGGGAACAGCCAGGGCAAAGGCCCGGGGCTGGGGCGTGTCTGGCGCGTTCGAGGAACAGCAGCGGGGAGGCTGTCACCCCTGTCCATCAGTGCCTGTCTCTTCTTCTGGAAACAGGGAAGGGCTACACTTCTTCCATTTGGGGTTAGGCCCAGCTGTGTAATCTGCTTTGGCCAGTGAGATACGAGTGGAAGAGATGCGTGCCACTTCCGAGCTGAAGCATGCAGGAGTCAGCGAGTGATTCCACATTCCCTTCACCCTGCCTGGAAGCAGGTGATGCTCCAGATGTCCCCGACATGGTCATGAGAGAGGACGATGCAGCGTAGCCCTCCCTGCTGACCCTCATGACGTGAAGCTGGAATGAGAAATGCCCCTCTCTGTTTTAAGGCCCAGTGAGTAGGGATGGTCACCACAGCACACCCCAGCCTGCCTCAACTGATACCCCAGGGGAGGCCTCTGCAGTGCAGCCAGAGAGAGGAGGGTGCAGGGAGGAGAGCAGAGGATGCAGGCAAGGAGGCCAGGGCACGCAATAATTCCCCGGCTTTTCCTGAGAGCGACACAGGAGCCATTGGGAAGCGTCAACTGGAGAGGTGCGATCCAGTGACATATCTGAACAGGACGGCTCTGGCCACTGTGCTGGGAACACCTGGGGGCAGGAGTGAAAAGGTGGGAGCAGGGAGACCAATTAGGAAGCTCCTGCAATGATCCAGATGAGAAATGATGGGGGCCTGGCCCAGGGTGGGGGCGGCAGTCTGACTCTGGGTCTCCTTTGAGATTAGAGCAGTAGGGTTTGCCAGTGGATGGGAGAGGGAGAGGGGTCTGGGATGCCTCGAAGGCTTTTGGTCTGAGCATCAGGAAGGAGAAAGCTGCCAGCCGGGGGTGGGGAGAATGCGGTGGTGGGGGAAGCGGGTTGGGGTGCTGTGGGGAGCGGGAGCTGGAACGGCTGAGATGCTTGTTATACATCCAAGTGGAGTGTCATGTGGGCGGCTGAGGAGAGGCCTGGCTGGGGGAGGGAGGACAGTCAGGCGTCTGTTTGGGTGTGGACAGTACAGACAGCATCTAACGGCTTGAGACTGGATGAAATCAGGAGGGGTGAAAGCTGGTGCCCCTTTCAGCATCTGGGCTGAGGACAAGGGAGAGAGAAGGGAGGGCATCTCAAGGGACATCCTGGAGGTGGTCTGGACCTCAATAGCCAGAGGGTGGGGGGCTTGAGGATGCAGGAGGAGGGGCAGGCTAGGGGTGGGAGAGGTCTGTCTCCCAGGGTGGAGGCAAGGGAGGGGAGAAAGGCCAAGGACAGACCCCTGGGTGGGGCTTCTTTGAGGGTGGCCCCAGGAGGAGGAAGTGGAACCTTGAAGGGGACAGTGATGGAGTGGGCAGGGAGGTGACAGGAAATCTGGGTGGGCGTTTCAGGAGCCAGGAGTATGGGCACATGTTTTAAGAAGAGAAAGAAAAAAGGGTCTGTGCTTTGGAATGGTGTTGAGGAGTGGAGGCAGGGGTGGCAGTGAAGTGCCCCAGACATAACAGCAGAGAGGTGATCAGTGGCCTCGGTGGGATGTTGGGGCAGGGGTTAGATCCCAGGAATTAAGGGGATGGGGAGGAGGGGGTTAATGGAGGCAGTGGGTGGAGACCGTGCTTTCCAGAGCCGAGGGCAGAGGCTGGAGGTGTGGGGGTGTGGGGCTATTGAGAGAGGGGTCCTGTGGGATGGGAAAGACTCAAGCAGCTGGTTTGATGCCCAGAGGCAGCAGTAGGCGGTGGGGGAAGGCTGAGAAGCCAGGGAGGCCAGGCAGAATGTCGGCAGGTGCCCCACAGCCTCAGTGGCTCCTGAGTCCTGAGGAAGGAGGGGAGACAGGCTAAGGTGGTGATGGGAGGGGGAACACAGGCAGAGGCAAGGAGGGGCAGAGGCAGGAGTGGAGGGAGCGTCAGCCGCTTTGATAGATAACTGATGAGACCATGTGGTGAGAAACCCATAGAACACAGGGGAAGGCCTCCAGGTAGGGCAGGCCTGCAGGCACAGAGGTGGAAGCAGGAGTGTACGGGGGCAGGTGGGTGGCCTTGGCAAAGTCATGGAGGCAGGGAAGCCTGTGGGACTTTGGGGAGCAGGATGAGAGGGGCCCAGAAGAGAGAGGCTGGGGCCTGACCATGGAGACCAGCCTGCCAGGCATGGGCATCTGTGAGTTGCTCAGCAGGCTTTGGGTGCTGCTGGAATCTTGGCCAAGCTCTGCCTGATGGAAGATGCCCACTGTCCCTGCGTCTACCTCCTGCTTGGGCTTGGGAGGGCCTCCAGGCGTTCACATCCTCTCCAGGCCTGGCCTCGAGGTCCCAAGAGGGGATAGGTGTCCAGAGGCAGGGTTGGGCTGGATGAAAATTCAGGTGAGAGGACATGACTTTGGTAGCTTGCGCCTCCTGGGAACACCTGGAAGTCACCTACTGAATCATCAGAGCCACTTGCCTGGGATGGAACTAAGGTTTCCTAAGAATCCACCCACTTCCTCTTTTCTAAAAGTCCCTTTCATCACTTCAGGGAAAAGGAACTCGTCTTCATTGACATCCCTGCATGCACGAGAGCAGGTCATGATTTACCTGGTGTGGTGCTCATGATGGCTTCATGGGGAGGGCGCTGTTGTTCTTCCCATCTGACAGGTGGGGAAGCTGAGGCCGTACAGGTACTGTGACCTACCCAAAGTCACATTGTGGAGTGAGTCTGTGGAGGTCACAGACACGGTATGGAGCATGGGGGCCCTGGCCATGGTGTTATCCGTCTCCTGCAGGTGGCTGCCAAGAAGCCTCTGTGACCTGGTAAATTCCTGATCTCTTCATCTATCTTGGGTACCGGTTTGGTTTCCTTGAATGCTTGAGGTTCCTTTCACTCTCACGGACATATGACAGAGTTCTTCCATCTCCCGTCACAGGCACTTCATGCAGGGCCCCACGCTACCATCGTGGGCTTCCTCATTCTTGCTTTGAAGGTCATGACCTCCTGGAGGCCCAGGAAGGGACATGAACCCTAATCCCCCTGGCTGGACCATTGGCTCCCTGAAGGCAGGAACCAAGTCCCAAAGCTTCATTCCCCATTTCTTTTCAGAGCCGACTCAGTCCTGGTGCCTAGGGGTGGATGGTGGGGGTCATCCCAGGAGGCACAGGTCCTGTAAGAAAGGAAGTAGCACCTACTGAGCTTTTGTTTGTTTGTTTGTTTTTGTTTTTGAGGTGGAGTCTCACTCTGTCACCCAGACTGGAGTGCAGCAGCGCGATCTTGCCTCACTGCAAACTCCACCTCCCGGGTTTAAGCTGTTCTCCTGCCTCAGCCTCCTGAGTAGCTGGGATTACAGGCGCACGCCACCACATCCAGCTAATTTTTTGTGTTTTTAGTAGAGACGGGGGTTTCGCCATGTTGGCCAGGCTGGTCTTGGACTCCTGACCTCAAGCAATCTGCCCACCTTGGCCTCCTAAAGTGCTGGGATTACAGGCGTGAGCCACCTTGCCTGGCGTTTGGATGAGCCAGGCTCTAGCACCATCTCCCCCACTCCTTTACAGGAACCCTCTGAGGACGATGTTACTGTCAGCACCCCCATTTTACAGGTGAGGGAATGAAGGTGACATAGCTGGCTTCCAGCCCTCATCTCTGAGCCCAGAGCCTGTACGCTGTACACTCGAGCAGGCAGAGACTGCACAAGCAGAGAGCAGGCCTCTGTGGGTCACGACAGGGGAGCCAGGTCAGCCCCGTCACGCATGGGCCCCCAGCACTGGCTGGCAGCCCCCCTCGGGGGCCAATCCCGAGTCCCCACTGGGAGGTCCAGCAGTGAGTGCTCCATGGTGCCCTGGTGACGGGGGGGGCCTGTGAGGCAGGCCGTGAGCCAAATGTCCCCACACAGCCTATCTCAGGCCACTCACAGAAAAGGAAAGAAAATATCTTGAGATCTTTTCTGGCCTTATCAGCCCCACACAGAGGCCCCGCTGTGGTGTGGTAACAGGGTCCGTGAGTGTGTGCTCAGATAAGCGCCAGGCGTTTCTGAGAACCTGCAAGGCACCGTCCTGAGTTCCCCCTCTCTAGAACATTCTTCTTCCACATGCTGCACAACTGGTTCCCTTAGGTCCTCAGGGCATATTCTTAGAGAGGCCCTCCTTGACCAGCCTTCTCAACCCCTTGCCCTCCCCTCCTGCCTCCAGCTTCGTCTCCCTCCTGGACACTCCCCGTCTCTGGGAGCCTCCTGCGGGTTCCTGGCTGGTGTCTGTTTTCCCAGCATGAGGGAAGCTCCTGGAGGGCAAGAGGCACATCTGTCTGGGCCTCGGGATCCTGGTGCTGCTCAGTAATGTCCATTGCCAGAGTGAGGCAGGGAAGGAGGTCTCAGCCCTAAGGTGTTCTTGGCATAGGGCCTGGCCTATGCGTGTATTTTATCTAATCCCTCTAACGACTTTACAAGGCAAAATTTATTATCTTCATTTCATAAATGAAGGAGCTCAGAATATAAAGCAGCTTGTGGGAGATCACAGAGAGTGTTAGTGGAAATTTGAACCAGGGGGGTCTGTGAGGCTCCAAAGAGGTGGGTGATGCCCCCTGAGCTGAAGGGGTGGGGCAGGAGACCCGTCCTAGCCTGGGCTCAGCTGCAGCCTCGCTCTGGGACTGTGGGCCGCAGGCTTCTCTTTGTATACTGGGGCTGGGGTCGCTCCCTGAGCTAAGATCCTGGCTCCAATGGAAGAAAGGTGATTTGCAGTGAGGGGGGTGAGGGGGCTTGGAGCCTCGGAGGAAGGGGTTGAAGCTGGGTAGGGAACAAGGGGCAGGATCCTCCTGAGGTGCCAGCATGGGAAACCGTGGGGGAAGGGCTTGGCCACAGGAATGAACTCAAAAAAGGGATCGAAGCACCCTGAGCTCCGAGCTGGATGCACAGGTGGGTGAGCCTTGGAAGCAGGAGGGACCTCCAGGGGGAGGGCACAGCAGCCGCATCCAGGCTGGGTGTCCCTGGGCCACAAGCTCAGCCTCTCTGTGGCTTTCCCAGCTTCAAGCAGAAGCTCAACCCTGGGAGAAGCGCTCTCTCGGGTTCCCCTGCTCCTAGCCCCAAGGACCCAGCCTGCTAGGTCCCACCAGCCCTGAAGCTAGGTCCACAGGTGCATATGGGCTCCCTCGGCTGCTGGCTTCCTGCCCAGCCCTCCTTCGGCAGCGCTCACTGGCTGGAGAGCAGGGGTCTCCTGAGGGGTGGGGCAGGGGCCAGGGCTTGCCCTCTGATCCTACCCCTAACATTGCCTGGGCCCAGGGCAGGAGTAAAAATGGAGGCCCACATACTATATGTCTGGATATTTCAAAGTTATAAATCAAGCCAACAACCTCTAAATAGGATATGCTCTATCCTCCTACATTAGCAAATACACCTTCATAACACCCTGAGGACCAGGTTTGTACTTAGAATTCTTGGGCTCCTGGAATGCAGGACTGGAATGTGGCAGGCAGAGGCTGAGCCAACCCCAGCTCCCATCCCGGGCTCCCCCTTGGGCAGTGTGTGACCTTCCCAGACCCATCCATATACGTAGCAGTGGCTGCCCCTTGGCCACTCCCGAGGCCTTGGGGTGTGCACACCCGCTGCAGGTCGGTTCTCAGGAAGGCAGGCCCAGCGGAAAGGCCCACGTGGGCTGTGGAGTTAGATTTGGGGCCCTGTGGGCAGGGAATTCTGGGGTTCTGCATTTGGAGGGGGGATGTGGGGCTCGGGTGGACACATTTCCTTGGCTCATGGACTTTATTTCCCTGTTGGAGGGGCAAGGCCAGTGGAAGGCTGGAGTGGAATCCTCTAGAATGCAGGTGCCAGGGCAGGGCTCCTTCTTGCTTGCATCTAAGGGTAATGCTGTCCCCGGGCACTCCCAGAACCTGGCTATGGATAAAATGTCCCTACCCTGCTTACATCTCAGCATCTGAGGTACCCTGGAGCCACACTGGACTTGCCTACCTTGCCCCACCCACAGTCTATGGTGCTGGCATTCCCTCACCCTGGACGCTGGCACTCTTCTCTGGCACCATCCCCTCCCTTCCTGCCCAGCATGCCCACTTTCCTCATGTGGCAGGGGAGGGGGCGCCTCCTGTTCCCCACCTCTCTGGGACCTTGGTCTCCGCCGGTCCATGTGCTCTCTCTGCCTGGTCTGGCTCGGTGGACCTCTCGGTGCCGAGCCCTCCCGCCCTGACCGGGGGCCCTGCGGGCAGTGGGCAGCCCTCCTGGAAAGTGGGGCACCAACTCCACTTCAGCCAATGTTTCTCGCTCTCTCAGCTGAAAAGCCACCGCTTCCCCGAGGCTCCCAGCCCTCGCCCCACCGGTACTAGCAGCTCCTTCCCTGATGCTGTGTGACAGGCCCAACGTCAGGGCTCCCACACCTGGCCAGCTGCCCTGCTACTGGGTGCCTCCCCCACAACACCTGCCACAAGCCAATCAGGGCACTGCAGCCCCTGCTGTATGGGTGCTGTCTGCCTTTGGGCCCAGGATGGGCCCTTCTGGGCTCCCCTGTTCCTGTCCAGTCTCGCCTCCCACCCTGAGGGGGATCATGGCAAAAAAAGTGGGGGTGGTGAGCGGACCCTGCTGTCAGGGTTGAGAGGTGATTCAGAGGCCTTTTCTGTCACGAGTGAAGGGGGTTGGGCCCTGGGGGGAGGTGATGGGGATTTTTGGACTGAGCTGTGCCCCGAGGGCCTTGATCAGCTTTGGCCCCCGAGTATCTGATCAGGAACATGCTGGCTGGAACACTCAGGGAGAGGCCGTCCTGTGCCTCCTCAGCCTACAGTCCACGGTGCTGGCCGCCACCTCAGGAACGACTCCTGCAGACGTGGCCCCTTCCCATGTTTCTTTGTTCACGGCTGGCCTGGTTCTTGCTGTGTCAGCATCGGCACCATCCCCTGCCAGGCATGGCCGCAGTCCCACAACCAGCATGGCTCCCTAGGGAGGACAATGCCGGGTGGGAGGGTCCCGGCTGTGGGGACCAGGTCTGGGCCTAGGCAAGGAGAGTGCCCATCTCATCCTGCCAGATAATGGATAGAGGGAGAGGCACCCACTTGCCCCCTGTGCAGCTGTGGGTTTCCCTGGACAGGCTTGTGCCTGCCACCCTGGGGAGGCCCCTCCTTCTCCTCTCTCCTCATCAGGATGGCCTGGCCTGTCTCCCTCCTGCTACAACGCCCCTCCCTGCTGGCCCAGCAGGGTCCAGGAGCCTGAGCTACTGGGACATACCCAGCTTACAATGGACAATGAGCCCAGATCTTCCTCTGCAAGCCAGCCGGTGCCGGGAGGCGAGACAGGCCAGGTCGGTTACCTGAGGGGGATCTCTGAGCGCCTCCTCTGCTCTGCCCTTTGCACCTGCTGAGCCCATCTCAATGCCTTCCTCCCTCCTTGTTGCCCTTGAGCCCCCCACAGCACCCTTCTCCGGGAAGCCTTCCTGACTGCAGAATTCCCCAGCATGAGTCTGAGTGAAGGACCCATCCCTACAGGTCCCTGTCCTGGGAGTCAAGGCTCCTGGGAGCTGGCCCAGATATCCTTTTAGCCATAGCCCAACCCCCTCCTTGGCTCATGCTAGGCCCTTGGGCTCAGTAGAGACTTTCACAAGAGGTGGGGGCTTGTGGTGGCCACAGCATGCTGGCCTATGGCTTGTGGCTCAGTTGCCCATCTGAGAAATAGGGGCGCTGTCGCTTCCTCTGCCAGCAATGGTCTCCATCCCTCCCCGCCTCTCCGGTTTCCTTTATGGAGCAGCTCAGCTGTTTCCCAGTTGGGAAGCGCCCTGCTCCTCTGGGAAGGGCTCAGGAAGCAATTGAGGATCTGACCTCATGTTTCCGTCCATCCAGCCCTGTCTGGTGCTGCCAGATGTCTGAGGAGCTTCTGTGGGGGAGGGGGAAGGGGTAGGAGATGGGGCTGCAGGACTAGGGGCTGGATCTAACTCCAGCCCCTCTTGGGATGAGGCTGTTGTCCCTTTTGATGGGGAACTGAGGTCCCAAGTTGAGGGGAGCTCAGGCTGCAAAGCTGGCTGCCCGTGCCTTCCTGCTCAGAGCTACCCCTGGCATGTGCTAAGGAATTTGCAGGGGAAAAAATACAACTGGATGCCAGGCCTTGAGGCCACCTGAGGCCCACAGGCTGTGAGAATGCAGGTTTGGGCTGGAGCTAGCACAGAAGCAAGGTCTGCCAGGGGCCAGGAAAGGCAGGAGGCTGACCTCAGCTTGGGGGATGGGGTGGGAGGGTCAAGAGGACAACAGGCGAGGGAGGCAGCGGCTGGTCTGAGTGCCCCGAGGAGCCTGCCCAGGTGGGAGGCTGCCAGCCAGGCCCTGGGAAGGGGACTTCTGGGGCACTGCACCCTCTCTGGGAGTACCACTGAGCAGGGCGGGCAGGAAGGCTGGGCTTATTGCGTTTCAGGACCAGTCACTTCCTCTCTCTGGACCACACCTTTCAGATGAGCTCACCACCTACTTCAGTGCCCAGCCCACCCTGATGTTGCAGGAGCAAATAAGGTGATGAAGACTCTGAAAAGCAGAAATGTGGTATTATTAGTAGACTTCATATTTGACTTGCTAATTCACTTCCTAAAAATAGCTACATTTATTATAGCATGGGGAGAACCCTATGCTAGAGTTGGCGCCCTGGATTCTTGGTGCGGCTCTGTGACAGCTATGCTGTGTGACCTTGGGCTGGGTCCTAACCATTTCTGGTCGTCTGATTTCTAGGTGGAGGCTGGATAGTCCCTGAGGGCCATAGGCCCTGAGATTGGAACAGCAGCTGGATGCAAAATCATCAAGGAGGATGTGGACTGGATGTGGGCTCTGGAGGACTGGCTTCCTCTGAGTCACGGGTCAGAGCAATTGGTGCCACTGAGGCTGCCCCTGTAACCTGTTGGAGGGGTATTGAGTCTTGTGTCTTGCCTTGATCTTGAGGCCCCAGGGGCAGGTTGCCTGGTCCCCACCACAGAGCCCAACCATTAGGAGGCTCCAAGGACTGCAGATGAAAAGGGTCACAGAGAGGAGCTAGAGCCAGATGGGGTGGGGTGGGGGAAACCGTGGGACATCCAGCTGGCTGGGGAACCCACTCATTCACAGCACGTTTACTGAGGGCCTTCTATGTGCCTAGCACTGACTCTGCCACATGCTGCAGAGACAATGGAGGGTGAACTAGACCAGGCCCTGGTCCCTGCCCTCCTGGAGCTTCAGCTGTAGTACAGGAGGCAGGCACTCATCACTAACCACACAACTAAACTCTACAAAGGGCTCAGAGAGGGGTGCATGGTGCCAGGAGCACATGTAATGGGGGATTTGACTTAGGTGAGAGGTCAGAGAAAGCTCACTGGAGGAGGTGACATGGGTTGAAACCTGAAGGATGAGTAGGTACCTGCTAGGCAAAGCAGGGGTGGTAGGGGAATGCTAGGCAGAAGGAAGAGCAGAAACACTGGCCAGGTGGTGAGCAGGGGGTGCAGAGGGGCTAAGGGGAAGCCAGAGTGGCTGCAGTGGACACCGGGACCCAGGAGTCCTGCCTTTACCATCAGCTTGGTGAAAAAGCCCCTGAAGAGGAGATTTTTGATCTGAAGCAGCTGCTATGTGGGCCTGATGGTGGTTGAACCAGAGTGCGGGGGTTTAGATGGCCACGGGCCAGACTCAGACGTCAGCATGAGGCAACGGAAGGGATCAAGGTGGTTGTGTCTAGAGACACTGATTCATAGAAACTCTGGCCTGGAAGTGCACATGTCTGAGGACACAGGTTACCTGGTGGGTGTTTCTTCCTCCTTCCTGCACTCTCCTGTCTGGTTTCAGTTCTTCTGTCAGCCCCGTGAGTCACCGGCTCCTCCAGGTGGTGCAGGCCCGGGACCTGCCAGGATGCTGTCCCCACCCCCTGAATGTGCCCCCATCTCCATTTTCCTTGCCCCTCTGTCCCTGGGTGCCTGCTGTGACTCCCCAAGCCCCTGCCCACCCTGTCTGCTCTCTGTGTGGTGGAACCATCAGCCTGGGAGAACTGAAGAGTTAATTGTAGGACAACTGGCCCTGACAGGGGCTTTCCAGTAGACAGTGTGTGAACTTTGGTGTATGGTGGCATTGATGGGAAACCAAGGGGAGTGGTGCTGAAAGGGGCCCCTTGGAGACCATCTGTCCATGCTGCACAGGGCACAGTGGGCTTGGGGCTGAGGACCACCACGAAGCCTAGTAGCAGGGGATGGGAACCCCTAGCCCCCTGGTATTTTAAATCTTGGGAGAGGCAGGTGCGTGGGGCCTTTCTGACCTGGGGCCTCAAGATCCCCTGCCTCCTAGATCTTGTATTGCCAGCTGCTGTGGGGCTTTTGCCCCGAGAAGCTGGACTCCTGGGATTTTGAAGGGAGGCCTTGGGGGCACTCATTATAGCAGGGGTTCCCGCTGGGACCAGATCCAGAAGTTTGGTTAGGAATACAAGCCCTCGCCATTGGGAAGGGTCCCAGGGCTGATGGGGGTGACACGGAGCCCCCTGCACCCTGGCCATCTCTCCTGGGGGCCAGAGTGGCTCATCTTCTTGACCCCTGCGGCCCTGCTCACTCCCCCATGCCCCTGCTCTTCTTTAGCCATCCTGGAGAAAATTCTCTCTTGTCGCACCTAAGAGGGTCCTGAAACAGCAATAAGGACATCTAGCCCCTGTCTTCACATAGCACTGCAGTTGGCCACCCTTTCCCCACCTTCTCCTAGAGCATTATTTTGGGAAAGGGACACTCCCGGAATTGAGGTTGGATACTCAGTATAGAGGCCTCTAGAAGTTTCTCCTTAGGTCTAGCCTCCTTTGCAGGACAACTTTCTGTGGAAACCTGTGGCCTGGGAGACAGTCTCTTCTCCAGCCCCTTCCCCTCTCGAGAGAGCAGACTTTGGATGGAGCTGGGTGCATTTCTAGAATGTTCTCTCAACTGGTGGAGGTGCAAGGAGAAAGGAAGGGCTTGTTTCCTCCCTCGCTCAGGTTAGAAGGAGCTGGCATCAGAATGGGGCCGGGGAGTCCCATGCTCAGCTCTGTGTGCTGTTCTTCCCACCCCAGAAACCCTGCCTCCCACCTATGCCTTCTGTGTCCCCAGCCCTGGTTCTGCCCTGGGACCTTGGGATGGGCCTGAGGGCAGTGGCTGGGAGTCTGGGAGCTGTCACTCCTGGGGCAGTACCGCCCCCTGCTGGCCACCCAGAGAGGCCCGGAGGCTAGAAGTTTCATTCAGTGCCTGCTGGTCAGCCCAGTGCCAGCTGATTGGCCCCGTGGGGCTGGTTCCTGGGTTCTCCAGGAACAGCCTGGGTGCGCTCTGGCACAGATTCTGGCTTGGTCTCTGGCAGGCTGAGTGGTTTTAGACGAATTTCTCTTCCTGACTGGGTGGGCCTCAATTTCCTGATCTGTACAAAGAGTAGGGTGACTCAAGGAGGTTCCTCCCAGGTTTCAGATTTGGAGCCTGCTCCTAGCCTGCCTCTTCATTCCCGTTCCTGCTCTCCCTGCCCTCAAGGCCTCCCAGCCCCTTCTGGCCTCGCTCTCTACTTGGCAGGTCCCAGTGCCAGCAGCCCCCACCTGCCCTCCACTTCCCTGGGCCCCCCTCCCGCCGCCACAGGCTGCCTCCCCTCCCACTTGGCCCCTCACTCAGTGCTGGGCCTGGCTGGCTGAGGTGGGTGGAGGAGCACCCCCAATCCTCCTCCCACTCAGGCATGAACCGTTGTGACTGGGCTCCTAGCGAGTAGGTAAGACATCATACATTATCCAGTTTGCCAACTGTAAAATGGGATAATAACACCCAACTCCCAGAGTTGTTATGAGGATTAAACAAAATAATGACACATTTGTGAAAGAGCTTTGTAGGTAGGTGGAGAGTCTGTGTCAGAGGAGGGGTCAAGAGTAACTTGGGCAGGCTGCCTGGATGGTCCCTGAGGCCAACAGCGGAAGGCTGGACGACCTAGACAAGCCCTCGCTGGACACCACCCACCCTCCTGGGGTTGGAAGTCAGGTCAGACCCCTGGGAGTCCAGTCCTGATCTCCTGTGGTGAGAGAGGCCTGGAGTCTGGCAAGAGAACTCTGCCGGGCATAGCTCCATGACTTACCAGTCCCAGCAGAGACATGGGAGCGGTGGGGGAGCCAGAGACAGACCTCTCAGCACCCCTGGGACAGGAGGGGCTCTCAGTCTCTGCAGGAAAGAAAGCAAGACATTCCATAGGCACCATAGGCACCAAGACATTCCAAAGGCACAACATTGATCAGAGACTTAAGACTATCCTGAAGGCTCTCCACTCATCTCAGGAGAAATTTCCCAGGCCTTAGTTGAGCATTGAAGGTCTTAAGGACTTAAGGACCTGGCTCCTGTGCCCCTTTCTGCTTTGTTTTACCCCTCCCTTCTGTCCTCTATCGGCCACTCTGAATTCCTTGGCAACCAGACTATTCACAGGCAACTCTAGGAGAGAGATACTATTAAGACAACGATGCACAGAGAGGTTGAGCAGCTTGCTTAAGGCCACACAGTCAGTGAGTGGAGGAGCAGGGGATGGAATGCACTGGAGCCCTGCCCCTAACCTCCACGCTATGCTGCTCTCAGGACACATGGGAGGGGGCGGGTTTAGGCGGGGAGAGCAGGGAGGGGCCTTTTCAGAATTTAGGGGACAGAGGATGGTGGCCTGATGGGCAGGGCTCGGGGTCTGGGAAGAGAGGGGTGGGGTTTGGAGACACTTGGAAGAAGGAGCAGGGGGAGCAGCAGTTTGACGCTTTGAAGACTGGATGAAAGGGGCCTGGGGTGAGGGGCAGGGGCAGAGGAAGCTGGTGGGGTTGGATTTGGGTGTGGCATGGGTGTGGGCCTGGGGGCCACCCAGATGGTCGAGTTGTGGGAGGTGGGATGCTGGGGCTCAGGAGTGGAGCCCCTTGGGATTGCCAGCTCTGTGCCTAGGACTGAGTGTGGGCACCTGGCGGGAGGTGGTATGTACAGTGAGAAGTCCCAGGGAGCCTCCACATCAGGGCTGTCTCAGAAACTGGTGGGGCTAAGGAACCAGGCGAGGTTTAGGGGAGCTGGACACCTGTCCAGGAGAGGACCAGTAGGGGGGACAGTATCCATTGGCACACCCAGGGCAGAGGGAGTAGTAGCCCCAGAGACTTGAGATGGGACCTGTGGGTAGAAAAAAAAGAGGAGGTGGGGCGTGATGACTCATGCCTGTAATCTCAGCACTTTGGGAGGCCGAGGTGGGTGGATCATGAAGTCAGGAGTTCAAGACCAGCCTGGCCAACATGGTGAAACCCTGTCTCTACTAAAAAAATAGGCTGGCTGTGGTGGCTCGTGCCTGTAATCCCAGCACTTTGGGAGGCCGAGGTGGGTGGATCATGAGGTCAGGAGTACAAGACCAGCCTGGCCAACATGGTGAAACCCCGTCTCTACTAAAAATATAGGCTGGGCGTGGTGGCTAGTGCCTGTAATCCCAGCACTTTGGGAGGCCGAGGTAGGTGGATCACTTGAAGTCAGGAGTTTGACACCAGCCTGGGCAACAGGGTGAAACCCCATCTCTACTAAAAAATACAAAATTTAGTTGGTCGTGGTGGTGGGCACCTGTAATCCCAGCTACTGGTGAGGTGAGGCAGGAGAATTGCTTGAACCTGGGAGGCGGAGGTTGCAGTGAGCCAAGATTGTGCCATTGCACTCCAACCTGGGCAAAGAAGCGAGACTCCGTCTCAAAAAAAAAAAAAAAAAAATATTAGCCGGATGTGGTGGCGGGCACCTGTAATCCCAGCTACTTGGCAGGCTGAGGCAGAGAATCGCTTGAACCTGGGAGGCGGAGGTTACAGTGAGCCGAGATCGCACCACTGCACTCCAGCCTGGGCGACAGAGCAAGACTCCATCTCAAAAAAAAGAAAAAGAAAAAGAAAACGGAAAAAAATTGCACAGAGGAGGCTGGATGTGGTAGGTCATGCCTGTAATCCCAGAACTTTGGGAAGCTGAGGCGGGTGGATCACCTGAGGTCAGGAGTTCGAGACCAGCCTGGCCAACATGGCGAAACCCTGTCTCTACTAAAAACACGAAAATTAGCCAGGTGTGGTAGTGTGTGCCTATAGTCCCAGCTACTCAGGAGGCTGAGGTGGGAGAAACTCTTGAACCCGGGAGCCAGAGGCTGCAGTTAGTCGAGATCATGCCACTGCACTCCAGCCTGGGCAACAGAGTAAGACTCTGTTTCAAAAAAACAAAACAAAACAACAACAACAACAAAATCTCCAAACAACAACAAAAAAGAAATTGCACAGAGGGAAGCTTATCTTGATGGAAGAAAAGCTTTCTCATTAATGGAGTACCCAAATGTCACAGAGGCTTGGGGTACTAATCCCAGTCACAGGAGGCATCAGAGGCAGGGCTGGATGGCTGCTCTGCAGGGTGAGGGCTGTTGCTAAGGGAGCTTCAGTGGTGGTGATGGACATGAGGCCGGGGAACCTGTACCTAGTGGAAGGACCATTGCTTTCTAAACTTAAACAGCCCCTTTCCTGGGGAACAAGCTCTAACTCATGCTGTGAAACCACGACCCGCCCCGGCATTCTAAGACTCACCTGCTGTGTAGACGGAGGCCTTCTGCATCACCAGAAGGAGTCCCTCTCCCCTCCCCCATGTCGCAAGCTCATCATCTTGAGGGACTTTCCCTGTCTCTCTTCATCCCACACCCACCCCAGGGCAGGCCTTTGAACCAAGGTTTCCTTCCTGGTCTGGCATGAAAGGAAGCCAGGAGGGAGACGTCAGCAGCAGCCACGGGCACTCCCACTCCATTCCAGCTGGCCTGGGGGCTGCGGTTGACAGGCTGGCCCCAGGGAGGGGTTCCTGAGATGTTTCCTTACATGCGTAACTGGAATTGCACAGCTTGGTAATTAGGAGAGGCAGCAAAGTGTTCTATAAATGACTGTAATTATGGCCAACATGGCGAAACCCGTCTCTACTAAAAAATACAAAAAAATTAGCCAGGCATGGCGGCAGGTCCCCCTGTAATCCCAGCTACTTAGGAGGCTGAGGTAGGAGAATCGCTTGAACCCAGGAGGTGGAGGTTGCAGTGAGCCAAGATCAAGTCACTGCACTCCAGCCTGGGCGATAAGAACGAAACTCTGTCTCAAAAAAAAAAAAAAAAAAAAGGCTGTAATTATAGTTACTTTCTGAAGCCAAACCAGAATTTCCAGGATCACCTGGGGGAACCGGGTGAAGGGGAGAGGAGGAGGGAGGGGAAGATCTGGTTGTGAAGTGTCAGTTGTGGGCCAGACTTCCTCCATGAGCTATATACATGTTCACAAGGCCCCTCTGCAGACTTCTTGGGGGTCTAGATCACCAGCGGGCCTGGAACCCATCTGGTTCGGACCCCAATTTGACAGAGGCGAGAAGCCTAGAGAATGGAGTGGACTTGGTCCAAGTGACAGAGGCATCAGCAGCAGAACCTGGGCTGGAACCCAGCCATCCCATCAGCCAGACTGAGACACACATTTTTAGTTTTTGGACCACGCCAAACACTTTGTTTTCTCCTGGTCTTTCCCCAGTGTCCTCTCTAGCCTGGCACTCTCTCCTTACCCTTTTCTGGGATATATTTACCCTCCCCTTTGTTCTCTATAATGCTGCCTCCTCCAAGAAGCCTTCCCTGAACCCCTGCACAGAGTGTCTCCTCTGGTTCTCCGTGGCCCCCATGCATCCCTCTGTCCCCCCACAGACCGGCCCACCCTGGGTAGACCTGTCGCCTTCAGAGAGCAGGGACCACACTCAATTCCCAGTGATGGGCCTGCAGCCAGCTGGTACCGGCTCATAGGTGCTGGTGGCCACATTTTCAGAATTTTGCGAACGAGTTGTTAAGCACAGTCATTGTCGGTACTTAAATTATATAACCTTAAATACATTTTGTTAAAAAAGGAAATACCCACTAGCAACTCATCATTTCCTAATTATTTTACTATATGTTACCATTATTCATGCTCGTAAGGTAATTTGTGTCTATTGCACCTGGTGGTGCACACACTTTGTGATGTTGTGAACCAGCTCCACGCTCAGTGACAAAATACTGCTGGCTTTATATCTGCCAGGGTAGGAATATTTGCACCACAGAAATAGGCAAAGACTACAAATCAGGGCCCCTCACCCCAGTCCAGAGACCTGGTTGTTAAACACTGTTCAGCTCACCCCTGAATTTGCCTCTGACTTTCTGGCCCTGACAGCAGGCTTCGCACCTGGCAGATTTGGCAGGTGCTCAGTGAGGAAGGGCCACCGCGCAGGAGGAGAGAGGATGCAGGCTTAACCATGGGAGGAGGGACTGCCTGCTTCTGCCCCCAGTGCTGGCTCTGGCCTCTGCCCCATTTTCTGACCCCTACCCAGGGCTCTCACAGGGGTGTAGGTAAGCCCTGTGGCAGGGGCCTGCATCTTGGATTTGGGCGAAGCCTCTTTCCCAGGCCAGGGCTGAGGGGCCCCAGAGAGTCAGGCAGGTGTAGGTGGCCTTGGCAGGGCTCACAGAGAGCTGGGCCTGGAGGGGTTCCTGGCTCTTCCTCTTCCAAATTGTACATGGCAGTGTGCCACCTTCCTGCACCCCTCCCAGCCTGGCCACAGCAGGTGGAGTGGGTGGAAAGGCCGTGGGGCTGGGAGGCTTCAGAGAGGCATTTAGTGGGTTTTGGCATTTTGCAATGCACAGGTCAGATTTTGGGCTAAGGGTGTTTGCAGGGATGTGTTGGAGTTAAAGGTCACAACACACCTATAAAAACTGGAAATGGTCAATTATTGTCAGTGTCAAGAAGAAAAATTGCCCCTTTGTTGCCCTTTCACTACAGCAGAGTGCTACTTCAAACAAACCAATACGCAAATGCCAGCCCACAGGTGTGTTCTGGGAGGGATCTATCTAAGAATGATCTGGCCCTAAGTATCAATAGTGCTGAGGCTGAGAAACCCTGCCCCAGAAAGATGTTCTCACACACACCCAATTTTAGGGGACCCTTCAGTCCCGAGTAAAGAACCCCTGGTCTCTGCAACCTTAGTTTACAGAAGAGAAACTAACCAAGAGCTGAGGTGGGGGTGGTAAAGAGTGTGCTCAAGATCACCCAGCAAGTCCCCCTTGTGCACTCAGCAAGGTGCCTGCCCACAGTAGCGGCTCAGTAAATGTTAAATTGGGAAGAAAATCAGGAAAGGATTAGGCTCTGGCCTGAAACTCTTCTCAAGGTTGCCCTGGAAAGGATCCCACCAGCATCCCCTTGATCCTTGTTGGACTCCAGCTTCTTGGCAGCAGTTGCTGCTGCTGATTGGCATCTTCTTGACTGACATGAGGAGGCCCGATCCTGGCTGATGGTGGAGGCAGGCAAGGCTGCCTATAAGGTAAGGAAGAGAGTGGGTCAAGGTCAATTTCACACATCTAAGCCAGAGGGGACACAGTGGTTACAAGGGTTCACCATGGTGGCAGGCACCCAGGGTATTGGAGAGCTGGGCCACCCATGGTGATGGGTGGGCTAGGACAGGTTCCTGCAAGGTGTGTGGGGTTTATGTGCAGGTTGAGCTCAGATTTTCTGACCCTACCTGCCTGATGACCCAAGGTCCTTAATTAGCTAGATGCTCCTGTCTGGTGCCTGCTTCTGGAACTGGCCTTAAAGAGCCCACAAGGGTAATATCTGTGGGGGCCTCAGCTGCCACCTCTGCTCGCCATCCTTCCCTCCCTCTTCAACGGAAGCAAAATTGCATAGGTTTATGAATGTCAGATTTATAGCTCTACTTCAGGGTTCATATCCCAGATTTGCTTCTTATTGGCTGTGTGACCTTAGGCAAGTTATTCAACTTGTTTTTTTCCTCAGCTGTAGAATGGGGTTAACACAATTGTATCCACCTTGATAGGGTTAATGGCAGGATCAAATTAATTTTTTTTTGAGACCAAGTTTCACTCTTGTTGCCCAAGCTGGAGTGTAGTGGTGCGATCTCGGATCACTGCCACCCTCCTGGGTTCAAGCGATTCTCCTGCCTCAGTCTCCCAAGTAGCTGGGGTTACAGGCATGCACCACTATGGCCGGCTAATTTTGTATTTTTAATAGAGTCAGGGTTTCACCATGTTGGCCAGGCTAGTCTTGAACTGCTGACCTCAGGTGATCCACCCACCTCGGCCTCCCAAAGTGTTGGGATTACAGGCATGAGCCACCACGTCCGGCCCAAATTACTTAATTTTTTTTTTTAACAGATCAGTCAGAGGGATGGCTGGCCTAGAGTAACCAGTCAACAAATAGGAACTAATACCAGTACGGTTTTTATTGGGTTCCTCACACCCTCCACGGATGGTGAGAACTAACTTAAGTCTCCTTTTCTCTCGAGCATCTCCATCTTTCTGCTGCCCTCTAGTGGAGCCCGGCTGTATGTCCTGAGAGGACACGAGATGAACTTGGTTGTGTCCGGAGAGGTAATTTCTTGCTTCAGATTTCAAAGAAAGTGTGCCATTTAAGGAAACCTGGTGATTGGTTCTTGTACAGAGTCAAACAACTAGTTTCTCCCCCATCCTCCCAAGCGGAATGCACCTGTGGTTGGCATTTGTGTGCTGGTTTGTTGGAAGCAGCACTTTACTACAGTGAAAGGGCAACAAGGGCAATTTTTCTTCTTGACATTGATGATAATTGGCCATTTTCACTTTTTACAGGTGCAGTAACCCCAACATATTTCTGTAAACTTCCTTACCTGAGCTTTTATAGCAACCAGGTGGGGCCACATGTTGTCCCAGCCTGGTCCCCTGCTCCCATGGACCTTGCGAGAAGCGAAAGGACAACCACAGAGGGTGGGGGTTCTGTGCTGGGCACTGGGTGTGCAAAGCTGTATGTGATGTAACCGTGGACCTTGGAGAGAGGTTTCTTTAAGGGAAAGATGAGGATGGAGCGGGGCAGGGGGCAGGATAGGAAGGAGCCTGGATACCTACCTGGTCTGGCTGCTGGGAGGTCAGTGAGAGCGAGGGGAGGGGCAGGCCAGAGTACTGGATTGGAATAGTCCCCGGGCCCCCTGCTGGGGAAACTGAGTTCTGGGAGGGACAAAGCTGTGCCGCACACCTGGCTACCTGAGGGACCCTGGAGCTTGGTCTGTCGCAGCACACCTGTGTCTGCGGGCAACACGGCCGATGGCCACTCCAGATGCTCGATCAATTCTGCAGCTTAGGCCAGTCTCAGAAGGCTCCGCAACACCTGCGCCAGGTCTCTGCGCCTTCCCCACGCGTTCACGCTCCAGGTCCTCACGCCTCTCAGCCCTGGCCTTGGTCCCGCCCCCTCATGGCCAGCCAATCCGAGAACCCCAGCAACCCCCTCGTCCAATGCGGCGCCTCCGGGTCCGCGCCCGCCCCGCCCCCTCCACCGCAGCCTCTGTAGGTGGATGCTTTCCGCTGCTCCGGCCGCCGGCGCCCGAAGCCAGCATCCCAGCTGCGGCCCCCACCAGGAGGTGCTGGAGGGGACTGCGGCTCGTGCCCCGGAGCCAGTCCTAGGCTCCGGAGCCAAGCGTGTCTCCCGGCCTCGTTCCCAGGATCTCCCTTCTGGAAGCCGCACCTTCTTCTCGTGCGCCCTCCCCACGGGCAGGGGATACATCCCGGAAGCGGTGCAGGGGAAGGCTCTGTGGACAGGGGCGCGGGCTCTGGCTTCAGCCCTGTTCTGGCTCTCCTGGATCCTCCCCTCAGGCCCTCAGCCTCCTTATCTGACAAACGGGGATTTGCGGCTGCCGGGGTTGGCTCTGGGACCATTTAGCCTACAGTGCGAGTTCGGACGGAACGGACCATGTAAACCAAATAAGTCCACTGTGGGCTGTGGCTGGCTCTCCCACTCCTTTCCTGGCCCCCCGGTAGGGCCCAGACTCAGCCCGGGGCCCCCAGTCCCCTGCCTCGCGAGCCCACCTCCTTCCTGCACGCGGGCGGCTGGGTGTCCGAGCCCGGCGCTGTTGCTGTGGGCTTTGGCTCCACCTAGTGGCACAAGGTTTGATCTGAGAGGCGCCGGCTGAGGCTCTGGAGTGAAGGAAGCGGTATCTGAATGGCTGAGAGAGAGACTGGAGCAAGGACAAAGTGGCATTTCTCTGCCTCAGCTTCTGCCGCAGACCTGGCTGAGGGTGGCCTCAGTCCACTCCGCCCTCTGGTTCCGAGGGGAGGCTGGGGTACTGTGCACTTGCCTGTGCTACTGTGTTAGCTTTTTCATGTTCTCCTTGTGGGGTGCTGTCCTTGTGCCACGTGGAAGCCTCTCATAGCCCGCTGGCCCCATGCACACCTGCCTGGAACACTGAGGCTATAGTCGTCGAATAAGTGTGGGCCACCGCTCTGTGGCCGACTATGTAAACCAGGCAGGTGGCCCTTCCCCTCCTGCCCCCACTACCTACTGTCCCCAGGAGGGAAGAGGTGCCCATGCCAACCTCCGTGGCTCACTGGTCTTGAATCTTAGTGCCCTTAGCAGCCCCAGCCACTGGTTGCAGTAAGAAGCTTCTTGCTTACATGACATGGCATGGCATGGCTTCTGTGCCCTTGTCTGACTGGCCCCATCCTCTTCCTCCTCTGGAACTGGACTCTGTCTCCATGGTCCAGCCACGATGGGTGTTTTTCCTTATGTGCCTGTGTAAAGGGGTGCGAGGTGTGTCAGGGGGAGGACAGGGAAGAGCTGTTGGCCTGGTTACTTATGTACTGCCCGCTAGAGAAGCCCGCAGCGGGGGCCTCCCAAGGGCCCATGTGAATATTTCACAGCTGAAGAAAAAATGATTGGCTCTCAAATAAGAACACTGCAAAATGGAAATCAATAAATTCTTAATCAAGTGTCCAACTGTAACATTATATCAACCTCATTAACTGTTAAATTTAGTATTCATAAAAATTTCATTACATCTGAAAGAATGTGTGGGCTAGGTTTTTCTCATTTCACAAGAATTCCCAATTGTAATTTAAATCAGTCACTCCTAGCCAAATGGTTTCAAGAGCAAAATTATAAATATCCTTTCAAAAACTTTACAGCAAATTTTTAATATTTTAACATGTTTGCACTGAGGAAGTGAAGTGAAGCTGTAAAAATAAAAATGAAGCTGAACGCGGTGGCACGCGCCTGTATTCCCAGCTACTCAGGAGGCCGAGCCAGGAGAATTGCTTGAGCCCAGGAGTTCAAAGCCAGCCTGGGCAATGTATAGAGGGGGACAAGGAGCCACAGTGTGCACCCAGGCAGGGAGTGCCTGGGTACTCATTCACCCTTCAAGTTGGGGTGTGGGGGTTCCTCTGGACTTACAGGAGTGATGAGGATTTAGAGGAGCAGGGAGAGGCTGCCCTGGGTAGCTAAGATTAGGGCTCAGGTTCCAGTTCACCATGTGGAGTTAAGTTCTCATAGGAGGGCTGCAATGGGTGGGCCCCTAGGAACAGCCCTCAGAGATGCCCTTTGCAGAGGCTCCCAACCTGGCAACACTCCTTTGCCGGGGGCTCTGGGCCTTTGACTTCTGGGTCCAGTCTTCTCCCCTCCTTTACCCCAATTACTCCTGCCCCTAAAGCTATGTCAACTCTGTCCCGTATTTCCCTTCATTTCACTCTTGTTGGACAGAAGGAATAGCCCAGGATCCATAAAAAGAAACAGTCCCCAAAGCAGGGACCCCTTTCCTCCAGGACACAGAACATTCAGTCTTCATAATCCCTGACTACATAAGCCCTGGCCCGGGCAGGAACAATGTGTTTCATTCCTTCCTTGGGAATGTCTCTTTACCATATGGCCACATGACCCCTCCCAAGGCCAAACAAACAAACAAACAGGAAAAACCCCAAACAGCAAAAGGAATCTATTTAATAATAGTTTTAACAGCCACATCTGATACTTAAGCTGAGAAATGCCATAACCTTGAGTCCCATCTCTAGGGCTGATTTCTCTCCAAACATCTTAGGTCCTTGCCTCTCCCTCCTCCCTTTAAACTGTTAGAGTGGGGTGACACCGAAACAGATGAAATGCCCTCAGAGAAAGAAATAGGGTGGAGTCGGGGGGACCATCTGACTTAGTGAAATACCCTGAGCTGTGCATGTGAAAACAAACAGGGAAAGAATCACCTAATTTTCATGTATGGTGTCCATACCCTAAGCTGAGCAAGAGGGTGATGTTTAAGGCAATGATATTAGGTGGGCTACTTTGAGAACCTCTGAATCTTTTAAGTGCTTTTTTTTATCTTGCAACAGCTCTGAGAGGCAGGTCTGATTATCTCCATTTTAAATATGAAAAAATTAAGTCTCAAGTAGCTCAAGTGTCTTGCCCTATGCCACGCGACCACTCAGTGGTTGAACTAGGATTTGAACCTGAGTCCATGTGGCTCCAAAACCGTTGCTTGTTTCATGATACAAAACTGTATTATTATGTCTATGGTCTGGCCAGCACCTCTGCTAGCGGATGTATTGCCATCCAGAGCAAAACGACATTGTCCAGCCTCCCTGTACCTACCTCCCTGTACCTAGGTACAGTCATGTGGTTACTGAATGGAAGGTCTTGACTGAGTTGTCCAGGTTCTTGGCATGTTAAAGAATTGAACAAAACGCACAAAGCAACAAAAGACAAAGCAACGAAAGAATGGAGTAATGAAGGCACAGATTTATTGAAGATGTGCAAGTACAATTCACAGAGCAAGAGTGGGCTTGAGCAAGTGGCTCAGGAGCCCCTTCAATTAGAGATTTTATTAAGCTAAAGAACATGAACACCCCCGGTGCCCTCCAGAGGCCTCCAATCAGTTACATCCAATGAAGGATTGATCCGTGACCAATTAGAGGCTTAAGTGGCGACTTGGCCTGTGGTTATCACAGAAGTGAAGATGTGGCCTGTATGTTGCCTAATCCTGCCTAGAATTGGCTGTACCTGCTGTGCCTTTTGCTTATGTGAACTGGCTGCACCTGCTCTTCTTTTGTTCCTACCTTAATCCTTGGTTGCCCTAATTCCCTATTCTCCTGCCTCAATGTGGTTAAGTTCCCACCAATCAGATATGGTTGGACTCGTGTGGGACTTTGAGGAAGGGGCTTAAATGAAGCTGGCTCTTCAGGGAGGGCCCCTTTTGGTCTTCTTGAGTTCTTCCGCCTTCTGGCCAGCAACACGGTTAATGCTCCAGCAGCAGCTTGGACCATCGGGTGGCCTTAGAAATGCCAACCAAATGTCTTCGTGGTGAAGCAGGAAGATGGAGCCTGGCATTTTGCTGGGACTGACACACTCACCCTGGACTGCCCAGCCTTGGACATCCTTTATGGGAGAGAGAATACACTTCTATCTTCTTTAAGTCTGTGATTTGGATTTTCTGTTTATCCATCCAAGCTGCCTGCAATGAATAAAATCATGTTCCCCGTCCTAGGCAACGTTTAGATGGGTCTAAATGTGTACACCCTCTACTCTGAGAATGATAGGATAGTTACAGAATGTGGGAGGCAGGAGTGGGAGGAGAAAGCACTATAAGTATGGGCCTGTCTTGAGAGAGCCAAGAAGGACTTTGGCATAGCCGAGCACTAGGCTAACCTCACCTAGCAGAGGATTCACTTGCCCATCGTAAGGGGCTTGGTGAGGGTTGGACCCTAACTTCCCATCACTTTTGAGAGGGTGAAAATTTCAGTTTGGGCACTGGCAAGAACAGAGAGAGGGAGGGAAAAATTATGTAATATACACATGTATATGTGTAATATATATATTTTGAAATGTATGTATCATTCATTAATCTTCTCAATAGTCCTGAAACAGCCACTGAAAAGTTTTGAAGCAGGGCCAGTTTAATCCACTGAGCTTGGAAGCTGATCCTACACCCTGGTCAAGCTTCAGGGATGGCAGCCGCTTGTGAGAAACCCTGAGCATGAGCCACTCAGCCACCCAGCCACCCAGTCACCCAGCCACCCAGCCACCCAGTCACCCAGAAAAGCTGCTCCTGGGTGCTGCACCCTCGGAAGCTGTGAGATAATAAACATTTATTGTTTTAAGCCACTAAATTTTGGGATAATTTGTTAAGCAGCAGTAAACAGCTAATACATTCAGCCTTGTTTGGAGTGAGTGATGTGTTTCTGGAAGCTCTTTCAGAGAAGTGAGGGAGCTATTCTCCCAGAAGCCACAGCAAACCTTTCCCTGTGTTTCATTGGCCCAAACTGAATCGCTGGCCTATGCTGTGATGTGACCATGGCCATTGGAGAGGATGAGGCAATAACCTCCAGCCCGGGCCACTTCTGGGGAGGCGGTCAGTGCCCCACAACACTGGGGGAGGTGCGGAGGCCTGAACGGAAGTTGGGGTGGCTGCCAAGAGGACCACAAGTTCTTCCATGCCACATCGATTAGGGCTCCTTCTGAGGGAGGAATGTGGGGCTGCGTAGAACAATGGGATTGACTTTAAGTCAGAAAGTTATAAATGTCACCTCAGTGCTGAGACCCTTGGAGGAAAAACTAGTCCTTGGAAGACTGCTTTTCTTTGTGGAAGCTCATCACCCTGCCGCTGCTCGTGAGACACTGCCTTCCTTGGCTGATGTCATTCCAGGCTCAAGGTCATCAGTGAGGCAAAACAGGCTTTCTCCATACTCTCTTTATCAGAAGGTTCATGACTGATGAGGTAGTGGTCACTCCAGCGGGAAGAGCAACAACCACTCTTGATAAGTACTTTTTTTTTTTCTTCTAAAAACTGTTGCTCTAAATTTGTTGAAAGTGGTTCAACAGTATTGGAGTCTGGGGTCAAGTGGCTGTGTAAGGACAACTTTTGCCATTGTGGGTGATCTATGGGCTGACACATACAACAGAAGAGGCCAGGAGGATGTCACTCGTGTGTGTGTGTGTGTGTGTGTGTTTGGTAACAGCTCTATTGAGATATAATTCACACACCATACAATTCACCCATTTAAAGTATGCAATTCAATGGCTTTTAGTGTATCAGAGAGTTGTTCAATAATTACCACAATATACTTTAGAATATTTTCATTTTCATCATCCTAAGAATCCCTACACACTTTATGTCCCATCCTCTAATTCCTCTATCCCCCTAGCTCTAAGCAACCACCAGTCTATTTTCTGTCTCTTAGATGTGTGTTTTAAATGCCTTATTTGCCAGAAAATAAGATTTTGGGGAAAAAAAGCAAGAAGTTGTACCTTCCAATGATAAGTATAAGGTATAGTGTAGATTGCTGTCATGAAATGCTCTACATGGCACATGTATGTTTTCTGACCTACACATTTTTACCAAGTGGGCTGTAATTTTGTTGAAATGACTTGAAAACTCTACAGGTGACTGACCCTTGTTGTTTGGGAAAGTGGTAGGTGCAGGGTGATGGGGGGTGGGTGTGGGGGCTGACCTGGGCTGGAAGGATGGGTCTGGGGATATGATATGATGGGAGGGGGTATGGAAGCAGCTCTGAGGGGAAAGCAGCACAGATCAAGTGTGTGGACAGGGAAGAGCTGACATCCTGAGTTCCATGGCAACCAGATTTGCCAAGGTCTTAGAGTGTGTCCAGAGTGGAGCCTGACCACAGACCTCAGCTCAAGGGACCCAGAGCCCCTCTGAGTCAGCTGTACTGAATTACAGCCCCAAATCTGGGTCAACTGGGGAGAGACGACGAGGATTAGGGTTCCAAGGTGAAACTGTGCCATTGCGCTCCAGCCTGGGCAACAAGAATGAAACTCTCTTAAAATAAAATAAAATAAAATAAAATAAAATAAAATAAAATAGCCTAAGGATGCATTTCTCAGAACTTATCCCTGTTGTTCAATGATGTGTGTCTATACAGTGGGGCCATAACTAAGACGTATGTTGCCCAAGCTGGCAAGATAGCTCTGACCTTCTCTTGGGCCCCTCATTTCCCCCAAACACAGGTTGTCTGCAGTCTTGACCAATGGCTGCCAGGGCATGGACTCCGCTGCAGGGGCCAGTGGGAGGCCCCAGCTCAGGCAAAAGCACAGGCAGATATTTCAGGAGTCTGCTAGGGCTGGCACTGAGGGCAGAGACAGAGGGGTCTCCCTGTCCTTTGGAGAACCTCACGCTGCAGAAATTCCAGACTGAACCTTCATACCGAGTAGGGGAGGAGCTGTCTGCGGGTTTGAGCCTGCAGCAGGAGGAAGGACGTGAACATTTTATCAGCTTCTGGTATGGCCTTGAGCTGGTAGTTATAATCTTGGCCCTGGTGGCCCAGGGCTACAGTCATCCTAGCAGTCCCCGCTGAAGTGGAGCAGGTACAGTCACAGCTGTGGGGACAGCATGCTGGCCAAGGGTCTTCCCCCACGCTCAGTCCTGGTCAAAGGCTGCCAGACCTTTCTGAGTGCCCCCAGGGAGGGGCTGGGGCGTCTCAGGGTGCCCACTGGCGAGGGAGCTGGCATCTCCACCCGCAGTCCTCGCCCCTTCAATGAGATCCCCTCTCCTGGTGACAATGGCTGGCTAAACCTGTACCATTTCTGGAGGGAGACGGGCACACACAAAGTCCACCTTCACCATGTCCAGAATTTCCAGAAGTATGGCCCGATTTACAGGTAAGCCTGGCAGAGGGTGGGAGCCGAAGGGACAGGGAGGAGGAGGGGCCTGGGTAGCCCTGCTGTAGTCCCCACTCCCCCAACAGGCTGTTCTCTGGTTCCAAACTCCTGTCTAACTTCTTTTTTTTTTTTTTTTTTGGTAATACAATACAGAAATATATCAGGGATATTTCAAAATTCAACATTTGAATCTGTGAATGTCTTAAGTACTCTAAACCAGACATCTACTTTTGAAACAATTGGTGGCAAGACCGCCAGCCATCTGTAAGGAAGCTCTTTAATGGGTCCAAACCCCAGGTCTGGCCAGGCATGGTGGCTCACACCCATAATCCCAGCACTTTGGGAGGCCGAGGTGGGCGGATCACTTGAGATCAAGAGTTCGAGACCATCCTGGCCAACATGATGAAACCCCGTCTCTACTAAAAATACAAAAATTAGCTGGGTGTGGTGGCAGGCGCCTGTAATCCCAGCTACTCGGGAGGCTGAAGCAGGAGAATGGCTTGAACCGGAGAGGCAGAGGTTGCAGTGAGCCGAGATCGCACCATTGCAATCCAGCCTGGGCGACAGAGTGAGATTCTGTCTCAAACAAAACAAAACAACCTCCTCGGTCTGAGGAGGGGAGACTGGTGAGGCTAAGTTTTGAATTCCTGGCCCTGTAGCTGTCAGCCCAGCCAGCGAGTTTTAAAAATTGGGAGAAGGCCGGGTGCGGTGGCTCACGCTTGTAATCCCAGCACTTTGGGAGGCTGAGGCAGGCGGATCACTTGAGGACAGGAGTTCGAGATCAACCCGGCCAACATGGTGAAACCCTGTCTCTACTACAAAAATAAATAAATAAATAAATAAATAAATAAATAAAATAAAAAAAATTAGCCGGGCATGGTGGCGGGGGTCTATAATCCCAGCTACTCGGGAGGCTGAGGCAGGACACTCGCCCGAACCCAGGAGGTGGAGGTTGCAGTGAGCCGAGATCATGTCACTGCACTCCCGCCCTGGGCAACAAAAGCGAAACTCTGTCTCAAAAAAAAAAAAAAAAAAAAAATCGGGGGAGGGAGATTTGAAGGTCAGAGCACAGAGTGAAAAGGTCGCAGCGTGGTCAAGTTTGGCGCTAGCGACAGACCCAGCATTCCTCCCAGCGCACGCCGCCGCCCGGGCCGCGCTATTCCGAAATTGGGTCCGCCCTAGCGTGGCCCCCGGCCTGCTCCTGCGCTCTTCGCGGGTCGCTCACCTCCGCCTCCCCTCGACACAGCCCGAGCCCATCCGCCCCCCGGGTCGACCCGCGTTTACCTCAGGGCGAGGTCCAGGCGCTCGGCCCCGCGGAGGCGGCGGCGGCCCCACCGCAGGTCCTAGGTCCCAGTCACTCTGCCGCCAAGTTCCCCAACACGGACTCCGTGCGCTTTGAGGTGTTACGGGGGCGCTGGAGCACTGGCTTCGCTGGCCCTGCCAGGAGGCGGCGGCGAAGCAGGGAGCGACCCGGTATGCGTTTCTCTGCCCGGCCTGCGGCCCTGCAGCATCCACTCCTCGCCTCTGCTGGCCTCTGCCCTCGCTCGCTGCGTTCACCCGAGCTCACCCGAGCCCACCGGAGCCGACAGTGGCGCGCTAAGGTGACGTCCGCGCGGCCGGACCTCTCCTGTCCAACTTCTGATCTTCTTCCAGGCCTGGGATGGTGGTGGGTAAAAGGGAAAGTATTCCTAGTTCCCAGGCCTGAGGCCTCAACCTTCCCCAGATCCCACTCCCTTTGAAACTCTCGGAGAGAGGTGGTTAGAGAACAAGCCCTACTAAATGCCTCCCTACATCCGTTACCCTCCGCACACCTTGCAAGCGAAGTTTGTTGTCCCCATGGTCAGAGGAGGAGACTGAGGCTCAGAGAGGTCACCCAGCTAGATTCCTGTCCTGCTGGGGTGCTGGATCTCACCCCTTGGCCCTGAGGCTCTGAGTCTGTCCCTTCCCTTTCCCAAGAATCGGGCTTGCTTCCTGCTAGGAGGAAAGGCCTTTTTTTTTTTTTTTTGTCTTTGGGCCTCTGTGCCTCCAGGGCTTGTGGCTTTTTCCTGGGAAAACTGCTAAAGCTGTTCCCACGGTGGGCAGCCTTTCAGCCACACCTGGGTTCTTTGCTAAGAGTCCGGTTGAGAGGGAACGGAGGTGGCGCAGGGGTGGTTGGGGGCTGGGAGGGGAGACCAGGAGGGACAGTACGTTTTCCTTTAAGTGAAAGGTCTTTACAACTCAGAGCATTCCAATGGGTCAGTCACGAAGAGGGAAGGGTAAGATGTGTTGGCCGGCTTGATGACTGGGCTGGGGGTGGGTGAGAAGGCAGGCTAGTTTGTGTTGGGGCTTCAGCTGCTCCCTCCCTCTCTCACAACTCCTTTAAAGTCCAAACTGCCCCTTTTGATAGCTGGTTGGTGGCAGGGAGCTCCCCCCACCCCGCACCCCACCCTATTCAAGGTTGAGTGCTGGGCTTGGGAGGTTGCGCCCCGCTGGGTCTCTCCTTCCTCCCCCTCTCTCCTAGGCCTATTAGTGCTTCTGTCCCGTGCTCACTTCACATAGATCTCTAGTTATCCTTGCTTCCTCCTCTCTTCCCTTTTCACCACTTCCTAGACCCTCAGTAGCAACTCCTTATTTTATTAAGCCCCTTTGTTACCGGTGGAGGGTGTCCAGGTTCTTGGCGTCTTGAACAAAGAATTGGACAAAATGCACAGACAAAGTAAGGAAGGAATGAAGGGATTTATTGAAAATGAACATACACACCACAGTGTGGGAGCAGGCGGAGCGTAGGGGCTCAAAGGTCCCGTTACAGAATTGTGGGGCATTTACCCCCAGAGGATTCCATTGGTTACTTCAGATACACCTTATGTAAATGGAGAGGATGAAGTATTCAAGTTACATAGTCATACACCCTATGGAGAGGATATTTCCTGTTATAGCTGAAGTGTGAATCGATCTTCACACTTCAGACCCTATTTTCCTGCCTCATCTGCCCCTTCAAGAGATGTGATCCCCATAAATCTTTATGGGAGGCAGAGGGACCGATGGTCTTTTTTCTGTAACTGCTTCATGCTGGCTTGGGGCATAGTCCCTACCTATTGGGGATCATGGAACTCTCACCCTGCTCTATCTAGTGGAGGAAGGGTAGCTTCTTGATGTCCAGGGGTGGTGTCTTCACTTGGAACTGGCTGGAACCTTTGTTACATGATCATCTGAAGCTTGATGGTCTCTAGGTGAGAGGAAATGAATTTGGTTAAAAGATTTAATGGAAACTTTAGGGGGTGGATACCTATACTGTCAGAAATGTTTGTTGTAGTGATTTGCAGAAGAAAAAACAAAACCTAGTCTTTTCTAGAATCTATGTGTTTCCTTAAAGTCTTGGCATGAGTGGCCCCATTTTGGTTTTGTTTGGTTTGTTGGGGCCTAGTGCATGAGATCAGTCCAAAACAACGGCCTCCCAGAATTTTGTTGAAAAAAATTCCCTTTTTGATCAGGTTTTCACTTAGGTGAGAGTGTGACCAAAACCTAGGGCCTCAGTGCCACTCTCAGTTACCATCATTTTGGGTTTCTGGTCTCAGCATGTCATTTATAGGTTATGGTGTCCTCATGGTTGCATATTTCTTTGAGCTCCTGTTATTCCAGTTGAAGAGAGACCATATGACATTCTAGAGATGGCTCATGCAAGCATTTAAAACCTTTGAGAGCATACAGCTCGTCAGGGAGACCATTATTATGGCTATTAGGAGGATAATACCAAGAATTTGGGAGTATACTCCTTACCCAAGGTCCCCATAAACCAAACCTCCTAAAATCAAATGGATCTAAGAATGAGCTAGATACAGTTTACTCACGGCTGGGTGAGGTGGCTCACTTGAGGTCAGGAGTTCAAGATGAGCCTGGCCAACGTGGTGAAACCCCATCTCTACTAAAATACAAAAATTGGCTGGGTGTGGTCACGTGCACCTGTAATCCCAGCTACTTGGGAGGCCAAGGCAGGAGGATTGCTTGAACCTGGGAGTCGGAGGTTGCAGTGAGCCAAGATCACGCCACTGCACTTCAGCCTGGGCAACAGAGAGAGACTTGACTAATCAATTTCTTTGTCAGTCTCCTACCACTGAATTTCTATAGTCTTCATTTGATGTATTTCTGTATAGGCCACAAGTGCCAGCAGCTGCACAGATACTTCGCTGTTTAGCCAATTCTATTATAACTTTCACAAGAGAATTTAGAGTCTGTAGCCTTTAGAGTAGAATTTGCTATGGAACCTATCATGAGGGATACATTTCTAATCATTGCTTCTTTTACTTTAAACCATGGAAAAAGGACCTAACAAATGATGCCCTTTCAGAAGAGTGAAGGACTTCTGGCAATGTTCTCTTTAACCCACGATGTGGGTTATGTGGAGTGAATCAATTTTTTGTTTTTGATTGATTATGAGCTAACACATCTACCATTAAAGTTTCTTACATACATTGGGCCTTTATCCATGTATAAGGCTGGCTGCAAACTCCTTCACAAATAAAAATGTTCCCCATAAGTGCACATAACAGACCCCTTTTCCACTTCTATTGTTCGTAGAAGGCATAAGCAAGAAAAAATATTCAAAAATAAGAGTTTCATGATAGTAGAAGTCTTAATCTGTGAACTTGGGAAAAGCTGTTCACATCAATGATGTCATCTTCTTCTTGGGAGAAATTTCCCTAGTTAGTTTTACCTTAAGCATTCCAGTGGGTGCACAGCTCCAAGAGCATGGAGGGGCCCTTCTCAGTTGTGAGATTATGAACCCAAAGTTCAAGGTCCTGAAGTTTTGTTATAGTGTAGATGGCAAGGACAGTCTTTCTCTGATGTTTCCAGCAGATTCAAACCATAAAAAGCTTTTTTTTTTAATCTGGTGAAAATACACTGTAGCATAATAATCTACTGTTATAACATCAGCCCTCTTGCATGGGAAAGCTTTTCTACAACCAGAAAACATGCATGGAAAATAACAATGGAATGAAATCCCTTTATAAAATGTTTAAATGGCTGACCAGAAGACCAAATATACCTGAAGCTTTAATTGTTTTCCTAGGAATATGGGATCAAGCATTGGTTATAAACAATTTTTTGTTGTTATTTAGTTTTTATTTCATAATCATAAACTTTAACTCAACTCTGCAGTCCAGCTAGGCATGGAAGGGAACTGCAGCGAGAGCACAAAGATTCTAGGATACTGCGAGCAAATGGGGTGGAGGGTGCTGTCCTGAGCTACAGAAGGAATGGTCTGGTGGTTAAGATAAAACACAAGTCAAACTTATTAGAGTTGTCCACAGTCAGCAATGGTGATCTTCTTCCTGGTCTTGCCATTCCTGGACCCAAAGCGCTCCGTGGCCTCCACAATATTCATGCCTTCTTTCACCTTGCCAAAGACCACATGCTTGCCATCCACCACTCAGTCTTGTCAGTGCAGATGAAAAACTGGGAACCGTTTGTATTGGATCCAGCATTTGCCATGGACAAGATGCCAGGACGTGTATGCCTTAGGATGAAGTTCTCATCATCAAATTTCTCCCCATAGATGGACTTGCCACCAGTGCCATTATGGCATATGAAGTCACCACCCTGACACATAAATCCTGGAATAATTATGTGAAAGCAGGAACCCTTATAACCAAATCCTTCCTCTCCAGTGCTCAGAGCATGAAAGTTTTCTGCTGTTTTTGGAATCTTGTCTGCAAACAGCTCAAAGGAGACGTGACCCAAGGGCTCGCCGTGACTGCGATGTCAAAGAACACGGTGGGGTTGACCATGGCTGATAGTACAGGGCTCCTGGTGGCAGTGACGGCATCTGCAAAGCGACAGGTTATAAACTATTTTAAACAATTTCAGTATTAGCTGGTTTAACATGAAAGTCTTTTCTTGATATGTAATTAATTTTTTGTTGTTGTTGTTTTACGTGGGTTAGTAGCTTTATACAAGAAAATTTGGTCATTTTTGTGGTTTACAATAACTTAACATAATTATAATTGTGATTGGTAACATATACTTAGACATTAGAATTTGAGAAATCCCATACAATTTTGGAATATATTATTCACAAAAATATAACCTAAAGAAGATTTAACATCATTTTGTCAATCCCATGTACCTAAACATGTCAAATAATCCTGTTTACCTCTTTTCTGGATGTTTTCAGGGGCCCTCTGATTCATCTAGAAAGCCAGGCATTAGGAAAGACAATTTTGAAACTGAAGTTTGATTTTGGAATTCCAGATTACCGTAAACTATTTATTTTGCCAAAATGATGACTCAGAAATTTTAAAGAAGCAAAAACCTTTTGTAACCTTCCACACACACAAAAAAACCCCCAACACTTTCTACTGTTCTTATACACCTTGCATGTAAAACTGTTTCTAGTAGTCTTAATTGCATGTTATAATGGCAAATTTGTTTTTTTTGAGACAGAGTTTCACTCTTGTTGCCCAGGCTGGAGTGCAATGGCATGATCTCGGCTCACTTCAACCTCTGCCTCCTGAGTTCAAATGATTCTCCTGCCTCAGCCTCCCCAGTAGCTGGGATTACAGGCAGGCACCACCTTGCCCAGCTAATTTTGTATTTTTACTAGAGATGGGGGTTTCACCATGTTGGTCAGGCTGGTCTTGAACTCCTGACCTTAGGTGATCCACCTGCCTCGGCCTCCCCAAATGCTGGGATTACAGGTGCGAGGCACTGTGACTGGCCTATAATGGCGAATTTTAACATAAAACCTGGTAAGTTAGGCCAGGCGCGGTGGCTCACTCCTGTAATCCCAGCACTTTGGGAGGCCGAGGCGGGTGGATCATGAGGTCAGGAGTTCAAGACCAGCCTAGCCAAGATGGTAAAACCCCATCTCTACTAAAAATAATAATAAAAAATTAGCCAGGTGTGGTGGCGGGCGTCTGTAATTCCAGCTACTCAGGAGGCTAGGGCAGAGAATTGCTTGAATCTGGGAGATGGAGATTGTGGGTGAGCCGAGATTGCGCCACTGCACTCCAGCCTGGGGGACAGAGTGAGACTCTGTCAAAACAAAAACAAAAACAAAAAAAACTGGTAAGTTCTGATAAAGTTTCTGATAAGGTTTGACTACTTCCAGCACAGCTAGGGGCATGGCTAACTCCACGTGTCCCCAGGCCTTACCTAGCTGGAAAGCAGGCAAGTTAAACAATTTTCAAAAGCCAAAGGAGTAGCTTATGATGTTAAAGGATTTAGCAAACCTAGTATTTGAACATAATGTACACCACATGTTTACATTTTGAAGACAACTGTATTTTTCCAATAATCTTGAAAACTGTCTTTATTTCCCAACTATTGCTAAAGTCACATGAACTAAAAGGCATTACACTTTCTACTTTTCTGACAAAATATTTGACTTAAGCTTTTATTATTATTAAACCAATTAATTTAAAATCTTACAGAGGAGATATACGTGACTTCTACTTTATATTTAACCAGTTTGCATAGAGGGAAAGAGCCCAGAGACTGACTCATAAGAAATTCTTATCCTTTCACCGGCATGCCAGATTTCAGGGTTCTCTCTTTCACGCGTGTCCCTGTGAAGAGACCACTGAACAGGCTTTGTGTGAGCAATAAAGCTTTTTAATCACCTGGGTGCAGGTGGGCTAAGTCCGTAAAGAGAGTCAGCGAAGGGAGATAGGGGTGGGGCCGTTTTATAGGATTTGGGTAGGTCATGGAAAATTACAGTCAAAGGGGTTGTTCTTTGGCAGGCACGGGCAGGGGACACAAGGTGCTCAGTGGGGGAGCTTTTGAGCCAGGATGAGCCAGGAGAAGGAATTTCACAAGGTAATGTCATCAGTTAAGGCAGGAACAGGCCGTTTTCACTTCTTTTGTGATCCTTCAGTTACTTCAGGCCATCTGGGTGCATACGTGCAGGTCACAGGGGACATGATGGCTTAGCTTGGGCTCAGAGGCCTGATATTCCTGTCTTCTTATATTAGTAAGAAAAATAACATAAAATAGTGTTGAAGTGTTGGGGCAGCAAAAATTTTGGGGGTGGTATGGAGAGATAATGGGCAATGTTTCTCAGGGCTGCTTCAAGCAGGATTAAGGGCAGTGTGGGAACCTAGAGTGGGAGAGATTAAGCCAAAGGAAGATTTTGTGGTAAGGGGTGATATTGTGGGGTTGTTAAAAGGAGCATTTGTCATGTAGAATGATTGGTGATGGCCTGGATGCAATTTTGTATGAACTGAAAAACTAAATGGAAGACACAAGGTCTGAATAAGAGAAGGAGAAAAACAGGTATTAAAGGACTAAGAATTGGGAGGACCCAGGACATCCGATTAGAGAGTGCCCAAGGGGATTCAGTGTAATTACTTGTTTGGTTGGTGAGTTTTTGGGCTCTATTCTTGACAGAGTCCTTTTTTTAAGTTGGAGGCTGAGTTTGGTGAGGTGTGTTTTTAAAAGACCATTAGTCCGTTTTACCTTTCCTGAAGATTGAAGACGGTAAGGGGTATGAAGGTTTCACTGAATACCAAGAGCCTGAGAAACTGCTTGAGTGATTTGACTAATAAAGGCTGGTCTGTTATCAGACTGTATAGAGGTAGGAAGGCCAAACCGAGGAATTATGTCTGACAGAAGGGAAGAAATGATCGTGGTGGCCTTTTCAGACCCTACGGGAAAGGTCTCTACCCAACCGGTGAACGTGTCTACCTAGACCAAGAGGTATTTTAGTTTCCTGACTTGGGGCATGTGAGTAAAGTCAATTTGCCAGTCCTGGGCAGAGGCAAATCCCTGAGCTTGATGTGTAGGGAAGGGAGGGTCCTGAGGAGTAGTAGACTAGCAGATGGAACCCTGAGAAGTGATTTCCTTGTGGATAGATTTCCATGATGGAAAGGAAATGAGAGGTTCTAAGAGGTGGGCTAGTGGCTTGTAACCTACATGGAAGAGGTTATGAAATGACGACAGAATAGAATGGGCCTGTGAGGCTGGAAGGAGATATTTTCCTTGGTCTAAGAACCATTTGCCTTGTGTGGGAAGAGATTGATAGGTGGAAGTTTTAGTAGGGGAGTAGGTGGGAGTGACCGATGAGAAGGAGAAAAACTGGCTGTGAGGGATAGAAGTTGGAATGCTAGCTGCTTTTTAGCTACCTTATCAGCATAAGCATTGCCCAGAGCAATGGGATCTGATGCCTTTTGATGGCCCTTGCAGTGAATGACTCCAGCTTCCTTTGGAAGTAAAGCGGCCTTGAGAAGAGTTTTTATTAAAGAGGCATTAAGATGGAGGACCCTTGTGTAGTGAGGAGACCTCTTTCAGCCCATACAACAGCATGGTGGTGCAGGATATGGAAGGCATCTTTAGAGTCAGTATAAATATTGACGTGTAATTCATTTGCAAGGGTTAGGGCTCCAGTTAAGGCAATGAGTTCAGCTTGCTGAGAGGTAGTGGAGCGGGGCAGAAAGTATATGCATCAGGTGTGAGGAAGAAAATAGATTTTGGAAGTTATGAGAACTGGAGAGAGTGAGTTGAGCACAGTTTGTGATTTTGAGGGCCTCTAAAAGTATTAAAGCAGCGACAGCTGCCGTACACAGACATGAGGGCTAGGCTAAAACAGTAAGGTCAAGTTGTTTGGATAGAAAGGCTGCCGGGCGCGGTCCTGGCTCTTGTGTAAGAATTCTGACCGCACAGCCCTGCACTTCAGCTGTGTGTAATGAAAAAGGGTTGGATGAGTTAGAGAGAGCTAGTGTGGGAGCAGCTTCTAGGGCTGTTTTTAAGGAACAGAAAGAGGAGTGGCGAAAGAATTTAGGATCTATGGGATCAGCTAAGTTTGCATTTTTAAGTTTATATAATGGTTTAGTCAGGATGGTAAAACTAGGTATCCAAAGGTGGAGTATCTAACCATGCCTAGGAAGGAAAGGCATTGTTGCTTTGTAGAAGGGGTTAGGGTTTGTGAGATTAGCTGGACGTGATCAGCAGGGAGAGCATGTGTGTTTTCATGAAGAATTATGTTGAGATAGGTAATGGATGAGGAAGAAATTGGGGTTCACTGAAGTAATGGGGCCTGTCCGTGAAGACTTGCAGCAGTACAGCCCAGGTAATTTGCTGAGCCTGATGGGTGTCAGGGTCAGTCCAAGTGAAAGTGAAGAGAGGCTGGGATGAAGGGTGCAAAGGAATAGTAGAGAAAGCATGTTTGAGATCCAGAACAGAATAATGGGTTGTGGAGGGAGGTATGGAGGATAGGAGCATATATGAGTTTGGCACCATGGGGTGGATAGGCAAAACAATTTGGTTGATAAGGCACAGATCCTGCACTAACCTGTAAGACCTGTCTGGTTTTTGAACAGGTAAAATGGGGGAATTATAAGGAGAGATTATAGGCTTTAAAAGGCCATGCTGTAACAGGCAAGTGATAACAGGCTTTAATCTTTTTAAAGCATGCTGTGGGATAGGATATTAGCATTGAACAGGGTAAGGGTGATTAGGTTTTAATGGGATGGTAAGGGGTGCATGATCAGTCACCAAGGAGGGAGTAGACATGTCCCATATGTGTGGATTAAGGTGGGGAGATACAAGGGGAGGATGTGAAGGAGGCTTTAAACTGGGGAAAAGGGTGGCAATAAGGTGTGGCTGTAGCCCAGGAATAGTCAGGGAAGCAGATAATTTAGTTAAAATGTCTTGACCTAATAAGGGAACTGGGCAGGTGGGGATAACTAAAAAGGAGTGCATAAAAGAATATTGTCCAAGTTGGCACCAGAGTTGGGAAGTTTTAAGAGGTTTAGAAGCCTGGCTGTCAATACCCACAATAGTTGTGGAGGCAAAGGAAATAGGCCCTTGAAAAGAAGGTAATGTGGAGTTGGTAGCCTCCATATTGATTAAGAAGGGGACGGACTTACCCTCCACTGTAAGAGTTACCTAAAGCATCTGTGATGATCCAGGAAGCTTCTGAGGCGATTGGGCAGCATCAGTCTTCAGCCGCTAAGCGGAGAAGATCTGGGAAGGAGTCAGTCAGATAGCCTTGGGCCAGAGTTCCAGGGGCTCTGGGAGTGGCTGCTGGGTGAGTTGGACAGTCCAGTTTCCAGTGGGGTCCTGCACAGATGGGACATGGCTTAGGAGGAATCCCAGGCTGCAGGCAATACTTGGCCCAGTGGCCAGATTTCCAGCACTTGAAGCAAGATCCTGGGGCAGGTGGTCCTGGAGGAATGCCTGGCCGCTGCAGTTCAGGCGTTTTGAAGTTCTTGTATGCTGGAGATGCGGCTGGGTTTTGTCTCACAGCAGAGGCAAGTAATTGTAACTCAGAAATGTGTTGCTGTCTGGCTGCCTCCTTTCTATTATTGTACACCTTGAAGGCAAGGTTGATTAATTCCCATTGCGAGGTTTGAGGGCCGGATTCTAATTTTTGAAGCTTTTTTCTAATGTCAGGGGCTGACTGGGTGATAAAATGCATATTGAGAATAAGACAGCCTTCTGACCCTTCAGGGTCTAGGGCTGTAAAGCGTCTCAGGGTTGCTGCCAAATGAGCCATGAACTGGGCTGGGTTTTTATATTTGAGGAAAAAGAGCCTAAACACTAACTGATTTGGGAGAGTTCGGATAAAGAAAAAGGAGCATTAACCTTGACTATGCCTTTAGCTCCAGCCACCTTTTTAAGAGGAAATTACTGGGCAGATGGGGGAGGGCTAGTTGCAGAACGAAACTGTAAGCTGGACTGGGTTTGGGGAGAGGGGGTGATAGAAGGATTATAGGGTGGAGGAGCAGAAACTGAGGAAGAATTGGAGCCTGATTCAGCCTGGCTGGGGAGTGACCTGAGGAGCAGTCTGGGGATGAGGGGAGAGGTCAGATGGGTCGGTAGAAAAGGAAGATTGGAAAGACTCAACAACACTTGGGGTTGGGACTGAAGGGACAGGTGGGAGGGAAAAGAAGATTTGGGACCAATTGCATTGGAAATAGACTAGGGAGGGAACAAAGAATGCCTGGGTGTCAGGTACCTCAGACCATTTGCCCATTTTATGACAAGAATTATCTAGATCTTGTAGGATGGAGAAATCGAAAGTGCCGTTTTCTGGCTATTTGGAACCATTGTTGAGTTTGTATTGGGGTTAAGTGGCATTGCAGAAGAAAATAAGATGTTTAGGTTTTAGGTCACGTGTGAGTTGAAGAGGTTTTAAATTCTTGAGAACACAGGCTAAGGGAGAAGAGGGAGGAATGGAGGGGTGGAAGTTTGCCCATAGTGAAGGAGGTAAGCCCAGAGAAAAGAGAGGATAGAGACATGGAGAGAAGGTGTGGGGGATGCCTGCCCCCCAGGAAAGTGGAGAGAAAAGGGAGGGTAGAGACACGGAGAGAAGGGAGGTGCTTGCCCCCCAAATTAGTGGTGCTTGCCACTAAGGGTGAAGGATCAAGGCAGGTGTCCCCGTGGTGATCAAACACCTCTGAAATGTGGGTGAATAATCAAGCAGGCATCCCCGCAGTGATTAAACACCAAGGGAAGACTGTCTTCCCGAGTCTGTGACCAGCGCTGGAGTTTTGGGTTCACGGATAAAACACGTCTCCTCTGTCTCTGCCAGAAAAGGAAAGGAACTGAAATTAAGGGAAGGGAGAGATTGAAAGATGGCGCCAAGATTGAAAGGAGAAAGAGGTTGAGAGATAGTGAGAGAGGTTGGAGAAGAGAGTAAAAAGAGGCTGCTTACCGGGTTTAAAATTGGTGGGATGTTCCTTGGGCTGGTTGGTCTGAGGACCTGAGGTCATAGGTGGATCTTTCTCACTGAGCAAAGAGCAGGAGGACAGGGGATTGATCTCCCAAGGGAGGTCCCCTGATCCGAGTCATGGCACCAAATTTCATGCGTGTCCCTGTGAAGAGACCACCAAACAGGCTTTGTGTGAGCAATAAAGCTTTTTAATCACCTGGGTGCAGGCAGGCTGAATCCGAAAAGAGTCAGCAAAAGGAGATAGGGGTGGGGCTGTTTTATAGGATTTGGGTAGGTAATGGAAAATTACAGTCAAAGGGGGTTGTTTTTTGGCTGGCAGGGGTGGGGGTCACAAGGTGCTCAGTGGGGGAGCTTTTGAGCCAGAAGAGCCAGGAGAAGGAATTTCACAAGGTAATGTTATCAGTTAAGGCAGGAACAGGCCATTTTCACTTCTTTGTGATTCTTCAGTTATTTCAGGCCATCTGGATGTATACGTGCAGGTCACAGGGGATATGACGGCTTAGCTTGGGCTCAGAGGCCTGACATTCTCTCCCTGAGTGGCCCCAGGGACCCTGCTTGACTGTATGCAAACAAACACATTGCAATGAATTAAGAATATTCATAAATAGTTTACAAATTTTGGAGAAACTAGGCAGAGTGAGAGAAATATGACTAAAATTCTATTTGTGAGAGTATACTCAACACACTTAAAGTATCAGGAAGCCTAAAATCCAAAAAGTTAGTTTAAGGATAAAAAAGCTAGTATGCTCCATTAATTCCTGCAGGCCCAACAAAGGTAGCTTGGGAATTCCAGAAAAATGGAATGAATGATGACTTGCTAGAAATGCACAGGAACACAGAACTAAATGAAAACCTTCCACTAGGAACTAAGAAAAATCATGGTTTTTATATACATGCATACACAAGCAAAGTCAGAGGAGAACAAATGGCAAACAAATGAAAACTAGAAGCAAAAACAAATAAGCAGGAAACCAACCCTAAATTTTCTTATTCAATTTACCCTGGAGGCTACAGTGTTACATAGGGCCCCCAAAAACCCACATAATGAATATTTTATTCCTGATACACAATTCAGTATCCTTAAGTTCACTAATATTATCATACATCCTGTGCAATTAACAAATTCACTTTAGGCGTATGACCAATAAGTACTCCAGCACTATCCATGCAAAACAGTAAACATAGTATGAAGCAATGTAAGCATGTATGTGGAATTTGGTTCCACACTAAATCCAGCTTCATGCTTAACTATATTAAAAAAAAGAGTTGCCAAACTGCCAATGCATTTTTACAATACTTCTTACTTTAATCAAGACTAAGAGCTTTAACTATAAAAATGTTAATTAGCCAAATGTTTCCAATTCTTTATCAGGTTTTAAAGAATATTTTATTATTTAAACTGTACCTCATCTTTCTCCCCTACTTAATGGTTCCTTACTACATTGTTTCATAAATAACCTTTTCAAAACTGTAACTTGAACTAACTTTTAGATAACTTCTGAATTAGACAAAATTATTCTTTCCTTTTTTTAGTAATAACCCTTTCAGGCACTTTTTGTATACAGAATTACGTGTTAACTAGAAACCTTATCCTTTGTAATGTAAAATTTTAGTGAAACCCTAAAAAGCAAGAAATCCTGAAATATCAGATATGGGCATTTATAGATAAGAACAATTCCACAATTTTAGAAACATATTTCCCCATATCACAACCCTTTCTTACTTGGAAATGACCCAGATATTAAATGAGTGCCAAAAATAACTTTAAGGTTTTAATTTACACAAAAAGTTTACCTAAAGCATTTATCCCATTTGCTGTACTCAATTTTTACTTTTAACAAGGGAGACATGAGACACTAATTAACATATGTAAAATGAACATTGGTTTGGTCCTGAAAGGTGGGACAACTCAAGGCAAGGAGTGGGCTTGGAGGCTTTCAGATCACAGGTGGGAGACAGATGTTTACATTCTTTTGAGTTTCTGATTAGCCTTTCCAAAGGAACCAATCAGATATGCATTTATCTCAGTGAGACTTTGAATAGAAGGGGAGGCAGGCTCGCCCCAAGCAGCTCCCAGGTTGAATTCACTGACATTTAAGAATATCTAGTGGTGGCTCATGCCTGTAATCCCAGTGCTTTGGGAGGCTGAGGCAGGCAGATCACAAGGTCAAGAGTTCAAGACCAGCCTGGCCAATATGGTGAAACCTTGTCTCTATTAAAAAATTTAAAAATTAGCTGGGCGTGGTGGCGTGTGCCTGTGGTCCCAGCTTCTTAGGAGGCTGAGGCAGGAGAATTGTTTGAACCCAGAAGGCGGAGGTTGCAGTGAGCCGAGATCACACCACTGCACTCTAGCCTGGGTGACAGAGTGAGACTCTGTCTCAAAAAAAAAAAAAAAAAAAAAAAGATAGCAAAGACAAACATAAAATTCAAACAAAATGTATACTGATAATACTGAAGGCATTTCTATTTTTATTCCACCAATAATTTTAAAGCTAGCTTGTTTAGTAAAGTTATACTTTAAGTCACGTGAACTTGAAAATTGCTTAGACTTATTTACTTAATTTATGAGTGCTCTTTTACTTATAAGGCAATTTGGTAGACACAACATATAACAATGTGTACATACAAATAAACACATCTAGACATGTATACACACACATAAACGAAGATTCAATAGCTTGGAACCTTAGCCATGAGATAGCAATACAAGCTTGCCAGTTTTTGCCCCAACAGATAATCCAATGAAGGCTGTGAACCAAAATTTTGGCTAAAGCAGTCTCCATGGCAGTTTGATTTTTAAAGGCCAAACCTCCCACGACTTCAAAGCAGGGTGTCACATGTTAACCAGGCCCCCTGCTTAGAGCTGCAGCACAAAAGCCTGGATACATGCAACTCTATTCCACTTTCCAATTCAACAGTAAACTTCAGATTCCAAACAATGTTGGGGCCAAACAGCATTGCAACTGCGGAGAGAAAATTCTAAGGAGGGCTAGACCTCAGAACCTCTGCCAAGAGCATCCTCTTTGGAGTGGCTGGGGTCCGCAGGACCCACAGAGCATCCTCCTGTGGGGTCCAATCTTAGGGTCCCAGACGTCTCTGGCTTTAGGTGGGCATCACATGCAGGCTTTCCCCTCTGGAGCATACTATGAACTTTATAAGAGTAGCCATGAACTGTAATGTGAACTGGATGCTGCGTGGGCTTTTTTTGTCCTTAGCTAGTTGAGCACTATAAGGGAAGAATTTAGCATAAGAAAGTAAGGTTTAAGCCCCCAGAAACATTTATGAGTTTGCTCCGAGCAGCACCGCATGTAGGGATCAGGAACCATAGGCAAAAAAGATTTTTAAAAAAAGTCCCTCCCGCTTTGGGGCAGCGCAATTATTCCCTTTCATTCGTAGACCTTCAGGCAGTACTGGTGACCCCAGCCTCAATTTCCAAGGAGCTACTAGGAAACAGCCGCTGAAAGACTGAAATAGAAAGAGACAAAAAAAGAGAAAAAAAACATAAAAAAGACCCAGGTCCCTTAAGCGAACCGGGCGGTGGCAGTCAGGCTGCTTCTCCACGTGGAAACCCCTTAGTTTCACTGGCCACGGCCAGAAACCTGCAGTTGTCTCCGTGTTTAGGTGGGGCCCAGCAAGGGTCCCAAGTTGGAACAGAAAAGAGAAAGAGAGAGCTCCTGTATGGAGCAGAAAGGAAAGGGAGAAAAACGAATCCCAAACTTTGGGCTTACCTCTTCCTCCTGGCTGGCTGGCCAAAATACATGTTACCGGTGGAGGGTGTCCAGGTTCTTGGTGTCTTGAACAAAGAATTTGACAAAACGCACAAACAAAGCACGGAAGGGATGAAGGGATGTATTGAACATGAAAATGCACACCACGGTGTGGGAGGGGCCTGAGTGTAGGAGCTCAGGGGCCCCGTTAACAGAATTTTTGGGAGTTTAAATACCCCTTAGAGCATTCCATTGGTTAATTCCATATGCCTTATGTAAATGGAGAGGATGAAGTAAAGTTACAAAGTCATTTACAGCATACGCCCTATGGAGAGGATATTTCCTGTCACAGCTCAAGTGTGAATTGGCCTTATGTTCCCTGCCTCCAGACCCTAATTATCTTTCTGTTTTCTGAGTCACTTCCATCTGAATCTTGCAACATATCCCTGTAGTTGGTGTTATTATTTCCCCACTTTACAGATGGGGAAACTGAGGCCCAGTGAGAAGAAGGGTCTTGTCAATGTCACACAACTCATGAGAGCAAAGCCAGGGCAGGAACTGGAATTGTCTGACTTCCAGCTCTGTGTGTCATTATACTTGAACTTATAGCTAATAAACAATAAACTTCTGAATAAATGTGAGGAATTTAAAATACAACTTTTGTGGGTTTTTTTCCTAACACAAAGGCTGTTCTTGTTTTATACAGAGCAATTTAGAAAATACAGAGAAACACAAATGAAAAATTGAAGTCAGATACAATCAATTCCAATTGATTTAACATTTAAGTATCATGAGGTATGTGAATATACTACATATGCTGCTTATGTTGTCTCACAACAATATATCAAGGAATTCTTTCCTTTTTTCTCTCTCTAATATAAAATTATTTTATATTTTAAGAGAAAGTGATGTTCAGTGGTCCTCAGACTTTTCTGGGGAAAGATCTCGTTTCGTTTATTTATATCTTCTTCCTTTTTCTTGATCTATCTTATTAATATTTACTTTTTTTGAAACAGGGTCTTGCTCTGTCTCCCAGGGTGGAGTGCAGTGGTGCCATCATAGGCTCACTGTAGCCTTGAATTCCTGGGCGCAAGTGATCCTCCCTCTCCCTCCTCAGCCTCCCAAAGTACTGGGATTACAGGTGTGAGCCACTGTGCCTGGCCTCTAATATAATTTTAAAAGGCAGCATAGTAGTTCACAGTATGGATTTTTTTTTTCGCGGGTTCTTTAAAGTGAACATACAACCTACTCTTGACTTTTTTGCTGTTAGACATGAGGCTGCAATGGACATCCTTATCCATCAAGCATTGTTGCTGATGTCAGATCATTGCCTTGGGCTAGATTCCCAGAAGTGGAATTGATCATGATAATAGCAGTTCAAGGGCTTGGCTGAACTTGGTTAGGGGTATGGAGCTAGTTAGTGCAAAGACACATGGTAGCTGGAAAAACACTGAGGGGATTTTCTGGGAGGCCACAGAACAAGTGAAGGCCTGAAACTCATCAAGGTAGGCCCAGGCTTTCTGGCTCAGTGGTTAAAGCAGCACTATGAGAGGAGAGAGAGAGAGAACATGCACACACATGAGCACACTTGGCTTGTATCTCCATGTTTTTATGCTATTTTGCCTAAAAGTGTATCTTAATTTTCTTCGATAAAAGGCAGAGGCTAGCAAGAAGTGGAATTTTCTGTTGTTTTTTAGTAGTTGTATTTTTATTTCTTATTTTTTGCTTAAACAACAGAATTAATTTTCTGGCAGTTCTGGAAACTAGAAGTCAGAGATCAAGGTTTTGGCTGAGTTGCTTGCTTTCTTCTGAGGCCTCTCTCCTTGGAGTTAGATGCTATCTTTTCCCCGTGTGTTGACATGGTCCTTCCTCTTTGTGTATCCGTGTCCTCATCTCTTCATGTAAGAACACCAGTCATATGTAACAGTTGTATGTGGGTAGGCACATTGGCTCAAACCTGCCATCCCAGCACTTTGGGAGGCTGAGGTGGGAGGATCTCTTGAGCCCAGAAGTTTGAGACCAGCCTGGGCAACATGGCAAAACCTCATCTCTACAAAAAACACAAAAATTAAGCATGGTGGTGCCTGTAGTCCCAGGTACTTGGCCGGGCTGAGGTGAGAGGGTCGCTTGAGCCTGGGAGGTCAGGGCTGCAGTGAGCCGTGATCACACCACTGCACTCCAGCCTGGGTAACAGAGACCCTGTCTCAAAACAACAATAACAACAAAAACCCAGTTGTATTTAATACAGATTGTCTGCAAAGTGATTTGCAAGCCTGTCTCCCCTGCCTGTATGTTGGGGCTTGATGTTTTACTGAAGTTTTATTTTAATAGAGACAAAGCGTGTTGTTGGGTGGCCTCTGACTCTTAGGGTCAGGGTGGCCACTCTCAGAATTTCAGTTGTAGAGTCTGACAGGGATTTGGCCTGGAATATGGCCTACCTTGCAAGCTATAGTGAGTCACTCTAGCAGTGACATGAAAGTGTGCCATGGTTCTGAGCTCTGTGGACAGGTGAGAAGCTGGGGCTGCTGTAGGTGTGGACACAGGAAGAATGCGCAAGGAGTGGAGGACTTGCTGGTCCATGGAAGGCTCGGGGGTGGCTTTGGGCTGGCCCTGGGGATGTGCTGTGGGACAGCAGCAACAGTGATCATAAAGCTCTCACTTGTAGAATGTTTAACAAAGGTCACATCCATATACTTCCTATTGTCTTGTCCTTCAGCAGCGCTGCGAGACAGGTACTGTATTTGTCTCCATTTTACAGAAGAGGAAACTGAGACTCAGAGGGGTTAAGGGCCTCGACTCAGGTCCCACAGTCAGCAAGTTGTGGAACTGTGAGGCAGCTGTGCTGAGCCTGTATCCATAGCTCTCCTCGGATCCTTCCATCAGCCCCTCTCCCCCACCCCTCCAGGGAGAAGCTCGGCAACGTGGAGTCGGTTTATGTCATCGACCCTGAAGATGTGGCCCTTCTCTTTAAGTCCGAGGGCCCCAACCCAGAACGATTCCTCATCCCGCCCTGGGTCGCCTATCACCAGTATTACCAGAGACCCATAGGAGTCCTGTTGAAGTGAGTCCTGGGCCATCTCCCAGGGACTGGAGGGAGGTGGTGGGGAGCTGTGGAGAGGGCAGAGGCTGGGGGTGAGGGGCTGAGGCCAGGCTTGCCCTGTGCCTCCTAGCAGGGCCTCTAGGTGAATCCCCGTCATTTTCCTGCCTCCCTAAAACAAATGATGGTGATGATGATGATGATGATGATGAATTGCTCTGCCAGCCTTCAGGGAAATGGCCATGCTGAAGATCCTAATGAATAATTAAAGATCTGGCAAAGTTCTCACTGACTGGTTTGCTCACTGAGTCCCACCTTACTGAGCATCCTTGATGAATCAGGACTTGTGCCAGGAACTGGAGATACAGTGACAAATAGAGCAGGGACCTGCCACCGTGAGTCCCATACAGGCTAAAGGGGCAGTGAGACATTTGTCCTACATGGGGACAGATCAGTGTATTTAAGTGTAGTGGATACTGTTTTCTACGAAATTGTTCATAAATTTTTTTTTATTTTGAGATGGGATCTCATTGTGTCATCCAGGCTGGAGTGCAGTGGTTTGATCATGGCTCACAGCAGCCTCTGCCCCCCGGCACAGGTGATCCTCCCACCTCAGCCTCCCAAGTAGCTGGGATTACAGGTGCGTGTCACCACACCCAGCCAATTTTTACATTTTTAGTATAGATGAGATTTTGCCATGTTGCCCAGGCTGGTCTCAAACCCCTGGGCTCAAGCAATCTTCCCGCTTCAGCCTTCCAAAGTGCTAGGATTATAGGCATGAGCCACCATACCCACCCCATCAAAAATGTAAAATGAGGGTCAGGGCGCATTGGCTCATGCCTGTAATCCCAGCACTTTGGGAGGCCAAGGCGGACAGATTGCTTGAGCTCAGGAGTTCAAGACCACCCTGGGCAACACAGTGAGACCCCATCTCTACAAAAAATAAAAAATAAAAAATTAGCCGATGTGGTGGCACATGCCTGTGTTCTCAGCTACTTGGCAGGCTGAGGCCAGAGAACTACTTGAGCCTAGGAAGCAGAGGTTGCTGTGACGAGAGATGGCACCACTGCACTCCAGGCTGGGTGACAGAGCTGGATCCTGTCTCAAAAAAAAAAAAAAAAAAGAAAAGAAAAGGTAAAACGTAACCATATCAAGTGTGGGTAAGGCTACAGAGCAACTGGGGCTCTCATCTGTTACTGGTGGGAGTGTAAACTGGAGCCACTACTTTGGAAAATGGTTGGACATTTTCTCCTAAAATGGAATATTTGCATACCTGTGACATAGCAGTTTGATTTCAGGTATATACTCCAAAGAGTATCCCTGCTTTGGGGGATGTGTAGTAGAAGGTTTGCAGTGGTACCGTTCATGATATTAAAAACCAGAAAGCTACTGAAATGCCCAATAGGATTATAAGTGAGTGAATTGTGGTACACACCAGTCAAAATGAAGGGACTCAGTCTCCCACAGCAATACAGATGATACTTGGAACGGTGCAACTAAGTGAAAAAAGCAAGTCTGGCAAAGCATGACAGCTTTTCTTTCTTTCTTTCTTTTTTTTTTTTTTTTTTTTTGAGGCAGAGTCTTGCTCTGTCACCCAGGCTGGAGTGCAATGGCACGATCTTGGCTCACTCCAACCTCCGCCTCCCGGGTTCAAGTGATTCTATTGCCTCAAGCTCCGGCGTAGCTGGGATTATAGATGCCCGCCACCATGCCCAGCTAATTTTTGTATTTTCAGTAGAGACGGGGTTTCACCATGTTGGCCAGGCTGGTCTCGAACTCCTGACCTCAGGTGATCCACCTGCCTCGGTCTCCCAAAATGCTGGGATTACAGGCGTGAGCCACTGTGTCTGACCGACAGCTTTTTAAAAGAAGTTAAACACTAGTATATATTTTGTAATAGTACCTTTTGGGAATAAATGGAGATCAGATAAAATTAGACACAAATGAGAGCAAGGGATTCTAGTGGGTGGTCTCCTTAGAAGGGAACAAAGGATGTGGAAGGACCAGGAGGGCAAGTGTAAGTTACTGTCAAGTTCCTAGTTTCTATGGTGGGTGGTAAGTTTGTGATAATATTCTTATCAACAAAAACACCCCCAAGTCACGAAGAGGACTTTGCATGGATTGATGAATTTCAAGAGTGTGCATGAATTAAGGTTTATTATGACCAACCCAGTTCGGGGCACCTGAGGTCCCCCGACAGAAGTGAGTAATGGGACGTGTTGGGGGTGCAGAGGAGGAGAGGCTGGTCAATTTTGTTTGTGCAAGAGTCAGAAAATGTTATATAGAGGGGCCCTGGAGTGTCAAAGGTGAGCATCGGCCAGGAGGAAGTGGGAGTGGCATGGAAGGCATGCCTGCAGCTGAGGCAAAGACTGGAGAGACTGAAAGTTACACAAAGGGTTCTAAGAATATCAGTTCCTGGCCCTCAGCAGAGGGAGTGGAGGGGAGTTGGAGTTTTGTTCCCCTTCACTCTCTTTTTTCCTTTCTCTTCTCCCAGCCAGGCAGAGCAGGGAGGAGGTGAGAGGCAGAGGGTGCTCGGAGAGGTGAGGGCAGAGGCCCTGGTGGGAGTGCTGGATGCTGTGAGCTGTGACTCAGCTTCCTGGGAAAACTGAGTCAGCCCCCTCTGTGTTCACCAGGCCTGGGGTCTGTGACCATGAGGGCTTGTGGGCCCATGTTTTCTCAGGAAGTCGGCAGCCTGGAAGAAAGACCGGGTGGCCCTGAACCAGGAGGTGATGGCTCCAGAGGCCACCAAGAACTTTTTGCCCCTGTTGGATGCAGTGTCTCGGGACTTCGTCAGTGTCCTGCACAGGCGCATCAAGAAGGCGGGCTCCGGAAATTACTCGGGGGACATCAGTGATGACCTGTTCCGCTTTGCCTTTGAGTGTAAGGGGGCTTGCACCTGGCTGGCAGTGGGCATGGGGGTGGGAGGACTCAGTGTTCACTCTCTTACCTTGAGGTTCAGTACAGACCCTGCAGAGGCATTGAGACTGACTTCTGGGATGAGCCGCTGATCATGTCCTCCACTGCCTGCTACTCAGAGGCAATTTAAGACCACCCTGGGCAACAGAGTGAGACCCCTTGCTCTGGGGTTCTCTCATCTGGCATTCTCTCTCATCTGGCATTTGTGCTGTAGGAGCAAGGGTCCCCAAAGTACAGGTCCCTATTGCCACCATCCGCCAAAGCCAGAGCTTGGCTTGGACCTTCATTCTGCAAGTCTCCACCTCCTGGGCCATAGACCTTTGGAGTCTGGTAGGGTAGAGGAGAGTTCAGTGGTTAATCTGAGGTAGGCATTGAGGAATCTGTAGGAGTTATCTAGATGGGGTAAGGAAGTCAGGCAGTATAGGTAGAGGGAACCACACATACAAAGGCCCTGTGGCTTGATGAAGATTGTGTGGTCACAGCAAGAGATTTGGGGTGCCCAGAGCTTTGTATGAAATCAGTATTCAAATTACTCACCTGGTAGGTGGGGAAAACTTGAGGCTGTTGTAACTTCTTAGGTCCAGCAAGACTAGGTCCTGGATGGTTAATTATCCAGGGATTTATGACCCTCAGTCTCCTTTCTGACCTGTTTCAGGAAGTATTTAGCCAATTCAGCCAATTACAGATGAGGAATCTCTCTTGGTGGAAGCCTGGGCAGAGCAGTTGCATCCTGGGCTAGGCCCTCTCTCAGCTCTGCTGGAGACCCTGCTTCCCACCTTTCAGGTCCTCCACATGCCCCTCTGCAGGACCTGTGTGGTTGCCAGAGGTCAGCTTTCTCAGCCTTGCATCTTAGCCCTTTGGGACTCAGGCCTCAATTTATTTACTGAAGGAGGCTGAGGGTAGGGGCAAGAGATCCTTTGTGCTGAGGGAGGTGAGGGTGGAGGAGTCCCTGGGAGTTGTGGCTCTCAGATGGCCCCGTCAGAAATGGCTCCTCAGCCTCTTCCTCTCCCTGCAGCCATCACTAACGTCATTTTTGGGGAGCGCCAGGGGATGCTGGAGGAAGTAGTGAACCCCGAGGCCCAGCGATTCATTGATGCCATCTACCAGATGTTCCACACCAGCGTCCCCATGCTCAACCTTCCCCCAGACCTGTTCCGTCTGTTCAGGACCAAGACCTGGAAGGACCATGTGGCTGCATGGGACGTGATTTTCAGTAAAGGTGAGGGCTTCTCTGGCTGTGCTCTCCTCCTCGGAGCCCCAGGCCTCAGCCGGCTCCTTTGTCCCACGCTATGTCAATGGGCGCTGACTTGACCTGTAGGAAACCCACACTGTGGCGGGCAGGCGTGGGTGTCAGGAAGGCCCTGGGACCCCTGGAAATGGCGGATGGAAGGCTGGCTGTTGGGGATTATTAGATTTTTCTGGAAAAAGAGGAGCAAAGACATCTGTGATCTTCTTCAAAGGAGCTCATGCTCCCCAGAGGGCAAAGGACCAGTGTCTGAGCCACGGCTGTGCTGGATGACAGGGACTTGGGTGGGAGAGATGGGGAAGGTTGGGTGGAGAAGGCTCGTCAGGGTATGGCAGAGTCAAATCCCACCTCTGCCCCTTACAGCCATGTGACCTTGGGCAAGTGACTATGTCTCTGCACCTCTGTTATCTGTAAAATGGGGATGATGTCACATACCCCAAGAATTCGATGAAAAAACAGATATGAAGGGCTTAGTACAGAGTACGTGCTCAGTAAAACGGCAGCCTAAGAAGCACAGGGCTCCGGAATCCCCAGGCCCTTGGTGCCACCTTTCACCACAGACTGCCCTCCTTCCCACCCGCCTGCAGGGAACCTCACTCTTTTTTCTTTCCTCCTTCCCCACAGCTGACATATACACCCAGAACTTCTACTGGGAATTGAGACAGAAAGGAAGTGTTCACCACGATTACCGTGGCATCCTCTACAGACTCCTGGGAGACAGCAAGATGTCCTTCGAGGACATCAAGGCCAACGTCACAGAGATGCTGGCAGGAGGGGTGGACACGGTGAGGTGGCTGTAGGGGCGGCACCTTGTTGCCCCCTGTGCCCACGTGCCCCTTCCCCACCAGGCCCCTCGTTGTCTGAAACCCTGTTGTTCAAGGCGTTCCTACTCATGTAGGATATGTCTTCCTCCTTGCCTCCATTTCCAAAGCGCTAATCTCCTAAGATGGTGGGGTCAAAGTCAAGTCACCCAGGGCATGATTTGAGGATGATCAGCTATTTTTCTTTGCCTGTGAGAGAGGAGTGGCCGGGCATGGTGGTGAGGTCCAGGTTCCACGTAGAGTCTCCACAGGAGGAGGTCCCCTCTGGAGGCTTGCTCTATCAGAGCCCTGCTGATGGAGGACAATGCCCCCAGCTCCTGGTGGAGAACACACTCACTCAAATCCAGGGAAGCAGGCAGGAGCCCGGAAACATTGGGAGGCCGAGGCATTTGCTGTGGGCTCTGCCGTCCATGGTCTTTTTGTTGTCCTTCCTCCTCCCCTTTCCAGACCTCAGTACCCTACGGTGCCCCCAACGCCCAGAGGCATCCCCAGTGCTCTTTCCATAGCAGCATGGCACCCTAGAAACTTCTTTCTTTGGATATTAAGAATAATCAGTCCTGGCCGGGCGCAGTGGCTCATGCCTGTAATCCCAGCACTTTGGGAGGCAGAGGTGGGCGGATCATGAGGTCAGAAGTTCGAGACCAGCCTGGCCAACATAGTGAAACCCCATCTCTACTAAAAATACAAAAAATTAGCTGGGCCTGGTGGTGGGCACCTACAATCCCAGCTACTCAGGAGGCTGAGGCAGGAGAATCGCTTGAACCCGTGAGGCAGAGATTGTGGTGAGCCGAGATCGCACCACTGCACTCCAGCTCAGGTGGTAGTGTGAGACTCCATCTCAAAAGGAATACAGTAGACCTCAAATGTCCTCACGTGGCTCAGAGGGGAGGGGTGTACTGGTTTGCTAGGGCCGCTGTAACAAAATGGCATTGACTGGGCGATTTAAACAACAAACATTGATTTTCTCACAGTTCCGGAGGCTGGAAGTTCAAGGTCAAGGTGTTGGCAGGGTTGGTGCATTCTAAAGGCCTCTTTCCTTGGCTTGTAGATGGCCGTCTTCTCCCTCTGTCTCACATGGGCTTCCCTCTGTGTCTGTGTCAGAATTGTCTCTCCTCATGAGGACACTAATCAGAACTGGATTAGGATCCTCCTCAAGGACTTCATTTTACTTTAAAATCTTTAAAGGTTCTATCTCCAAATATAGTCACATTTGAGGTTCTGAGGGTTAGGACTTCAGCAGATGAATTTTGGGAGGGGGTATACAGCTCAGCCTATAACAGGGAGGCAGCAGTGTGAACGGAGGAATAGCACACTGCAGTGACAGAGGCAAGCACCTGCCACTGACAAAGCTGAGAGGTGGGGAGTGGCTAATGTGGCCATGAAGGACACGGAGAAGGCTCCACAGAGGAGCTAAAATTCAACGTGCGTGTCTTGCAGGCTGTTGCCAGGAGGAGAGAGAAGGAATAGCATTTCAGGACTAGGGAGAAGCACATGTCAAGCCCCCTGGGTGAATCACTTTCATTCCCAGGTATTATATCTGTGTTACACTCTGATGAAGGAGTTTCCATCCCTGAGACAGACTGCAAATGGAGCCTTTGAGCATACCTTAAACATAGTTCATTGTCTATTACGTAGAAGAGATCTTCAAAAATCACTCACCGGCACCAAAGAAACGATTACTGTGAGGTCACATTTATTAAGCACATACTATATGGCAGGCAGGGTCCTAAGCTGTTTACATATGTTACCTCATTTAATACTCACAAACAACCCTCTAAGGTATGTTACCATCATCCCCCTTTTTCAGATGAGGAAAGTAGAGCACAGAGAGGTTAAATAACTTGGTCGAGGTCACACAGCTAGTAACATAGTTAACCACCTTATTAAATCCCAAGTACATCTCTATGGCAGGCCTTGGCAGTACTGAGATGAATACACACATTTGATTAGAGTCTTGCAGAGGGAGCACATCCTTCCTTCTTAGGCGGGGAAGGGAATTCCAGGAAGAGGACCTAGCGTGGGGAAGACTTCTGGGCTTCAGGGGCTGTGTGCCACTCCATGTAGCTGGAACATTAGGTGTGTGTTGGAGAGAGGTGGGGAGTGGGGTATTGGGGAGCAGCAGGCAGGTGTTGAGGGGCCCTGTGGCTCAGGCCTGAGCCTCTGTATTTCATCTGGAGGCTCTGGGGAGCCAGGCAAGGATTTTAAGCTGAGAAGGAGCTGTGTGTTGTTTCAGTTTCCGCATCTGAAAAAGGGGGATGATGGTAACATACCTTAGAGGTTTGTTTGTGAGTATTAAACGAGGTAACATATGTAAACAGCTTAGGACCCTGCCTGCCATATAATATATGCTTAATAAATGGTACCTCACAGCTTGTCATTGTTGCCCCTGCCAGGAGGAGGGAGGTGGGTGTCTAAGTCTGTTGGACAAAAATATGATCCTTGGTAAGATAATGTGTCAACAACCCATGTCCTAGTCCCCAGGAGGGAGGGCTGCTCCAGGCTGGAGTCCCAAACGGGCCTGGTTTGTCATCATTGAGGAATCTGGGACTGTGGGGTTTGATGAGGGTCACTCAGATCTCTGGCGAAGGGCTAGTGGTCACAGCCTCTGGCTTACGTTGAGATTAGCTGATTAATTTCAACACACACCACACCCTAATTGCAACACTGATAGGAAACATCCGGCTGGTCTGGTTTCAGCTTCTTTGAGCCTTACTTGAAGCCATGTTGCTATAGGTGAAGCCTAAGGTTTTAGGAAGTTCTACTGGAAAGAGGGGTGGTTGTTTAACAAGGCATTTCAAAAGGAATGGCAGTCATTCTGGAGTGCAATCATTACAGAAGGATTTGGCCTCTAAGGGCCTCTGGAATTCTTTGGAAGAAGGCATTGGCTGTGTAGCTGACACTCTACTCACTGTGGACATGGGTGGGTTTTTGGTGACATGAGGGACGAGGGCAGGGACAAGTGCTGCCCTGAATGTTCCTGCCTGGCCGGCAAGAAAGGCTTCTTGGACATTTGCCTTTTAGACAATGGAATGTGTTTTGCTCTTGCAGAGGATGGTCTTGGAGACTGGGATGGGGTTCGGGGAGAAAGAGGTTCTTGGAAATGAAAATTTACCATGGGGTCAAGGACCTCAAGGGGCCCCGGAGTGACAGGCCCTCCTGGTCTTCTGTATACCCTACTCCCCACCAGACGTCCATGACCCTGCAGTGGCACTTGTATGAGATGGCACGCAACCTGAAGGTGCAGGATATGCTGCGGGCAGAGGTCTTGGCTGCGCGGCACCAGGCCCAGGGAGACATGGCCACGATGCTACAGCTGGTCCCCCTCCTCAAAGCCAGCATCAAGGAGACACTAAGGCAAGCCCACAACCACCCATGCCGCCCCCAACTCCAATCCCTGGGCAGGGCCAGGGAAGTGCCCGGGGAAAGGGTTACGAGGATGGGCTGGTGGAGGAGGTTGGAAGCAGGAAGTGAAAAGTCTGGAGGAGAAAGAAATAGAGCCAGGGCCCTACCCCCAGGTCCCCCCAGGCTGCTGCAGCTAGGGCTGAGATGCCACACAGGGTGTGGGGCTCCGGCGGCTGTGTCCAGCCTTTGGGGCCATCAGCTTCTGAGTGCCCTCCTCCCGCAGACTTCACCCCATCTCCGTGACCCTGCAGAGATATCTTGTAAATGACTTGGTTCTTCGAGATTACATGATTCCTGCCAAGGTAGGTGCAGCCAGCAGGCTGCAGGCTCTGCCAGTCAGAGAGGGCTGGGGCAGGCTGGAATTGCAGACAGAGGGTGGCACTGGGGCCCTGGTGGGGCCCTTGATGGCAGCAGTCTAAGTCTGAATGAAGGGCAGAGGTGGTGGGCATGGTGGGCGGTGACCTCTAGGATGTTATTGGAACCCAGGGTTAGGAGGGAGACTTCATGATTTGCCTGGGTCTGAGGAAAGGGTGGGACAATCATCCTGGCCTTGGGTCTTCAGCCATCCCCATTTGGTGGGTAAGGATTACAGAGGGGCGGGGCCTTGTTCAAGGCTGCACAGTGGGCAGAATGTCCTGCCCTGGAGAGCTGGGCAGCCATGCTGGGGAGTGGGAGTGGTGGTGAGAGGGCAGGGGACTAGGGAAGGGGGTTTTGTGCTCAGGGCTGTGGGGAAGTGGGGCTTACTCAGGCCTCTGATCACCTTGCCCCAGACACTGGTGCAAGTGGCCATCTATGCTCTGGGCCGAGAGCCCACCTTCTTCTTCGACCCGGAAAATTTTGACCCAACCCGATGGCTGAGCAAAGACAAGAACATCACCTACTTCCGGAACTTGGGCTTTGGCTGGGGTGTGCGGCAGTGTCTGGGACGGCGGATCGCTGAGCTAGAGATGACCATCTTCCTCATCAATGTGAGTCAAGCTGGGGACATCTAGGCACCCTGGGCTGGCCCTGGCCCTAATGAAGGCACCAATCTTCCTCCTCCTATCTCTGTCCAGAGCCCAAGGATGTCAGTGCTGGGGCGCATCTACCTCCAGTTACTTGCTCTCGCTCTCTCCCACAGTTCTCTGCTGCCCCCTCTTTCGGGCTCAACCACTCATCACCCACTGATGCCCCTGGCCATCCATTCCCCATGGTGGTGATGGGATGGGATAGGACTGAGGTTTGTAGACAAGTTAAGGTCTAGGCCTAAATCAAGGAAATGCAGCACTAAGGGTGCATTATCAGGCACTGTGCAGGGTTACACCAGGAGCTGGTGGTGAACTCCTTGGAACTCCTCAAATCACACTCCACAGGCACTGCCTATGGGTGAATTGGCCTGGCTAGGGAGACAGATCCTCCCCTGCCCTCCCCTAAACCTACCATCTGCCTTTCTCAGATGCTGGAGAACTTCAGAGTTGAAATCCAACACCTCAGCGATGTGGGCACCACATTCAACCTCATTCTGATGCCTGAAAAGCCCATCTCCTTCACCTTCTGGCCCTTTAACCAGGAAGCAACCCAGCAGTGATCAGAGAGGATGGCCTGCAGCCACATGGGAGGAAGGCCCAGGGGTGGGGCCCATGGGGTCTCTGCATCTTCAGTCGTCTGTCCCAAGTCCTGCTCCTTTCTGCCCAGCCTGCTCAGCAGGTTGAATGGGTTCTCAGTGGTCACCTTCCTCAGCTCAGCTGGGCCACTCCTCTTCACCCACCCCATGGAGACAATAAACAGCTGAACCATGTGGTGTCTTGCGTTCCATCAGACTCATTAGGTGTTCATCACTCCCGTGGAGATGCTTCCTGTGTTAAAGCAGGATCTGGGCATGCTCAGGAGACCCCAGGTAGCCACACTTGAAGCCACCTCTGCTGGGACCCCCTCACCCATGGCAGTTCAGGAGCCAGCAGAATCAACTCCAGGCTCCCTGGGGCAAGGGGTGAGGCAGAGTGGGGCAGAGGAGGGGAGGCAACTGCTACTGTGCCAGGAGCTACAGAAGCATCAGGCAGAAGGACAAAGGAGAACTGGGGAGTTCTGTGGGTGGCCCCAAGAAGTGTGGGCCAGTACTGCCTTTCTGAGTGGACCTGCCCCACAGGGGTAAGGCTCGCACAGGGCTCTGCTTGGGTGAACTCTGGGTGGGAGTTCCCTGTGGGGCATGAGGACTTCCTGCCAAGGCCCAGCCAGAGTCCTGGGCATGGCAAAGGCCGAGAACTGTGGGTGAGAACCCCTGCTACTGAAGGGCTGGTGTGAGGTGGCTGACTGGGGATGAGAGGCCAGCCTGCTTCCTTTACCATTCCCGGGCCTCCTCTGGGCTTGCTCCAGGCCTCGTGTTCTTGCTCTGGGGGCTTGCGCCCCCTTGTCCAAGGGTGGGAGGTGGGGATACTATTCTGCAGCAGAGCCGCTGGTTTGTCATTTGGACTGAATGACACTGGTCTCGACTTCCGCCCCCTAATCCCTTGGGGTCTCCCAACTCCTGACCTGATTCCTCTTGGCCCTCGGCTATCCAAGTCTAAGTCCTGCAGGCAGGTGGGGGAGCTAGTCCAGCTGAGGCCAGTGGTCCAGCTGGCCTGGCCTCTCCTGCCCGAAGCTGTGGGATCTGGATCCACTCTTGGAGCCCTTCTGCTTTCCCCACCACAAAATCCTCTTCCCTGTTGTCTTTGTCTTTCCTTCCTGTGTCCTTTTTCTTCTCTGGTCCTGAGTCAGCTTTGACTCAGAAATGTTATAGCTGGAAAGAGGCTTACAGCCAATGAGGTCAAGCTCTACATGGAATAGATGGGGAAACTGAAGTCCAGAGAGGTTGCTTGGGTCCCTTGAGGTCACACAGCCTGTTTGCCCCCAGAACCTGGGCCTCCTGACTCCCTGTAGGTGCCTCCTTTCCCCTGGCCCAATCTGCTCTCCTGCCCCGGCTACATTTGGACACATCATTGCCAGCTCAGCCTAGTGGCTTAATGGAGTATTTCACAATGATACGTGACTGCCACAGGAAGGCTTCAAGCCTCCAAGTCTTTCCCTTTCCAAGAGACAGACAAACCAAACTTGAAAGAAGGAATATCAGACATGATAGATGTTTTGGGGCAGATGAAAAGGACAAGCCTCCCTCGTATTTCCCAACAGAGCTGGTCTCTGGTGGCCTTGCTTCTTCTCCGGGTCTGGAAGGGGCCCGTCTCCCTGGCCCCTGCTTTGGAAGGCCTCTTCTCTCCACCCTCCTGGGTCCACTGTGGCCCTTGGCTTTCCAAAGATGCTGGCTCCTGGGGCAGGCGGGAGGCTGTAAGGCTGCAGCAGAAGACCCAGGCCCAGGCCCAGAGTGAGGTCTAGGAGGAGGAAGCAGGGCCCCCAGGCTGCCCTGCTCCAGGAAAGAGGAAAATGCTCACAGAGCTACAACATTTAATAACGTCATTTTTAGGGGGCGGTGATGAGACTCCCCAGCACACAGGGAAGGAGGCCTGCTCTGGGGCTCAGGTCTGCTGAGAGTTAGCGGTCTCCTTCTGGGGGCTCAAGGGCTTGTTGAGCTTAGAGTCTGAGCTGGGCAGCAGGGGCTCCAGCTCTGAGGGCTGCTTGAGGTCCATGGAGTGGGTGAGGGCACTCTGTGGTGTGCAAAGCGGGGTGCGTGAGTACCCCCCATTCCCAGGGGGTGACCTGCTCAAGGGCATATTGCCTGACAAACCAGGCCTCAGAGTATCCAGAATCCAGTGGGCCATGACCTGGCAAAGATTTCTAAACCCATTTTGCCACAGCAGGTGACACCTAATTTCTCCAAGGGTCCCCAGGGCTCAGGTGAGTGTGCAAAGGTTGCCTTTGTTCCTTGCCTGTTCCCTCATCCTTTCCAGGCCTTTCCCAGGAGCCGCTGCTGAGCTTCTGGCCACGGGCAAAGCACAGCTGGCTCAAGAGCAGGAGAAGTCAGGGTCTTTGCTTTGCGGGGCTGGGCGGTCCCGGGGTTGAACTTGAGGGGCAGTTGTGAGCAGGCCTGTTTGTTCTCGGGAAGTTGGCAAAGTGGAGCCTACATCGTGGCCATCTGAGAAGGGTGTGCTAATTTGAGAATCTTAGGCTCTATGGATTCAGGGGGGTAGGGCCACAAGCTACTCTGCCCATGAGCGCAGCCAGTCCTAAAGCACAGTGTCAGGGCATCCTGGAGATGCCTGCATGGACCCCTCATCCACAGTCATCTCCTTGAGTTTCACAGCACCCCATGGGGGAAAGGGTAGTTTTGGCAGGGGTTTTCTGTTCCCCTTAGACAGGTGGGGGAATTAAGACCGAGCCTTCGGTTGGTAATGGAGCAGGAATGGGAGCCTAGGACTCCTGACCCCCAGCCCTGGAGTTGGCTCCACAATGGCTTTTCTCAGGGCCCAGTGACTTTGGGGGTGCGGTGGCTTCCTGCTCCACCACCTGAACCCCTGGGAGCTACTCCAGGGGGGTCACTCACAGGCTGTTCTATGATGATGGAGTTCGAGGGGTGCCTGAAACCTTTTTCTTGCTCCTGCAGCCGTGTGGCCAGATCCTGCTTCTCTCGTCCCCAGCGTCGAGCTGAGTCCTCTAACTGCAGACACAGAGAGGGACAATTGGAGGACCATGGGCAGCAGGGCTAATCCCTGATGGCCAGGACAACCAGGGCCTGAGCCTGCTGTCCAGGCAGAAAGCAAAGCTCTGGGCCATGTGGGCTTGACACCTTCCCGAGACCTCAGGGGTGGCGGGGTGAGGGTGAGGGGGCCAAACAGTCAGGCAGCCTGACCAAGACACAGATGGACATTTCAACAACATACTGAGCTCTGATCCTGAGTCCACACTGATCCCTGATTCTGGTCATAGACAGAGCCTGACCCTGGTCACACAATGAACCCTGACCCTGGATATACACTGAACCCTAACCCTGGTCATACACAGAACCCTAACCCTGGTCATACACAGAACCCTAACCTCGTTGTACACGGAACCCTGACCCTGGTTGCACACTGAACGCTGACTCTGGTCACACACTGAATCCTAACCCTGGCTGCACACTGAACCCTGACCCTGGTTGTATACTGAACCCTAACCCTGGTCGCACACTGAACCCTGACCCTGGTTGTACACTGAACCCTGACCCTGGTCACACACTGAACCCTAACCCTGGTCACACACTGAACCCTGACCCTGGATGTACACTGAACCCTGACCCTGGTCACACACTGAACCCTAACCCTGGTTGTACACTGAGCCCTGACCCTGATTGTACACTGAACCCTGACCCTGGTCACACACTGAACCCTAACCCTGGTTGTACACTGAACCCTGACCCTGGTTGCACATTGAACCCTAACCCTGGTAACACACTGAACTCTAACCCTGGTTGTACACTGAACCCTGACCCTGGTTACACACTGAACCCTAACCCTGGTTGTACACTGAGCCCTGACCCTGGTTGCACACTGAACCCCGACCCTGGCCACACACTAAGCCTTGATCCTGGTCATAGATTGAGCCTAGACTCTGCTCACACACTGAGCCCTGGTTATAGGCTGTGTGGTGAGCCTGATCCAGCCTCATCAACTCCTGCATCTCACCCACCTGGCTTTCCAGGGACAGGATCCGGCTCTGAGCGTGTTCCAGCTTGGCCAGGAGGTTGAACTTGTCTGAAGTACCAGAGAGGAGATCCTGTGGGCAAAGCACAAACTCACATTTGGCCCCAGCTGGAGGCTGTGGCAGTGTGAGCTTGGGAAACCATAAGGTATTGAGGAAGAAACCAGTCAGGCCTGAGTTCAGACTGAGCTCCCGAGGCAGAGCGTCAGACCTGGGCCGAACCCTCTTCTGGAAGTTCAGAACAGGGTCTGGCATGTGCTTTTTTCACAGCTGTTTCCCACACAGATTTTGAGAATACGAAGTTTTGACACAACATTTTTTTTAATGTAAAATGCATTAGGGAGCCCCCTATAATTAACGCACTGGGAGTCTTTGAGTGAAGTGAAGAACCTGTGAGGCAGTTGACCTCATCCCTCACACTTTACCTGGATGTCCATGAGTCAGGTGTGCTTTCAACAGAACTCACCTCCGGCGAGTCCTGGGATGGAGAGAAAACTCTCCTGTGCCCCTGCCCTGCCCAATATTCTGTGATTCCAAATGTTCTGCTTTGGGGTTTATGTAAAGCAAGGGGCCCCTGAAGCATCTTCAGAGGTGGAGCAGGGCCTGGGCATTTCTGGGCCCTGGGCCACCCACCTGTGCGGGCAGGGTCTCTGTGCACTCTGAGTGGCCTGGGCCATGCGTCTCTTGTAGCCTCTCTGTCAAGTCTCCTCCTGCTCCCAACTCCCCGGGGTCCACCTGGGATGGAAAAGGGCTCTCCAAGGCTGCACCAAGACCAGGGAATGCTCCAGAAGGGAGTTTTGAGAGGCCTGTGTAGGGTCCAGGTGGAGGCCAGCCAGGTGAAAAAGGGGTCAGGGTTCAGGGACCAAGGGTCAACAAGGGGCTTGCTTTCTCCTGGGATGCTAGATGAGGTTAAAGGTGAAGTGTTCGGGGACACACATTCCGCAGGAGAAAAAGACCAAGGCCTGAGAGCTGATTCCAGGAGCCCCCAGGCAGACTGGAGACCCTGGGAAGCTTAGCTCCTGGTCTTGATCTTCAACTTGGGTTGTACCATGGGTGATTTCTGGGCACCCAGTGACCGGCATAGGCAGGCCCAGGTCAAGGGCCTCTTACCGGCAGGGCCTGTTGCTGCAGAATGATGGGGGCCTGCTGGTGGCGGTTCTTATCCAGCTCCGTCCGCAGCTTCGCGTTTTCTGCCAGCAGCACCGAGTAAAGTTCAACCGGCAGGTTCTCTCCCATAGAACCCAAGGGAAGGCCAGAGGCTGAGAGCATAGGGAAGCCTAGAGACACGGCCACAGATGTTGGTGAGATGGGCTCTCCTGCTTCCCATGTCCCTGTCCTGATCTGCTCCAGCATTTTGCTTCAATCTGCCACCCCTCCCCTCTACTCCCAAGCCTTCAATGGCTCCCTACCACCAGTGGGATCAGGTGCACACAGGCTGTCCTTCTAGGCTCTTTAGAACCTGACCTCAACGTTCTCTCTAACTCCTCATTTGTCTTCAGTGTATTTCAGCTCCTCACCTCTCTCTCTTCCTCCCTTCTCTGATCCTGGAATTCTTCTCACTCCCTGGGCCTTTGATCTGGCTGTTTCCCCTCCCTAGGTTGCCTTCTCAGTCTCATCCAGACTCCTGGATGACCTCAGGCTTCCTGAAAGGCCAGCCCAGCTTTCATTGCATTCTAAAGGCTCCTAGAAACACCCTCCTGCCCCTGAGACCCTCAGCGGTGAAGGCTAAGCACAGGGCTGGGCACACAGGGGCCCTGGGTGAGGTTGCACAGGCAGGCTCAGGGAAATCCCTTGCTTTGGGCTGGCCTGATATGGTGTTACCTGGTCCTTTCTGCTTATCAGAGGCTGATTGGCAGTTTTAGGTGGCTTTTGGTTAATATCGATGGGGAAGAAAACCTCCAAATCATTTATTTATTTATTTATTTTGAGGCGGAGTCTCCCTCTGTCACCCAGGCCGGAGTACAGTGGCACAATCTTGGCTCACAGCAACCTCTGCCTCCTGGGCTCAAGTGATTCTCCTGCCTCAGCCTCCCAAGTAGCTGGGATTATAGGTGCCCGCCACCATGCCCAGCTAATTTTTGTATTTTTAGTAGAGATGGGGTTTCACCATGTTGGCCAGGCTGGTCTTGAACTCCTGACCTCAAGTGATCTGCCCTCCTCGGCCTCCCAAAGTGCTGGGATTACAGGCATGAACCATTGCGCCTGGCCCCAGATCATTGATTTAATCAAAGTATTTTTGTTTGTTTGCTTTGCAGAGGCAGAATCTTTGGCGGTATGGGGAAATAATTCGACGGATCCTGGGGCTAGGAGCTGGGAAGTGTTGCCCCAGGTGGCCCTTCTTCAGGGGAAGGCCCTCTCTGCTGTGCTAGTCTGCAGGGCCCTCCTCTGGAGGTCCACCCTCTTTCTAGCCTGGCTCACACTGCATCCCAATTGTGTTCTGAGGGGCTTCCAGGGAAGGAGGGAGCTCAGGGGATCTCTGGATGGGGCGCCTGAATGAGGAGGGGAGCAGGGCAATCCTGGGTCTCCCAGGCCCACAGACATAACTGAGTGCAGGGGACCTCTTCGCAGGTTCTCCTGAAGCTGAGAGGCTCCAGGAAGGCAGGGCCTCCAGGGGTGGAGCAGAAGCTGGGGAGCTGATCACATCAGGGTGTGGACCCACCCGTGTAGGGCTTTCCCTGCTGCCTGTTCAGAGGAGGGGGCTTGCTCCTGTCCTGCAGCCTGTCCTCCAGCACCCGCTCCATCTTCTCGATCACCTGGAGAGCAGAGCAGAGGCTGGGCTGGCCCAGGGGCTCCCTACTCTGCCATCATCAGTTGGCCTCGGGGGCAGCCCCTCTGCCACCTGCCTTCTCTTGGTGCCGCACAGTCTCCTCCAGCGCCTTCATCTTCTGCAGCTTGCCCTGGTACTGCTTCAGCAGAGCGGCCTGTGGCTGCTGGGCCTGATACAGAAGGAGCAGCTCCTTCTCTCGATCATTCTTCTGTGAGATGGGGGAGGAGAGAAGGGGAGAGAATGGGTGCCTGGGAGTCCACCTTGGCCCTGAGGGTCCACCTCGGCCCCTCTGCTGAATCCTCCACCAGGCTGGTCCCCCTTTCTTCCGTGCTTCCATTCCCTCTGTGCCTGTTCTCCCTTCTCCTCCCAGACTCTTCTCACCCCGATGCTCCCCCACCATAGCTCCCTCCCCTCTGCCCCCACAAGCCCCAGCTCACTCGAATCAGCTCATTCTGCAAATGCTGCACCCTGTCCCTCAGTTTCTTCATATCCAGCTCACTCAGCAGCAGTTTCTGCTTCATGGACACTGTTAGGTGGGTTGGGGAGCTGGCTCAGGGAGGAAGCCTCTCCCAGCTCAAATCAGCATGGTCAGTAGCAGGAAGGCAGATATCCCTTGGCCCGAGGGCTTGGGACGGGACTGGATTCTCTGTTTCCCATCCCTGAGAGGACCCAGCTGGGCAGGGACTGTGTGAGTGTCTGTGGGCGAGGGGCTCCTATTTGCCAGAGTCCAGCAGCATGCACATCTGGGAGAAGCTCCCAGCCACCCTATTGCACAACCTGGAGCCTGGGCCCAGGCAGAAGCCCGGGTGCCCTTGGTGGCCTGCACATCCTCACCCGTGTTCTGGGCCTCACTGGCTTTGCCCTGCCCCTCTTCCTCCTCCTGCTGGGCCAGGCGGCTCCTCAGTATGCGGTTCTCTCCTTCCAGGATGCTGGCCTGTCTCCGCAGAGACAGGATGTCCTCTGCCATCTTCTGCATGGCCCGCCGGTAGTTGTTCATCTCCTGTGGATCCCAGAGCCCAGAGCTGAGCCCACTGCCCCATAGCAACCCTGGTCCCACATCCACATCTACACTTGAAAGTCAGTGGGTCCCCCACAAGGCCAGTGAGCACCAGGAGCCCCAAGCCATGGCCCTAAGTCTTAGCAGCTCCCTGGAAGGGTGGTTATGACTTGATCCTCACCCATCCTGGCCATGTGAGGGCAGCCACACTAATGTTCTCTCCCCGGGGCCACATCACGTCCTGTGATACCAACTCAGGGGGAAACCCCAGGTGTGGACACAGGGGAGGAGGCCTATGGGCAATGGAGACTTGAGAAGATCCAGGGCCAGGTTTGCAGGGTCTGGCTCGATCATAGCTATTTCTTCACCTTTTCCCTCCTCCTTCCCCATCTTCTAACTCCTCTCATTCCTCACGTCACTGAGAACCCAGGGAAGAACCTCTCAGAAATCCCACTGGATGCCACTTGGAAGGTGACTGGGCATCAGCCCTCCAAACAGCTCAGTAGTCAGAGGACCCAAGGTCACCCTGGGAGACCCAGGTTAGAGCTTAGTGGAGGCTGGGATCCAGCTACAGGATGTGGGGTATGAGGTGGGGCTGGGGGCTGGAGTCAGCCATGAGGTCAGGAACAACAGCAATCCTAATGTCTGATGCTCATTGAGCATTCACTGTGTTCCAGGTCTTCTTCTAAGCTTTTTATGTGCCCTCCCTCAGTCCTCTCATCAGACCTGCGTGGATAGGTACTATTATCTCCGTTATACCAATGCGGAAACCAAGGCCCAGAGAGGTGAGTAACTTGCTCAGTTACAAGACTGATTAGTGATAGAGCCAGGGTCTGAAATCCAGGCCTGCAGGGACTTGAGCCTCTGTTCTGAAGAGCCGTGCAATTCTGCCATGAGGCCTCCATATGTGGACACTTCACAATACGCTGAGAAGTGATAAAAGCAGGCTACAAAAAGGAATGATCAGTGCAATCCCCAATCGAGAGAAAAAATCATGCCTGCCCATGTGCATGTATATATATATATATATGAAAATTAATAGGCTATATTTATATGCATTTGTTTTATAAGCAGAAATTCCCTACTGTTATTTATAAAGTTTCACAAAGGGAGTTTCTTAAATCTGAACAGCACAAAATAGAAAAGGATCGTGCAGTGGCACCATCATAGCTCACTGCAACCTCGATGTGAAGCCAGAGAGGTCTGGATGGAGGAACAGCAGGTGGGAGCTGGGATGGGGGAGGAAATGGGCATGGGGAAGTGAGTTTGCTCCTGCGTTTGCTGAGCCCCTGTGGCTGTGGGCTTCCTGAAGCTGTGGGAGGCTGTGTACATACGGGTGGGGACTCACACCTCCAGGAAGCAGAGCTCGGCCCCCAGCAACCACCTGGGCCTCATGCTGACTGCGGATATGGCCTGCCTTCTCAGCCACTGCCTCCCACCTGCTGCATGGCAGGCCATGGCTTCGAGAGCAGGGGTCTCCTGGCAGCAGGGGCCCACCAGACACCACTTGTCACCTGCCACTGTCTAGCCTTCTGGTTGGGCTCCCTCTAATTGCACCAGTGCCAGGTTCATCTCTCCAGCACTTGCCCCTGTTGAGTTCCAGGTCTTGGCTCCTCCAGATCTGCCCATCTGGTGTCCTCGGACAGCATTGTTAATGGAGAGACTCTGTCTAGAGACCACACACACACAGGGCTTTGCAGTCAGGCCCAGATCAGCAGGCCAGCTTGGCCACTCACATGCAGTGTGAGTTCAGCCAGGCCCCTTCACCTTTCTGAGCCTCAGAGTCCTCACACGGAGATGCCTGGTGTTGCTGTGAGGCTCAAGAGTTGGTGCGTGAAGCCCCTGCCCAGGCAGGTATAATTTGGAGGCTGCTGCTCTCCTCCACACCCATTTCTATTCTAATCACTGCTTTAATCAACAGGTCAGACCCCTTCCTCTTCCTCCTTGCTGCCCCCAGAGCTCCCAGGCCCTTCCTTTGCTGTGCTCTAAATCTTCAGTTTATGGCAGCCCATTACTGATGGGGGACTGACCAAAGGAAGCACACGATATTTTGGCAAAGGAAATTTGGCCCCTTCTTTCTTTGCCCAGCCTGGTTCAAGCTCTTAGCATATCTGCCCTGGACAATTACAGCAGCATCCAAATGGGTTTTCTTGGCTTCCAGCGAAACACGCACACACACATCCAGGAAAATGCATGCAGGGATGCTCACTGCAGCACAGCTTGTGGTCTTATATGAGGGCATGCTCAGTCTCTGCACCACAGGCTGTGGTCACAAAGGATGACCCAGATTTTATTATACTGACACACAGAGATGGCCACGCTCTATTGTGAAAGGAAAGTGCATGTGGCAAATTAATACGATCCTGTCCATAACCGGGTTGTGAGCATGCTCATGGAGTGAGTCCTGGGGGAGGGGGCTGCCAGTTCCTCAGCCCACCCCATGGGTCTGATCACCCCCTCTTCTCATTCAGAGGGTCATTTTTTCTAAGACCCTCCTGTTCTCCAACTCAGCTGTTTTGGGGCATGAGCAGAGCTCTGTTATTTTTATTTTTGTTTTGTGACGGAGTCTCACTCCATCACCCAGGCTGGAGTGCAGTGGCACAATCTTGGCTCTCTGCAAACTCTGCCTCCCAGGTTCAAGCCATTCTCTGGCCTCAGCCTCCCAAGTAGCTGGGACTACAGGCGTGCACCACCACGCCCAGCTAATTTTTGTCTTTTTAGTAGAGATGGAGTTTCACCATGTTGGTCAGGCTAGTCTCGAACTCCTGACCTCAGGTAATCTGCCCGCCTCAGCCTCCCAAAGTGCTGAGATTAGAGGAATGAGCCACCGCACCTGGCCCAGAGCTCTGTTATTAACACCTCGCTTTGACAGACAAAGAAAGCTGGGGCCCAGAGCGAGGAAGGAGATGGAGGGAGAGCATGGCTTCTGGTGAGGCCGCGTCCCTGTCTCAGTCAGACGGTCCCTGCTGGACTCCACTCCTCGGAGACTAGTCCTATAGGCCTCCACAGGTGCCTATCCCCCTCCCCCACCAAGCCTGGCTGCTCTCTGAGAGAGAGGGCTCCCCCAGGGCATGGAGAGGGATCTCGGCCCTGGCTTACCCCTCAGTCTGTATGCTCTCTTCCCTCTACATCTGTGGGAAACTGAAGGACCTGCTTTCCCTCCTCGGCTTCCCCCACCCGCACAGCAGTGACCTTGAGCAGCACAGCTGGTCTGGGAGGACACTGCCTGCAGATGAGCAGCCCTGACCACTCCCTACAGCCTGGAGCTGGGCCTCCCCAACCCCCAGGGCCATGCTCTGCGTCACAGCCCAGCCTTGAGAACAGGAAGGACACCATGGCCCAGATTCCTGTTGTGGTCCTGCTGACTCCCCTGCTCCAATCCCTCCCCTCCAGCCCCCTCCCCACTTTCCAGTCTGCTGGGGGAGGGTCAGGCACCAGCCACTTCCCTGTCTTGTCCCTAGGCTTAGCCTCCTCTAGAAGGACTGACTCCAAAGCCATTGTGCCTAAGGCTAGTGCCCACTGCATTCTCCTCACCCATTGACACTGCGCTTTCCCCATCCAAGACCCAGCTATCAGATCCTGCCCAGGTGAGAAATGTCAGGTGTCCTTGGGTTTGAATTGCCCCACTGCCACTGAGCGCTGGTGGCCTTTGCTGCACCGACACCTTCGCTTTGGCTCTGGAAGGGAGGCTGTTCTCTGAGCCTTAGCGTCCTCATCCGTGGAATGGGAAAATCACCCCACCCCAAGGGGGGTTGCTGTGGAGAGAGAGGGGGCATGAACAGTGCCAGCCCAGGCTCTGGCACACAGGGTGCCTGGCAACAGCATCTCTTTTTCCTCCACCACCTTCTGAGTGCTTTCTTGTTTTCCAAGATGGAGACTTACTCTGTCACCCAGGCTAGAGTGCAGTGGCATGATCATAGCTCACTGCAACCTCGAACTTCTGGGCTCAAGTGGTCCTCCTGACTCAGCCTCCCAAGTAGCTGGGACTACAGGTGTGTGCCACCATGCCTGGCTAATTTTTAAATTTTTTGTAAAGATGGGGCCTTGCTATGTTGCCCAGGCTGGTCTTGAACTCCTAGCCTCAAGAGATCCTCCTACCTTGACCTCCCAAAGTGCTGGGATTATAGGCATGAGCCATTCTGCCTGCCGTCGCACTTTTAATGGTTCTTATTATAACCCTGGGCAGTGGGCACAGAAGATATGATGATGTGACTACTTTCATTGTATAGAAACTGAGGACCAGTTCCCACGAAGGAGGAGGAATGGCGATTGTCTTTGTTTTTATGCTGGGAGTGGGGAGAAGGAGGAGCTGGGTTAGGGAGGGTGTGTTGGGGGTAAGGTACCTGCAGGGCCTTGGGTGCAGGAGGCCTAAAGAGGGTAATGCTTAACCCTTACCCACCCCCCGCAAAAAAATAAGAAGTGCTTCTGGCAGAATCTGAGGCACTGCATCCAATGACACCTGTGGCTACTTAGGGTCCTTATAAACTCATTGTAAAATGGGGAAGCTGAGATTGGAAGTAGTGTTCCCAAGGTCACAGAGACTCAGTGTAAAGGCTACATTGGAAGCAGCACAGTCATCAGCAGTTGCTGAAGGCCATGTCCACACTGGGGCCATGGAGCCCAGACCAGCCCAGACCGTCCCTGCTTGTGATGGTCTCCCATCTACACCAAGGAGATGGCAGTGACATCTGTGACAGAGGAGAGCTTACAGGAGTCTCTTTTCCTAGCCCCAGGTCTAGGAAGCCTTCCTGGAGGTGGTGATAGCCTGAGCTCACTCTAGGAGGGTGAGCAGGTGTTACCCGGGGTAGGGGAGAGGGCTCTTGGGCAGAGGAGACACTGTGGCAAAGGCAGGGAGGAGAGAGAGTGTATGATCAGGAACAAAGTCGGTGACTTCCTGGAGGGCAGAGTGCTGGTTGGGGAGTAAGTAGGGGTGTGGCCAATCTCAGGAGCTTGGATTCCATCCTGCAGGCCAGTGAAGGGCCTAAGCTGGAGGGGGTTTGTGGCAAGATGCCTCAGGCCACCAAGATGGACAGAGAAATGAATGGAGGCCCAGAGCAGGGAGCCAGGGACCCTTGCTGGGTGGAGGCAGACCAAGGAGGACTCAGCATGACAGAGTGAAGTGAACAACGAAGAGGAGGGTTGGGGATGGCAGAGCAGGAGGTTGGCAGGGGGCTAGGGTCTTTGGGTGGAGGAGGTGCATGCCTGTAGTGTGGAGGAGGAGGAGGTGGGGGAGGAGGGGGAGGAGTGGGAGAAGTCTGGGGCCTTTTGGTAGAGGTGCATGCCTGGAGTGGGAAGGAGGAAGAGGGGAGAAGGAGGAGGTGGGGGATGAGGAGAGGAGGAGCTGGGGTCTTTGGGTGGAGGAGGCGCAGGTCTGGAGTGGGAAGGAGGGGGAGCTGGGTTGGGGGAGGAGCGTGTTAGGGGTGAGGTACCTGCAGGGCCTCAGGTGCAGGAGGCCAGCAGTGGCTGATGGTGATCAAGCCTGGAGTGAATCCTGGTGGGGGACAGGTGGCAGGACAGCCCTGGTTCCATTGGAGCCTTGGGAAGGGAGCAGATTTTCAGCGTCTGGCAACTGTGGAGTGAGGAGGGGGTTCAAGGACAAGGGGTGGTAGGAGAGGAGCTCTCAGGACTAGCGCAATTGCCAGAGAGGTAGGAGGAAAAGCGGCGAGAGCAGGCTGGCAAGAGGGCTTCAAAAGGAGGACAACCACCTTCCGCTTGAGTCTTGCGGCTTGGATGATGGAGATGAACCCGCCGCTAGAGATGGTCTGAATGGGACACAAAGCAAAACTCACCTTCATAAAAACATTAAAGAACTGGCAAGTGAGTGAGGAATTATGGGGCAGAGATAGGGGCAGGTGGAGACCCATACAGCGGGATACTTCAGAGCAATAAGAAACCATGATGTGGGTGAACCTCACATACATCAAGGTGAGCAAAAGAGCCGTGTGCAAAGCAATGTGTATGTCACGGTGCCCTCTCCATGAAGGTAAAAATAGAAAATTTAGGCCAGAGTGATTCGAGAGGCATGCTCAGGTAGCGACAGTATAAAGAAGCAAAGCAGGTCAGGCACAGTGGCTCACACTTTTTTTTTTTTTTTTTTTTTTTGAGATGGAGTCTCTTTCTATTGCCTAGGCTGGAGTGCAGTGGTGTGATCTTGGCTCACTGTAACCGCCTCCCGGGTTCAGGCAATTCTCCTGCCTCAGCCTCCTGAGTAGCTGGGATTACAGGCGCCTGCCACTATGCCGGGCTAATTTTTTTTGTATTTTTAGTAGAGACGGGGTTTCACCATGTTGGTCAGGCTAGTCTCGAACTCCTGACCTCATGATCCGCCCACCTTGGCCTCCCAAAGTGCTGGGATTACAGGCGTGAACCAACCGGCAGCTTAACCCTTTAATCCCAGCACTTTGGGAGGCTGAGGCAGGCAGGTCACTCCAGGTCAGAAGCTTGAGACCAGCCTGACTAACATGGTGAAACCCCATTTCTACACAAAAGCCCAAAAAATAGCCGGGCGTGGTGGCGGGTGCCTGTAATCCCAGCTACTTGGCAGGCCGAGGCCTGAGAATCACTTGAACCCGGGAGGCGGAGGTTGCAGTGAGCTGAGATTATGCCACTGCACTTCAGCCTGGGTGATAGAGCAAGACTGTGTCCCAAAAATAAAAAAAATAATTAAAAAATAAAAAAATAAAGAAGCAAAGCAAGGACAGAAAGCTGGCAGAGTGATTACATCCAGGAGAGGAGGGGTGTGGCTGGGAGGGGCATGAGGGGCGTGAGGATGCTGGTGATGCTGTTTCCTGACCTGGGTGGTGGTTTCATGGACATTTGCTATATAATAATTTATAATAATTATGTTCTATATGTTCAATGCAATTTTTCTTAAATTGTGAAATGGGTTACATTTCACAATTTAAAAGAATTTTGGAAAAAGGAGAGAAGGCTTAGCAGTTTCCGGATCTGCAGAGGGAGCCTCTTGGTGTGGCCTGGAGGAAGTGACCTTGGCCAGTGCTCTGAATGCTGGGTGCTGTGGGTAAGGTCTGAGGGGACAGTGAGGTTGAGAAGGGTCAAAGGTAGCTAGGAAAACAGGGTCAAGGAGAGGCATAGTGGTGGAGAGAGAGGATTTCCTGGAGACTTAGAAGGTAAGAGGGAGGGATGCATAGGGGAGGTATGGGCTGGAGCAGGGGTAGGAGCGGGGAGGGGCTTCACTCTCCCAGAGAAGGAGGCCTGAGACAGGTTGCTGGGTCTGAGGTAGTGTGGGTGGCAGTCTGGCTAGTGTTGAAGTGGGTGCAGAGGGTGGGTTTGCTGGACCAGGCACACACCCTCTCCTCTGTCCCCTTCCTTGGGCGGCCACCCAATCTCAGGGTTCCCCGGATCCCCAGGATCCATCGCTGGCAGGCCCAGGCCATCTGCATGTGGTTTGCCTTTGCAGTCAGCAGAGGGCAGCCGCCTCCCACAGACACTCAGCTTCAGCCTGTGGTGGGATGAGGCCAACCTGAGTGGCCCACAGCTCATATTGTGGGGAAGGTGTGTGCGGAGCTGTCTCTCTCCCCAGTTCCAGGAGCACATGTCCTTCCTCCAGGTGGTCCAGCCAGCCTTCCAAGACCTCTAGCCCTGGAACCCCCATCTCACAAGTTCTGATATTGGGACCAGAGAGGTGCAGAGATTTGCCTGAAGTCACTCAGTGAATCTTGAACCTGGGGCCTCTATCCTGGGTTAGCTCCAGGGAAGATGTTGGGGCTGAGTGGTGAGGACAGGGGCTTGGGATGAGACCCATCTTGCAGTAACCCCAATTCTTCCCTGCTAGCTGCTAATTCCTTGCTGCCCTGAGACTGTGAGGAAGCCCAAACTAAGTGTATGGGAGAGAGCGAGGCCCACCCAGCCCTGGCTGCTCCCGCCCCTGCCCGTAGGTCGTCCCAGCTGAGGACTTAGACCTGCTGTGCCGTGGCTGAGTTCCTGACCCACAAAGCTATGAGATGTGATAATAAAAGAAAAAATTATCGTTTTAAATGATAACATTTTGGGGTAGTTTGTTATTGCAATAGGTAACTGGAACATCCTCTCTGGCCTCCAGACCCCTCCAATGACTCCCACTGGCCCTCATGGTAAATTTCCAACTTTGAATTTCCACCTCTTTCAGCACAGCTAGACCCCCTTTCAGAATTTAGCCCTGGCCACTCCACCCATGGGCCCAGCCTTCTGGGCCCCTATCTTCAAAGCCTTCCCTACCTCTGCCCAGAAGCTGTTTCTCGCCTACACCAGCCTGGCACTCCTCATCTGCCAAGGGCCACGCACATGCTCCCCCTTCAGCTCCTAAAGACCTTGATGGCAGGGAAGGGCCTCCCTGCCTCCCTGACTTACTCAGGCAAATCCTTTGACCCAGACCCTGCTCCTGCCAGATTTGCCAAACAGAACTCCTGTAGGTGTCCTTTGAATGTCAGAGAGGTCTCTCTTGGCTAATCTAAATTTCCCAATACTTTTAAAGGGAATTAACCACATTTCTTGGCCCGGTGCGGTGGTTCACGCCTGTAATCCCAGCACTTTGGGAGCCGAGGGGGGCGGATCACTCACGGTCAGGAGTTCAAGACCAGCCTAGCCAACACAGTGAAACCCCCTCTCTACTAAAAATACAAAAAGTACACCGGGCACAGTGGCTCATGCCTGTAATCTCAGCACTTTGGGAGGCTAAGGGAGGTGGATCACCTGAGGTCAGCAGTTTGAGACCAGCCTGGCCAACATGGTGAAACCCCATCTCTACTAAAAATACAAAAATTAGCCAGGCATGGTGGTGGATGCCTGTAATCCCAGCTACTTGGGAGGATGAGGTGGGAGAATCGCTTGAACTGGGGGGCAGGCGGGGGTGGGGCGGAGGTTGCACTGAGCTGAGATCGTGCCTCTGAACTCCAGCCTGGGCAACAGAGCAAGACTCCATCTCAAAAATAAATAAATAAATAAAATAAGATAAAATAAAATAAAGCGAATTAACCACATTTCTTTAAAATACAATGGAAAATTCAGCTGGCAAATTGATGCTGGCCTCCTCCAGTTCCAGAGACCAGGGAGCAAAAGCCCAGTTCTGAGGGGCCGTCTCAGGGACAAGTCGGGGAGGATGGAGGTTGTGCCTGAAAATTTGCTGAAAGGGACTAGTGTTTTCCCAGGGGTTGGGGCTCACCATGGCTAAGAAGTCCCCTTACTCCCAGAAACACACGGGCCAATGCCACTGGGACCCTGGCCTCTCAGTTCTTTGCCACTGCCCACCCAGCCAAGCTCCCTTCCCAGCCACTGAAGGACAATAGAACCCACTGGCCATGAGGACAAGCTTCTTTCTTTCCCTCCATTCACTCTGGAACCTCATCACCACCAGAGGGCAGGCGAGGGAGGACTGAGAGCCTCATTGGCTGGGTGGGATATCGAAGCGGCAAGGGCATAGCCCAGTGGGAGAGGCTGCGCTCCTGAGACACAGAGGGCAGGGTTAGGGAGGTGAGGGCAGGGTGGTCTGTGCGATGTGGCATTGCCCTGGGGGTGGGAGCCTGGAGGAGGCAATGGCACTGGTGGGTCCCCTTCTCCACCTGTCACCACCCCAGGGTGGCCCCAGCTTCCCAAACCCCATTTTGGACTCTGGCATATATCTCCCTTCCACCTGCTCCCCAGCAGGGCCTGGCAGCTGCTGTTTGTACCCCTAAGCTCAGCTCTGTTGGGGGTGGGGAGACCCTGCACTCAGAGAGTTCCCGGTGGGAGGCAGGCCTTGTGTGGGACATGGCTCACACCCTAGGAGTGCAAGTCAAGGCCAGGGGTAGGGTTGGGGAGGGGATCCTGCAGGGGAGGGGTGGAGCTGGGCCTTTGAGGTGCAGGTGAGATTTGACTGGATTGGGTGGGACTTCAGAGGTGGGGAACACTGAGGGAAGGTGTGGAGGCCCATGTGGGCTGGGCTCTTTGGAGGCAGCAAAGTACACAGGTCTGTCTGGCTAGAGAGCTGGAGCAGGCCCACCTGTTTGCACCAGCCAGGCCCGGAAGCTCTGCTTCTGAACAGAGCGCAGTGGGGAGTCACAGGAGTTTCTAGAACCAGGGCCCTGCTCACCCCAGGTCTCTGCTCCTGGTTCCCCTCGAATGTCATCTGGGCCTCCCAACCACAACAAATCTGTGCAAATTGCTGTTTAAAACAGACTTCCTGCTCCACAGAAGCTGCCCTCCCAGGGAGGGGAGGCAGTTGCTTCTTTGTTCAGCCCAAGGTTATGGCAAAGAAACAAAAGGAGTGAATTTTCCCTTTCTTCTGTTCTTTCTTTCCCTTCCTGCTGCAGCAGAGATGATGCCTAGAAAGCTTTTGTGCTTGGCTTGGTGAAGCTTGGAGGGGTGGCAGGGCCTTGGCCGGCAGCTGACCTCAGCCCCTGTCTAATTGGCCCCTGCAGGAGCCAGGTGCTAATTGGGCCTGGCTGGGACAATGGAGACCGGCTGGGCTGGGGTGGGGGCGGGGCTTCCTGGAAGATGCTGGCTTCCCATTCCTACTTCCCCTCCTAGGCTTTTCTGAACGCTGCCTGACCCTCAAGGCTCCATTCTGGGCCCTCCTCCTCCAGGAAGACCCCCGGGCTATCCCAAGACAGGCCATCAGTCATGACTCCTTGGGTATTGGGCCAGAGTCCAGCCTCTGCTGACAGCAGATTGGGGCCAGCCCTTGCTCTCAGCCCAGGTGAGTACAGGGCTGGGCATTCAGCAGGTGGTGAGGGGCAGGCCCCAGTCCTGGTCTCACAGGCCCTGTTCACTCTTCCTCAAAGAACCCTTCCCCACTGGTCACCTCCTGCCAGAATCCTCCCTGGTTAGAGCTTTGCTGCCTCAGGAATGCCCCACATTGGGTGGGGGAAGAGCCCTGGCTGGAACCCAGAACCTTGGGTTCTGATCCAGCCTCTGCCCACAGCTGTCGAACGACCCGAAGCGAGGCCCTTGCCCACTCCGTGCCTGCTCATCTGCACCCTGTGGGGAATGACCCTTGTTGGGGTTGTCCTCTGGGATTCTTGCCAAAGGGGAAGAAGAAATGCTTTGGCAACTGGGGCCCAAACCAGAAGGGTTAGCACTTACTGGGGCGGCCCCAGCCCCCAGTCTGAGCTGCTGCTTCCACTGGATGCCCCATCTGCCACACCCACTCCTCCTCACAGCTCGGCACCACACATGCACTACCAGCAAGCCTTCCCAGGCTAGCCCAGGCTCAGCCACTTTCTAGGATCCAAGGCTGGACCTCCAAGACACCAGAGGTAGGGCCCAGACTAGCAGGAGGCAATGATCACTTCAAGGGATTTTCCCAGAAGCCCTTCTGTCCTCCCTCTCTGGATTACTGTGTGGGCTCAGGTGGCCTAGGCTGGAGCCAGGGGCCTTGCAAAAGATTCCTGTGACCACGGGCATCTAAGGGCCAAAGCCCTGGTCCTCTCCACCCTGCCTCCCACTTAAGAGGCTCTGGGAACACCTCTACTGGTTGCTGGGCAACACACCCCAACACACCTGCTGCTAGGCGAGCCAACCCATCTTCCCAGAACCAGTGGGCGAGGGGGCGACTTACAGAGAAGCTGTCAATGAGGCCTGGGGCAGCCTTGGGGGCTGGAGGGGATGGGGGCCCTGGCTCCCCCATCTTTACTGCTAGCAGTCCTGTTCCCCAGGATGGGTCCCCAGGGACTGTTGCTACAACAAGTGCCTGCCTGGTGACCAAGCCCAGCCCTGAGCTGGAAGCAGGCAGGCCCATGGGGCCACTTCCCCTTTGTTCCAGGGTGGGGGGTGTCTGGGTGGGGTGGCTGAAATCATGCAAGGTTCACTCCTTGGCCACAGAATTGTATGGAGACAGCAGGGCCGGGGAGGGCTGTGGGGCCCTTCAGGGCTCCGGCCTTCTGACTCCCCTGGCCCAGGCTCAGAGTCCCTCCTCCCTCACCTGCCCTTGGCTACACCTTGGTTCCTGCCTCCCCCTCAACTCCCTCCGCTCTTCTCCACTTTCTCTGCCTCCTGGTTACCCCCATACCCTGTCTCCCCTTTCTCTCCCACTGAGCCTCACCCTCTGTCCCTGAGTCTCCTCCTCCCCCTCCCCCTTAGTCTCTCTGCTCCCTGATTCCCCCTTGTCCCCTCAGGAGTCCTCCCCACCCCGCAGCAGCACAAGCTGGGCTCACTCTCCTCCCTGCAGCTGCAGTGTGGCTTAGGGCCCCACGCCTGGTCCCTGGGGACTTCCTCTGGCTGCTTTCCTGATGCTCTGGACAAATTCCTTTCTCTTTAGTTCAGCGGAGACATGGGTGGATGTTTTTGAAAGAAACTCACTGGGAAGCAAAAAAAAAAAAAAAAAAAAAAACAAACCCAAACAAGCCAGCCCGCCACCTAGAAACGGCCCTGGTCATGAAGGCAGAATGTCTGATATAACTGGCTTCAGCCTGGGTTGCGGAGACCCCCTCCTGGGGCATGGAGGGGCCTGCCTGCCTTTCCCCAGCTGAACTGGGTTCAGCCTGTCTGTCCCAGACAAGCTTGGTCCCAAAGGCTTTCATGATAGGGCCCTCCACCTGGACCTAGCAAGATGCTGACCAGCACTGGGACTTCATAAATATTTGTTTACTTGTTTAATGAATGAATAGATGACTTACAGTGTTCTTTGGGGCCTCAATGGTGGCACAATAATAATCCCTGACTGGACAAGCCAAGACAGTCACCTCTACCCGTTTCAAAATCTCCACCCCTGCTGCTGGGTGCCCAGCTCAGCACTCTGCACAGGGTTGGGGGGCCTCTGGCTTCTGCCGGTGTTGTGGAGGGCGCTTCCTTTTCTCATTTGCAGGCCTCATGTTTCACTTACTCTTTTTCTTTTTTCCTTTTTTTGAAATGGAGTCTGGCTCTGTCTCTTGCTCTGTCTCCCAGGCTGGAGTACAGTGGCGCGATCTGGGCTCACTGCAAGCTCCGCCTCCCGGGTTCATGCCATTCTCCTGCCTCAGCCTCCCGAGTAGCTGGGACTACAGGTGCCTGCCACCATGCCTGGCTAATTTCTTGTATTTTTTTAGTAGAGACTGGGTTTCACCGTGTTAGCCAGGATGCTCTCGATCTCCTGACCTCGTGATCCACCTGCCTCAGCCTCCCAAAATGCTGGGATTACAGGCATGAGCCACTGCACCTGGCCCACTCCACTTTTTCTTAATGGGGACACTTCCTCTGAACAATAGGGACAAGTAGGGGAGTGGCACAAGACAATCCCCATACTCCTATTAGTTCTTATTTGAGTGGGCCTGGTGAAGTGGAAAGATAGTGGGCTCTGTTACTAAGCAGCTGTGTGACTTTGGACAGGTCACTTAACCTCTCTAAGCCTGTTTTCTCCTCTGTAAAATGGAGTGCATCACTGTGCCCATCTCATAACGCTGTTGGGGATTAAATGAGGCTGCGAGTGTACACGTCCGAGCAGCGTCTGGCATATAAGAGTGGCTCCAGAAATATTACTCCCTCCTCTGTGCAACTCTCATGAGGGGCTCTGGAGGGTCTAGCACCCCTCCAGGGAAATGAAAGGGAGGCCCGTGGTGGAGTCGGCCATCCTCCCTGGATGGCACCAGTCACTGGCTGGCACTGAGATGTGGGCCTTAAATCTTCCTGCTCCTGCCCCTCAGCCTCCCCACCAGGGAAATGGGTGTGTGCCCCCTGCTATCCCCAAGATCCTGGGGCAAGAAGCCTCCCAGACCAGGCTTCACCACCCCTCCCTGCAAGGGGCCCTGTCCTCCCCTGCCTGCTGTGCGCCAATCGATTGAGTCTGCTCCCATCCTCGGGCGTGCCATGAATTTTTCATCAAAAGCCTGTAGACTTTGGGAAACGCACAATTAGAAGCCCCATCAATAATGCACTACGCAGAGGCATGCACTGAGCTCAGCCTGGCCCCAGACATGGCAGTCTTCCAGCCCTGCTCTGGCGGGAGGCTGGAGGGGCGCCCCAGCGGACCCTCAGGGACCCATCACCGGACATAGAACAAGTGTGGGCTGCTGAGAGGGAGGGAAGCCGCGCCCTTGAGGGACTTGAGCCTGCCCCATGAAGCCAGGGAGGCCCCAGGGGCTCCCGCCTGGTCTCAGGCATTTCATCTATAAAACGGGTGCTCAAGAGCCCCCACCCCTGCCCCTTGCCCACCCCTTATCACTGGGTGAGACACACAAGACAATTACTATGTGAAGACTAGGGCAGGGCTCTTTGTGGAGCTAAGGGATGTCCTCCTTCAGGGGGTCCCAGGAAACAGGGCAGGTGCCTGGCTGGAGTGGGGAGGGAGAGGAGGGCAGTACAGAGATGCCTGGTGGCATTGGGGCTTTATTCACACTTCCTTCCCCCAGCTTGGCGGTCAAGGTCCCTGTGGTCCTGCTCCTGTCCCCCTCCCCCTCCACACTTAATAGTGCAGCTCCCCTTGGACCAGCCACTCCCACGCCAGCCACTTCCTGTGGCCTCAGAACCTCTGGGGGAACAAACAGGTTCAGTGCATCCGGCCTCTGTGCCTTTGCTCACGCAGTTCCCCCACCTACAGGACAGAGTCGCCTTCCCCCATCTCTGCAGATCCATTCTGCAAAGCCCACCTCCTAACAAAAGACTTTCCTACTCTTCTTGGCTTCCTTTCTGAATTTCTAGAGCCTGCACCAGGCAGGTAACAAGAGCTCACCATAGGCTGGGCACTGTTCTAACTACCTTAAATAGATCGGCCTAACTTCACCACCAGTCACCTGATGAAGTAGCCTTCTCCATGTCCATTCCACAGAGGAGGAGAGTGAGGTATGAGGAGGCTAGGGAAGTTCTTGGAGTGGGTGAGCTGGTTCCAGAGTCTTCACCACCACTCCGGACCCTGGGGCTGGCTCTCCTGTCCTCAACTGGCCTTGGCCTTGGAGTCCGCAAGGGCAGGGCTCATGCTTCATCACTCATCAGGGCTGGGATCTCCCTATTGCAGGGCCAGAGGCTCAGCTGAACTCAGGGTGGGGCACGCAGGATGTTGATAGCCATGCTTAGCTGCTGGTAGGAGAGGCCTCCCCGCAACTCGAGCTTGAAGCTGGCCTAGCCAGAAGGTCCAGATGCCTCCCTGGTCCCCTGCAACGGCCTCCACTGAGCCCACATCCCATCTCCTGGAGTCGCACAGTTGCTCTGCTCCCCTTACCCCTGCTGGCTCCAGGTCTGGCTCATACATTCTGAGGCTGTCATGAATGCCCTCACTGCCCGCAATAAAACCACCGCATCAGACACACGGGGGTGGGGGATGGGAGGCTCCTGGGCTGAGGTGGTTTTTGCTGTTGCTTTTGGCAGGCTGTCAGACTTCTCTGGGCCCTGCCTGGCTGTGGGCTTCTGCTGCAGCCTAGGAGGGGGCTCGTTGGCACCTGGGGTTCTGTGCCCCTGCACATGGGCCATGTGAGAGCAGAGATGCCAGCTCCCGGAGGCGGGACATGTGCTGAGGGAACACAGCCCTCCATTTCCATTTCTAAAACTCTCTCCTGGCAGGAATGCTGCTGGGCCTGAAATACAAATGGAACTGTACCCCTCCTAACCCCCAAATCCCCACCCCAGGTGCTCCACCACAGCTTGGAGCTGTCTGCAGGAAAGGGCTCGTCATGATGCCAGTGATGTTCACAGAGGGGCCCTGGGATGGGTCCAGACTAGGGGGCTGGCAGGGGGAGGGTGGGCAGAGAGCTTGGTTAAAGCCCCCTGCTCTGTGCCCCCCACCCCTGAAATGTGTGTTTGCATTTTGCCCTAACTGAATCCACTGTCTGCCTTGAGGTCGCCATGACCCTATAAGTGGGCAGCCAGGGTGGCAAGAGTGTGTCTCCTTCCATCTCTAGGGGAGGGGTGAGCACTGCCTTTCCCCCACCCAGGCCAAGGACTGAGGTCCTCCCAGTTCAGGATATACTCTTTGGCAGGCCCACTTGGCCAGGCCCTGTGGTGGGCACTGGAGACACAGATGTGGCCAAGGCTTGGGGTCTCTGTCCCCAAGTAGCTTGTATTCTAGTCGATGTGAGAGCAGGCAGTGTGGCATAGTAAATCAGTATGGCAAATGCAGTAGCGGGGGAGCCCCCCAGCCAGCCCCCTCCTCACCCTGGGGTGCAGGCAAGGGTGTATTGGAGGGTATGTCAGAGCGGGAGATGGGTTTTGAAGGATGAGTAGGAGTTTGTCAGGTGATACAGGCATAAGGAGGAGACACAGTCCTAGCACAGGGAACAGCAGGAGCACAGGTGTGGAGGTGAGCAGCAGCCTGGAACACCGTGGGAGTGCAGACAGGACACGCGGCAAGGAGGGGCTGGTAGGAGATGAGACTGGAGCGGCTGCAGGGTTCAGTCATGGGACCTTGGATGTAAGTCCAAGGCCCAGCTGTCAAGCCTGTTATAGGCAGGCAAAGTGGACTGGGCTGGGCCTGGATGCTGGCACCAAGCATGCTTGTGACCCTCCCAGAATAAGGTCTGGTTGCATTCTAAACAAATCCAATGTGCTATGCAGGACCCAGAGCCCAGACAGGGTAAGAAGTTGCCTAGCACTTCTGTGGCAGGGCCAGCTCAGCATTCATAGCCCTCCGGGGTTAGAAATCTGTGCTGGGCTAATCACCTGAGGTCAGGTGTTCGAGACCATCCTGGCCAATATGGCGAAACCCCGTCTCTACCAAAAACATAAAAATTAGCGGAGCATCGCGGCCAGCACCAGTAATCCCAGACACTTGGGAGGCTGAGGCAGGAGAATCGCTTGAACCCGGGGAGGCGGAGGTTGCAGTGAGCTGAGATCGCGCCACTGTACTCCAGCCTGGATGACAGAGTGAGACTCTGTCTCAAAAAAAAAAAAAAAAAAAAAGAAAGAAAGAAAGAAAGAAATCTGTGCTGGGGTTGGAAGGGACTGAGAGGCCTTCTGGAAGACAGAATGACCCAGAGAAGAGTAGGCTGGGATGTTGGCTGCCCAAAACCTCGGGATGGGGAGAGAGCCAAGGGAAAGCATCCTTGAGGTGCTGCCTTTTCTCAGTTATCTGGGTGGGCCACCTGCCCTGGCATCCTGGAGCCACCAGGCCATGACCCACCCCACTCTAGGAGCTGTCCAAGCCTTGGCCCCTGTACCACCCTTAACCAATGCTGCTCAAGGGAAACAGAGACTTCCAAGTGGCTTCTTAGCCCCTTCCCACCCCTGTGACTCAAAGATGTCACTGTTCTCGTAACAAGAACCTGCCAAAGCTCAGGCTATGGGAGCCAGAGTGGGGATCAGAACAAACACCCTACCTCCCAGCACCCAGAGGCAGCCAGCCTTCCAGGGCATTGTTTGGTTTGGGGTCTGGGGGCTTCCTCTGGAGGGCTGAGGCCCTGCCTGGTGGGGTCAGACTCAGAAGGTTTTGCTAGGGTCCAGGCCAAGCTTGGCTCAGCAGAGAGAGGCTGTGGGTGTTGAGGGGGAGGTGAAGGAAGATGAAGACTTGGCCTTGCCTTCAGGGGTCCTAGACTGAGGGGGGAGACAGTGTCCCACCCTGAGGAGCCCAGTCTGAGAGGGGAGATGTGAGCCTGCCCAGGAAGCCCCTATATGTATGAGGAGGGTTGCACTGTCACATCTGAGCAGGAGGCAGGACGCACACACTCCTGATAAGGACACATGAAAAGAACAGATGGCGCCAACAAGTGCAAATTAATTGAGCGAAGCCTGTGTACATAGGCGCTGTGAACAGGCAGGCTGATGGCTCAGGAGGGGTGGTGCGGGGGCAGGGCAGGGAGCAGGGAGAAGCTGTAACGAGCACTTACCGATGTCTCGCTGGATCTGCAGCCGGTAGCACAATTATTGACAAAGCCTGTCTATAAATCTCCCAGCCATGTCTTCAGAAACCTTAATTACGGGGCCTCATTACCCTTCACACCTCTAGGCACGGGGGACCCTCCTGGGCTGGGGCGGCTGCTGACACTGCGGCTGGCCTGCCATGGACAGGCTGAACCCCTTCAGGAAGATGTGCCTAGCGGGGGTGTCCAAGGGACACTATTCAGGACCACGTGGCTCCGAGGAACGAGCAGAGGCTCAGCCTCTAGGCAAGGGCAAGGGGGTGAAAGGGACTTTGGAACAAGGGGAACATAAGCTGGGTTTACATTCTAGTTTTGCCAGTCCTTCTGGACTCTGATGGGCACCTTCCCTCTCTGAACCTCAGTTTCCTCATCTGTACAATGAGGAGAGGGCTGTGGTGAAGATTACGTGAGCAAGGTCTGTCTAGTGTTGAGCACAGTGCCTGGCATGTGCTGTGTGAGTAACATCTGTCCCTTTCATCTCTTCTCGGTCACTGTCTGAAGCTACCAAGAAAGAAAAGCGGCCCCTGGTGGCCAGGAGCTGGCGGCCACAGCTGGACCCTGGTGTCATTCACAACACCACTCTCTGACCACTCTGTAAAGTGTGTGAACACAGATAAAACATAGTCATTGTCCAAACCACAAAAATGACCAAACTCCCTTTCCTGGCTAATATGAGTGACTGCTGCTTCTTTATTAGTGACCATCATTCCTGCCTTCTCGATGAGAACTCCTATGATACCGACTCTTAGAATGCTGATTCTAAGCCAGCCTCCCGCTGTCATCTAACCCAGAGCAAAGCCTGTTTCCTCAAACCCTTTCCCAAATCCCCTAACACCAGCTTGAATCTGTGAAGTCCTTTCCCACACACTCTTTCTGGGATGCCCCGCAACTCCCATGGTTGCATCCCCCTTACTACAACGAGTCAATAAACCCAGAATAACTCCAACTTTGTTAAACTGCATGTGTGTTCCTGGTCGTTTTCAGCTGGAGGGGTTGAGATCCTGCTATTAGAGCCTCGTCTGTTTAGATGACTGTGCTCTCCAGGCCTGAATCCTAGGCTCTCATTTTCACATTCTTCCCTCTCATTATTTTTGCGAAGCATGTGCCCACTGTGTCCCATTTGTTGTCCTCACCCAGGCCAGGAGAGAACACACTGGGGTAGGGGGTGTGGAGGGGAGAGATGCTGGGGGCACCTGCCACATCTCTCCCTGGGGGAAGGAGCCCTGTCTGGACATTTGGGGCTCTTGGGGGATCCAAGGAGGCCTAGACCATCTTTAGCCTTGGGAGGGACCATGGGTAGGGGAAGGGACCAGGGTGATGGGAGCTCAGTGTCACAGGAGAGCAGAGGTGGGGTGAGACCACCCGTCCTGCCTCCAGGCCTGTGCTACAGGCCCCGTGCGCCCTGTCCAGGCAGATCACGGTCCTGCCTCCAGCCTAGGCCACAAGCCTCCTCCCCAGCCCTGTGTTGCGGAAAACCACCTCACTGCTGCCAGGCTCCAGGCCACCCCAGAGCTTCACAAAGTGCTTCAGCCATCAAAACCCCAGTAATCCCTGTGTTCAGCTTTGCCTCTTGAGGCTTGAGCCTCAAGGCAGTTGGTCCTTTCAGAGCCCCCCACCTCCCCTGCCTGTCACCCAGCCTCTTTTGGCCTCAGTTCCTCTCACACCTCACTCTCCCCATCCCTGAGAGTCCCCCATGGGAACCTTCTCTACAGCCTGCTCAGCCTTGCCCACTGCTCAGGTAATGGAAATCCAGGGCCCAGACCTCACAGATGCAGGTGGCAATGAAGGGAGGGGGCTTCCTGGGGGCAGCACTCTCGCTGCTGGCGGGTACCCTCCCTGCTGGCTCTCTCAGGATGCCCCCTGACCACCTCAGGCCCCTCAGAGTCGGTCTCAAAATTCAAATTTCTTTTTTTTTTTTTTTTTTGAGATGGAGTCTCCTCTGTCGCCCAGGCTAGAGTGCAGTGGCTTGATCTCGGCTCACTGCAACCTCTGTCTCCTGGGTTCAAGCTATTTTCCTGCTTCAGCCTCTCAAGTAGCTGGGATTACAGGCATGCACCATCACGCTCAGCTGATTTTTGTATTTTTAGTAGAAACGGGGTTTCACCATGTTGTTCAGGATGGTCTCAATCTCTTGACCTCGTGATCTGCCCGCCTCGGCCTTCCAAAGTGCTGGGATTACAGGCATGAGCCATTGTGCCCGGCCTCAGAATTCAAATTCTGATTAGCCAGACCTTCTGCACCAAGCACATCTCCAGTCCTGCCTCCTAACCATCTTCCCAGAGTTGTTTTTGTTTTTATTTTGTTTGAGTCAGGTTCTCACTCTGTCATCCGGGCTGGAGTGCAGTGGCGGGCACATGGCTCACTGCCCGCAGCCTCAACCTCTTAGGCTCAAGCAATTCTCCCACCTCAGTCTCCCAAGTAGCTAGTATTACAGGCACGTGTCACCATGCTTGGTTAATTTTTTAAAAAAATTTTGTGGAGACGGCATCTCGCTATGTTACCTAGGCTGGTCTCAAGCTCCTGGTCTCAAGTGATCCTCCTGCCTCAGCCTCCCAAAGTGCTGGGATTACAGGTGTGAGCCACTGCGCTAGCTTCTCCCAGAGTTTTTAAGTTCCCCTCATACTTAAAGTCCAGGCTGTTCTGTTGAGATGGCTGGTGGAGGACTTGGGGGGTCTGGAACGGGTGGGGCACAGATCCATTTGTAGTGGATAAATAGATTCCCTGAAGGAGTGGCCAATAGTGGTGTAAGATGTGGGTCTTGGAGGGACCGAGAGAGATGGAAGCTTGTTCCCAGACCCTCTGCACTCTCCTACACTGTACTCTTCACTCCCCACTGTAGGAAAAAAAGGCGCCAGAAGCTCTTCATGGCTCACAGAAGCCGCTCCAGGCACTGTGAGGTTTTCACAGCCAGCCTGGGGATAAGGGCTAGCACTGTCCCCCTTTCCCAGCTAAAGAGACTGAGGTTCCTGTAGGTGCTGGCTGGGAGCCGAGTAGGAGGTAAACACCTCTGTGATCCAGACCACCCCTGGTCCACCAAGCTGCTCAGGAAGGGCATTCTGTGCATTCAGTGAGCACACACTTACTGAGCACCCACTGCACGCCAGGCACCTGGTGTGGAGGTGGGCGAGGGGTACAAGGTGGAGTGAGCCGGGAACACAGGCCTGGAGCTGGGAGGAGGCACCACTGCCATTGAGCATGGGTAGAATATTCTGGGTTCAGGTAAAGGCTTGAGGCAGGGGCTTCAGAAGCCCCAGGGCCCATCAGGCTGAGGGGCTCCTGTTGCAGGCAAGGGAACAATGCATGGGTTCAGGGCGGGGGGTAGCATGTCTAGATTTGGGCTTGGGACAGGTCACCTGGTGGCTGTGTCTTAGGAGGAGGAAGGCTGAGGTAGGCAGGAGGGCCCCATCTGGACGGTCAGCTCCCAGATCCTGAGCCAGCTCTCTGAGTGAGCCCACTGGCCCTCCACAGGAGCCCCCCCACCCACATACAGGAGAAGGCAGGAGGGTGAGGTCTTCATCTTGGCCTCCACAGGACCCTCCCTACCAGCGTGGCAGCTCCCTACTGAATGGCTCCCTACCCAGCCTGAGGAGGAAGAGTGAGATGCCTCCAGTCCCAAACTAGTCCTCTGAGAGGGTCCAGCTGTCATTGCTCTTCCTGGCCCTTCCAAATCCCCGAGCCCCTCTGCAGCCCAACCCCAGGGTCCACCCTGTGGAGGTGGATTTGCATATCTGAGAGTGAAAAAAATTCTGCTGCAGAGGCTTAGTGCCACCAGAGATGCTGAGCCCCCTTTTGTCTGTTTGAGTAAGAGCTGGCTAAAGGCTGAAGGATAATTAGTCCCCCGTGGGCAACGCTGTCCCCCCTCCTTGAAGATTTAAAGGCGCAGCCCACATGCTCAAGCCACTCGGGTCTCAGCCCCTTCCCCCACAGGCCCTCCCCGCCCCCTCGACTCCGCCCTAAGGAGGGGACGGCAGCTCTGGCAGGAGCCGATGAATGAGCATTTTATCTGATTAAACTGGGAGTGAACTGGCTGGTCTCTATTATCTGCGGACTTGATTGGATATTTAGCACCAAATGTGTGTGTGTGTGTGTGTGTGTGTGTGTCTGTCTGTCTGCACACATGGACTGGGCTTTTCTAGTCCGTGTGTCAGGAAGAAATTGGATTGTACTGAAAAACATTTAATCTGAACTCAGGAGTGCACCCTGATAGAGTCACCAAGCTAGTGGTGAGGGTTGGGGGAGGGACAGTTCTGCCTTTAGCCCTGGACAAGAGGGGCTCCAGCCCTGGGCCCCGTGGGTTGAAAGGTCCTGCTTTGGCCCTCTTCGGGGTACAACCCTTCCCATGGGGTGAGGAGTCAGTGGTCCCAAGGGGGACGTGCCCACCTAGAGCCCGTGCCCGCTTTAGACCTCACCCTGGGTAACTGGGATCCTGGCACTCCCCTGCTTCCAGGGCCTGTCCTCCTGAAGGTGGCAGTATACCCTTATGCACTCGAGAGAGCCCACAGAGTCTCATAGGTGTGGGACTGAAATTGAGCTGTGTGAGAAGAAAAGGGGATGGGTGGGGTTGAGGGGTGGGGGCCTGGGAGTGGCTCTCGCCATACTGCCAGGGGCCAGTGTGGAAGCTGAGAATTCTTTGAGGTTGTTCATAAGGTGTATTTATTGAGGTAGAGGAATGGAACATATTTAGGAGTTTGCTAGCTTCTGCTTGATTTATATTTTGATTACTGGGGTTTGGACATATGGTATGTAGGCCTTGCTTATACTCTCAAATGTTCCAGGTGGAACTCGGCAGGGGGTGGCCTGAGGCCACAGAGCTTGTCTTGGTGTTTACTAGGAAACTGAGGCAGCTCTTCCTCCCAGATAGGCTGGGAAGATGGTGAGTTAAGCTCACCAGGCTCCTGACTTCCAAGTCACCAGGCTCGGCCAAGGCTCAAGTGCTAGGCTGGAGACCCCCAACCTGTGTTGGACCAAGACTCCCCCTCGGTCTTGTCTGGTGGCCCTGGGAGGGTTATTGTGCTATCAGCAGGTTCCTCTCCCACAAAGTGGGGATGATAATTGTATGTTCCTTTTCAGTCTGGAGTGAGGATTACATGAGATTGTGACCGAAGTTCTGGGTACAGAGTACGAGCTCAGTGAATCTTGATGGGAACACTTAGTGTTATTAAAATGAGTACTAAGGTTGGGCTGGTGCTTGCAGAGCACAGAAGGGACAAGCCCCATTTCCCAGGTTAGCAACTCTTTCTCCCAGTCGCTCCTGGTTCTATAGTCCACCTCACCCTCACCAATCGATGATTCAAGCCCTCAGCAATTTATGGCCTCATCATCTTGGCTTTAGTTACCGAGAGTGCTCCACTCCTGCCTCGCCCACCCACCATTTAATTAAGGATGGACAGCAAGACCTGGCAGCACCGGCCATCTCACTAAGGAGCAGCGCCAGGAGGCTGTCCCACCTCTGCCTGCCTTGTTTGCTGGGATGAAAGAGGAAATTGTCAAGACCAGGCTCCTCACTCCACAGGAGGGGAGACGGAGGCCCAGGAGGGGAGGGGTCAGTCAGGCTGACTCCTCAAGTCAGAACTGACTCCATGTCTCCTGATGCTCCTCCTGCCCAACCCTCTCTCGGCAGTAAATTTTCTCTCTCTCTGGGTGGCCTCTGCCCGGAGTGACCTCGTTCTCATCTCCTCTGAGCCTGATCTTCTGGGTACTTAGGGCAGGCCCTGACTTGACCAGTCCTCTAGTCCACCTATCCCATCCATTCTTTCCTCCACACCGCTAAGACTTTCTCATCCCTCACTGGAGGGAGGCATTCGCTCCATTAATACAGATAGAGAAACTGAGGTCCAGACAGGGAAGGGACTAGCCCTGGGGCCCCACAGTGCCTTTTGGTGAGACCCCAGGCCAGGCCTGGAGAGAGACAGGCACACACACACTAACTAGTAATTCCCACTCAACAGATCAACAGATTCCTCTTGCAGGAACAAGAGGAATTTCATTTCCCTTCCACCAACAAATCAAAGATCTGTTATGGTTTCATGCTAACCGCCACTGATGCTTGGTTGGCTTTTCTCTCTTGCTTATCACAGTGACATCTGCAGACTACCCTGGCATTCTGTAGAAAGTGTGCACTGCCTGGGGTGGGAGTTGATGGGGGTTAGGATTAGGTAGACCCCCTCTGTGCTCCCACAATCTCCTGAGGACCCTGAGCCCCAGTCCTGACCACATCCTCCTCCAGCCATTCTTGATGTGTCTCCCTGCTCAATTGGGACTTCTTGAGCACAGGGACCCTTGTACGGAATTATCTTTATGTGACTGTCACATATCTTGGAGGTGAACTTCTGGAGAGGGGGTCAGAGGGAGAGGCCTGGGTGAGTTGTGCTGCCTTCCGTCATCCCCCTCAGTCTCGAGGGATCCCATGAACACAACGACTATTAATAAGCCTCCTGCAAAGTGCCAAAGTGGACGGCCCTTTACAGTTTCCAGTGCATTGCCATCCACTCTCCTGTTAGTCCTCTGAAAAGCCTCAAGAGGCGGGGAGAGTATTTCCTCTACTTAACAATGAAGAGACAGGATCAGAGAGGTTGAGTGATTTTTTCAAGGCCACACAGCTCTTGGGAGGTGGAAATGGAACTCATACCTGCTGGGGCTGCACAAATGAGTGGAGGAATCTGTGGGGCGAGATAACCAGACTTGGCACAGAGTAGATGCTCAAAACCCTGGTCGAACAAATGAATGAATGCATGAATGAATGAGTAGGTGCATGTACCAGAAATGAATGAATGAGTAGGTGCCTGTGCCAGAATACAAAGTCAACAGGGAAAGGAGAGACAGCTGGGGGTCTGAGGAGGTTGGGGGCACCAGACACTTTTGCTCCCTGTGCTCATGTGGCCCCTTCTTGGCTCCTGAAGCACTGCTCATCCTTGGGGTTTGAGTACTTCCCCCTTAGCCCCTGGGTGATGCTCCTTTTCATGCTGTCTCACTTCCCTTGGCCTTTGCAGACTTCTCCCCAGTTAGGCTGGGGGGCTTTCTCTATGGAAGCCTCCCCTCTCCAGGCCCACCCCTAATATCTGTAGTGCCCAGTACAAGAACAGAAATGGAGGCTTCCAGCATGTGCCCTCTGCAAACAGCCGTTGCTTCTTGGGTCTCAGGGTGCACCCTTGCAAAAGTATTCAACCCTTAGAAGTGTAGATTTAAGCTTGCATAGTCCTCAGAAGCAGGTTTAGGCCAGGCGTGGTGGCTCACGCCTGTAATCCCAGCACTTTGGGAGGGCGAGGCGGGTGGATCACTTGAGGTCAGGAGTTTGAGACCAGCCTCACCAACATGGTGAAACCTTGTCTCTACTAAAAATACAAAAGTTAGCTGGGCATGGTGGCAGGTGTCTGTAATCCCAGCTACTTGGGAGGCTGAAACAGAAGAATCACTTGAACCTGGGAGGCGGAGGTTGCAGTGAGTTGAGATCACGCCATTGCACTACTCCCTCCTGGGTGACAGAGCAAGACTCTGTCTAAAAAAAAAAAAAGAAGAAGAAGAAGCAGAAGCAGGTTCAGGCCCATTCGGGGGTCTTGGGTACCGACAGAGTGTTCTAGAAGCGTGGAGCTTGGGATCTGGGGCACATTTACCTAGCCAGGTGGGGAGGGACAAGGCTGGAGGAGTGTGAGTGGGCCCTCTAAATCAGCTTAGGTACCTGGCCAAGTCGGTCAGGAAGACAGGCCCACCGGACTGGCTCATAGCTTTGCCTGGCAGAGCAGCACCAGGCTCCCCGCCAGCTCCAGGGCTGGGGGCTGGGGGTGGGAGGCGAGGCACCCACACACATGTGCAGGGCGTGTGGAGTGGGGGAGGGGACTGGCCTGCAGGGGGCCTTGCTCAGCCGCTTGCACACACCAAGAGACAATAAATCGACAAACACTTAATCTCTCTGCAAATTGAAACGGAGCCGTAAATATCTGCTGCATCCCAGCAGCTGAGTTATGAGTCTCGTTTATTAATCTCTTTAGTCTCAGGTGATGGATGGAGGAGGAGAATGGCCCGCTGAGACTCGGAGGGATGGGGGAAGGAGGGAGGAGAAGTGGGTCAGGGGTCTGGGAACAGCCCTGCCGGAGAAAGGGTCAGAGGGAGAGGCCTGGGGGATTTTTGCTTCCTTTTTATTCTCCGCCTTGATCGCAGGGCCCCAGGAACACAGTGACTATTAAGTCTCCTGCAAAGTGGACAGCCCTTTACAGTTTCCAACACATTGCCCCTCATTCTCTTGTTAATCCTCCCCATAGTCTCAAGAGGTGGACAGGGTGACAGTGTTCCCTCTACTTAACAATGAGGAGACAGGAGCAGAGAGGTGGAGTGATTTATCCAAGGTCACACAGCTTCGGAGTGGTGGAGATGGAACACAAACCTGCAAGAGCTATGCAGGTGAGAGGAGGGGTCTGCAGAGGGAAGTAACAGACACATGTGGGATGTGATCCTTATTTCTTCCTTTCTACCCTTCTCCTCTCCCTCCCTCCCTTCCTCGCTAAAATGCTTGGTAAGCACTGTGTGTGATTGTGTTTAGGAATTGGAGAGAAAAAGGTCAGAGTTGGGGGAGGGACAGGAAAGGGAAAAGAGCTGGCGAGTGTTCTCAGCCATGGCTTAGGTCGGTTGCCTTGTCTTAAGTATTTAATTGTAGGACCCCCTCCAGCCCCTGTCAGCAGGCGGTGCTCCCAGCTCGGGGCCTGCAGGAGTGCAGGGGAGGAGCTGAGGAGGGCTGGGGCCCTGAGAAGCCTTCCTGCCTTCGGGGAGCTGGGCCTGGGCGGGAGCTCGTGAGTGTGTGCTGCACAGAACAGGGATGCTTGGAGAGGTGACTGGGAGAGAGCACAAACCCAGCAAATGGGGCAATCACGCTGGGCAGTAGAGTCAGGGGCTACGGAGACTGAGGGGACACAGCAGGAAGGCTGGGGTGGCCAGTGTTTTGGGAACGTGTCTTGTGGCTGGTGTGGGATGGCCTGAAGGGGACACTGAGTCAAGGGCATCTGTTTGGAGGCCGTTGGGTGGGCCCTGGTTGGCTCTGCTCTCTGTCTCTGTCTCACTCCCTGTTTCTCTTGTAGTTCCTCAGCCTCTCTTGGTTCCAAAGGACCTGGGGCCTGGGCCCTCTCGTACTCCCAGACCCTGGGTGACCCTGCTCCCAGGCTGGGCTTGGTGCCTGAACTAGTGGCCCTGGGGGGGCTGCTTATTCCTGCTCCTGGGGGCCAATCCCAGGCTCCCGGGGCTTTGCAATGTCACCACCCTAGGCTGACGTTCCTGCTGCTTGTTGCCACCAAAGTGGGTAGTGTGCAGGGGTGCTCCAAGTCCCTTCCCTGGTGACTGCTGCTGGCAGCCTCAAAAGACTCCTGCTCAGAGTTAATCACCTGCCACCAGGTGGTGCTGAGGAGTGGAGGCCGGGTCTGACTGCTCTGCTGTCGGCCTCACCAGGCTGCAGACCCCATCCTGGGTGTGGGTCTGGGGGCAGGACCAAGGCTGCAGCCACAGTGCAGGAGCCTCAGGGCACTCAGGAACATCTGCTCCAACCGCCTGTGCTGTCAGAGGCAGGAACTGGGGCCCAGAGAAGGGAAGGAAGGTCAAGGTCACTTGCAGGAGCAGTGGGAGCACTATGAGTGCATGGACAGCACGGAGCTGGGCCAGACTGGGCAGGGGGAGTATGCCCTGTGGATGAGGGAGGCTGACAGGGTAGAGAGTGTGGCAACCTCCAGTGGGGCAGACCTGGGACAGGGGAGGTTTCTGTGCCATGTAGGGTGGCCCCCATCCAGGTTTGCCTAGGACTGTCTTGGTTTAAGCACTGAACACCTCATAGTCTGGAAACCCGTCAGTCCTGGACAGACAGGGATGGGTGGTCACCCCAGGGCCATGCCAGCCGGACAGAAAGGACTAGGCTCAGGGTGTCTCTGCTACACGGCCAGCCGCCCTTTCTGGGGGGCCTCACCTCTCCCATCTGATCCTGAGAGGCAGGTAGGGTAGGGTAAGCAGCATGCTAAGATGGAGAAACCAAGGCACATGGTCACCCAGCGTCCCCAGAGCACCCCTCCGCCTGCCTGCGAGGAAAGGGGTCCCTGTGCTGGGAGGCTTGCCTTTCTGAGGACCGAGCCCACCTCTGGCACACTGGGACTTGGGAGAGGCCACAGCTTCCCTGGTCCTCCTTCCTCTCTGCACTCATGATCTGGGGCTGTCTCTGCTGAAGTCAACCTACACCTCCGGAGCACGGCAAGTGGGGTGGGGACAGCTGGGGAAGGGGATTTAGAGAAACCGAGGGATTAAGGCCGAATCATTCTAGGGTCCAGCAGACTCAAGAAAGGAAGAGAAACAAAAGCGGTATGCTCAGAGGGGGCGGGGATGTGGAGGAGACAGGTGGAGGGAGGGGGAAAGGCTTTCAAAAACAGAATGAAAGAAATGAGTTATTCCAGTGTAAGGAGGTTGGAAAAACTCCACTGAATCTTTTAACAACCCTTGTCAATTATTCATCTCCTGGTATGAGGGCCCTCTGGTCTGCCACAAATCTCCTCTGAGCAAGGCAGAAGGAGGGAGGGAAACAGAGGAGGCAGAGAGAGAGAGAAGGAGAGAGAGGTGGAGAGAGAGAGGGGGGAGGGAGAAAAAGAGAGAGAGCGAGAGAGAGCAGGAGAGACAGGGAGAGAGACAGGAAGAGGAGGGAAGCAACCCTGTGCTTGAATTTCTGTGCTGGAAACAACACTGAATACACAATTCTTCCATAGTAAATGAGCACATCTGCCTTTCTTTATCCAAAGCATAGTCTGCCTCCTCCAGGAAGACTTCCTTGCCTGCCTCTCCCCCTATCCACCACCTCCCCAGCTCTCTCTCATTCACTAAGGGCTCACTAGGTGTGTCCAGGAGTGCTGGGTAAGTGTGGCAGTTAAAAAGCTACATTGTCCCAACCATGCCCCTCCTTTGCCTGTTCATCCCCCACCAAATATTTACTGTGTGCCTACTCTGTGCCACTAATCGTCTCCCCGGGTATGGCTTGCTCCTGTCCACTGGGGAATTCTCAGAGCTGAGGTCCTTGGCCTCTTTGTCCCCATGTCCCTGCCCCAGCTGGACACAGGGCTGGGCACATGGCAGGGTGGAGAGTTCTGGTTTTCTGACAGGCTGGAGGAATGGGGAGTCCAGGCACATGGCAGGTGTTTCAGAAGCCCTTTGTGGAGGAAGTCGGTCCATCTAGAGGTGGCATAGAGCCCCCTCGCCTTACCTGCTCCCCTCCTGGCGTCAGGAGGCATGGCCTGGCTCCGTGTGAGATGGGCTCAGGGTGCCCAGAGAGTGGAGGGCAGATGCTTGCAGGCTGTTGACTATTTGGGGAGTTGCCATGTTCAGGATGAACCTTAACACCTCACTCTTCACACTCACTTAAAGGCTCACCTCTTCCCAATGGCTTCCTGAGCTACTCAGACGGGAGATAAGGCTTCCTCTACCTCTGCCTGAGGCCCTACACTTGACCCAAGACCATACCCATGGGACCTTGACCTTGATGGGCCCACCCAGGACCAGAGTTTTGTACCATGTTGACCAAATGGAACTTGAAAGGCCTGCATCAAAACGAAGTGTTCCAAGGTGAGAAGAAATGGTTGGGTTGCAGTCTGGGAATGAGGTAGATCAAGGGCACATCCAGGGACAGGGAGCCACAGTGGGCTTAGTGAGCCATGGGGATGGGACAGGCAGGGCCAGGGGCAGCAGGCAGCATTGCACAGAGAGGCATAGACCTCCTCTTCTCCACTCTCATCTATTCCCAGAGCGCTTTTCTCTCCAGAAAATGTTCAATTTCCTATTAAGCTGAAGTCGGATCTGAAGGGAATCAGAGATAAAATTGTTTTTTGGGCTCCGGGGAATGCATGATGAGACTGGATATAGACAAACACACTCCTGAAATCAGGGGAGGCCAAGAGGCTCAGCCGGAGACAACGGCCCAGCGTGAGGGAGGCGGTTCTTCATTTGACTACAACTCAACCACTGCCATGTCGCTGGCGCCTGCTGCTCCAGCCCTGGGACCTGCTGCCGGCCACCGCTCCCTGGCCGCATGTCCAGGAGCCACACACACTGTGACCGTGCCATTGCTACTCAGTTGTGTCCCAGTGCTACTACTCTGTATGTCTGCCCACGTCTTCCACACTGTGCTCCGTACTCATTCCCGTGATTGCACCCTCCTGCGGTGCAGGGCTGTGTGACATGCTTCTACGGCTGGGTCTATTGTTATGCAACGACACTCCACTGCTCCGCGGCCACGTTCGATTGCTTGTCACTGTGCCTCATGGTCGCTTGAGTTCATCCATTGCTATGTAATTTTGTTTGGTTGCTATGGAAGAGTGACCCATTGCTACACAGCTAGGCTACCTGTGCTTGTCATGGAGCCGTACACTGTTGCTACTCACCCACGTTCTACTGCCTGTAACTGGGATCTACTGGCCACGTGAACATGTGTGTCTGGGTCCTGCCATGATCCTTCTGGGCACTGGCCAGTGGGTAGGAGCTGGGGCTGGGGGCTGGGTCTCTAGGCCCCAACTAGGGCAAAGTGTCAGAAGTAGAAATAGCCAGCCTGGTAAATCTGAGGAGAGCGAGAGAGTGAGAGCGAGAAGGTGAGTGAGAGAGGGAGTGAGAGAGAGAAATGATGAGTTGGGAGACCGAACCAGAGGTGAGAGGATAAACAAGGACGTAGTCAAGAGTCAGGAACAAGGAGGGATGGCGTGCCTGGAACAGAGTGGGATGGGTAAGGGAGAGGGGCATACCCACTGCCCTGGATACTCTATGAGTCTCTGGGGGACCCGATGGTGCCAGGTTGACTGAGCATACAGGCCTCTGTAGTGTCCAGTATTTCCTTGGCTGGATGCAAGGTGGCATGAGATTGCCATGTCAGGAAGCTTTGGGCAGGCCCATTCCTGCCCATCCCTGGGCCACCTCATTGCCACCCTTTGTAAAATGAGAGGATCAGTCTAGATACTTTCTAAGGTTCTTTCTGATTCTCTTGCTGTCCAGCCAGGGGTTCTCTATTCCATTGCCCAAAAAGCATTTACCAACATCTGTCTTGGACCAGGCCTGGGCAGGGCTCTGGAGCCCAGAGGCGAGTAAGTCAGTGTGTTCTTTAGTTCAAGGACTGGATGGTGGTGGCTGAGTGGCCCTAACCCGATAGCAAACCAGGGCTAGCAGCCAGTCCTTAAGGCCTCACCAGGTGTCCAGCAAGAGGGAGGGTAGAGGGACCAGGAACACTCTCTCCGGGTGAATGAGCCACTGATGGGAGTGCTGAGGGTGATGCCCAGGGTGGGCATGCTTGAGTGAGTTCTCCATCAGACCCAGCTCACAACACCTCTGCAGTCTGTGGGTATGGGGTATCACTCAGAGCCTCCCAGAATCCCGGCCTAGCATGCTCAGGCTGCTTCTTTCTCTGCCTACTCCTCTGTCGCTCACAATGGTTACTGTTGCTCAAAAACACCTCCTCCTGGCTGGGTGTGGTGGCTCAGGTCTGTAATCTCAGCACTTTGGGAGGCCAAGGCGGGCAGATCACAAGGTTAAGAGCTTGGGACTATCCTGGCCAACATAGTGAAAGCCCGTCTCTACTAAAAATACAAAAATTAGCCGGGCGTGGTGGCGCCCGCCTGTAATCCCAGCTACTCAAGAGGCTGAGGAAGGAGAATCGCTTGAACCCGGGAGGCGGAGGTTGCAATGAGCTGAGATGGTACCACTGCACTCCAGGCTGGTGACAGAGTGAGACTCAGTCTCAAAAAAAAAAAAAAAAAAAAAAGGCAGAATTAGCCAGGGTGTCGAATGCCTGTAATCCCAGCTACTTGAGAGACTGAGGCAGGAGAATCTCTTGAACCCGGGAGGCGGATGTTGTGGTGAGCTGAGATCGCACCATTGCACTCCAGCCTGGATAACAAGAGCGAAACTCCATCTCGAAAACAAACAAACAAACAAAAAACCAAAAAACACTTCCTCCTAATGGCTAACCTTGACTTCTCAAGCTGCAATCTGGTCCCATCTCTTTTGGTTTAATTCTTAAGAGAAAATCAAGACTGGCCCTCTACCCATGTTATTCTAATATTCTTTCAGATGTTGAAAACATTGTTTATATTGCCTACCTCTCAGATCCATTCTATATTTAAAGGCCATTTCTTCCTCCACTCTATTTTTTCCTCTCTGCTCCTCCTCCACCATCATCATCACCATCATCACCACCACCATCATCATCATCATCAAGTTTTATAAGTACAGTGCAGACTCCAACCCAACCCACCCCAGCAATTTGTGTCTCACTTCCCACAGACAAATCCATGGTATTAAGACATCTGTATCTGGTTTCTCTCAAAGACTCTCAGACCTAATGACCTCAGTTCAGACCTTGGATGCTTTACCCAGCAGACTCCAAACGAAGGACTGCCTGCCATGCCCAGTACTAGGAGCAGGGCTGGGTACTTCCCCCTCCTTGGTTGTGCTATGTCAGTGCCCAGATGGCTGATGTGAGAGGCTTGTCCAGCCAGGAGGTGCTTGTGGTTCCTGCTTCTAGAGGTGGTGTGAGTCAGGGGCTGAGGTCTGCATCCTTGGGGGAAGGTGGAGGCTTAGCTTGGGGAGGGCAGAGGGTTGGCTGGTTGGCCCCTCCGGGGCAGCTGAGCAGGAGAGGTTGCTCTGAGCCCTCCACAGGGCTGAGACCAGGGAGGGATGCCTTCTTTCTCTTCCCTTCCCATGTGCCTTTCCCCATGATGGCACCTTCCCTCTTCTTTCTTTCCTGGCCTGTTTTTTCTTTTATTTTGTTTTTCTCTTGAGACAGGGTGTTGCTCTGTCACCCAAGCTGGAGTACAGTAGCACGATCATAGCTCACTGCAACCTTGACCTCCCAGGCTCAAGTGATCCTCCTGCCTCAGGTTCCTGAGTAGCTGAGACTACAGACGTGCACCAACAAGTCCAGCTAATTTTTTGAATTTTTTGTAGAGATAGGATCTCATTATGTTGCCAGGGCTGGTCTCAAACTTCTGGGCTCAAGCGATCCTCCCACCTCGGCCTGCCCAAGTAGTGAGATTACAGATGCAGGCCATGCACCTGGCCTCTCTTTCCTTTACTACCTCTGCTTAGAGGCACAAGAAGGGGGAACCACGAGGCCAGGATGTGGAGAGGGCAGGAGCAAGTGGTTTATTCATGCTGCCCCAAATCTCCAAAGACAGGGTTTCTTTATTTTCAATGCAGTTTATGACTGAGCTGGATGTTAATCCCAAGGGCTCTTTCCCCAAGGGCCAGAGGTGACGGGAGAAAATTGTAAAGATGGCCCATAAGTGCTGTGGTGCCTGAGCAGGATGGCCCTGCTCCAGGGTGGGCAGGGGTGCTCATGTGGAAGAACCCTGGGCATGCCCAGCAGACAGCCAGCCTTCCTATTCGTCTGATGGGACATGTTCCAGAAAGGTGCAGAAGTGCCAGGGGAAGATGAGGAGGCTGTTGGTGGAGGAGGTCAGGTCCTGGGAGGAGGATGGCTTGGACTTCCCTGTGGACTGGTGGCCTTGTCTGGGGCCTTTTCTCAAGATCTTCCAGAGCAGCGTTCCCCATGGGACCCGCTGTGGAAGAAGGGAGGAAGCTACCCAATAATTCAGCCATGGTTACTGGGTAGCACCTCCCTGGACTGTCTCTTTGGTAGCCCATTCTTTAGCTCTCTGCATCGAGGGCTGAAACCCAGCACTGACTCCTCAGCAAATTAGGATGTCACTTTGGCCACCTCCACCAGCCCTTCCTGAGCATCTGCTCAACCAGCAACAGGAAAACACAGCAGCTCCCATGATCAAGGACACAGACTATGTCACCAGAATTGGTGTCCTCTTTTATTATTATTATTATTATTTTTTGAGATGGAGTTTCACTCTTGTTGCCCAGGCTGGAGTGCAATGGCACAATCTTGGCTCACCGCAACCTCCACCTCCCAGGTTCAAGTGATTCTCCCGCCTCAGCCTCCCGAGTAGCTGGAATTACAGCCATGCACCACCACGTCTGGCTAATTTTGTATTTTTTTAGTAGAGACGGGGTTTTTCCATGTAGGTCAGGCTGGTCTCGAACTCCCGACCTCGGGTGACCCGCCCGCCTTGGCCTCCCAAAGTGCTGAGATTACAGGTGTGAGCCACCGTGCCCAGCTGGTGTCCTCTTTTTTTGAGCCCCAGTTTCTCCTGTTATAAGCTAAAATGAATCTCTTAAAGGTGTTTCCCACTACCCAGTGGCCATGCACCTCAGGAAGTTCTGAGTTGATGCCTACACACATAAATGGAACCCTGGCTTACAAGTGTTGCATGGGTTTGTTTTGAAAGAAATTACACGGGAGTTCCACTCAAAAGGTGAAGAGACCCTGCAAACGAAGAAGCCACAGCGCCCAGCAGTTTGACTTTGGGGTAACTCACATGCAGAGTGTGCCTAAGGGGAGGGAGGTCTACTGGCCACCTGAGGCATGAAGCAGTCCTGCAGATGGCAGTCAAGTCCCCTTCCCATGGCCTCATCACTGCCCCGGCCCTTCCCACCTGGGGAGAGACACTCACTGTGTCATGGGACATCTCAGGCACCAGAGGTTCCTCCTCTGCTTCTCGTGGAGTGGACGTGCTCAAGTCCATTGTGGAGCTCACTGTGTCCTTGGACCAGGACTCTTGGATGGTTCTCAGCTTCTTATCCAGGATCTTGGGGTCCAAGGTAGGAAGAGCCTTGCTGTTGTTTGGTGTCAAGAAGTTTTCTGGTCTCTGAGAAGAGAAGGTGCAGAGAAACTTCAGGACAGGCCCCTTCTCTGTGCCCATCTACCATAAGCACACCATCTACACCCCAAGCCTCTCCTCCTCATGGCTCAGGAGGCCCTGCATGGCTGGCCCGTGCACACCTCCTACCATCTGCCCCTTGCTCACCGGGTCCCAAATACATGGCCCTTGCTGTTCCTCCAACAAGCCAAGCTCGCTCCTGCCTCAGGGCCTTTGCATTTGCTGTTCTCTTCCTGGAGGTCCTCAGGGATCCTTACGCAGCTGTCTCCTTCTTATCATTCAAGTCTCAGCCCAGATGTGATCTGCTCAGAGGGTCCCTACACTTTGAGATAGAGGCCCACTCTATCTAAAGTAATCCCACTTCCAATATACTCTCTATTCATTTATCCCATTTTACTGTGTTCATAGCACCTACTCTACCAGAAAATTTAAAAATGCATTTACTTCTTAACTGCCTTCCTTCTGCAAATGCCCATGCTAGGATGTGAGTCCCATGTCAGCAAGGAACCTTGTCTATCCCTAGTCTCTGGCTCATTGTAGGCACTCAATACATTTTTGGTGGAAGAATAAATGAATTATGCCATCTCTGGCACCCACACTTGGTGCAGTAACAACAGCTTCTAAAATCCTACACTCTTTTGACACCCTTTGCTATGTAGACCTATTTTCCATTTCATCTCCTCTATCATCCTTCAATCTTACCACCCATTAAGCAGACAGTCTCTCCTCTCTGTATATTCTGATGAGCCTTCGTCTCCCTCCATGTTCTTTTCCCGTTCTCCTCCTTCTCCCTTGGCAGGATTATCACTGTCATATGTCTAAAGTCTGATGCCACTCAAATACCAGCACCCCCACCGCCCAAGGATGACTTGATGTCTCAGCTCACACTGACTTGTAGGTTTTCTGGGTTCTTCTGGTCTAGCAGTTGGCTGTCTGTGCTTTCATGTTGCTAATTCCAGACTTGCCTGCTATTTTTTTTTCTTTTTTTTTTTTTTGAGACAGAGTCTTGCTCTCTTGCCCGGGCTGGAGTGCAGTGCCATGATATCGGCTCACTGCAACCTCCACCTCCTGAGTTCAAGTAATTCTCCTGCCTTAGCCTCCTGAGTAGCTGGGACTACAGGCATCCGCCACCACACCTGGCTAATTTTGTGTATTTTTAGTAGAGATGGGGTTTCACCATATTGGCCAGGCTGGTCTCGAACTCTTGACCTTGTGATCTGCCCACCTTGGCCTCCCAAAGTGCTGGGATTACAGGCGTGAGCCACTGTGCCTGGCTGCTTTTTTTTTGTTTTTTTTTTTTAAATAAAATTTTAAGTTCCTTGGGCTTAGGGACATGTCTGTGCTCCCTTTGGGGAAGGGTTACTTTAAAGCCCTGTTGGAAATTCATGGTTATCTCTAAAACATACTCATTGTTCAAAGAATCATGCAGTCCTAGGGTTTTCAGGGACCTCAAAAGTGAGCCAGTTCCACCCTGCACCAGCTGTTGGAATCCTCTCTTGGCTGCATAGCAGACAAATTATTCCACTGTCTGGAGTCTTGTGCTAGAAATAAATAGAGCAATGGGCACACTGCCAACCAGTACAGATGCGCTCAGAGTTAGAGGTGCCCAGGTGTTTGACCCTGAACAACCAGAGAGGGAATGAATGCAGGTGGGCCTCTTTTAAAGTGGTTCTTCTATAGGAAAGTCCATGCATACTAATTCAATGAATTGAGACAAGGACCCTTCACTTTACCACTGAAATTCTTTAAGTAATTATTCTTTTATGCCCCTTTCAAATAAAATTTGCTGTGCAGAAATTCATTAATGTGAAGATGTTTCTGGCCATGTCTATAGAGTAAGGGACAGTCACATAAGTACACAGAGGCATTTGGCTAAGTCTGGGCTCTATGTCCCCCAACTCCCCATCAAATGGGTGCAAAATAGACAACGCCAAAGAGAAAGCAGCTATAATAAGACTCTTGGAATGGGAAGAGTGGGACACTGGGGGACCCCGAGGCTGACTTTGGCAGGCCACCTACTGCACTTCATGACCAAGACTCCTGGGCCTGTTTTGTCTGTGGGCATCAGGCCTGGCTCTCTCTCCCACCTGGTCCTCTCAGTAGCTATGGCTCACAGAGGGCAGGCTTCACTTGGAGGCTCCCCACTGACGTGAAGACACCCAGGGTAGCATCTGAGTCAGATGGTTTAGGGTTTTCTGGCCATGTGTTTTAGATAGGAAAAAGTACCACATCTGTCTCTTTCTCGGAACAGCTGAACACTAGATTGACTGCAGAGGAAGAGCTACAAAATGCATATTGGATGGATGGATGAATGAGTGGGTGGATGAATGGATGGATGAATGCAGGAGAGAATGAAGGAAAGCATAAATACAGGGCAAAGACCACCTTCCCATTGACCAGGTGGCCCCTGGGGCTGTGGTGAGATGCTGATTCAGGACCTATAATGACATTTCTGCTCATTTCCAGGCAGAAAGCCAATCTCTATGCCCTGGATTTCATAGACTGCCATCTAATCCAGTTAGGAGAGGAAGTAGAAGTAATGAAATCAAGGGAGAGGTCTCCAGAGGTGCCCCCATCAGTACTGAAAGCAGGGACAATTGCAAAGGAGTTCCCTCCCCCATAGCCTGTCTCCCTGACATCCACTCAGTGTGGCCCCAGCACCAGATGGGTCAATGCAATAACCCAGAGCTGACATTTACTGAGCCCCTGGTCAGAGCTGGGCACTCACCAGGTACTTGTATGTGGATTCTGAAATTTACCATGTATAATCCATTTAATTTCATCACAAAGCTAAAATAAAGGTGGGAACAACCCCTCAGTCCAGACCAGTGCCTTTACCCCATCAGTCTCTTATGGGGTGAGGTGGGGGTGGGCTCGGGGAAGGAGGGCAGGCAAGGCAGAGTACCTATGGACTTTAAGTCTATCCTGCCCATTCCTGCTCCAGCCACCCTTCCTGTAGTGCCTGCCAGACTCAATGATTCTGTCCTGCCCTACCCTGGGGCTGGCCCTGGCCAGGATCTGCTCCCATGGCTGCTCCATGCCTGTACCTCCCCAGCCTGCAGGTCTCTGCCCACATTCCCATTCCCCTGTCCCATTCAACTTTGCCAGGATCCATCCTGGCCTGGGATTTGGAGGCAAGGTGGAGAGGTGAATTTTATAGTGAAATCTTTAGACCTCCAAACAGCACAGATCCCGCAGGGCACATCAGAGGGAGTTGCTTTTGTCATGTGAGGTGACGGGCACCAAGAGATCCATCATGTCTAAATTCTCCCTAATAGTTCTCCTTCTTTAGGGTCAGCATTGCCTCTCCAGACTCCACAGCTTCAATCAGCTCACATTTGGGGAAGGAAATTATGCCCTCAGCCCCTTGCTTCTCAAGGAAGGGAGCTTGCCTGAGACCATAGAGAGGGCCAGGCTGCTCGAGACCATAGAAAGAGCCAACCCATAGGAGATGGTGAGTCAGGGTGGAGGATGGGAAGAGCCTTGGAGACTAACTCCTCCCAAGACTAACTCCTCCTAATCAAGCCCAGCCTTGCCTCGCTCTCCTTTCCTCCAGGTAAGGTGGGGGCTGCTGGCCCACCCCACAAGCCTACTTATTTGCTTCTGTATTTGACAAGCCTTGCTCTGCCTGCTGGGGCAGCTTGGGGCTGACAAGTGGCCCCTGTCCCCATGGCTTCGTGGCTGCAGCACATCCTGGTTCATTAAGACTATAATTGGAGATTGACTTTGAAAGCTCAAAGAGATGCATGGCCACGCACTAGCTCAGACCCAGCATTCAGCTCACTGCTCCCTGTGTTGTTGCAGCTGCCCACACCACATGTGAGTGCCATGGTTGGGGAGAAGACATCCCTTCCTCACTCCTCCCAGCACTCACTGTTGTTAGCAGAGTTGGGTCTGTTGAGACAGACCAGGCCAATGGCATCACAGGCTTGAGGCTTCTTAGGTCACCTGTCTCCCTCCTCCCCACAACATCCTCTGCCTTCCTCCTACCCATTCCATCCCCTAGATCCCCAATCATGCAAAATGCAGCAGTTCCAGCCTGCCCCACAATTACTGACTAGCCAGGCTGCAGCTGCTGTCCTTGGTGCTGAAAGTGCCCGCCTTCCGGCCTGCCTGCCTCTCGCCCCGCCCTGAGCCTTCTTGCTGGAGCGCACATGCTCTTAATTCAATTAGCTGGCCCTGAACCCTCCCCAGGGGGCCTGAAGCGGAAACTGACAAATTCTGTTTAACAAAGACATTTGTCCCTCGCCCCGCTGGCTTTGGGCTCTGCCCGCCTGTATCCCGCTCATTAGGTATCTAACAAAGTGAGTCCCAAGAAATCTGCTTCCAATCGCTAGTAATTCAGGAGGCCTGATGCAATTTTCTCCCTGATAAGGGTGTCTCGCCCACTGGCAAGCGCCATAATGAGCCCTGTGCAGCAGTTCCCCGATCAGTCACTGCTTTGTCATTTCCTGTGGCTGCAGTTGTAGGTTCTTATCTCTTCAGCTGTAGGCGAAGCTCAGACAACAGGCCCCTCCAAGAGGGCTTGCTGCCTCCCCTGCATACAGCGAGCCTCATTTATGGCATCCTGCGTGCTCTTGCAGCTGCAGTGGGGTTTGAAGCTCCGGGTCTGTCTCCCAGCCAAGAAGGGCCCCAGTGTTAATCCTTGGTGGGGCCATGATTCATTTGCCAGAAGTGGTGTTAGAGGGTTAATCCCAAAGCACATTTTGAGGCCAGAGGAGGGGTGCCACTGATAAGAATTTTTAAAAATTCTGTTGGGGATTTTAGTATGAAAGTCCTGCCTGTGGCTCAGTGGTTTGACTGTGGGCTCACTCTTGTTACCCTGAAACCTGGCTTTCTGAATTTATTTTTTTCCCTTGGGTTTCCCCTATTCTCATGCAGACAGACCTTTCCAACACAGATGAAATCACATCCTACTGCTGCTCCAAGACCTTTCTTAGTTTCCTACCACTTTATGATAAAGCCCTCACCCTGCACCCTAGCACCCAGGTCCTCTACAATCTAGACTTCTTCTAGCTTTCTAGTCTCACTGCCCATTACAGTTCTCATATGTCATGTGCTCCAGACACTGTCATGCCTCCATGCCTTTGCACATGGGGGTCCCTTTGCCTGAAGCACCCTTGCTTTGCCAATTTCCAACCCACTATTTGGAACAGAGCTCAAACCATGCCTTTCTGTGATGCTTGCCCTGACCTCTGTATATTCAATGCACCAATCTCAACCAGGACCCTTAGTAAGATGGGTGATAGTGATCTGTTGGGGTGCTTTACTGCTTGGCACAGGTTAGAAATCTAATAAATGGCTTTGGGAAGCCAAGGCAGGTGGATCGTGAGGTCAGGAGTTTGAGACCAGCCTGGCCAACATGGTGAAACCCCATCTCTACTAAAAATACAACAGTTAGCTGGGCATGGTGGCGGGCACCTGTAATCCCAGCTACTGGGGAGACTAAGGCAGGAGAATCGTTTGAACCCAGGAGGCGGAGGTTGAAGTGAGCCGAGATCATGCTATTGTGCTCCAGCCTGGGCAACAGGTCAGGACTCCATCTCAAAAAAAAAAAAAGGAAAAGAAACCTAACAAATGGTTAATGAATGAATGACCTTGGCTGGGCCAGAGATACATCTTGGCTGAAAGCACTGAAGGGAGGTCTATACTAAGGTGGTTGGGTTTTCAGAAGGGGGGAAATCCCAAGACCAACTCCCATTTTCTGAGAAGTTTTGTCTAGAAGCTTCTGCCATGTCTCTCTCTATTCCTTCCCTCCCCCTTCTTCAATCTACCAATTATGCACTGGGCTCACAGGGAGAGCAGAGCAAGGGAAGGGAGTGTTCAATGTCCAGTTTTCTCAGTCATCTCTGCATTCTGACTTAATACACACCATCTGCAGCTGGGAGTTGTAGGCTCACATTCTCAAGGCAACACTAGGTTCTGTGGTTGGTGAGGCATTTAAAAAAATAAATAGACAAAGGTTCTCACTCTGTTGCCCAGGCTGGGGTGTAGTGGCACCATCTCAGCTCACTGTAGACTCAATCTCCCAAGTTCAAGCAATCCTCCTGCCCCAGCACCCCCAAGTGGCACCATCTCAGCTCATTGCAGCCTCAACCTCCCAGGTTCAAGCAATCCTCCTGCCTCAACGCCCCCAAGTAGCTAGGACTACAGGTGCACAACACGATGCCTGGCTAATTTTTGCATTTTTAGTGGAGATGGGGTTTTGCCATGTTGCCCGGGCTGGTCTCGAACTCCTGAGCTCAAGTGATCTGTCCACCTTGGCCTCCCAAAGTGTTGGGATTATGGGCATGAGCCACTAGGCCCAGCCTGGTGAGACATTTGAGATGAGCTAAAGCAGGTCTTCTGAATGACTAGCAATTGGAAGCAGTATGCCTCTCCATCCAGCCCTTCCCATTCTGGCCTGGGAGCTCCTAGGCTCCACAGCCCCCAACTCAGGGCAGGGTACATTGAGGACTTCAGCAAGTCTGGCTTCTGGAGAGATGGTTGTCTGTCTCTTCCCCCATTTCATTCTCAGAAAATTGCAGCGAGACCAAATGTGGTGCTGGCGATGTTTATCTTCAGCACCTGACAAGGCCTCCTGATGTCCTTATGGATGCGAAGCTGGTGGAGCAGCTGTCATGAGGGGCGGGCACCGAGTGATGGGTTCGCAGGGCTCCACCAACTCCCCTCCCCCAGGAGCCCTGTCCTCATCCCTGATGAGTTCAGCATGTTTGTCAGAAACCTGGGTGAAAGACACTAAGAGATCCCTTTACCGAGCATCTGCAGGACACTGTGCTAGGTTACCTGCACATGCTTCCTCATTCAATCTTCACTATGTTCCTGGCTGGTAGGGATTACAATCCCCTTTTATGGATGAGAACAGTGAAACTCAGGATGGCTAAGATCAAATGGAAGATCCAGATTCAAGCCCAGGTCTACAGGCTTACAAGGTGGACATTGCAGCACTTCAAGTGTCTTGGCCACCTCCACAGATGACCTGGAGCTTGGGGTTGGGGGTACAGATGGGGCTGTGAGTGTGTTGCATGATAAAATCAGGGTCCAGAATGATCTCAAGCTTAGAAGATGGGCTGAGATAAAAAAGGTGAAATACCACAGGGGAGAGAAACCCTGTCTAAGTTCAGTATAGAACAGCAGGGAGGCAAGATGCAGACATGCTGCTTACTGATGTGCCAGAGTTGGACTCTGGCTCTAAACAGACCCTCACTGCTTTGATAAATACTAAAATAGAACCAAAGCTAGGCTTCAGCTGCACCAAAGGGGAGAATGTATTCAGAGAGAGGGAGTGATGTTCCTACTCTACCTCTAATGCTGATTGGGCCCCACAGTTTTGGGGGATACTTTAACAGGAATGTTGTCAAGAGGAGACAATCAGCAGGACAAGAATCAGAAACCAAGTGCTACAAAGAGGAAGAGGAATGAGAGTGGGTTCAGGCTGGAGATGCCATAAATAGTTTGCAAATGTCAGTAGGGCTGACAGGCCCTGACTTCTCTGGAGTTGGCCTCTGGGAGGAAAAGGCAGGGCCAGGGGGAGGAAATTGAAGAGAGACAGAAGGAAGTTTAGAAGGGAGCTAGTAGAGGATGGAGAGGGCATCCTGGGTGGTAATGAACTCTCTGTCGGGAAATGACCAAGTAGAGTCTGTCAAACTCTGTGTGTGTTCTGGAGGGACTGTTCAGTTCCTTCTCTCTGAAGTGGGCAGCATGGGAGTTGCATGATCACCAAGGGAGGCCAATATTGTCCCCAAGGCAGGGAACACTATAGGGGGATTCAGGCATTGTGGAAAGCAGGTAGGAGCCTCCGTCATGGCAGCGCAGGAGGAGAGGTGGGATGGCCAGCCCTGCTCCGACACAGAGTCTGTGACCTGGGGGCCAGGTTGGCCTTGTGAAAGCACAGACTCTCATGTCTCTCCTGCCCCATCCTAAGCTTCCTTTGATTTGTTTGTTTTCTGTTTTTAGAGACAGTCTTGCTCTGTCGCCCAGGCTGGAGTGCAGTGGTGTGATCTCGGCTCACTGCAACCTCCGCCTCCCAGTAGCTGGGATTACAGGCTCCTGCCACCAAGCCCAGCTAATTTTTGTATTTTTAGTAAAGACGGGGTTTCTCCATGTTGGCCAGGCTGGTCTCAAACTCCTGACCTCAGGTGATCTGCCCACCTCGGCCTCCCAAAGTGCTGGGATTACAGGTATACAGATTTAATCTCTCCAGAGCCACCACGCCCAGCTCTAAGTTTTCTTTGGATGGGATGGGAAGAGCTCTACACTGGACCTAGAACCTGAGCAGGTGAGGGAAAGGGCACCTGTGGGTAAGGGGTGGATCTGTCTCCTCTGCCTCCTGCCAAATGACCTGAGGCAATGAGAGGATAGGAGGGCAGAGGCTTTGGGTGTGGAAAGGAGGGCAGTGAGGGATGGTGTGAGATAGTGGCAGGGAAAGGGTCTCTCTCTCTGGATCCATCCTTATGGTAGTGTTTTCACAGATGGAGTCTTGGGGGTGGGAACAGAGCCTTCAGAGGGCAGAACCAGTGGAGGAGACTGCTGTGCTGCCCTGGGCACTGGCCCATTCAGGCCGCTGTGCTTGGGGAAGAAATGGAGGGAGGTTTGTGTTGCAGTTTCTCTAAGGACCATCTCAGGGGTGTCAGGTGTGGCTTACAAAAAATCCATAAAAATTCTTCAAAAGCCAGCATGATGCTGCCTGTCCCCTGCCCTTTCCTCTATATTTGCTAAGTGGCCACTTGTCCTCACTCTGGGCTGGTCTCCAGAGAGATCTTTGTAACTAGTCTGAAAAGAAGCCACCAGAGTAGCATCAAAGACTTGCCCCCCTCTCTCCCTATGAGGGGAAGAGGGAGGGGGAAGGTCAGATGGGACCATGGCACCTGCCCCTCCCCTCAGTGGTGGCAGCAGGTGCCACTGCCACCTCTCCTCAAATGCACCCTCTCTATACTCCCAGGAAGCCAGGGGGTTTCACGTCATCCCAGCATGTCTGTGGGCTGTGGGCTGAGGAGGGTGTGGCCACCCATCTGAGAGGCCCTACTTCTGCCTGGTGCCCTATCTGGGCAAGGTGATGGATCCCAAATCTTAAATGCAAGAGGAGAAATGTTGCTGTATACCCAGATGACGGCATGAACTTGTCCCACCTCATGGGGAGGTGCATTTCCAGGCAGAGAGGCAGGAACTGATGCAGTGAGCACCTACTGTGTGCATGCCAGGCTCCAATCCACAAGGTCAGCCCAGGAAACCTGGGCAGTGTGGGCCTCACTTCAAAGAGGCTGGCTGCAAGCTGGAGGGCACCCAGGATGCTGTGGGATCTCGAAACCAGTTCATTAAGAGAGCCAAGCTGCTTTGCCTGGGGAAGTGTAGACTCCCCAGAGACCACATCACACTCTTCAAAGAGAAGAGGCTGAGATCAGAGGAGGAATGGAGGAGACCAAAGGTTTCTGTGTGTGTGTGTATGTGGAGTAGCCATAGGCTCATGGAGTTTTTTTGTTTGTTTGTTTTTGTTTTTGAGACACAGTCTTGCTCTGTTGTCCAGGCTGGAGTGCAGTGGCATGATCTTGGCTCACTGCAACCTCTACCTCCCAGGTTCAAGTTATTCTCCTGCCTCAGCCTCCCAAGTAGCTGGGATTACAGGCACCCACCACCACACCCAACTAATTTTTGCATTTTTAGTAGAGACAGGGTTTCACCATGTTGGCCAGGCTGGTCTTGAATTCCTGACCTCATGATCCGCCCGCCTCAGACTCCTAAAGTCTTGGGATTACAGGCGTGAGCCACCGCACCCAGCCAGACTCATGGATTTTTAGAGCCTAATGGACCTCAAAGGCCAGTCCCCACTGAATGTGCAATAAAGGGAAGTTTTCTGTGTATGTGTTTTTGTATATGAGTGTACATGTTTTTCTAGTTTTTGTGTGATCTGTGTGTGTTCATATACGTACTCACCTACACACACAAGCCATCTTAATGCAGATCACTTTAAGCAGCAAATGACTAGAGAAGTCCTACCAGAGGGTGAAAAACGAACCCATCACCAACCAACCACCTTCAAGTGCAATATTCCAAACCAGAGACCACCACCTCTTGCCATTCACTGAGTCTGCAGGCTTTGTTATCTAGTCTGCCCTCAAAAGTGTTGGCTGACTATGTGATCTATGTAGGAGGCTTGCTGAGGTCGCCCTGCAGCCTCGGGGGCAAAGCCAGGAGCTTGGGGCAGAGGGAGGTCCCCAGGAGGCAGGTTGAGATCATGTGGGGTGGCCATTTCTATCACTCAGCCATAGGAAGGCCTGCTTCTGGAGGTAGTGAGCTGTCTGTCATGGCAGCACAGGAGGAGAGACTGGGATGACCACGTGCTGCCAGGGAGATTGCTGTCCAGTGTGGGCTGTTGAGAGAGGCCACTGCTGTCTCTGCCTATTTGCAAATTTCACCATGCTGCTTCTGAAAGCTCTGAGAATGGGTGACGTGGTAGTGGCGGGTGTGGGGAAGCTGTGTTCACCAAAATGTCCAATTATCCAGGACAGCCTGTGCCCAAAACTCCTGGACATGGAGGCTCATGGAAAGAGCCTATGTCCTCAGACTGGGGCTGGGCCCAAATACGGCACGCGCATTCATTTCTCCTGAAGCATTTCCGCTCTGTGACAGCACTGACCATGTCTGACCACATGCAAAGAGCTACCCCTAGGATGGAGTTGTTGACCATGTGAACGAGGGGCCTGAGAGGCCCAATATCACAAGCCTCGGCAGCTGGAGTGTCCACAGGACTCTAAGACCTCCAGGTGTCAGGTGGTGGCTTCTGGACCCATTATGCAATATTTGATTTAAAGGGTGGAAGAGTTGATGGCCCCAGCCCTGCTGCTGCCTTCCCAAAGTCTAGGATGCAGAGATGAATACCAGGTACCTTCCATGATGAAGTTGCAGGCAACACCTTAGGCGCAACAATAAGGGGGCAGGAACCTGATCTCTTTGTTATAGCAGCTTAGCTCATCACCGTACTCAGCTACCATGAGGAGTCCAAATAGCCCCTTCAAGGACTCCGTATCATGTCACCTTGTTTGAGTTTCCTCAGACCCTTTATCATTAGCTGACATGAATTATTTTTTTATTGTCTGTTCCATACTCCCTGCTAAGAATGCAAGCTTTAGAAAGACAGGGCCTGATTGTTTTTTTTTCTTCTTCTTCTTCAGTGTAATATTCCTAAAATCCAGAACAGCAATTGCTCATGTGGGTGCTTCAGAAATGTTTGCAGTTGCATAGAGAACAATGATGGTATTGCAGTGAAGGTGGTGATGAGGGATGGAGAAGGGGATGGGCCCCTTTAGATTTAGCTGCAATGCCATCTGACCTGTTCATGAATTCTCAACACTTTCCTGCCATCCCTTAGGGAGAAGGATGCCAAAAGGTCTCAGACACTAGAGAGCCATGTCCAAGCCCAATGAAGGTGTGAGCTCAAATCAAAATGAGGTCCATGGCTGCCAACCCCTCCTTCTCCCCATTTCAATCCACAATGGCAGCCAAAATTCTACTTCTTGCCTTGCATGCTACCTGACATGCAGTGACTCCTCATCAAATATACATGGAATAAAAGAATAAATGAATGGGTGCTGCAGCTGCAAGGACTTCATGGTGAATTTAACCACATTAGCACTTTATACTTAGGCTCCTAAATTGGTCTTCAAGATTCTAGAATCAAAGGGAGTCAGTTATTGGCCAATTCTCAGATAGTTTACCAAGAAATAGTTCCACTACAAAGAGATTTAGCTTCCGTGTGTGCCACTGCAGGTGTGAAAACATCTGTGTGTCAGTTTGCATGTATGTGAGAGCGTGTACATATGTGTTAAGAGTGTGCATCCTTCTTGCCAAGGTATGTGCGCACACATCTGTGTGTCTGTGACTGTGTGTAGATATTCACACGTGATTGAGAGTGTATATGTAGAGGGGGTGTGTGTGTGTGTGTGTGTGTGTGAATTCTTGGCTGCAGAATCTGAATTTCTGCTAGTACTATTTTCTTGGTACACACCCAATCCTGATCCCCTTTCTTTTCCTTTCTTCTCAGAAATCCATTACTAAAAGGTTTTTTACCCGCCTCCAGGGGGAGGGGGTTGGGGGAAGGAGACGCTAAAATCACAAGGCCCAGATCAAAACACTCAGCAGCTAAATGAATTCGGCAGCATTTTCCCGCATGACTTGGAGGGATAATTTAGTGAGGCCGCCAGCTGGAAGGAAAGGGATTAATTCTGCACTTAGCACAGCTCCGGTGAATAATTCATTACTGGAGACCTTTGTGCCCAGCCCCTGGGCAATGGGGAAACTGTTCTGCCCACCTGCCTGTTGCCTGCCTGGGCCCACTAGTCAGTCCCCTGACCAGGGGCACCTGACGCTCCTTTTAGTCCCAGGATACACATGCCCAGTGGAAGGGGCAGGAGACAGAGGGAGGTGGGGAGGGGCTGGCAGTGGCCAGTGGCCACAGGCAGACTCTATACCTTGGGAAGAGGCCCCGGAGGGTTGGGCTCCAAACTGGGAAGTTTGTGACCTTTTTCTCCAAGATTCTGGTGCCTCTTTCTTGGGGTTTGTTGCTTCTACCCTTGAGAGGGCAATCCTGAACACCTATAGCAGGGAGTGCTAATGGGGTCTCAGGCCCTCTCCAGAGGCCTTGTAAAGGCACTTTCAGGCTGGTACCAACCCAGATATACTCCTCATACCCCACACCATAGGATTCCCTGTGTTCTTCATGAGTGAGGTCACAGAGCCAAGTGCTACCCCAGAGCTGGTGGATATTTTTCCTGCGTGGGAAGAAGGCAGGAGTGGGTTGGCGCGGACATTAGTCCCTGCAAACACTTTCTGGGTTCATGGTCCTAAACTACTCACATCCCAGCACCACTGAGAGGAAAGAGGGAAAGTCCAGCGGGTGCCTGGCATGTGCACTGCAGCCAAATGAGCAGGGTCTAAGCTGGGCTGAGACCAGGTGTAGCTAGCGAGAGGGATCGAGGCTCATCCAGCAGGCAGGGCTTAGCCCTGGGTGTCTTCACATTTGGACCAACCCAGCTGTGGTAGACAGAATTCCAAAAACGGGCCTCCAAGATTTTACACCCTCATTCTTGGAACCCGTGAATATGATGACTGATCACTCCTGGGATTATGTTTGTTACATGGCACCGTTGACTTTAAGATAGGAAGATGATTAGAATGGCCTGACCTTATCACACCAGCCCCTCTAAAATCCCTCTAAAAGCACCTCTAAAAGTTTTCTGTGGCTGCTGACAGAAGAGGAAGTCAGAGTTTTGAGGTGTGACAGGGACTGGACATGCCTGCTGGCTTAAGATGAACGGGGCCATTGTGAGGGGGCATGTGGGCGTCCTTCAGGAGCTGAGAGCTGCCCCGGCTGACAGCCTGCAAGGAGACCGGGATGTGAGTCCGGCACTGCAGGGAACTGGATTGTGGCAGCCACCTGAATGAATTTGGAAGCAGATTCCTCCCCATAATCCCCAGAAAGGAATGTGACCCTGCCAACATCTTGATTCCAGCCACCCTGTGTCATGGGACCTACATATAGAAGTGTCAGCTAATAAATGGGCATTGTTTTAAGCTGCTAATTTGGTTATAAAGCAATAGAAAACTGATATCCTAGCTCACCCTTGCAGAACCTCGATCCCAGTGAGCCAGACTTGGCTTGGGCTTGGTCAGAGGCTGACTCCAAGGTCTGGGTGGCCCTCTGCTCACAACTCTCCTCTTCCTAATCCCAGCTCTCTCTACGTTTGTCTGGAGTCTCAAATCACCCTTAGACGTTTCTATCCAAAGTAGTAGTCCCATCCTCCCAGAAGTCCCTGAACAAAGCCAGCAATTGTGAAGGAAGTTGGATCTCACTGACATGTGCCTGCTGGCCCTGACCCTCCCCTGGCCCACAGCCTTACCTCAGAGGAAAGCAGCTGGAAGGAGAGAGCCACTGTGGGGGCCTCATCATTGATAGTTTTCAGGCTGGTGTCCTGGGGAGGAAAAGGGAGCACTCAGACCATGCTGGCCAGGGCAGCTTCCGCCTCTGCCCCACCTACTGTTCTAGATTTCTCTGGAAGGTGTCACCTGCGGGCTGCACCCAGGAGGGTGGGAGGGAGGTGGGAGCTGGCCTCCTGCTTTTGCCCTCGCAAACTGCCTCCACACCACCCCTTCTAAACCCCTCTAGAGACCTGTCTGGCACTACCAGGCTCATCTGACAGAGAGATTCTCATTCATTGAGGTCTATTATGTCAGGATGGCCAGAAGTATTTTAGGGGAAATGGTGGCATAGGAATAGAGAATGATGGTAACGATATTATTCATTCTTGTTGAGAACTTACTCTAAGTGCTTTCCATGGGTTTTCTCATGAAATCTCACAGCAACCCTATGAAAAAAGTGCTATTGCCATGTACCCATTTTATAGGCAAGGAAACTGAGGCATTGACACTTTCAGTAGTTTTCCCATGGTCATGTTAGCTGGTATGTGGTGGAACCAGAATTTGGACCCAGACAGTCTGGCTCTAGAGCCTGAGCTCTGAACTCTCTTGTTATACACAGAGATTGTGTACTTGGCATGCTTCTCCTGTGTTACAGACGAGGACTCTTGTGGTTCAGTAATGTGCCTGAATTTCCACAGTGAGGATTTGAACTGTGGTTCAAATCAGGGTCTGGCTGGCTGAAAGCCTGAACTCTTGCACTGTCTCACAGGGTCACCCTGTACTTGTCTCCCAAGTTGCTCAGGGGCAATTTCTCTGGCTTGGTTCGTCATAGTCCCAGAGGCAAGACTGGCTTCTGGGGTTCCAGGGAGCTCCTCACTTCTAGACTGGGTGACTTCCCTGGTGGGTGCCTTGACAGAAGCTTCTGGAGAAGCCAAATTCTCCTATGGAGGTGTGGTGAGGTGGGGCAGGGTGAGGCAGGGTGGGGCCAGGTGGGCACGCTAGGGGCCCAGTTCAGGGCAGGGGGCTCACCATGATGGGGAGCCGCTCCACGTGAAGCCCGTCCAAGCCTTTCCCTGTCAGCATCTTCTGGTACAAACGGCTCTTTAGCGGCAACACAGAGATGCCCAGGGGCTGGTTGAGGGTCCACGGCTGGCTGCCTTTCACTGTGGGGGAAGGATCAACTAGGGCTCCTGCCAAAGCCCCCACCTCGGCCCCATCCTTTAATACCTGACATCCAGTCCTCCTGTCTCCCGCTGCCTGCTTTCCTGCCTCCTGGCCTTTCCCTGCACATACATCCTCTTCTCATCTTCAGGGCTTTGTGAACTCAAAGCCAACTCTAAACATACTCTGTGTGTCTGGGAATTTATATACATCAGCCTCATCTCTACCCTTTGGGGGCTTCAATCCCACAGTGCAGAAAACTGTGGATCAGCTGGTCTCTGAAGCCCATCTCCCTCACCCCTCTCTGTGAGTTCCGAGGGCTCCAGCCCTCCCCCATCACTGATGGGTGCAATAAAACAAAGCTTGGGGCCAAGACCTAGTATGGGACAGGCCCACGTGTCCTGGCCTGTGGACAAGGAACGCAGCCAGCTCTCCTCTGCCTGCATTAGGAAGCCGCCTGGACACCTGGGAACCATCCATCCCTGTGGGAGGCAGAGGTGGGATGGTCTGAACACCCTTTCATAATACAGATCTCCTGAGGCATGGCTGCCCTGGCGAGGCACCAGGGGTCACGTACTTGAAGTTGAGGAGTAGTACTCCAGCACCAGGGCTGTGTCTTCTGAGAAGCTGGTAGCTCCATCTCGGCCTTGGAAGAGGAAGGACTGATTCCACAGGGGCTGCTCTGGGGGTCCCCCAGGCTTGGACAGCTGGAGGGAGAGGGTAGGAGCAGGTGGTGGGGGCCACAGCTTCTCCCAAATCAAGGCATACACAGATATTTGGTTTTGTGTATCTAGATTTGTCACAAATGTTTCTCCCAACTATAAAAGCAAGCTGGCTGGGCACAGTGGCTCACGCCTGTAATTCCAGCACTTCGGGAGGCCAAGGCAAGTGGATCACTTGAGGTCAGGAGTTCAAGACCAGCCTGGCCAACATGGCAAAACCCTGTCTCTACTAAAAATACAAAAATTAGCTAGGTGTGGTGGGGGACTCCTGTAATCCCAGCTACCCAGGAGGCTGAGGCAGGAGAACTGCTTGAACCCGGGGGGGCAGAGGTTGCCCTGAGATGAGATTGCGCCACTGTACTCCAGCCTGGGTGACAGAGCGAAACTCCGTCTCTAAATAAATAAAATAAATAAATAAATAAATAAACAAATAAATGCAGCACACACCTAATAAATACATTTAGGAAAATGCAGAAAAATAGGAAGAAGAAAAACAGCTCCTGTGTTCCTATGATAAACACAATAATTCATAAAACTGTGCTTCTTCCTAGTTTTTTTCTGTGTATATTTTGTGTATAATCACCATTCTAGCATCCTGCATTTTTCATTTGCCAGTAAAACCTAAGCAGATCCAAAGTCACAGAAAGCTCATTACCCATGACTTGAGTAACTTCAGGATATGAAGTTCATGTCCAAGTGCCCTGATTTCTTCCTTCCCATTTTTCCCTGTAATAACACTGCATTGAACGTTCTCTGCTACATATCTTCATGTCGCAAATTACTTCCTTAGTACAACTACCTAAAATGGAATTGCTGGGTTATAGGACATGTGTATTTTAGGACACCTCATTCATTATTGGTAAACTGTTTTCCTAAAGTGTTGTATCTGTGTTCACACCCATGGCTGGTGGTGTCACAGATGCCAAGTTAGACATGACCTCTGTCTGTGTCACCAGCCCCTCTCTTTCCCACACAGTTTCCCCAGCCCCTTGCAGAGGCCAAGACATCTCTGCAGACTACAGAGGCTCCGTGTGCCCGCAGTGTGGGCCAGTGGGCACTCGGGGGACTTGATGGCACCCTAGGTCAGCAGTTAGGGCACACACATGGGTATGATTTAAACAATGAAACAAGACAGTATTAACTGTAGCACTGCCCAATAAGAGAGCTATATGAAATATTCCCATGGGTGGTCAGAAAAGCCTCCTTAAAGGAAGCAGAACCAGAGAAAGGCTCTGAAGGAAGGTCTGGCTGGGTGAAGAGAGGGATAAAGGTCTTCAGGATGGGAAAACAGCACAATCAAAAATGTGGAGTGGCACTGAGCACACCCTGTGCAGAGGACGCCTGAAATGAGGAGAGACTCCAGGGGGAGGCCCAGCATCTGCCAAGGCCAGAAGGTGGGAGATGGGAGATGGCCATCGGCCCATAACTCCCAGCAGGCAGCCCTGCAGGGTCCCAGCACAGGGCGGGGCTGCGGGTCGTTGCTACAGACCCACCAAGTGGCTGCCTTGCCTCTGTTCCCCAGCCAGGGGCTGTCAGCAACAGTAGCAGCCGCTCCCACCTCCTGCTCCCCCACAGGAATCAGTCATTGCTCGAAAAGGTCAGCACAAATGCACTGCGGCTCCAGGAGTTATTGATGCAGGATCATGAAATATCAGTGTAGGTCCACTTCCCCACAGTGGCAGGGTGCTGATGACGGTCACACTAATGGGCCTGGTTTGTCCAGGCCCAGCCCAAGGCTCAGCTGTGTCTGCCCCTGCCCCTGGGGAGATGGGTTGCAGTCACTGCAGGGCTAGGGTGCCCTGGACACCTGAACAGAGACTGCAATGATGGGAACATCCCACTTCTTATGGGAGCTTGGCCAACAGGTCCGGTGAGAGAAGTTGGTTCTGACTTCTGTGGGGCTTGGGAGTGATCTTTCAAGATTGATCCCCAAACCATGTCCCTCCCAGAGTCACCCCATTCTCCTGGGTGCAGGAGGGTCCACATGGCTGGGACTGTCTGCCAGGCATTGGGGCACCTGTGACTCAGTCCCCTGCCGTCCATACCTTGCTCCTACCCTGGAAGAGGGTTATTTAGTAGACGCTAGCTGCCCTTTCTGGGACCTATTCATGTGTCTAAATGGAGCCTATGAAGCCAGAGGTGGTGAGTGGCTGCCGGCCCAATAAGGAACAGCCCTTTCCCTGAGTAGTTTCCCAGGGCAAGTCACTTAGGAAAGATCACTTCAGACCTAGGACTGGGGAGGGAGGGTCAGCCTGTCTTGTGCATGTGCAGGCAGGAGTGGTGGGAACTCAAAGTTAGAAGACCTGCAGTCTGACGCCAGAGCCCTGGTGAGGGTACTGTGGCTGATGTGTGTGCAGGATGGGGGCGGGGAGAGGCAGGCATCGCCTGCAGATGCTAATGGAAGGGCCACAGCGGTAGTGGAATTATGGAATGTCATTAACCCTCAGCTGTGATCTTCAGAAAAGCCATTAACCCCCAGCCATGGAGGCAGACCTGCTTCCCCTGGGGACAGAGCCTTCATTCCATGGCCCCTCCACGCCCACCGCCTTATTTCCCCTGGGCCCACCCACATCCACCTCTGCCTGCTCTGCCCAGGCATAGTGGCCGCCATCTGGAGGAGTAGCTGCTGGGAGCAGATGCTGGGCTGGGGTCTCTAGGGATCTAGGACCCCTTGGCTCTGGGTCTGGGTCTGCCTCAACCTTGCTGTGTGGCCTTCAAGTCCCTTCTCCTCTTTGGGACCTACTTTTCCCATCATCCCATGGGGATATGCCTCAAACTCCTCACTTTGAAAGCCTGTTGTAAGGTTAAAGGAGACAATGGATGTTTTGCTATTAAGATGTAAGTTCAACTTCACTGAACTCAGCAAATGTTGACTCTGGGGGGCTTCTCCATTCCAGATGCCTGTGGGGTGCTGTAGAGCCAGACTCTGCCCCCGACCCTGTAGCCCACCATCATCCAGGAGGATAGGGGACAGACAGACAGACAGACAGACAGACACACACACACAAACATGTAGAGTCCTAAGCAAGCTGTGGTTGTGGGAGCTGGGGTGTGCGAGGAGAAAGCCATGACTTCTGACCCCATTCCTCAGGGAGGACCTGAAGGACAAGGGCAGTAGGTAAGGAAGAGGAAGGCCATTCCAGACTGCGAGTGCAGCAGAGGTGGAGGCTGGAGGTGGGAAGGGGCAGTGTGGGTGTGGAGAACAGCAAGCTGTCCAGTGGGGCTGCAGAATGCCTGTATGAGCTGGAGCCATAAGCCAGGAGGCTGGAGGGCACAGGGCCTGTGGACCTGGCTGAGAGTGGGATTTGCCTTGTCGTGATAGTAACAGGGGGCCCAGGGGAAGGGCTAGGCAGGGGATGCCCTGGCTGCTCCTCAGAGAATGGATGGCAGGGGCCTGAGGGGAGGCTAGCACTAGGGCAGGGTCTGTGGGGATGGAAGGGGCCCCAGGAGAGCTTGGGGACAGGCCAGCTGTGGGGCTGAGAGAGGAGGGGATGGTGGTGGGCACACATGGCTTCCCGGAGCTCCACTCCAGCTCTGTAGGAGACCAGAACAACAGGAGCAGCCTGTTGGGCAATGGGCCCCTTCCAAGGTGCCGGGGTAGGAGTAACTTACACGGCCCACCCTATGTTGGTTCCAGCAGGCTGGACCAGGTGAAGTCCGACAGGCCATCTACCCCTTAACTCACCAGTTCAGCCTTTGCCATCATCACCAGGCTCCACTGAGGGCCACCTAGCCCACCACCATGCCCCTCCTTGCCTCATCACCAGCAGATGGCCCTTGGGTTCGGGTGGCTCCGCCTCCATAACCTTCCACATTTATACCAGCAAGGCAGAGCCACACCCCTCCTTAGTGATTGGCTCAGGGAAGTGCATGTAACCCAATCCTGGCTAATCAGACAGGAAGGAGGTCTGCTGAGGGATGGCTGGGTAAGGTTGGTTTCCAGTTGCTCTTTAAAACCACCTACAAGAAGAGAGGGTGCTGCTGGGTGCGGTGCCTCAGGCCTGTAATTCCAGCACTTTGGGAGGCCAAGGTGGGCGTATCGCCAGAGGTCGGGAGTTCAAGATCAGCCTGGTTAACATGGTTGAACCCTATCTCTACTAAATATACAAAATTAGCTGGGCATGGTGGCGCTCGCCTGTAATCCCAGATACTCGGGAGGCTGAGGCAGGAGAATTGCTTGAACCCAGGAGGCAGAGGTTGCAGTGTGAGCCAGGATTGCGCCACTGCACTCCAGCCTGGGGGACAGAGACTTGGTCGCAAAAAAAAAAAGAGAGGCTGCCTCTTATCTGCTGGTCTTTCATTCTATTTGGATGAAGTGCCCCCATGAGCCGTTAGCCAGCTGAAGATGGTAATTCGGGGTGTTGGAAAGATCCTGAGACCTCGAGGATGCTTCTGAGCCTGAGCATCCACCAATTCTGGCAGCATTCTATGTCGTGAGTTGATGTGGTGTGTGACAATAAATATCCTTAGTATTTAAGCCGATCCAAGTTGGGGTTTCTGTTACTTGGAGCCAGATGTGAAAAGGGCAGTGGTGAGGCTGGCCTCAGAGGGGACACTGGCACTAGGGGAGGTACAGCTCTGTTAAGAGTGGAACCCATTTACCTTGGACCCTGGGCCTGGACACTTTGCAAAGATTATCCTTTGAGTTCTCCTAACAGATTGGAATCAATGAGTCTGGAGAAAGGAGCAGCTTACCAAAGGTCATGCAGCCAGTAAGTTACAGAGCTGGGGTCAAACCCAGGTCAAACAGTGCTTTTGCACAGTGACAGTTGGTGAGAAATCACAGCCCCCCAAGATGTCAGAGAGGGCAGGCCCTAAAATTACCAAGTCCAATCCCACCCCCTCAAGTGTAGAGATGAGGGGACTGACGCTCAAAGGGAACAGGGCAGGGGTCTGTGTGAAGACTGAGCTCACGCTGCTGACTGGTGCCCCTCCAGGTATGGCTCTGCCCGGGCAATCCCCACCCCTCCTTACCACAGCAGCCTGCTCCTGTTCTCTCACTGCTGCACCTGGGCACCTCTGTGCCAGCTGCCAGCAAATTCCCAACCTGGCCCAGCTGCCATGGGGTTGGGTGATGTTCAACAGGTGTCCTGCCATTGCTGGACCGGGTCCCACACATGCAAAAGGCACTGGGAACAAGTCTCTGTAGTGAGTGGCACCTCTCCTACCCAGACTAGTTAGGCAGCAAAGGCAGCCAGAGAAAGCCTGGGGGTGGGAGGGGGCACACTCATTAAAGCAGGCAGTGCCTCTTGCCCCTTGGGACAGCCTGCTGATTGGTTCTTAATTTTCTGGGCAAATGCAGGGCCATGTGTGAGGTAACTCTAGGGAAATCAGGCAAAGGATTGGTTTGGGTTTGAAGCCTCTGTCCCCAGGGTCCCCCTTTGTCCCACTCCTCCCCACCACCATCACTCTACCCCATGTCTGAGCCTTCTTCAAATGTCTTTGCCTTTAAATGAAGCCTGGGCTCCAAAGGGGTGTCTTGTTCTATTTTTGCTATGCCAGACATAAGCACTGGTGGGCAGACAATAGGAGGGACCTCCAAAAATCCCTCTGTCCCCCAAGGCCCCTAGGAATGTTGGGACCATCGTGTAGGGCAAGCTGGCAGTGAAGCGCAGATCATGAGAAGAGACCAATCTGGCTATTCCCCTGAACCCAGCCATGTTCTGTGCGTGCACCCGCCCCCAACCTCATACTCAAACACACAGCCCTCCTGTCTGCCCTGACATGGGTCATAGCCTGCCTGTCTCCACCTCACACTTGTGCTATTGCTGTGTCCAACCTGTACCAACCCTTCCTCTGTTAAAAATTCAAGACTGCCGGCTGAGTGCAGTGGCTCATGCCTGTAATTCCAGCACTTTGGGAGGCCGAGGTGGACAGGTCACAAGGTCAGGAGTTTGAGACCAGCCTGGCCAACATGGTGAAACTCCATCTCTACTGAAAATACAAAAATTAGCCGGGCATGGTGGCGGGTGCCAGTAATCCCAGCTACCTGGGAGGCTGAGGCAGGAGAATTGCTTGAACCTGGGAGGCGGAGGTTGCTAGTGAGCCAAGATGGTGCCACTGCACTCCAGCCTGGGCAACAAGAGCAAGACTCTGTCTCAAAAAAAAAAAAAAAAATTCAAGACTGCCTTCCCTAATCCAGGCTTTACATCCCTCTCCTCTGATTAAAAAAAATTTTTCGCTGGGCGCAGTGACTCATGCCTGTAATCCCAGCCTTTTGGGAGGCCAAAGCGGGTGGATCACCTGAGGTCAGGAGTTCGAGACCAGCCTGGCCGACATGGTGAAACCCTGTCTCTACTAAAAGGATAAAAATTAGCCAGGCATGGTGGCATGTGCCTATAAGCCCAGCTACTCGAGAGGCTGAGGCAGGAGAATTGCTTGAACCCGGGAGGCAGAGGTTGCAGTGAGCCAAGACTGCGCCACTGCACTCCAGCCTGGGAGACAAGAGCGAGGCTCTGTCTCAAAAAAAATTTTTTTACTGGGTTAAAATATACGTAACACAACATTCACCATTGTAGCCATTTTTAATGTACAGTTCGGTAATGTTAAATGCATTCATTTGTTCGTATTGTTGTGTAACCATCACCACTATCTATTTCCAGGACTTTTCATCACTTGAAACGGAAACTAGGTACTTATGACCTGTAACTCCCCATTCTTCCCTTTCCCCAGCCCCTGTAGCCACTGTTCTACATTCTGACTCTGAATTTTCCTATTCTAGGTATCCCATATAAGTGGAATCATATATTTGTCCTTTTGTATCTTCTCCTCTGATGTGATAGCCCTGACAGGCCCTCCCAGTTTGTTATTAGATTATACATTATCTTGTGTTGATGTTCAACTTTTTCACCCACGTGACTCCCATCTTCACCAGACCAAGAGTTCCTGGAGGGCAGTTTCTCTGCCGCACAGGCGAGCACAGCACTGGGTATGCCGTGGGATTCAGTCAACTCTTACTCGATAGTCAAGGGAACTGCTGACTGACTCACTGAGTGAGTGAACAGTGAATGTGTGGGGTAGTTACAGGAAGCTGGAACCACTGGGGAGGAGACATACCTGAGGGCATCCGTTCTGGCTGACGCGAGGCACGTCAAAGTTCATCATGGACGGGATAGGGAAGGACAGTGGGGTGATGGGCAGCCCCACAGAGGCCAGGTCCCTGTTAGCCTGGCTGACCCTGGGGAGGCAGGGAGACAGGGTCAGTGCTCTGGGCTCTGCACCTGAGCCTGGCAGCCCAGGGCCCCCCGCTTAGACTCTGGGTTGATGCAAGAGAAGGGAGTTGCAGGGATCCCGCCGAGTTCGGGCCTGGACCTCACGACAAGTGGGGACCACTGGGCTGGGCGTGCATCAATCATCTTCCTTCCTCCAACAAGCAAGGGGGCTTCATAAGTCATAAAAACTCAACAGGAGATACAGAGAAGTAGGGGAGTCATCTTGGGCCATCAGGGCCAGTTGGAAGTGACCAAGACAGACCCTGACTCCCAGGAGTCGGTGCTGTGGCAGAGAGCACACGTTCATAGGGGAATTTCCCACTGTGTGGCAAAGTATGAATCTCCTCTTGAGGACTGTGACTCCAACAGACTCAAAAGGAGGTCTAGGGGAGGAGGGGATGAGTTGTGGCTGGGACCAGGGAGACCTCCAGGATGAGGAGGGAGGAGACTCCGCCCGGCAGGGCTAAAGGCTGTGAAGTTCCAAGATGGCCTTTGGGGCCAACCACTGGCTGGAGCCTGTGGCCCTGAGCTAGAGTGGGAGGGGGAGTGGGGAGGTGGTGGGTGTGAGGCAGGGAGGCAGGTTGGAGGGGCTGAGGTTCCCTGAGCAGGGAATGAGGACCCCTCTTGTTGTCCTCCCCACACTCTCTAGCTGTTAGGCCTGGTATCGGCACTCATCCCCACCACCTGCCCTCCAGCTTGCTCTCAGGAGAGGACTGAGCTGCCCCTTTCCAGGGGCCTGGGCTCTCCCTGGGGAAAGAAAGGCATGGTCTGCTGCAGGAAGCTTACTGGGACCTCAGACCCAATGGAGAGGCTTGAAGGGCCTTAGGGGTAGAGGGGTTGCCGGAGGTCCTGGAATCAGCCCATGGCAGCAATGACAGCCTCACCCCCTCCTCTGCCCTCTGCTCTGCCCTCCTCACCCAGGTCCACCTGGGCCCCACTCACTTAAATTCCTTGTAGTTGGGAACGACCCGGGCAATCACCACTATGGGGTTGGGGTTGTTGGCCAGGGGCTCGTTGACTCCCCGGAGAAAGATCTGGAGAGGAGAGGAGAGGAGGCAGGTGAACACCATGTGGCCTTGGGACCTTCCAGAGACAGCCAGCCAGACTGCCTACCCTCTTTTTCCCCATCCGTGAGCTCATGGCTGCCTCCACACTTGACACCTGCTTCTCCCTGTTCCCTGCCTTACTCGGTTCTTGCTTTGCACCAGGCTGCCCTCCCTCAGGAAGCCTTCTCTGCCGAGCTGAGGCAACTGCTCCCGCTTTCTGTCCTGGGATTTACCAATGGATCTCTTACACTAGTTTCTTTGGGGAGAAAGGGTACGATGAGAGTTGGGTCCTGGGAAGGGAGGTTGTGTTCTAACCTCGGCCCCTCCACTGGCTCCTGGGGAGGGGTTGGGCTAGGGGTAGGGCTAGGTGTTCCAGCTCCTTGGTTTCTGTCAGTCAAATGAGGCTCCTCCCAGGGCTGTGAGGGGTCTCTGATTAGATCGTTTGTGAGAGAGCACTTTATAAACTGAAGACAGGAAGCCCAGGTCTGGTTTCTCCGACCATGCTGAACTTCCTGAGATCAGCGGCCACAGCCAGGCTCCCCTTGCCTCCCTCGTGCCCATCACCCTGGTGCCTGCTCCACTGCTCACCCTGGTGCCTGCTCTCCTGCCTTGCTGGTTTCCCCAGGAAGTACTGGTTTGGAACAGGATCATAGCATCCGCATCTCTGGGCTCCTCTTTCTTCATCAGATCCCGGTTGTCACTCCCCTGACCGCCCTTGGTTGTTCCCTCCTCAGTCCTCTGTCACCCCCTAAAGGCTTCCCTGCCTCCCAGTCCTGACTGCCCTCTCCTCTACTCCAGGCTTCTATTGGCGCAGCTTTCAGAGAGCCGAGCGGGGTCCCAGCAGGAGGTTACAAAGCAGGAGTGGACAGCGTCACCTTGCTCCAACCCTCACTGACCCCCTGCTCAGTCTGGGCCTGGGGGACACTGGAAGGCAGACAGGGGAGACAGGGAGTCTGTCCCCATGCGCCTCTGCTGCCAGCCTAAGAGGCCCTGATCTCCCGGACCCTGACCCTCACCCTGTATCCACCAATGGCTCCCACTCTCCCTCAGCCCTCACCCACCTCCCACTCGGCTCTCATTCCTCTTGCTCCTTCGATTCCTCTGCCTCCTCACTAGCCTCTCCACTTCTGTTCCTTTCCCTAATCCATCCTCTTTCCCAGGCAATTTGACACATGATGGCAAAAGTGCTCTTGTTAAAAATGAACTGGGTCACGTTATTCCCTGCCCGACACCCCACAAGCCCCTCTGCCGTGTCTCCCGACAGGCCCCCAGCCCCTGTCTTCTTGCTCCAGACTCTTTTACTCCTGCCACTTACCCCTCTTATTTCTGCCACAGGGTCTTTGCACATGCTGATCCCTCTACTCAGACTCCCTGCAGCTCCCACCAACCCATTGTGGCTGGCGAGGGCCCAGGAGTGAGGCTTGTTCTGGATCATTCTCCCTTTTCTCCCTCCGCACCCTCCTTTCAGGCTCCTCTTTCAATACCCATCTCAGCTGGTTTTCCCACCTCTAACCCCACACAGGTGTGAGCTGATGGGCACGTACAATAGTCCTTAGGGCCTCGCAGCTCTCACTGAGGGCTCTGGAGACTGAATCCCTTCATCACATTCAAAGGATTGAATCTCTGATGGTACATTTCACACTTTGGATGGGTCTGGGGTCTGGGGCTGAGGGATTTCACTGGAGGCTGGCAGGCCCTATTGCTCACAGGCTCCCCAGCAGGTGTAAGACTAAAAAGGGGGTGGTGGCAGCTAATTTGCACCTGTTCTGTGTGGACTCTGATCAGGTGTGAATGAGACAGCTGCCCAAGTACACCTGCTCATGACAGCCTGGGAAGTAGCAGAAGTTCCTGCTCCTGCCATGCGCTCACCATCAGGAGCAGGCAGCTGCTCTGTGGCCATACCTGTCGCACGGATGGAGAGGGCATCTGTGCTGGGGCAGGAGAGTGGGCAGGGTGCTGTGAGCCAGAGAAGGCCCCTACTCTACCGCTCTACCAGGCAAGTCAGAGGGCTGGGTGGGGTGGGGCAGCTCCACAGCAGCCCTAAAGTTCTGCCTGTGTCTTGGGGATGTGGCCTCCTCCCTGTGGGGTGCGGCCTGGGGACAGCAAGGCCAGGCTGTTGCCCCTCTTCCTTGTTCTGTGTGTGTGTGAATTGCTGGCTGTCCTCAGGAAAGGGCGTGATAGAAGGTGGCGGGGAGCAGAGGGCGCCTGTAGGTCTGATATGCTGGCATCAGAGGGGTGGCTGTAGGGGAGTAGAAATGTGGGTTAGGAGTTTTGGCTCCCATACCATACTCCCCTTGGGTCTCAGTGTCCCTGGCTGTGAAAGAAGGCAAAAGAATGCTTCCTTCCCTGCCAGGCCCACGGTGCTGGTGGGAAGTAGGGGGGTGGGAAGGATAGGAACAGATCAGCCATGTTTGGGTAGGTGGAAGCTCAGAGCTTGGGTCCTGTGGCTCCCACCCTGATCATACTCAGGCCATAGCTGAATTTGAATCTGTCACCCATGGGCAGTTTGAAAGTTGGGGGGAATGGGAGAGGGGCCAGGTCCCTGCATCATGTCTGCTTTGAGCATCAAGAGTTCCTCCCAAAGCTGCTAATTGGCCTAGGGGGTGGATGGTGATGGGTCAAGGGGCAGTGGCCAGGCCCAAGGTGGGCTCAGCCCTGTCCTGGCTAATGGAAGAGGCTCTGTAAACAGTTGCTGGATGAATAAATGAATGAATAAACTAAATACCTAATCGCCAGACCAGTCAAACCTCTTTAGACACAGTGCTGAAGGAAAGCTCAAGGAGGCCCTAAACTTTTGCTTGGGGGCCAAGGCACTATCCCAGGAGGGGAAGAATAGAGCAGGAAACTGCTGGGCTGTGGGCTCAGGGGGAGCACGGGGCTTCTCCCCTGCCCCTAGCATAAGATTCGGGGAGACAGGCTCTGGTCCCCACTGCAGCACAGAGACGGTACACCAGGAGCAGCAGTGTGGCTGAGCCCCTCCCCGCCACCTCCAAGACAGAGAGGGAAGGAGAAGAGGCTTGAGCATCTTCATCCTTGTCATCCCTGCCAAAGGGCTTGTCTTCACAACTCCTTTTGCTATTTTGGAAAGGCCTGGTTGCTTTTTCCATTCTTGACATCTCTGCTCCACACCCTCAGGTCAGCCAGAGGGGGCTAAGGGCAAGGCGTGGGGCCTGCTCAAAGCTTGGCCCTTTCCCACCCCCACCACCACCCCAGAGGGCCCCAGCCCTGGTACCTCCAGAGCCATGTGGTTGCAGCCGATGTAGCGGGGTATGAAGCTGCTCTTCCGAACGACTGTTGCGTACAACTGGGTCTTGGCAGTGGCTTCATCGGCTTTCCCAGACTCAGTGGGCTGGAGACAGGGTTGGGGCAGAAGACACAGAGGAAGGAGAGTGTCTAAGGGGCAGATCCTGGCCATAAATCCAGCCCTCTGCAGACAATCACTTGGCATTGCTCCGCTGGGGCTCCGAGCTGATAATTAAAGCTCATGGTCCCTGTGAGCCCTTCCAAGGAGATCAATATAATAAATCTTCCCTTTTCCATTTGAATATTTCATCACCCTCACAAGGACCACTGCCTGTCTGCTTTCCAGTAAAGATGTGATAACAAGGCCTGGGTTGTAAGTGAACAGACAGCCAGGGGGCCTGGGTGATGCCCCCAGAATTACAGCTCAAGTGCTGAGTCTCCCAGGGTGAGTAGCACATCTCTCTTTTACTTCCCTGCATGGCCCATCCTGAAGCCCTGGGATTGGGGTTCCTCATGGGGCCTAAGAGAAGGTAAAGCCCCCTGGTGCCATGATTGAAGAAATGCTTAGAAGAAAGTTCAGTGCTGGCCCGGAGGAGGGATGGGGGAGGGTAACTGACCAAACTGAGCACCTACTGTATGCCAGGAACCTTGCCTATCATTGCTTGAGATCCTCAAAACGACTGTGCCAGCTTTGCCAGTGAGGATGGAGGCCTGGGGACCAAGTGGCTTCCATGGGTATCCAGCTAGGAGGCAACAAACTTGGTCTAGGACCCCCGACAGTCTGGCTTCACATTGTTCTTTACTCTCAACCACTTTCAGGGTCTGGAATGCACAGTGGGGAGGGGAATGTGATGCTTCTGTTCATCTCTGGCTCACTACCTGGCACATAGTAGGTGCTTCATAAGTCCTTGAGCAATGAGAGAGTGAATTCTACCCCTTACCCTTCAGCACTAGGAGGGAGGACAGGCAGGGGTCTGGCCTGGGAGGCCCAACCTTGGAGTGAGGAGCCTCAGGCCCCTCAGTCCATGGCTTGGACCCAGTTGCTCACTCCAGGGGTGCATTCCAGGGAATGCTTTATTCCATGTACCCCCCAACTCTCCTGGGCCTTCTGGCCAAGGCAGCATGTGGAGGCAGCTCAGAAGGAACTGGCTTGGGAGACAGCATGACTTGGGCTCACCCTCAACTCTGCCGCTCACTTGCTCTGTGACCCAGGAGGAGGAGATTTTTCTCCCCAGGTCCCAGTCCCATGTCTGCAAAATGTAATTTACCTTGAGGATTAGAGAGGGGGTGTGAAATGTCTAGCACAGGGCGTGCAAGCAGCGGGTACTCGGTAAATATTGTGTTTCTTTGATTTTTAGATCCGCTCTTTTAACATTTTTGTAATCAAAATCTATCTTTAATTGGTATATTCATTTAATGTGGCAGTTGTCCTATAATAATCAGCTGTTTTTACAGAGATGAATTTGGAGAATTCCAAATTCTTGTAGACACCATTCCTGTGTATGTACCAGGAGCCATGTTTCCTGAGCCCCACATGGTCCTAGACTTGTCATGCTGTGGGTGGGTGTGGGATGCTCAGGGCTGCTCCGAGGGAATAGCTGGGGACATTCAAGGTGGTTCCCACCTGCTCTCCCGGCACTTCCCCAGGCCTCTGACTCACCTTCACCAGCTCAAAGTGGTAGGGGTGGAAGACACGCAGGTACTTGATGGGGATTTTGTAGGACAACAACTCCTGTTTCTTTCTGTTGTCCACCACCTTGAGGATCACATCTGGAAAGAGAAAAAATGAGCCCAGGTTTATTTTTAAATGGATCCCTTTCTCTCCCAGTAAGGAGAGACAGTGAGAGGTGAGAGACATTGTTGAGAGTAGGGAGCAGGGGCCACACTGAGGAATCAACATGCACACACATGTGTGGATCACCCCTGTGCACACAAACCCACAAGCACAGTCTGAGCCCCTGCACAGGGCAAAGCTCCATGCCGGCAGCTGTTAGGACCCCAACATGCAATTTTCTCCCATGGTCTAGAAACTCCCAGGTCAGAGATAGACACACACAGAACTGAGTCCAGTCCCCTGTGGCAACAGACACACATGTGCACACACTGAGATACACAGGCAAGCAGGCATAGCACCTCTTTCCAGGAATAAGACTCTTTCCCTTGGTCACAAACACTTATGCCAGCTCTTGAGGCAGGATGGGGAGAGATTATCTCACACATGTTGCAGGTGGGGAAACTGAATTTCAGTAAGAAAAAGTGATCTGCTCAAGGAAATCCTTTAATACAGCTATCAATAAAAGTCTACTACAAGTAAGGGAAAACTAGTCTAAATACTAAGAATAATGCACCACTTAGTAAACACCCTCCAAAGAGACTATATTTTCTCATAAAATGGCATGAATATTGGTATAAACTTTTTCTTTTGAGACAGCGTCTCACTTTGTCACCCAGGCTGGAGTGTGGTGGCATGATCTCAGCTCACTACAACCTCTGCCTTCCAGGTTCAAGAGAGTCTCCTGCCTCAGCCTCCCAAGTAGCTGGGATTACAGGTGCCCGCCACCACACCCAGCCAAGTTTTGTATTTTTAGTAGAGACAAGGTTTTGCCATGTTGGCCAGGCTGGCCTCAAACTTCTGACTTCAAGTGATCCACCCGCCTCAGACTCCCAAAGTGCTGGGATTACAGGCATGGGCCACCGCACCCGGCCGGTAAAAACTTTAAGAAGAACACCAATGTCCTATAAATAATCATGACAGTCCTGTTTAGTGAGCGGGACTGTCATGATTATTTAGTGAGTATCTACTATGTGCCAGGCATGTCTCAGCCATGATTCCAACAAATTCTCACCACAACCCCCCGGGTAGGTATCATCATCTCTGTTCTTAAAATATGAACAATGGAGCTCAGAGGGTTATATAACTTGATCAACATAACACATCTAGAAAGTAGATGATAGGAAGGGTTGAATTTGGTGACACTTGAGGCATCTTTATATTCTGGAAGTCTATGATTTCAGGAGGAAGAAGAGATGGGGAGGGAGAAAAGGAGGAGAAGGATAGAGGAGGGATGGAGAAAGAATGAGAGAGATGAGGTAAGAAAGGATACAAAACAGAGAACAGGAAAGGGAGGATGGGGCGGAGGGGTGTGCCTGAGGGAAACACTTGGGGAGACCCTTGCCCTCTGCTTCTCTTGAGACAAGGGGTTTCAGCACCAGGGACAGCAGCTGGCCCTTGAGGGCTCAGCAGGTTCAGCGGGCTCAGCCGCTGGGTCATTTGGAACTGGATGGGTCATTTGGAACTGGATGGGTCATTTGGATGTTGGGGTGGAGAAGGAAGCTGAGGGCTTTATTAAGTATTCTTCTTTCTCTGTCTTCCCCACAGCGACCCTGAACACTTGCCAAGGTATCTCAAGAGCTTGTCATATGGGATCCATGCTCAAAGGAAAGAAGGGGGAGAGGGCACTGAAGGTGTTGAGGTTGGCTTGAAGAAGGGAGATTGAGGTAAGGGATATGAAGTCAGCAGACCTGGGTTCTAGTACCAGAATACTAACTTGCTCTGTGACTGTTAGCAAGTAATTTAACCTCTCTGAACTTCATGTTTCTGCTCTTCAAAATGTCAACACTTTAATAAAAAGCCTTGTCTCTCCCCTTGGGTTGTTGTAGGGAGAAGAGTGTGTTTTCAAGCTGTAACATTCTGTGCAAATGCTCCTCGTGGTTGTCACTATTTTCCTTCTCTTTAAGCATCTGCAGCTCTCCAAACACAAACCCTGATGTAGGCAGACCTGAGGAAATTCAACTGGGAGATTCCAGTGCTCCCAGCCAAAGCACCACGAGGAGCTGTGCAGGCTGAAGCCCCTTATGCCAACTCGCCATGGACCAAGAGTCCCCAGATCCAGTTGGGATTTGCCAAGGTTGAACGAGAGGTGAGTGCCGTACATTTTCCCCACCCGCTATTCCTGGAGCTCTGTGTGGGCAGCCAGCAGATGAGCTGGAATTGGGGGTAATGGACAGCCACTCCTCCCTGCTCCTGTCTCCATGCTACAAACACACTTCATCAGCTTCCTCTCTGGGCATTGTGCCCTTCCGGCCTCCCACCGTTCCCTTTGTGTGGCCAACAAGCTATTTCTGCCACCCGCCTGCTTTGGCCCTGACACAGGGTCTGAAACTCCCCTTTGCTTTTCATTAACACATCCTTGAGCTACCTCCCACCCTTCCCCCGCCTCTTGGCCTGGCCTCCATCTCCCCCACCCCCACCGCAGACATCACCACAGCAACCGGTTCCAACAAGCATCCAGCTACTTCAATCTGCAATGAGATGCCTGCCAATATTCCCTGCCTGCCCATGAGGCCTCCCCACTCTCTTGTCCCTCCTGCAGTTAGTCCTGCCCCTCTCTCTGCTGCACAGATGGGCCCTGGGGTCACTGACCTTATTACATTTTTTCCTCTGTTACCCCAAGTATGTAGAGCCCAGGGCAGGATCCCAGCTCAGGTCCACTCATCATAACCTCTAACTTCCCACCAGCCACATAAATACATGCATGCATACACACAGAGCCACACACACGATCTATACATACTTGTGCACTGCAAGGCATACACCACCATCCAGATTCATCCAGACACACATATAACCACACTGTTGCAGCTAGACACACCCACGCGCACACACACATAAGACACACAGACATGCATGCCTACAAGTACAGACACAGCACACACCACATTCACACATGCGCATGAACCAGCATGCAGGCATTCACAAAGACATGCACACACAGGCACGCATGTGCCTCTGCATGAAATCCTAGGTCAATTTTTCCTCCTCTTTTGCATCTTCTTAAAGCATCCCAACAGCTCCACCTATCCCTTTACAGGCAGAAAAGAAAAATTATCTGGCTTGACCTAGAACTAGCTCCTTCCCCTTTTACGGAGGCTCCCCTTCCTGTTTCCTTTCTCCTCTCCCATAGTCTTCAGCTGGCTTTCTGCTCTGTGTGAGGAGAACAAGGAGATCTGTCTAGGTCCTGGCAAGATTTCAAGGGGGAGAGGCAAAGCCTGTCCTCTCAGGGAGAGACCACCTGCAAGAAGCAAGTCTGAGGTCCTGACTAGATAAGATCAGAGACATCGCCAGGCACCTCCAGTCTGTGCTGGCAGTGCCAGATGCGATGCCCCCCTACCCGGGCATCAGCCAATCAGTATTCCCTTGTGTCCAGCCTGAGCTCCCCCAGGAGAATGGAAATCCAACAGACCCACAGTGTGAAAGTAAATATAAGTGTGCACATGCATGTGTGTACATGGGCACCTCGTGGCTCAGGCTGACACCTGGGGAGGACTAGGCAGGAATAGGGATCCATTCTAGGGACATTTCAAATATTTTTTAAAAAATCAAATGGAAGCAGCGGGAACCCTGGAGCTGCAGTAAGAACATGCAATGCTGAGTCCTTGGTCCTTGGTCTTAAGCTTAAGCCAGTTAAATTCCCTGAACCTCGATGTTCTCTTAAGCAATGGGAGCAGCATTGCTCCTCCTGGGAGGTGGTGACTCCAATGAGTGATGTGTGGGGACGTGCCAGGAAGCTGTAATGTCCTGTTTCAGTAGGAGACAGCGCTAATAACAGCCATGAAAATAATAACAACAGTCATAAAAAAGATAAGCTTGCATTGTCTGGAAAATTCATTTATGTGGAACAACTCATTTTTCGAGCAGGATGGGGAGATGAGGCGTGACAGTATTATGATTTTTTCTAAGTGCTTTTAACTGAGCCCAAGGAGGTGTTCAGGTGGCTACCAGCTGCAGTGAGAGGGAGCCTGCTTCTTGCTCTAAGTCCTTGGCTGTGTTCACACCCTGCCTGCACATGCCGGCCCTGCCCAGCCCCTGCTTACCTTCTTGCCCTGCATCCTCAGCTTGGATCTCCACATTCACCGTGTCCCCCCAGATAGGGGCTCTGGTGGGCTCTGAGGTCACAGATGTGACTGCCTTGGAGCTCTGATTGTTCTTTTCCTCAGATGTGCTTTTCCTGGGGAGAGCAGGGGCAGGGTGAGTCAAAGGGAGGGGTTCTGTCTGCTGCTTGTCCCCATCCCAGGCTCCACTGTCCATAAATCTGAGTGAAAGGTGGACAGAATATGGAGAGCTCTGTCCCATGCATAGACACTTGTGTCATCCCAGGCCTCTCCCCCAGCTCTCCTGCCAGCCCAGGTGACCACACTGTCTCGCTGGCCACTACTGAGGCCTTCACTTAGTCACAAGCCTCTCACTTAGAGAGGCTCAGGGCAGGGGTAGGGATGGGGGTAGAGGGTAGATGCTTTGCCCGCCTGACTTCCTAGCCCTTGCCAGGGAGGGCTCTCCAGCAGGAGCCCGTGTGCATGGCCTCCCTCTTCTCTAGGTTCTGTTTCGGTGGGAGGAATCCTCTGGGCAGAGTGGCTGTGCGATGCCCCGCCTGGCTGTCCTCTCTTCTTCACCTTATTTCCCTAAACTTCTGGCCCAGATTTCCAGGCTCCACCCGGCAATCCCAGTTCTAAATGCTTGCAATGAAGCACGCACATCCTGCTGCCTTCTGAGATGCCTGCTGTGTGCAGGGCCTTGGGCTGGGCCCCTGGAGCTGGAAACCTGGAGCTGGGTCCAGGCCTGGGGGCAGGGGGTGGTGGAAAGGGCTTTCCAGCCCTCAAGCACTCAGATTGTTCAGGACCAGGCTGTATAAGGTGAGAGGTAAGCTTGGGCCCTCTGCATCCCAGTGCACCCCACAGATATCGGAGATCCAGAGCCGTCAAACGGCTCAGGGAGAGAGTGAATACTTCTTCTGTAGAAGAGGTTACTAGGCCAGGGCCATCCCCAGCGCTGCTCCATTAACTGCAGCAGTCATGGGCTGAGGAATCATCCCAGAGATCCTGTAGCAGGGGGAGCCACACCACACACCTTGCGGAGGGAGGCAAGACGCACTAATGGTACCCCAGGATGGGAACAAAGACGTCATCCCCACCAGCCCTTGTTTCACCCTCAAGGACCCCAAAGGGAGTGTGGGGCAGGCCAGTTGGCTCAGACCCCACCTTCTCTGTGCATTAGCAATACCAACATGGTTCTTCCCAGCCCAGCTTGTTCCTCTCCTCCAAGAAGCCCTCTGGAGTCCCCCGGCCCTCACTGTTCCCTCTGCCCTTTAGACTTAAGTGACGCTGTGACCTGGCTCCTTGCTCCCACTCATCACAGCCCTGCTCCTGTGGGTAACCATGCTTGCAGGAGCCCTTCTTCTGTGGGTGACCATGCTTGCAGGAGTTCCATCTCCAAGTTCCAGGGGTCAACTGAGGACTCCTGCTGTGCTTTGACTGAGGCAGTATGACACAGTGATTGTAAGAAGGACCCTGCAGCTGGGCATTTTGGGTTCCAAATCCCAGCTCTACCCCGTGCCAGCTGTGTGATGTTAGGCAAGGTACAGAACCTGTGGTGCCTTATTTTCTTCATCTATAAAACAGAGATGCTAACGGTGCCCAGCCTGCAGGGCGGTTGTGGGAAGGAAACGAATGAATATGTGTAGTGCCTGGCACATTGCTAAGTACCAAGAAAGTGTTAATAATTCTTAGTACCTTAAATTATTAAAATATAAATATGATTCCTGTTATTACCCCATAGCACCAGAGAGCTTAGCCTTATTGACCCTCCTGTGACCAGCCCCTTTGCCGTGGCGTGATTTTTCCCCATCATGCCCCCAGTTCTGGGTCTACAATTGGGAATGTCTGGCTGCTCGGGCCAAGGTGTGGAATCCTGGAAAGAGCACAGGCTTGGGAATGATTCAGAGCTGGGTTTGGAGCCCGCGTTTATCCTGGCGAGATCATCTCCCCTCTGCACCTACTAAGTTCCTCCTTTTTCAATAGTACCGCCCTGAGAGAGTGTTATAAGGACTGGAAAGAAAGCATGTTCAGCTCCTGGCATCCAGAAAGCCCCAGTTCATGTTATTCCCTCATTTGTGATACAAAACAGCTTGGGTGTTTTTGCAAGAGGACCTGCCTGAGGGCAGCATGAAGGGGAAGGAGCACTGAGTACAAGCTGGGGTGAGAAGGGGCATCTCCCAGAGAGCCGGAGTCCTTCTCAGATGAGCGTCCATCCAGACACACCCCTGCAGGCTCTGCAGAATGGACTCCTCACACCCGCAAAGTGGTGTGTGGGAGGCTGCCAGGCTAGAGAGGGAAGGCAGAAGCCTGGCAGGAACGTGGCGCTCAGCTTGCTCCCTCCACCCTCGGGTCCCTTTTTCCCTCCGGCTCTGTGACCATGCTTGACCAAGGGGTGCAATCTAAGTACCTCCCATGACGCTCTGTGCCTAGGCTCCCGCTCCTGACAGCTGCCCCAGCAAAGTCAGAGACCTCAGGCTCTCAGCAGCCTCCCTGTGCTACCCAGCCACCCGATCTGCTACTTATAGATATATAGTTAGTGCACAATAAGGCCTCACAGCCTCCCTCCTCAGGGACCTGCACAGAAACAGCAGAAAAGCAGAAGCGCCAAGGGTGTGTCAGGAAGAAGTCAGTCCTTCTGCACCCAGATGTCAACCCCAGAGCTGGACACAAAACTGCACCTGCATGGACACATTCCTGGGGGATTCCCAGGGATCTTCATGTGGCTCTGTGTGCACAGAGAAGACACAAATGAAGGTGTGAAGTCACAGGCAACATAGTGACAGGATTCAGATTGAACCCCATGCCAGCCTGTCTTCTACTGTCCTCGTATCCTCCCAACCCTCCTGGGAGGGTGGCAGGAGGAATTCCCAGGTGCAAAGAGGTGGGTAAAGGTGACGGGGCAAGGCAAGGGAGCAGGTGCTGACTTTCCTCCAGCAGAGAAAGAGTTAAGCAACTATTTTCCCCACCTCCCTGCCCCATCTAATATGAAGGTCATCAGGGCTAGGTGAGTGCAGATAAAGCAACTGGGTGGGAGGGGGAGGCCCCAGGGGAAGGGGGAGGCTTTTAGCAGGTGGAGGGAGGCTCTCGGGGTAATGGCTTTTCCTGGCACAGCTGACTCCTCCGGGTCTTGATGCTATTCTAGAATCTGGAGAGCAAGAAGGGCCTCTGATTCTTCACAGAATAGGAGCAGGGGATGAGCTCACTCCCTGCTCCCAGCCCCATTCTGCACCCCGCAGATGGGCACGTGGCTGAGTTCCAGGTCCCCAGGCTCTCTCGGGGCTCCCAATGCAGTCTTAGAACCCAGGGGACCTCACCAAGACCTGCTTCCCTAGGCCTCTCCACAGGCTGTCTGCAAGGAGAGACCCCCCTCCCTGTCCCCCCAAAGACCTGCCCTGTTGACTTGGACCCGTTGGCTCCAGGCATCCAGGGCCAGGAGGAGCTAGTGGGTGGTGCCTGCTGTCTCGGGGCCAGATTTAATCCAGCCACAGCATGGGCAGCCATGCCAGGATAGGACTGGAGTTGGGTTTAGAGTGCAGCAGCCCTGAGACCAAGCTGCAGGAAAACATAAACCTCCCTCAACCTGGCCTACCCTCCAGGCTGCTGGAAGGGTGTGTGTGTCTTTGACAAACTCCAGTCCCCAGCTAGGCATTCCTGGGGCCCCCACCCCAGCAGGGTGTAAGGGGGCCAGGCTCAAGCACAGCTGTGAGTGGGAGGGAACAAGGACTTTGCTTTCCTTCTGCAAGGTCATGACTAAGGGAAAATATGTCATCTGGTTCCCGGGGGCTGCAGCTGTGAGTGGAAGAAATGAGCATCGGAAAAGCATGGGATTTGATGGACAGAAAGCAAGAGTGCTCATGAGCCGCTTTCCCCCTCACTCCAGGAGACACACACACACATCCACACATACATACACACACATGCACACACATGCGCACAAATGCATGCACACACACATACATGCACACATGCACGTGCACAAAGGCTGCCCAGAGAGGTGTGAGTACCATACTGTACCCACTCTTGTTACCCAGTCCTCAGGCTGCCTCTGGGGTCTTCTATTCACACCTGAGCCCACCTCCCCCACCTGCCCTGCCTGTCCTGTTGGCCTCTGGCTCCCTCAAAGCCTCAAATCATGAACAATAGTCAAGACCTGGCCGCCTCCTGGGCAGAGCTTTAGAAGCTGGGGCACAGGCGGCCTGGTTTGTTTTGAGTGCCAATCCCAGGACAGCCACCAAGAGAGCAAAGGAAAGGGGAGGGCCCTGACTCAGATCTGCTGTGGCTGCTGGGGTCTTGGCTGGGCAGGCTTGTAAATCCTGAGAGACTAGAGTGATGTTCCCAGAAGCCCCTGGCACTGGGGAAGTCAGGCAGGCACTGGGAATAGTGGATAAGGAGCAGACCTTTAAGTGGATGGATGGTGGAATAGGAGGTATTGGGCACCTTTGACCTGGCCCATCACAACCCATTGCTGGCTCACCTGGGAAACTGAGAGGGAGGTGAGGGAACTGGCAGTCCTGCAGGCCAGCTGTCAAGGTGTAATGGTTGGGTCTCAATCTTTCCTGAGAAGGTAGGGCAATTCTCCTCAACCTGCTTCCTCCATGCCAACTTCTGAGCCAGGGAGGCCTGCCTCCCCCATCCTCCAGAAGTCCAAGAGGCTGCCAGACTCCCAGGCCATAGGCTAGGCCTGCCTCCACTCCTGGAAGCTCTGAAAAACCCAGTGACCTCTTCCCAATCCAGGAGCCCAGTCTTATGCAACAGGAGGTGTGGAGTTGGCTTCTGCAGAGACAGTCATCTGAATGGGGTGGCCAAAGTCTGGGTTCCTGTGTTTCTGACCCTAAACCTGGAGAAGGCAGGGCTTGAACAGATAGATTGGAGGATCTTTCCACTTAGAGGAGAGAAGGTGAGGCTTGAGGGGGGCTGTTTGGCTGATGCAGGTGCTGACTTCGGAGCATGGGTTGGGGGAGTCAGGAGAGGGAGGCTGTGGTTCTCCCCCGAGTCCCTCTCAAGGCCCCTTTTTGCCGTGGCCACAATCAGTGTCTTCTGAAGCCAGGCAGGCAGGAGGGAAGAGCCCCAGCCCTCACACCTCTGGCCTTAGCCAAGCTCCCCTGGGATTGCTGGGCAGGGGGTTGTGCCCAGGGACTCCTCAAAGGAGGAGCTGAGATCTGAGGCAGGGAGTCAGTGCTGAAGCTCCCTTCTCTTCTCGCCCCCGCTTCACCAGACAACAGCCTTGACAAGGCCCCCAGTCTGTGCTGCCGCCTCCCCCAGCCCCATGCTGACGGCAGGGCAGCTGGTCCTTGTGGGTTTTGAGCCCCAGGAGGCTGCCACTTAAGGCATGAGCAGGGCTGTTATTCTCAGCAACGCGAGGGACTCTCATCCTGGGTTTCATTTATTAATTGGACTCTAATGAAGCATCACTAATTCCTGATGGTGCTACAACACTGCAGGTGGGCCTCAGTTTACAGAATAACTGACTCTGGAGTAAGGAGGGCACCAACTGGAGGCCAGCAGCTCCCAGTCCCTGAGGGCCCAGCTCTTCCCCTGCCCTTGCCTGCAGGGCATGGGGGCTGCTCTGGGAAAAAGAAAGGGCACCTTCCGAGAAACTCTGAGAAGCACTCTAGCAAAGGCAAAGATCTTCCTGTCAAACAAGGATGCTGCTCCTCCACCCCACCACTACTCACACTTCATCCAAAAGTGTGGGTACCCCTCCTTTCCACCCATGGCGGACAAGGAGAAAGCCACAGCCCACAGAGCTTTGTGATGGCCCAAAGTCAGGCTTAAGTGCCGGTGTTCTGGGCATTGTTGCACCTTCTACCCTCTTCTGGGAAGGGGATTTCCTTGTTTTCCAGAGATACTTTTTTGCTCTTTTTGAGGCTGGAGGCGATGCAGGGTCAGGAAGGGCCGCTGTCTGCACCATCTGTCAGCCTTTGGAGTGTCATGCCGTGTCCTGTCCTGTGGCATAGCTGGTGAGGGGCCCTGGGAGCCACCTTCTTGGGCCGCAATGGGTGGACCTGTCAGTCACCATCACAGTCCTATGGGGAGGCAATGACAGTCCCCTTGGAAGGTGTGGGCCTGGATGAGCAACCCAGCAGGACTTGCCAGGACGTGGAATCCTCTCAATGGTTCGGTCACTCTGAACAGCCACTCTTTCGAGTACCCCCTTTCTCCCGTACGCAGCCTTAGGGCAGGAGGAACGTGGGCCAGACATAAAGTCGAACTTCCTGACCTCACAGAAATCACCGGACTCTTCTGATTCCTGTCATTCTGATTCTCATTCCCTGCTTAACTCGTGTGGTGTTCAGTCCACGTTTTGAGGTCTGGGGCCACTCCCTGGCTCAGACACAGAGCCCAGCCTCCTGAGGGGCTCCGATACCCTAGTGCTGGCGACTGGAGCCTGGATGGCCGCCTTCCTGGGAGACTGTGGGCAAAGGATGAGTGAGTGGGGACAGCATTATGATTCCTGGCGCCTCCCCACCCTCACCACCACTACTAGACTGTTCACCCCTCAAGGGCAGGGACCTGTCTTGTCGCTGCTGGAGCTCAGTTCCCACTGCCTGGGCAAAGTGGGGCCCAGCAGGTGTTTGCTGAAAGAAAGAAGAAGGGACAGACCACTGGAAAATCAGGTGGGACAGTGGCAGCCCCTCCTTTCAAGCTCTGCCAGGCCAACTCACTGGCCCAGGCTGCTGAGCCAGTGGCAGCTCCTCAGAACTGTCCTGGAAATAGCTCTTGGCTGGGAGGAGGGTTCAGATCCCAAGTCCTGTCCCAAGAGCGTGTCCCCAAAGTGGGGAAGCAGAACCCAGCTGTGGGGGGAAAGTGGGGGAACTGGGCTCCCTCCAGGCCCAGGGGGCACTGAGCGCCTCGGTCCAGCCTGGCCCCTGGTCTCTCTGTCCCATTCCAGGGTGCTGTGGAGGGATCGAGGTCTGGTTTTGTTAGCCACACTGACCATCCTGAGAGTCCCTGCCACAGTCCCCGGCTAGTCCCTAGGCCCCACTCCTCCAACGCCACAGGGCACCGCAGGAGCACACCGCTGGGAAGTCGACAGGAGAGGGAGGGGGCCATGCCCACTAGCTCCTCTCCTCACTCAGGGCCAGTTGCTCCTCTGTCCCCACCTTTGTATGGGAACAGGGAAGGGGTAGGCCACAGCCTGCCCTCCCAGGGATAAAACCCCAGGGCCTCCTGAGCATTCCCAGGCCAGGCTTGCTGAAGACCAGAGAGACAGCTTTGTGTTCAGGCTCACCAGTCGTGGGCTTGAGTCCTGGCTCCTGGCTCACCGCTGCTGACTGTGTGGCACATCCCCTAAGCATCTCTGAGCTCAGCTCCTCCCTGATAACAGCGCTCAGTATCTCACAGGTTTCGAGAAGGAGGGAGGATGAGGAGATCAATGAGGAAGGCTGAGTCTGAGTGGAGACGTATATTGGCAGGTGGGTCTATGGAACTGGAGCTCAGGAGAGGGCTGGATCCAGGGATTCTGGGGCTTTCAGGATGGGGGGAAAGGGGGATGCCTAGGTGAGGGGGGATCTCTTAAAAAGTATAGAGGCCAGGCGTGGTGGCTCACACCTGTAATTCCAGCATTTTGGGAGGCCGAGGCAGGTGGATCACCTGCAATCAGGAGTTCGAGACCAGCTTGGCCAACATGGCAAAACACCGTCTCTACTAAAAATACAATAATTAGCCGGGTGTGTTGGCACACGCCTGTAATCCCAGCTACTCAGGAGGCTGAGGCAGGAGAATTGCTTGAACCCCAGAGGTGGAGGTTGCAGTGAGCCGAGATCACATCATTGCACACCAGCCTGGGTGACAAGAGTGAAACTCCGTCTCAAAAAAAAAAAAAAAAAAAAGAAGGAGGGTAGAGATGCAGAGGAGAGGCCAAGGACTGAGCCAGGAGCATTGACATTCGCAGGGTACTGGGACAAAGAGTATCCCACAGTGGAGTGGCCAGAGACAGGGTAGAAAATCAGGAGAGGGAGTTGTCCTGGAGGCGAGGAAAGAAGGGGCTTCAAGAAAGGAGAATGCCTACTTATACATGTGTGGAGGATGCACAGCCATTGGGAGGTCACTCCCCTGGCAGAGGGGGACCAGTCAGCAAAGCTGGAGGCACCGGTGGTGTCCGAGTTGGGTTGAGGGTTCAGGAGAGGAACAATGAGGGGCCCAGAGATCCTCACTGACCAGAGGTGTTTGGCCTGAAAGTAAAACTTGGCTGATTTTACACAAACATTTGGATTTCTGGTTTCTCTTTAAAAATTGAGAGAGGCGTCCGGGCGCAGTGGCTCACGCCTGTAATCCCAGCACTTTGGGAGGCTGAGGCGGGCAGATCATGAAGTCAGGAGTTCGAGACCAGCCTGACAAACATGGTGAAACCCCATCTCTACTAAAAATACAAAAATTAGCTGGGAGTGGTGGCGCGCGCCTGTAATCCCAGCTACTCAAGAGGTTGAGGCAGGAGAGTCTCTTGAACCTGGGAGGCAGAGGTTGCAGTGAGCTGAGATCACACCACTGCACTCCAGCCCAGGCAACAGAGTGAGACTCCATCTCAAAAAATAAAAAAATAAAATAAATAAAATTGAGAGAGGCTGGCCAGGGTGGCTCACACCTGTAATGTCAGCACTTTGTGAGGCCAAGGTGGGAGGATCACTTGAGGCCGGGAGTTTGAACCAGCCTGGGCAACACAGTGAAACCCCATCTCTACACATTAAAAAAACCTAATAATTAAACATAAACAAAAATGAAGAGGGTTGACAACCCATGCCCTCATTCTTCCATGTAGAGATCAGTAGGACGGGCAGGGGCTACTCCTCTGAATGAGCCAGGTGCTCTCTGGTTTGCCACAGTTGCTTCCTCTCTCTATTGCATCACATGCCAGGAACTACAGGATTTGCATAAGTAGATTGGCCCTGAAGACATTGACTTTGAATTCTGGCTCCCGGCTCCACTGCTGCTGACTGTGTGGCACATCCCCTAAGCATCTCTGAGCTCAGCTTCTCCCTGATAATGGTGTTCAGTATCTCACAGGTTTCTGGATGGATAGGGGGAGCCTCAGAGAAGGAGGGGGGGAACGAGGAGATCAACGGGATTCCAGGGCAGCTCCTTCTGCTGGAAACTTAAGTGTGTGCATGGAAGGATGACAGAATCAGGGAATACACAGGGGTAGGAGGAGCCTAATCGGTGCCCAGAGCCCCAGCCCCTGCTCAATGGCCTCCCTCACTCCACTACAAGCTAGACCCTGTGGCATGTGACCCTGGGACCCACGGGGGCCAGGCTAGGGAGAGGGAAGCTACATAAAGTCTGGAGGGATCACCAAGCCTCCTGGCTGCTCATGATGACCAGGGAGGGAGGAGGAGGCTGTCAGCCGCTCTGCCCATGCTCAGGAGTAAGCAGAGGAGACAGCCCATGCAGGATGCAATGAGGACACCAGGAAGGCCCCCTCTGGCCTGCCTCATGGCCCCAAATCTCCCCCATGAATGCCCTCTGAGGCTGTTATGCAGGATTCCAGAAGAAGCCTGTGGGGGAGAACTCATGCTTCTTGAGTCTGAATGGGGGTTTCAGGCATGAGAACACCTTAGGGGCCCCAGGTGGCAGAGATGGGAGAACATCTGGAAAGAATCCTTATGGCTTCGGTCTGGCTGGGGATGGTTCTCAGGCCAACCATCCTTCAACCACTGACACCAGCTGTGTTTATAACCCTGGGACAAAGGGAAGTTCTCACTGAACAAAAATTCTGAGGTTCTGAGTCTCCAGGAACTGATGTCATGGGGGGCAGGTGTGGGTGGAAAATCAAACCATGGTGTGGGGGCCCTGCAGGGTAGATGAAGACCCTGGTTCCCAGGCCTCACCCCAGGCCTGCTCCCCACCCTTGTCTTTTTTCCCATGGGGATCCTGCTGGAAGAGAAGGAGCCTTGGCTTCTGTAGGAGCCAGCGGCCAGATGGGAATAGTCATCTTCATCTGCTCCACTCCCACTGGCCAGCCATGTGACCTCAGACACATCCACATTCTCCCCTGGGCCTTGGCCTCCTCCACTATCACATGGGAATAACGCAGCCTGCTTCCAGGACTGCACCGTTAGAACCAGAGGGTGTAAATAGCCGAGCTCGCAGTGAGCTTCGAGTGGAACATCATCAGCAAGTGAGGGCTGCCTTATTCCTGGGACTATCCCATGATCACTGTCACTGTGTTATTGTTATTTTTGCTGAGCCCAACCCTCTGGCTGCTGAGACAAGCCCATGGGTCACCTGTGAGTCATTGTGAGCCTCCACCCACTCTGCCCAGATCCCTGCCTTCAGGGGTCCTTGACTGAAGGCCCCCAGCCAGACAGGGAGGAAGGAGAACTCCAGATCCCAGGATGGGTCTCCACACTAGTCACTGCATCTTCTCTGGAAGTCTGGGTTAGCATCCTGTCTCAACAACCCCCCTTCCAAAAGGGGTAACCACGGCATGAAATATCAAGGCAAAGAATGAGGTGGAGGGAGCTTTTAGATTTTGAAATCCTGGATCCTGCATCCTCCTTTGGGTACTAACTAGTTCTGTGACCTTGGGCAAGTCATGGAAATGCTTTGAGCCTCAGGAACCTCATCTGTAAAATGAGGTTTAATGATAATATTATACCTCAATTATAGGACTGGGTGGCGATTAAACTGTATGAAACACACAATACACTCCTAGCTTATTTCTCAGGGGTATGGTGAGTATTTGATAACTGTAACCTTCTTTATCCCCCCTCTTGCCAGGATTTCAAACAATTGTCCTACTTTTAACATCTTCTTCAATTAGTCACCAGAGTCAGAGCTCATCCTGTGACCAAGGCCAGCCTCAGTCTGTGACCAGGGTCAGGGCTGAGCTCAGTCTACAATCAAGGTCAAGCTCAGTGTAGGGCCAGGGTCAGGGCTCTCAGGCTTATCTAAGAAAACCAAGGATCCTCTGAGTATGACTCTAGCTGGCCCTGATCTGTGCCACCTCCCCTGTGCCATCCCAAGCCTGCCCCACATGCACAGAGGAAGCAGCGCCTTCCCCTTCGAGTCCTGGCTCTGTCCCCACTCATTAGCTCTGGGCAGCAGGCAGCCGAAGAAGCAGCTGCCAATGCTGGCAGCCCTGACATGCAGCCTTTGGCCAAGGGTCAGAACCCCACAGGCCATCTCCTGGCTAGCCCCTTTTCCATATCTCATCCTGTCCACTGGGGCACCCCGTGCCTGTCAGTGCCACTGTCTTCCTGGTCCCTGCTGTGCTCTGACTGGCAGGTCTCTCTGTGTCAGGCTGGGTGACAGGTGCTGGGTACTGTTCAAGCCCCAGGGCACTGAGCCAGGCCTAGACCAGTCATGGGACACCCTGGGCCTGGAGACTGGCCCAGTAGACCTGGGCACAGAATCTGTCTCGGGTGGCAGAGCTGGGGTTCTTGTTTTCTCTAAAGAACTGAGAGTGTTTCCCAGGCCAGAACACAAGCCAGCCAGGCAGGCCTGCAGCAGCATGCAGGCCAAAGCTTACATCCTGGCCATGGGAAGACTGAGGCTCAGAGAAGGCAAGGACTGGCCTGAGTTCATACAGGGAGTCAGGGGCAGTGGGCCAGATGCTAGGTCTTCCTGTACCCAGCCTGGCTTCTTTCCACTGTCCTGTGGCTTTCTTATGATAGGTCTCAGTGCCCACTGTGAGCCTGCTCAGGACTCCCCCTTCCCCCTGTAGAGCTTTAGACCCGCAGCATCTCACACTGTCTAGCACCACCATCTCTATAGCCCTTTGAGACAGGTTCCCAGGTGAGGTTTTCAGGCATTGAAAGACAAAGTAACTTTCCCACAGTCATACAGCAAGCTAGAAACAGGGCCAGATTCATTCGACGATTATTTAGTGACAGCTTCCTATGTTCCAGATACTGTGTTTCATGATAGGAATAAAATGGTGAGCAAAGCAGACCTGGTGGTTGTCCACGGAACTAGTGGGGCACAGTGGAGGCGGGATGGGGAGGCACTGGCAAAGAGTACGCACATAATCACATAAAGTGCATAAGCACATATCCTGGTACAGAGTCGCATGAAAACATGTAATGAGGGAGGATTTGGCCTCATCTGGGAGATCAGTGAGGACAGCTGAGATGGGAAAAGGGGAAGGGAGAATGTTTCTGGGAATGTTTCTCAGAATGTTTCTGAGAATGCCTAGGGTGGGAGGGAACAGGGTTTGCTCAGAGAACGGAGAGATGTCCAGTGTGGCTGGAGCAAAGAGAGGGAGGTGGAGGTCCTGTTGCTGGGGAGCTGGAGGGGCCGGCAAAGACCCAACCGTGCTGAGCCTGGAATCCTCTTTACTTTGGGAACAATGGGAAGCCACTGAGTTCCTTTGGTACTATGGCACCACAGTACCCAATGGTAACCTGCCTTTGAAGGGATCTTCAGGGAGCAAGAGTAGAGGAACCAAGAGCAGTTGGAGAAATAGTGCGGTGGCCTAAGTCGGTGGTGGAGCTGGTGGAGAGAAGCAGCTCAATCCGAGAGACCGGGAGACATGGACATGACTTGGTGATGGATTGGATGAGGGAAGAATGTGATTCCTGACACCAGGATGGGGTGGGATCACATGGAAAAAGAGTACAGGCTAGAGAAAGAAGAGCCACATAGGGCAGAAACCTGAGACAGGCTAACATTTAAGGTCAGGTAGACGAGATCAAGAGATGTGGCCATAGGGGAAGGTGGGAGAGTGGGGTAACTTGGAGGGGGAGAAAGGGCTTCAAAGAGACTGAGTTGTCTGGAGGGGCTGCTGCCTCTGTGTAATAAACAAATTCACCCGTCCAAACCCAAAGAATGGACTCAGAGACCCAGGGAACAGCGAAATTGAGACTTTTAACACGGGTCTTGCAAGATTGGGTGTCTGATAGGCAGGCACACCCAGCACAGTTTCAATAAGCAATTTACCCCTAGTGCACGGGTCTCTCCCCCGGTTCCTCATAGGGTGAATACTGCGGGGTCACAGTTTTCCCAGATGTCACCTATTGATTGTTAGCTTTAAGTTTGTTTGTTTGTTTGTTTTTGGGTTGTCTTATTGCATTTTTTGCAGCCCACAATGCACTGCAATCCTAGTTAGCTCAGGGGCTATTCAAGTTGTTTTTATTTTTTTATTATTTTTTTTAGACGGAGCCTCGCTCTGTCACCCAGGCTGGAGTGCAGTTGCTTGATCTCAGCTCACTGCAAGCTCCACCTCCTGGATTTACGCCATTCTCCTGCCTCAGCCTCCCGAGTAGCTGGGACTACAGGCACCCGCCACCACACCCGGCTAATTTTTTTTGTATTTTTAGTAGAGACGGGGTTTCACTGTGTTAGCTAGGATGATCTCGATCTCCTGACCTCATGATCCATCCGCCTCGGCCTCCCAAAGTGCTGGGATTACAGGTGTGAGCCGCTGCACCCGGCCTCAAGTATTTGGCTTATGACCTAAGCAGCTGGGCGGGCTGATAAAAACAGACAAAATGAGCTATTTTGCAGACTAATAAACTTTCATTTTAGACTAAACTTCTTGTTCTGGTGAGGGCGACTAAGCAGGGAGGGTGGGGGGCTGCCGACAAGCAGGCGTTGGCTATCCAAGCAGGGGCCTAGTATATATCCGGTTTCTTCTGTAGTTTGCTGATCTAAGCTGATTTAAGGCACTTTGTCTTGGCAATGGACCACTGTATACATTATTTCCTTTACCTGAGAGATCGCAAAAGATGAGATGCCCGTTGGATGCAGGGTCAGAGATGGTGGTCACTGGTGACTACAGAGAAGCTATATTGGTGGAGAAGTGGGGTCAGATTGGAAGCCAACCAGTGGCTTAGATGAAGACAGGCTGACCCCCAAGATGAGCCAAGTGCCTGCTGGTCTGGAATAGTTTTGGCTGGAGGATGTGCCTATTACTATATGGGCTCAAGCCTGGTGCCTCCTTAAGGGGTGAAATGGCCATGCCCCAAACAAGAGAAGCACCATCTTTGGGCCTGAACCCTCTTCAGCTCCCCACTAAGGGGATGAATGAACGAACAGTTCTGGGGCACTCTCAGGTCTGTGCTTCACTACTTCCCCTGCCCCGATCCCTGCAACTGTGGTCCTGCCTGCTAGGGATGCAACAAACCCAGAGAGAAGGACAGAATCCAGGCTGAGACAGGGATTCCCAGGATATCCATCCCCAACCTCAGGTGAGAGAAGATGGGATGGCAGAGGGCAGGAAACCAAGCCAGGAGACTAAGCTCAGGGTACCAAAAAACAGGGGCAGCAAAAAGATGAGAAAAAATGCTTGGAAAGAATGTAAACTTATATATAATATATATAATATATATACATATTTTCGCTGTTTTATTGAGGCATAATTGACAAATAAAAAATAAAATTTAGATGTATTTAAAATGTACACAGTGATGATTTGATACACATATACTTTCCGCAGTGATCATCATGATCAAGTTAGTTAACACATCTATCACCTCACAGTTACCTTTCGTGTATGTGGTGAAAACACTTAAAATCTACTCTTAGCACATTTCAAATACATAATATAATATCTTTTTTTTTTTAGACGGAGTCTCACTCTGTCGCCCAGGCTGGAGTGCACTGGCACAGTCTCGGCTCAGCGCAACCTCCACCTCCCAGATTCAAGTGATTCTCCTGCCTCAGCCTCCCAAGTAGCTGGGATTACATGTGCCCACCACCACGCCAAGCTAGTTTTTGTATTTTTAATAGAGATGGGGTTTCACTATGTTGGCCAGGCTGGTCTCAAACTCCTGACCTCAGGTGATCCACCTGTCTTGGCCTCCCAAAATGCTGGGATTACAGGCATGAGCCACCGTGCCCAGCCACAATATAGTATCATTAACTAGAGTCACCTGCTGCATATTAAATCCCCAGAATTACTCATCCCAAAACTGAGAGTTTGTATCCTTTGGCCAACATTTCCTCATTTCCCTCATCCCCAGCCCCTGACAGCCACCATTCTACTCTCTGCATCTATGAGTTTATCTTAGATTCCATTAAGTGGGATTATGCAGTATTTGTCTTTCTGTGTCTAGCTTATTTCATCTAGCATAACGTCCTCCAGGCTCATCTGCATTATCGCAAATGGCAGAATGTCCTCCCTTTTATGGCTGAATAATATTACATTGTGTATATGTTGTCTATATGTGGATATATATGTATACAATATATAATTGTGTGTGTATATATGACACAAGTATATACAAATATATGTATATGACGTGTGTGTGTGTGTGTGTGTGTGTGTATATATATATATATGACATTTTTTCTTTATCCATTCATTCATCAACAAACACTTAGGTTGATCCTATATCTTGGCTATTGTGAATAATTCTGCAATGAATATAGGGGTACTCTTGACCTCAGATGATCCACCTGCCTCAGCCTCCAAAGTTCTGGGATTACAGGCATGAGCCACTGCACCAGGCCCAGATATCTTTTCTTTTCTTTTTCTTTTACTTTTTTTTTTTGAGATGGGAGTCTCGCTCTGTTGCCCAGGCTGGAGTGCAGTGGCGCAATCTTGGCTCACTGCAACCTCTGCCTCCCAGGTTCAAGAAATTCTCCTGCCTCAGCCTTCCTAGTAGCTAGGATTACAGGTGCCTGCTACCACGCTCGGCTAATTTTTGTATTTTTAGTAGAGATGGGGTTTCACCATATTGGCCAGGGTGGTCTTGAACTCCTGACCCTGTGATCCGCCCACCTCGGCCCCGCAAAGTGCTGGGATTACAGGCGTGAGCCACTGCGCCCGGCCCGATATCTTTTCAAAATACTGATTTTGTTTCCTTTGGATATATACCCAGTAGTGAGATTGCGGGATCATATGGTAGTTTTATTTTCAATTTCTTGAGGAACCTCCGTGCTGTGCTCCATAATGGCTGCACCATTTTACTGCGTATTCCCACCAACAGTGTACAAGCGTTCTCTTTTCTCCACACCCGCACCAACACTTATCTCTTGTGTTTTTGAGAACAGCCATCCTAACAGGTGTGAGGTGCTATCTCCTTGTGGCTTTGATTTGCACTTCCCTGATGATTAGCGATGTGCACCTTTTCATGTGCCTGTTGGCCATTTGTATTTCTTTGTTGGAAAAATGTCTATTCGGGTCTTTTTCTCATTTTTTAAATTGGGTTACTTGTCTTTTTGCTATTGAGTTGTATGAGTTACTCATATATTTTGGATATTAACTCCTTATCCGATACATGTTTTGCAAATATTTTCTCCCATACCATAGGCTGCCTTTTTGTTTTGTGGATTATTCCCTTTGCTGCGCAGAAGCTTTTCAGTTTGATGCAGTCTCACTTATTTTTGATTCTGTTGCCTGTACTTCCGGTGTCATATCCGAAGATTAATTGCCAAGACCAATGTAAAGGAGCCTTTCCCCTGTGTTTTCTTCTAGGGGTGTTACAGTTGCAGGTCTTACATTGAAGTCTTCACAAATACATATTTTTAAAAAGCATTGAAATATTCATCATGAACAAAACGAAAACTTTCATGAACTTTCTTATGCCTATTGTGTGCTTTGTTACTTGTTTATTTGTAATCAGATGTGCAGGGATATAAATTCTTTCCAGGTTCTATGGCCTCTGAGGGTCTGGATCCTCCCTCTGGGGTTTCTGCCTGGGGCTGGGGGTGAGCACTGAAAGCCCCCTTCAGGTCCTGACAGCTCGGCCTTCACATTCTCAGAAGCCCTTCCTTCTCCCATCATTTGCATCTCATTAGCACCACCTCGAGCTGGTGGCAGCTTCGCCTGTCTGGAGCCCTGGGACGCAGGCTGCAGCCTGGCCCGGGCGCTGCTCCCAGCTGGAGAAGGGTGCAGCGAAGTGCTTTCCCCTCCCCCCTCCCCGCGTTCTCTGTCCCCACCCTCCCGCCCCACGTGCCGCAGCCACAGGGAGGGTGCAGGAGGACTCGGGGTGTGCCCGGCTCTCCGAACCCCCACCCAGGCTCGTGTCGCCTAGGCTCCTGCCGCGCGTTCCCATGGCAACCGGGTGATGGCGCGGGTCGCGGTGCCTGCCTAGGAGCCACACAGCCACCCAGCTCCCCGCCCCGCCGCCCAGGCCGGATTGGTGACAGTCAGGGCCTCAATCTCCCGAGATGATCGGCGATAATTGGTTTATGGAAATAGCTGAGCGGAGAAGGCGAGCTCCCCGCTAGAAACCAGCCTCCCTGCCAAGCCTGCTCCCACCACCTGTGCTTCCCTCACCACGGAAATGGAGTTGGGGGAGGGATGGCCGAGGAGCTGGGCTGGCACAAATGGGGCTTTTAAGGCAAGTGTTTCACCTGTTGCTCTCGGCACAGCTTCTACCCCCCTTTCACAGTGGGGGCCCTGGGGGGGCAGGGACTTATCATAGTAACCAGGTGTTGGCCTCAGTCACTCCTTGGCTCCTAAGTTTGGGCTCAGGCCTATGTTGGATGCATTGTTGAGGGAAATGGAGGAGGAGATCCGTCCTCAGGGAGCCCCAGAGGAGTGCATAAACCATGTTGATATAAAGTGCTTCAGACCAGGGTCACCACTGCTGTGGAGCTCCAGAAGAGGGAGAGCTCAACTCTGGTGGCTGCCTGGAGGAGGAGGCTTTGAAGGCAGGATTTCAGCAGGCATTGGTGAGTGGGCTGGGGCAGGCACTCCCCAAAAGGAAATGTGGGCAACAGACTCTTGGCAGGAACTGAATGGTGCCAGTATTGGTGGGGGAGGGGAAGTATAGGGTGGCTTGGTGGGAGGCCACCAAGGCTCCCGCCGTCTGTCTATAGAAGGTCTAGGGGTGACATGCTCCTTGGAGGGTGCTTTATAATAAAGATTGAGCAAATATTCAGTGTCCCCAGCGAAGGTTGGCTGGATGGAGATTGTGTTGCCCCTTGGCGCCTTTCTGGAAGAAGTGAGACCCGTGAGGTGGGCATAGACGTGGCGTGGCAGGCCTTGGTGCCAGGCTGGGGAAGTGTGTACCCTGACAGCAGCTGGCTGGAGGGGGTGTGTGGGGTGCATTAAAGGCCCAGAACTAGGGGAGTCCCCATAATAGAAGTGACTGGAGAAGGAGGGGAGGAGGGGAGGGTGGTTATGAGGACCCTACCCCAGGGCTGGGTATGGTGGGGTGGGGCACCCAGAAGTCAGGAGAGGCAGGTCCCAAATCTTCCCCTTCCCCAATCTGACCATCATGCCCATGAGCCCAGCCCAGACTTTTGCATACAAGGAACCTGCCCCACTGGAGCTGAGCTGTGACCAATCCCTGCCCCACTGGTGTGGGGTGGGGAGGGGTGACTCTCTGGATCCGTTGGCACCCTGTCTTCCCCAGCCCTGGTGAGCAGCTTCCCATGCAGCAGCGGAGATGCCAGGTAGTGCCCACAGCAGCTCCTCCCCTCTGGGTATGACAGTCCCAGTCCTGGGCCTTTGGGTGCTAGTATTCCAAATAGCTGTCCCCTGGTTTCTGCTCACAGCCCAACCCATCCCCTGCCCCCACTCTCACGCAGCTACTTACACCACCACATAGGGCCACGGCTCGGAGCCATCCTTGCAGGCAGGCAGGTTGGTAGCCCCATGGAGGGTGACCATGATGGTCTCCTTCTTAGAGGGAGACAGGTGACCGATCTCAGGTTCCGTGCTCTGGGAGGCGATCAGGGGCTCCTCTGGGTCTTCAGTGTTCTGTGGGGAGAGCCAGGGCTGAGTGTTTTTTTTTTTTTTTGAGACAGAGTCTTGCTCTGTTGCCCAGGCTGGAGTGCAGTGGTGCCATCTTGGCTCACTGCAGCCTCTACCTCCCAGGTTCAAGCAATTCTCCTGCCTCAGCCTCCACAGTAGCTGGGATTACAGGCATGTGCCACCACATCCAACTAATTTTTGTATTTTTAGTAGAGACGGGATTTCCCCATGGTCTCAAACTCCTGACCTCAGGTGATCTGCCTGCCTCGGCCTCCCAGAGTGCTGGGATTATAGGCATGAGTTACTGCACCTGGCCCTGAGTGGCCTCCTCTGCTGCGGCACCTCCCTTCACTGCCACCCTCTAGCACTAGCCACTCACAGCTTCCGTCAAGTGCCTGCCTCCCTCTGTCACCCTTCCGCCCACTCTGCAAGGCAGTCGCCTTGGCCCCATTTTCTCCCTACTTCTGTCCCCATCCCACGTCTCTCTCAGTGCCTCTCCTCTAGTCCTGGATCCTACCCTTCCTGCAGGATGAGACAGGCCACCTCACCTTTCAAGTCTGGTCCCACTTCTAAGCCTTAGCTTTCGCAGGTGTCCTCGTCTGTAATTCCTAAATCCCACCTGCTTTTGCAGTCCTAACAATGGGCCACCTTCTTCAGTCTATCTTGTAACCTCACCTCAGCTCACCCATCACCTCAGGTCCCTCCTGTGCACAGCACTTTACAGCTGACAAAGCTTCTCCACGTTCATGGGGGCATTCAGTGCATTACGTGGAGGTGAATGCATGTGTCTGTCCCAGATGCCCCACCTGTCTTCTACCCAGGAAACTTGCGGACTAGGGAGGAAGAGGTGCCTGCCCATGCAGGGGGCTTCCTACACCAGTTGCCCCAAGCAGGGACTCAGCAGCTTAGTAACTTGTGGATTCATGGCCCAAAGGACCATCTTAACGAGAGCTGCTGAGAGAAGACAAAGCCCTGGCCGGCTGAGGCGGTCAGGGAAGACAGCAGGGAGGAGGAGGCCTTAAAGGGTTGGGAGAAGGTGCAGGAGTGGAGTCAGGGAGGACAGGCCAGGAGCAGAACACTGGAGCGAAGGCAGCAAGCGGGAAGGGGCAGAGCTTTCCAAGGCCCAGAGGTGGCTCAGTTTGACTGGGGAGGCAGTGGGGACTCAGAGAAGACGGCAGAGCTGGGCATATAAACGCGGTGGGGTGGGGAGGGGTGTGGCCATGAGGCTGCTGTGGCTCAGGGGTGTCCTTGTCCTCCCTGGCCCTGGTCCTCCACTGGCCGGCTGGCTGACTCACCACTTCCAGTTAATCTGACACAGATTAACCCTTGATAGGCCTCCCGTGGTAGGAGGTCTTGCCTACCCTTTGTCCCTCCAGCTGATATGAGGGGCCATAGAGGGGCACTCCTGGCTCTGGGAGAGGAGCAATGGACCTCCTCAGGGTGGAGGCAGGGCCCTGAGGGGCCACTGGCAGGCTGTTCCTCATCTCTGGAAAGCTCAGCCTGTCAGACCCTGCATTCCAGGGCAGGCCCTGGTTGGGTGGGGTTGAGAACAATGTCCTATTACATAGAGAGGAAATTGAGGCCCAGACAGGAGCAAGGACCTGGGCCCTGGACGGGCTCTGGTTTTGGTGGCAGCCTCGGCAGGCTGGGTCCTTGGCTCAGAATGGCCGGCTCCTGAGGAGCCCTGAGTGTCAGGAGAGGTAGGTTTAAACCAGCTCTGCCTCTCACCATGCTGGGCCCCAAAGCCAGCCATGTTCTGAGAGTCAGTTTCCCCAGTGGGGAGATGAGGACTTGGACCGACCTATCTGGAAGCTGCTCTGCTCCTACCTTGAGCCTTGGCTCCTGGAAGCCTCAGGCAGACAGAAAGAAAAGGGCACAGTGCCTGAGGCTCTGCTCTGCCCCGAGGAGTTTTAGGAACGTTATTTCATCCATTTCTCACGGTAGCGTGGGGTGCCCACCAATCGGAGCCACACACCCCCTCAACAGCTCCCCTTGGGGGTCTACTGGCCTCTCAAAGCTAACGAACTCTGGACTCCCCTTCAAACCCCTCCTCCTGCTGTCTGCCCCAACTCGTTAATGAGTTAATGGCGATGCCATTGTTCTAGTTGTTCAAGCCCCACATCTTGGAGTCCTTCCTGATTCTTCCCTCTCTTCCTCTACATCCCTTATCCAGTTCTTCAGCAGATCCTGTCAGCTCCACCTTCAAACTATATCTGGACTCTGACCCTTCTCAGCATCCTCAGGTCAGCACTCAGGTCCCAGACACCTGTATGTCCCGACTCGCCTCTGATGGAGTTCTGTTTCCTCTCCGACTCTCCGTCCACCCCATCCAATCGCCAGAGTGAGCCTTTACAGATTGGACCCAGACCCTCTCTCTCCTCTGCTCAGAACCCTGAAGTAGCTTGCTGCTTCTCTCAGAGCCTTGCAATGGCCCGTGGGGCCCTCCAGGAGCTGGCCCAGAAAACTGACCTCATCTTGTCCCACGGGCCCTGTGGGTCACTCCGCTCCAGCCACACTGGCCTCCTGGCTGTTTCTCACACCTACCAAGCTCCCTCCTGCCTCCCCGCCTCTGCCCTAGCTGTTTCCTCTGCTCCACCCTGGGTGTCACTCCAGAACTGTCATCCCTGTGCCTTGCTCCCCTACTTCCCTTGGCTTGCCTGGTGCAGGCTGTGGTCCTTGCCTAGCAAGATGGCTAATTAGGAGGTGAGAATACATGCCCCCCAGATCAGAAGTGCCAGTCCTGCAGAGAGGCCCCCCTCTCCTTCCTCTGACTGAGGAGGCCACCCCCACCCTCTTCCAGGACCCAGCAGGGCCTGTCACCATCTACAGAGGTGTTGATGAGGGTTGCCCCTCCTTCTCTCCCCCATGCTCCTGTCAGGGGAGAATGAGGGGAGGGGAAGATGCCCCTGCCTGGAGGTGAAGGAGGAGGAGCAGCCAGAGTGCTGTTCCCTGCCCTCCTGGGTAGGCAGCTTCCTCCCATATCCACCCTCATGCAGGCCACCATGACCCCCCCACTCCCCAGCAGCCTTGCTCTCCTGGTTTAGTGGCACAGGAGTAAGGCTGGCAGCCTCAGGGCAAAAAGACCTAGGTTTCAACTTGGCCGGGTGTGGTGGCTCACGCCTGTAATCCCAGCACTTTGGGAGGCCGAGGCGGGCAAATCACTGGAGGCTGGGAGATCGAGACCAGCCGGGCCAACATGGTGAAACCCCATCTCTACTAAAAATACAAAAATCAGCCAGGTGCGGTGGCATGAGGCTGTAATCCCAGCTATTCGGGAGGCTGAGGCAGAAGAATTGCTTGAACCTAGGAGGCGGAGGTTGCAGTGAGCCAAGATGGTACTCCAGCCTGGGTGATAGAGTGAGACTCCAACAACAACAACAAAAAAAAGACCTAGGTTTCAGCTCAGCTCTGGCCCTACCTCTCTGTACCACCTCCCTGAGCCTTGATTTTCCCACCTGGCCAATGGGAATGTCTGGAATAGTTTGTGATTCAGCCTTTCCAGTGGTTACTGTGCCTGAAGTTCCTGCAGTGAGGCTGGGAGGGGTGATTCATGTTCCTAGATGGATTCACCTTGCTGTGAGGGCACAGGGCCTCTCATGAGCTCCCTAGGGCCATGAAAGGGAGGGCCCAGGAGTAAGACCATTGTCCAGGGGCTCTCATTGGCTCCCTGGCAGCCCCAGAGCCCAACTAGGCATCTGCAGACCTGGCCAGGAGTCACACCGGCTCCTCCTCTATCTCCCCTGCACCTCCCCTCGGGGACAGCCTTCCCTTCTGGGAATAAAGCTTGCAGGAAGTTTGGCGAGAACTATTGTGTTTCAGTTCTGGGCATGAGGCCAACTGCCAGGCTGGCGCCTCCTGGTGAGGCTTGCAGGCATGTGCCCGCTGGGCAGGCTGGGCCCAGGGCCAGGGAGGCTTGGGGCCAAGGGTAAGGCCAGAAGGGGGATGGTGGGCCAGGGCTGCTAACCTCCTGCTATCCCTTTTTTATTCCCATGTCTGGATGGGAATCTGCAGGCTTCCCTCAGAGATGTCCTGCATCAGAACCAATGTCCTCGACCCATCTGTTACCCCTGGCCTGCACTAGAGGATTGATGAGGGAACAGAAAATGCATATACTGGGTTACATGAGTGGTAGGGAACTGGGGGTGATGGGGTACCCCCCCCGTAACTCTCAGTTTGCACAAACTCATCTGTAGGGGTGTGGTGAGCCCTGGGGAGGGAATTCATGCCTCCTCTTGGCTGGGAGCAAAGCTGGATGCTCACCATCAGCTTCTCAGGCTCCCTCTCACTTAACCCACCCAACACTGCTAGGGTGCAGAGATCAGCAGGCAGCTTTTCCAGGCAGGGGTTTGGCCAGTTTACCTGCCCAAGGCCACACAGCCAGTGGATGAGAGGCTGGGCTGTGAGCACCGAAGCAAGCCTGATTCCAAAGCTCAGCACTCTCAGCTACTCCACTGGGCCTGGCAAGATTGGAAGCTGCTAACTCCAGTGCCCTTATCCAAACAGACAGGCAGCCTTGCCCTCAATAGGCCAGGATTAGCCAGCAGATGTTGCAGGGGAACTAGGACTGCCCATCACTTAGGGCATTTTTGGATCCATGTGCTGGGGGGAAGGGCTAGGGTGAGAGGAGGAGGTAGGAACAACAGGGAGTTAATGGTCCTTGAATTCAGCTCCCGCGGGTGGGTTGGGGGGTGCTTAACTTGGTTCTGGTGGGGAGAGAGATGGAAGGAGACAAACTCTTCCACCCACTCCTCCCTATCCTCCAGCAGCCTGGGAGGCCTGAGGAGCTGAGCCCAGTTCTGCCCTCTAGAAGGGCCGTGTGTCTGAAAAGTCACACTAGCTGGAGCGGGGCTGGGCTGGGAGGCAGGGTGCCTGGCTGCCCGGATCTGTCATTTGGGCAAGTTACTTGACTGCAGTGGGGCTATTTCCCAGCAGTTTCACAAGGACTTTCAGTTAAAAATGGTCCCCCATGTTCCTTCTAGTTTCAACATCTAAACTTGCCTGAGAGTTATGGCGGCCAGGGGAAAGCTCTTTCACAGGTGAGGAAGCACACTCAGAGAAAGTAAACCTCTTGTATGAAAGCACACAGCTTAGCTAGTGAGGCCAGGGCTGGAACTGGAAGCTGGGTCTGTCTGACCCCACACTCTTGCTGTCTCTGCTGTGCTCTAACCATGCTTCCTTGGATGTGGATCCCTTCTCTGCTCCACAGTGGATGCCCCCCTGAACTCATAATCTGAGTATCCATTGGTGGCAGCAAGAGGAATTATGTTCTTTGGAGCAGAGAAGCATTCCAAAAGATGACACAAAAGTCAGAAATCATTAAAAAGGGATAGGTTTGATTACATTTTAAAAATCTATACTAACTTCTATAATGGTCCAAAATGCCCTGCAATACAAAGAAAAGAAAAAAAGGAGAAAATGTTTGCTGCATATTTAAAAAAGGATTAATATCCCTAGTATACAAAGAGCACTGAAACCTATAAACATTATCCAATTTAAAAAACATGAACTGGGGATTCACAAAAGAAGAAACACAAATATGTATTATATATACATGATGAGCATCCTTTTTTTTTTTTTTTTTGAGATGGAGTTTTGCTCTTTGTTGCTCAGGCTGGAGTGCTGTGGTGCTATCTCGGCTCACTGCAACCTCCGCCTCCTGGGTTCAAGCAATTCTCCTGTCTCAGCCTCCCGAGTAGCTGGGATTACAGGTGCCCGCTACCACGCCTGGTTAATTTTTGTATTTTTAGTACAGACGGGGTTTCACCATGTTGGCCAGACTGGTCTCGAACTTCTGCCTTGGCCTCCCAAAGTGCTGGGATTACAGGAGTGAGACACCAGGCCTGGCCAACGTCCTTTTATTTTTGAGGCAGAATCTCACACTGTTGCCCAGGCTGGAGGGCAGTGGCGTGATCTCGGCTCACTGCAACATCTGCCTCCCAGGTTCAAGCGATTCTCCTGCCTCAGCATCCTGAGTAACTGGGATTACAGACGTGCACCAACACACCCAGCTAATTTTTGTATTTTTAGTAGAGATGGGGTTTCACCATGTTGGCCAGGCTGGTCTCAAACTCCTGCCTCGGCCTCGCCAAGTGCTGGGATTACAGGCGTGAGCCACCACCCCCGGCCATGATGAGCATCCTTATAGGCGATTCTACCCAGCTATCAAAAGCGCTTCTCAAAGCTACTAATCAAAGCAACCTTGGCTCCTCCTCAGGACTCCCACGCACACTCCCCAGATCCCCAAATCCAGCTCTGTGGGGCAGGTGGGGACCAGCTGGCAGCTTAGGGTGCCAGGTCAACCTGGTGACCGGTTCTGAGTGTGTGGCATTACAGAAAGAGGCTTAATGGGGAGGGCAGAGTCTGCAGGGGGTGGGGGGCAGCTGTGGGCAGAGAACATCAGGAACCAGAGACATCAAAATCAAGAGTAATGAAGTGGAAATCACACTAGGGCCTGGGCACCCCCAGCTATTTGGCTTATTCAACCTGAGTGTAACTACAAAGAGGGTATCCCCCATTTGCAAGTATCTGTGTGCCTTTGGTCTCAGCTCCTTCTGCTATCCCTGTGGGTTAACACCATCTAGGGCAGGGGCTCAGCCTTGCTAGTGAGAGGAAGGTAAGGGGTCCCTTACATTCAACTGTTTACATCTCATCACACTGAGATTCTAGTCCCTTCCTGACAGAGCCCTGCTGCTGGGCCACAGCTTTTTATTAAGCACCCACTATGTGCCAGGCACTGTTCTGAGTGCTGGGGATACGGTGATCAACAAAACACACAAAAATCCCTTCTCTTCAGAGACCCAAGCATCTGTGTTCCAGGACAGGGGCCTAGGCCCCAGAAAATCAGGGCCAGGGATTGGAGAGCATGGGGGCAATGGGGGCATCAGGGCTGCCAAGCCAGCAGCCTGGGAATCTCCTGGGAGATCTTGGACAGGGGTAATGAACCATCTCAGTGGGCTCTCAGACTGTGTGACCCCAGCAATAAGAGTGCAGAAACAACCAGGTAAGGGTGGTCAGCATTGACAACACCTGCAAGTACACTGCATTCCAGTTCCCGTGTGGCCCAAGAGTATAGGGCAGCTAACCTGGGAGAGCCACAGAGACCACCTCACTCCCCATTTCACAGCTGTGAAAACTGAGACCCAGGGAAGGGAAGCTTTTGTCATGATTAAGGAGCAAACAAAACTTTGAAGGAAGGACTTTGAAGGAGGGACGGATTCATGCAGGTGCATGGCCCATGCCCCTGGCCTTACCTTTTTGTTTTTCAGTCCCATCCTCTTGAGGCCAGGAGTGTCTGGCCTTGTTTAACAATCTTGGGGATGAGTACTTGGTATCAGTGGGTGATCAGGAATCAGTCCTGCCCAGACAGCTGGCCTGGGCGTCTTGGAGTCCTTATGGGTAGTAGACAGTATGGAGGTCAATGTGGTCTCAGGGGTGCCACACACCAGCCCTGGGGCCTGGATGTGGGGGGAGGGGGAGGGTGGCCAGGTGGGAGCAGGTCCTGGATCTCTCAGCAGCGAGATGGTCTGTGGGTGGAAGGGCCTTGGGGGTTGAGGGCCATGGCCAGCTGGACAGGGTCAGCAATGAGGCAATTGACTCTTGGCACACCTAGGACGGTGGAGAGATGGGGCAGGGGGGCCCTGTCTCTGCCCAGGCCTGGAAAACAATAAGCTCTTCCACCTAGCTGGGTCACCTGGGCAACACTGTGTGATGTCACAGGGCAGGGCCGAAGTCACACAGGCACCTGTCCAGGTGCAGTGAGCTAGAACGCGAAGCCCTTTTCCCTATTCCTGGAGCTGTGTTCCACCTGCCGCCTGGCACTCAGGCCCCACCCTTCCTGCTCTTGGTGCCTCAAGTAGTCTCCACCAACCCTGTGGTGTGGCCAGCCCCATGCTGCTCAAGCTGCAGCAAAAGAGGAAGCAGACACTGCTCTCAAGAGTGTTGCAGCTTGATCGGTAAAACAGCTACTTCTGTTGAAGAATCTACCAGCCATCGTGCCTCTTTGGGTACCTATAGTCTTCCATTTATTTGATAATAATAAACACAAACTTCAAGAGGATGGTTTCTTCTTGGAGGGTGGGTGGGAAGATCGGGGAGAGAAGAGGGTAAGAGCATACATTCTAAACTTTTGGGTTTTTAGATTGGGTGGTCAGTTAATGGAAATTCATTACATTATTGAAAATAAATTATAATTAAACAATTAAAGAAAGCCATGATGGGTCAGTGATGGCACTAGAGTACGAACCAAAGATTATGGTTCAGTTCTGAGCACTGCAAGAAATTATTACAAAGACAAAGAGCATTTGCTGCACGCCAGGCAGGGTCCTAAGTGCTTTTGGTGAGGTGAGATGGCAGAATGAAGAGAGACTAGTCCTTGGCCTGGGGTGGGGGGTTGCTCTATAGAGAGGTGAGGTCTGAACTGGGCTTCGAAGAATGATCAGAAATCCTGGGCTAGAAGAGGAGGGATTTGGGGTACTGGGCAGTGTTCAGAAGTGTTTGGGGGGCCCCTGTGGCCTGCCTCATTTCTACCTATTTTGGGCCCCAAGTTGGAGATTCTTTTAATCTGGCCGAAGAGCAGGACCAGCCTGGCAGCCAGGAGGCAGGAGACTCCGGCTTTGCAGAGGCCTCCCAGCCTCCCTCTCTACCCCCACTCCAGAGAGAGCAGCAGCAAGGATGTGGTTCTCCCCAGTTTAGAGACAGAAAAACTGAGGCTTTGCTTTTGATTAGAACTGAAAGGACCAGCCAAGGTCACCCAGACACTGGTGGGGGATGGTAGTCAGGAACCCCACTCCTAATTTTCTCCCCGTCTAGGCCTGCCAAGAGTGGTACTCCTGGGGCTCTGGGGCTGGGGGCCTGACCAGGAATGGCCTGGCTGTGAGCACTGTGCTTTATCTCCCTTGTGGGCCAACATGTCCCAGCACAGTGTGTATGTGTGGAAAGGTCTCAGTGGCTGCTCCCCCAGTCTCTCTAGAGCGCATCTCCCCCAACCTCTCAGGCCTGCTTAGTCTAGGAGGCTAGGGCAGCAGGTTCAGGGGGTGGGGAGCCATTGCTCCTTCTCTAGCAGCAGGACTGAAGATGCAAGCCAGGTGCCTAGGAAGCAAACTTTAATGAAGCACTCATTCTCAGGGCTGTGCGAGCGCTCCGCTCCCGACACAGAGCCTCACATTTTGTGCCCTGGCCACCTTGCCTGCCTCACTGTGGTCCTTGCCCTGCCCTGCAGCTCTGCCTCAGTCCCCGGGGCTCGGGGCTCTCACCCAGCTACCCTCCTTGGCATCTGAGCTTTCTGCCTCTGCAGCCACGCCCCTGCCATCTTCCTGCCTGGGAAGATAATGCGATTGGGCACTGGTTCCAGGCCGTCTGGCTCCAGGGTGCAAGTGGGCCCTGTGCACTCAGCAGCCACCAGTAGGGCCCTTCTACCTCCTGACTTGCTGGTTGTTCACCTCCCCAGACCAAGGACCCCTGAGACACCAGCTCCTGTGCCTGTCCTAACCTCCCCCGAGAGCTGCTTCCTCCTTGCCTGTGAGAAGGCCTTAGCAGCATGAGCCCAGCTGCTCTACCTTCTCCTCCCCTTCCTCCAGCAAGGTGAGCTCTATATCCCCAGCCCAGAGAAGTGGGCTTGCTCCTCAAATGTCCAGGGGCCAGCCCCAAGCTGTGATGATTCAGGGAGATTCCAGGGTGAGGGAGAGCAGGGAATGATTAATCTCACAGCTAATAGATAACTGTGCCCACCCCCTACCCACAGGAGACAGCACTTGGAGCTATATCACTAGGAGGGGCCAGGGGTTAAATGTGGCCACTAGAGAGCCCATAGTTCTGGGAGGGGCAAGCCCCTGAGGCTGGATCTGGGGCTGGCTCTTGGGGAAGGAGGGATCTTGCTGGCTGGACAGCAAGAAGAATCTGGGTAGACAGATGTGGCTCATAGTCAGCCCTGCTTCCTCATGCCATGTCTGGGGCCTGGAGTCTGAGGAAGCAGCCTGTGAGGACAAACTACCCATGCAATGAGACTCAGGGGAGTGTGTCTGTCTTCCAGAGACGCCCCCGCCTCCTGACTTGGCCTTTCCTTCCCTGTGAGTCCTGTCCCACCCCCACATTTGGGCAGCTGAGTTGGATGAGGTGGGAAATGTAGGCAGTGTGATTTTGTAGCAAATGGCAGCTCAAAGCTGTGTGATCTTGGGCAAAATGTTAACCCTTTCTGAGCTTTGGTTCCCATCCTTATTCAGTGAGGCAATCAGGGCTGCTCTGTGGGCTGAATGAGACCACGCAGGTAAAGCTCTTAACACGGATGGTTATGAGCTCCAGGCATGCTCGCTTTTCCCTGCTAACCAACCTTGGGCTTGGCAAGTTCTCTCTAGTGCAGCTCTGGGTGGCAGTGACTTCAGTTTAAACCCAGCTCAGCACCTTAAGGGGTGGGGTGTGAACTGGCCTCAAGGGGCCCAGTTAGAGCCCTTGTGGAAGCACAGGGCAAAGCCAGCTCTCCAATCTCTCTGCAGAAACTCCTGAGGCTGAGCCTCATAACTTATATGAGGTCAGAGCAGCCCTCGAAGGTCCTGGCCAGCAGCCGGTGGATTCAGAGCGGGGAGCCCTCTCAGAGTTTTCCATCCTTCAGCCAACAAGTGAAGACCTGCTGTCTACACCACTGGGGCCGAGGGTGCGTGGCAGTGGGAGCATAGAGACCCTCTAAAGGAAATGCTTCAGTAGACAACAGTCAAAATAATCAAAGGAGGGGCAGGGACTTGCCCTGGTCCCACGCCCCTGCCTCATGTTTCTTACATACCAGGAGTGAACTTGCAGCTCCAGAAGCAGCACACACACAGGAGGTGTTGCTGTGGACCAGGAGGACTGCACACACGTTCAGAGCAGGAGATAAAGGGGTCGAGGAAGGCCTCCGGGATGAAGGGCCTTGAGCAGGACCCTGAGAACACATTGGATTTAGGTAGGAAAGGGGACATTTCTGTTGAAGGGCTACCTGAGAAAGGTGCGGCCATGGGCGTGGGCCTGGAAGCCGGGAACAGAGAGGGGATAGAGAAGAGGGCAAGTGGGCCTGGGATGATATCTGGTCTGGGTGGGTGTGAAGGCTCAAGCGCTGGTGGAGACATGCAGACTTCACCCCATGGCCATTTCTCACTTCTCTGGCCCATTCCAGTGGGGGAGAACTCACCAAGTCCAAAGTTGGTTAGCAGGGAAAAAAGCAAGCACGTCTGGGGGACTTCACTGTCCGCGTTAAGAGCTTTACCTTCATGGTCTCATTCGGCCCTCAGAGCAGTCCTGATTCTCCCACTGGATAAGGACGGGAACCAAAGCTCAGAGAGGGTTAACATTTTGCCCAAGATCACACAGCTATGAGCTGCCATTTGCTATAAAATCACACTGCCTACATTTCCCACCTCATCCAACTCAGCTGCCCAAAAGCAATGGAGAAAGAGTGATAGGGAGATATGGGGGAAGGGGCAAGAGTCAGGAAAAGAGAAGGCCAAGTGTGGGGGCTCTGGGAGAGAGGCACACTTTCCTGGACTCTGCCTGGCAGCCAACTCTCTCCATACAAGTGCCTTTCCAGGTTATGGTCATTGTTCCCTCTTGTCTCTTCAAACCTAGGAGTCAGGGAAGGCTTCTCACAGGTTCCAGCCCCCAAGGCGCTGTAGTCTCCCTCTTGTTTTTCCTAAACCCCACCCTCAGTATTGTAAATAGTCCCTTTATTAAACTCCCCTCAAGCTCCTGAATTTGAATGCCTTCTTTTTCCTGGCAGGACCCTGGCTGATATACCTGCTGTGTGAGCCCCTCTCCATGGCCCAATCTCTCGCCCCGCCTGATGTCCTGGTATTACTGCTGTCATCGTCACCACCAGCCCCTTCACACCCCCAACTTTTAGTGAGCACTTACTGTGTGCCAGGTCTCATGCCAAGAGTTGACCTGCGCCATGTCATTTCATCCTCACATTTACGCTCCCGGAGTTATTGCTGTGAGTCTTTTCTTTTTTCTTTTTGAGACAGGGTCTCATTCTGTCTCCCAGGCTGGAGTGCAGTGGCATAATCTCAGCTAACTGCAACCTCCGCCTCCTGGGTTCAAGTGATTCTCCTGCCTCAGCCTCCCCAATAGCTGGGATTATAGGCATGCCACCACGCCCGGCTAATTTTTTGTATTTTCAGTAGAGACAAGGTTTCCCATGTTGATCAGGCTGGTCTCGAACTCCTGACCTCAAGTGATCCACCCGCCTCAGCCTCCCAAATTGCTGGGATTACAGGCGTGAACCACCGCACCTGGCCAGAGTCCATTTTTAAGGTGAGGACACAAATGCTCTGAGGGAATGGACTTGCCCAAGGTCACACGGCTTTGAGGCGGCACAGCTGGGATTTGACTCCAGGCCTGCTGGCTCCAAAGTCCGAGATCATTACCACCAAACCACGCTGCCTTTTCCTTTCACTCTGGGAAAGGAGTCGCAGCTCTCCTTTCCTCTCTCCAGAAACTGGGGCAGCATGAAAAATTCAAGACCAGAGATGAAAACACCTGGCCTTTTGAATGAGGCCAGACCAATGGCTCTGCGGCAGTGCAGCCTGCAGACACTGGTGTCAAAGGAGATTGAGGTGGTGTGCCCCAGAGGCTCAGCTGGGCATGGCTGGCCGGCCCCCATAAGCAAGGGCAGAGCCAGGGGGCCTGGAGGACATCACTTCTATCCAGCACAGAGGGGCTGCAGGGCTGTTTGATTATGAGGGCTGGTGGGGTCATAACACCCCAGACTGTGACTCTATCACTAATGTAGCTCGCTCCCATTTCCAGCTAAGCCTGTTAGATGCAGGCTGCTGTCTTTAGGGTCTGCTTGCTGAGTGGGCCAGGGTGGGATCCTGGAGGCTCTGGGGGCCTGCCCTTCTGACCTTTCCCTGGTTGCTTGCCGTGCAGAGGTGACTTCTATCAGCTCAGTAAACGGCTACTGGGCTAAACCCTTGTGTATCTGTGTTTTGTCTCAGAGCAGACTTTGTGATAGTCCTGACCCTCTCTTGCTGCACCTAGTTCTTGTGGGCTCTGGTCACCACCAAATAGGCAAAAAGATTTGGCAGCAAAGAAAAAAAGCATGATGACTTGGAATCTGTCAGGCCTGGCTCTAACCCTGGTTCTGCCAGGCACCGGAGTGAGGGTTTGGGCAAACCCCCTGATCCCTCAGAGCCTCCCATTCCTCATCTGCAGAGCAGGTCTACCAGCAGGCTCTGTGCAGGGTGGTGGCGAGGATTAGATAAGAGAATGGATGCCTTCACATGGTAGGCAGCCCCACAGTGAGCTTTCCCTCACACTTACACCAATGTATGCCAAGATGGAGCACCTCTGGCCCAAGCTTTGGCAACAGGAGACTTGGGGGTGACGAGTAGAGTGTGATGTTCTCGTTGTTGGACAACGCGGCTTCCATTTGCTTAGCAGGCACGTTTATGGATTGCCATGTTGAAGGATTCCTCTTGGCATTTGGCAACCACAGCTCTCATTTGGGGCGGCCCAGCTCCCTCCATCATGTCATAAATCACTTTGCTAAAGATGCAACGTTGCTTTTGGGCATTTTTCTTTTGAAAAATCAATAACTCGTGTAACAAGGGACTGAATAAAGGAGTGAGCAATGAAGCTGCCTGCCATTTCCTTCCATCAGGAGGGGCAGAAGCAGTGCTCTGCCAAGGTTGGGTGGGGGGTCTACTCAGAGGGCAGAGAGGCCTTGGGGTGGGGACAATAGGCTCAACCTGTTTCCAGCAAACCTGTGTCCCCTCACCCCAACTCTTCCAACCTCCAAATCTGACCAAGGCCCTCCTCTGCTTCAAAAAACACCTTAGTAGGACCCCATCACTGCAGGGGACCCCTGCCAGCCTCCTGGTCTGCTCACCCCAGGCCCTCACACCCACACTCATGACATGCCTGTGGTCCCTGTGAAGGAGCAGTGGTCTCTCCAGCCTTCAGGCCTTCACCTTTACTGTTCCATGTGCCTGGGCCATCCCTCTTCCCCAGCCAGCCTGAATAATTCAAGACACAATTGAATTGTGCACAACCTGCACAAAGATTCGCTGCAACCTTCCCCCACCCGACCTCAGGGACATCAGATCCACAGCCCATGGGCCTCCCCTGCCCTGGCTCATGATCCACTGTGGGCTTCTCTGGGACAGGATCTATCTTCCCCAAGGGCGGGGACCATGTCCCCAGGGCCCAGCATGTTGCCTGGTGCAGAATTGGCACCAGATGGGTGCTTGATGTATGAGTGAGGGATGACATTTGTGTCAAGTATCTTCCTCCTTCCTGCTACTTCAGCCTGGGACAGTGATGCCTGCTCCCCCAAACCCTCCCTCTCCACAGTCCAAGCCCCCAGTGCCTTCTCGCCTTGCTAGGGCATGCACGGGTGTGTATAGGAACCTCATAATAATAGCTAACAGTGAGCAATATTCTGTGTGTTTTACATACGTTAACTCAGTCCTCACAATGACATATGAGGTAGGTGCTACTATTGTCCCCACTTTATTTTATTTTTATTTCTATTTTTTTGAGACGGTGTCTCAATTGTCACCCAGGCTGGAGTGCAGTGGTGGGATCTTGGCTCACTGCAACCTCCGCTTCCCAAGTTCAAGCGATTCCCCCGCCTTGGCCTCCCAAGTAGCTGGGATTACAGGTGCCTGCCATTACGCCTGGCTAATTTTTGTATTTTTAGTAGAGACTGGGTTTCACCATGTTGGCCAGGCTGGTCTCGAACTCCTGACCTCAAGTGTTCTGCCTGCCTCGGTCTCCCAAAGTGCTGGGATTACAGACGTGAGCCACCGCCCCCAGCTTGTTGTCCCCATTTTAAAGATAAGAAAATGGAGGCAAGCTTCAGACTTAGGCCACCTAGCTGCAGAGACTGTGGCCTTAATCACAGCACTCTCCTTACTGAGGTGCTTGTGGGGAGCCTGGGGGTGGGGGTGACAGCCTTGGGTACCTCGCCCACTGGACAGGGCCTCAGGGTTGGCTCTGCAGCCGGGATGCGCCAGCAAGTCCGAGGGGCTCCAATTACAGGAAACTGCTCACTCAGGCCAAGTCAGCCCGGGCTCCCTCCCTCTCAGATTCCCTGCTCAGCGCCCGCCACCCTTCGCTCACACCACCCGCCATCTCTACCAGAGAGCAGAGCCTCTGGCCCTAATCTCATTTGAGGCCATGAAATCGCATTTGCAGCGTATTAATGCAGCGTGGAGCTGGCCCGGCCCCTGCCTGTCTCCTGGAAGAGAGGAGCCTGGAAAACAATCCCACGGGGAGGCGTCTCCAGGAACACCCGCCGACAAAAAGCAATTATGCTTTAAGAGGAAGATTAAAATAATGTCTACAACCTCCTCGCTCCCATGCCCATCCGTGAGCTCCACTGGCCCAATAGTGACTCAAGACCAGGCTTCCGGGTGGGGTAAGGAGTGGGGGCCCCATGGCCCAGCCCCTCAACTGCTCCCACAATCACTGGCTCCCCAGAGAGCTTCCAAGTTCCCCAAAGAAGCCACAGTCTCTCCAGCCCCTGGGTCTTTATTCAAGCTTTTCCGTCCAACCCTTGCCTACCTGGCAAGCTGCCATTCACTCGGCGTCACGAGAATGGCCAGCGTTTTGTGAGCATTGGCTATAGTCTTTAAATTTACTACACATTGAATTCAACAGTCCTGCTGGCGAGTGTTGTTATCATCCTCATTTTACAGATGAGGAAAGGAGGTGCAGAGAGGTGAAGTCCCACAGCTGGAGGGGGCAGAGAAGGATTGAAACCAGAGCCCATCACTACTCTCCTCTCTGCCTTTCTGCCCTGATCAAATACTTTCCACCCCTCTACTGCGCCTTCAGCCTCCACAAGGTGGGTCCAGCTGCTTCCCCTTCTATACCCAGGGACTGCAGTGCTCTCCCTGTGGTGCTCCTGTCTTTCCAAGAGCTCTGAGAGGCCAGGCCTGGCATAGAATCAGGGTTCAACAAATGCTTCCTGCATGGAGGAATCAGTAACACCTCTCTGCAGAGGTAATGGGGTGGAGATGGGTGGCCCATCCCCCCACCCCCGCCTCCAAGGCTGTGAATCAGGGTGGCTTCCAGGCTGCCTGTGTTCTGGAAGTCTTTGGAACCCCCTCTCCTCCGAGACCTCTTGGACTGCACTGAGGCTAGAATGTTATTTAATTGTCACAACCACATTGCCAAGTAGACATCATTATCCCCCTTTTACAGATGAGAAAATAGTCAGAGAAGTAAAATGACTTGCTCAGGAACACCTATTGCAAGGCAGACCAGGAACCTGAACTCAAGCCTGAGTCCAAAGTTTGTCTACTGAACCTTCTTGACTGTAACTCACTGTCACTTCTCAGACAGGGTGGAAAGGCCTTAATTATGGGCCAGGGCTACTTATGCAACACTTTTTTCTAAGTGTCATTAGCCAACAGCAGTGGTTCAGGGAGTTTGCTCTGGGACTCTGAGCCACTGACAGCCCCAACTCCATCCCCAGCCTTGCTCCCAAACCATTCAGTGCAATAAATGAGCACTCATTGTTGGGGCCAGCGTAATACCAAGTAACCTGTCTTGGCAGGACTCGGTGTGATTTGGGGCCACCAGGAAGAAATCTCCTCCCTCAAAGTGCTTCCCCGTGATCCTTTCACGTGCCCAGAAAGCCCAGCATTAGTGCTGCATGGGCTGAGGAACAGCTTGCAAATGGGCTAAGGAACAGCTTGCAAAGTGTGAGTCTCCCTGGGAAAGGATGCTGTTAGTCATTCCCACCTGTGTGCTGACTACTGGCTCAGAAAGACCAAAATATATGGTGATCTGGATTCCAGCTTGACCTTGCTACTGACTGCCTTGGGCAAGCTGTCTATCTCCTCTAGGGGCTCAGTTTCTTGCTTCAGAAAATGGGCTCTATCAAGGTTACCCTGCCTACCTCCCAAGACCAGTATGATGCTCCAATGGGCTCTGCAGGCTGCCAAATGTGATATAAGTTCCACCTCTGCCAGCCTGGCCCAGAGCAGCCTCTGGTACAGAGGGGATAGTACAGAGCTCGAAGTACTCAGAGATGGCACCTCCTGTGCATTCCATTGGCATCCCCTGCAACTCCCTACCACCTCCATCCTACGAACCAGCTCTCTCCACCTCCTGTTTCCCCCCTACTTGCTTGTCCCTCGAATACCTCCACGCCTTTGCTCACACTGTCCTCCACCTTTTTTTTTTTTTTTTGAGATGGAGTCTCGCTCTATTGCCCAAGCTAGAGTGCAGTGGTGTGATCTTGGCTCACCGCAACCTCTGCCTCCCAGGTTCAAGCGATTCTCCTGCCTCAGCCTCCCGAGTAGCTGGGACTACAGGCACATGCCACCACGACGGGCTAATTTTTGTATTTTTCAGTAGAGACGGGGTTTCACCATGTTGGTCAGGCTGGTCTGGAACTCTTGACCTTGTGATCTGCCTGCCTTGACCTCCCAAAGTGCTGGGATTACAGGCGAGAGCCACCGTGCCTGGCTCACCCTTGAAAACCATTCTCCCCACTCTCTGCTGGAATCCCACCCCACCATAGAGGCAGGGTGCAACTGTCTCCCTGACATTTGTGGGATGGGTTGTTAGCACCACGCAATTTCCCAATCTCTTCCTCACTTGAGCCTCATAACTTCCTTGTTAGTAGATAGGACTCTGTCCATCGTACAGATGAGGAATTTGAGGCCCAGGGAGGTAAGGGACCTGCTCCAAGTCATAACTGCTCATATGCAACTGGGAAATGAGGTTCTAAACTAAGTCTTCTGACTGCCAGCAGAACTGTCTTCCTCCAACAGACTGAGTCCTTGACGACCACCCAGCTCATGCCCACCACTTCCTCCACAATCGGCTTGGAAAGTGATTGTTCCTCAACTCCTCCTATTTCCTCTCCCTGCCCAGCCTGGCAGCTCCCTGAAGGCTGGACATACAGCAACCCAGTTTACTGCTTGGGAAAGTGAATGAATGAATGAATGAATGATCATCACCTCAGGCTGAGGGAGGTTGGACCTTTGGAGCCCAGGGCAGGCTGTCAGGTCCAGGTGGAGGAAGGACGTCCCACACGCATTCTCCATCTTCCCTGGGACGGGGCCTGGTACCTGCTGGCCTCAGCTGCTCCTGACCCCAGGACTCTGCAGAACTAGCCCAGGACCCAGGCTGGGGGTGGCTGGGCTGGCCTAACAGCCCTACCCCTCACCAGGGCCAGGGTGGGCTCACTGGGTGCTGTCAGCCTTCCTACCCTGCTGCTCCCCACCCTAATCCACTGTCAGAGGTATATTAAAGATGGGTTTCACGCAGGGTTTTAATCTCACCTCATATATCACATATGCCATGTCCCCAAGTCCCTTTCTCACCTGGTGCTGCACTTGGGGTTGTTGTACAGAGATGGAACCAGGGAGACGCAGGAGATCCAGGGAGGTGCGAGTCTGTGTGTGGGAGGATGTGCGCTTCCCAGGCATGTCCATTGGTGTCTCGGGGTGAATCTATCATTGAGATGGAGGTGGAGGGTAGGGGGGTCTCTGCATGTTGAGGATGCTGGAGGTCTGTGTATATTCACGTATGTGTGCATGTGTATGTGTCCTTGTGTGTCGCAGCATCCATGAGGGTGGATGGAGTTGGGGGTGGGTGGAGGGTGTTCAGGAGTTGGGGGCACATCCGCTTTCCATGGGTGTAAGGTTAAGAAAAGGCCATCGTCACTGGGCCTTCCTGCACATTATGCCCGCTTCCTTCACTGTGAAGATAATTTCTGGAGATGAGAAGGCCACCACATTTCCCTTCCCTGGAGCCCATCAGCTGCTCACTGGGGCTGGGGCTGGTCTGGTTGGGAAGACATCAGAGGCAGGCAACCCCTTCCTCTCCATCTCCCCCCACATCATTCTCTGTCACACACACACACACACACACACACACACACACACACACGCCTCCAGGAGGTGTGAGTCAGCGTCAGCCCCTGGCTGGGGTGAGGAAAGGCAGAGATGAAGGAGGACAGCAGGGCCATCTGGTGTGTTCGGTTACAACAATCTGCTAATGGAGGCTCTTCCCAGACTAGCACCCAGGCTGGGCTGGCCTTCTCCACCCTGCAACCTGGAATCTGGGCCCAGACACAGTGAGACTCACAAGCTCCTAACACCCCTCCCTTGGGAGACTGGCTGGGCAAGAAGGAGCAATCCTATTTTCTAGGTGCAGAAACCAAGGCCCAGACACATCCTCTTTGCCCAATACAGACATCCCAAATCATTACTAGAACAGCAGGAATTTATTAACCACTTACTGCAGGGCAAGGCTAACTGTACACTAGCTCATTTCATCTTGCCAGCAATAAAGGGCACAGAAATTGCTCTCTCCCATTTTACAGACGTGGAAGTGGAGGCTGAGGGAAGTTATATAACCTGCACCAGGTCAAACGCTGCTAAATCAATGCCAGAGCCCAATCAGCATCCAGGTCCTCCTGACTTCCATGCACCTGCCTCTCACCCTAAGCTGGTTGAATCCCAAATCCCTCCCATCCTCTACTCTGCTGAGTTCCAGGCACAGACCCTGTTAGGACCCTAAAAGCATATACAGATGACATGGAAATCTGGAAGCACAGGGGTGGAGGGACAGGCTTGGGCAAGGACACAAATATGGGACTCCCTCAAACTGTGCAATTTTGAGTCTCGTCCATGCTGCCCAGGACCTCTGGGCTCTCCTTCAGGGACCCCATGAATGGAGAGTGTTTCAACGCACCCAGAGGAGGAAGGGGAGCCAGCAGGCTGCCTGCAGGGTGATCACGATGTATTTAGCCCCTGGCCTCTCTCCCTGACAGGGTGGGAGGTGCAGGGGTGAAGTGGGGGCTGGAAGTGCCCCCCACCCCAGCCTCCCCAGGGCCAGCACCTGCCTGCCCCACCTCTCTCTCCGCCATGGTGCCGGTCTGCACCCCTCCCTGCGTGGGTGACAGCATTCTCTGAGAACGCCATGACAGTGCCTTTGTTCCCCTGAAATAAAAGAAAATCGAGCTACAAAGGGAAACCTCAGGTAGCTTTTAACGGGGCTCAGCTGCCTGGGGCAGAGTGTGTTTAAGCTGGAGGCAGTTGTCAAAGGAGGAGAAGGGGGAGCTGCCTGCAGTCCCCTTCCCACCCCCTACTCAAGGGGGAGCCCCCATGATCGTGTTTACTCAAGGAAAAGGCTCTTCCAAATAGTGGCAGAGGAGAAAATCAATGTAAATTGATGGAGAAATGTAAAGCAGCTGTCTGCTGTCTGCTGTGTGTGTGTGTGTGTGTGTGCATGCTTGCGTGTGTGTGTGTGTGTGTGTGTGTGTGTGTGTGTGTGTGTGTATGCTGGCGGTGGGCACAGCCTCAGCAGAAGCATGCTGCCTGGACGGGGCTGACCTGCTCGGGCCTGAGGCCCAGAGGGTGGGGGCTGGGAGTCAATCTCTGGCACGTGCCTGTAGAGGGGCACTGGTGGCTGGGGGAGGGGTGGCAGCAGAGTCTCTAACTCGAGTTAAGAGAGAGATTAATATATTCAATCCGCTCCAGGGTAATTGAGGGAACAATTGGAGTGTTTTTCTAAAGCCCATAAAACTGCCTCATTTGCAAGGAGGAGCTGACTGGCCTCCAGTCCTCTGTGTTTGGTGAAGCGCAGGAAAGGAGGAGGAGGGGGAACCCCAGTACCCAAGGGCTGGGACATCAGCCTGGGAGGGGCTGGCAGTCCTGATCTAACCTGTTCTCACCTTCCCCACCTCCCACCACTTTGTTGGTAGCAGCCCAAGCATTGCTTTCTAGAGCCTCTCTTTCCCCACCTGTGAAATGGGCCAGTGACAACTCCCCTCACCAGGAGAGCAGAGGGAGTGGCAGAAGGGGAGGCTTCAGAAGATGAGGGAAACCAGCTAACCCAAGGGTCCAGCACTGAGGGGATGGGGCATGAACGAAGAGGTGCCCAGTTCCCCAGCCACGCCAGCCCCCACTCACACCCCCGTGCTGCACCCCTGAGATTAAACGGGCAGTAAAGAGTAAAGTTAATGAAATCCACATCATGTGCCTCTCCCTGCTTGAACCATTCCAGTCTCCAGGGCAATAGAAATAGTGTATGCAATCGCGAGCAATAAAAGGCATAATGAATTTAAAAGCAGGCCATGGGGGCGGGGGGAGTGAGGACGGAGTGCTTGGGCCTTAAAGGCAAGAGGATGCCTGGGGCTGGGAGAGCGCCGGCCTGGAGCTCCAACTAGAACTGGGACCAGAGACATGCAGGCGGCGGGGGTCGGGGGAGTGGGGTGGGATGGGGGTAGGGGTGGCCGAGGGGACGCTAGGAAAGCCGTTCACAACAGCTCCGTGGCCGCTCTCCTTTCCCCTCCACTTCTCCTTAATGAAAGCCCCCTAGCCAGTGGGTGCCAAATTCACAATCAGAATCCACAGGCTTAGAGCCAGGTGCTTGGCGTTTGGTGATTGCTTTATTAGCTTTTCTTCTCCTTTTTTTCCCCTTGGGGGAAAAAAAGGTGTTTTAAACGGAAGGAATTAAAAAAAAAAAGAAAAGAAAAAGAAAAAAAAAACAACCTTGAAAGTGTCATTTAAAAGGCTCCTGGGAAACGAAATCGTTTCTATGAAACAAAACTGCGATTGTTGGGAAGAGGTAAATGCTGGGGGAGGGAGGAGCAGTGCACCCCTCCTTCTCCTTCCAGAGCTCAGAGCTGTGTGGGAGGGAGTTCCCGGCCTTCTAGCGAGGGAGCCCCCAGGATGGCTCCCAGAGCTACAAACAAGGAACCTTAAAATTTGCGTTTCCAGAAATTATATCTCTGGGAATTTCCAGTTTCCCTCTTGAACAGCTATGCCAGTGGGAGACTGTCAGTAGACTTTCAGGGATCTCTTGGAGAGGGCAGTGAGGTACCAGAAGCGTTGTGGCCTCTGAGAGCCCAGCCCCAGGCCCACAGCTGTTGTGGTCTCCCCCGCCCTTTCCAGCCCTCCAAGAGTCATCATTTTCCCCTAAAAATGTCCAGCCGAGTCACATCTGATGGCCTTTTTGCCGGCTTTGGGTTGCACCTTGCTGCTTTCCTCACCCCGGGGTGCTCTGTCCAGCACCGAACAGGCCACCCTCATCTGGTCTGATGAACTCCCCCTTACCCCGGGGAAGGAGAGGCTCTGGGAGCTGGAGAGGCATAGCTCTATGGTCTCAAACCTGCCAAGAGGTGACAGGAGGCAGCGCTGAGGGGGTGGGACGAGTGTAGTGGAGCTCTACCCAGAAAGGAAGCACCCTGAGCCTCTGGGAAGGGCTGCTGCTCTGGCTGGCAGGAACCTGGAAATAGTTAGCCCTCTAGGTGGGTAAATTCCCTCTGCAGCCCCTGCCTGCATGCTCCCAGCATCCCCATCCTTGGGTCAAGGGCTCAGGGAGTGACCTCTATCTTGGAGCTGTGATTGTGCATGCTGGAAATATTCATGGAGGACAGTCCCTCCCACCATCACCTCCCCACCCACACAGAGCAGGAAGCTTGGGGACTGGAGAAGCGAAGGTGTTCACTGTCCATAATTTTATTGCTCAGGGGAATTGATTGTTTTAGTTCCCGAGTCTCCAGGACTAGGGAATGCTGTGACCAGCATTGGCAGGGCCATTTAAGGCTGTGTAACCCAGGGGCCGTGGCTGAGAAGCAAAATGATTCTGATTCAAAGCCAGTCGTGGAAGTTTGCTGAGCTCTGACCCTGGTCTCACACTGAGCCTTGTCTTCCGCTTCCTTCTCATTCTGGATCATCTTGATTATTGCATTCCTGCTCATCCTGCTCTCCTGCCCCTGCTCCACTGCCCCCCATGACCATCATCAGTTCTGGTGAAAAAAAAAAAAAAAAAAAAAAAAAAACCAGTGCCACACACTACACAAACTGGAGAACAACTTGTGAGCCTACAACCAAGTTCTGAATTGAATAGATTCAATTGTTGAAATGCCTGATCACAGTCAGGACTGAGGATAACTTGGGAGGGATAAAATCAATGCTGGGAAGGCTTCCTGGAAGAGGTGACTTTGAGCCTAGACATTTGCATCTGGAGCCAGAAATCCATCCGTAGCTTTGATCTGAATATTGCTCGCTGACAGCCCACTCTTGCTGCTGTCCTTCCAGCTGTGCCTTTGAGCCTCCAAGTAGCAGCACCAGAAAGGTGCCTGCCTTCCTTAGCCTGAACTGCTAGAGCAAGTTATCTGGAGCTGAAACAGCCCCTGTATTCTCTGAAGGACCTGTCTTCATTGTCTGCTCCCTTGTGCTTCCTGGCCCTGTCGTCAGGGTTATGATTGCTGACTCTCCCCCCACTCTCCCCCAGGGAAGCGATTTTCCTCTCCCTTGAAAGCCATTTTCTTGTCTTGGCAGAAGCAGACATCTGACACTTTAAGAGGGAGCATGGTGGGGAGATGATGGCTTTAAATAACAGAAATTAGAGCTGCCGAGTTCGACTCAGCCATCTCGCCAGTCCCCTTTCCCCTCCCTCGCACACATTCAGAACTGCAGCCTGAAGAGCATCGTCCACGTGGCCTGTGGCTCAGGTGGCCAGGGCACTCTGGGACCTGGAGAGCAGGGGACAGCTTCTTCCGAGTTCACAGCTTTTGTGTGCCTAGTCCTGTGACAAACTGTAGGACACCAGGCCCTGAAGTCAGGGAGCTTGCAGTCTAAGGGAACAGAATGTCACCTAGGAATGCAGGTGACATGCATTTTATTTTACAAGATCAGCACTCAGCACAGAGCTGGGTGTGCAGGAAGTGGTCAAAAGTATGTGTTGATTGACTGATGAATGAATTAATGGACAGAGGCCATAGTGGGCCATGTCAACAGGCTGAGTGACTGGGCAAGAGAAGCTGGTCCCTGGGTCCCTGCGTCCTTGGTCATCCTCGTAGTTATCCTGGTACATGCTGCCCTATCACTTGGCCTAAACCACAGCTCAGATCTGGTCTTTCTCCCGCACAAACCCTGCACAAACCCCTCTGGTGTTCCCCACTGCCTCCTGAAATGAACATCCACCTCTGCTCTTCCTGGTGCCCTCGACTCCCTCCACTTTCTCCCATCCCCAGGCCCTCTCCCAGCCTGACAGTCCACCACCTGGGCTCCACTTCAGCACCAGACCAATGCACTGCAGGGAGAGAAGCACCGCAGATGGGCCAAGAGCCTTTGGTTGTCAACTTCTGGCTCCAATCTCTGCTCATCTTCTACTGCCAGCGGAACCTCTCCCTTCCTCTTAGCCAGTGTATCATGGTCCCTCCTCCTGGAATACCCTCCCCAAAGCCCAGTATTGCTATCCCTAAGTCTTACCCACTTGGCAGGCAGTCGGCGGAGTTAGCATTTAACAAATGTCTGATGGATGAATGAATGGATAAAAGGGTAAATGAAGGAATGAATGGGAAGATTCACCTCAAATAAACCCTCTTCCAAGAAGCCGTTCCTAGTCACCAAAATCTGACATGTACAATCCCTCACCAGAACTCTCCTGCCAGGCATGCCCTACAGGACCATAGATGATACCCTCACTATACCCAACTGTCTTCAAGCCAGGCGACACCCTGAGCTTAGGTGCTGTCACTTTTGGATTCTGTGCACTATTATACACTAAGGTTTCCAGGAAATGTTGTTGACATTAAATGGCATCAAGCATACCTTGGGCCTGTTTCTCCACCTGTCAAATGGGCTACTACTTGCTCTACCAGCTTCTATCTGTGCTGGCGTGAGGCCTACTAGACATGCTGTCTGGTCACAGAACATGGTCATAGGGGAGAAGCCTCCTATATTTCGGATAAGGACTAGACTCTCTCACCTGGGTCCTGGGTTGGGGTTGAGCCCCTCCTGGTCAGGGTGGATGCTAGATGGGCTTGAGGGTGGGCACACAGAGGAGGCTTCTGTCCCCTGGTCACTCGGGGCCTCCCACAAAAACTGGTGAGAACGAGGTTGGGAACTGAAGGGTCTCAGGGGACACTAACCCACAGGGCAAAAGAAACCCCACTTGGTTGGCTCCCTGCTCTGTGTGGCCTTTGCCCCATTTTCTGTCTGCCCATTGTAACTGGGACTCCCATGTCCATCCTCAGACTGCACGTTCCTCAGACTGAACATGGCAGCCTTGGGAGCTCTGCTGCTCTGCTCAGCTCAGCTCAGGACAGGGGGTAGCCTGGCTTATCACGGAGGCTGGGTCTTGTACCCGGTGAGCCCAGAACCTGAACTGGGACCAGGGAAGCACCCACCTGCAGTATGGGGAGCTGGGGCTCTGGGCATGGTGACATCAGTTCTGGCTGGCCAGCCCTGGGAGGGCTGTCTGAGACTGGAGGCTGAGGGCCCCGGTGGACGTGGAAGGCCACACTGTAGGCCAGGCTCCCACAGTGTCGGGCTGTGGGGTCCGTGCTAGCCCGGAGCAGAGCCAGGTTGCCACAGTAGCGGTACAGGTCCTCGTGATCCTGAGCCTTTGGGTTCATGCGGGGTTGGTCTGGCCTCGGGTAGATGGGGAAGATGGCCTCACCCACCCGCTGGGCTGCCCGTCCCAAGGGTTCGTCCAGCCTCAGTGCCTCCACATGCAGCTGAGCATCATGCTGCCCGTCATTCTTGCAGAAACCTGGATGAGGGAACACAGGGCTCAGAGATGGTCTCAGGTTTCTCTGCATCTGCCAGGTGACTAGGAGGACAGGCAGGGCCCTGGGGAAACCTGGGCTGCCCAGACTTTGAGTCAAAGCCAAGCAGTCTTGGCTAAGATTTCCCTGGTAGGCGACTCCCTCCTAGGCCCCACCCATGGCTCCCTCCCTTTGCTGATGCCCAATCCAAGCCCACCGGGCAGGGGTGAGGAAGGGAGGGCTTAGCCTGTGGGATGATCCTAGGTCCTGCCACCACCATAGACTCCTAGACTGGGGAAGAGTTCAGCCTGCCCCTGATTTATAGCCATTTAAAGTCTGGGACTTGGTTTCCCTGTTCCCTCACATCCCTCCTCCTCCAGGCAGCCTGCCAGGGTGGCCTTAGTCTAGGCATGGATTTCCTTCTCATTCCAGCTCACTTTACTTTTCTCTGCTTGGAGTTCCTTCCTCTCCACCTGCTCTGGAAGTTCCAGAAGGCAGGGCCCAGGTCCCCTCATTTCTGTCCACCCCAACATACCCACAATCTAGTGGGGCTCAGGGACAGGCACACAGGGCTGAGTATAATATTACTCGGTGTAATGTCCACTGCTCAGGACTGGCCCCCAAACCCACTGTGTGCTCAGCACTTTTACATTTACAAAGCCATCTCTCATCTGCCCTTCTATTTCCTTCTCACCTGACCTTGCGTGACAGGCACCAGTGTCCCCATGCCACACTGAAGGAGGCACGGGTTACAAAGGCCCAGAATTTGCCCAAGGTCACACCGGCAGAGCTTTGGGATGCAGTCTGGAGCTCTGACCCCACCCTCCCAGTTCTCCTGAGGCTCTCTGGGGTCCCAGAAAGGGACTCAGGCAGGAGTTCCAGGGTCTTTCTCTCCCCCAAACCCCACCCCTACTTCATACCTTTGGGCAAAGTAAAGATAAACTTGCTCCTGGTGAGGGTGAGGCTCTGGCCAGGCTCCTGCTGCTCAATGACATCAGTGATAGCAGAGCAGGCAGGGAAGGGGTCCCCATCATTCACTTGCAACTGCACCCCAGCCCCAGAGCCCACCTGCAGGGGGTTCTCTGCTGACAGTCTCAGGGCGTATCTACCCGCCTCATTAAACCCCACGCTCAAAACTTCGAACTCCAGATCCAGCGTCTTCTCCTCGGCCTTCAGCCTCTGTCTCAGCAGGGATGCAGAGACCCAGGGTTCAGGCCCCCTGAATGCCATGGCCACTGAGAGACCAACTGCCAGGCTGAGCACTGCACCCTCTCACCCACAGCCCAGCCTGGACCCAGTCTGAAAGCCTGCAGGCTGGGTGCTCAGGGACACTCCCCACCCACCTCTGTTTGTTTGAGGAGAAACCAGGTAACAAGGCAGGAAGCTGGGCCTGACCCAGGGAAGTTTTTTTCCATCGATCCCTTCCTTTTAGCATTTGTTCCTTCAACAAATATTTCTTGAACACCTACTGTGTGCCAGATACTATTTTAGGCATTTGGAATCCAGCAGTGAACCAAACAATAACTCCAGCCCTCTGAAGCTTATCTTCTAGTGGGGGAGGTGGGTAGAGACAGACAAAAATAAACACTAAATATGGAAAATAAGTAAATTATAATGTATGCTAGAAGATGTTAAGTTCTATGGAAAAAATTAGAGCAGGGACAAGGAAGAAGATTCTGGTGTGGGGAGCTCATGGGTACGTGGTATCCAGAACTTCCCATTCTGGGAGAGCCTGTTCATATGCCTATTCTTTCTCAAGAGTTCTTGACTTGGGGTGTAGGGGAGTCTCAAGGGAAGGGAGACAGTGTCTATTCTCAGGGAGCAAGCCCTTAGTTTACCTTTTTTTTTTTTGAGATGGAGTCTTACTTTGTCACCCAGGCTGGAGTGCAGTGAGCCAAGATTGCACCATTGCACTCCAGCCTGGCAACAAGAGCGAAACTCCATCTCGGGAAAAAAAAAAAAAGTGGTATTGGCCAGCCCAGCTACAGGTCCCAATGTATACAGCAGGCTTCCTCTGCAATGATTAAAATTCAGTTTCTTCAGATCCCCCAGGGAGAAGCTGAGACAAAGAGTTCTAGTCGCCTGACTTGTAAGTGAAATTCAGGAGATCCCTTCTGTTTGGGTGTCAGTGTGCCCATCTGTATGATTGGGGTAGTGGGGCAGATAAGTCATCTCTCAGCTCTGATAGTCTGAAATTCTATAATTCATGTCGGGAAAGACCACAGTATGGCCATTTTGGGGAGAGGGTAGGTGGCAGAGACTACCTGGAAACCTTTGCCTCAGCGGCTGGGCATGGCCAACCAGTGTGGGTCTGGAGGCGGTGGTGTACCTCTGCCAGGTCTGAGGTCTTGGAGCTTAGTGACTCAGTAATAGCAGCTCTCTTCCCTTGCATATTTGAAGTGACCAGCAGAAATGTTACAAGATAGGAGTCCAGTTGCTTCTGCCCTAGGGCCAACCTTTGTGCACGTATCCTGGCCCCATCCCCTGCAAGCAGGGCCCACGCTCAGAATCACGCCGGTTTATCCCGAGTCCCTTCAATACTTCCCACATACCCCTTGCTCTCCCTTCTTTCCCTCCCTCCAACTTTTTTTCTTTCTTTCTTTCTTTCTTTCTTTTTTTTTTTTTTTGGTGAGATCGAGTTTTGCTCTTGTTGCCCAGGCTGGAGTGCAGTGGCGAGATCTCGGCTCACTGCAACCTCTGCCTCCCGGGTTCAAGCGATTCTCCTGCCTCAGCCTTCTTCAGTAGCCGGGATTACAGGCATGCGCCACCACGCCCGGCTAACCTCCCTCCAACTTTCTACAAAGAATCTGAGGTGGCTCTGTTGGCCTTAGCAAGGTTTTAGGATCCTCCACCACCTAATGTCCACACCCACTCCTATTTCTTGCCTCCCCTCTCCCATTATCTCTGGGGAAGGTACTTTTTTTTGGTGTGTGTGTACAGTTACTTTTTAAAAAAAAATTGTAGTCAAATACACATAACATAAAATGTACCATCCTAACCACTTTGAAATGTGCAGCTCAGTGGTGTTAAATAAATTTACATTGTTGTGCAACCAATCTCCAGAACTCTTTTCATCTTGCAAAACTGAAACTCTACACCCATTAAACAACAACTTCTTCCACCTCCCCCCAGCTCCTGGCAACCACCATTCTACTTTCCGTCTCTGTGAATTTGAATACTCAGTGCTTCATAGAATTGGAATCTTACAGTATTTGTCTTTTCACAAATGGCTTATTTCACTTAACATAATGTCCTGGGGAAGGTTCCCTTTTGCTCCAGGCCAGGTCTGCCCTTTCTCACCTCCCTACCCTTGCTGGTGTGATTTCCACTACCCAAACTGCCCAGCTCCACCCGACAGCAGCCCTACTCATCCTGCAGACTGGCTAAAAGCCTCCTCCCCTGTGACCCGGGTTAGTGACTCCCTCCTCCATCCCATTTTGCATTTTCCTCTCCTGTCTCAAATGATGACTTGCCCACACAAGTCATCATTCATTGCCCTGAATGTTGTTTCAGGAATCATGTTTGTGTGCCCACGCTGGGCGAGGGATAGGTGCCTGGGAAATGGTTAAAGCATTATGGATGAATAAATGAATGAATGCATGAATGAATGAAGTGATGAAGAAATTCAACCCAGCTTCTACTTATGCAGAAAGGAATAAGAGTTCTTTTGGCTATTTCATTTGGAGTCCATCTGTGACAAGCAAAGACCATTTGGGCTTTTGAGTCAAATTTAGACTCAGAGATGCAACCTGGTGCCTCAGTGGGCAAGCAGGTGGTGAGGAGGGAGGGTACCAGTGTTGGAGGGTAGTAAATAGGACAGGAGGCAGAAACCCTGATGCTCAGGCATCTCTGAGTCTGGCCTCAGTTCTATGTAGAAATCTGGAAACATCAGTGAATTTCAGCAAGTCAGGGCTAGACGGCAAGCCCATTTTACAGATGAAGAAACTGAGCCCAGGGCCGCAGGGCAGCACCAGATCCCTCCTCCCTTCTCAGGGTTCTCTCTACTCCTGGCTGCCTCCCTGATTCAGCCTCCCACGGTTTTCAAAAAGTTTAAACTCCAGGTGAGACTGTCTCTGGGGGGCAGGGCCTGGTTCCCCAGAGGGGTTCAAGAAGGGGTAAGGGATGTGGGCTGGGGTGAGTGGAGGGAGGCAGGAAGGGAGCAGCCTTGGAAGGCGAACTTCCAAGCCACCTTCCAAAGTCCCAGCGTGAAAGACCTTAATGGGGCCCTCCAGTCTTCTTTCTTCCCCCAAAGAATGGCCACTCAGAGGCCGCTGGCTTTGTTTGGAAGAGCCAGGGCCTATAATTAGCCCACCCCAGAGGGCCCCCTTCCTGCTTCCCACAATGGCTCCTTTCAACCTCCCCCGCTGACACACCCCCATGGCCCCTGAGGGCTCTGAGACCCCTATCTTCAACGATCCACCTCCAACTCCCTCCCCACCCCCACTTTACTTCCTTCCTCTAGGCAGAGCTGAATCCTGGCAAGCAGGGAGCCCATGAGTTCTCTGGAGCCAAGGATCTGGGGCTGGGACTCATCTCCTTCCACAGGCGCAGAATCTGAGGTGCAGAGAGAGCACGTGGCTAGTGAAGGGATAGACCTCTGATCTCCTGACTCCTGGGCCACTGCGATTAGGTGATCATGCGATCATCACTGCTCCACCCTGGGCCTTCAGCACCCAGCCCCCTGCAGCAGCCTCCCTTCCCCCGCAGGGGTACGTCACCCCAGGCCCACTTCCCACTCCCTTCCCTTCAAGTCCACAGTGCCAGAGGCCCACAGGGCAACAGGATCACAGGCTCAGACCAGCAAAGGGAAGAATGGCAGCCAGTCTCCCTCCGTCACACAAATGGGAAAACTGGAACCCCGAACACGGAGGGGCTTGCAGCGGCCAGGGGAAAGCTTCCCCACCACCCTCTGAAGGTTGGCTAGAAATCACCAACAAGAGGCAGGTGAATAGGAGGAAAGGTGTACACCTTATTAACATGTACACAGGAGCCTTCAGAACAAGGACCCAGAGATACAGGGAAAATTGTCCACTTTTATGCTGAGTTTCAAGGACACATGGACAGCTGTGTAGCGATATGACTGGACAAAAAGGGCAATGATCGAATGTGAATAGACGGAGTGGGGACACCCAGCAAGGCCTGTCTCTCTGGATTTCTTCCTGGCCCCTCTGAGCATGCATTTCTTCCTTCTGGGTGTGGGTATGGGGCAGGACTTTCTGGAATGGAGGTCTGACCTACAATCAAACAAGGTAGGCCTGAGAATTTTTTTTGTTTTTTTTTTTTTTAGAGACAGAGTCTCGCTCTCTCGCCCAGATTGGTGTGCAGTGGAGCGTTCTCGGCTCACTGTAACCTCCGTCTTCCAGGTTGAAGCGATTCTCCTGCCTCAGCCTCCCAAGTAGCTGGGATTACAAGTGTACACCACTACTGCCTGGCTAATTTTTGTATTTTTAATAGAGACGGGGTTTCATAATGTCGGCCATGCTGGTCTTGAACTCCTGACCTCAAATGATACACCCGACTCGGCCTCCCAAAGTGCTGGGATTATAGGTGTGAGCCACCATGCCCCACCTAGGCCTGAGAATTTATTTGTGGCCAGTTTTTACACAGAAATTGGGGAAAGTTAGAGTTTGTAGGCTTTATGGCTAGCTTTGGGGAAAAGGGGTTTTGATTTCTATAACCCGCCTTGAGGAGGAGGGATTCTCTTTTCTATGTCCGTCCTTGGGGGAAAACGGGCCTGAGACACAGGAGGGCAGGAGAAGGCTAGAAGGTCACTTTTGCTTCTGAGGCTTTCATTTTCGGGTGTTATTTTCTGAGTTCCAACAGGCTGCATTTGTGGTCACTCAGCTAGTAAGTAGTAAAAACAAAATTAGAAGCCTCGTCTCTTCCTTCCACCGAGGGGCCTGGCTACTTTGAAGCTTTCTGCCATGAGTAGTAACTGTGATCCTGTCTGCCACGCCAGTGCCATTGGATGGCACTCCGTTCCTCTCTTGGCCTCCTGCTCCGGGCTCCAGCACCAAGCACTGTCAGGAAAGTCTTGGGTCATCCCTCAAGTCCTTTTGCTCTGACCTCCAGCTGAGCAGGAGCTGGAGGAGGGGAGCTAGGGCAGCATCAGTGATCCCTGGGCTTGCCCTGACAGCCCCCCTCTGCCAGACTTGCCTTGGAGGGGCTAAAGTTCTTGGTCTGGCGGGAGGGAGAAGGTAGCCTTACTGCTCAGCAGCACTGACCTTTGTCTTCATGTGCCCAGTTGCTTGGCTGCTCCACCAGGCTCTGAAGGCACAAACCCCTGAGACGGTGTCCAAGCCCAGGGCCCTGTAGACTCTGCGGATCCCGAGACCAGCGCCACTCATCCTGCAGCACTGGGGACAGACAGAGCAGGTAAGGCGGGAAAGAGGGCAGGAGATGGCAGGGGCAGCACTGAGTCAGCACAAGACAAGGCCCAAGATCAGAGATTTAGGCATGGCCCAGGCTAGCTTAGAAAAGGTACTGCCTAAAACCTTTAGGAGGAGAGACACAAACTTCACAGCCAGACTGGGGAGTGGGGAGCAAAACAAAGAGCAGGAGAGAGAAACAAAAAGGAAACAACAGAGAGAGTGATAGAGAGAAAACACAGAGTTAGACAGAGAAAGAAGGAGGAGGAGAGACAGAAGGAAAGTAGAGAGAGACAGAAGGAAAGGAGGGAGACTGAGTCAGACACAGAGAGGGTGAAACAGAGAGTGGCATACCAGGGACAGGCAGAGAGACTGATGGACAGGGGCAGAAAGGCAGACAGGAGGACAACCAGATAGAAAGAGAGAAAGGGGCTGAGCACCGTGACTCATACCTGTAATCCCAGCACTTTGGGAGGCCGAGGTGGGCAGATCACCTGAGGTTAGGAGTTCGAGACCAGCCTGACCAACATGGAGAAACCTCATCTCTACTAAAAATACAAAAAAATTCAGCCGGGCATGGTGGTGCATGCCTGTAATCCGAGCTACTCGGGAGGCCGAAGCAGGAGAATCGCTTGAACCCAGGAGGCGGAGGTTGCAGTGGACTGAGATAGCACCATTGCACTCCAGCCTGGGCAACAAGAGCCAAACTCCATCTCAAAAAAAAAAAAAAAAAAAAAAAAGCCAGGGGCAGATATTGACAGAGAGACCCAGCAGTAGGCAGGGGTTCTGCTGTGTTATCAGACAGAGTATTGAGAGGTGTGTCCCAATCCTGCAATTTGGCTTAATCAACACTTGGGGCCTTCCCTCAATCCCAGAAGGAGTCTCCCAGCCATAGAATGAAACGGAGTCCAAGCTCTAGGAAGGAATGTTCTTGGGGGAAAAAGCAGTGAGGTGTGTGTGTGTGTGTGTGTGTGTGTGTGCGTGTGCGTGCGTAGTGGTGGGGGGGAATCTCTGGCAAAACTTCCCCTAGGTCAGTCACTGACCCTGGCACATCATGTGGCCTCTCTGGGCTTAAGTTTCTTTTGGATGTGTTGGAGTCTGGGGTACAGCAGGAGTCTCCTTCAGCCTTATAATCTGGCCTTAGCTAAGGCTCTGTCTTTGCCAGTAACTTACTGCTCTATTCTACTTAACTCATGACTTCTATCTCATAGTCCAAGATGGCTGCCTGAGATCCAGCTATCACAACTGTTTTTCACCCAGCTAGAAGGAGGAGGGGGTAAAGAGAACACCTCTCTTTTTGAGAACACAACCTGGGAATTGTGCTCAACACTCTTTTTCCAAGTCACTGGCCAATACCTAGTCTAAGGGCTACATCTAGCTTCAAGGGAGACTGGGAAGTGTGCAATATTGGGCTGGGGACGGAATCAAATTCACACAGCTCAGTGATGCCTTCACAGCTCCTTACTCACAGCAGGCTTATTTAAAAAGAATTACACATGCAGTATGAGTTTTAAAATATGCATTTCAAACAAGTGAAAAATCCTGCTTCATTCTCCAAAATTCACCCCTCCCCCAAGTGTGACCACTGTGAACAGTTTGCTGTGTGTCTGCCAGATTCACTTTTTATGTGTACACACATACATACACATATGTCTACCTAGTTAAAGAAGCATAAAATGAGATCACGATTTATGTATTGTTCAGCAACTTGCTTTCTTGGTTACTGTTACTTGGCAATATGTCTTGGAGGTTCTGCCACGTCAGTCCAGAGAATTACCTCATTCTTTTTATCAGCAAAATAGTACTTCAGTGTGTCAACTTATCAGCATTGATGGATGGATATTGGGGTTGTTGCCAATTATTTTTGCCATTACAAACGGCCTTGGGAATTTTGTCTCCATATATATGCATGCAGGCATTCCTTGGGAATGGATTCCTAAAAGTGTGCCAAAGGTTAATTTTCTCTTTATGTGGGTTTAACCCTTTGGAACTAAAAATCCTCTTCTCCATGGACAAGATGGTGATCAGATCCAAGCTGGCTGGCTGCTTCCCTTTCTCGGCTTGAGCTGCTCTCTCTCTCCCTCTCTCCCTGCCTCTCCTGGGCAGGCCTGGCTCTGGCATTGTCCTTCTCTCTTCCAGGGTCTTTTACTATCATTGGAAGCCAATCTCACATACAAAAGCCTGTGGTCCCACCTTTTTATAGATGGCACTCCCTTTCTCCTTCAAGGAAGAGACTGCCTCTCCAGGGCCCTTCTCCTGAGAATTTAGGGCCCCGCTTCTTGGCCCGGCCTTTATCTACTCTCTCCCTGCCCTGCTTGCCACAGCACCTAGGTGGAGCACCCTCTGAGCACCATTTCCTTCCCCAGTCTTGTCTGCATCCCTGCAGGATACCCCCTCTAGGAAGGGGAGGGAGGGGTAGGGAGAGCCTGTGCTCAGGTGAGGGGGGATGCAGCCGACTGTCCAGCAGCGTTGGAGGTTGCAGGCATGTACTTGGGGTGAAGAGCAGGACTCCAGAACCCCAGCCTGTCTGTGAGAAGTGAGAAATAGAAGAGAAAGCTCCGAGGGGGCCTTTTTCACTTCCCCTGGGAATAGATCATACCTGGAATTCCAGCCCTGAAGCCCTGTGATGACTCCCCTTAGCTGTGGTCAGGGCCCTCAGCCCAGCTGGGCAGCAGCAGGATGCAGATCCGGTTATTAAGAGCCGAGCTGGTGGTTCCCCTCTGGCAATTCATCAGGCAGTGGCCCCCTGGGAGTGATGGATGGGGACAAATGGAGGTAAGTAGGGGGTTCCTCAGCTTCTCTAAGGCCACATCTGGGGAAACTCAGCCATCAAAGCCCTGTGCAGGCTTCTCCACTGAGGTGACTCTGAGGGCCAAGGAGATCAAGTTTCGAGCAAACGGTTTGGGGGTGTGGAGAGGCTATACCGCTGGAGACAAGCCGCCCTGTGTGTTGTGTGGGGCCCCAGCCCCTGCTCTGTGCCTGAGCTGGAGATGGGGGTGGGGTGGGTTCCTCTGATCCCGGAATCAAGGGCGGGAGGTCTGTGAGGGCAGGAGGAGGGGCAGAGCCAGACTGGAGAAGGGGGGAGCTGCCTTCCGGGAGGAGCAGATCAAACACCTTTTAAAGCAGGTGCTGGGGACACTTCTCAGGGCCAACTGCCGAGACCACACAACCAGCCACCCCTCTAGGATCCCAGCCCAGCTGGTGCTGGGCTCAGAGGAGAAGGCCCCGTGTTGGGAGCACCCTGCTTGCCTGGAGGGACAAGTTTCCGGGAGAGATCAATAAAGGAAAGGAAAGAGACAAGGAAGGGAGAGGTCAGGAGAGCGCTTGATTGGAGGTAGGCTGGAGCCAAGTCTGGGAGGCCAGGTGGGATTGGAACAGGTCGGGGAACAGCGAGAAGGCACATGGGGTGTGCGGTGGGAAGTGAGCAGGAGTCAGAGCCTAGGGGCAGGAAGTGAGCAGAGTGATGGGCTGGAGCAATTCTGATGAGTAAGTTTGGAGACCTGGGGTGGGCTGCCCTCAGGGGACACTGGGGGGCTAGCAGGAGCTCCAAAAGGCAGGAGACATTCGCAGAGTCCTGTCTGAGTTGGATCTGACTGGCTGTGGGCAAAAGGTTGGTGGAGAGCCCTGTCCTGTGGTCAGCAAGGGAACAAGGAGAGAGAAGTCAGGGGATCTGCCCAGCAGTCAATGTCCTCAGTGAGGAAGGAGGGCAGCACAAAGCCTACATCTCAAGGCCACACCACGGTGGCCAGCCCAGGGAGGAACGTGCTGGGAACGGAGAACGTGGGGCTCTTATAGCTGGGGAATCTTCATGGCCTTGTGTCTAGTCCTCCGAAGGCAGGAAGCCCTCTGTTGCATCTTGATGTTAACAGCCTCTTCTTGATTGCCTCCCTTGATGGGGGCCTCACTACTCTAGAAGGCTACCTTTGTTCTGAGCTGAAATCTGCCTCCCTCCTCCAGGTCAGTACTAGCCTAGCCCTCTGGGAGGGAAAGAACATGCTGCTCCCCTGGCACAGCCGGCTACCCTCCTCCTCCTCACCAGTGTCCACCCTCATACCAGAACAGCCTGGTCTAAATCCTTTATGTTATGATGATGCTGTTGGTGAGGGGGGCATGAGAATTGCAGGAAGGGCACATCAGATGGTGCTTCTGACCCTCCCACATGGCAGGGGAGGTAGGAGGTAGAGAGACAGGAGGTGGAGAGTCACCCATACTCTTCCTGCCGTGAGCACGGCAGCCGACGACACTGCCTTCCAGCCCACTGTGTGGAGTCAGACTTGGTCTGGTGCCAGAATTAAGCACGTATGTGTGCGAAGGGCAGTTGGATGTGTGTGTGAGTGTGCTGTGCCACTGAGGGCACACCCCAAGCTCACGGGCCCGCATGAGGTTGACTCTCTCGGCTGCTTATTCATGGACTCTCAAGGGGACTGGGCTGCACAGGTGGGCACAGTGGCCATCCCCCCACTCCTGGAACGCCTCTCTTGCGTGTTCTCTTCCGTGCTATCGAAGTTGGGGGTGTACCTGAGGTTTGAGTATTGTAAACTATTGGGTTTGCTGCTGGACTCAGAGTCAAGGGCTGAGATGGGAGGGTGGAGAGCAACGGGGGTCTCTGGCCTTTCTGCAAATGGTCACAGGCTTTTGAACATCTTGTTCCAATCTGTGGTTGATTTGCCAGAGTTTGAGTTTGCCAGAGTTTGAGTGTCCTGAGGTGTTGCAGTGGTTCTGATGTGTTACTGAAGGTCTGGGGCTTCTTGGGGGCAATACTGAGGTTGCAGGGCTTCTTATGGCATTACTGAAACTCAGAAATGTTGCTGAGATTCTGGAGGTTCTCTGGGAGATCTGGGAGTCCTTGAGGGGATGTTTCTGAGGTTCTGGGGATGCTGCTGGCCTTCCCCATTCCTTCTGGCCTGCTGTTAGCTTCTTCTAAGCTTGGCACTTTGCCCTTTGAGGATTTGATAATCACAGGCTCCCGCAGAAATGCACGTGGGCCTCTGCTCCTGGATGCAAAAATTCCTCAGGTTTAATCAACTTGAACAAAAACATGAGAGGAAGGAAGCCCTGTCCCAAGGCCTTCATGGGCCAGCTCCAACCCGAGGGGCATAGCAGCTCTGTGCCAAGCCCAAATGGCAGATGGCCTTCACTGGCTCAGAGTCCAGAAGCTTTTTAGGACCTCCTCCCATAGTGAGCAGGGCTTAGCCACCCGCCAATCTGTGCCCAGTTGGGAGACCTGCTGGTTTGAGCTGCTCCTTGGATACTGGCATCAGCCTCATCTGAGTGCCCACGTGGGTTCATGCTGGTCACAGCGAGGGAGCCCTGCCCTGACCCTTATGCTACTCTCTCCTTGTCTCTCAGACTTCCCTTCTTGGCACTCCTGAGACACGTGTCAATTCATTCTTGTTACCATTCCAGATCTTCCATGGCTTCAGGGCCCTGCTCCAGGCCCCCTCCTCCAGGGAGCCTGCAAGACTGCCCAAGCCATCTCCTCCTTTCCCTCCCCGCTCCTCAGGCTTTGGCAGTTCTGTCTTTTGAGCACTTTTGCTCTCCTGAGGGCAGGGCTGGGCCTTCCTGGGTATCAGTGCCCCTTTAAAGCCAGCTCCAGAGGGCAGGCCCTTGACTCTGCTGCCCAGGCCTTTGGAGAAATTCTTCAGGGGCACATCATTACCATCCTTCTCTTCCTAACACTTCTTGCCTCCTGCCGTCTTCCCAGGTAGCATCTTTCTTAACAGCTCAGAGCCGAGCCTCCCATTTTGCAGATGGGAGCTCCAAGCGATTCTAGCCCCAAGCTGAGGAGGTACCTTGGGCTCAAGAAGTGGGCTCACCTTGCAGCTTGAGCCACGCGGCCACCCGCTATCCATGGATCTTCAACCCAGCCTGCCCACCCTGCCCGCACCAGACTGGGCAGGGCAGCTGGGGGCCAGGAGGGGGCAGGTGGGAGGCAATGGGGGCACCTAGGAAGTCACAACCACTCTCTGTGACCTTCTTGTTACAACTGGTTACTGGTGTGCAGGGACGGGGGCCTTGTGGGGAGAGTTCACAACTGGAGAATCTCCAGGCCGGATTTGAGAGAGGACAGTGAGACCCACAGAGAGGAAAAGACTCACTCAAGGCCACATAGCCAGTCCCAGGGTTCAAATCCGGCTAGGTGGCCTCCCCAACCAGGCGTTCTCCACTGCCATGCAGAAACCTGGCCCTTACCTCTGGACCTTCCAGCTATGCCCTGGCCAAAGTACCAGGCACAAGGCTGCGCTCTGCTTGCTAGGCCCCCACCAGGGGAAAAGGACGAAGCTCACCATTTCCTCCCCTCTGCTTAGGGCCTCCCTTGGTGGCCTCTGTGTCTTCCCATGAGGAGGGAGGTGGTATTGTTGGCACTGGGCTCTCCGTGGGGGGTGGGGAAGGGACTGTGCCTGGGCTCAGCTGGGGTCCCTTTCTGCCAGCCTGGCTGCAGCCCCTGGGCAGATGGAGGCTCCTTCAGGCAACCTGATTGCCTTTCTTCAGTGCCCGATATGGTTTGGATGTGTGTGCCCTCCAAATCTCATGTTGAAATGTGACCCCAGTGTTGGAAGTGAGGCCTGGTGTGTGGTGTTTGGGTCATTGCGGGGTATCCCTCCTGAATGGCTTGGTGCCCTCCCTGTGGTAATGAGTGAGTTCTCGCTCTATCAGTTCATGTGAGAGCTGGCTATTTGTAAGTGCCTGGCATCTCTCCTGCTCCCTCTCTTGCCAAGTGTCCTGCCTGACCCCCCTTCACCTTCCATCACGATTGTGGGTTTCCTGAGGCCCTCCCCAGAAGCTGATGCTGGTGCCGTGCTGCTTCCTGCACAGCCTGCAGAACTGTGAGCCACATAAACCCCCTTTCCTTCTAAGTTACCCAGAGTCAGGTTTTCCTTCACAGCAATGCGAAACAGATGAACACAGTGCCCAACTGGTACCTCCCTCTCTCCCCTCTGGTATCAGCAACACACCACCTTCTCAGTGAGGCCTTCCCTGACCACCTTGTCTCAAACAGCCAACTCCCGTCTCTCTTCTCTTCCCCCACTTCACTTCCCCTCTGGTGTTGTCTCCCCTAAGCCCTACCATACATCAGGTTCCATTTGGTGCAGGCCTTGACTCATCTTGCTCGCTGCCAAACCAGCCTGGGGAAGGCAGAGTTAGGCTTCCTCCAAGGAAGAGGATGGTTTCTTTTCTTTCTTTCTTTCTTTTTTTTTGAGATGGAGTTTGCCTCTTTTGTCCAGGCTGGAGTGCAGTGGCACGATCTTGGCTCACTGCAACCTCTGCCCCCTGGGTTCAAGCGATTCTCCTGCCTCAGCCTCCCTAGTAGCTGGGATTACAGGTGTGCGCCACCACGTCCGGCTAATTTTTTGTATTTTTAGTAGAGATGGGATTTTGCCTTGTTGGCCAGGCTGGGTCTCTAACTCCTGACCTCAGGTGATCCACCTGCCTCGGCCTCCCAAAGTGCTAGGATTACAAGTGTAAGCCACCACACCTGGCCAAAGGGCATGGTTTCTGATAGGCAAGGATGTCTAACCCCTGACACTGCTGCCTTGTAGAGGGAGTGGGCTCCCTGTCTGGAACTGGACTCCAATGGTTGGAGGTGGATTTAAAATCAGATGGGAGTTGGCTGCTCCCTAAGGTAACAGTCTGAGACCCCTGAGCAGGGAAGGGCTTGCTGGCCTCTGGTGTGGGCACGGGGACTCTGGGAAGCCCAGCTGGTGAACCTCAGGGCACAGCAGCCGCCTGTATAGGACAGGCCCACAAATGAATACTGGCCGCCAGAACAAGCAATGGCTTTGCCAAGCTCAATTTCTGAAGTCCCTCTTACCCAAGGGCCAGGCGCTGAGCATCAGGGGAAGGCAGGAGGAGGGGTGGGAGGGATAGAGTCCCGCCCTCCGGGAGCTCACACTCGCGCCTGGAAGGCAAGTTTCCCGCATCCCTGGGATCAGAAGGGCCAGTGTGGGCTCCTCATTACATCAAATAAAGCTCGGGTTCAGCTCTGAGTCAGCAGATGCTGATATCTCTGTGGGATGGTGGAGAGCAACAGAGCCCTCTTCCTGCAAGAAGGGCCATTTGGGAAGAAGGGGGAGGAACTCAGGCTAGCAGGGTGCTCAGCCCCTAATCCTGCCCTGCAGGCTTGGGAATTTGAAAGAGAGCCTCCAGGATTTCAAGCCCTGTCTACTCTGAGACTTCACCCGTGCTGTTTCCTCTGTGGGGAACACACTTTCCCCCACCCCCATCCCCATCCTGAGCCTGCCACCCTCTGCTCAGCGGACTTTCCCCTGCCCTTCAGATCACCACGGAAAGGTTCTTTTCTTCAGGAATCTCCCCCCATCCCCAAATGCTCTTGGACTAAATTTGGTTTCCCATGGTACAGACCAGCTCAACCTGTGATTCCCTTTGTAACCCTCAGACTTTGGAGGGGATTTAGTTATCTGGCTGTGTCCCCGCTGAACTGTCATCTCTCCTGCCTCAGGGCTCAGAACAGTGCTGGCACATAGTGTGTGTTCAATAAATTTAAGTTAAAAGACTAAATGAATAATGTCTTCTTAAAAAAGCTGTTGAATGACTGCCTTAGCTGACAGGGTCCAAGCCGAAGCCCCTTGTAGGGTATTGGAAGGACAGAGACCCTCACAGTTTTAGGGGCCTAAACCTCCACCAGGGACAGTGGCCTGAGAACTGCTTTCTACCTTCTTCTGCCTCTCGCCCCTTCCTCCAGGCTGGGGCAGGGTCCTGCTCCTGGGGAGGGAGAATGCGGAGGAGCCCTCCTCCCTGGCCCAGACCTTCCCTTGCTCACCCTCAACCTCACTCCAGGAGGAGCAGGAGGCAGGCGGGGCTCCTCTTGCCTACCCGTGGGTCTGGTTTGTGTTTAAAGAGCTAATTTCCGCCTTGTGGGGGTGAGTTATCTCCTTGTGAAATCAACTTGTAGGAACAAAAAGGGTTTACCAATGAGACACATGTTGCCTCCTTCATGGAAACCCTAGGAGAAGAAACGGACAGATTCCCCTTCCCTGCCTCCGCCCCAGCCCAGCCCCAGCGGTCCGTCTCACTCGGTTGTTGCTGTAATGCTGGTCTCCTGTCTGTGTGCGGCACTGCAGATGTGGCGGGCAGGGGCTTGGGAGCTCTGGGGCAGGCGCTGAAGGCAGGTATGTGTGTGAAGTCAGGTGCGGGGGTGGGGGTGGCTCCTGGCCACACCCTTGCAGGGCTCAGGCCGCCAATGGTGCTGGGGCCTCCTCCCCCAGGAGGGGGGCTTTGTCAAGGATTATGGTGTATTTCCATCACCGAGGCCCAAAGGGGCCAGAAAGGGGCAGGCTGAGGCTGGGGGAGGGGCTCAAGGGAGCCCAGCTGGGAGGGCCCAGGCAGGCAGTGCGGAGCTGGCCGTGGGCTGCCTACCCTTTCATCTCTGCAACTCCTTCCTCCCTGGGCCTCCCTTCTGGTGTGTCTGTGGGTCTGTCTAGGTGGGCTTGGGAAAGGGGAAGGAAGGGGCGTCTCTTTAGGCAGCTCAGACTGGACAAGCCTTCTTTGAAAATGGTCCTTTGAACACACGCCTGCTGGTGGTTGGTCAGACAGATGCGCCAGCGGGAGCCCCGGGGCCCCAAGGGGACAGCTATCTCTGCAGGACCAGTGCGATGGGCGGGAAGGGAGGAGGGGACACGAGAGGCCCTGTCCTCTTCCCGTGCCAGCTTGCTCAGGCCCTCAGTCCCAGACGGGCTTTTCCCAGAGAGCTAAAAGTAAGAAAGTAACCTTCAGGATTAAAGAGAAATGTTTCTTTGTTTGGGTTTTCCGTCTTTCTTTCTTTTTTTTTCTCTTTTAAGCCTCTTTTCACATCTGTAGTGGCTTTTTTTTTCTCTCGCCTGGGGTCAAAGGAGAAGGGCCAGAGAATGTCGTCCCAGCCAGCAGGGAACCAGACCTCCCCCGGGGCCACAGAGGACTACTCCTATGGCAGCTGGTACATCGATGAGCCCCAGGGGGGCGAGGAGCTCCAGCCAGAGGGGTAAGTGTGGAACCACCCCACCTCACTCTGTCAGCCATCAGAATGGGGTGATGGCAGAGGTTGCAACTGGCCAGGGAGCAGCTCCTGGGCAGGGGCTGCTAGGTCTGGCTCTGCCACTCATTTGCTGTGTGACCTTGGGCAAGTCACAGCCTCTCTGGGGTTCATTCAGTCTCTGCCTCTGTTACATGAGAACAACATCCCTCACCCTGCTGTTAAGACACCTAAGGCTGGTCACCTTAGGTATGATGTGTGACGTGTTAAAAATACAGATGATTCAGATCTGCAGGGATGGCTCCCTGGGTGATTCTGGCCCATAGCCAGGATGGAGAAGCTGCTGAGAGCAGTTGAGGCAAGCAGACCTCCCTTCAAGGGGTTATTGGTCTCTGTGGTGAGCATTTGGGTGTGGTGTTTCCAAGTGTCAAGTTCTCTGGGCAGGCTGGGGGATTCGGGGAAGGCAGAGAACCAAAGGGAGAAAGCCTGGTGAGAAGTCACTGAGGAAACAAGCACCCTTGTTGTCTTTGGATGGTCTCAGAGGATGAGGAGAGCCTATTCCCTTTAGCAGAAGTGCTCAGGCCAGCCCAGGTGAGGGTGGGAGCAGGAAGGCAGCCCGCCCCAGGGTGGCCTGAGAACCCAGCCACAGCTGCTTTGCCTGGGTCCATTCTACCGGGGTTTAGTCTGGGCACCCTGGTGGAGGAGCTGGGCCCCTTCTGTGTCCCCCACCTCCTGCCAGGATGTCTTGCCTGTGTAGGACCCAGAGCCAGTTCTCCCCTGTTGTTCCCAGGCCTGGCCCCATCCCTTATCTCCCTGCTCTGTCTGACGGTTTGGAGAAGTAGAAAGGTGAGGCTGGGGGTTGCCGAGCCAGATGTGTGCACATCTGTTCTCCATCAAAACCTGAAACTTGAGAAGGAAAAATCCTTGCGTGCCTCCCCAGGGGCTGGGGCTGCGGCCTGGCTGGGCTTGGGTCATCCAGCAGGGACAGAGGCTCCACCCAGGCCTCGGGGAAGGAGCTGTTGTTTGGAGGACTCAGGGTTCTGACCACCTGGAAAATAGCCTGCAGTCAGCAAGGGCGTGCTCCCCACTCATCTTGCCTGACTGACCGAGAGCCTGTGGGCTCCACATATCCTGCTGTGTATGTGTGGCCTGCGAGAGACCAGAATGAGGACAGGCCCAGGAACCCATGAGGATGGTTTCTGACCTAGGTGAAGGCTCTAATCTGAAGCTGTGTCCTTGGGAGCCTCAGGGCCTGGGCACTGGCTGGGGGCCAGGTGCCTGTAAATGTAGCTGTGGTCTATAGCTGTTGTCTCAGAATAAAGTTGTGTGTATGTCAGGCACTGGGTGATGGGGAGTCCAGTCCCTCATGTGGGTGACATCTAGAAGATTCAGCTTCTTTCTCCCACTGCAGGGCATGACATCCATAAGAATAAAGAGATTTGTTTGAATCTACTTACTTAGCCAAACCAATTGAGCTGCCTGCCATCCCCCTGCCCTCAAAGTGGGAGCAGAAAATTGGGAGCTCAGGGGAATCCCAAGGAAATGAACTTGGGTTCACCTCTGTCTGTGTGAGTCAGACACCCTGGGGACATGTTGCATCAGAGCTTTGAAGAACTCCGGAGTGCCCAGTGCCCCAGCACTCTCAGGCTGGAGTTGGGGTGGATGAACACTGATGGCAGTGGAGTCAGCCACAGAAATGTCCTAAAATCCAGAACATTCAATGGCTCAAACACCCTCAGTGGCTTCCTGGGGCCTCCCATGCTTGCTGTAACCTCATCTCACCTGACCTCTGGGCTGCAATCAAACTGGAAGGCCTGCCCAGCCCCAGCCACGCTGCCTGTCGCCTGCCTCTCTGCTTCCTCATGCACTTCCCTCCACCTGGAGCTGCCTCTCCCCTTCTTTGCCTAAAGAGATGCTAACCAACTTTTATTTATTTATTTTTTGAGATGGAGTCTCGCTCTTGTTGCCCGGGTTGGAGTGCAGTGGTGCGATCTTGGCTCACTGCAACCTCCGCTTCCCCAGTTCAAGTGATTCTCCTGCCTCAGCCTCCCGAGTAGCTGGGATTACAGGTGCGTGCCACCACGCCCAGCTAATTTTTTTTGTATTTTTAGTGGAGACAGGGTTTCATCATGTTGGCCAGGCTGGTCTCAAACTCTTGACCTTGGTTGATCTGCCTGCCTCAGTCTCCCAAAGTGCTGGGATTATAGGCGTGAGCCACTGCTCCCAGCCACTAACCATTTTTTAAACTCCAATCAGATACCACCTCCTTTTGCCCAAAGTTCTCCCTCCTCTGCATCCTTCAGCACCTGCTGTGCCTGTCCCAGGATCAAGCTCACCACCCTCTCCAAGGTCTTTATGTCTGTGCCATCCTGCCTGTCCCATGGCACAAAAAGTGGGGCCACAAGCCACTAGCCAAATATTTGCTCATTTCTATGCCACCTGAGATCCCCATCTGACCCCTCACACTGAGCTGAGAGGTCAGATGGGGACCTCAGGTGATACAGAAAGGGCCAGAGGCTCCCCCAGGCAGGGCCCTGGAGGGCATTTCTGGGGGTAGGGGTGGTTTGGGGTAAGGTCCATAGGAAAATGGTCAAACTACTCCAGGGACAGTTTTCCAAGTCCCTGCCGGGCCCAGGTGTAAAGGTGGAGCGGGACCTAGTCATGCGGGGAGATGCCGGCTGAGAGGGAGGGCTGCCCTACGCACCAGAGTGAGAGGCCTTGGAGCTGGAGGTGGGGAGCTGACACTGGAGTCAGTGTGGCTGCTACTCACGATCCCAGTTCTACTTTGGGAAGAGGCTGGTCTCCTGGCCAAGAAGCTGCCCAGAGCTGACTTACTCTGCCTCTCCACCAAGTGACTGGTTTCTTTCCCACCGCTCACCCGCTGGGATTTCCTGAGAGAAAGCGAGCAGGACAGACCGAGCTGACCCAGCAGAGCATCCCAGGGCTCTGCACTCCCCTGGATAATGCAGCCTTGATGCCTCTCTTCATACAGTGGAGGGCGTTTTGGTGGGCGGCTAAGCCCTCTGTGCAGGCAGGGACTGGCGGCAGCCCAGGCTCCATCTCAGGCCCTCGCCCACCAGACCCCACTGGCCTCACCCATGCTGCCACCCTCCCTCTGGCTCTCCCAGGCCCAAGCTGGGAAAACCCGGAGCTCTACTGCTCACCAGGGACCCAGTCCTGCCTACTCTCCCAGGGCCAGGGCCAGCCCTGAGCTCAGGACTCCTGCCTCACTCCCTTTCTCCACCACATGATTCTGCTGGGGAAGCGGAGGGTTTCATTGTCCTCAGTGACCCCTATCTCCACTGTGGGTTTACCTCTGCGCTCAGCCAGGGTGAGTGCAGGACCATTGCCAGGCCATAGGGAGCCTCTGTGGAATTAGAGAAAGGGATCCCCAGTTAGGTGCATTCAGCTCAGCAGGTGCTGGGTTTGGTGAGCAGGGTGGCCTGCTCGTTCCCTTGGCTGAGCATCTTTGTGCAGTGGGCAACCTGCATGGCTGTCCATGGAGGCTCTCAATGAGAGGGAAGCAGGAAAAGAGAGGGACCAGGGGAGATCATTTTAGTCACAGACCAACCTCAGATGGCAGTGAGTAGAGGGCGAATCACAGGGCCAAACCCTTGACTGCTTGACCCAGGTAGTGTGCTCAACTGCAGTTCTGAGAAGACGTCTGTGAGACCAGGAGCAGTCAGAGGGGCTCCCTGGAGAGGGGAGGCCTTGAAGGACAGGAAGCATCTGGGTGAGCAAGAATAAGTGCTCAGCCGGGCACAGTGGCTCACACCTGTAATCCCAGCACTTTGGGAGGCTGAGGCATGAGGATTGCTTGAGCTCAGAAATCCAAGACCAGCCTGGGCGACATGGTGAGGCCCTGTCTCTACTAAAAATACAGAAAAAAAAATGCCAGGCATGGTGGTGCACACCTGTGGTCCCAGCTACTCATGAGGCTGAGGTGGGAGGATCTTTTGAGCCCAGGAGGCTGAGGCTGCAGTAAGCCGAGATCGAGCCACTGCACTCCAGCCTGGGTGACAGAGCAAGACCCTGTCCCTCCAGAAAAAAAAAAAAGAGAATAAGTGATCAGGCCGAGCCGGTCTACTCTGCTTCCCCTGGGAGCTTCCCATGTCCTTTAGTCTTATAACCCCAGAGCTTGGCATGGGGCTGGCACATCACAGGGACACGAGGGCCCCAGAATGACCCTGAGAAGGTGGGACTGGGAAGGCTTGTGTAGGAGGGATCAGAGGGTTGAGGGAGGTAGTGGGTAAAGCCTCAGTGTGAACAGTCTTGAACCCCAGACCCATCTGCACACCCAGGGGGGCCTGACGCAGGCCTGAGCCAGCCTTCATTTGCTCTGCAGGGAAGTGCCCTCCTGCCACACCAGCATACCACCCGGCCTGTACCACGCCTGCCTGGCCTCGCTGTCAGTGAGTCCAACCCAAGTTGAACCTGGCTTGCAAGCTGCTGCCAGCCTGGGCAGTGGGACCTGTGTTCCCCACTGGGGCTGGTGAAGGGGGGCCCTGGAAGATCCTGGGTGGGGGGAGCTATCTGGGAGTTCTCCCAGCTTGGAGGCCCAAACCAGGATGCAAGTCCAACCTTCCAGATGTCTGTCACCCCTTGACCAGTCCCCAAGATGTCACATGAGTGTGCACTGGGCAGGTAGGGGATATCCTGGGGCCTGAGTCCAAGCCCTCAAACTCAGACCCTCAGGGGAGGCCTGGGCACCCCAAGCCCTCCTCTGCACTCTCCTTTCAGATCCTTGTGCTGCTGCTCCTGGCCATGCTGGTGAGGCGCCGCCAGCTCTGGCCTGACTGTGTGCGTGGCAGGCCCGGCCTGCCCAGGTTTGTACCATGGCCTGGGCACCCCCACTCAGGGGACCCAGCTGACAGGGTCCCTCTGGGAGGGTGGGTGATTTGTTAGGTACCTAAAAGGCAGCTCTGGCTTTAATGACATCCCTATCGCCCTCAGCCTGGAGCTTTCCTCACCCCCACCTAGGTCTCCAGGTTTAGTCAGGACCCCCAGAGGAAGGGGGAGGGACTCGCTCAAGCCCGCCTGGGAGAAAGGACTCCAACCCAGACCCTAGGGAAACAAGCCTGACAGGACCCAGCGTCAGAGTGTACCTTCTCAGGCAGCCCTCCATGTGTGGATTGACGTGACCATCCCAATGCCATCTTGACCGTCATCTTCCCTGAGGGTATCACCTGGACCCTAATGCTTGAAGGCAGATTTATGGGGACTGACATCTAGCCCCTATAGCTGGAGCTTTCTTCTCCTATCTCCTTCAGCCCTGTGACTCCAGAGCCTGGACAGGCATGATCCTGAGGAGATGGGGCTGGGCAAGCTAGTGTGCGAGAGACCAAAGGGTTGGGGCAGGTGATGGGTGGCTCCTTGGTGTAGACAGCTTCACATCCCAGACCCAGACTGTGCACCGAGGCAGGTCTTGCTGTGCTGGTTTTGTGGGGAACCAGCCTGGGGTCTCTGGTTGGCCCCAGAAAGAGCTTGCCCTGGCTGGGGCAGTGTTTGAGGGAGAATGAACCTCTCAGAGCATGAATGCAAGCTGCAGTGCAGAAGCTGTGGGTCTGAGTGGCTTGCCCTGAGCCCAGAAGGGTGATGCCTGGGACAGCTATGCCCGCTGTCTGCCCTCTGCCCCGGGTCCACACCCAGCCCAGGGCGGCGGCTGTTGTACAAGGATGTTGTGACTCGCTGAGTTCTCTGAAGGTTTGCCAGCTCAGACAGACCAATTAGTGTGGAGGTGGCTGCTTCCTGGAGCTTCCAGGGTGGGCGGAGGAGCAGTCTTAGGGCTTCTTCCCACTGTATGTGTGTCCCAAGTCCCTTTGGCACGGGGCCCAGAGCTTGGTAGATAAGAGGCACTCCACAAATATCTATGGAATGAATGAATGAAGGGGCCTTATTCCCCCATCTAGAAAGTGGGACTGACTCCACCTCCTTGATTTATGGAATACAGCTGGGAGGTAATGGGGGTGCAGGGGCTGAGCAACTCCCTCCTGCCCTGTCCTTGCCTCTGTGCTAGCCCTGTGGATTTCTTGGCTGGGGACAGGCCCCGGGCAGTGCCTGCTGCTGTTTTCATGGTCCTCCTGAGCTCCCTGTGTTTGCTGCTCCCCGACGAGGACGCATTGCCCTTCCTGACTCTCGCCTCAGCACCCAGCCAAGGTACCCACTGACCCCCAGGCCCTGGGGTTGGTGTGATGGGATGGGGTAGGGTGGGGTCTCGGAGTTTTAAGCTTGGCTCAAGGAGATGAGAGTAACAGGAACAGCTGTCAATGAGATGGGCTGCTATCCTGAGACGTGACCTTTTTAGACCATCCAGTCTTTACAACGATGCTACAAAGTATGCATATTAGCCCCATTTTGCAATGGAGGAACTGAGAGCCAGGGAAGTAGTATCTTAAATTGAGTATTTGCTCAGGCACCATGCTAAGCATTATATATCCACCTTCTCATTTTGCCCTTGCTAATATACTGTGATTATTTTCATTTTACAGATGGGAAAACTGAGGCTCCAAGAGGTAACTTGCCCAAGATCACAGAGTTGAGACTAGTCAGAGCCTGGATTTGAACCTAGTGTTCTTGCCCACTGAACGTGCTGAAGGGCTTGGAAGCTGGAGACCGAAGAGAGGCCTGGGTGGGCTCACTGCAGGCCCCATGTCTGCCCCTCCAGCATGGGTCTCTCTGCTTGTTTCACCTTCCAGGGGCCTGGAAGATACTGGGACTGTTCTATTATGCTGCCCTCTACTACCCTCTGGCTGCCTGTGCCACGGCTGGCCACACAGCTGCACACCTGCTCGGCAGCACGCTGTCCTGGGCCCACCTTGGGGTCCAGGTCTGGCAGAGGGCAGAGTGTCCCCAGGTGCCCAAGGTAACCGCTGATCACAATGGCCTAGGGCAGAGGGGCGCACAGAGCAACCTACTCAAACCACAGTGCCTCCTTTGAGCTCTGATTCTATGATGGGCCGCCCTGCAGCCTTCCATTGTGCATGGGATTCCATGCCTTCAAACATGTGCCCCTTCCAAGCTTGGCTGCTCTGCAGGAGAGGCAGGGAACAAGGTGGCTGGGCCCAGCCCTCAGGAACTTTAAGTCTAGGAGGTGGCGGAGAAGGGGAAGTGGGCAGAGTAGGGGGAAGAGAAAGCCTGAAATGGCCCCCACCCCCAATGCCTGTGTTAGTGATCCCCCAGCTTCCCTTTGGTCAGGCTGGAGAGGGAATGGGAGTGAAGCTTGATGGAGGCCGGCAAGTGCGAAGTCAGGGATGGTCTAAGAGGGCTGAGAGGAGAATTCCGGAACCTCAGGACCTTGCTCACTGGCTGCTGGCTGGGGCTGTGAAGCTGTCCAGTCTAGAACTCAAAGAGTGATGGTACAGGCTTTAGAGCCAGACAACCTGAGTGTGAATCCAGCTTCACCACTTCATTCATTCACTCACCCATTCATTCAACAACATATTTGAAGCACATACTTTGTACCAGGGACATTTCCAGGCACTGGACTACAGCTATGAACAAGACAAACAGTCCCTAGCCTCCCAAGAGCCGTCACTTCAGAAGGGCAGACATGACACGCAAACAAAATGATGCCAGGTGGTACCAAGTGCCTTGGGGAAACAGTGCCACCTTTCTGAGACCGTTTCTCCATCCGTCCATGGAGCTGATAACACCAGTCCCTCAGGGTGGAGGTGAAGACTAAGAGGTTGCTTTGAGAGGGGGAACTTGGTGGCTTTTTTTCACCACCTAGAACCTGGCACATACTAAGCTCTCAATAAAAGTATATTGAACCAACAAATAAATGAATGAGTATACAAAAAGCCCACCCCCAGGAAGGCCTCAGCCCTGAGGAGTAGGGCATAGACTTTCCTGATGCTCAGGTTGAAAACTATATGTAGGCAAAGGCAGGCTTTCGTGTGATTTTCAGAACTGTTCCTAATGCTCCGGGAACACAGAAACAGAAAGAGGTGTCCTTTCCAGTGGGGGGCAGGAGGGAATCAAGTGATCTCCTCCTCTTGGCTCCTCTCAGGCCCGTGGGGATCCAGGAGCCTGGGGGAGGGGTGAGCATCTCTGCAGGGCTCGAGAAGGGGAAGTGGGCAGGTTTGCGCTGGGTGGCAGGTTGGGAACCATAGAGCTGAAGCCTTCCCATGGCCCCCCAGACCACCCTCAGGGCCCAGTGTGAGGTGGGAAGGGCAACGGATTCTGGTTCTTGGCTGGGGGAAGAAGGTGGAAAGTAGTCTGTCTGGGTGTTTGTCTGTCCAGATCTACAAGTACTACTCCCTGCTGGCCTCCCTGCCTCTCCTGCTGGGCCTCGGATTCCTGAGCCTTTGGTACCCTGTGCAGCTGGTGAGAAGCTTCAGCCGTAGGACAGGAGCAGGCTCCAAGGTAAAGGGGCAGGCCTGGGATGAGCTCTTCCTCAGCACCCAAGACAGCCCTACTCCCCCGTATCTGTGGTCCCAGATACATGGCCGTGCTTGATGTAGGGCCCAGCACAGAATAGATGCTCAGAAAATGTTTGCTGAGTGACTGCTTAGTCCTCCCTCCCTAGGCAAAAGCTGGACTGGGCCCTTGACTGGCACCCAGGATACCCGCGGCACTGGGCTGTGTGAATAGTAGGGACTTAACAAAGCAGAACTGAGTCAGAAGCCAGGAGAGTCATATCTCTGTCTGTGAAACACTGAGATCTGGCTGGAGAGACAGCCTGGAGCCTTGTGCCTAATCCGAGTTCTGCACATAATGAGATGATTCAGGAAGCACCCAGGGCAGAACTCCATTATGAGTCAACTCTAGGTTGGATGTGGTTGAATAATTTCAGATAAAGGGGAGGGCTGAGAGGGCTTCCTAGAGGAGGTAGACTCTACAAGGGCCTGAAGGACAGGGAGATCTAGAGTGATGAGAGAATAAGGAGCAGGCATTGTAGGCACGGGAAAGAGCATGAGTAAAGGGGAAGAGATAGTTTTGTGTCTGTTTTGTTCATTATATTTGCAGCACTGGGTGGGTCTTGGCCCTTAATAGATACTCAGCAAATATTTTTGAATTTTTGAATAGATGGATGAATGGATGGATGGATCGAAGGAAAGATGTATGGAAGGAAGGATGGATGGATGAATGCATCATGGTAAAAGAGAATTCTTAGAAGATACTTCAATCTCACTAAAAAGCCTTCTAAGCACCTACCATATGTCAGGCCCCGGGCTCAGTGCTGTGGACTTGGAGCTGATGGACTTGTGTCTGATCTCCAGGAGCTCCCAGTGTGGTGGGGGAGACAGATGCGGCACAAAACACCTGCAGTGCAATGTGAAACCTGCACCGGGTGTTGGGACTGTGGTGCAGGGGGCGGGGTCCACTACTTCTTTCTGGTGAGAGAGGAGGAGGAAGAAAGCTCTGCAGAGACCCTCAAAGGGGAAAGAAGAACAGACTCAGGAGAAAGTCTTAAGACATAGAGGCCAAAGGGCGTGGCTTCTCTTCAGACAGGGCAGGGGAAGGAAAGGCTTGATGGGAGGCACCTGGCCAGCCAGCAGGTAGGTGGTGGTGCCAGCTGCTGGCCCAGGGAAGGTGGAGGGAGGAGCAGGTGCTCCTGGGATGATGCTTGGTCCTGAGGGTGTACTGCTCAAAGTCTGGAGCTCAGCAGAGGGGCTGGGACCGGGTGTTAACTCGGCAAGGTCAGACTGAATCCAGAGAGTGAGTGAGATCCCTAGGCAGGATGGAGAACCCCGGGTCCCTTTTGGGCTACTCTGGTCCGAGAAGGCCCACGGACTCCAGACTCGGCTCCCACGTGGCAGGCAGGGAGTTCTGAGCGCTTGTAGCTCCTGCCTATTGAGGCCAACACCCCTCGAGGAAGCCTGTGTCCCCTCCTGTTTACAGCTGGCTCTGAAAAGGGAGCGGCCCCCCGGGACGACACAGTGCCTGAGGCATGCCCCTTTACCTTCTCTTCCAGGGTTTCCACCACCCCATCTCTCTCTCCATTGCCAGCCTTTCCTCCCAGGCTTGAGAGGTGTACAATCCTCTTTGGACTTTGGTCAAAGAGGTTTAAGTCTCAAAGGACCCCCATCAAGCTTTGAGCTGACCCACTCCTGCCCGGGATCCCAGGGTTGTCATGGCAACAAGTGACAACAGCCTGTGTTCTCCCAGTGATTCCAGGCAGGGGCTCACCCCATCTTCCCATGGGCCTCTGCTACTTCACAGGCAGCTTAAGGCCTGGAATGTGGCTTAGACAAATCTGGTCACCCTTGTGATCTCCCTTGCGCAGTGGCAGCAGGAGAAGCCTGAGGGTGTCTGACCTGGAATGACCCTCTTCTGTGTCCTGGTCTAGGATGTGCCCGTGGGACACAAGCTTCCCTTTGCCCCAGTTTCAGCTAGCAGAGGCCAGAGGGCTAGGGGTGGGAAGAAACGGTGAAGAGATGTGACTGAGTAAAGCAGGCGAGAGTTGGAGACAGATCTTAGGAAGAACTTCCTGGCATTGATGGTTCTTTGATAGGAGACTGGCCTTGTATTTGTGAGAGAGAAAAGGGAAGCTTTGGAGGGCACGGACCTCATCCCCACAGGTCAGCCCCATCCACACTCACCACCACCGCCATGGCCAACAGGTTTTTATGGAGCACCTGCTTGGTGAACACTCTAGTTCCCTGAGCCAGGGACCCACGAATGGGTCGAGGCAGATCTCATCTGCTTGTTCAATTGTCTGTCTCCACAGGGGCTGCAGAGCAGCTACTCTGAGGAATATCTGAGGAACCTCCTTTGCAGGAAGAAGCTGGGAAGCAGGTGGGGTCTCTGACACACCCTTTGTGGGCCAATGGATTGGGCTGGTTAGCAGCCGTGCTTGGGAAGCTGGCACTGGGCAGCATGGCAGGGGCAGAGGGGAAGAATGACCAGCCTCTGGGGCTGGCCCTCAGGGAATGGGCTTCCCCTGAGGACCCCGCACCTGCCTGGGTCTTTCTGCAGCTACCACACCTCCAAGCATGGCTTCCTGTCCTGGGCCCGCGTCTGCTTGAGACACTGCATCTACACTCCACAGCCAGGTATGGGGTTGGGAGCTGAGGCCGAGCGTGACAGGGGACGTTACCCTCCCTTGCACAGAATGGCTGCAGTGGAGGACTGGCTCCTGCTCCCCAGAATCCTTGTCATCAAGAGGGACAACTACCAGCTTGGGACAGCGGGAAGACCCTGGCCTGGCCTTGGTCATTTAGGGTCCTGCTGGCCCTTTTCCTGGGCCCCTTGGGAGGGAGGAGGGCTCCCGGGCCTGAGTGGTGCTGTTCACCATACTCCTTCCTTTGAGGACTACAGGATTCCATCTCCCGCTGAAGCTGGTGCTTTCAGCTACACTGACAGGGACGGCCATTTACCAGGTATGTCCCTCACCCTGTACTGCCATCTGCCTCTGGAGCCCTGCCCTCAACCCCCAAGCCTGGAGCAGTTCCGGCCCAACCCAGCTCTCCAGGTGCTCCATCCAGAACCCTGACCAGGTGCTGCAGGCCATCTTGGGAGTTCTGGCCTACCCAGAAGGGCCGGGGTGTTCACTCTTGGACTCATGAAGTGACTCGGAGCATTAATTTTGGAGGCCACATAAACACGAATTTAAATCCTAGCTCCACTATTTACCTCCTGTGTGGCCTTGGGCAAGTTATATAACCTCTCTGAACCTGTTAGCTCATCTGTAAAAAGGAGAAAATAGAATAATTTTCCTCTTTGAGTAATTGGGAAGATTTAGCAAGACAACATGTTTGATAAACTCTGCCTCACCACCTCCGAAAAAAAAAAAACCCCGAAAAAACCAACAACAACAATTAAAATCCTGGGAGATGGGTATGATTATTCTCCACTTTACAGATGGGGAGAATGGAAGCTTGGAGAGGTGAATTTGACTTGGCCAAGTTTCTGCACAGCTAATATCTCAGCGTAGCCTAAGTTTGAATCCAAGTCTGTCCAGCTTTAATTCCTGTGCTCATTTACTTTCACAACATAGAAAAACCAGAAATTTTACATTCCAAAGTTTAGATAGATAGATGATGGGTAAATAGATAGAGGTGCAGACACAGTCATCCCTCAGTATCTGAGGTGGGTTGGTTCCAGGAACACCCCTCCATACCAAAATCCAAAGGCTCAAATTTCTGATATACGATGGTGTAGTATTTGCATATAGCCTACACACATTCTCCAGTATACCTCGTTATCTCTAAAGTACTTATAATATCGAACATAAGTGCTATGTAAACAGTTGTCCTATGTCTGGGTGTGGTGGCTCACACCTGTAATCCCAGCACTTTGGGAGGCTGAGGCGGGCGGATCACAATGTCAAGAGATTGAGACCATCCCAGCCAATGTAGTGAAACCCTGTCTCTACTAAAAATATAAAAATTAGCTGGCGGTGGTGGCGCGGGCCTGTAGTCCCAGCTACTCAGGAGGCTGAGGCAGGAGAATTGCTTGAACCTGGGAGGTGGAGGTTGCAGTGAGCCGAGATCGCGCCACTGCACTCCAGCCTGGCCACAGAGCAAGACTCCATCTCAAAAAAAAAAAAAAAAGAAGAAGTTGTCCTACTGTATTATTTTTTATTTGTATTATTTGTATTGAATTGTTATTTTTTATTGAGGGTTTTTCCCCAAATATTTTTGATCTGCGCTTGATTGAATTGGTTGGTTGTGGATGTGGAACCCACAGATACGCAGGGCTGACTATATGAAGTTACGGTGCTCGAAGGCATGCCTTTGGCCTATTAGGCTGTGATTGCACCTGTCTGTAATGTCCTCATTTAGAGGCGTGAGATCCCTGCTCTAAGGGGCAGATAAGAACACTGATGGGCAATGGGCATGTGGCTGGGGCCTGTGTGCTGCCAGTTTCTTCCCCAGCGTCTCCCCTGTTAGCACAGAAAACCCTTTCCTGGGATGGGGCCCTCACTGTGGGGCTCTTCCAGGTGGCCCTGCTGCTGCTGGTGGGCGTGGTACCCACTATCCAGAAGGTGAGGGCAGGGGTCACCACGGATGTCTCCTACCTGCTGGCCGGCTTTGGAATCGTGCTCTCCGAGGACAAGCAGGAGGTGGTGGAGCTGGTGAAGCACCATCTGTGGGCTCTGGAAGGTGAGGCCTCCAGGGAGCCCCTGAGGGCTGCAGTGGGGAATGAAAGCGGGGAGACCCAAGGTCTATGCCCTAGTCAGCCATGGACACACTGGGGGCCCTTGGACACATTCCTTCCTCTCTCTGGGTCTCGATTGCCTCATCTCCAAATTGTGGCAGTTGGCGCTTCCAGTTCTGAGCTTCCATGAAACCTGAAGGGACATCTCAGCAGCTCCTGTCCCTTGCCTGCTTCTGTGGCATCTTCCCCCACCACCCCCAGTGTCTCTGACCAACTATCCAGGCATGGAGATGAGGAAGGCCATGGGATGGGGGAGCTGAGGGTGGGGAAGGAGGGAAGAGACGGCGAAGGGAGATGGTGAGGATTTCTGAGCGAATCCTCGTGGCAGGGGTCTGGCGTTGGGCAGGGCACAGGCTTTCTCTTCCCCACTCCCTGTCTTTTGGGGCCGTCTCCTTTCTCCTTCCCTCCTCTGACAATGAGCTCCTGAACCAGGGAACCATCTTGGCTTCCCCTTCTGTGGTCTGATGCCTCCTGCAGCCACCTACTTACTCTGCCTCCTGGGCGCTCCCAACAGCGCTGTGGAGGGGACTGAGAAGTGTCCCCACTTGACACATGGGGAAGGATTTGCCTGAGGCCATCCAGCAGGGCAGAGTGCAGCCAAGAGAACGCAGGGCTCCTGAAGCCTAGGCGGGGGCCTTCTCCATCACCTTGGGACAAAGCCCGGTGCTGAGGACTCAGGAGGCATGCGCCTTCTGCTTACTTGGGGACCCCAGGCTGGGACGGATGGGCCCCCGGCTTCTGAGGAGTAACATGTGGTCAGAGCGTGGGCTGCCAGCGTTGCAGGTGGAGGTGTAGCTGCTCCGCAGCTGTACCTGACCATTAACATCATCCTTATCCTACAGACCTGGGCATGCTGGTCATGGCGGGGCAGGGAGTGGGGGGTGGGCAGAGGTGCACGGAGTGACCACTTCCTTCCCTGACCACCTCCACCATCTCCGTGAGCACCTCAGTTCCCGTACTAGAGGCTGCCCTGGAACTGCTGCTGAGGGCAACAAACTGGACAGGTGACAAGTTCCGGGTGAGCTGAAAATGTCCTCTCCCAGGAGATTTTCTGAGCTGGTTGCAATCTGGTTCATAGGCAGGTGCAGACATGGTCCAGGTCAGCCCACAACCAACCTCAGACCCTTGCTCACAGTGACCCTGTAGGTCAGCATCATTGATCCCAGCTCACAGGGCAGGACATTGAGGCTCAAAGACAAAATGAGACACATCCAGGGCAAAGGACTCTGCTTCCACTCATCATGTCTTATATTTTTAATTGCATGTTGCAGTTTCCAAGCTCAAAGGCTCCCACTTTGAATCTTCTTGGGCCAAACAGAGCAACAGTTACTCTTTAAATTTGCAGATGAGGAATACTGAGGCCCAGGAGGATTACAGATACGGCCAAAGCCATCCCGCAACCTGGGCTCCAGTGTCCCTTGGTCTGTCCTTCGCCTAAGGAGCTAATGTCTTCTGAGCTCAGAGCTTCTGTTAGGACTGCCACCCAGCACTTGGACCATAAGCCTGGCATCACTCACAGAGAGCTCAGACTGAGTCAGGCAAACTAGATTAGAATCTCTGTTCCATCACTTACAAGCTGAGTGACCTTGGGCAAAGTGCATTACCTCTCCTGACCTCAATTTCCCCAACTGCAAAATGAGTGCTGGAGTGAAAAAGGAACACTTGCCCTTGAGGCCCTCAATCACATGAGGGAAGACAGATCTATCCCCCAAAGCAGGGCCCAGAAGAAGGCAGGCACAGGATCCCAGAGGTGGCAAAGAGCAGGAAGATTGTGTGAGTGCTGGGGTTTGGGGGTGCCCAAGTTGGGAACCAGTGGAGGGAGAGAGAGGTAGGAGGTAGATGGATGGAGATCAAAGGCCAGGCCTGTGGCCAAGGGGGCTGCTAACCCTTCAACCCTGTGTTAGCCTGTACACTCACCAGGCCAGGCTCAGCAGGCGGGCTGTTCACCTCCTGGCAGCAAATGGTCCAGAATGTGCCCTCGCTGCAGCCCAGCTGGCTCCAGAAGGGGGACCACAGAGGCTGGAGCTATGCATGCACAGTGCTTTCTCCCAACCTTGCTTCTGAGAAAAGTGTCCCTGCGAGGGCCCTGGAGGAGGGAGCTAGGGACCAGCAGAAGGGCCTAGGTTTCTGTAGCATCATTTTTAGCCCTGGCTGAATCTGGGAAGCACCTGGTGGCTTTAACATTCCCGTTGCTCAAGCCCTGTGCCAGACCTACTGAATCAGAAACTCTCAGAGTGGGGCCCAGCCTCTTTGAGTGAACAGCCCTCCCAGTGATTTTTTTTTTCTTTTGAGATGGAGTTGTGCTCTGTCGCCCAGGCTGGAGTGCAGTGGTGCAATCTCGGCTCACTGCAACCTCCACCTCCTGGGTTCAAGCAATTCTCCCATTTCAGCCTCCCGAGTAGCTGGGATTACAGGCACATACCACCAGGCCCGGCTAATTTTGTTTTGTTTTGAGACGGAGTCTCATTCTGTCTCCCAGGGTGGAGTGCCGTGGCACAATCTCGGCTCACTGCAACCTCCGTCTCTCAGGTTCAAGTGATTCTCCCATCTCAGCCTCCCGAGTAGCTGGGATTACAGGGGCCCGCCACCAGGCCTGGCTAATTTTTGTATTTTTAGTAGAGACGGAGTTTCACCATATTGGTCAGGCTGGTCTCGAACTTCTGACCCCAGGTGATCCACCGCCTCAGCCTTCCAAAGTGTTGGGATCACAGTCCCAGTGATTCTCATGCAAGCAAAGTTTGATCACCACTGTAGTAGGCACCCAATAAATATTGGTTGGTTGGTTGATTTCAATTCATTTCTGATGGAAATAAATCATGAAGGCTCTGCCTTTGGAAAGCCCCCAGAGCAGTGGCTGTCAGTCCTGACTGCACACTGAATCACCAGTGTTGCTTTCACAGGCTAAGGCTGGGTCCCACCCACAGAAATTCTGATTTAACTGGTTTGGGTGCAGGCTGGGCTATGGGCGAGTTTTAGCAGCTCCAGGTGATCCTAAAGGCGCTATCGGTGCTGAGATCCACCACTCTAATCCCTGTGGCTATGTGGAACTAGCACTCACCTTTTCTGTGTTTGCTCTCCCCGTCCTTGAGATTCTGGTGGTGACACGGGCACCAGGAACACTTCCCTGGACTGACTGATGAGATCAGGGTGCAGGCATCTCAGGCTCATTCTGGATCTGCTTAGAAATGGTTACACACCTCACTCTATCATTCCTAGCAGCATGGCTGTCTGGGCGAAGCCCTCTCTCTGAGCCTCAGCTTCCTCTTCAGCCCAGTGGGAACAGTTCTTCTGTCTAACCTTGCGGGGTTGCTGTTACAGTCCAGAGCAAGACTGGATGTGGACGTAAGGTGGGAGAGTTGCAGCCTGCACCCCTGAAATTCTTAAACACCCAGGCTTGTTCATGACACACCATCATGCACACACTCATTGTGTGCATGGCCAGGGAGAGGGTGAGGGAGCTGGGTGACAGCGGCTGCCTCCCTATTCTGATGGACTCAGTCCACACCGATGTGGACTCACACCCTCTATGCCCTGAACGAAGACCATTAGTGCAGACGTGGATGGGGCCTTATGGCTCACATTATCCTGAGAGCTGGGCAGCATAACGGCGTGCGGTATGTTCACGAGCAAATGGGGGCCTGGGGAGAAGGAGTGCCCTCCTGAAGGCCACATGGCCAAGAAGCAGTGAAGCTGGAGGCAGATGCCAGGTTGGATGGAGGTCCCACAGCAATAGAAGCAGCAACAGCAGGGTGAGGACTAGGTCTGCAGACTCAGAGCTGGTTTCATCTCTTGACCACTGTATGTCACTGGGAAGAATGGGGTGGCCGAAGTCATTGGCTTACACTGCATCTGAGACCTGGGGGTGGGGCCAAGAGGCTTCCACACAGAGTTCAGTTTGGGGCAGGGGGAACTCCCCACAAGGCACCACCCTGGCAGGGGTTCTGAGGCCTCCAGGAGACTCTCCAGACCCTGACCTCTCACTTTGCTCATTCTCTGCCCACCAGTGTGCTACATCTCAGCCTTGGTCTTGTCCTGCTTACTCACCTTCCTGGTCCTGATGCGCTCACTGGTGACACACAGGTGAGTGACAGACTCTGGCTCACCCAGCGCCGAGGTGGGGAAGGAGTGGGAGTCCTGTGGGCCTGCGGGGAGGCCCTGGGCCTGGAGGGAGGGAAGGGCTCTGCCGGCCCGGGCTGTCATGGAGCCCACCTGTGCGTGGCTGCGCTGCAGTGGGAGAAGGTGGGGCTGGGTCCTGCCCTTGGGCCTTCCTGTCTGGTTGGGGAAACGTCTGTGAGTGTGAGGGACATAGGGCACCACCAACTCAGGGCAGCTAGTGGAGCTTGCCCCCTGAGTAGGGGCCACCGGGTGGGCTGGATGAGAGGGAAGGTGGCCTGGGGAAGCTGCACCTGCCCGGGAATGGAAGGAGATAGGAGGTGAGGACTGTGTGGACGAGAACAGAGGCTGGGGTGGCCCTGCCATGTGAGAGTGTAGGTGAGGGGTAGCCTGGTGGCATAGCACACTGGAGAGGTGGTACGGGTCTCGCCATGCCACCTTGCTTGCCCTGCAGCGGTGAGTGGTGAGGAGCACTGAAGGCCCAGGGCAGGTGGAAGGGGCAGCCCGAGCACTTACCCATGTCAGAGAACTGGCCCATGTCTCCTGCGCACTTGCCAGGTCTCAGAGCTCTTCCCAGGGATCTTTTTCCACAGGTCACCCCTCCTTCTTCTGGCATTCAAGGCTCCTCAGCCTGTGCTTGCCTTGCCTCTTTACCTGTTGGCTGTGCTGTGTGTCACTTCCATTCTCACTGTTGTTTCTCACTTTTCTGACTTGGCTCAGGTTGAGCCTTCTGCCTCGTTTTGTATTCCTCGTTCACTGTTTAAGACTACCCAGATATCACCTCTTCCAGATATCTTGGGTTAGTGGCCTCCTCCTGGCTCCCACAGTTCTGGGCTTCCCTGCTGATGGCTGTGAGTTGAAATTCTATTGGGAGTTTGGCCAGTTGCTGGCCCAGAGGAGGATTTAGGAAGAGTGTGTTGCTCCCTGAGGTCTCTGCCTCCCTGGCTCCCACCCCAGGACCAACCTTCGAGCTCTGCACCGAGGAGCTGCCCTGGACTTGAGTCCCTTGCATCGGAGTCCCCATCCCTCCCGCCAAGCCATATTCTGTTGGATGAGCTTCAGTGCCTACCAGACAGCCTTTATCTGCCTTGGTGAGCCTCCCTTGCCCGCCACACCCAGCCTTGGCCTGGGCCTCCCCTCAGACACTGGCCTCAGTTGGGGAGAAGAGTGCTCAGCAAGTACTGCCCTCAGAGTTTGTCTGGGAATGCTCTGGGGCAGCAGCAAGAAGGAGGGACCCCCCTGCCTTCCCTGCCCTTAAGAAGCTTATTCAGGATGGGGGTACAGGAGCCCTCGGGAAATTGAGTGTGTACCCTCCACATGGAGATGAACCCTGGGTGCCACCAAGTATTCACATGGGGGTGGACCCAGGTCTGGAGGTGTCAAATTCAAAATGGTACATTCCTGGCTGGGCTCAGTGGCTCACACCTGTAATCCCAGCACTTTGGGAGGCTGAGGCAGGTGGATCACGAAGTCAGGAGATGAAGACCAGCCTGGCCAACATGGTGAGACCCCGTCTCTACTAAAAATACAAAAATTAGCCGGGTATGGTGGTGTGCACCTGCAGTTCCAGCTATTCGGGAGGATGAGGCAGGAGAATCGCTTGAACCCAGGAGGTGGAGGTTGCAGTGAGCCGAGATTGCACCACTGCGCTCCAGCTTAAGAAAGGGCTGTGTCACATTTGGCTACCTACAAAGGTAATGAGATCCCTGTCACTGGGGGTATGCAAGCAGAGTTCCATGGATATTGTTGCAGTCTGCAAAGGGGGTCCTGCCCTGAGAGAGTTGGACCAGATAACCTTCCAGGACCCCTACCAGCCCCAAGTTTCTGACTCTCCCCTTGGGTACTGCAGTGAGAAAAGCACTCTGAATGGTGAGGGGCTGTGGCCTGGGTTGCACATCCAAGGGCCTTGTATCTCTCCCTCCAGTTCCTTCCATTCTCACCTCCTTGCGGGAGGAGAAGGATGGTAAAGGAGTAGATGAATTACTAGGACAAAAGTCATAGCGTCTCTTCTTGGTAGCCCTTATGCCTCCAGGCCCTTTTGTAGACATCATTCTCTAATCAGTTGGCCAGATTATTTCAATAGACAGTCCTTGGGCACCTACCGTATGCCAGGCTCTGGCTTGAAGGAATGCAAACATCAGTTTAATATGTAGCCTTATCCCCCAGTAACTCAAACTCAGGAGAAACTGGAGGGAAATAACATTTGCAAAGTATTTTGTGATTTTAAGAGTTTCCACAGACATTATCTCATTGGATCCTTACAACAGCCTCTGAGGTAGGGACTATTATCCCCATTTTACAGAGGAAGAAACTGAGGCTCAATGAAGTAAAGTGATTTGTTCAAGGCAGCATAGCTAGGCAGTGGCAGAGCAGAGATCTAAAACCAGGCCTGCCCAATCCCAAAGCCCTTGGTTCTGGGGGCAGCGGGGATGGCCAGTTTTCATGGAACCTGTTTTCTGTCCCCCTGCCACTCCCGCCCCTGGCAGGGCTCCTGGTGCAGCAGATCATCTTCTTCCTGGGAACCACGGCCCTGGCCTTCCTGGTGCTCATGCCTGTGCTCCATGGCAGGAACCTCCTGCTCTTCCGTTCCCTGGAGTCCTCGTGGTGAGTGAAACAAGACATGGAGGGCTCAGGGACTCCTTAGAGGTCCGCTAACAGCGACCACCTCCCCACCCCACTGGCAGGCCCTTCTGGCTGACTTTGGCCCTGGCTGTGATCCTGCAGAACATGGCAGCCCATTGGGTCTTCCTGGAGACTCATGATGGACACCCACAGCTGACCAACCGGTGAGGTGGCATCTGGGCTTGTGGCTCCCTCAGGCCCTCGCCTCTTCTTCGGTGTCTCTCTCTTTTTGTGTCCTCCCTCCACTGCCATCTATCCCTTCTCTCTATCAAGGAACCCAGATGATAGTAGAAAGAGCTTGCCTTACCCATAGAGAAAAGGGACAATGGCTCAGCCCACTCCAAAGTACCTCTCTACATACCCGGCATGGGGCTGGAAGTACCCCCGTGAACCTTTCTTGCTTTGGGAATCGGTACTGCTCTCCCCTGGATCCTCTGTTTCCTTAAAACCATGCCCCTCCCCACTTTGTAGCAAGGGAGTTCCCTGTCAGATGACAAGTCTGTGGGAGAACCTTGGCTCCCAGGGGAACTTGGAATTAGCAGACAGGGGACCCAGAAAAGGGAGGTGGGAGGCATCAGGGTCATAGAAAGACTCAGATGGACCTAGAGTTAAAGCCCAGCTCTGCCACTGAATAGCTGACAGCCTTGGCTAAGTCTCCCAATCTCTCTGGGCCTCAGTTTCCCATCTCCCAGCATGGTGGGTTGAAAGAGAGAAGGCCTTGCCCAGGGTGGGGTGCACAGAAGACATAGCAATAAATGGTAGGCACTCAGTAAATACACAGCAGTTCTGGGCATCCAGGTCTGACACTGACCCTGGGGAGGGAGCTCTGGGGAACGGCCTGCCTCAGCTTTCTTCTCCCATCCTAGGCGAGTGCTCTATGCAGCCACCTTTCTTCTCTTCCCCCTCAATGTGCTGGTGGGTGCCATGGTGGCCACCTGGCGAGTGCTCCTCTCTGCCCTCTACAACGCCATCCACCTTGGCCAGATGGACCTCAGCCTGCTGCCACCGAGAGCCGCCACTCTCGACCCCGGTAAGGTCACTGGGCGGGGCTGGAGGATTGCTCAGGCTACCCAAGCAGTGAGGAAGGCATCTGCCCTGCCCCAGGGCCGTGCCAGCTGATCAGTTCACACCGATGCCTGTAGCTGCATGTGCCACCTGTGTGCCCCTGCGCTGTGCCTCCTGTGGCCCTGCAGCACGTGCAGTGGATGTGGGGTGTTCTAGCAGGTCCACACGTGCCCATGCAGCCAATGTGCCACGTGCTTGGTGTGTCGACATGCTTGGATGCAGGGAGTGCACGTGCACTCCCTGTGTGTGTGTTAGGGGATGTCTGGATGCCTCCAGTGTGGCCCCTGCTCCCCCAGCATTGCCATCCGCCACCCCACCCCAGGCTACTACACGTACCGAAACTTCTTGAAGATTGAAGTCAGCCAGTCGCATCCAGCCATGACAGCCTTCTGCTCCCTGCTCCTGCAAGCGCAGAGCCTCCTACCCAGGACCATGGCAGCCCCCCAGGACAGCCTCAGACCAGGGGAGGAAGACGAAGGTGCGCCCTCCCACTGGGAATGGGGGAATAGAGCCTACCCAGCTTCTTCTAGGAAGGATGTGTGCCCCTCCCCAGCACACAGAGTGAGCGCCAGGAAAATTCTCACTTCCTCTCTTCCTTGGCTGCCTTTGGTCACCCCTCCTGGTCTGATCTCAGGGTGATTTTTTCCATGATATGAACACACACATACACACACCATATGTGTGCACACAGAGAGAATGAAACAGCTGCCTTCCTAAGGGGCTCCGTCACTGCCCCCGCTTCTCCCTTGGGGCAGGGAGTATGACTCCTCCTTTCCTTCTGCCCAGAAGTGTGTGTAGGGAGGGGACACTAAGCCAGCTCCAGACCCTTGTCCCACCCAGCTTCCAGTCCATCCACAGACCTCACCCCCCACTTCCATGTGCTGCCTGCAGGGGACATCCTAAGCCTCACGACCTGCACACGCCTGGGATTTTCAGGCTCTCTGATCAGGTCTGAGGGCCAGGGAGGGTTGGCTGGGTGTTTGCTGAGTGACTCACAGAAAGTCCGTCTCTCTCAGGGATGCAGCTGCTACAGACAAAGGACTCCATGGCCAAGGGAGCTAGGCCCGGGGCCAGCCGCGGCAGGGCTCGCTGGGGTCTGGCCTACACGCTGCTGCACAACCCAACCCTGCAGGTCTTCCGCAAGACGGCCCTGTTGGGTGCCAATGGTGCCCAGCCCTGAGGGCAGGGAAGGTCAACCCACCTGCCCATCTGTGCTGAGGCATGTTCCTGCCTACCATCCTCCTCCCTCCCCGGCTCTCCTCCCAGCATCACACCAGCCATGCAGCCAGCAGGTCCTCCGGATCACTGTGGTTGGGTGGAGGTCTGTCTGCACTGGGAGCCTCAGGAGGGCTCTGCTCCACCCACTTGGCTATGGGAGAGCCAGCAGGGGTTCTGGAGAAAGAAACTGGTGGGTTAGGGCCTTGGTCCAGGAGCCAGTTGAGCCAGGGCAGCCACATCCAGGCGTCTCCCTACCCTGGCTCTGCCATCAGCCTTGAAGGGCCTCGATGAAGCCTTCTCTGGAACCACTCCAGCCCAGCTCCACCTCAGCCTTGGCCTTCACGCTGTGGAAGCAGCCAAGGCACTTCCTCACCCCCTCAGCGCCACGGACCTCTCTGGGGAGTGGCCGGAAAGCTCCCGGGCCTCTGGCCTGCAGGGCAGCCCAAGTCATGACTCAGACCAGGTCCCACACTGAGCTGCCCACACTCGAGAGCCAGATATTTTTGTAGTTTTTATGCCTTTGGCTATTATGAAAGAGGTTAGTGTGTTCCCTGCAATAAACTTGTTCCTGAGAAACTGTCCTCATAGCGGGAGGGGTATGCAGGGAAAACCCCGCCTACACTGTCAGGAACACTGTGCATTGATGGGGATGGGGCTTGGGGTGTTCTGGTCACATGCTGGGCCAGACACTGGGTGGAAGGCAGAACCCATAGCTGCATCCTTTTGGGTGGCAAAGAGACTGGGGACCCTATGATGCCACCCCTGAGCCATGTGAATGCTGGCTTTGGAAGTGGGACTTATTCTGGGTCTTGAAGAAGGGGCAGGATCTGGGGAGGAGAAGCGACTTCAGGAATGCTGGGGAAGCAGTGTGACTCCAGGTGTGGAGGTAGGAAGGGGCGTGTCACATGGGGGGACATAGCGTAGGCTGTCCTGATGGGAGGAGAATGAGAATACGGAGGGGAAAGGAGGGTGGAGACAGACTGGGGTCTTTTCCCTACTGGGGGCTTGGTGGAGGTGGAGGGCGGGGTATATGAATAAAGAACATGCCCTGGGTCCACTGAGGGGCTGGGGGCTACAGAGGGTAGGAAGATGTGGCCACCCTACAGATCTAGGTCAGCAGGGCCTTGAGAAATGCCTGCACAGTTAGTGGAGATCAACAGTCCCCTGCCCCAAGCTCAGGTTCCTGCTACAGCCTCAAATACCTGTAAAGCCAGGGGTGGGGTCAGGGACCTGAAACCCACTTTCAAGGCTGCCCCGAGGAGGCCAAAGAGGGCACACTGTGATCCCACTGCAGCCCGTTGAAAAAGGCTTCCTGACCTTGTTTCAGCAACTAACAGGGTCTCAGGGGAGGAGAATCCAGGTTCCCAGAGAAAGGGGGCCTGTTCACATTGGGGATGGGGGAACATCCAGGAAGGCTTTCTGGAGGTGGTGATGCCAGAGCCCACTCTCAAAGACTGACTTAGCCAAATGAAGAACAGGGAAAGGGTGCCTGGGCGGAGGGAACAGTATAAGCAAAGGTGCAGAGGATGGCACACCATGGAACATTAAGGGAACAATTAAATAGCTGTTCCAAGAAGAGGAAGGAAGGGTGCGCTTGTTGGAGGAGCAGGTCAGAGAGGCTCTAAGTGGGGAATTCAGGCTTTACCTGGAGGGCAGTGGGGACCACGGAAGACCTTAAAGCAGGGGAGCAGCTAGTCCACTCAAGGCACAGCCATTCCCTGTGTTAGGTCTTAGGTCCATGTCCTACTCCAAGAAGCCAAGCCACTCAGCTAGGAATGGAGCCAGGGATGTCCAAGTCAGGCTGGGAATATCAAGCCTTAGGCAATCAGAGTCTATTGGACCATGAAGTAGCACCTAGTCCTACCATGTCATTTGGTTTTTGAGGCAACTGAAGCCCAGACGTGGGCAATGACTTACCCAAGGTGGCCTAGCGCATGGAATTTGGCTCCATCCTGCTGTTTTCCACCAGACGTGAGTCATTTTTTTCAACTTTTATTTTAGATTAGGAGTCATTCTTGATACATGCTGCTGGTGACATCAGCTCAGCAGGAGCTGCAAGTTGATGAGGGGAGAGTGGGCAGGGGGAGGTGCTGTATGTGGACCTGGAGGGAGGGAATGGGGCTGGCCAGCAGCCAAGGCTCACAGCTGCTACCCCAGACTCCTTAGCATCCTGCCTCCACTTTGCTGAGCTCAGCAGTTCTGGGAGCTCTGGAGAAAGGCCACAGAGCCTCTCCCCCAGGCCATTGTCTCTGCATGCAGCATCCTCGATCTTGAAAGGGATGGGATAGAGGCAGTAGGAAGACATATATCCTACCTGGCACAGATAGGAGGTTGTGCAGAGTCTCCAGGTTAGGACCTCATCCTTATGCTCCTCATCTGGAGAGGCTGAAGGTTGCTGTACACACACACACACACATGCACTGGAGAGGCTGAAGGTTGCTGTACACACACACACACGCACCGCTCAGGTTGCTGTACACACACACACACACACACACACACACACACACACACGGCCCAGGCCAGTTACTGATCCACTTGCTCTGTGGGGAAAGATTCCTACAGGGAATCTGCAGTCCTCATTTGGACTTTCCTCTTGGAATACCATTTCTTCTTTGGGAGAAAGATAAGTACGATTTGTTTCCCCCCTGGTTTCTCCCTCAAATATGTAAATATGTTCTCTTATTCCCAGTCTCTCTGGGGCTTTCTCCTCCTCTGTCCTGTGTCCCCTTCTCCTCATCTGTCTCCTCCATCTTGCCCCACCTGTCCCCTCTTTCCTCTTCATTCCTAACATCTCTTCCAGGAGCAGGACAGGGAAGAGGAGCTACCACCCAGGCACTTCCATTTCCTTGCGCCTTTCCAAAATGCCTCTCTTGAAGCCACTGCTGACATCAGGCGCTGCTCAGGGTCGCCAGCCACCCCAGGCTCCTGCCCCCAGCTGTCCTGTGGGATGGTTTGGAGGAAGGGAACATCTGCAGCTCAGCTCACCGCAAGGCCCAGCCCCTGACACAGCATCGGGCCAGCACTCCTGTGCCTCCACAGTCTGTTGGAGTCTCAGAGGCCCCTGCCACTGTGGGCAGGCAGGCTGGCTGCCCTGACTCTTCAGCTCCTGATCCTATCTCCCAGCAGAGGCTCCTAGATCCAGACAAAATTCCAGGCAGACACGGAGGGGCATCAGAAATGCTGTTTATTTCTCTGCTGCTCCCAAGCTGGCTGGCCTTTGCAGAGGAGCAGACAACAGATGCATAGTTGGGGAGAAAGGGAGGACAGGTTCCAGGATAGAGGTTGCAGGCTGAGGGAGGAAGGGTAAGAGGAAGGAAGGCCATCCTGGATCCCCACATTTCAGTCTCAGATGAGGACAAAGGGACTCCCAAGCCCCCAAATCATCAGAAAACAGCAAGGAGCAGGAGGAGCTTGAGCAGGCCCCAGGGAGCCTCAGAGCCATACCAGCCACTGTCTACTTCCCATCCTCCTCTCCCATTCCCTGTCTGCTTCAGACCACCTCCCAGCTAAGCCCCAGCTCCATTCCCCCAATCCTGGCCCTTGCCAGCTTGACAGTCACAGTGCCTGGAATTCCACCACTGAGGCTTCTCCCAGTTGGATTAGGACGTCGCCCCGTTAGCATGCTGCCCCTGAGAGGAGAGCACAGGCAATGCTGTTAGCAGCAATGAGCACCGCAGACAGTGAGTTAGGGGATCAAATTCTATCCTAGTCACTAGTTTGGAGCAGGTCTAGAAGTTGGGGATAGCAGGTGCTCTAGAAGAGATTAGAAGGAGAGGTAGGAAAATGTGAAGTCACCCATGCAGGCCTCAGGAGTTGCCAACCCCAGACCCCTGCAGCACTTAAAGGGGCATTGGTAGGGGCAAGGGGAGGAGTTAGGGAAGCCCTGGGTGGGGCTAGAAGGAGGTGAGGAAGAAGAAGAGGAGGAGGCTTTGGCCCAGCAGGAGCAGGCCTGGGGGCAGCTGCCCAGGGACCCCTTCTGCGACTGCAGCCTCAGGGTTCCCAGCACGGCTGAGGTAGATGATGACCACATTGTCCTCCGGCCCTGATGGCTGCACCTCGTTGTCAACCGTATAGCAGCCCTTTCCCTCAACCGCTTTGCCATGGAACCTGCGCCCCAGTGTGTCCTCACCACCCTCACCGGGCGTGGCCAGTGCCACGTCCACTGAGCTCTCAGCACTGCCCAGCTCATTGGTGGCCAGGCAGCTGTAGGTGCCTTCCTCCAGCTTGCCAAAGTCGGGGATAAGCAGGCTGCCATTGGCAAAGGCCTGGAAGCGCGGCTGGGAGCTGGCCACAGGGGTGCCAGGCAGGGCACGCCCATCAGTGCCCACGTTGGGGCTGGTGATCTCCACAATGCCACTGGGTATCTGGATGTGCCAGTGAAGCTGAGGGGCCGGCTGCCCGTCCACATCACAGTGCAGTGCCAGCACAAAACCAGGCCGCAGCTCGGCACCATCCTGGCTGGGTTGGTAGCTGAGCTGCACTGAGGGCGCCGAGCATGGCAGTGGCGGCAGGCGGCTCAGCGGCGTACCCTTGAGCACATGGGGTGAGGTGCAGGCGATGTTGTCCTGCTCCGGGATGGACACGGCCGTGGTCAGGGCCCATGTCTTGAGCCACACGATGCCGCAGGTGCAGTCGAAGGGGTTCTCGTTGATCTGCAGGTGGGACAGCGCGGTGAGCGGGGTGAAGGTGCCCTCGGCCAATGTGTGCAAGCGGTTGTGGTTGAGTTGCAGCGAGCGCAGAGCACGGAGGCTGCGGAAGGCGTCGCGGGGGATGAAGGTCAGCTCGTTGCTGTCCATCTTGAGCAATTGGAGGGCACTGAGGTTGTGCAGGTCGCTCCAGGCAAAGTCAGAGATGAGATTGTGGCTGAGGTCCAGGCTCTTGAGATGGCTCAGAGAGGCCAGGGCTCCGGCGGCCACCGTGCGGATCTCATTGTGTGCCAGCCACAGCGACTGCAGCAGGGGCACCTCCCTGAAGGCACCCTCCGGCAAGCCTGGCAGCCGGTTGGCTGACAGGCTCAGTGTAGTCACATTGGCCGGGAAGCCAGGCGGCACGGATTCTAGGTCGCGGTAGGCACAGTCGGCGATCTGGAAGCCATACTTTTCCCCACAGTCGCAGGGCTCAGGGCAGGCCTGAGCCAGGCCCAGGAGAAGCGCCCACCAGAGCAGATGCAGCTCCTGCATGGTGCCTCCTGCAGAGAAAGGCATGTCACCCAGGGGATCCCGAGAACCTGCCAAAGGGACTCATTCCTCCCACAAGCCCAGCCAGAGCTCTTTCCCATCAGGAGGCCCTGTCCCACATAACCCAGCTAAATCCCAACACCACCTAGCCCACCGCCCCCATCCTACGGAAGGAGAAACTGAGGCCAAGAGAAGGGCGGAGACTTGCCCGAGGTCACGCAGCCAGGCAGGATGAAGACGGGATGGAAGAGGACCCCAGCTCCTCCTCCGAGTGGAGAGTTCTCCCTGCCTCGGCCTGTTCCTAGCTGACTTTATGACTTGAAATCTGTTTTCCAGCCACCCCCCTCCCCCAGCACTTTGCAGAACCTCCCCCTGCCCTCCCACATCCTGGCCGCAGTCCCTCCCACCGGAGCCCCCCATAGGTATGCTTTGCCTTGGCCCAGACGAGGCCCCTTGTGCAGTGCACACCACCCCCATCCACTCCACCCGCCCTCTCCCGCTCCTCCGGCCATGACCGCAGCAGACACCAGGCCTTTTCTGTGGAATCACACCCGTGGCCTGTTCTGTTCAAACTTAGCCAGGCAGCTGCCTAAATAAACCCCCGCCAGGACCTCTCAGCTGACTTGGGTGAGGCCAGAGGCTCAGCCCAAACGCAGCTGGGATTTCTGGGGCCTCAGTTGTGGGTTGTGGAAGAAGCAGATGCCCCCTGGACGGCTCCAAGCTAGGGATTGTCCCACGCACCTCAGACCAGCAGGGATGGACCAAGAGGGAACCAGCCCCTATGTCCAACAGGCCTCCCGCTCCCGCCGCTGGCCCTGGAGCCCTCCTCCCCACTGGCTTACCTTCAAGCTACTCTTAGTCAAGCGGAGCCTCTTCTAAGGTGGAACCAAAAAGCAACAGAGGACCTTAGCCCTGAGAGTCTGCAGGGCCACGGGCGCCCAAGGGAGGACTTGGATGCTGGGGCGAGGGGCAGCCTGGTCCCACCCCACCTTCGATGTGCAGGCCTGTGCCCTCCCTGCCCCAGACAGGGTGCCTGGAACCATCCACTGAGAGGAGGCGGCAGGGAGGAGCCCGGGGCAGCCCGCGCACTCCCTCCTTCCAGCAAAACAACTGCTTCTCTGCAGCAACAAGGACCTGTGTTTCATAAGTGACACCAGAAACTTGAGGGGGGAAGAGATGCCAAATTTTTTTGGGTTGTGTTTTTTCTCTCTCTCTCACTCACTTTTAGCAGCTTCAACTTCCTTAAAGACACAGCACTGTCTGGAAAGGACCCAAGAAATGATGGGGCCAGGAGGATTTTAGCGGGGGAAGGGCGAGAAATTGAATCTCATGGAAGGTGGGAGATTTCCACTTCAAACAAGAAAAAACGGGAAGCTTTTGTCCAAGCCAGGGTTGTATGTGTGTTGGTGTGTATACGTGTGTGTGTGTGTACAAGTTTGTGGGTGTGAGGGTGCGTATTTCTGGATTTGTATGTGTGTTTGCATGGATGTGGGTATGAAACCATGTACATGAGTTTGTGTGTGAGTGTGTGTGTGTGTCTGTCTTGGTGTGGGTTTGTGTGTGGAAGTGAGTGTGCATCCATGTGTGTGTGTTTCAGTGAAAAGCCAAGAAGGCCAAAGTGTACAAAGCAGATACCAACCCTTCGGTGAAAGCCAAGATGTTAGGCATTTTTTTTTTTTTTAAGAAAACATATCCTGCTGGCTCTGAGACTGAGCTGCGCTAAATGCATGTTGTTGTCCAGGGAGCTCCCAAGACTCCAGGCCCCGCCCCTCACTGCGCTCCCCACTGGCTGGGGAGGAAACAGGGAGGCCTGGCTCAGAAAACTCAGGGCGGGAGCCTGTTGACCTTCAGTGCTCCTGGCTGGGATTCTGAGCCACCCAGGCCCACTGCCCACTGGGCACCCAGAGGGGAGGCCAAGGGGCCGCACTCCCGGAGAGTTCTCTCTGTGTCCCCCACAGGGCCCAAAATCCCACTGTTGGTGCTGGACATCTACGCGGTCAGCATCGGCCTCTCTGAGCTCCACTGTTCCAACACCAACTGTGTGGAAGGGGCAGACGCCTCCAGGGTGAGGATATGTGACCCCTTTTCCAAACGGGAAGGCCCAGGGGAGGGGAATGGGGAAACAAAAGAGGCCCAAAACGAGGGAGCTGGAAGAGAAACCGAAAGATGAAGGAGCCCAGAAAAGAACTTTGTAGACTGAAGAATTTTGCTCTCCACAGACAAGCCTACCGTATCCCCTCAGTAGCCCTCCCCAAGCTTCCTTGGCCTTCCATCTGATAACTGGTTGAATTCTGCTCATGACTCAACTTACCCTCTCAGCAGGGCCAAGGGCAGACAGGGCTCATCTTTGGCTGAAAGCATCCCCAGGAAGCCTGCCCCAGCTCATCACACCCCATTCCCTGTCACCAAGCAAGGCCACAGAAGTCCCCAGCATGCTGCCTGCAAAACACCCGAGTCTGATGCTGAGGATATTATTATGGTCCAATGGAGAGCACCCTCTCTTTCCCCTGCAGAGGAAGCCCTCTCTTGCATCATCCTGACTGTGCTGGAGAATTTCTAGGAAAGTCCTGAATTTGGTGGGCCAACCAGAGGCTGCAAGAAACACATCCAGGGTTCAGTAAACCAGAGGGGAGACTCAGTGACCTCAGTGTCAGTCAGGGAGGGCTTCCTGGTGGAGGGGGCTTCACTATGTTCTGCACAGCCCATACACACACCCTCACCTGCACAAAGTCTGTGCCACCAGCTTTACCTCCAGGGTGCTCTGAGGAGCTCATAGTTCCCACCCCACCTCCCTCCTTGCAAGCACATCAGGGTCAGAGTACAAGCACCTCCTCAGCCCTCAGTTCCCAGTGACTGTTCTCTCAGACATTCCTGACTTTTCTTCATAGCTCCTCCTATAAGCTGTGATTATTTATTCATGCGTGCTTAATGTGCGACCCCTTACTAGAGAGGAAGCCCACTGAGGGCAGAGGCCTTAACTTCCCAGGTGCTATTGATCTCCAGCACAGGGAAGACACTCTGTAAGCGCCCCCTTCATGGCATGATGGACAAGTTGGGTGGTCATCAGAAGGAAGCATTTTAGAGCTCACCCACTTCATCTCCTCATCAACTTACAGATAGGGCCTTTGGGCCCAGGCTAGGGAAGGGGCATGCCCAAGACATTTTAGAGAATATTTCATACAGTGTAGGAGACCCATGCTCTGTTGGGTGGGTGAGTATGTCAGCAGCCTTCTGGGGGCAGGGAGTCTGTCCCCTCATTCCCTACCTAAGACCTTAATGACAGCCAAACACTAAGCTCAGACTCCCACCTCAAAACAGATGTGGGGGGCTGAGGGCGGGAAAAGTGGGAGGGACCAGCCCACCTGGGCAGAAATGAGACTGTGCGTGCTGGTCACTGATGTATCTTCCTGGTCTGCTCAGGTCCTGCCACTGCCTGCAAGGTGTGGCCATACCCGCTTCCACCAGGAAGGACAATAAGGCCGCCAGGATCTCAGCCAAGGACTATTGACTCTCCAAGGTGTCTCACAGTGGGACAGGTGGGCCTGCTCCTCAGCAGAGCCCAGGAGCAGTTGTGCAGGCCTCTGAGGATGGGGCGTATGACCTCCTGGGTTGCCCCTCTGCTCTTCTCTTGCTGTCAGAGCTCAAGTTCTTTCTGTAAAGCCCACCTCACAGGAGATCATGCCAGCAGGCAGGGAGACAAGTCAGAAGTCGGGCTCCCTGATCTTTTCAGGCTGGGAGCTTCCTGTGGGCTGTCTGGGCTGCCATCTCCCCTCTCCTGGCCTCCTCTAAATTGGGCTCAGGCCTGAGATGGGGACCCTTGGTGAGTATGTGCGGCCCTGACTGTCCCCAGAACTAGGAGGCCAAGCTTGGGAGCCCCTCCTGTGAGTCCTGGCCCTGTCTCCTGTGGGTCCCTGGCAGCTTGTAGGGTGACCAGCCAACAGTCCTGGTTCACCTGGAACTGATGGGTTTTCTGGGACATGGGACTTTCCATGCTAAAATCGAGACAGTCTCAGCAAACCAGTACAGTTGGTCACCCTAGCAGGGGAGGGGGGCTCACTCCCTCCCACAGTTTTTCTTTCCCCCTGCTCCCCTTCCTGCCTGCAGAGGTCCAGCCCTCTCTCCTCCCATTCCGCTGCCTCTCGCTCTGCTCCTGCTCCTGCTGCCCCTAGCCAGGGCGCCAGCCGCACCCCAGCTGTGGCTGCTCAACCAGGACTCCCCCACCCCAGAAGGCCTCACTCCCACTGACCAGGGGCACCACGTCAGCTTTTCCTGGAAGGCAAAAAAAAAGATCCTGATGAGAAGATGGAGCGAGAGGGACAAGCCCAGCAGAGACAGAAAACTGGAGAGAAACAGAGAAATGAGAGAGACACCAGGAAAGAGAGGGAAAAACAGAGAATCACAGCCTCCTTTCTGGAGGTAGAGAAAGGAAGCAAGGGAGAAAGACCCAGAAAGAGAGATGGAGGAAGAAGGTCTGAACCCGGAAACAGGCTCTGAGAGGAGAGAGGCAGTCGGGGGCTGCTGTGGTCAGCTGTGGTTGTGGGCTGTAGCCATCCCACCAAGAGGGGCAGAGTCTATCTTGGTCCCGACACTGTATTCCCCCCAGCAGCCTGCTGGAATAGCTGGGAGGAAACTCGGGGCACTCCTGGTGGGACTTGGTTAAGCCTGTGGGTGTCCTGGGAGAGAGAGGCTGTTGAGAAGATAGGGTTATGGAAGGAGCTTTGGACAGCTGGTGGGACTGCGTGCGTGCATGTGTGTGTGTGTGTGTGTGCGCGCGCACACACACACAACATGCACATGCATGGGGGGACATAGAGTGATCTGCCTAGGTCACCAAATTATGAGGCTTCCTTTTTCTAGGCCTTAGTGCCTCTGTCATACGTGAGAGTTGGTCTAAAGTCCTTTGGCCCCTATATTCTGCCTGTTTAGAATTCTCAAAAATGTCTACACTAACACAAGGGGCCCGTGTGCATGCGTGTGTTCATGCACAATTTCTGTGTGCATGCATGTGAAAGGTGAGCCTGTGACTATTCTCCATGTGTGTGTGTTGTTCATGCACAAGTGTGGGGATGTGAGGTGGAGTGAGCAGGAGCTCGTGGCATGTGCACCCAGGGCTGTGGATGGGGGAGAGGCACTGCAGGCCCTATCTTCTCTTCTGGCGTCACCCTAGCCCAGAGGTTGCAGCTGACCTTACCTGGGGTGGCCTCACTCCCATTTCCTCCCCATTCTCCTCCACCCCTTCCCACCACTTGGGCATGAGGGCTTCTCCCCTCTTCTCAGGATCTCTGACCTAGGAACCCAGGTGAGCCTTGGTGGGCAACCTGGCCACTTTCCCTGGCCTCACCCCCCTTTGCTCTGGCCCTGCTCACTGTGTGCAGCCCCACGTGTGCCCTGCTCCCACCTTGGGGCTGCTGCTCCTACTATTTCCTCTAACTGGACAAAGTCTGTCCACACCTGCAGGGCTCCCTTCCTCTTGTCTTTTGAGGTTTGTTCAAATGCCAGCTCCCCAGAAAGGCCTTCCCAGGCCACTCTATATAAACAGTCTTTGTCCCTTGCTGTCTCCTCACCTTGCCTTACTTGTCCTTCTTCCCTCCCCTCCCCTGACATCTCTGTTAGTGTGTTTCCTGTCTATCTCCGCAATCTGAATGTGAGCTCCACACAGGTGGGTACTTCGTTCTGTCCACTGCTATCCCCCTAGTGCCCAGCAAAGGGCCTGCCACTTAGTAGGTGCTTAACAAATAGTTGCTGAACAAAGGAATGAATGAACAATAACCTTGACCTTCCAGCTGGAGCCTTTGCCCCCCTCTCTCCTCCCTCCTCCGTCTGCCCAGGGCCTCCTAAGCCCTCCCTGCTGACTGTCACTGCCCTTCCACTCAGGGCCATCTCCAGCCACTTTTCTGGTCCCCTCTCCTGGCACCATTCCCACTGCTCTCTCCTGACCTTCATGTTCATCCTCAGGGACTATTTTCAGCAGTAGCACCAATTGAAGCATACTTCATAGGAATTATTTTTGTTTTTCCCCAAGCCAGTCCCAGTTTCCAGGAATGCAGAACTTGGCCGCACCCCCAGGATACATCACAGACCTCGAGTTTTCAGCCCCAGCCCTTCCCAAAGGGTAGGGGTGGGACTGGGGAGTGTTATGAATGACAGTGAGTGTTCAGTTTAAAGTTCTAGATTGGAACCAGTGCTATAGGGTCAGGATCACGACCCTCTGTTAGCTGTGGGGCACTAGGAATGGGCCAAGGGCCATTTGTTAGGGGTCAGCATGAAGGGTCTGGATTAGACGCGGGTGCAGGTTGAGTGGGTGGGGCAGGGTTAGTTTAACCCTGAGGATGAAGCAGGATCTGGGGTCTGGAATGGGGGAGTCACAATAATCCCTCTGCTCCAGGGGAAGATGGAATTGAGGGTAAAGGGCTTGGAGGGTAATGCAGAGAGAGAGAAAAGGAGAAACGGGGGGACCCAGCAGAAAGCGAGGGTGAGGGAAGGGGGAGGGAGGGAGACTGAGACATAAAGAGAACAGTGGTGGCAAAGGCCTGGGACAGTCAGGAGGAAGGTGGAGCCTCTCACTGACAGCAGAAACCCATCTGGCTTGGCAGACACCTGCTTCTCACGAAGAGGTGAGGCTGCAGCGCTGTTCCATGCAACACCTCCCCACCCACCCCCAGCCACCAGACAGAGACTGTGGGCAGAGCTTGGCCTTCTCCCAACCCTGAGGGGCTACCAGGAGGTACAGGTGGGAGCACCAGGCTAGAGATGGAGGGAGGAGAGAAGCTCTGGCAGAGAATGCTGACCAAGAGGAGGCAGGGCAAGCAGGCTGTGCTGACCTCAGCCCAGGGAACCTCTCGGGGGAGACAAGAAGACAGGTGGCCAGTGGGCCTGGGGAGGTGGTATTGTCTTCAGGGGCCTCTGGGAGAGCAGGCCAAGCAGGACAGAAGGCGGCACAGCTGCTGAGGGTTGTAGAAGCTGAGAGAAGAGAGGTGAGAGCTGCGGATCAGGAAGACTCAAGGGAGGAGGTGAGAACTTGGATAATTTTCATAAGTTTTATTGAAGTGAAGCATGCAAATGGCAAAACAGAGCATCACATTGACAGAGAGGCCTCTAACAAAACACTACGATCCTCCTTCTCCCACCCTCGCCTTCTCTTATGCACTCTCCAGAGCAACAACTGATGGTTTCTGGTTCTTCTTCGGCTGTGGTTACACACGTCAGGCCTGCCCATAACATTTGCAGGGCCTGTGACAAAAGAATAATTGGAGGCCCATATACCATATGTGTAAATATTTTATTTATTTATTTATTTATTTATTTTTGAGATGGAGTTTCACTCTTCTTGCCCAGGTTGGAGTGCAATGGTGCGATCTCGGCTCACTGCAACCTCTGCCTCCCAGGTTCAGGTGATTCTCCTTCCTCAGCCTCCTGAGCAGCTGGGATTACAGGCACGCACCACCACGCCCAGCTATTTTTGTATTTTTAGTAGAGACAGGGTTTCTCCATGTTGGTCAGGCTGGCCTCAAACTCCTGACCTCATGTGATCCACCCGCCTCGGCCTCCCAAAGTGCTGGGATTGCAGGTGTGAGCCACTTCGCCTGGCCTATTTTCTTTTCTTTTCTTTTCTTTTTTTTTTTTTGAGACAGAGTCTCACTCTTGTCTTGCTATAACAAAATACCTGAGATTGGGTCTGTCGCCCAGGCTGGAATGCAGTGGCATGATCTTGGCTCATTGCAACCTCCGCCTCCTGGGTTCAAGTGATTCTCTTGCCTCAGCCTCCCAAGTAGCTGGCATTACAGGTGCCCATCACCACGCCTGGTTAATTTTTGTATTTTTGTAGAGACGGGGTTTGGCCATGTTGGCCAGGCTGGACTTGAACTCCTGATCTCAGGTGATCCGTCTGCCTTGGCCTCCCAAAATGCTGGGATTACAGGCATGAGACACCACATCTGGCCATATGTGTAAATATTTTAAAGTTATAAATTCTACAAAAGATTTAATATGTTCTGTTCTCCAATCCATGACAAATGTGTCTTAATAACTACGTGGAAGGCCAAATTCAAAATTTAGAATTCTTGGTGTCCTCATAAAGAGGAGAAATTTGGATACAGAAGGAAGACAAGGTGAAGACACAGGGAGAACATAAAATGGAGATGAAAGCAGCTGGTGGAGCCGTGCATCTGCAAGCACCAGAGATCGCCAGCAAGCAACAGATCCTAGTAGAGAGGCCTGGAACAGATCCTCCCCTGCAGAAACCAACCCTGCTGACACCTTGATTTCAACCTCAGCCTCCAGAACTGTGAGATGATAAATTTTTGTTGTTTGAGTCACACTGTTTTTTATTTTTATTTATTTATTTATTTATTTTTAATGAAGTCTTGCTCTGTCACCCAGGCTGGAATACAGTGGTGCGATGTGGCTCACCGCAACCTCCACCTCCCAAGTTCAAGCGATTCTCCTGCCTCAGCCTCCTGAGTAGTTGGGATTACAGGCTCCTGCCACCAAGCCTGGCTAATTTTTGTATTTTTAGTGGAGACAGGGTTTCACTACATTGACCAGGCTGGTCTTGAACTCCTGATCTCAGATGATTTGCCCGCCTTGGCCTCCCAAAATGCTGGGATTGCAGGTGTGAGCCACCACGCCCGGCCGAGTCACACTGTTTTTGATACTTTGTTATGGCAGTCCTAGGAAACTCATTCACTCTGCTGGGAAAAACAAGGTTTTAGTTCATACGCATGGCTCCCTTTCATCACTCTTCATTCCTCCTGGTTTTTGCGAGTTAAAATATTCTTGGTTCTTCCACTGGTTACCTTTGAGCTCTAAGTAATAGACCTACATCCTACTCCATAGAGTGAAGATACAATCGAATGACTTCCCACTATGTAAAATAAGAAACCGACTTCTATCTCTCCTCTATCTCTCAAGTCTTTAATAGTCTTACTTTTACATTTTAAATGATGATAACATTTAGATACTATTCTGAAGTCATTATTATAACAGCTGCATTTTGTCCATAAATTGACTCTGAAAAAATCAATAAACCAATATTACATTCTCATGCCTGTGTGAGTACAGTTCACTGTCACCGCTGAGCCAAGGAATATCCAAGAATTACATTTCTTTCCTTTCTGATCCAATGTCATGATGCCCAGGCTGCTCAGAAGGGGTCCTTAGCATCAAGGTCAAATGTATTCAATTTTCTTATGCTCCATCAGCTGCTCAAAGACATGCCACATTTCATTTGCTTTATATTTGGGCTACAGCTTTTTCTGCACAGCTTTTCATTTTCCTGGAGTTTCTAATTGCTTTCTTTATTCTAATTGTCAAAAGAATAATGTGCCTTCAACCAATACTAAAAATAACCCACCTTTGTATACATATTCTTATGCTGACATTACCTGGTATTAAAAGCACCTACTTTCTTAATGACTTACCTTATTGACATATGAGCTTCTTCTTTTTATTTTTGCTTTTCAAGCAACTGGAAGCCCTTTTAACCCTAAAGCCTCTTCAGTTGCAGAACCCAGAATGAAGCTGGGCTTTAGAGAGCATCTAATCAGAGCCCATTTGAAGCTTCACTCTCTTCCCTGATATGTGATCATAATGTTCCCTCTAGAATCTCATTGATGTTGGGGAGCTTTCTACTCCAAGGAGACCCATTTGCTTTGGAAAGGTTTTAAGCGTCTTCTTCTTGGAGCAACTCTGTCTTAGTTCATTTTTGTTGCTATAACAAAATACCTGAGATTGGGTCATTTATAAAAAAGAGAAATTAATTTTCTCGCAGTTCTGGAGGCTGGAAAGTCCAAGAGCAAGGCACCAGCAGGTTTGGTTATGTCTGCTGAGGGCTGTTCCCTGCTTCCAAGATGGCACCTTGTTGCTGCATCCTCCAGAGGGAAGGAATGCCATGGTCTCAAGTAGCAGAAGGGATGGAAGGGCAGTAAAAGAGTGAACTCCATCTGTCAAGTCTTTTTTTTTTTTTTTTTTTTTGAGATGGTGTTTCACTCTTGTTGCCCAGGCTGGAGTTCAGTGGCATGATTTCTGCTCACTGCAACCTCTGCCTCCTGGGTTCAAGTGATTCTCCTGCCTCAGCCTCCCAAGTAGCCGGAATTACAGGCATTTGCCACCATGCCCGGCTAATTTTTGTATTTTTAGTAAAGACGGTTTCACCATGTTGGCCAGGCTGGTCTCAAACTCCTGACCTCAGGTGATCCACCTGCCCCGGCCTCCCAAAGTGCTGGGATTACAGGCGTGAGCCACCACACCTGGCCTGTCAAGTCTTTTTATAAGAGCCCTAACCCCCTAACCCTATCCGTTTATGATTATGGAGCCCTCGTGACTCAATCACGACCTCAAGACCACACTTCTTAATACTGTTGCATGGGGCATTCTGTTTCAACATGAATTTCAGAGGAGACACTATTATACAAACCATAGCAATCTCCAATCATCATCAGGCTCATGCCTCTCCCTCAGGGAGCACCCAGTTAGGAGGACCACTTTCTGTTTGTCTTTGTCTTCCTCCTTCATGATGTTCACACATGAAATGATCCCATATGTCTGTGGGAAAGGATGAAAAAGTTCTCCCTCACTGGCTATTTTCTCTATTGTGTCCTGTTGTTGTTTGGTTGGTCTTTTAACCCATGAGGCCTCTATCCCAAGGTAGAGAGGAGCTGGAGGGAGCATTGTGACTGACCAGCTTCTCTTTAGGGCATGTGACCCATTAGGCTGGGGGCAGCAGCACCCACACTTAATCTCTACCCAGGTAATTCCCTCCCTAGGGAAGCAACCTTCAGTGTTACGGCTGGGAAAGAATTAGAAAACAATTAATTAATTATACCCTTATTTTTAGCCTTTTTTTCTTTAGGCAGGAATTACCAAAAATCATATCTACTATGTTTTAAATTCCTACATTGTTAGTATATGCCAGGCCCCCTTTATACATACCATCTCCTTACACAAACCCAGGGTAGGTACTTTTTTGTTTTGTTTTGTTTTAGAGATGAGGTCTCCCTTTGTCACTCGGGTTGGAGCATAGTGGTGCTTCATAGCTCACTGCAGCCTCAACTTCCTGGACCCAAAGGATCCTCCTGTCTCAGCCTCCCAAGTAAAGGTAGGTACTTTTTATTGCCCATCTAGAGAAAAGAGCACTGAGACTCAGGTTAAGGAATTTTTCAATGTCCCCTTGGTTAGGAAATAGGTGACTAGAGTTTGAACCCACATCTCTCTGATCCCGAAGCCCTGGTTCTTTCGTTCTTTTGAGAGGCCATGCAGACAGGATAGGTTCGGTTTCAGCAGGAAAGGGCAGTTTTAAAAACATGAAGGCAGCTGGGCGCAGTGGCTCATGCCTGTAATCCCAGCACTTTGGGAGGCCGAGATGGGCGGATCATGAGGTCGGGAGTTCAAGACCAGCCTAGCCAACATGGTGAAACCCCGTCTCTACTAAAGATACAAAAAGTTAGCAGGGTGTGGTTGCACCTGTAATCCTAGCTACACAGGAGGCTGAGGCAGAAGAATCGCTTGAACCTGGGAGGTGGAGGTTGCTGTGAGCCAAGATCGTGCCATTGCAATCCAGCTGGGCATCGGGGCGAGATTCCGTCTCAAAAAACAAACAAACAAACAAACAAAAAACAACAACAAACATGCAGATAGACTTTGACCAAAATCAAGAGCCCTCCAGAGGGCCAATGGGAGCTGGGATATAGGAAGGGAGCTGGGGCCAGTTTCCTGTTGGCTCTTCTTTTGTGGATATCAAGAGCCAGTACAGGGGCTTTGATGTGACAGGTCAGGATAAGAGCAAGGCTTATGAATCCAACATCTGGCAAAGATAAGACAGATTAGAAACTGGGGGACAGAAGAGGACTGGGGGAGGCTGTGAGAGTTGTAAGGAGGCTATGTCAACAGCCCAGAGAAGAAGCAGTGGTGAGGGAAGGGGTAGTAAAGTGAACAGGTGTGAGAGGTGGTGAAGAAATGACAAGATGGGTCATAAACTGGGCCTAGGGCAAGCAAAGGGGGCTTTCACTAGACTGGCAGAAAGAGTGCAGTCACTGTTCTGTGTGACGTTCACTAAAGCAGCTTCAGCGGTCTAGAAATATTCATTATTCCATCCACTCCATAAGTACCTCCTGGGCTCCAACCATGAGACAGGCAGTAAGCCAGGTGTGGGAACAGAGCAGGGGACAAGAGTGACGATGGGTTGCCTTCATGGAGCTCACAGTATGGTGACGTGGACACTGCCCATCAAAAATAAGCTTTCTGGGTCAGGTGTGGTGGCTCACACCTGTAATCCCAGTACTTTGGGAGGCTGAGGCAGGAGGATTGCTCGAGCCTAGGAGTTCAAGATTGGTCTAGGCAACATGGCAAAAGCCCATCTCTACAAAAAATAAAAAATTTGCTGGGCGTGGTGGCACATGCCTGTAGTCCCAGCTACTTAGGAGGCTGAGGTGGGAGGATCGATTGAGCCAGGGAGTTTCAGGCTGCAGTGAGCCATGATCATGTCTCTGCACTCCAGCCTGGGCAACAGAGCAAGACCCTGTCTCAAATAAATAAATAAATAAATAAATAAATAAATAAATAAATAATAAATAATAAAGGGCAGAACTCTTTCTGCCCTCCCCCCACCCCAACTCCTTTTTTCCTCTTGAGACACGAAGACCTGAGGACTCTCAGAGCCCTGGGTCTGAGCTCTGGGAGAGGGGGCAGTCTGGTTGACATAACCCCCCACCTCCCTGGGGCACTTTTCCTCAGCCAAAGCTGATTTTTTACCCAGAATATGCTCAATGTCATACCCATTCCTGGGACCCTTTCCGCACCTGTTCCCATTCTTCCGCTCCACAGGCAGAATTTTCTTTCTTTATGTTTTCTTTTTGTCTTGGTTCCCTCTGAGGCAGTTGTGAATGCCAATCAAAATGACTGCTATAAAATTTTAAAATAAGAAAATACCACTACACATCTATTAGAATAGCTGAAAATTTTTAAAAATGAAACAAATTATCAAGTGCTAACTAGCATGCAAAGCAGCTCATACACTGCTGGTGGGAATGCAAAAATGGTTCAGCCACTTGGGAAGATAATTGGGAGTTCCTCACATAGTAAAACATACATTCATAATATAACCCACGAATTCTGCACTTAGGCAGTTACCCAAGAAAAATAAAAATGTGCACACAAGAACCTTTATGCACATGTTTATAATCACCAAGAACTGGAAACAACCCAAATATCCATCAGCTAGTGAATGGATAAAAACACCACCACCACCACCACCACCAGGGGCTCATTGTATCCATACAATGGAACACCACTCGGCAGTCTAAAGGATTGAGCTACTGATATGCACGACAGCCATGTGGATGGAACCATAGATACATGATGCCGGGCCAGGCGTGGTGGCTCACACCTGTAATCCCAGCACTTTGGGAGGCCGAGGTGGGTGGATCACCTGAGGTCAGGAGTTTGAGACCAGCCTGGCCAATATGACAAAACCCCTTCTCTACTAAAAATACAAAAATTAGCCAGGAATAGTGGGGGATGTTTGTAATCCCAGCTACTTGGGAGGCTGAGGCAGGAGAATTGCTTGAACCTCGGAGGCGGAGGTTGCAGTGAGCCAAGATTGCCCCATTGCACTCCAACCTGGGCTCAGAGAGAGACTCCATCTCAAAAAAAAAAAGAAGAAGATGATGAAGAAAAAAGAAACATGATGCAAGTGACAGACAGGATCACCAATATTTTAGAAAGACAACCCGGGACACAGCCATGCCATGCCATGCCAGACGAATACAAAAGCCATAATACCATATATAATAAATAATTATACACGGATGTGCCATTGATTTTAAAATATTACCATAAAATATGGAAGATAGGTGCTTATTTGAAATTATATATTCTGATTTATTTACCTTTCTGTTATATAAATGTTATTTAAACCAGACAATAGGACTAGTTAATAACAAGTAGTGACAATTAATAGTAAGACCAATTAAATATGTGTGAAAAAATAAAACAATATTTTTACACTGTTTTTATCCTTGTATATGGCAATTTGTTTTTAACTTTTTAAAAGTCCTTATTGAATATTTAAGGTTTATAGGCTATTTATTTTATATTATTAAGATATATAAACATAAGACTTCTAAAAAGGAAAACGTAACTATTCACGATAGCAAAGACATGGAATCAACCTAAATACCCATCAATGATAGACTGGATAAAGAAAATGTGGCACATATAGACCATGGAATACTATGCAGCCATAAAAAGGAATGAGATCATGTCCTTTGCAGGGTCATGGATGGTATTGGAAGCCTTTATCCTCAGCAAACTAACACAGGAGCAGAAAACCAAACACTGCATGTTCTCACTTATAAGTGGGAGCTGAATGATGGGAACACATGGAAACATCGGGGGAACAACACACAATGGGGCCTGTCAGAGGGTAGGGGTGGGAGAAAGGAGAACATCAGGAAGAATAGCTAATAGATGCTGGGCTGGCTTAATACTGAGATGATGGGATGATCAGTGCAGCAAACCACCATGACAAACGTTTACCTGTGTAACAAACCTGAACATCCTGCACATGAACCCCTAAACTTAAAAGTTGGAAAAGAATAAAAAAAAGGAAGGCAAAAAATTAAAAAGGAAAATGAAAATAGAATAGGAATGATGAAACAGGTATTTCATATATTTGATTTTTTAAAAATGTCAGTTTCCTCCTGTCCCATGCTAAAGTAAGATGCCTTAATGTCAGTTTCCTTCTGTCCCATGCTACAGTAAGATGCCTTTTATTCTTTCAGCTTCCTGTCTTAATAATAGTTCTCTGAATTGCCTGTGGCATTTATGACACCCATCCTTTCTTTTATGCAATGATAAAACTGAATGGAGATAAGTATAACATTCACTTTGGCCTGCGGCTCTGCTCTTCTCAAGCCCACATTACACTGATTTCTAGTGTCAGTCTGATGTGATAACACAATGCTAAATAGCTTCTCAACAATACTGTGTGAGGGCATGGAGTACCTAGGCTTTTATTTACTAGCAACAGCAGGTTTTTAGACTTGTAGGAGTTAATTTCCACCTCTCCATAAATGTCCATCCCCTGTATCTATGGGCTTGTTTTGGTAGGCCAGCTGTTCGTCAATCAGTTCTTTTGCTTCAATAAATTAATCACACAGGCTATCGATGTCTAAAATGTCTGTCATTCTAAAACACTTCAAAGCACATTGGATGTCATCATAAGGTAAGCCTCTTTTCTCTGGAAAAAATGGTTTCAAAGCAGGGAGGTACTTTGAACTTGTGAAATTGAAGCTGGATTCCAAATAAGTTACAGTTTTAGTAAAGAAATTGAGAAAATCCTGTTTAACTTGGCTGTCCTTTCCTAGTGATAATTTTTTAAGTTTCAAAGCAGTCTTATTTCCAAGAAATGAGTCATTTGTTCACTAGATGAGTTTTTGTCACAACCTACACCTAAATGGAACGAGTTAGATGCACTTAGTTCATCCTTTTCTGTAGCTTTTTTAAAGATTATGAAACAGTCTTGGAGAAACGGCATATAAATTTCCATTTTACAGTAATCCTTTTCTCTGTTCTCATCCTCAATGTATTTCCAAAGTAGTGAAGGACATTCTTCTCATCCTACACTTTGAAAATATGATTTTATAGTAGGCCAACATGCTAACATCTTTTCTGCAAGACATCTTGTAGGCATGTCTAAGAAGGCTATCTCCTACCACGCCCATAAAAATCAAAAATCTCATAAAGCGCCTCTGCATGCTTTGAGGAAACTGAAAACTAACCAAAAATGTCATTATGAAACTGTCAATGTCACAGTAGGCAAATCATACCTCTTTTTAGCAGTGTTATGTAAAAGGTACAGAGGGGTCAGGACGTTTAGCAGGAAATTTTTAAAATTTCCTTTGGTAAGTTTATAGACTGAATGGAATTTTCCAATATTTACATTTGCACCATTTGCCAAATATGCAGATAGATGAGCAGTCTAGTTTGCATTTGAACACAATATCAACAATCTTTTGTTTTATATATTCTGCAATTTCATCACAATCTTCATAGAAGTCAGGAAAACAACTTGAAACTCCATTTTCCAAATAAAAAATACTTAAGAGCTAGGGAGAACATGTTTTTGTTGCCGTGATTCCACACATTGCTTGATAGAGTTTAGAATGCATGCTTGTTGGAGTAGTTCTCAGAATCAGCTCTATACCATAAAGGGTCAACCCATCTGTTATCAAAATTTCCCCTTTTGTTCCCACTTGGGCCATTTCAGTTGCAACTTCTGAATCAGGAAATGTGACTTCACTCAGTTTCATACAGCATCAAGGAAAAAATATGATAACGAGAGTTTGTTTGTGTGATAAGCCCAGGTGAATTGAGTGGCTACCACTTTCAACTGGGCATTAGTGTCTTTTTGGAAGATGAGAAAACTTGAAAGATTGATTGACTGATGATTGATTGATTGATTGATTGACTTAGAAGTACCTGTCCCCTCCTAGACTGGTGAGATTCAGATCTATATTAGTGAACAGCACTCCCCTACCTCAGGCAGGGCTGCTGCACACAGCCCAGGAGGTACTCCCTGCACTGCAAGGACAACAGAAGAACATCTCTGGGGACAAAGCAAGAGCATGTCACCTCCCCAAACTAGAGCCAGTTTTCAGGGTGACTTTTCTAGACTAATGCACAGCTGTTCAACCGTGTAGATGGAAAGGTGGGAGGTGATGTTGTAATGATTGTAACTGCTTCTGGGCCTGACACATGATGGAGAGAAGTTGGGGAGTGTTCTGCGCTGTGAGTGATCTGAGGATTTCACTAACATAACATCCTCAGTTCTCTGCCCTGGGCAGGGAGGCAGGTAGAGTGAGCAGGCGCAGATCATCGGGTGCAACCGGCATTCATGGAAGAGGGAGCATGTTGCGTGTGCAGGTTGGATGCATCTTTGTCATCAGTTATCCAGGAGAAGGACAGTGCTCCATTCGGCACCCTAGGAACAAACAGGTGCTCTGTCAAACTAAGAAGGACCAGGCAGAGGTCAGCTGGTTGGAAGAGATTCCCAGGAAAGACAGAGGGCTAGGCTACCGGGTCACGGGTTAGCCAGCAATAAGGCCAGTGGGAGGATATAAGTGACCCTCGGCCTGCAGCATGAGCATCAAAGAGCACACAAAGTGGAGGGAAAATGTCTTTTATTGTTGGATAATTACCTTGTTTCTAGCTCGTTGCTATTACAAACAGAAAAAAAGGAATAATCAGCTGAAAATGGATTCAAATGATATTTTTAGGTAAAGAAAAAAAGAAAAATCCATCAAAATTAAGAAAATCAGATCACTAAAATGCTTAAAGATGCATAAATGTTTGCAAAACCTCTCTATGGGGAAAAAATTAATCAGATGGGGGAAACCAGTGATTGGGGATGTTCAGTGCTGGGGACATTAGTGTATGCCCAGATTGCTTTGGATGAGTCTATTTTTGCCACATTGAGATGCTGGTTCTGTTGGGCAATGTCGTTTTCCCATGCCTCTCAGATTGACAGATTCCAGAAAGCTGGCAGAGAGGCAGGGTTTGTCAGAGGACAGACATGAGATCCAGAAATAGGCCAGAGCCAGTCAAGAGTGATGAAAAGATAAACAAGGCCCAGCGAAGCTGCCGGGGATGGGGACCGGCCTCAGCAGCAGTGTCAGGGAAAGGGTGAACAGATTTTAGTAGACTCAGCTTCCTCAAGAGCAGCTGCAACCCGCAGATCAACTTCCTGCCTCAGTCAATAGGGTGGGCCAGGCTGCTGCAGAGACACGTCTGTATATCCAGTTGCAAGCTGGAGAAAGTAAATATGGAGAGAGCAAGGCAAGGGCTAGCAGAGAGCTCAAGCAACTAGCAATCATTTGTGCGTTTCCAACCCATTATTTGAGCTTCATGTGACACTGTCATAGTTAACCATGTGAACACAATTACTGCCACTCAGTCACCAACTCCTGCAGGAGCAAGGACTTTTAGAGATCTGCTTCTAAATGATGTAACTCTCTCAGAAAAGTAACTTAACTGTTCCCACTCTGTGACTGCATTCATTTCCATGGCAGCAGGATGTGTTTCCAGAATCCCTGGCAGCTATAGCTGTGAACAGGGAGAACATAGCTCCTGGAGCAAGCAGAGGCCAGACACCAGCTCTCCCAGCTTCCTTCTCTGTCTCCTGAGTTCAGCATCTGTTCGTTCATTCATTCATTCATTCATAAAACACATAAAGAAGTACCCACTATGCCTCAAGCACAGTCTAAGTTCTAGGGAAGAAAGGTGAATGAGCTCTATTCCTGACTGCAGTCAGGTTTCTGATATTGACTAAGTTTTCATCCCCAGAAAATGGTGACTATATTTTGTCAAATAAAAACAAATCCAGAATTAGAGAGGGAGGGAGAGGCTTTAATTAGAAAGACGATTGCAATATGGAGAACTCTCCCATCTCAGAAATCTGTGAGTGTCTCAAAATCAAACAGAAATAACTTTTTCTTTCACAGGGTAAAGAGAGGACAAGCAGAGGTAAGCAAACGTTTGGAAGGGAAGCTGGCCACACAAGGGGTGGGGTCTGGCGGGAGTGTGCCTAGGAAAGACAGGGTCAGCCGATTCCCAGGAGGAGCTGATAAGGGGTCACAATCCACTTTCTGTTATGCTTGCTCAGGCTTGGAGGAAAGCAGACCTCAGAAGCCTGGAGGAAAGAGAGAAGCTGCCTAAACCTTGGCCAAGCCAAAGCAGACGGTAAGAAACAGGCCGCTGCGGACACCTGGTCAATCTCCAGCAACCGATGCTTTTGATGAGTGTCAGATGGGTGGCTGATGAGCACCGAGCCTCAGCTGATGAGCTGCATTCCTCAACCATTTTCTAATAACCATCCGCTCACACATCCACACACAGACAGACCCACAGGGCTCCTTTCCTGTGGTGATTTTGATTGCCTTACTCTATACTTTATCGTTTTCTAGGCCACGAACAGTAGCTTCCTTCTGATGGGTAAAATTCAACCTAATTAAACCCGAAGCACACCCAATCGCCAAAGAAAGATGAAGAAACAGATATATTCCTTTGTTTCTTGAATAGAAAAGCCCGAAGAATGGAAATAGGATTTATAACTTCCTGACTGTAAGAAGAAAAATACCATAAATAAAACCTGACCTATCTAACAAAGGGCACAAATGGGGGTGGGAGGCAAAAAAGCATGGCCGATAGAAAACTCAAAGTGTCAGGAATCAACCCAAACATATCATTAAGTATAAGAAATTATGAATAAGTTGTTATAAATTAAAGGAAAGACATTCAAATTGGGTTTTTGAAAATCCAGTTAGATGATTTACAAGTGTTCAGTTATCTATTGCTACATGACAAACCACTCTAAAACTTAATGGTTTAAGATGAAGATGATTGATCATTTTTCATAGTCCTGTAGGCTGGTATCTGTGTGGTTCTTCTGCTGATCTTGTTGGGAGCACTCATGTGGTTGCTGTCAGCTGACAGCTCAGCCAGAGCTGGAGACTCCAGGATGTCCCCCGTGCATGTCTGGGGGTCAGTAATTGTCTTGACTGGGGCGCCTCAGTTCTCTTCCATGTGGTAGTTGTCCTATTGTAAAAATGACCATTTAGGAATACTCTTGCTGTCCACTGGGCTGACTCACAGGCATTGTGACATGAAAGGTCAGGGTCAAATGTATCACAATATGAACTTGGGCTGGCATGGTGGCTCACATCTATAATCCCAGCACTTTGGGAGGCCAAGGTGGGAGGATCACTTGAGGCCAGGCGTTAAGAAACCAGCTTGAACAACATAGTAAGACCTCATCTCTACAAAAAATACAAAAATTAGGTAGGTGTGGTGGCGTGCACCTGTAGTCCTAGCTACTTGGAAGGCTGAGGCAGGAGGATTGCTTGAGACTGGGAGGTCGAGGCTGTAGTCAGCTGTGTTCATGTCACTGTACTCCAGCCAGGACAACAGAGCAAGACCTTGTCTCAAAAACAAAACAAAACAAAAATGAACTTGTTCTAAGGCATTTGGCAATGAAGCAGCTGGGTAGTAGAGAAAAAACAAATTTTGAGATGTACAGAGCCAAAAAGCTTGGCTAGGGAAAACCCTTCCCATTAGATATAGAAATTTGCGAGGAGAGTACTCAGTTCTCATTAACGTTTAGTCAAAGCCAGCAGTCTCTCCTGTCAATAATGTATTCAACATTGCAAAATAGACCAACACCTTCAACATTCTAAGGGAAAATAGTTTCAAACCTAGAATTCTACGTCCAGCAAAACTATTAATTGTCAGGGCACTTTTTTTTTTTATTTTTGAGTGAGAATCACATGAAATCGAATTTATCAGAATCCCTATGTCTGTGGGACACAAAACTGCAATAGTATTATAACTTCAAGATCACCAATAATAAAAAACAAATTTTGATCAAACATACTGAAGAAAATACTGAATTGTCTTTTTATTTTTCTTTCTGGAAATTATTACAAACCATTACCATTAAGAAGAAGCACAGTGGCTTTGTACTATGTTAACTTGGCTAGGCTGAACTGTTTTTTTCAGAATTGCCTTTCTGGAATGTTTCCAAGTAGGGTGGCCACACGATATTTCTTTTTTTTTTTTTTTTTTTTTTTTTTGGGGATGGAGTCCCATCTTGTGGCTCAGGCTCGAGTGCAGGGCTTGATCTTGGCTCACTGCAACCTCCGCCTCCCAGGTTCGAGCAATTCTCGTGCCTCAGCCTCCTGAGTAGCTGGGACTACAGGTGTGCATCACCATGCCTGGCTGATTTTCGTATTTTTAGCAGAGACGGGGTTTTGCCATGTTGGCCAGGCTGGTCTCAAACTCCTGACCTCAAGCAATCCGCCCTCCTCGGCCTCCCAAGGTGCTGGGATTACAAGCGTGAGCCACCGCGCCCAGCCACAGAGACATTTTTGAAGGTGATTTAGAGGGTGGAAGACAGGCAGCAGCCATTTGGTTGCTTACCTGCTGGCTGACCTCTTGGGCATGGGGCAGCAGCTGGGCTTGTACCTCCTCCAACTTCTCCTGATCCTCTTTCAGTTGCTCTGACTCCTGGCCCAGGTGTGTGTTAAGCTCTGCGAGGCAGGGCACCAGCTTCTCCCACAAGACACCCACATCATCAAGGTTGGAGACAGTTCTGCTCTGTCCTTATAGGTTCCACCTCATGTTCTTGGACTCTAGCTTGTTCTTGCTCTCCCTGGAGTTTTATTTCCCTCTTCCTTTCCACCCTGCCTGCCCTGCAGACTTCAAACTCCAGCATCAGATGCAAGGTAACAGCCTTACAAAGCATGCTTAGTCAGCTTCCACAATTGTGTAATGTTGAAGCCCTACAGCAAATCCATTTAAAGAGAGGGAGAGAGAGAGAGAGAGAGAGAGAGAGAGAGAGAAACATATCCTTCTAGCAGGATCTGCTTCTGCTTTTGATTGAAGGTCAACTGATACAAAGGTCTTCAGAGATACAACTAAAAGTTCAGGAGAAAATCATTATAAAGCAATGTCATGTAGTTTAATGTTCGACTACTTTCCTGGATTTTGTGGTTTGTGGTAATTGTCACCATTTTCAAAAACTGCAGTTTGTTGTGATTTCTTTTCCCACATTTCTTTGATGTCTAATTTTCCATTTGTGATTCTGTATAATTGCATAATTTTAGGCCTCACAAGATCAAGATCCTCTCTTGCTTCTCTAGAGAATGTGCTCCATCAAAAAGAGAGAATAAACCAAGAAGAGGAAGACAGAGGATCCGGAAACAGGGATGATGGTGCACGGAAGTCCCAGGATGACAGCTGTGCATCAGGCCTTCAGCAGCCAGGATGGGAGCAGAAGGATGGGGAGCTCTGGGAGTGTCTCCAAGAAAGAAAAAGAAACTGATCAAATATCTAATTTTTAAAACATATTGAGGGGAAATTTATACTTCTGCAATAAATTTTAGGATATCGTAATAGAAACTAAGAAAATAACAAATAAAAAAACAAAAAAACAAAAAACAAGGTAATTATCAACCGCGGGAGAAGAAAGGTTGTATGAGAAAAGAAATAAAAACAGAATTCAGTACATGGATCAGCTGTGAACTGTGTTTGCATAATTATTATAATGTAAACATTGGAACAATCATTTCAGCAAAAGTTGCAATTTAATCATATTGGAAGGATGAAAGGAAAGTTGAGTGTGTTTGTGTCTTTGTGAAAGAACGAATTTATTCAACCTCCATAGGAAGTCAATAGGTGATACATAAAATTGAAAAAATAACAGGAAAGCATGTTATTTTTTAATATGGTAGGAAACAGCAGAAAAAACTGAAAAAGTTCAAAGTGGAAGGGAAAGCACTAGGAACTGGAATCAGAGATAAAGTATGGGACTGTTTTCTCATTATAAACCTTAGAGAATTATTAATTAAAAATGAATTCTAACACTAGAAAAAGATATATTAGGAATATATTTTTAAAAAGAAAGTGGGAGTGAGAATATTAATATTAGAAAAATAAATTCAGGACCGGGTGTGGTGGCTTAGGCCTGTAATCCCAGCACTTTGGGAGACTGAGGCGGGAGGATCACTTGAGTCTGGGAGTTCAAGACCAGCCTGGACAACATGGTGAAACCTCATCTCTACAAAAACCGCAACAAAATTTAGCCAGGCATGGTGGTGCATGTCTGTACTTCTAACTACTTGAGAGGTTGAGGCAGGAGGATCAAATGAGCCTGGGAGGCAGAGGTTGTAGTGAGCTGAGATTATGCCACTATACTCCAGCCTGGGTGACAGAGTGAGATCCTGTCTCAAAAAAAAAAAGAAAAAAGAGAAAGTCAAGGCAAAACACAATAAAAAGAACAAGAACAAGGAGGCTACTCATATTAAAACATAGGATAGTTCACCAAGAAGATATAATAGGCACAAACATTCATGCATCTACTAATATAGCTTTGACAGAAATATAAAGAGAAAACAAATCTCAAATCAAATTAGGAGATTTCTAATACACCTCTCAGAAGTCCACAGGTCAGATAGAAAATAAGTAAGGATATGAATGGTTTGATAAAAATTAAGGAACTTGATCTTAAAAGTAATCTAAAATATCTTACCCAATAAGAAAATACATATTCTCTTCAAGCACACACAAAATTTTCAAAAAAAAATTAAACATGTACTAGCTCACAAAAGAAATCAATAAAACTCAAAAAACAGAAGTCATACATGACACCTTCACAAGTCACATGTAATAAAATTAGGGCTGAAAAAAGAATAGGCCAGGTGCAGTGGCTCACGCCTGTAATCCCAGCACTTTGGGAGGCCGAGGCGGGTGGATCATGAGGTCAGGAGTTCGAGATCAGCCTGGCCAACAGAGTGAAACCCCGACTCTACTAGAAATACAAAAATTAGTTGGGCAAGGTGGCACGCTCCTGTACTCCCAGCTACTTAGGAGGCTGAGGCAGGAGAATTGCTTGAACCCAGGAGGCGGAGGTTGCAGTGAGCCAAAATCACACCACTGCACTCCAGCCTGAGCAACAGAGCGAGACTCCGTCAAAAACAACAACAACAAAAACAAAACAAAACAAAAAAAAGAATAGTCAAATAAAACAAGAGCAACAGCAACAGCAACCACAAAATGATCCTGAAAAGTTTTAAATATGTATATAAATATTATTGGGTTAAAGAAATAACTCAAACAAGAATTACAAACTTTTCATTGTGGTAAAATATACGTAACATAACATTTTCACCACTTTTAAGTGTACAGTTCAGTGGCATTACATTCATTCATATTGTAGTTAATCATCCATCCATCCATCTCTAGAACTTTTTCATCATCATACTGAGATGCAAACTTTTACAAGAACACTTAAAACATTACATAGTAAAACTTGCAGTATTCATCCAAAACAATATGCAGGGGATCTATAACCAATGGATTCACCCAAAAGCAATAAATGTTTAAAAAATTAACTAAGGTCTCAACTCAAAAAGCTAGAAAAAAGAAAAATAAATAAATCCAAAGAAAGTAGAAATAAAAATACTGGTAAAGATAAAAATCAGAGATTAATGAACTAGGATGGATGCAGTGGCTCACACCCATAATCTCAGCACTTTGGGAGGCTGAGGCGATTGGATCAATTGAGGTCAGGAGTTCAAGACCAGCCTGGCCAACAGGGTGAAACCCCAACTCTACTAAAAATACAAAAATTAGCTGGATGTAGAGGTGCACACCTGTAATCCTAGGTACTTGGGAGGCCGAATGAGGCAGGAGAATCGCTTGAACCTGGAAGGTGGAGGTTGCAGTGAGCTATGATTGCGCCACTGCACTCCTGCCTGGGTGACCAAGCAAGACTAGTCTCAAAAAAAAAAAAAAAAATTTAATGAACTAGACAGAAAAAGATGTAGAGTTGATTAATAAAAATAAAAGCTAGGTGTTTTGTGAAAAGACCACAGCTTGGGAATCTTAACAGAAAAAAAGAGAGGAGACATAAAAAACAACATTAGGAGTGATAATGAAGACATGATCATGTGAATAAATAAAAATAAGGATTGGTTATAAAAATAACATTTAAAACATCTTGCTTGGTGTGGTGCCTCTCACTTGTAATCCCAGCACTTTGGGAGGCAAAAGTGGGAGGATAACTTGAGCCCAGGAGTTCGAGACCAGCCTGGTCTCAACGTAGTGAGACCCTGTGTCTAATAAAATAAAACAAATAAAATAAAATAAAATAAAATAAAATAAAATAAAATAAAATAAAATAAAATAATTCACCTAGAGAATCCCAAGGAAAATACTAAAAATTCTTAAAACCAATAGTTAGTTCAGCAAGGTTGCAGATATAAGATCAACACAAGGCCAGGCGCAGTGGCTCACGCCTGTAATCCCAGCACTTTGGGAGGCCGAGGCGGGTGGATCACGAGGTCAGGCGGTCGAGACCATCCTGGCTAACACGGTGAAACCCCGTCTCTACTAAAAATACAAAAAAAAAAATTAGCCGGGTGTGGTAGCGCGCGCCTGTAGTCCCAGCTACTAGGGAGGCTGAGGCAGGAGAATGGCCTGAACCCGGGAGGCGGAGCTTGCAGTGAGCCAAGACAGCGCCACTGCAGTCCAGCCTGGGCGAAAGAGCGAGACTCCGTTTCAAAAAAAAAAAAAAAAAAAAAAAAAAAAAAGATCAACACAAAAATCATCACTTTTTATATACTAATAATGAACACCCCCAAAGAAATTGGGACATAACAATTTTTTTTTTTTTTGAGACAGAGTGTCGCTCTGTCTCCCAGGCTGGAGTGCAGTGTTGCAATCTCGGCTCACTGCGAGCTCTGCCTCCCGGGTTCATGCCATTCTCCTGCCTCAGCCTCCTGAGTAGCTACGACTAAAGGCACCCGCCACCACGCCCGGCTATTTTTTTTTTTTTTGTATTTTTAGTAGAGATGGGGTTTCACCATGTTAGCCAGGATGGTCTCGATCTCCTGACCTCGTGATCCGCCCGCCTCGGCCTCCCAAAGTGCTGGGATTACAGGTGTGAGTCACCGCGCCCGGCCAAACATAATAAAATTCATACAGGATCTGCAAGCTAAAAATTACAAAATGCTGATTAAAAAAGTCAAAGACAACCTAAAGAAGTAGAGAGACAATATCATGTGCTCACAGATTAAAAGGTTCAACATTGTAAAAATGTTTATGGGTTTAATGCAATGTCTTTGTCTTTCTTTTGTAAACATAGATTTGCTTATTCTAAAATTTATATGGAAAGACATAGCCCCTAGAATAACTAAAACAATCTTACAAAAAAAAAAAAAAAAAAGTAGGCGGAACGACTCTACCTGATATTAAGTCCTACTATGTGGTTACAATAATCAACACAGTGTGTTATTGGTGGAGGCACAGATACAAAAATCAATGGAATTGAATAGAAAACCCAGAAATAGACCCACCCAAGCATGCCCAACTGATTTTTTAACAAAGGTGCAATAGCAATTCAACAAAGGAAGGATAGTCTTAACAAATGGTGCTGGAAACATTGGACATCTACAGACAATGGGTTCATCTAAACCTCACACCTTATACAAAAATTAACTGAAAAAGTATAACTTGCAACTATAAAACTATATATGTGCAACTATAAAACATATAACTATGTTTTCAGACAAAAACATAGGGGAAAATCTTCAGGATCTAGGACTAGGCAAAGAGTTCTTAGACGACATCAAATGTATGATCCATAAAAGGAAAACTTGATAAATTTGACCTCATCAAAAAGTTTTTAAAAGTCTTCCTCTGTGAAAGACCCTGATGAGGATGAAAATACAGGCTACAGAATAGAAGAAAACATTTGCAAATCACATATCCAGCAAAGGACTAGTATCTAGAATGTATAAAGAACTCTTGGCCAGGCACAGTGACTCATGCCTGTAATCCAGCACTCTGTAGGGGCTGAAGCGGGCAGATCACCTGAGGTCAGAAGTTTGAGATCAGCCCGACCAATATGGTGAAACCCCAACTCTACTAAAAATACAAAATTAGGCAGGCGTGGTGGCGTGCACCTGTAATCCCAGCTACTCGGGAGGCTGAGGCAGAATTCCTTGAACCTGGGAGGTGGAGGTTGCAGTGAGCTGAGATCATGCCATTGCACTCCAGCCTGGGCAACAAGAGTGAAAAAAAAAGAAAAGAAGAATATATAAAGAACTCTCTAGTATCTAGAATACATAAAGAACTCTCAAAAATCAATGGTAAAAAAATCCCCCAAACCTGAGAATATGTTAGGTTACATGGCAAAAGAGAATTCAGGCTTCAGACAGAATTAAAGTTGTGATTCAGCTGGCTTTAAAATGGGGAAATTATCCTGGCTTATCTGGGTGGACTCAATGTGATCACTAGGATCCTTAAAAGTGGAAGAGAGACACAGCAAAGAGAGTCAGACAAAGAGATGTGATGACAGAAGCCGAGTCCGGACTGCAAGGGGAAAAACAATGCATACATATATGGTCACCTCACTGATGACAAAGGTGCTAAGGCCTTACTTACAGTGGGGGAAAAGATAATCTTTTCAATAAAAGGTGTTAGGTCAACTGGATATTCACATGGGAAAAAAATGAATCTTGGCCCCACCTCACTCCTTATACAAAAGTAACTTCCACATGCATTGTAGATGGAAATAAAAAAGGTAAAATCATAATGTTTTTCACAAGAAATCATAGGAGAATATTTTCATCATCTTAGGGTGGGCAAAGATTTCTTAAATATGGTCCTAAAGAGTTCTAACCATAAAGAAAAAATTGATAAATTGGAGCACATTATAACTAAAAACAGCTCTTCATAAAAAGACACTACAAAAAGTGTGAAAAGAGAAGCTGAAGAGAGAGGGAAGACATTCTGTACAGAAAGCTCATACCCAGAATATATGAAGAATTTCTACAAATCAATAAGAAAAAGACAACCCAATGAAAAAGAGAGAAAGACAGTTTACATAAGAGGATTTTCAAATGGACAGGAAACAACAGTATTCAACTTAATTAATTGTCAGGGTAATGCCAATTAAAAACACAATGCAATACCACTACACACCCAACAGAATGTCTAAAACCAAAAACAGATAATACTGAGTTTGATGAGGACTCTCACGGCTGGTGCAAGTGTAAATTGGTACATGTTGAAAAACTGTTTGGCAGTATCTACCAAAGCTGAGCATATGACAAGACTTCAAACCATTTGTGGAAAAATGGAATTAAAAGATAAAAATAAGAAATATAAACTCTATGTCTCAACATAAGCACCACGAAGTTCTAGACACTTTTGTAACTGATGATACCAGCTATTTAGTCCACCTCTAAAGAACAGAGGGTCCTGGGAATTTAACCATGTCGATGCCATCTTTTAAATATTGTTAACTAAAGAAAAATGGGTGTTTTAAAATATTTTTCTTAAGGTTAGGAAACAAAAAGAAGTCAAAAGGAGCCAAATCAGAACTGTAAGGTGGATGGCTAATGATTTCCCATTGAAACTCTTGCAAATTGCCCACTTTGATGAGGGGAATGAGCAGGAGCATTGTGGTGGAGAAGGACTCTCTGGTGAGGCTTTCCTGGGCATTTTTCTGCCAAAGCTTTGACCAACTTTCTCAAAACACTCTCATAATAAGCAGATGTTATTATTCTTTGGCCCTCCAGAAAGTCAACAAGCAAAATGCCTTGAGCATCCCAAACATCTGTTGTCATTGTCTGGACCACTTCCACATCTTGGTAGCCATTGCTTTGATTGTGCTTTGTCTTCAGGATGGTACTGGTAAAGCCATGTTTCATCTCCTGTTGCAATTCTTTGAAGAATGCAACAGGGATCTTAATCCCACTTGTTTAAAATTTCCATTGAAAGCTCTGCTTTTGTCTGTAGCTGATCTAGGAGCAATGGTTTCAGCACCCAGTGAGTGGAAAGTTTGCTCAACTTTAATTTTTCAGTAAGAAGTGTATAAGCTGAACCAACTGACATGTCTACGGCATTGGATATTTTTTGTGCTATTGTCAGTCCTCTTCAATTAGGGAACAAACAAGATTAATTTTTGGCCAGCACAGTGACTCATGCCTGTAATCCTAGCATATTGGGAGGCTGATGCAGATGGATCGCTTGAGCCCAGGAAGTTGAGACCAGCCTGGGCAACATGGTGAAATCCTACCTCTACTAAAAATACAAAAAATTCGCCAGGCGTGGTGGCACGCACCTGCAGTCCCAGCTACTTGCTTGGAGGCTGAGATGGGAGGATCACCTGAGCTTGGGAAGTCAAGGGAGCAGTGAGCTGAGATCACATCATTGCACTCCAGCCTGGACAACAGGAGTGAGACCATGTCTCAAAAAAAAAAAAAAAAAAAAAAAAAAGATTTTTTTCTTCAAAAATTGACATGGATGGTCTGCTGCTGTGGGCTTCATCCTCAATATATTCTTATTCCTTCTTAAGAAAAGTTATCCATTTGTAAACTGCTGATTTCTTTGGGGCATTGTCTCCATAAGCTTTTCCTAAGGTATCAATGATTTCATAATTCTTCCACCCAAGCTTCACCATAAATTTGATTTTCATTCTTGCTTTGATTTTAGCAGAACTCATGTTGCTGTAATGGAGGTTCTTTTCAAACTCATATCTTATCCTTCTTAGAGCCTCAAACTAGATCCTGTTCAGACATGTTATAACAAGTTAGTACAAGTTAGTGAAAACATTTTGAAATCATGGTTAGTTTTTTCATAATATGCATTTTTCGTGTACATTTTGAAGACTCCTGGAATATATGAGGTTTCAATACAGGCAAAACTAATCTATGATATTAGAAGTCAGGAGAGTGGGGATGGAGGAGTGACTCCGAGGGAGCATGAAGATGCTGCAGGAGTGCTGGTAATTTTCTTTTCTTGATATGGGTACTGGTCATAAGAGGTATTTTCTCTTTATGAAAGTACTTTCCTGAACGTGTGTTAGACTTCAACAAAAATTTAACCAAAAAGGTATACACCTTATGACATGGCCTCAAAAATATACAATGCAATATGAGCAGAATTACAAGAAATAATTGACAAGTCTAAAATCATAAGAGATTTTTAACATGCCTCTCTCAGAAATTAATAAAACAAGCAAACAAAAAATTAAGTGAGGAAATAGAGAATATGTAATCAATAATATTAACAAGCCTGATCTAATTAAAATATAAAAATCATAACCCAATAATTCAAGAATAAATATTCTTTTCAAACTTATATAAACATTTGCAAAAAATTGACTACATCCTATTCCTCCAAGCAAGTTTTAATAATTACCAAATAATCAGCATCACCCAGTCTGTATTCTGACAACGAGGTAATGCAAGTGGTATCAAAAACAAAAGTGTCAGAAAAAAAAACACATACATTTGAAAATGTAACAGCCCATGTCTAAATAATTCATGAGTCAAGGAACAAATCTCACAGAAATAAAATATTTAAAACTAAATGGCAATGTAAACACTACCTATTAAAACTTGGGGAATACTGTTAAAACAGTACTTAGGAGGACATTAATAGCTGTAAATGCATACATTAAAATGAAGAAAGTTTAAAAATTCGTGAATTCAGAATTGAACTCAAAAGGTAAACACTGAGAGGTGCATTGGTCTGAGTCAGACGGAGCCTGTGCCTTATACCAGAGAGAAAATGATGATGTTGGTACCAAGGGGATCTGGGGCAGCTTCACAAAAGGGTTCCATGCTCCAGTGTGGCATTCATGAAAGCAGCAAAGGACCTCTGCGAGAGGACCCAGAGGGAGCTGAGTCATGCCTGCAGACCTCCTAGACTCTACCTTAGGAAGCACCACCTTCAGGCTAGAGAGCTGCACCACAGGCTAGCTCTTCATACAGACAGTGTGGAGTGATGGCTCCCCTGGATTTACAGTTACACCTTGCCCTAGGAACACCCAACAGGAGTGGCATTGCCAGTTCTGCAGTGTGACTGTACCTAGTGACCATCTGACTTGCCCCATGTGACGTCCCCTCTCACAATATCCCAGGACCACAGCAGCTCGAGATGAATAGGAAGAGAGCCCTAGACACTGGGTGGGATGTGGATGATGGGGATAACACCCTTCCTGTGCACTTCGGGAGACTGAACTGAACCAGGTGGAAGCTCCTTGAGTCAGGGTGATGTTAATGGCTCTGCTGTGTATTTCCATACACAGACATCATGTTTATAAGTACCTGCGAAAATGGTCTGAAAAGATACATGGTACCAGGCAGGGCGTGGTGGCTCACATCTGTAACCCCAGCACTTTGGGAGGCCGAGGCGAGCGCATCATCTGAGGTTGGGAGTTCGAGACCAGCTGATCAACATGGAGAAAATCCGTCTCTACTAAAAATACAAAAAAATTAGCTGGGCTTGGTGGCACATGCCTGTAATCCCAGCTACTCAGGAGGCTGAGGCAGGAGGATTGCTTGAACCCAGGAGGCAGAGATTGCAGTGGGCCAAGATAGCGCCATTGCACTCCAGCCTGGGCGAGAGAGCGAAATTCCATCTCAAAAAAAATAAAAAGGTACATAGTACGCTAGTAAGAGTGGTTACCACTGGGGAGAGCTCTAGGATTGCAGGCAATGGTCAAAGAGAGTTTCAGTTTATCAATATTTAATTATCTTAGGACAAGAATGCATTCATATGTTACTCTTGTAATTTAATAAAATTTATTTTAGAAAGAAATTAGAAGTTAACATAAAATGTTAATACATTATTTTTTGGATGAGGGAATTATAAATAATAAATTGTTTTTTTAATACACTTCTATATTTTTCAATTTCCTATAACAACACTAGCAATAGAACTTTCCATTAGGATGGAAATTTTCTATAGCTCTGCTGTCCAAATAAACAATTGCTGTTAGCAATGTGCCTAGTACTTAAAATGTGGCTAGTGGGATTGAGGAACAAGTTTTAAAATTTATTTCACCTTAATTAAAATTAAAATGTAAATAACCACATGTGGCTAGTGGCTAGTATCGGACAGTGCTATTCAATAAGGAGCACGTATTACTTTGGTGCCTGATTTCCAAGGGTTATTTTTCCATTTTTAAAAATTGAGGTATAATAAGGGCTGGGCACCGTGGCTCATGCCTGTAATCTCAGCACTTTGGTAGGCCGAGGCAGGCAGATCACCTGAGGTCAGGAGTTTGAGACCAGCCTGGCTAACATGGCGAAAGCCCATCTCTACTAAACATACAAAAATTAGCTGGGTGTGGTGGCAGGTGCCTGTAATCCCAGCTACTCAGGAGGCTGAGGCAGGAGAATCACTTGAACCAGGGAGCTGGAGGTTGCAGTGAGCCGAAGTCACGCCATTGCACTCCAGCCTGGGCGACAAGAGTGAAACTCCATCACACACATACTCACACACACACACACACAAATTGAGGTATAACAAATTCAATAAAGTATACAACTCAAGTGTGTAGCCCATGGATTTCTACATATGCATACACCCATGTAGCCACCATCCAGATCAAGGTATAGAACATTTCTAGAATCTCAGAAGTCTCCCTTGAGCCTTCTCCTAATCCCGGTTAGTACCTTCCAACTTTTTCCACCAAAAATTAGTCTTGCCTGTATGTGAACTTCCTTTAAATTAAATCACTCATTCCATAATCTTTTGTGTCTTTCTTCTTTCACTCACTGTGATGACATCCATGTTGTGTGTAGCTGCAGTTTGTTCTTCATTGCTCTGTGGTATTCCAGGGTATGAATATACTACAGGTTACTTCCTCCATTCTACTGTTGGATATTTAGGTTGTTTCCAATTTGGGGCTATTACAAATAAAACTGCTATGAACATCGTTGCACTTGCATCCACCAAAGGACTCTTCTGTCTTTTGATGGATGTAAACATTCATTTCTATTGAGTATATACCCAAGAGTGAGATTACTGAGTCAGACGTATGTGTATCTTTAATGTTTCTAGATTGCCAAATATTTCTCCAAAGTGGCTATGCCCATTTACATTCCCAATGGCAACCAAAGACAATTCTAGTTGAAGCATGCATTACTTTTATTTTTATATTTGTTTCTTTTCTTTCTTTCTTTCTTTTCTTTTTTTCTTTTTCTTTTTTCTTTTTTTTGTTTTTTGAGACAGAGTCTTGTTCTGTTGCCCAGGTTGGAATGCAGTGACCTGATCTCCGCTTACTGCAACCTCCAACTCCCGGGTTCAAGCAATTCTCCTGCCTCAACCTCCAGAGTAGCTGGGATTACAGGCGCACACCACAACACCTGCCTAATTTCTTCGTATTTTTAGTAGAGACATGAAATAGTAGTTTGAGACCACCATGTTGGCCAAGCTGGTCTCAAACTCCTGATCACAAGTGACCTGCCCACCTTGGCCTGCCAAAGTGCTGGGATTATAGGCATGAGCCACTGCGCCTGGCCTGCACTACTTTTATAATCAGGAAAAAAAAAAATGCTATTTTGAGAAATAAGAGAAACAGCAAGAGAAATCCTTTTTCTAGACAAACTCTGTAATTAGCCGCAAATTTAACCATATAGAAAATATGTTATTCTATACTTCACTGGTTTGTAGAGGCTTCAGGAGGAGGTTTGGCTTGGTGACTAAGATCTCTGGCATTGGAGTCAGATAACAAAAGGACAAACTTCAACCCTGCAAATTGCCAGCTGTGTGATCTTCAACAAACTACTAACCCTCTGTGCTCTTTGGTTTCTTTGCCTGTAAATTAGAATAATAATATTACCTCACAGGATCACTATAAGGAATGACAAAATAATGCTTGTAAGATCCATAGTATGTGCCTGAAATATAGTAAGAGTTCAATAAATGTTAGCCACTATTGGTATTATTAGTATTTATACTAATATTAGGTGGTGACTATTAGCATTCTTAGTCTAGATGTGTGACAAGCCTCTATTATTAAGACGCATTTGATAATTAATTCTCCATTCCTATTCTCTCCCCATTTCGACAATGATCAATTCTTACGAAGTTCCTCGGTAATTTATATAATCATAGAAATTTTTCTCTCAAATGGCTGGATGCCTTGAATGGCTTTTAGATTCAATTTAAGAAACAGTTTGAGAATGTTGCTGGGAGAAAATGCATTTAATTTGCCAAAACCAAATTAACTCCTAATACACAAGGGAATACATGTAAGCAGTAAACAGTTGATAAAAATACAAACACTTTTTCTCTCCTTGTTCTATGTGGACTTAAACTTAATTATTAAACTTACATTCACATGTTCAAACAAAGCACACACAATTAGCACAATTTTCAAAATCGTCCTGTCTTTAAATCCCATAAATTACTTATTCAACAATGGAATGATACAAAGTCTTTCCAACTAATTTAACCCAACAAGTTGGTTTTGTTTTTGTGCCCATCATGGGGCCTTTGGATGGCTTTTTAAAAAATCCATATCAAGTCTCATTAGGAACACTGGTCATATTTTGAACAAAATGCGAATATTGCAAAACATTTTAAAATTTAATCTCTTCTATATGCCAGTCACAGCAGATCTTTCATTTTCAATATAATGTTATTCTCTATTGAGTCCTAAGGCAAAATCTTATCATTGAACAGATAGGTGTGGGTGGCTACATTTCAAATGTAATCAATGAATTGACACATTACAACTGAAATGGCTCCACTTGCTTCCTCCGAACTGCCCAGCAGGATTTCTCTTATCTATACCTTTATGTTGGAAATGTATAAGGTAAAGGTATTTGTTAGGTCAGACTTGGCAATTTATAGCCTCAACAAGGGGCCTTTCTTATGTCCTGGTACTAGGGCTTGGCTTTCTGCAGAATACAGGCTTGGATTTCTGCAGAGAAAGGAGATCCCCCAGTTTCCCTTGCTCTGTGCTTACATAGTCATGGTCCTTTCTTTGCAGGCGACACCTCCTGTTGTGCAGAGAGCAGGTCCCTTTTTCCCTATGGAATGTCTCATAACTGGGGCTCTGTTAACAAATGTGGGGCAGGGTAGTCATAGCAAGATGCCACTCCTTTCCCTCTACCTACCAAAATGCATTTCCCTGAGATCAAGGAGGAAAAACTGAGATGTCTACCAGGAAGTCACAGGCCATATATGTACTGACAACGAATCTTTGGAGATGTTAGCTTTAGTTGTGGTTGTTATTTTGATGTCATGGGTGGAGGGCTGCATTCCAGACACAAGATCTGGGACCAGAGGACCCTACCCCAGCTGCTTCTTTCTCAAAGAAGCCCTGCCTTCCTTTGTTCTTTTATATTAATGGACTTTAATGATCTTCAAGATGGTTCTCATTTCAGCTGATCTTTAGGAAACATTTAGGGGGAGGAGGCACTCCTTTCAAATAACCTTTCTTTAGACAGGTTTCTGATCTGATTCAAGGCCACATCCTGGCCATCTGGTTTCTGTAACTCAGAGAATTACTGCTCCTGATAAATTGCTCTGAGTTCTGAGGCTACTGCTGTCATATTGCATTCTCCGACCATTTTCCAGGTCTCTCAAGACACACACACACACACACACACACACACACACACACACACACACACACACTCCTCAAGCCGTTAGACTCCATTCCCATGTAGTATCCAAATAAGTTTTACAGCAAGACACACTGGAGAGATTGAAGCTAGCACAGCACATGAAGCATACAGGAAAGGCTCAAAAAAGTTGCATTGAATGGAAAGCCTTGGAGCCAGGGAGAGAGGGTCAGAGGTGAAGATTACACCTCCACACCTGGTAGGTTCTCCCAGAGAACTTGCCAGTGGCAGTCAGGCCTGAGGGGTGGAACCCAGGCAGAGACACATTTTAAACTGCTAAACAACTGATTCCCTGGAAGCGGGGAGTGGAATGTGAGCTCCCCATCTCTGGATAAGTATAAGCCAGAGTTTTACAACCACCTGATGGGGACACTGTGAAAATGAATTCAACCTCAAATTGGTAGTTGAACTGGAACAATTCAAAAAAGAACAGAGAGGAATGAGGGAGAGGAAATGAAAGGAAGACATTTTATTTTAATGTAATTAAATAAGTTAAATTAATTACATTTAAAAAGAGGTAGGAAGGAAGGCCAGAGGCTGGGGACCATTCTGTGCATTGGCCAAACATTTGGACAGAAACTAGAGTTTTCCTGAGAGGGCTGGGATTTCAGTGGGCAGTTGGCAGAGTGTCCCAGCACCCTGGTCCTTGGCCTCCAACACGTATTCATTCCTACCTGTGGTTGGAGCCTTTGGGCCTGGCCAAGCCCAGAAGGCACAAGGTCTAGCTGAGTAGTATTTGCTCATCCATTAGGATACGTGGCCCTGGACAAAGAGGGGCAGAGCTTTCACCTCCTCTCCACCTGCCCTAGTGGCACTCAGGATCCTAGAGGGTCTCGAGGAGGGCCCCCAATTCTTAGGACAGGGAGGGAAAGGAAGGGGCCTGTCTTCCCACAAGAGACCCATGACCAGATGATTGAGTTGCACCAAAACTGCTGAGCACTCACTGGCCCAGCCAGGCCTGTTCCCAGAAGCAATCACGTGGCTGGATTCCTAAACAGGCCCTAGGAATTGGGCCAGTCCTTGCCCCGTGCTCAGCGGTAGGATTTGCAGGTAGAACAAAACAGGTGTCTTCCTAAGAGATAATATTCTTGAGTTGTGTCCCAGGCAGTGGGGTGGACTGCAGTGTTGGGCTGTGACCAGGAGCAGGGCTCAGGCTGTGGCCCTCAGAAGGGAATTTTTCTTGAAAACAGCTTTGCTATGAGATCGGGCTGTTGACAGTTCTTGGTTGGCCCACAGCTACCCATGTCAGTTATCTCCGCTAACATTTCTAAGAATCTTTGTAGGACAATTTCTCACCTGCAAGCTCTTTCAAGTAGAACTCTTCTTTCCTTTAAGGCAATTAGCCCATTGCCTAAAGGTTTTACTGTCTTAAAGCTGGAACTGTCTTTCTGAGATCTAATTCCAAGGACTTCTCCACAGCTAAGTGAGATGCCTCACACCAGTATTAGGTGATTCTTTGTGTACAGAACAGAGCGTTTTCATCTTGTGTTTAAAGCAATTTCTTGGCTTCGGCTCCTCACCACTTTCTATACCAGTCTCCCATTCACATCCCTAGTAATGCCTATGCAAAAAAAAAAAAAAAAAAAAAGAGAAAAGAAAAAGAAAAAGCTGATGGTGAAACCTACAGGTTTAAGGGCTTAAATCTCAGACTTTGTGTTAGGAGTAACAGGAGTGTGCTGAGAGGGCAAGCAATAAAACAAGTCATACGAAAAAGCCACATTGCTCTCTCCTAAGCCCCAACCCCACTCCACTCCTGTGGCCAGTGGTCCAAACAGAAAATGACTGGAAGAAGACGAGGAGGTTAAAGGATCAGGGAACAAAGCATTATGTGAATTCACCAAGAAGATGTACAGAACGCTTGTGTTTACATTGTTTTTATGGAACTAGCAGAATAAAACTGATCTATTTTAAAAATAAAAAAATAAAAAAAAAAGAAAGAAAACAGCTTTGCTGGTCTGGGAAGGGAATCTGGGCTCAGGCCCCAAGAAGTGTCACAGCCACCACCTATGCCAGAGGACAGACCTGAGGCTGGGGTAGGACCCTGAGCATTGGAACTTGGGCCTGTTGCCAGCCTGGACTGGTCCAATTAGGAAGACCCACAGAGACAGCAAAAGAGGACAAGAAATTGGAAGCAGGAAGAAGGGAGGGGAGAGAGAGAATCTTTATCTGCTTCCCATTTCTGTTGCTTTCCTCTTCCATCTCTCTTCCCCGCCTCTTCCCATCTTAGGGGGATTCAGCTGAGACACACAGCAGCCCAACCCGTGTGTTTTAGGCTGGCCAGGAGCACAGTCTCCTTTCTTGATCCCCCTGTCTCTCCTGTTCCTCACCCAAGAAAGCCCCTTTCTAGGACTATGAAATCAGTGTGTTTTCAACCCTGATTCCCCAGGTGCACCCCCTTGGCACACCCTGACGGTTGTGCATGCATCATTCACTGAGTGCTCCCCACCCACCCACACAACGCACACACTTGGCTCCCAGGCCAAACGTGCCGGCTCGCTCTGGGCAATCGGCCTGGCCAGGTTCTCCCCCTTTCCTGCTTTACATCATTTGCCCGCTCTGTACTTTGTGTTATTTGTGACTTCTCTTGTGCAAGCCACAGCGGTCTTGTCCCTATGAATCCCATCCTCTTCCCACCGGCTTCTCAGGGAACTCAAAGGCTGATGTGGAGACACAGAAACTGGGCAGTGTGACACCATATACAGCCACACCCCACTACACAGACAGTCTCAAGTGAAAGAGGGTGCCGCACACCCTTGAGTGCAAATATACTTGCACGCACACTCAGACTCCCTGTGTTCAGGGTCTGCAGACACCCGCCTTCCTTTCCTGCAACCTCCCCCTACTCACTTGCAGCCTGCCCTCGTTTTTTGTCACCCCACCCTGGAGTTGGAGACACTAAGAGCAGGGCTGGGTGCAAACACCTGGCAAAAAAATCACAGGATGGTCACGCAAACAGGAAATCACTCAAAAGATTCCAACGGGAGGCTCTGGGGGGGCTCCTTCCTTCCGCGGTTTCCTCCTTCATCGCCCAGGCCTCCTCCCTCTGTCCCCTGACAAAAAGTCACCGAGCCCAGTTCAAATCGATTGTTTTATTGACTGCATACAGACGCGTTTAGAAAAGGGCACGGGCTCCGGGGGGCTACTCCGTCCCAGGCCCGCGCTTGTGCTGCGCTTCGCGGAGAGGGCTGATCCCGAGGACTGAAACTCCCCCCACCCCAACCCCGACGCTTTCTTTCAAAATGGAAAAAAGAACCCCGCCCCGAGTCGCCGCGCCGCGCCCCTCCCCTTCCCTCCCTCCCCGCCCATCCGCCCCCCCGCCCGCCCCCCTACACTACACGGTCACACTTCACAGGACACAGACTTTTCTCCTACAGGGCACGCTTGTCAGGGACTACACGCCGGGCAAACACGATTCCCGCCGAAGCAGGGGCGGGTGGGGCGGGGCGACGCGAGGACCGAGACGCGAGGACGGAGGGGCTCGGCTCCATCCGGATCCCGTCGCACAGTCGCACAGTCACGAGCAGGCTTTGTGCGAACTAGGGCGCGAGCCCTCCAGAGAGCCGCGGCCCGGGAGGCCACAGTCAGCTTCCTCCGCCTCCGGCGCTTTCCAGCTAGGGTCTGGGTCGGGTGGAGCCGCGGGAGCGGCGCTGTTGGGCGCACAGACCTCCGGAAAGCCCAACACACGGACAACGAAATTGGCCCGCGACCAAGTCCACAGGCTCAGCCGCCAAGGGGCGCGCGGTCCTGCGGCGCTTTAAGTTAGGAGAGAGACGACAGAAAACGCATTCCCTCCCTACCCCCCGACACACACACTCGATTTTCCCAGAGGCTGGGAAGGGGGTGTTAGCACCAGACCCGAAATGTCGCTGTCTTTGAAAACAACGAAAACAGGAAAATCTGAGCGCGGAGCTGAAAGGCGCCCCAGGCACCGGGCTGGACTCCAACTGGCCAGAAGTGGGGTGGGGGTGGGAGGACAGAAGGATTTGGTTCCCTGCCGGCAGGAGGCTTTGGAACTAAAAACTAGGGGTTGCCACGAATCCCGGCTTCTGGGAGTAGGGATTGAAAGGGAGGAGGGGCCGGGCGCGGTGCCTCACGCCTGTAATCCCAGCACTTTGAGAGGCCGAGGCAGATGGATCACCTGAGGTCAAGAGATCCAGACCATCCTGGCCAACATGGTGAAACCCCGTCTCTACTAAAAATAGAAGAAATTAGCTGGTCGTGGTGGCGCGCGCCTGTAGTCCCAGCTACTAGGCAGGCTGAGGCAGGAGAATCGCTTGAACCCGGGAGGCGGAAGATGCAGTGAGCCGAGATCGCGCCACTGCACTCCAGCCTGGCGACAGACCAAGACTCCGTCAAAAAATAAATAAATAAATAAATAAAATTAAAAAATAAAAAAAAAGGAAAGAAAGAAAGGGAGGAGGAGGGGTCGAGGTGGGACCCCACAGCACTCCACTGGCCTTGGCTGGCCCCCGAAACCACCGCGTTACCGCGAGGTTTCCAAAGTCTTCGCTCGTTTCCTCTGGCTCCAGAGCCCACGGTGGGGCGGGCTGCGGGGTGGATTTCGCAGATAATCGCGACGGGAATGGAGGGACATAGATATCGCCCACCGTCTGCGGGTGGAGTCTTGCATGGGGTAAGATAAACACTGTGCTTGGCGGGGAAGGGGATTCAGCCCGCAGGGAGAATGGCAGCCGTGGGTAGCAGGGACTGGTGAAATCGGCCCACTCCCTAATAGAAGTCCCTGGTAGTCAAGGTTGGGGAGTAGTAAGGGGGAGGAGTAGGTGAAGGTTGGGGACGGGGGACATAAGTCCTGCCAGCCCTAGACTGCTGCTCCCAGGCACCCTAGGTGGAGGTCGGGAATGGGCGGGCCGGACGGGCGGAGGTTCAGCCTGCCGTCTGCCTGTAGTTGCCATTAATCTCCTGGGCGATGTTGACCGCCTCGGCGCCCAGGGGCAGCCGATCGCTGTACTCAGAGCCCGCCTCGAACTCCTCTTGGTTGGCCTTGGACTGGGACTCCACCAGTGAGCAGGCCGCCAGGCTCTCCTCTCTCTGCAGGTCCCCACTTGGGTCTCCCTGCTCCGCGTCTTCATCAAGGCCCTCCCCCTGCACGTCCTCTGGCTCCTCGCCGCCCGCCTCGCCGCCTGCCGGGTAGCTTTTCTCGGACTCGAGGTACGAAGCACGCGGGTCGAAGTCTGCGGCGATGCGCTTCTCCATAGGGTCAGGGGCCTGAGGCCGCAGGATCAGACGGTAGGGCTTGCCCGGGTGTTTAGCCAGCAGATGGCAGCAGGCGGCGCCCAGAAGGGGCACTGTGGCCAGCACCAGGAGGAATACGCTCACTGCCACTATGACCAGCAGCGATGGGAGCTCCTTCTTGGTGGAAAACACCACTTGCACGTGGCAGGCTTCGCCCGCCAGCGCCAGGCACACGGAGTAGTTGGTACCCGGCCGCAGGCCGCGGAACCAGTAGGCGTTGACGCCTTCCTCTACGCGGGACCACTGCACTGCCGCGCCGCCCCCCGCTGGACACAGATAGAGTAGGCGCAGGGGTCGCCGCCCGGGTCGCGGGGCTCCGCCAGCCCCGCCGGGCCCAGGGCCCCAGCGCGCAGCCAGCGGAGTCAGCTGCACCCGCGCCTCGCGCTCCGCCACATCCAGCGCGATGACGCCCAGCTCGAAGACGTGCGGCTTGAGCTCTGCGCTCTGGTTGAACGCGTGGTTAGAAACGTACCGAGAGGGGTCCCCGTTGCCACAGCGCTGCTCCTCCGCCGGGTCCGCGAGGATCTGGTCTTCGGCCTCCTCTCCCTCACTTGTGTCCTCCTCCGGCTCCGTCTCGGTCTCCCCGAGAATGCTGACCTTGGCCAGGCCTTGGCCTTTGATTTTGCCCTCGGGTTTGGAAGGCAGGACGCTGTTGCCCCGGCCCTTGGCTGTGGACTTGCGCTCAGAGGTCGGGGCCTGTCCGTCGGGTTCTCCCCCGGCGCCAGGCGCGTGTTTTGGGGGCCCGGTTGCTGCCACCGCCACGCGTATTGACGTAGAGTTGGCGCCCAGCTCATTGTGTGCACGGCAAGTGTAGACGCCCGCCTCCTTGGCACTCAGGAGGGGCACCAACAGGGAGCCATTTGCGAGGGCCAGGAAGCGCGGTGTGGCTGGGGGCGCCGGCCAAGCGGGTGCTGGAGTCGGCGTTTGGGCTTGGGTCTGCGTCAGCAAATCCCCATCTCCTTCTCCCTCTCCTTCCTCCGCCCCAACCCCGTCGTCCTCCCCGCTCAGAACCGGTGGCTCTAAGACTACGGTGCCACCGGGGATCTGAAGTTGCCATTGCAGGCGAGGCGTAGGGTGGCCGTCGGCGATGCAGTGTAACACGAACGCCAGTCCTGCGCGCAGTGGGGTGCCGGGTGCTTCAAGCGGTGGCTCGGCACTCAGATGCACGCTGGGCGGTGCACAGGGCAGGGCGGGCAGGCGGTACACCGGCACCCCCTGCAGCGCGGGAGGCGAGGCACAAGCAATGGAGTCGGGCTCGGGTAAGGACACCCGGGTGCTCGCGGCCCAGGCCTGCAGCCACACAAGGCCGCAGCCGCAGTGGAAGGGATTGTGATAGAGTTGCAAGTGTGACAGCGCGCTAAGCGCGTCGAAGGTGCCAGGCGCCAGCGTACGCAGCCGGTTGTTGTTGATGCGCAGGGAACGCAGGTCGGGTAGCGCACCGAGTGCGTCCCGGGGCAGAGAGCCCAGGCGGTTGTGGTTCATTTTGAGCAGCTGCAGCGCGCTCAGGTTGCGCAGGTCGCTCCACGGAAAGCTGGATATGAAGTTGTGGCTCAGATCGAGGTTCTTGAGCTGACTCAGCACGGCCAGTGCGCCTGGCTCCACGGTGCGCACCTCATTGTGCGCCAGCCACAGCGACGTGACCTGTGTGACGTCGGCGAAGGCCCCGCGCCGCAGCACAGTGATCTTGTTCGCGGACAGACTAAGCGTCGTCACGTTGGCAGGCAGTCCTTCCGGCACCTCACGCAACTCTTTGTAAGCGCAGTCCGCGAACTGGTGAGCGTACTTGTCCACGCAGGCGCACGGCTCCGGGCATGATCCGGCCACTCCTAGAAGCGCCCAGACCAACCACAGGGCCCGAAGGGGGAACATCGCGGCTCCTGCAGATGGAAGCCAGGTGAAGAAGAAAGAAGGTGACTCACTGAACCCCAGCTTACCTCCCCTATCAAGCTGTGCCTCCGCAAGCCCGTTTAGCACTAGTTCCAGGGCTCCGGTAACCTCCTCTATGGCCAGGAGCCTCTCTGAAGTGAAGGTCAATAAAAATCTCGAGGTTCAACGGATGCTCCCTCCCAGGGCCCTAATTTCCTTTTCCAGCGGCCCGGTATATCGCCCTTTTTTCTCTTCCTACTCCTTCCTTCACGCTGGAGCTGGCCCCTCCGTGGGCTCCGCAGCTCGCCCATCTCCAGCGGGCTCCTCACGTACCCCTCTCTGTGTTTCTAAGCCTTCGTTTAACCTGGTGAAATGGATCCTACCCAAGAAGGACATTTTTGTCCGTGACTGGCTGTCCTCCCTGGAACCTTTGTCCCACGCACAGCACTCGCACACACGCCCATGCAGGCACACAACAATACAAACAGACGCGGGGCTTCATAATCAAACCGCCAACTTCTGCAGGGGTTTAGAGGACCTGATGCTCAATTAGGAGGCTCACAACACATTTCCTAAACTCACAAACACATATGCACCCAGACATGGACACAATAGACCCTGCAGACCTCATTGTTCTCTTAACCAGCATTTGTACGTGTTTTCCACCACGGTACAAAGCGCTTTCCTGTCCATTGTGACAATTGACAGACACAAGGACACAAGTCCTCACACGAACCGACCCACCCACAAGAACACAGGCATGTGCCTGTGTGTGCATACAGCCCTCCACTGTGACCGAAACCCAGCAGAGAAGCAATAGGAGGACCTGCACTGCACGACTTGAGATGTGGGATCTGGGGAAGCCCATCCCCATGCCCTACTGCATCTAAGGCCAAAGTCACCTGCCCGGGGCTGCAGCTCCTGTGAGGGGAGAAGAAGGGCTGCTCTGCCAACCTTCCTTACGGGGAAGGAGGTTCTCCCCCATGTTTGGACCAGGTGTGTTGGGAAAGCGGTCACTAGAGCTTCCTCTCAGGTCCCTCAGGCGGCTCCCATTGGGCAGAGGCGTCCTCAGCCAACAGGTCATGGGGCTGCCACTAGCTAATGAAGCTGGAGAAGATGAAAGATTCTGCGCCTTTCTCCACAGCTCTGCGGTGCCTAAGGACCCCCTCCCCATAACACCTTAAGCCCGGTCACACAAACGAACTTGCACAGACTCCCTGCCCCCATTTGGAGCGCCTGTCAGGTTTGGCAGAGCCCCTCCCACAACTTGTCTTTGGGAACCTGCTCCTTCACTCTGCCTTTGCTCTTCTGGGAGGGTCCCTTCCCTCCCTTCCCGGTTCCTGCCAGACAGCACCCCCACCAGCCCCGCACCCCATCAGGTGCCCTAGGCTGGACCTAACCCCACCTGGGTCAAGGTTGTGGGGTGGCCCCCATTGCTTACCCAATATTCGCCGACTCTCAGTAAATGTCCTGGGGCTGAAACCCCTTCTCCAGACCCGGCGTGGCAGAGCAGGGAAGATAGCCCAAGCAAGATACACGCATGTGTTGTGGCTGTGGGGAAAACGGGGGGCGGGGGGCAAAGAAAGGGACAGGTAAGTTTGGGGACTTGGTGGCCCCAAAGTACCACTTCAATTTTTCCTTTTGCGTCCGTTTCCCCCACCTCTCTGGCTGCAGGTTGGAGAAAGTCCTTGCGCACTCCCGGGCCTGGCGGGGACGCGCATAGCCTCTCCCGCCTCCTGCTTGGTCTACTTTTGTTAAAGCCACGGAGACCCTCCCCAAGGCCAAGACACGTCGGTCATAAGGGGCATCCCACGCCCACTGTCCTGGCTGGGCTCTTCGCAGCCTACTGCACCCCCATAACCCACGTACCCCCACATTTACACAGCCGCTGGCATTGTTACTGTCCCTGATCACACCACCTCCCCCACCCCACGTTCAAACACATTCGCGCACACAGTCCCTCACACCCTCCCCATAGCCGACCTTCACAGTTTACAATCATCCATGGTCAGGTAATAATCGCATCAATGTGTTCAGCCCCTGCTACATTCACACGCATTTTCACGGGCACACCTGCACCCGGGACACTTACCGTTCTCCTCTCGCACACGCATACACACATTCACGCGAACTCACCCTCACGCGCCTGTCCCGCCAGCGCCCGCGAGCTTCGCTGCTAATTGAATGCAAGCCGCTTTTACGCCCTGCAACACGTGAGACAAACCATCTTTGAGGAATTTGGGGGAAGGAAAGGCGCGCGGCTGAAGTGGGGGGGGAAGGCGTGTCTTTGCCTTTAAACTCTTTTTGCAAATGCAGGCGGTGGCACCGACAGACTTCGAGCGGGACCCGCTGAGCTGCGCGCAGCCGAGCTCGCGCGGACCCTTCCCTCCCGCACCCCCCGCTGCTAGCCGCCTCCTCCCCGAAGCCACGTTCAACATGATGCATAATTGATAGTGTTAGCAGAGCGCCGCACCCTCCCTACCATTTTTGCCTGGATCTGGGCTGATATAAGCCCTAGTCTCCCCCGCCCCGCCGCCCCAACCCCCCCGCCCCGCCTGCTAGTCTAACCCGACACCAGAACGCACAGCCCTGCAGGGCGTGCTGGGAAGGGACACCCCCCTCCCCAGCCCACCGCAGCCCTGCCCAGCCTCTTAAGCCGGAACTCTTTACTTCTGGTCTTTTGTGGCTAAACCAGCGCTTGAAGCCCACTGCCCGACGCGTTGGCCTGCGCGCACCGCGGGACAGGTGGAGCAGGGGGAAGCTCTCTCGAGCGCACCCAAGCACCTCACTCCAGGTCTTGCCTGCTCCAGGAGAACGGGGCACGGAAGCTGCAGCAGACAGTAGCACAGACAAGGATGGTGGCAAAACGTCCGCTACTCTTGAGCACGGTGGGCTGGGGACTTCAGGCCCGAGCATTTCTCCCATATCTGCCCCCCATATCTTCACAGCCTCTCAAGCAGACACACGGTCAACCCCACACGCACTATCCCCCAAGCCGCGGTGGCCCCTCACCGCCCCGCCGTCTCACACCCTCACACAACAGCCGGCTTCGGCAGACTCGCTGTTCCCGACTGTCGCTCCCTAGCTCTGATGAAACCCCGACATTTCTTTCAGCGACGAGGAGGCGGAGGCGCGGCGATGTCGAGGCATTTGGCTAAAACCCGGTTTCCGCCCCCCTGCGCTGCCCACGTTAGCCCTGGAGACAGCTACCGGCCATAACCAGGAAAGGGGTTCAGGCTCCGGGAGACACGCAGAATCCCCACCCATTCTGTAGCCACTGAGCTCTCTGGGAGCACCAAGCCCCACAGCCATCACCCCGGGCCATGGGGGTCTCTCGATGGCGAGGGTTTGGGGCTTCCGTGGAGATCAATACCCCGATTTGAGTGTTGAGCATCTTAATGAGCTAGGGGAGGGGGTGGGGAAGAGAGACAGGCTAAGAGCGCAGCGTCTAAAGAGACCACCCGGCCCGGGGTTCCGAGGCTGCTTTGTAAATTAAATATGAACAGACTGGTGCGCTCACACTCCAAGCGTCCCTCCCTCTCCCCTACTCCTGCCGTCGCTACGGGCGGCCCAGCGGGCTGAGACCATCGCATCTTGCTCAGCCCCAGTTCAGAACACAGAACTTCACACCGCCTGCTCGGGCCTGGAGTCCCCCCCCGCCGACCCATGGGGAGGGCGCAAGGCGCCTTTCAGGGAAGGTGTCTTCGAAAATGGTCGAGGGGTGAGAGCACTGTGACCCGTCCCTGCCGGGGATCCTGTGGTGGGACAGCCAGGATTGGGTCCCTAGCCCGGGGTGAGTCCCTGAGGTTTCTAGGCCTTGTGGGGTCGGGAGAAGGAGGCAGACGGCGGGGCCAGCACACCCTTCTTTGTCTGCCGAACAAGGTGGGGGTGGGGGCGGGGAGCGGCGTCTTGGGCAGTTGTCCGGGTGTTGGGAACCCTGAGGGGGCGGTCTTGGGAGCCTGTGCCTGGGAAGGATATTTGGAGGCAGGGGCCCAGCAGCGGGAGCTGAGTCCGGTCCGGCATGGCGTGTCCAGGGGACTTTTCGGGACTGAGTGAGGGGCGCCAGGCGGGGAGGCTCAAGGCCCTCCGCCGGTTTTTACCTATTTTCTTTCTTTCTTTTTTGCCTTCCGCAGGGAGGCAGAATCTGGGTAATGGAAGGGAGAATGGGCTCGCTATCTGCCCAGAGCTTCCCTGGACTGCAGGAACCCGTCCTATAAGCAACCCCGAAACTTCGGGGCCCGAGGACCAGGGAAGACCCCCTTTCCTTGCTGTCTTGACAGGGTTGCAGAAGCCAAGGAGTTCGGCAGGGAGACGGGGCTCCTGGGGTGGTTAAGGACGCGGTGACCACCCCTGGGCGGGAGCTGACTCCCGCGGGCCCGGAGGCTCTAGCTCACTCTACAGCAAATGCTTTTGTTCCCGGAGGCTGCCCTGGGGGAAAGACGCCCCTTACCCCTGCCTTCGACCCTGGAGAGCCCAGTGCCCGCCCGGGCAGGGCTGGAGCCCGAGTCGCCCCAGGCAGAGTCCGCCGAGGCCTGGGGTGGGAGCCGCGACTTCTGGATCTGCCTCCGAGCTCAGCTAGAAGACTGCGCGCACCTCGTCCGGCGCCGTCCGGCGCGCAGAAGCGGGTCTAATGTTTATAACGTTAATAATGACAGTTAGGGAGGGCTGTGGAGCCGGGAACCAAGACCTCATCCCGCCGCCGCCCACGTCTTTGATCATTAAAGAAACAGACAACTAATCAGGTGTGTGGAAGTAGGGGTGGGGGAGGGGAGGGTGACAAGGTTCCAAGCCGCTAGCGCAGAGGGTCCCAGATTCAGAATCTGCCGAATCCAGACTAAGGCTTCTAACCAGGCTGGAGCCGACCCCAGACAGACCCAGGAATGGAGAGCTGGAGCCCCTGGCCGCTTTCTGCGGATCGACCCTTAACTTCAACGTCGCGAACCCGGAGCGTCGGGAGGGTGGGGAGGGTTGAAACCGGTTGGATCTGGGGACTTGCTCCAGCGACTCCATCCGCGCTGTTCTAGGGCCCAAGCCTGGTCCGCGCGCGCCCCCTGCTGGAAGCCGCTTGCCGGGCGCAGAGGCGGGTCAACGGCAGAGGGTGCTGGCTGGGCGAGGAAGATGTGGCTGGAACCCTGCACCAAGGCGACCGCTGCTCACGGCTCTGCAGTCCCGCGGCGCGATACGCCAGTGGGGCGCGCTTAACCAAAGTCCCGAGGCTTTACTTCCCGTGCCCACCCAGTCTATGTCCCAGGTATCAGCAACCTCTGGTCCACTACACAACACAGGCGCTGTCCCTACTTCGCGCTGCGTAGTTTCCAGTGCCCAGGGCGTCTCCTAATTCTTGAGCGACTAGTCCCTGGCACAAAACCTTCCTATACACCTCTCCCACTCTCCCTTCTCTCTGAGTCTTATGACTTTGTCAGGGGCCTATTAAAATAAATGTCTGAGATCTGGAAAAAAAAATCTGTTGGCGCTAACAGGGGCAAAGAAAACTGCAAAATTGGAAGTAATCGATGTTTGATTGAATGTTTAAGACATGCGACATTGTGCAAACGATTCTGTTGCAACTGCACTCAGAGTTGTACTTGCCCTTGTATTTTAATGTGGCACGCGGAGGATTTAATGGACTTGCCTAAAGATGTGGGAAGGGCCTCTGAGAATAAGAAAGCCGGGGCCCAGATGGGCATCAAACATCCCCAGCATAGCAGCCGGTTAAGGCTGCGGAGACCTTCCCCAAGGCTGCCCTCCAGTCAGAAGCCCCTGAACACTCACTACTTCCCATCTTTCAGCTTCTGCGCGCACAGACACACACACACACACACACACACACACACACACACACACACACACACACACACACAAATGTTCTCTCCAGCCCCACACCCTCAAGAAGCTGCTTTCCTTTTCTAATTTCCAGTCGAAAGATCACTCCTCAGGGAAGCCAGGCCCTGTTTATACTCCCTCCTCCGGCCTTTCCTTGTACAGGTTCTATGTAGTCGTCAGGCGGGCAGGTCCTAGCGTCAGACTCCATTATGTACTGACTGTGTGTCCTTAGCCAAGCTATTTAACCTCTCTGTGCCTCAAGAAAAAAAGGCATAAATAAGAGTACTGACCAGGCGCGGTGGCTCACACCTGTAATAATCCCAGCACTTTGGGAGGCCCAGGCGGGCGGATCACAAGGTCAGGAGTTCGAGACCAGCCTGACCAACATGGTGAAACCTCGTCTCTGCTAAAAATACAAAAATTAGCCGGGCGTGGTGGTGCATGCCTGTAATCCCAGCTACTCAGGAGGCTGAGGCAGGAGAATCTCGGGAGGCAGAGGTTGCAGTGAGCCGAGATAGTGCCACTGCATTCCGGCCTGGGCGACAGAGCGAGACTCTGTCTCAAAAAAAAAAAAAAAAAAAAAAAAATACCTATGCTTTTCGGTCACCTTGAGGATTAAATGAATCAATGTACGCAAAGCACTTAGTACCTGACACTTAGTGCTCAGTACTTGAGATACGTTTTTTATATAATAGCTGAATTAGCCATTATTATTGCCTTGCAGAGTGGGACACAAGTTTGATAAAAGGTTCTGCTGCACACACCCCTACAGGCTTGTGTCCTGCCTCCTCCACAGGGGAGCACCTTGGCTCTGCCCCCAGACCTCTTCACCACCACCACCCCCTTTGCACACACACACACCATGGGTATATGTAGAAACCAGATTTACTATTATTATTTGTAAAGGTTTCTAGTTTCAGATACTTAGACTGATGCTTGTCAGCATGCCTGTTTGCAAAGAGAGACCCGCAACTGCAGACTTGGTGGAAGGTTTTTAATTAAAACTACATTCTGTTTAAGTATTTATTGGACTTTGTGACTTTAATTATTTTCTAGGGAAAAACAAAAAAATCCACATTTGCCTATGAGAAGACTGTTGATTTCAGAGGAAAGTAGCAACCTGTTGCAGTTTGCTGGAGGCAACTGAGAGGAATTTTCTGAATGGTTCAAATGAAGCTCGACATTATTAATAATCTGGGATCCAGCCCATGACCCTCCTCCCAGCATTTTCATGAAATTAGCTTAACGTACTGGCAAGGCCTTTTATTGCCATCAAAATTAACAGCAGCTCTTCCAGTGGCAGCTCATGTAATTATCTGGGTCTGTGCTTGTCTCACTGAATAAGAGGAACTCCTGCCTGGAAGAGGCGATACTCCTGCATTCAAAGGGGAACATGGCTGAGCAAGATGGCTCATGCCTGTAATCCCAGCACTTTGGGATGCCAAGATAGAAGGAATATTTGAGCCCAGGAGTTTAAGACCAGCTTGGGCAACATAGTCAGACCTCATCTCTACATTTTTTTTAAATTAGTTGGGCGTGGTGGCACACAACTGTGGTCCCAGCTACTCTGGAGGGAGACTGAGACCAGAGGATCGCTTGAGCCCAGGAGGTCGAGGCAGCCATAAGCCATGATCACACCACTGCACTCCAGCCTGGGCAACAGAGTGAGACTCTGTCTCAAAACAAAAACAAAAACGAAAACAAAAAACAAAACAAAAAAACACCAAAAAACAAGTAAGGGGGGCGGGATGCAAAATGCTTGGCAATCCCACCCCAATTCAGGCAGGACTGGTTTCCCCAAGAGATTTTCTGAGGCAGCCAGCTCCTCCGTGGCAGGACTTGCCATGGTAAAGGGTAGGGCCGGGTGAGGCAGGGGAGTGGGGGCTGGGGATGATGTGTAATATTTCCATCGGCAAATAACAAGATTCCCACCCCCAAGGATGGAAAGTATTAAGTGTATCGTCTCACAAAGCAGGAAGCAAGGCTGGCTTCCCGGCTGTTGATTCAGCGGCTCAGTGACATCAGCAGTTGCAAGTTCTTTCATCTCTCCCCTCTGCCACCCTTAATAGGGCTTCCAGCCCAAGGACTGGGTCCCTTGGTGCCTTGGTGTCACTGGAGGGCTTCCGGAGCCACCAAGGAAACATACCTATTGTGTTTTTTGTTTTTTTTTCTTTTTAGATGGAGTCTCACTCTTGTTACTCAGGCTGAAGTGCGGTGGCACAATTTTGGCTCACTGCAACCTCCACTTCCTGGGTTCAAGTGATTCTCCTGCCTCGGCCTCCCGAGTTGCTTGGATTACAGGTGCGTGCCACCACACCCCGCTAGTTTTTGTATTTTTAGTAGAGACAGGGTTTCACCATGTTGGCTAGGCTGGTCTCAAACTCTTGACCTCAAGTGATCCTTCCGCCTCAGCCTCCCAAAGTGCTGAAAATTACAGGTGTAAGCCACTGTGCCCAGCCACAAACGTAATGTTAACAGACTAGTGGGTTAGAAAGACAGGCTTCTCTTTTCCGAAGCCACAGCCTCTCCCCTGGGTCTTGACACCTATTGTCATAGGACTGTTTATCTCTGAACCAGTCACTGGTGAAGGGGATGAAACTGATTGGTTCAGAATAATTATCTGGCCCTGATATGGCTATAGAGGAGTCAATCCCAAGGCTCACTACAAGCAAGAAATCCCTTTTAAATAGAAGGATTGGGGAATTGCATGTTCAGAGTAGCCTAATATTGTATCAAAATGAATTGAAATGAGAATGACCAGGATTATAATGGACCATACTAGATACTTCCTTATCTGGAGTTTAGACCAATCTATATCCACAGTCTGAGATCACAGTCAGGGTCAGGGCAGTGTGTGTGACCAACTTCAGGAAACTCTGGTAGGCATACAAACCAGAGGATTCTTTGCTTTCACAGAATTCTTGGATCGATTGATTTATTTTTATACTTATTTATTTATTTGGGCTGAGGATCAAACTGTATTGTCCAGCTGGCCTCAAATCCTGGGCTCAAGTGATCCTCCTGCCTCATCCTCCCAAGTAGCTGTGCCTAGAGGCACACATCGCACCCAGCTCTTTCACGGAATTCTTGAAAGGATAAAAATCTGTTCTTGGAAATGCCTGTGCTGGGATCCAAAGCTATTTTGGGAGCAGTGGAAGCTTCAGTCTTTAGTCGGATATTTATGAACAGGAGATGTTTATGAACTCAAAGATGTCCCTATATGACTTCACATCCTGAACATGTCTCCCAGTCCCATGGCAGAGAAGAGAGGCACTTTTACTGTTGAGGTGGAAAACAGGAGGAATAATTCTACCTTGGTCTTAGGAAAAATGTGGGGCAGTGCAAAGTGGGGCAGACCACACTGGGCTTGGAGCTCCACAACCTGAAAGCTCACTCCAGCTTCACAAACTCTCTAAGTGGTCTTAAGCAACTCCTTGCCCTCTCTCCTTCTAGGTTTCCACCCATGCAATGGTAGGGGAATGGGCTAGATGTGTGTCTTGAGGCCCTTGGGTGCTGTGGCCTTAGAAGAAGCCAGTTTGCAGGTTGAGTTGGGGCTTTTGGGCCGCAGGCTGCCATCTGACAGGGCTTCCTGCAGGAAGACACCCTCCTTGGGAGCCTGGGGTTGTGGCTTCCTCTCTTCCTCATGGCCCTTGGCAATTTCTGTGTCTCCCCTCCCATCACACTGCAACCCGCCTCCCGCCTCATCTCTTGAGGCCCGCTTGGGTCCCAGGAGCTAGCCCCTCCCCCAAACTGCTGTGCACTGCTCTGTGGGCAGAGGGAGTCTTCCTGCTTCAAAACACTTACCAAAGGCTCTTTCCATAGCAAGATTCAGGGGCGGTTGGGGCACTGCTATTTGAGGTTAAAATCTGATCACTGAATATTTTGGGAGCCTGGCACATTGACCAGGAAAGAACAAGGCTGCCACCCCTTCCTGCTCTGCAACTCTCAGTCCTCCATTCCGTGGGGCCATCACAGGACACAGAAAGGCCACAATAAACACACATTCAGAGAACCCCCCACCACCTCCTGTGGCCTCCTGCAGACCGCAGGAGGGCTGGCCCAGAGTCTCCTCCTCCTCCTCCATCCCCCAGACTCAAAGCTCCTGGGGTTGGGGGGCTGCGCAGGGCCTTCCCCTCCACTGTCCCCATCAAAGCCCAGAACAGCACAGGGAGGGCACTTGGTGGGCTGAAATAAAACTGACTTTTCCCTCAGACCTTCAGTCTCTTGCTTTCAATAGACTGTTTTCATTTACTCTTGAAAGTGGCTTCCCAGAAGCAGAGCTGAGACAATGTTTTGTGTGCAGGTGGCTGTTTAAAAAACTGCCCAAGCGAAAAACAACCAGAAGAGAGAAGGGGAAGTAGGAAAGGAAGAGGAAGAAGCTAAGCAAAGGTGTGATTTCAGGCACAGTCTCAATGTTGGACTGATCCCAGGAAGCTCCAGAATGAAAATGAATCCTGTTTGTCCCAATGAGAGGCAGGGAAGCTCACTTCCACAGATGCACAGCAGTCAGACATTGGCCAAGGGCTGCCCCTGGGGGATGGGACTCCCAAGCACTTTCCCCTCTCCTTGCCTGTAGGCAATCAGCTCTAGTAGCCTGGAAAGACTCTGTGAAGTCTGCACCCACCTTAGGGAGATGCAATGACAGCCTTCAAGGATCAGAGAGTCACCCAGCATCAGAGTTTGGGGCCTGGAGGTCCTCTATCCCTTTCACTTTACTGGGAGGGAGACAGAGGCCAAAGAGAGGTCACAGAGCAGTTGGGAATGGGAAATGTCCCCAGCCTATCTGGGCAGTCTGGGTCAAGGACGTGCCAAGCCTGGTGGCTGTGGGTGAGCTTGCTGATTAGGAGGCCCTTGAGGCTCTTGGGCAGGTGTGGCCTCGACAGTGGCAAGGGCAGCTGTCTCTGGGGTGGATGGGACAGGCGCCCCCACTTCAGGTCTCCTGCGTTAGTCCCCCGTACCCCCACTCCATTGCCCACGGGCACTAGAACAGAATCCCATCCATGTGTGGGAGAGACTGATGTTGTACCCTTGAGTTATCTATAATAGGATGCTGACCCCAAATCAGGCCCCATAGAGAGGGCATCTCATCAGGCAGCTGGCTGGGGCAGAGATCTGGAGGGAGGAGAACCCTCCCTGAGGTGGATCCTGGCATGTTGCAGAGATACCTGGAATTCTGTACCCAGGCAAGGCCAGTTCAAATGGCCAAGTCTGGGGGAAGCCAGGCACAATTCAGTGTAAGGGGGTCTAAAGTGGTAGATCAGGGGTTAGGGGACTGTAACTTCTCTTCACTGACTTCCTGTGAGACTTTGGAAGTCTTTCTCCCTTCTCAGCCTCAGTTTCCCCTCCTGTGCTGTGGGGCTCAATTTCCCTCCTTCCTGCCTCATCTTGGGGTTGGGTCTGTCACATTCTCACTCCTCAAGCCTGTCCCTACCAAATCCAAGCTGAGGAAGGGTGCCTCAGTGCAGCGCCTCCCAGGAAAAGATTGCTCAGGTGCTGTCCTCTTCTGTGTCCTCTTCAAAGTGCCCCAAATAGACTTTCCTGGGGAAGCCAGAGGAATCAGGCTATGAAGAGTGACCCCGTGCAGTGCAGCATCTGTGAATCCTGCAGCCCCATCTTCCTGCGTCCTTATCTCCAGACTCAGCTGGGAACTTGATGTATTTATTTGCCTCTCCCAGGGCCCCACTGTGTCCAACCCACATATCTTCCGGCTGTCTGGTAGCCCCGTGCAGGCAAGGAGGGAGGGAATTGCTATAAATCCCTCCAGCCTGCAGCCAGCAGGGTGACCCTGTCAGGTAGAGGAGACAATCAAGGTGGCTTGGAGAGATGGGGACAAAGGCACCAGGAGAAGAAGCTTGGGATAGAGTCACCTAGATACTAAATGGGCTGGAATCAGGGGAGAGGAGAGTGAGAGAGGAAGGGGAAGGGAAGAGGGATAGGGTGGGCAGGGGAGGAGAGAAAAAAGGAGAGAACAGAGGAAAGGAGAACAGAGGAGAGGAGAGGAAGGGCAGGAAGGGAAGAAGCAGACTGCTTTCTAGTGCATTCTGGGAGTCAGCACAATGCCTTCTGGTCTAGGGTGCTGGGTGTATAGAGTTATTTTTTAGTGTGTTGCCAATCACTAAATTTAGTACTTTCTATATGCTGTCTCATTCAATCCTCACAATTTGTGAAGTATGCATTATCACCCCCATTTGCATATGAGATCACAAAGGGTAAGCAGGTTGTCCAAGGTCACACAGCAAAGCTGGGATTTAAAGCCAGGTCCCTCCAAAGCCTATCTTTTAACTTCCACACACACACAGCTCCCTGTTCCCAAGCCGACTCTATGAGTGCACCACCGTAAACCCAGCCACACCCCCCTCACCTACCCTCTGCCTCCCCGTGGGTTGGTCTGACTTTTTTTTTTTTTTTTTTTTGAGATGGAGTCTCTCTCTATTGCCCAGGCTGGTTTGCAGTGGTTCAATCTCGACTCACTGCAACCTCCACCTCCCGGGTTCAAGCGATCCTCCCACCTCAGACTCTGGAGTAGCTTGGGATTACAGGCACACGCCATCACACCCGGCTAATTTTTGTACTTTTAGTAGAAATGGAGCTTCACCATGTTGGCCAGGCTGTTCTCAAACTCCTGACCTAAGGTAGGCAGTTTCCCCATCTGTCTTCATCCTACTGCCTGGCATCGTATCCATCAAACTGTTTTTAGAGTTATGTCTTGATAAGATAAAAATCATGGTGGGAGTCATTTACACCCTAGTGAGAGTCACCTAAGATTCCCTTATCTTCTCAGACCTTTTAGCTGAAGTTGGTTATGAGAGAGGATGGGGTTGGGGCAAGCGCTTGGAGCCTGCACTGTTTCTTGCTGATGCCCTGGCACAGTGTGAATATGTCAATCTAAATGGAGAGCTCTATGCATGTTCCTCTTTATTCCCTTTGTCACCAATACCAATTCCCAAGGCCGAGCCCTGGGAGGGCTGGCCTGAAGGACCTGGAGGTAATAGAAAACGCTTGGCTTTGGGTTTCAGGTCAAGCTCTGCCAGTGACTTGCTGTGTAAGATGAGACAAGTCAGTTCACCTCTCTGCACTTCAGTGACCTCATGTATAAAAGGCTGGTCTGCTCTAGATTATTAATTTTCTTTAGGTTTTGCAATTGTTTTTTGTTTTAACATTATATTCAATTATTCCCTCATCTTTATTAAAGTATAATTGACAAATAAAAATTGTGTATATTTCCAGTGTTCAATGTGATATATGCATACATTGTGAAATGATTAAATCAAGTTAATTAACATTTTAATCACCTCACATACTTTTATTATTATTATTTTTGTGGTAAGAACATTTAAGATCTATTTGCTTAGAATAGTGTTTACTAGCGGTGAGGAAGGGTAAGGGGGAGGGGGTAGCCAAGGGTTGGCTAACAGGTTAACAGATACAAGAGTACATGGCTGAGTGCAGTGGCTCACACCCGTAATCCTAGCAGTTTGGGAGGACCACTTGAGCCCAGGAGTTTGAGACCAGGCTGGGCAACATAGGGAGATCCAATTTCTACAAAAAATTTAAAAATTAGCCAGGCATGGTGGTGCACGCCTGTGGTCCCAGCTACTTGGGCTGCTGAGGTGGAAGGATCACTTGGGCCCAAGAGGTCAAGGGTACAGTGAGTTGTGATTGCACCATTGCATTCCAGCCTTGGGGACAGAGTAAGACCCTGTCTGGGGAAAAAAAAAGAGTACAGCTAGATAGAAGGAATAGTTCTAGTGTCTTTAGCACTATTGGGTGACTATAATTAATGACAATTTATTATATATTTTTAAATAGCTAGAAGAGTGGATTTTCAATGCCCCCAGAACAAAGAAATGATAAATGCTTGAGGTGGTGGAGATGCTAATTATGATTTGATCATTACACATTGTACATATGTATAAAAATACTATACTGTATCCCATAAATATATACAATTATGTGTAGATTAAAAATAATAAAAGCAGGCCAGGTGCGGTGGCTCAGACTGGTAATCCGAGCACTCTGGGAGGCTGAGGTGGATGGATCACGAGGTCAAGAGATCGAGACCATCCTGGCTAACACAGTGAAACCCCGTCTCTACTAAAAATACAAAAAATTAGCCGGGCATGGTAGCGGACACCTGTAGTCCCAGCTATTTGGGAGGCTGAGGCAGGAGAATGGCATGAACCTGGGAAGCGGAGCTTGCAGTGAGCCAAGATTGCACCATTGCACTCCAGCCTGGGTGACAGAGTGAGACTCCATCTCAATAATAATAATAATAATAATAATAATAATAGCTTCAGATTTTTCCCCTTCATTTGCTTATTTTTCTTTTTGCCAATTACCTACCCATTTTTTCAGATGCTCCAACCAATCTATCAAATGCCTAGTGATAATTATCCAAAAACTAAGATACACTGGATACTCTATCAGCCCCATTATTTTCGAGGAAATTCCCACCTAATAAATTTTGGTCAGACTAGTTGTCTGCTCTCAAACCCTGTCTCCTGATAAGATGTTATCAATGACAATGCGTGCCTGAAACTTCATTAGCAATTTTAATTTCACCCCGGTCCTGTGGTCCTGTGATCTCGCCCTGCCTCCATTTGCTTTGTGATATTCTATTACCTTGTGAAGCATGTGATCTCTGTGACCCACACCCTATTCGTACACTCCCTCCCCTTTTGAAAATCACTAATAAAAACTTGCTGGTTTTACGGCTCGGGGGGCATCACAGAACCTGCTGACATGTGATGTCTCCCCCGGACACCCAGCTTTAAAATTTCTCTCTTTTGTACTCTTTCCCTTTATTTCTCAGACCAGCCGACACTTAGGGAAAATAGAAAAGAACCTATGTGAAATATCGGGGGTGAATTTTGCCTGATATCTGGCTGAATTTCCCCCAACAGTTCATTATATGCCAGCAGACACTAGCGAGAAGGGCACCTGAATGTTTGAGAGACTCAGTGGCACTATCCTTGGTAGGCCGGGATCGATAAGAGGAGATGCTGCCATGAGACCAGGCTTCGTGGTGTCAGTGGGAATGGTGGAAGGTGAGAACAGTGGATGCCAGGTGGTGGCCCTTCACCATCATCCACAAGGTGGATGTAATTAACTTAATTGGTAGGAAGGCTAGAGTGATAGCCAGGATGCCCTGACCTCCAGGGAGCTGTTGTGTTAGCTACAAACTGATGGCATTCCAGGGGAGAGTTACATAGGCAGTTGACTAGGGTGGTTTTTTCTTTTGTTTTGTTTTTTGAGACAGGATCTTAATCTGTAGCCCAGTCTGGAGTGCAGTGGCACAATCATAGCTTTCTGCAGCCTCAACCTCCTGGGCTCAAGCAATCTTTCCACCTCAGCCTCCCAAGTAGCTGGGATTACAGGCATGTACCACCATGCCTGGCTATTTTTTTTTAATTTTTAGTGAAGATGAGGTCTTGCTATGTTGCCTAGACTGGACTCAAACTCCTGAGCTCAAGCAATCCTCCTGCTGCAACCTCCCAAATTGTAGGGATTACAGGTGTGAGCCCTAAGATATTTCCTGATTTGTGTATTCAGGAAACAACATCAACAAGATCTGGCCACAGAAGGTTGCAACAAAAAATTGCAATTTCCTACCCAGTTTTCAGACTGAGACAATTGAGACCTATAGCTCATGGATTGTAGGGGAGGCTGGGTATTCTTAGAAAAAGATCCTGCAACATTACCCCATGATATTCATTAATTATTACCTCAGTCCTTCTCCAAAGGGATCTGGGGTCATTGATGAAAGTAACTGTAGCTGATGAAAAGGGAATACCCAGACTGTTTGAGGGTCATTCATATAGGATTAGAGCTGACCGTGCCACCATAAGATCCACAATGCCACCATGTCCCCTCCCCAGTAAGACTGAGGACATGTGAAGGCTAGGTAATAAATGGATCCCTGGATGAAGAGGCTGCAGCCCCATCTGGTTGTCATTTCTCTGTCCCTAAATATGCAATTGATATGAGTATGCTTAGAAGCTAACAGAGCTCTCACTTTACTCCCTGACCTGTGGGTATGAGCCACTATAGTAGGAAGAGCCCAGGGGAAGTCTCTGAAACTCCCTCTTCCCACTTCCAGGAGCAATGCAGTATTCCAGGTGGAATCACAGAGATTTATCACCTCCCTCAACTGTGACTGCCACCTTATAATGATGGTATTCTTACATTTCCCCACCTGTCCCTTGTGCCATTCTCATCATCATTTTACTTCCACATGTTATAAACCCCATAATGTTATTACTTTTGCCTCAGTCAATTATTTCTAGACATCAAAAAATAAGAAAATAGGATCTTTTCTATTTATCCATGTATTTATTATGTCAGTGGTCTTCATTCCTTTGTGTAGATCCAAATTTCTATCCAGTGTCATTTTTCTTCTGACCAAAGAACTGCTTTTAACACTTCTCAAGAGTGCAGGCCTGCTGGTGATTATCCTGGCTTTTGTTTGTGTGAAAAAGTCTTTATTTTGCCTTCATTAAATTTTTTGAAAATTTTTATTCCTTTTTTTTTTTTTGTAGAGATGAGGCCTCATTATGTTGCCCAGGCTGGTCTTGAACTCCTGGCCTCAAGCAATCCTCCTGCCTTGGCCTCCCAAAGTGCTGGCATGATTACAGGCGTGAGCCACCACACCTGTCCTTATGGAGTATTTTAACTGCTTTTAATCCCATATCTGCAGAGTTAACTTTTTCGTCTCTAGTAATTCTTCTTTGTTTTATTTTGAGACAAGGTCTCACTATGTGCCCAGGCTGGAGTGCAGTGGCACAATCACAGCTCACTGCAACCTCGACCTCCTGGATTCAGGTGATCCTCCTGCCTCAGCCTCCTGAGTAGCTGGGACTACAGGTGCATGCCACCATGCCTGGCTAATTTTTGAATTATTTATAGAGATAGGTCTCCCTATGTTGCCCAGGCTAGTCTTGAACTCCTGGGCTCAAGCAATCCTTGTGTCTCAGCCTCCCAAAGTGCTGGGATTACTGGTGTGAGCCACCGCACCCAGCCTGTGTTGTTTTTTTTTTTTTTTTTCAATATATCTTCTATTTCTCTCTTCTCATCATGTTCAGATTTTTCTAGCCTTCTTGAACATATGGAGCATATTTATAATATGTTAATGTCCTTGTCTGCAAATTACATCATCTCTGTCATTTCTGGGCCTATTTCCATTGATTTATTTCTCTCCTGGTTATAGGCCCTATTTTGCCTGTTATTTTATTTATTTATTTGAGACAGGGTCTTACTCTGTCACCCAGGCTGGAGTGCAGTGGTGTGATCTCACCTCACTGCAATCTCCATCTCCTGGATTCAAGTGATTCTCGTGTCTCAGCCTCCCAAGTAGCTGGGACTACAGTTGCGTACCACCATGCCTGGCTAATTTTTGTATTTTTAGTAGAGACAGGATTTAGCCATATTGGCCAGGCTGGCCTTGAACTCCTGGCCTCATGCAATCTGCCCACCTCAGCCTCCCAAAGTGCTGGGATTACAGGCATGAGCCACTGTGCCTGGCCATTGCCTGGCAATGTTTTATTTACTGGTAGACATTGTGTTTTTGTGTCGTGACTGCTGGATTTTGTTTTCCTTTAAATAGTGAGGGACTCTGTTCCAGCACTAGTTAAGTTACTTTAAATAAGTTGGATCTATCAAGGTTTGCTTTCAATCTTTGTTAGGACAGTTTCAGAGAAGCCTTTACTCCAGTGCTCATTTAGCCCCACTATTAAGGCAATACTTTTCTAAAGCTTCTCTTCCATTTCCTAAGTATTATGAGGTGTTTTCATTCTGACTAGTGAGAATATGAATTCTCTCTAGCCTGTTGTGAGCTCCGGGGATTCTTCTGTCTGCTTTCTGGCAGTTCTTTCCCTGGGTACTTTCTTCTCACATACATCCATATCAGCCCTTTGCCAAAGGCTTGAGGGCATCTTCCATAGCTCTCCAGAGTTCATGTGCTCTCTTCTCCCACCTCCTCCCTGGTACTCTACCTCACAAATTCTACCAGCCTTGAAGATCTTCCCAAGCTCTGATCTCTGTCTCCTCAATCCACCAAGACCACTGGACTTTGGATTTCCCTCCCTGCATTGGAGCCTGTAAGTGCTTCCGGCAGTAAACTGAGGACACTGTAGGGTTCACCTTCTTTTAGGGATCATAGTTCTGCTCGACCTGTTCTCTGATGTCTGAAAACTATTGTTTTATATATGTTGTTCCATTTTTCTAGTTGTTCAAGGTGGGAGGCAAATCTGGTCCCTGTTAGCAATCATGGCCACATGTAGAGGTTGCAGGATGTTGTTTACATCTGTATCTTTTTTTTTTTTTTGAGACAGGATCTTGCTCTGTCACCCCAAGTGGCGCCATCTCGGCTCACTGCCACCTCCACTTCATGGCCTCAAGCGATCCTCCCACCTCAGCCTCCCAAAGTGCTGGGATTACAGGTGTGAGCCACTGCACCCGGCCTAAAATTGTATCTTTCTTATTATCAGTGAAGTTAAACATTTTTTCCTGTGTGTCAGTGGCATTTGCGCTTCTTTTTCTTTGAACTTTCATATATATTTTTCCATTTTTCTTAGAACTGTTGGTCTTTGTCTTCTCTACTTTTAGAATAGAATGAATATGATATTAATCGTACTTCGAATTGTGGCCATGATGGAGTACCTGTATTGATGATGGTCTCCCAGCATAAACAACTACAAAGCTGGACAAAGTACATGAAGAAATTGTCTTCAGCCATTGGGCAATAGGCAGTTCCAGGTACAATCTGAGAGAAGGGAATCACATGAAGTGACTGCTGTGTTTTTCTGGTGGGGAAAGTTTCTAAACCCTCAATGACAGCATGAGGAAGCAGAGTTCAGGCAATGAGGATCAGTCTTGTTTGGTGGAGGAAACAGAGACTGCTGCTCAGGGCTGCTAAAATGTGTGTGGCAGAGTATCAGAAAGGATGGAGTTGCAGAGGAGAAGCCCCAGAAATCTTATAGAGGTTGCTGCAGGTCCTTGGCCAAATCCCAAACTCTGAATGTGTGGATTGAGACTCTGCAAGGCCCAGCACAGAACAGCTGATGGGGAGCTGAGAGCTAAACAGCGATTTCAGTGGTCACAGAGTGCTGGAAACACATCTGAATTCTGGCTCAGCCAGAGTCTCCACTCTTGGAATCTCAGGTCTTGATGAATATCCCAGACATTCACAGAGGGCCTAGAAGGCCATGCCTTAGGATTAAGGAAGATTCTCTAGGAATAAGAGCAAAACTGAAAAACAGCTCACCCTAACAAAACCTAAAATGTAGCCTTGACACTCAAGATCAAGTTAACCCAACAGCAATTTAATTCCCTGCCAAAATAAAACTCAACACTAGAGTAGGATAACATAACCCACATCTCTACAATGAAGGTTCACAACGTCCAACAGCTCAAGAAATACTAGATGTGTGAAAAAGCGAGAAAATATATCCTAAAATTAAGAGAAAACCAGTCAATACAAACAGATGCACCGTGCATGGTGGCTCATGCCTGTAATCCTAGCACTTTGGGAGGCCAAGGCAGGTAGATCACTTGAGCTCAAGACTTTGAGACCAGCCTGGGCAACATGGCATAACCCCATCTCTACTAAAAATTCAAAACTGAGTTGGGTGTGGTGGTGTGCAGGGGCCCATAACCCCCAGGCTGTGGACTGTACCCGTCGGTGACCTGGTAGGAACCAGGCTGCGCAGCAGGAAGTGAGTGGTGGACAGCGAGCATTACTGCCTGAGCTCCGCCCCCCATCAGATCAGCAGGCATTAGATTCTCATAGAAGCGTGAACCCTAATGTGAACTGCACATGTGAGGAATCTAGGTTTCACACTCTTTATGAGAATCTAATGCCTGATGATCTGAAGTGGAACAGTTTCATACCATAACCACCACCCCTGACCCCGTCTGTAGAAAAATTGTCTTCCGTGAAACCAGTCAGGACTGCTGGTGGCATGTGCCTGTGGTCCCAGCTACTTGGAAGGCTGAGGTGGAAGGATGGCTTGGGCCTGGGAGGTGCAGGTTGCAGTGAGCTGAGATCATGCCACTGCAATCCAGCCTGGACAACAGAGTGAGATCTTGTCTCAAAAAAAAAAAAAAAAAGGGCCGGGCACAGTGACTCACACCTGTAATCTGAGCACTTTAGGAGGCTGAGGTGGGTGGATCACCTGAGGTCAGGAATTCAAGACCAGCCTGGCCAACATGGTGAAACCCCATCTCTACTAAAAATACAAAAATTAGCTGGGCGTGGTAACATGCGCCTATAGTTCCATCTGCTCGGGAGGCTGAGGTAGGAGAATTGCTTGAACCTGGGAGGTGGAGGTTGCAGCGAGCTGAGATGGCACCATTGCATGCCAGCCTGGGATACAAGAGCAAAAATCCATTTCCAAAAAAAAAAAAAAGCAGACCCATAAATGGCTCACACATTGGAATTAGCAGGCAAGAGCTTTAAAGTAACTACATACATACGTTAAAGAATTTAGAGAAATATCAACCCTTGGTGAAGATGGTTAAAAGAGAATTTAGAGAAATGATTTTTAGTATAAGTATGTCCTAAATATGCATGGTACATACTTACTAAATAATTATTTGTTATCAGAAATCTAAATTTAACTGGGCTTCCTATATTTTATCTGGCATCTCTACTCTAAAGCCAAGCAGGACATAGTCCAGAGTCCTATCTTCCAGCAGGTGACCTAGCCTAGGACACGGCCTGGCCAGGGGCAATTGTGCATTGAATGGGTTATAGATGCCAGTCATCCAATGTGTCAAAGGTTTTTCCAGACCTGCATACAATCAATATTATTTTTATTTAATATTTTTGCCTAAAGCAACTTTAAAAATTTTAACCTTTTATTTGGAAATATAGATTCAGAGGAAATTTCAAAGATGGTACAGAGAGGTTTCATGTACTCTTCACTCAGTTTCCTCCAAAGGTTCTATTTTGTATTAGTGTAGAACAATATCTAACAATGTCACATGTCTAGGTCTATGCCATTTTATCACGTATGTAGACTCCTTTAACCACTGCTACAATCAAGATACAGAGCTGTTCTACCACCACGAAAATCCCCCTCCTGCTATTCCTCTGTACTTATTCCAGGCTCTTCCCCTCCACTATTCCTACTCCTGACAACCACTAATCTGCTGTCTTTATAATCTTCTCACTTCAAGAACATTATAAAATGGAAAAATTAGCCAGGCATGGTGGCACGGGCTTGTAGTTCCAGCTACGTGGAGGCTGAGGCAGGAGAATCACATGAACCTGGGAGGTGGAAGCCACAGGGCAAGACTCTGTCTCAAAGAATGAATGAATGAATGAATGAATGAATGAATGAATAGAGGCCTGGCATGGTGGCTCACACCCATAATCCCAGCACTTTGGGAGGCCGAGGCGGGTGGATCAGTTGAAGCCAGGAGTTCGAGACCAGCCTGGCCAACATGGCAAGCCCTGTCTACACTAAAAATACAAAAATTAGCCAGGCATGATGGTGCACGCCTGTACTCCCAGCTACTCGGGAGGCTGAGGCACAAGAATCACTTGAACCCAGGAGGTGGAGGCTGCAGTGAGCCGAGATCATGCCACTGCACTCCAGTAGGGCCAGAGTGAGACTTTGTCTCAAAAACAAAACAAAAACCAAACGAAAAAAGAACATTATATAAATGGAATCACCCAGTATGTGGCCTTTTGAGATTGGCTTTTTTTTTCTACTCAGCAAATGCCCTTTGAGATACATCCAAGTTGTGCATGCTCCTTTTTATTGCTTTTCTGTTTTTTTTTTTTTTTTTTTTTAGATGGAGTCTCCCTCTGTCGCCCAGGCTGGAGTTCAGTGGCGCGATCTTGGCTCACTGCAACCTCCACCTCCTGGGTTCAAGTGATTCTCCTGCCTCAGCCTCCTGAGTAGCTGTGATTATAGGCACCCACCAACACACCTGGCTTTTGTTTTTTGTTTTTGTGTTGTTTTTGAAACAAAGTTTTCCTCTCGTTGCCCAGGCTGGAGTGCGATGGCACGATCTCAATCTCGGCTTACTGCAACCTCTGCCTCCTGGATTCAAGTGATTCTCCTGCCTCAGCCTCCCAAGCAGCTGGGATTACAGGTGCCCGCCACCACGCCCAGCTAATTTTTTTGTATTTTTAGTAGAGATGCGGTATCGCCATGTTGGCCAGGCTGGTCTCGAACTCCTGACCTCAGGTGATCTGCCTACCTCAGGATCCTAAAGTGCTGGGATTACAGGTGAGAGACACCATGCCCAGCCTTTTTTTTTTTTTTTTTTAAGTAGAGACAGGGTTTCACCATGTTGGCCAGGCTGGTCTCGAACTCCTGACCTCAAATGATCTGCTCACCTTGGCCTCCCAAAGTGCTGGGATTACAGGCGTGAGCCACCGTGCCTGGTCCCCTTTTTATTGTTGAATAGTATTTCATAGAATGGATATGTCAGTTTGCTTTACCATTCACCTATTGGGGGATATTTGGTTCTTTCCAGTTTGAGGCTATTACAAATAAATCTGCCACGAACAATCATGTATGAGTTTTTATGCAGACATCAGTTTTATTTTCTGGTACAAATGCCCAGAAGCAATTGCTAGGTCATATATTGAGGTGTATGTTTGATTAAAGAAGCTGCCAAACTATTTTCTAGAGTGTCTGTACCATTTTATATTCCCACCAGCGATGTATGAGTTAGTTTTGTCTGCATCCTCGCCATTATTTGATATTACCACTATGTTTGATTTGAGCTGTTCTAATAGATCTGTAGTGATATCTTACGTGGTTTTAATTTGCATTTCCCCAGTGGTTAGTGTTGAAGATCTATTCTTGTGCTTTAAGTCAACTCATTTTTAAAACCTAAATACATGTATTTAAAAAGGAAACTTTTAGGAGGCCAAGGCAGGTGAATTGCTCGAGCCAAGGAGTTCAAGACCAGCCTGAGCAACATGGTGAAACTCTGTCGCCACAAAAAATAAAAAAACATCCGGGCGTGGTGGCATGCGTCTATGGTTTCAGCTACTTGGGAAGTGAGGCAGGAGGATTGCTTAAGCCTGGGAGTTTGAGGCTGCCGTGAGCTGTGACTGCACCATTATACTCCAGCCTGGGAGACAGAGCAAAACCCTGCGTTAAATAAATAAATGAATAAAAGGAAATTTGTGATTAGTGGTTCTCAAAGTGTGGTCCCTGGGCCAACAGCATCAGCATCCCCATGACCTGAGAACTTGTTAGAAATGCAGATTCTCAGGCGCCACCCCAGACCTCCTGAATCAGAACCTCTGAGGCGTGGGTTCAGCGACCTGTGGTTTAACAAGCCCTCCCGGTGAGAATCGGTCTCATTCACTACAGATAGAAGGAAATGGTAAAAATCAATTCATCCCCGTATCGCCTAAAATCCTCCTGTGGGCCCCAGGTTGGCACAGCACACTTTTGGGCAGGAGCCCCACTCACAGAGGCTGTGACAAGAATGCTCCTGCCCCTGGGGTTGTGCAGTGACAGCTCACACAGCTCCACGTGGCGGTTCTGAGTTTGGGAAGCGCTGATGTAGTCCTACTGCAGCCCTTCCTGCCCTTCACCGGACTGAGGAAATCCAGGCTCTGAGGAGGGAGAGACTTGCCCAAGGTCACCCAGCAACATGGTCAGTCTCCTTTCCCAGGGCCCTCACAATGCGTGGCCTGTTTAAAGCCTGCCTCTATTCACTGCTGAGTGAAAAATCCAGCTCCAAAACAGAATATGGGGAAGGATACTATCTTGTGCAACTTATGTTTATAGCTGCAGATACATGAGAAAAAAAGTCAGAAAATACTGTTGAAGCAGTTACTTAGGGAGAGAAGGTGTTTGCTGGTCTTTTGTGTTTTTAACTTTTCTATATTTCTTAATTTTTAACACAATAATGTTTAGTTACATAATCAAAAGGTATTAAATGTTAAAAATTGACATGAAGCCTGATCCAGCCACGGCCTATTGTTGGCAGAGTCAGGAAGCCTTCCAGATAGAGCAGCCCCGCACCTGCCCCAGGTCACACCCTGGGCCTGGGCACATGCTAGGTCCTCTGTCTGGATACCCTCACCCTGTGGTGGCCTCCACGTCCGTACCCACCAGCACCTCCTGTGGGCGAGGCCCTACATTGCATCCAGCCCTGGGCACCCCCTAGCCCAGAGGGCACCTCATAGTCTGAGAGTCCACCTGTCTGTCTCTAAAGAGAGGAAAACTCCTTGGGACATGTGTTCCGCTTGACCCATTACCCCTGGCCTGGTACAGAAAGGTGGACAGTGGGTATTTGGTGAATAAATGAATGGATGATTGGAATGAATCCCCAAAATGGTGATTTCCAGAGGCCCTTCTCCAGCTGGCCCAGGTGGAACCAGTTTCACTTTTCACAGGAAAGCCAGGTGGGAGGAGTGGGGCAGGTGTGTGTGAGGGGCCAGATTCTTGAGGGCTGCGTGGACATGGGGCTTTGGGGGGTCTGGGGGCGGCAGTGCTGCTGTGGAAGCCTCAGGGAGGGCTCATCCCTGGAATCCCCCAGGGTATCCTGGTGCCCCCAGCTGCTGTGCGGCGTGAGAATTCCTGGCTGGTGGGGACACACAGGGACTTGTTTGGATTGGCCACCTGGTCCAGTCCAAGGAGCTGTGCCTCCAGCCCCTTGGGGAAAAGCTCACTTTTGATGTGTGACAACAGCTGCAGGCAAGGGGAGGGAGAGGTGTGCTGGGCCTCAGCCTTAGAAGCCAGAAGCCCTACCTTGGTCTGGGTGGGAAAGGGATGCAGCCTCAGTTAACTCTAGCGTCCTGGGTTATGGTCAGAACCCTCCCTTATGGACTCAGTGACTTGGGCTGACCCCGCCCCTCCCTGAGCCTCATCAGTGAAACCTGGACTGGGCCAGGGCTGTCGACACCTCCCAGCTCCAACCTCTGGCTTTCTCCTAAGAGGGCAGGAGATCAGACAGAGGTGACCCGGGCTCTCCTGTTTACCTCAACCTCCTTGTGAAGCCTCCCTCTGCCTGTGAGGTGGGTGGGGCCGGAAGGAGGGGCATTCACCTGTGGGTCTCTGACTTCTCTGCCCAGGTGTACCTGGAGAGCCTGATCCATACCCAGTGCTCTGCTACACCCCATGGCCTGGCCACGACCTCCCTGCCTCCAGAGCAGCCCTGGCCCAGGGAAGAAGCTGGTCTCTGCATCGAATGATAGGTAGAAAATGAAAGTGGGGACGATAGCTCTGAAAAGGTCAAGGAGGAGGTGCCTTCCCAAGGACGTGGAGGGTTTTTCCAGAATGGAACTTGACTGGTGCGGGCAAACATCAGGAGGTGGGAAGGGTGGCTCCCTCTGTGGGAGCCAGGACGATTTGCCTGGGCCAAATGGTGGTAAGCTGTGGGTAGGGCAGGCAGAGCTGGAGTGCCCAGAGCCTGGGGTCCCTGTCCTTGCAGAGGACTGGAATGCAAAACAAGTGTCCCCTGCCCTCTGGCTGGGGGACATCCTCTATTTCCAAGCCCAGACACACATCATCTGCCACAAGCCCCTGAGGCTCTTCAGAGGACCAATGGACAGCCATACCCACACTGGGCCAGCCTGCTGGGCCCACCTGCACCCTGGTCACAGCCCATGACTGAGGGGACTCTCTGGGGACAATGGGGCAGTCTTATGCTGCCCTCTTACAGGTGGATCAGTTCCTGGGATCTGGTGTTGGGCTGGGGTGGGCTGAGACTGTTCTTTGCCGGGATGCCTGGTGGACAGCAGGTGGAGCAACTTCTCCTTGGCTTTCCTGGACCCCAGGACACAGCTGAACAGTGCACTTTACCCTGGATGCCTTTGGATTCTCAGGGGACCCTGGGAAGGAAGAGGGGCTGCCCCTGCAGGAGGCCAGGGCCCTGGGCCATGCTTGCTCCCCCCAGTCCCTCCAGCAGGCACCTCCTCTCCAGATTGACATCACCTGATTCCTGAAGGCCTGGGCTACTGACCAGAGCCCCAACACCCTCACCAAGGTCTGTTCTTATATCAGAGCAACTAGTACGAGTTCGGAGCTGAAGGGGGCGGAGAGAGAATGAAGGGCTCTGTAAGAATTCTCGGCTCTCTGCTGTGGTGGGCCCCGTAGAAGTCCCCCCAGAAATCTGCAGCTGCTGTAAGTCACTGGGAGGAAGCTGCAGCAGACATGTGTTTCCCAGCCTAGTAGATGCAGAGGGGTGTCCGGGCCCCCAGGTGGGAGGCCCAAACGTGGCCTTGGATATGGCAGTGCAGGAATTCTAGCCAGCTCTGGGGCCCTGGGCAAGTCATTTAACCTCTCAGAACCCCATTCATGGTCACCATGGGGCTCTTGTGTGGACGTAAAGAACCCCCCTGGCCACTTATATCCCATCAGTGGAAGCCTAGCATGGGTGGAGACCCCCAAGACTGAACTCAGTGGTGGGATCCAGCCTGCCCAGCTCTCCTACATAGAGCCCAGAGCCAACAGGATGGGCTTCCTGGAGAAGCAGGCACTCCTGTGGGCTGGAGAGCATGAGCAGGGGTCCCTTTGGGGAGGTGGAAGAGGCTGCGGTCATTGAAGGCCATAATGAGGCAGAGCTTGGGCAAAAAAGGCATGATGATCAGGGGATCTGAAACCCAACAGAGACTGGACTGAGGACACTGTGACCACCTCCAGGTGCCACTCAGGTGGTAGAAGCTGAGCTAGGGCTGGGCCCCCTGGTCCTGAGTAAGGCCTCACCAGTCTTGGAAGCTGTACCCAAGGTGGCTTCATGTAAGGGTGCATCTGAGCACTTTTCTTGAGACGGGGTCTTGCTCTGTCATCCAGGCTGCAATTCAGTGGCACGATCATAGCTCACTGCAGCCTCAAACTCCTGGGCTCAAGTGATCCTCCCACCTCAGCCTCACAAAGTATTGTAATTATAGGCCTGAGCCATGGAGCCCGGTTTTAAATCTTAATAAATATCTCCTCCTGGTCTGCTTCCCTGGCTGACACACATGCTGGAATCTTGCGCCTAGACAGACATGTTTCTAGACTTGGTTCCATTTGTTCTGACGGCCTCCTCTCTCTCAATGACCGCACATTACAGTATGTGGCTATTCTTACACATTTCTGTATAGACTTGAGGGTTAGTATATTAATGTCAAAGTTCTACTGGTTTTCGAGGCTGGGTGGAATGTTTGGGTTAACTGAGGAGTGGGCATCTTGACAATATAGGCTTTTCCTCCAGGAATGGTGATTCTGGGACGCAGGCTTTGCACATTCTGGTTTATTGCTTGGCTCGCTGCCACAGAGGGATGGCACTGCTCCACATGCCATGCCCAAGAGATGTCCCACCTTATCTTTCTAAATCAAGCTGAATGTTCTCAGCTGACAGGATATCCTATCAGTGCTGCGGGGACTCACACCTTCCAAACTGAGATGAAGTGAGGTGGAGACTATGGAGCAGATCCGTGCTGACTGCATTCGCCCTTCCTGACCCACACTGCTGCTGGCCGGGGCTATGTCTGAGCCATCAGAGGGCATTGATTTGGGGACGGGGCGGGGGGCGGTCCTGGAGAGATGCCCCTCACCTCCCTCAGCTCCTCCTGTCCACCTAACACTTGGCCACCAAGGTCCCTGACTTCCAGGCCCCAGTCACCACTAATGGGGTGCTGCATGGGAACAAAGTGTAGGCCCAGAACCTGGAGCTCAGGTCACTCCTCCTTCCATTCGAAGCCTCTGCCCCTCCCAGGTGATTCCACCCTCATTCCTCCATGGGCCAAATATCCTAAACAAAGGCCTGGACAGGGGTCTTTATCCGAGTACTCAGAAAACACACACGGAAATGCTTTGCATGCCCCCTGTGGCCTGCCAGGGGTAAGAGCCTGCCCGTCAAAATGCACAGTCCTGGTTCTTGCAGGGAGGTGAGGAGCGGAGGAAGAAAAGATCCATCTCATTCTTTCAGCAGGATCCTAAACTTGGGAAAGCCAGATGCAGTACATTTCTTAATCCTGATACTTTTATAACTGGTTATAGCGGGGTCACATGCGCAACTGTTTTCCAACATCTTTCAACGGGCCACATAACATCCTGTAACTTCTTTTTTTAATTTTTATTTTGTAAGGCCAGGGGCAGTGGCTCACGCCTGTAATCTCAACGCTTTCGGAGGCTGAGGCAGGAAGACTGATTGAGGCCAGGAGTTTGAGAACAGCCTGGGCAACATAGCAAGACCCCATATGCAACAGAGAAAAAAAATTTTTTTTTTTGAGTACAGTGGCATGATCACAGCTCACCATAGCCTCCAACTCCTGGGCTCAAGCGATACTCCCACCTCAGCAGCTGGGACTATCAGAGCGCAGCACCACATCTGGCTGATGTTTTAATTTTTAGTAGAGATGTGGTCTCACTATGTTGCCCAGGCTGGTCTTGAACTCCTGGCCTCAAGAGATCCTCCCAATGTGACCTCACAATGCACTGGGGTTACAGGCATGAGCCACCATGCAGCCCCTGCAAAATCTAACTGTTCTTCAGGTGCTCCTTTTGGACCTCCTAGCTAGACTGCCATTGGCAAATACCAGTTTATTATCCACCCACATTTATGTTAATGGATTTCCCATGTTTTATTTGTCTAGACCAGGCTTTCTCCACAGCAGCACTGTTGATGTTTAGGGCTGGACAGTTCTCTGTTCTGGAGCTGTTTGCGCCTCGCAGGATGTTTAGCAGCATCCCCAGCCTCCGCCTGCCACATGCCAGCAGCACTCCTCAGTGTGACAGCCAAAGTGATTTCAGATATTGTCAAATATCCCCAGGGCGGCAAAATCACCTCCAGTTGAGAACTGCTGACCTAAAACCCTCTGGAACAATGTTAGATCATGGTAATGATAGCACATACTGCTCCTGACCTTAATGGGAATACCTCTAGCATCAAAGTATAGTAGTACCTGTATACTACTGTCTGGGCTGTTATTAGTACACTGTATTAGTCCATTCTCATGCTGCTATGAAGAAATACCCAAGACTGGGTAATTTATAAAGAAAAGAGGTTTAAATTGACTCACAGTTCTGCATGGCCGGGGAGGCCTCAGGAAACTTACAATTATGGCAGAAGACACCTCTTCACAGGGCAGCAGGAGAGAGAAGGAGAGCCGAGCAAAGGGGAAAGCCTGTAATAAAATCATCAGATCTGGTGAGAACTCACTTACTATCATGAGAACAGCATGGGAGAAACCACCCCCATGATTCAATTATCTCCACCTGGTCCCACCCTTGACATGTGGGGATTATTGCAATTCAAGGTGAGATTTGGATGGGGACACAGAACCAAGCCATATCATATCCTTTATATTAGCATACTGTATCAAAGTATAATTTTCTTTCTTTTTTTTCTTTGGGACAGAGTCTCACTCTGGCTCTGGCTGGAGTGCAGTGGCACAATATCAGCTCATGGCAACCTTGGCTCACTGCAGCCTCAGCCTCCTGGGTTCAAGCAATTCTTGTGCCTCAGCCTCCCGAGCAGCTGGAACTACAGGTGTGTGCCACCAATGCCCAGCTAATTTTGATTTTGTTTTTAGTACACATGGGGTTCGACATGTTGGCTAGGCTGGTGTCAAACTCCTGGCCTCGAGTGATCCAGCCACTTCAGCCTCCAGAAGTCCTGGGATTATAGGCATCAGCCACTGCACCCAGCCTGAAGTATAATTTTCACAATATGAAAAGCTTGACTTTCATACAAATAATGAAGGAATACGTATAAGATATTTTCTTTAATTTACAAGGGAGTCAGCAACACGGTGAAGCTAGTTCAAGGAGCGTTTTGAGAGACAGTGTCTGTAGTGCTCCAGGAAGGGCATTCCGAAATGCATTCTGAGATAGAGACAAAACTTGTTAATATCCTAAAGGGAGGCCGGGCGTGGTGGCTCAGGCCTGTAATCCCAGCACTTTGGGAGGCTGAGGTGGGTGGATCACCTGAGGTCAGGAGTTCAAGACCAGCCTGGCCAACATGGTGAAACCCTGTCTCTACTAAAAATACAAAAATTAGCCAGGCGCAATGGTGGGTGCTTGTAGTCCCAGCTACTCAGAAGGCTGAGGCAGGAGAATTGCTTGAACTGGGAGGTGAAGGCTGTAGTGAGCCAAGATCATGCCACTGCACTCCAGCCTGGACAACAGAGCAAGATTCTGACTCAAAAAAAAAAATCCTATTGGGAAATAAAACTGTCATCTTTGGGAGTTATCTTTTCTACTGTACTGAAATCTGTACGTTAACATATATACATATTCTCACATATATTCATAACATATTCTCTAGTATATTTCCCTACATTAGTGGTTTTCAAACCATGGTCTCAAATTGGAAGCACCAGTGTCACCTGGGAACACAGACATGCAATGCTCAGGCCCCACCTCAGTCCTATTGAGTTAGAAACTCTGGTGTGGGGCCCAGCAGCCCATTTCACAAGCCTTGCAAGTGATTAGGATGCACTCTAATGTTTGAGAAACACTGCTCTAAATAGTCAATCTTTAATAGTAAAACAAGTATCTATGAAACAATGCTCAGTATGACATTAAAAGGGCGCACCACCCACCTTTTAACTTTATTTCTGAATTTAAATATTTTGTCTGTCTAATGTTAAATTTGCTGTTTTGTTTTTCAAATACTCTTAAGATAAGACAGTTTTCATCTGTTCCTAATTTTCTTTTTAAATAAAAAATGGTCCCAAAACTATCCATTTTTCTCTTCTTTAACCTACTGACAGCATGAAATAAAAGTTGAACCATTCCTACATCTTTTTTTTTTTTTCTCACCTTGTTGCTCAAGTTGACTGAAATGCAGTGGTGCAATCTCGGCTCACTGCAACCCCCACCTCCCGGGTTCAAGCGATTCTTGTGACTCAGTCTCCTGAGGCTGGGATTACAGGCACCCAGCACCATGCCCAGCTAATTTGTATTTATTTATTTACAGTAGAGACGGGTTTTGCCATGTTGGCCACACTGGTCTCCAACTCCTGACCTCAGGTGATCTGCCTGCCTCGGCCTCCCAAAGTGCTAGGATTACAGGCATGAGCCACCGCACCCAGCTTTTTTTCTTTTCCTTTTTTTGTTTTGAGATGGTCTCATTCTGTTGCTCAGGCTGGATGGAGTACAGTGGCGCCATCATGGCTCACTGCAGCCTCCACCTCCCATGCTCAAGAGATCCTCCCATCTCAGCCTCTTAGGTAGATGGGATGACACGTGTGCACCAGCACAAGCAGCTAATTTTTTGTAGAGACTGGGGTCTCCCTATGTTGCCCAAGCTGGTCTAGAACTCCTGGGCTCAAGCGATCCACTGGCCTTGGCCTCCCAAAGTGCTATGATTACAGGTCTTATGTTCTTAAAATTTTTCTTTGACATGGTATAGGATAGTCTAGTAACTTAACACACTGTTGCTTTCAAGAGGATAGTGCTTATGATTTGTAAAATAACTCTTCAGAAATGAGTTCAATTTTACCATGAATTGGGACACTTTCTATTTCTATTCTATAGAGCAGTTTACTTGTCATGAGGTCTGTCTTTTGAAAACTTGAAAGCCTGCAACAATAAAACCAGCTGCACCTGGTGCATGGGATAGGCATGGAATTGAGGAGAGAGCTCAAACTATGGTCAGCCTTCTGTATCCTCGGGTTCTGGGTCCTTGGATTTAACCAACTGTGCATCAAAAATATTTGGAAAAAGTAAAACAATAAAAAAACACAAAAATTTAAAAATACTTTATATCAGCTATTTACAAAGCATTTATGTTGTATTAGGTATTATAGCAATCTAGAGATGATTTAAAGTATACGGAAGGATGTGCATAGGTTATATGCAAATACTATGCCACATTATATCAGGAACTTGAGCATCTGTGAATTTTGGTATCTCTGGGGTCCTGGAACCAGTATCTTGAGGTTACTAAGCGACGACTGTATTCAATTTCTTCTTTGGTTATTAGTTTATTCTTTAATGTATTTTTGTTGTTGTTTTGTCTTTTTGTTTTTGCCTCTTCAAGTCAACGTCGGAAACTTAGTTGTTCTAGACTACCCATTAGCTCAAAGCTACCAGTAATCAGACTACCACTGCAATCTAAGCAACCGATTTTTTTTTTACCCATCAGACTGGCAAAAATTAAGATAAGATCTAGTGATGTTGAAGCTGTGGGGAGTTTTTCCTGAGCATGTTAATTATGACAGCCCTTTTTACTAGGCACCTAGACGATTCATCAAAATGAAATAAAATACCCATGCACTTGAAGAAGTTACCTGGTTATTTCCTTATCTGGGTGCTGGTTATGTGAGGTCTACAGTTGATGAAAACTTATTAAGCTTTATATTTCTAATAGGTACAATTTTCTGTATGTGTAATATATTTGAAAAGTTTTTAAAATGTTTTTTGCCACAGCCCGCAGCTGTGTATAATGCTATTCGCTTAACAGTGGAAAACATGGCAATGACCTGAATCTCCCTGGCTCCCGGGATCCTACCCCCTTAAGTTAACGAAAATAAAAGTAAAAGAAATAACTTCCACTGTCTTTCGTAATGCCTTAAATCCGTCCTCAGTTAAACCGGCGGTTGGCGCTGGTTTTTTCCAGGGCAGGATTCTGGGAGACGGAGGAGCAGACGCCAGCATTTCGCCCCCGGCACCTCCAGCGGGCTGCGGTCCGCTCCCGGCCTCACTCGAGCAGGTCCCGCCCCGCCAGAGGCCGTTAGTCCAAGTCACGTGATCGTCGACTCAGCTGACCTGGCGGGACCGGAAAAAGAAATTCCCGGGCCCTGGCTTCCTCGCGCGATGTATGAGGCACCAGGGGTGAAGCGGGCATGGGCTGCTGGAGCGGGAATGAGGGGGCGCCAGTGGCTCCGGAAACGGGTTGAGGTTGTCTGCACTGGCCGCTCCGCAAACACAGTGTGTGCGGGCGTCAGGGCAGCAGGTCTGGTAGAGAAAAGTCCACCGCCATCCCTCTCCCGAATGGGGCGGGTAAGACAGAGCAGGCCGGCCGGCTTAGAGTTCCCTGCTTCCCTGGCGGAAGGAAGGGCCCCTGACTCCTGGGGCAGGAACTAGGGCTTGTCTGGAGCTGGGAGTCCTTTCAGGTCTTCTCTAGCTCCAAAAGGACCTCCCAAGGACACCCCCTTCCCCAGCCCTGCTGTGGGACTTGGACAGGAAAGTGCTAGAATCAGGCTCACTCTTGCACACTGTTAGGAAGCCACTCCGCTCTTTTCAGATCCAGAAAGTAGTAGTTTTGGGGCTGATACTTATCCATCCATTCATCCAATCCATCCATCCATAGGTTCAAAGTGCCTAGTCTATACCATGAATTGTACTAGGCACTGGGAGGACTTGAGCTGCCGCGGGAAGGGGAAATCAGAGGCTTGAATTGGCAGTCATAGTTAAGGCTCCAGGGGCAGAGACCTAACTGCGCCTTGTGTGTAGTGCTAAGGGGGCTTCCTGAGGATGCCTTCAACCTTAAAGGCGATGGCAGGAGTTGGCTGGCTGAAGTACAGTTTGTGTACCAGGGGTTGGGAGGCAACGGTGGGAGGCGTGTGTCTTCAGACAGGGAACAGCATGTGCAGAGACTTCAGGTGAGAGAGAGCATGGCTCCCCAGGAATGAATGCATTTCCCATAGCTGGGAGAGTATCATCTGGAGGTTAGGGAAAGATGAGTCTGGACAAGTAAAGGCCAAATCTTCCTGACTGTTGGATCACCACAATCAAGATAACGAATATATCCACCGGCCCCCAAAATTTCCTTGTGTTAGGGGCTGTTTTAGGAAGTATGATCAAGAAGGGCTGGCCTGCCAGGGTGGAGTGGCTCACGCCTGTAATCCCAGCACTTTGAGAGGCCAAAGTGTGCAGATGACCTGAGGTCAGGAGTTCGAGATTAGCATGGCCAACACAGTGAAACCCTGTCTTTACCAAAAATACAAAAAAGTTGGGTGTGGTGACGCATGCCTGTAGTCCCAGCTACTTGGGAGGCTGAGGCAGGAGAATTGCTTGAACCCGGGAGGTGGAGGTTGCAGTGAGCCGAGATTGTGCCATTGCACTCCAGCCTGGGCAACAGAGCGAGACTCCGTCTTTAAAAAAAAAAAAAAAAAGAAGGGCTGGTCTGATGAGGTGTCACTTGAGCAGAGAGTGGAATGAAATAAAGGATAGCAAGCCACATAGAGAGTGCAGCGGAAGCAAGGCTGGTGTCCCTGAGCTGCAGCAGGGAAGCTGGAGTGGCTGGAGTTGTGTGGGTATGGGGAAGAAGGGAGAGAGTTCACTCGTCTCTGTGAGGCCCAGGACTTTGTTTTATCCCATGCTGTACCCCCAGCACTTAGAGTGGGAGCTAGCACAGAGAAGGTGCTCAATTGATGTTTGCTGAGCAGATGAATGCCTGGAGTAGACCTCAGAGCAGGGTTTGGTGGCAGGGTGGGTCAGGTAGAGTTTACTCAACAGCCTGGTGATAGGGGAGAACAAGTGGCCAGAGGGTATCCATCTATGTCGGGGACCAGGGGTCCCTGCTGGGCAGCAGTGTGGGAGACACAGGGATCCTGGCCACACCTCAGTCTTCTTTCCAGCCTGATTACCTGCCTCCCTCCCTTGCAGAGGTTTCGGTTCTGTGGTGATCTGGACTGTCCTGACCGGGTCCTGGCAGAGATCAGCACGCTGGCCAAGATGGTTGAGTGCACAGGGTCTACACTGGGTGGAGGAGGGGTGTTGGGCTGGGGATTGTGGCTGTAGAGGATGGTGAGGTTTCTCTGGGGCTAGGGCCTCAGTGCTCTCAGCCTGTGCTACCATGCTTTGTGACCTTGATCAGTGGCTGGCCTGCTTTGAGCCAGTCCCCAGGAAGAAGGGGTGAGGTTTGCCAGCCTGGCTGATGTAAGGACTTCCTTTCCAGTCCTCTGTGAAGTTGCAGCTGCTCTGCAGCCAGGTACTAAAGGAGCTGCTGGGACAGGGAATTGATGTGAGTACAAGATCCAGCACCCCATTGTCCCATGACCTTATGACCACCACTGCCCTGAAACTCTGCACTAGGCCCGGGGAGACGGGTGAGCCAGCCTCTCAACCTCTCTGGGTACCTCCCTTCCTTCTTTCCAGCCTGTCTGTTCCTTATTGCAGGATCCAGGCTGGGGGTGAGGGGCTGGTGAGCAGGGACCTGGCACCCCCTGAAGGTCTCCTTTCCCCATAGTATAAGAAGATCCTGAAACTCACAGCTGATGCCAAGTTTGGTGAGCACCCCGCTGAGTTCACAGGCCCCAGGCAACCCTGGGACCTCGGCCTGGTGCCTGGTACAGAGCCCGCCCCCCACCCCCCCGCCAACACACACATCCCAGCAGTATCCTTAACCTGCCTTCCCTAGTGGAGGAGCATGAGGGAAAGAAAGACATTGACAGTCCCACCTTCCTGTCCTCTGCCAGCTCCTGGTGGAGCAGTAGCAGTGCCTATGGCTCCAGGAGGCCTGGGGGCTTTGAGCTGAAGTTAATAGGGCAACAGGGAGGTGGCTGGGCCCACAGTGACACCCCCTGTCCCATGCATGGGTCCCTGAGAGTCAGGCGATGTGAAGGCCACAGTGGCAGTGCTGAGTTTCATCCTCTCCGGTGCGGCCAAGCACAGTGTCGATGGCAAATCCTTGGCCAGTGAACTGCAGCAGCTGGGGCTGCCCAAAGGTACGGGTTGTGGGTGGGCAGCTGGGCAGCCTGTGGGCCAAGGGCTGCTAGAGAGTGGGCCAGGCCCTGTGACCCTGAGGTGTACCCTGCCCTGTCTGGGCCAGGAGCCCAAGCCCAGCCCCCACCTGCTACCTCCAGAGCTTCTCCATTCTACCCCCAGAGCACGCGGCCAGCCCGTGCTGCTGTTATGAGGAGAAGCAAAGCCCCTTGCAGAAGCACTTGCGGGTCTGCAGCCTACGCAGTAAGTATGAGGCCAGCCAGGGTCCGGGCTCATCCTAGAAGGTGCACGCAGCACACAAAGTGCGTGGAGAGTCCAGGGAGACAATTTAACCGCAGTCACATACCGAGCAGCCGCAGAGCCGGGACGTGGCCCTCGGTCTCCTGACCCCGCGCGCTCTGTGATGTGTACGTACAGGATCAGACCTTGCCCTTTCCTCCTGGCTGACCCTTCCTTAGTCCCCCGTGCCCCATGTGTGAGCACCCAGCTCACTCTCATTCCTCCCTCTCCAAAGCGTGGTCCCTGGCAGCACGAGTGGCAGAAGGGACAGCAGAGACTGTGGACCCCTCAGCTGCACCTAAGACCTCTGTGTGGTCTAGCCGTGTGTGCTGGGGGAGGCTTTTGGCCACCATTTCCCCCTCTGTAAATGAGACCGATACCTGTGGCATGGAGGACAGGAGGCTGGTGTGAGTGCCAAGCACTTGGAGCAGGGCCCTGAGTGAGCATGGACATGGGAACAGGGGTGTTTCTCGACTTTGTGCACCTTGGGGATGGGAGTGGGGCTCCCTGCATGGGTTGACAAGGCATTGCTTTCCCCCACCCCACCTCTGTCCCAGCCCTGCAAGTCCAGTCCTTGGGGGTCTAGGAAGGAAGAAGCCCCTGGCTGTTTGGCCTCAGGCTGGTGCCTGGCCCTCTCTGGCTCTGAGTTCCTGGGAAAGTCAGCACCCAAGGCATGCCCTCAAGTTTAGCACCTTGACAAGAAGGGCGGGGACACTGGGATCAGGCCCAACTCTTTGGCCCCAAATCCCACGGCCCCAGCTGGAGGATGAGGAGACGCTGGGCTTGGATGGGGAAATCAGGGGTGTAAAGGGGCCTGCTCACCCCTCAGCTTGGCTCAAAGGCTCAAGGCGTCAAAGGCTCAGCCTGCCACTCAGGAAGGAGCCCTGGCCAAGCCAGACACTCACCAGGACAAGGGCAACTGTGATGAGCAGGAGGCCCAGGATGAGGAGAGCCATGGCATAGCTGGAGATAAAGGCATCCAGCAGGCTGGAGGCTTTGGGGCTAGGACTGCCTAGAGCAGAGCAAGAAGGCTATGGCCAGGCGGGGCTCTGCCTCTCAGACTTCTGAGAAGACAGAATCTGGGCCCAGAAGTTGCTGCGGGACCAGAGAGCTGGGGCTAGGAGCACCTTAGAGGGCTCCATGAGGAGGGGAGGCAGGCTTCAGATCAGGGCATGTGGAGGCAGCGAGCCCAAGGGAGGAGGCAGAGGGACAGAGGGAGGCAGCCTGCAGAGGGAAGGAGGTACTGACCGAGGTCTAGGATGACCGTGTCTACCAAGACGCCCGCTGCCTCCCACAGGGTGTGCAGGCCCTGGCGTGCACAGTGCCACATGACGGCCTGGGCTGGCGCCACCCTGAAGAAGGTGGCACCCACTCTGGCGGTCAGTGGGTCCAGCCTGCTGAGAGGATTATCACAGACTTCAGGGGTCTGTGCAGCCTTGGGGGACTAGGGGAGGTCATCTCTTCCAGCCTCCTGTCCTCAACCCCAGAACCCCGGTATGAGCCCTGGGTCACCCAGGGCCACCCCGGACCCACTGGAATTCCTCCACCACCGCTTGGTCAAAGTTCTGCAGAGATCTGAGGACAAGGGTCAGCTGGGGGGTCAGAAGAGGATGAAGAGGGTCACAGCTCTACCAAACAAAGCTTCATTCCTTGTGGCCCCTGGCCCACCCCTCTGCTGCCAACCTCAGGCTGGCCCAGCCCTGCAGAGTAGGTGCCCAAAGGCATCGTAGCAGTTCCTGTCATGCTGGTCTCCCCCCGGGGCCCCCTCTGGAGCCTGGTACCACAGATCTCAGGGTAGGGGGTACAGCTCAGTCTCCCTTCCCTCTCATCCCCCTCATAGGGGCTTAGTCCACCAAGGCCCCTGACTGCTAGGGGACCCACACCCACGGCCTCCTTCTTTCTGACTGCTGGCCCTTCCCCAGCCTGGATACTTGAGCCCTGGGCAGAGGGGTAACAATCCCAGGACTGTCTTCATAAGCAGAGAGGCCACTTGGCACCAGGCTCTTACTCCTTGGGCTGAGCTCAGCAGCAGGTGTGTCACCAAGGTCCCCTGGGCAGAAGGGGCTCAGCCCTGAGGGCCCATCACTCGCCATGCCTGCACGTTCCTGCTAGGCATCCACCCTGGGGACCCAGCTTTCCCCCTTCCCCCAGCTGCTGGCAGGCCTGTCTTGATTCATCCAGGGTCCTTCAGGCCATGCCGGGAAGCAGCCAGCAGCTGGGAGGAGCACTTGGGGTTTCTGCATCTTTTTTTATGGAGCTGACTTGGGTGGGAGGGGCTACAGACTCAAGGGAGACTGCAGGCCACCCCTTCCCCACTCCCTGGCTGGGTAGGCTTCCAGCTCAGGAGTCTGATTGGAAGGATGGGACCGTCCTGTCACAGAGGCAGGTCTGAGTAGTCCAGGCCCAGTTTTACCCTCCAGCAGGGCCCCTTTCATTCATTTGTCCAGCTGGCTTTGCCCAAAGCACAAGTAATGTCTATGTGTACTGTGTCCCCTGTCCCCAAGGGGAGTATGGCTCCAGTCCTGGCCTGGAACTCAGAGACCTTAGAATTAGAGGCCACATCTGGCAGGGTGGACCAGCATGGTCTGCCCACGGCCAGGGCAGGTACCATGTTGGCAGCCCCAGACCTGACACCACGGCTCCCGTCTCCCCTCTCCACTTCCATCCTGCACATCACCTACACTACGCGCTGTCCCTGATGAATCCAAGCTGTCAGCTTCTGTCAGCTTGGCTGGGAAGTCATGCTGACCGTAAGGGGAATGGTGCAGCCTGAGTTGGGGGCTGAGTGGGAATGGGCCTGGTGTGGGGTGGGGGAGGTGGGGGTGAGGCGGGTGTCTGGCGCCTCTCTGCTTATCTTCCTTTCTCCTTTGTCCACAAAGGAGGCATCTTTTCCATGTCCCTCTGCCACCCTGGGGACATAAAATACTGCCCCACTTCTGTCTTCCCTTGGACATAGCCCACCTATCTTCCTGTGGGACTCAGGGCTTTGTTTTGTCCTGTGGCCCACATGAGAAGCAATTATCCCTGCTCTGCTCAGCTGAGAGAGGACAAACTGAGGCAGAGCAGGGGAACAACTCTGTCATAGTCTGGCTGTTAATGGCAGAGTAAAGACCAGCCCTTCCCTGAGTGTCAGGTCCAGTAGACATTATATTAGTCCGCTTTGCATTGCTCTAGAGGAATACTTGAGACTGGCTTATTTATTTATTTTTGAGATGAAGTCTAGCTCTGTCGCCCAGGCTAGAGTACAGTGGCACAATCTCAGGGCACTGCAACCTCTGCCTCCTGGGTTCAGGCTACTCTCCTGCCTCAGCCTCCTGAGTAGCTGGAATTACAGCCATGCACCACCATGCCTGGCTAATTTTTTGTATCTTTAGTAGAGACAGGGTTTTGAAATGGAGTTTCGCTGTTGTGGCCCAGGCTAGAGTGCAATGTTGTGATCTCAACTCATTGCAACCTCTGCCTCCCAGTTCAAGCAATTTTCATGCCTCAGCCTCCCAAGTAGCTTGGATTACAGGCACGCACCACCATGCCCGCCTAATTTTGTATTTTTAGTAGACAGGGTTTCACCAGGTTGGTCAGGCTGGCCTTGAACTCCTGACCTCAAGTGATTCACCCGCCTCAGCCTCCCAAAATATTGGGATTACAGGCATGAGCCACCACTCCTGGCACTGAGACTGGTAATTTATAAAAGAGGTTTATTTGCCTCACAGTTCTGTAGGCTGTACAAGCATCTGCTAGGCTTCTGGTGAAGCCTCAGGAAGCTTTTACTTCTAGTGTGAGGCAAAGAGGGAGCAGACATGTCGCATGGTGAGAGAATAAGCAAGAGAGAGGAGGCATCAAGCTCTCCTGTGAACTAATAGAAAACTCACTCATTGAATCACTTGAACCTGGGAAGTGGAGGTTGCAGTGAGCCAAGATCATGCCACTGCACTCCAGCCTGGGCTATGAGCGAGACTCTGCCTCAAAAAATAAAAAAATAAAAAATAAGAAAACTCACTCATTACCATGGGGAGGGCACTAAGCCATTCATGAGGGATCCCCCACCATGACCCAAACACCTCACACTATAGGCCCCATCTCCAGCATTGGGGATCACATTTCAACACGAGATGTGGATGGGACAAGTATCCAAACTATGTCAGAGGCCTCCCCCTCCCTCTCATCAGAATCTTCTGTCCTCAGTTCAGGTGCATGCTGGCCTCCATGCCTGGCTTCCTAGAAAGTCATCTTGGCGCCAAGGGGTTGGGCAGGGCCACTAGGCTGAGGGTTGGAGCCCTATCTCTCCTAGTCCCAGCCTGGGTCTCCATCACTGGGTAACCCGTACTGCTCGCTGCATTCTCTCCACACCTGCTCCCTACAGCCCAGGGGTCAGTCTGGGTGCAGGCCTGGGTAGAGGTCCAGGAGCAGATTCTGCCCCCCAGCTCATACTTCCTGTGCACCATGGCAGAAAATGCACCAGCATGGCCAGGAGCACTGGCTTGTCCCTGTAGTCTCAGTGTTTTGGGAGGCTGAGGTGGAAAGATCGCTTCAGACCAGCCTGGGCAACATAGTCAGACCCTGTCTTGAAAAAAATAAAATTAGGCATGGTGGCATGCACCTGTAGTCACAGCTACTCAGGAGGCTAAGGTGGGAAGATTGCATGAACCCAGGAGGTCCAGGCTGCAGTGAGGTGTGATTGCACCACCACAATCCAGCCTGGGCAACAGAGCAAGACCCTGCCTCTGAAACAAGAAACAAAGTGCACCAGTGTGTGGATTCCAGCTTCTCCTGGTGTGTGGACCTGACCTCACTCAGCCCCATCAGTGAGTAGGAGGCTTCCTGCTGTCTTCCAGAACACTCTCACCACTACACCTGTGTTCCTCCTGCATTCTCTGGCAGGCTTTGTGAGGAGACCTGTCACCTGCCTCTCTGGCTGCCCTAAGGCCCAGCTCAAACCTTCCCTGACCCTGAGAACCTTTTTCTGAAGAGTCTTTCCCCCACCCATAGGCCCCCTCATTTCAGAGCTTTTGGTGGGGTGAGTACAAGGATCGACTCTCTGCTACCAGCCTGGGTAGGGTCCCTAGGGTTGGGTCTCTGGATGGCATATGAGGGTCTAGACCAGGATCCAGATGCCTGTAACCTGAAGGGCAGGCCCTCAGCTGCCCCAACTTCATGGAGCCCCTCGTCCAGCCTGACCTTCTGGGATAGGCCCAGCCCCTGCATCCTTTGGTCTTGGTCCCTGCAGGGAACTCTGGTTACCCTGGCTTACCTACTTTGACTCCAAAAGTAATGCTGACATCCCCCGTGAGACACAGTGACAGACTGAGACTAACGTAGGGTTACGTGGCTCAGAGTCACCATGGCCAGGCAGAGCTCAGGTCCTAGCACTGTTCAGCCCTGCCTCCCGGGTTCAAGTGATTCTCCTGCCTCAGCCTCCCAAGTAGGTGGAACTACAGGTGCATGCCACCACACCCGGCTAATTTTTTGTAGTTTTAGTAGAGATGGGGTTTCACTGTGTTAGCCAGCGTGGTCTTGATCTCCTGACCTCGTGATCCGCCCACCTCAGGCTTTCAAAGTGTTGAGATTACAGGCCTGAGCCACTGCACCCAGCCTCCCTAACACTCTTCTAGCTCTGGTGCCCTGCAGGGTCTCCCTTGGAGCACCTGGAGCCCAAGAAGCTGTCCCTCACCTTTGCAATCCCAGGGACTCGCCCCCTGATCATGATGAAGGTGGACCCAAACCCGCTGAGGGGCCTGAAGGAGCAAAGGTCAGCCTCTGCCTCCCACGGCCTCTCTGATGGGGGGGATGTTATCCCAGCAGCATGAGCTGGGAGCAGAATTGGGAGGATGGGGGGTTTTCTCTGTGGGTAGCTCTGGGCTCCAAGGTGGAGCCCTCTTAACCTGGCCGCTCCCCTGTGACTCTCCTTAGCCCCAGGCAAAGAAAGCAGCTTGCCGGAGGTCACCTGTCAGATAGGGAAAGAGTGGGACCTGGGTTCTTTCTCACCCAGCTGCAGCTCTCCCTTCCCCCAGCCCCTTCCCCCAGGTGATAGAGAACCTGGCAGGCTGTGTCCCATAGAAGAGTTCACTTTCCTTCTGGTAAGGGATGGGAACCAGCTTGGGATGGGAGGGATGAGGGGTCTGGGGGCTCTCCCAGCCCTGCCTCACATTTGAAGGATGGCATCTGGGTGTCAGCATGGTTTAGGCTAGACGGGGCGGCCCCGAGGTTTATAGCCTGGCCTCGGGCAGGATGCTGCCATGCCACCTTCTCTTCTGCACGTCCTGACCTGGCATCCTACCTAAAGGTCCTCAGGTCTCCTGCCCCCTGGGCATTGCCCCCACTCCCTGCCCAGACACAGCTGTCCTTGTCCTGGACTAATCTTCAGAGATTCTTGTCCAGCCCACAGCTTTGCTGGACATCGCAGGCTGGGCCAGGCCCCCTGCCCAGCACTAACATCTCTGTGTGTCTCAACCAGACTGAGCTGCAGCTTCAGGGTCAGGGTAGGCTCTGACTTAATTGACGTGACCCAGGACAAGGGGATTTATTGATGGTGTCACATATGCTTAAGCTCTTGGCCTCTATGATTTCTTTGGGGCATGATACCCCTCTGTCCCATGCTTAGGTGCCCACCTGTGGCCACAAGTACCTTTCTTACCACCATCCCTACTTGAGATCGGTGTCCAGGCACCTGTGGCTCCACGCAGAACGCTGAGCACAGAGCCAGGCCTGGGCGGATGTTCTGCAGGGGCTGCAGGAGCTGACAGTCCTGACCACCCAGCCCGTGGCCATCCATTCCCTTTCACCGTGGCTGGCTCTTCATCCACCATCCTTCCAGGGGCCAGGCCTGAACCCAAACTGACTTTTACCTGCCCTGGTCCCCCTTGTGCCTATCAGGTTCTTGGCTGAGCATGATGTTCTTGCCCATTTCCTTGATTATCCTCAAAAGGTTTATAGAACCACTTGGGGACATCACATCTGTCTACCAGGTCCTCACCAGAGACATGACTGCCTTGGGCCGGGCCTGGGATAGTCAGGGGTCACACTCACCTGTTGGGACCTAGCTTCAGTGGCTTCAATCTGGGCAATGGCCTGATGGGCGGCTGCCCCTTCTCCTCTGCTTGGGGGAGGCAGGAGAGGAAGGTCAGGGAGGAGATCTGCTTCCTGCCCACCTGACACTGGTTGGAAGCAGGGCGCCCACCTGTGCCTGTCTCACCTTGCTGCAGGTGCATCGGAGGCCGAACCCCTCTCCTGATCTCCTGCAGGTGTGGATTCCAGGTTTCCAATGGGTGTCAGTGTGGGCTCCAGAGCTCTCCTGGTCCTAGGGAACCCTGGGCTCCATGAGGCCTTCGCCTAGCCAGATTGTTTCCCACACTGTCACCTCCCCACCCTGTCACCTCCCCAAACATGGGGCTGCATGCTCTGTGCCCTGGGTGGGACATTGGAAGGAGTGCCACCTTCCAGGTTTGGATCACAGTAAAGCCTCTGCCATGGGGATGTGCTGGCTGAGACAGATGGGGTTGAACCAGTCATGATATGTTGGCCTTGGGCAAGTCATCTGTGCCTTGCTTCCCTTTCCCCAGCAGCCAGAAGGGATAATAGCACCTATTTCACCCATACTCAAGTGTTCATTTGTTAGCAGGAACTGAGTCCCGGAGGAGGTGCAGGTGGAGCCATTGAGGCAGCACTGCAGCTGGACCTGGGTCTGAGTCCCAGCTCCTGGCTGTGATATGCATCACTCTCTCCATTTATTTATCTGAAAGACAGGGCTGTGCTGTTCTGGGGTCACTGTGAGAATGCAACTGGCCTGTGTGAGTTGGTGGTGGCCTCCTGTGATAGTTTGAGGTGGGCTGGAGGTGTGTCTTGAATGCCCCCTCACCCCCATGGGGAAGACCCACTTAGGGAAGACTCAAGTGTCTGTATGGAGGAACCCACATTCCCTGCCCCTCAGCTGTCCTCTGTCCCTTCCTAGCCCCCTCTGCTGTCCTGCAGGCTCTGGCGGTGGCCATCCAGCTTGGTGGCCATCTGGCTGATCCACTCCTCCAGGTGGACCCTCTGTCCTCATGTGGTGCAGGTCCCATTGTGCCACCTCCAGACAGGCCATGCTAGCCCCAGGGCCTCCGTTCCCTGTTACCCAGCCCCCACCCCCAGGTACGTGCCACCTCCCTAAAGCCCACTGTGTCCACCAGCTGTGTTTCAACTCTGTCTCTGAGCAAGGCCTAACGCAAAGCCTGAAACAGCCTGGCTTGTAGAGGGCCAGGAGACCAAAGCTTGAAGAGAGAGTGACGGTCTCCCAGAGCCCACTTAGCCTCAGCCCCAGGGCTGTGTCCATGCTGTTCCTGGCTCCAGTGAGCCAATTCTCTCCCCTGACGCCCGTAAGGGCTCCAGTGGTGATGGAGGTAGCTGGAGAGAACAAGGCTGTCTTAACCCTCCCTCCCTGAGAAGGCCCAACGGGGAACGTTTTAGGCATCAGGGCATTCTGGGGGGCATCTTCCAGGGACCCCTCCTATACCCTGCCCTGCCCTGGCTCTCTAGTGAGAAATTGCAGTTGCTTGGACAGTGGGGCTGACCCAGGACAAATGCATATATTGGGCTGGTCTTCAGGGTGCTGGGGTAGGGGCAGGGGCACTTCAGGGATAGGAAGGAGGGGCCTGTGTGTTCCAGAAGTACAGAGGAACCTGGTGCCGGCCGCAGTCAACCCCTATGTGATGATCTTTCTACCCGCCCTCTTTCGTGTCTTGGTGCTGGCTGCTGTCTTTGGCCAGGTAAGCTCATGGTCTGGGCTCCTGGGGTCCACTCACTGGGCCTCCACACTGCCTGCAGGTAGGGGAGCCTTTGGGCCAGGACTATCCTTGGCTCCCCTTCCAGGTGGTGGGTTCAAAGACCATTCCTGGGTTCCACCACCGCCAAGCCTCAATGGTCACAGGAACTGCTGGGGCTTTCTAGGTTAAGACCCTTGCCTATCCCGGTGTTCCTCCCTGCAGTAGGGGGCTGCAGGGGTCAGCCTCAGTCTCTGCCTTGGGAGCCTGCCTTACCTTGCCTGAACTCAAGCGATCTGCCTGCCTTGGACTCCCAAAGTGCTGCAATTATAGGCGTGAGCCACTGCACCCAGCCCAGCCTTGACTTTGAAATATATGTTGTACATCCAGACAGCAGTGAACTCTGGGGGAACACCAAAGATGAGGAGAATGAGAGAAGAGATACCTCCAATTAAAGGAGTTAGGAAGAGATGCTTGAACTTATGTTTTAAAAAGTCAATGCAGGTTGGGCACAGTGGCTCGCACCTGTACACACAGCACCTTGGGAGGCTGAAGTGGGTGAACGGCTGGAGCCTAGAAGTCTGAGACCACCCTGGGCAACATGGCAAAACCCCGTCTGTACACAAAATACAATAATTAGCCAGGCACGGTGGTGCCTGTGGTCCCAGCTACTCGGGAGGCTGAGGTGGGAGGTCGAGGCTGCAGTGAGCTGAGATCCACCACTCCACTGCAGCCTGGGCGACAGAGTGACACCCTGTCTTAAAAAAAAAAAAAAAGTCACTGTTTTGGAGTTTTCTGGGTGAAACCTCTGTTTCCATAAAAAAAGAAAAAGGTCGAGACAGTGTGTATTACTGATTCAAAATCATAACCTGATGCTTAGAGTAAATCATTGTATCTATTGTTTCAAAAACCAACGTCAGGATTATTAAAAGTTAATTTTATTGGGTTTTTCTTTAAGCTTGGCTGATTCACTCAGGTCTGTCACTTCCAAGCCCATGTTTTACTACTTTGTAACCCTATTTGGAAGGAAAACTGCAGCTCACATTATGATCCATCCTGAGATGAAGAGTTTCACACATATACACCACATATACCCCCCACCACAGTATGACGACACAGCAACCCAACCTTGGGCAAATGGTACCACTGCCAGCAAATTTTTTTCTTTATTTTAAATATTTTTACTGTATTTCTTCTAACAGCAGCAAATGCATTTAACACTTTATTGAGATTCTCAACAGCTGCCATTTGGTTTGTATAGCAAATTGTTTACAAAGTAACTTTTTTCCATTTTTGATATTTTAATGAAAATTATGTTCTTCAGTTTTAAAGCTCTGTCCCTCTCCCAAAGAAAGGTTAATAACTAACTACCAAGTAATGATTATTTGGGAAAAGAAGAAAAGCAAAACCAGCTTGTAAACACTTCTGGAACGTGGGTAAGGGGCCAAAGTCAAGACCTTCTGGGCCCAGTGCAGGTGCTAGGCTTGCCTCGGGACACCATCAGCACTTCCCCATCCACAACATCCTCAACAGCTGGGAGCCATGTGCAGACCCCAGGGGGCTTCCTGTTCCACAAGCTCCCCTCTCTTTTTCCTCTCCACCCTTGCTGTTGGGCCTCCCTTCCAAATCTGCCTAACAAAGGCAGCAGGATCTTTAATACTGTTCAGCTTTGTCAATGGAGACAGGATACTCTAGAAAGTTGAGAGATTCCCTGGTCCAGTCTGGGGGAGGAAAAAATATGCAGTGTAGCATAGATGGTTGTACTTGTCCACTCAGACACATGCTCATACTTATTAGATGGATGTATCAGATGCTTCAAAAGTCCTGATGTGTAGTAGCACAAAAGCTGCTTGTAAAAAGGAAGTTGCAAAATGATAAAAATTTCTGCAGCAGTTCAGGCTCCTGATGACAAAGCTGGTTCTGATAAGTAGTTCTTTTGACATGCACAGCAGGTTTCACTGTAAGTCCTGTGTTCCAGCGGTTTCATTTAGACCACGGGAAGTTGAAAGCAAAGTTTAAATGTTCTCTGCTGACAAAATGTGGTATATATCCATCAATGGACTTCTACTCAGTAATGAAAGGAACAAACTACCAAAACCTGTTATATGTCATGGACCAACCTCAAAAACCTTAGCTAAGTAAAAAGCCAGACATGTGACCACATATTGTATAATTCTGTTGATTTGAAATGTCCAAAAAAGGCAAGTTGATAGAGACAGAAATGGTCTGATTTACCTCAAGAAGTAGGGATTCAAGCTCTTAGGGTACATGTGATACATACATTAGAAGAAATAAGGAAAAGAAAAGAAATTTATATGTAAATAAATGAAAATAATACTTCTCCCTGATTATAAAGAAAATTGCATTCTTTTTGTAATAATTTGGAAGACAAAATATGAAGAAAAGTCTTTAATTTTGCCACTGAAAGCATTCTGGTTTGTTGCTTTTTATATTTTTTTATGCATATGAACATTTTAAAAAGTAGAATCGTAATATATAGTCTTTTGTCACTATGTTTTGGGCATATTTCTATGGCAGTAAATATATCCTTGGCATCATCTTTTTAAAAGCTCGATGTGTATTAAGTTAATCATTGCCACCCCAGAAGTAAATTTTCTTATATATATATTTTAATGGACGCAAGCAAGCATTTTGGGGCTGAAGTCATAGAAGTAGAATTTCTGGAGAAAAATAACATAAAATAGTTTTAAGATTTTTAATAGAAATTTTCAAATTATCCTGCAGAAAAATTGGTTCAGTTTATACTCCCAACAGGGGCAGAGCTCCAGTATCCCGTTTCCATTTGTCCTCTTTGCTGATATTTAAGGAGAAAATCTCATTGTTTTCATTGTATTTCTTTGGTTTCTAGTGCTTTTGAAACTTTTTTTTTTTTTTGAGATGGAGTCTTGCTCTATGGCTCAGGCTGGTGTGCAACAGTGCAATCTCGGATAACTGCAACCTCTGCCTCCTGGGTTCAAGCGATTCTCCTGCCTCAGCTTCCCGAGTAGCTGGGATTACAGGTGCCCACCGCCATGCCTGGCTAATTTTTGTATTTTTTAGTAGAGATGGGATTTCACCATGTTGGTCAGGCCCGTCTCAAACTCTTGACCTCAGGTGATCCACCCACCTCGGCCTCCTAAAGTGCTGGGATTACAGGCGTGAGCCACGGCCCTGGCCTTGAATCATTTTTATGTGCTTATTGGCCATTTTTATTCTTGTGGGAAGTGCCTGTTTCTCCATTGCCTATTTTCTGGCCAAGCTCCCAAGTCACATTTCACTTAATTTTTATCCTGCTGATTGAAAGCATTTTAACATAAACAGGAGCAGGACAGACTGTAATTATCTAGATCTTGCTCTGTCACCCAGGCTGGAGTGCAGTGGCATGATCATAGCTACCACAGCGTCGTACTCCTGAGCTGAAGCAGTTTTCATACATCAGCCTTCCAAGTAGCTAGGACTACAGGTGTGTGCCACCACCCCCAGCTAATTTTTAAGATTTTTTGTAGAGATGTGAATTCACTATGCTGCCCAGGCTGGTCTTGAACTCCTGACTTAAAGTGATCCTCCCACCTTGGCTTGCCAAAGTGTTGGGATTACAGGTGTGAACTACTGCTCCTGGCCGAGGGCTCATTTTGTTTGCTAGTGGTGATATTGGTATCTGTTTATATTTGAGGCTTTGGTGCTAGTGCTGAAGTATTACACTCACCATCCGAGGTTTGCAGGACTTTTGTTTTAATATTGAATAGATGGAACTGTTTACTTCTGCATCTTTGCAGGCATACAAAATGTGCCTACCAGGACTCTGCTTTATATCTATTGAAAGCAAGAAGTAATACAGTAAAACTTTGCCTGGCTAGAGGCTTTGGAAGAATGGAGTATTCTGATTTAATGCTATTGAAGTGTGAAGGTGAAAAGAATGAAAAACTTACATTTCCTGTTGAATGCAACTTGAAAATACAGCCAGTGATTCCACTTTTCTTCTCTAGTAAGTTTGGACATTCTGATCTACTTGGTGTTTTATTATAGAACTGCTAGTGTGCCCGAGACTTACATTGTGAAGACACTTTTTAAAAAACCTGAGAGGGAAGAGGGTGTAAATGGTATTGTGTGAGATCAGGCTGGATGAGAACTGACACTTGTAAACATACTTTTTAGGCTGAATCTCTGATTGCCGTTTGTTTTCTTATTTAACTCATAAAAATAAAACACATTGGATGGAGGGTGGGAGCAGGAAGGAGATTTATGTCTTTTAATTGCATGCCATTGTTTCATATCAAGACAGAACATATGGTATCCCTGGCTTTGGACCTACAGAAGGAAACACATTTTTCTGCCTGCTGTATGCCAGAGGTTCTTGAACACCTGGAGGGATGACTGCAGCACAGATTGCTGAGCCCTACTCCAGAGTTTCTGATTCACCATGTCCAGGGTGGGGCCTGAGAATTTGCACTTATAAAAGGTTCTCAGGTTCTGCTGCTGCTGCTAGTCCAGAGACTACATTTTTGAGAACCACTCTTGTCTACTAACTGTAAATTGTAGAACTCTAGAACAAAGCTTAGTTTGGTGTAGGAAAAGACGCTCACAGGTTATGGAGCAAATCATGAAAGATTCAACCCTTGATCCCAGCCTAGTGTGGAATTCAGGTAACAATCAATACACAGTGACATAACACAATTCTTGGTTTTCATGATTGCAAGTCATAGCCAAGTATCAAGTGAGAAATTCAGTTTCATTTGCAAGGCTTAGAGAGGCCAGGTGATTCTAGAAAAATAGGCCTTGTATTTGCTTTAAACCAGTAAAGAGCTTTGAGTGCTTATTAAATGGAAAGCTTTGTGTTTTTATTTATTTTTGACTATTTTATTTTATTTTTTTGAGATGGAGTCTCAGTCTGTCACCCAGGCTGGAGTGCAGTGGCGTGACCTTGGCTCACTGCAACTTCCGCCTCCCGGGTTCAAGTGATTCTCCTGCCTCAGCCTCCCCAGTAGCTGGGATTACGGGTACCCACCACCACACCTGGCTAGTTTTTGTATTTCGAGTAGAGACAGGGTTTCACCATGTTGGCCAGGCTGGTCTTGAACTCCTGACCTAAGGTGATCCACCCACCTAGGCCTCCCAAAGTGCTGGGATTACAGGTGTGAGCCACCACACCCGGCCCAAAAGCTTTGTGTTTTTAAAGATATTAGACATGTTTCTTGTTTTTTAAAAAATCTTAATAATGTAGGAGAATAAGAGAAATGTTTTTTCCAAAGCCGAGAAATCATTGTGATTATTTTACCTTATTGGGATGTTGGATAATATAGTCCACTTCATTCATTAATCATCAAACATGCTATGGATTTTCCATTTTTATAGGATTTGTGTCTTAACTGGGGTAATACTGGTAATTCTTATACTCCCTCTGAAGATGAAAAATGTAGGCCAAAATCATAGACCATGCATAGAAGCTGGATAATGAAGACAGCTCTGGAGGAACATGTAGACACACACACACTGACACACATATATATAAAGTATAAATACATATTTTTTTAAAGTTTATTTTTAACATTTTAAAGCAAAAACCAGCCCTCCCCTCTCCCGGAGTAGGCAGGCCCCGCCCCTCTCCCCAAGTGGGCAGGGACAGCAGTCGCATGGGCAGCTTTCCTTGTGATGTCACAGGTTCCTCTGGGCACACTGCTGCCTGGCCACGCCTCCTTTCCCTTTCATCTTTCTCATTGACCAATGGGATTGGAGCATTAAGGCCACACCCCTATTCTGCATTCTAGTGTGGCCCTGGTTACGCCTCCTCTGGCTCAGTCACACAGCAGCCTTGTAGGTGACTGGAGGTGTTCGCTGATGTGGCCCCAACCCTACCTCCCTCCCCACCCCATGATGTTAGAAGAATCTCGACAGAATAAATTGGCAGCAGCCAAGAAAAAGGTAAAAAGCCAAGAAAAAGGTCATGGCCCCCCAACCTAGCCAGAGATCCCCTCTGATGACAAGACCACTCCCAGAGTCCATACCACTCCTGAGGCACACCGGGCTGGGCCCCCCTACCCCGGCGCCTCTGGACTCCCCCCACCAACGTCTTGTCAGTCAGCCCCGCCCCTTCAGCAAGCAGCCCAGCCTCTGCCCTCGCCAATCACCCTGCGGTGACTTTGGGCGGATGACTACTGGGGATACCTGCTCCATATTCAGCCCTCACGTCCTGCCACCCCAAGCCCAACCTCCCTGGGTTCTTTGGGCTCACCTCTCCAAGGACCTGGGTCCCCCAGCCCCAACCCCCCAGCATCGCCAGTCATCCCGGGGTGACTTTGGGCTGGTGACTCCTGGGGTTCCCTGAGCAGACTCTGCTCTCCCCTCCTGCTGACCCAAGCCCGACCTCCCTGGGCTCTCTGGACTGGCATCTCCAAGGACCTGGGTCCCAGCCCCACGTCCCCCCTCCCCCATCGTGGATCGGCAACTCAGCCATTGCACTGATGAGGTTTCCCCCACCCCCAGGAGGAGTGGAATGTAGTGATGTCACAGTCCTCCTAGGAACTGTCATTACTGCTGCAAGACCGGCCTTTGATCTTATAACCCAGTCCCCTAAGCATTCTCACCCCATTTCTGGTTCCTCTGGTCACAGCACAAATTTCCAGCTAGAAGGGAAATGGGGACCATGGGACCTAGGAGCAAGAGGTTTCAGGCTGCCTTACTCCCTTCACATAGACATCGACAGTGTGAAAAGCCTACACTTCCCCTGTGAGCTCAAAACGTTGACAGTATCTCTGGGTGGTAATGGGAGAATGGGTTTGGTTTGGTTTTCTCCCAGGCTTCTACTCTCCAGAGAGACTTTAACATTTTTTTCCGAGTTCTCCACCTCATATTCTAATTCTCCACGGTTCTGGGACCAGACTGCCCTTCAGTCAGTGGTCTCTGAAGTGAGATTTGCTCATCTTCTGTGGAATAGGTCTTGGGAAACTGAACTTGACAGCTTGAATCTTCCTCATATCATCTCAACTTAGGGTACATTGAGTGCCACAGGATAAATGTGGGAGATCTTTCTGAAGCATCAGTTTCCCTTGATTCTCTTGAGAGAGAAAAAACATTAATGTACTTAGGGGTGACCCTCACATAGGTTTCTAAGAGTATACCAGACTTCTCTCTGAAATGAGACTTGGGTTGTCCTCTTTCTGATAAATTCCCAGATTTAACAAAAAAGCTGCCTTCTGCCATGAGGACACATTGATATAAAAGTTTGAGAGATACTGGTGCACTTCTTCACACTAACAGGCATTTGAGGATGTATGACTCTAAACCACACAGCGTGTAGTTCATGCCTATGTAATGTTTACTTTTCTACCTCTGCGTCTGGTTTTGGTCCCCGGCAGCTGCTGATTCATGGCAAAACCCCAGAGCTTGGAGTCAGAAGACTGAGTTTAAGTTCCATTATTGCCCCCCCACACTTTTTTTTTTAGCCATAATATCCATCCCTCTCAGTCACTTAAGTGATTGTGACAACACCTTGTACAGTTGTTGGTGGCATTAAATCAGATGGTGTATAAGAGTATTTTGCAAAAACTGTAAGGAGGGTGTGGCTGTAAGGGCTGGTAGTTCTCATGAGTATTACTGCTCTTCTTTCCCACAGCTAAAAGAATATCAGCAAAGGAAGAGCCCTGGTATTCCAGCAGGAGCAAAGACAAAAAAGAAAAAAACTGACAGTAGCCCTGAGACAACCACTTCCGGTGGTTGCCACTCACCTGGGGATGTGAGTCTTGGCTGGCCAGGCTCCTGGGGACAGGGGGCCCAAGGGGCAGTAGAGGGTAATTGTTGAGATTGCTGGGTACTGGTTAAGAATTCTGGGTTTGAATCCTGCTTCTTCATCTGCTAGCGATCTGATTTATGGCAAGTTGCTTGAGCTCTTTGGGCCTCTCTTTTCACATCTGTAAAATAGGGGTAGTATTGTTTGACTTCCATTTGTGAAGTTTAAATGAGATTCCTTATTGTTGTTGTTTTCATGTTAACCCCCAGTACGTGGCCTGCTGTAAACACCCAGGATACCCAGGAAATGGTCATTGCTGTTTGATTTTCCTGATCCCCACTCGCAAGGGGAAGCTGGGCTAATGAGTACAGCCACTTGCCATCAGGCTGTCCCTCTAGGAGTCACTGAAGGGGGCCCAGGGTGTGGTGAGGAGAGCCCAAGGCACTAGGAGCAAGAGAAGGTCTAACTTGCCACCAGCTTGCTGGGTGACCACAGAAAAATCACTTCTTCTGCTGGGCCTCAGTTTCCTCCTCTGTAAGATGATACTGGATAAGATCAGTGTCTTTCAAACTTGTTTTTTAGCTGAAGTCCCCTTAGTTCAAGTGAACTCTTACTCAGGAGTCTGTTTTTTTTTAATGGAGGTGGAGGTCTGGAGCTCTACCAGATTCATCGCCCATGTCCTGGGCCTGAGGAGAGGGGTCCAGTGAGCGTATTAAGATCTGCATTGGTCAGCTGACTCCACTCTGTGACTGCGTCACTCGGGGGACTTTTCCATCTATTTTTTCCTGCCCCTGGCAAGGCAGCAGGTGGCCATTTGGAAGAATGGCACAGGCCATGGTTTTAATCTCCTCTGCTCTTCTTCAGCGTTTCCTTTTCCTGAACCCACATCTTCCTCCTACCCTGACTTTCTTGCTTCTCTCTAAGCCACTTCTGTCTTTCACCCCCTGCCCTTGTTTTTCCCTTGTCACCTCCTGTAGATTCAGGACATTCTGAAGGTGCGGGTGTCCAACCTTAACCACTCCAATGGGGTAGTGCTCCCCCATTGGACAAGTGGAAGGTGAGGCAGTGCCAAGACCCCTCTCTGGCTTGCTGTCTACAGCTGTGCATGGCCCTGAGGCTTCTCTGGCTTGGGGGATGCTTGGCCTCTGCCTTGTTTTATGTTGCTGCCATTAACCTTCAGCCTGTTTCTGTCTGCTTCTTCACCTGCTTGATTGATTGGGTTTTTTCCTTCCCCGCGTCTTTTATTATCTTGGAAATGGTGACGCCTAAAAGTTTAAAAGTAATCTGGGAATAACGTACAGAGCAGGCACGTGGGATTTGGGCTCTTTTTTTTTTTTTTTTTTTTTTTTTTTTTTGAGACAGAGTCTCACTCTGTCACTCAGACTGGAGTGGAGTGGTGCGATCTCGGCTCACTACAACCTCTGCCTCCCGGGTTCAAGTGATTCTCTTGCCTTAGCCTCCTGAGTAGCTGGGATTACAGGCACCTGCCACTACGCCTGGCTACTCTTTGTATTTTTAGTAGAGATGCAGTTTCACCATGTCGGCCAGGCTGATCTTGATCTCCTGACCTCAAGTGATCCACTTGTCTCAGCCTCCTGAACTGCTGGGATTACATGTGTGAGCCACTGTGCCCGGCTCCTTGCTGTTTTTATACTTTCTCCATATACATAACTATTTCCCATGTAAGTTTTTTTTTAATTTCTCATTTTTATTACTCCTGCATCATCTGTTACCCTGAAGGATCTGGAAGTAAGAGGCCCTGGGCTGAGGTGCAGTGACTTTGCAGGCCAGCCCTCCAACCTCCTCTCACAGTGGGGGCTGGGTGACCCTCTGCCAGCTGAGACAGCCCACACACACCCCAGCCCTAATGATTGTTCTCTCTACCTCTCCCCACAATCCTCTTCCAACTCCTCCTCTCTGCATGTGCCTCAGAGCCAGTACCAAGAACTAGCAGTAGCCCTGGAGTCAAGCTCAGTGACAATCAGTCAACTCAATGAAAACATAGAATCATTGGTAAGTCCAGTGGGGTCCCCTGATTCCATGCTGCCAATCCTGGGCTTTAGTTTCCCCTTGGGGCCCTGAAGAAAGGGGCTGGGGGCCCCTGGTGCCAAGGGCAAATGGGGAGCTGGAGCACCCAGGCCTCACCTGGAGGGACCCCAGAGCAAGGAGCACGCAGCATGGCTCTTCTGTCACTGCCCTCTTTGCCGACTCTCTCTTCTCCAGACACCCCTGCTCCAGTCCTTGCCACACACGCCCTGAGGTTGTCACCTCTCAGGGAAGCGCTAGCCTGACTGGTTGTCAGGGGCCCTGTATTTCTGCCCTGACTCAGTCCCTAATTTGCTTTGAGTCTGGACAAGCCACCTGTCCTCCTTGGGCTTGTGTTTCTGGAGGAGGTAGAGCATCAGAGTTCTCTGTTAGCTCTGAGAGCCTGAGATTTAAAGGCCCCTAGAATGGAAACCTGAGGGCCAAGGGCTCCTGTCTGTCCTTTTCCATCCTATATCTGCTGTGAAGAACCGTAGCTGGCCCGTATGTGTTCAGTAAATATTTGTTGAATGAAGGCACCTTTCTAAATCACAAGCTGGCAGAAGGGTGGGCCTTCCTGAGACTCCCTCTCTAGGGGTTTATGTTACTGTCCTTTCAAGAGAATCCAGATTCAGACTTCGAGTTCTGTGGCTGTGGGCAAAAACCAACAAAGACCCAAGTCCTCTGTCCTTGGGAGCTTGAAGAGGGTTGACCAGTTTGTGTTGCCATTGGTTCTGAGAATGTTGCCTTTAAAATCCATTCCTGGACCCTGCCTACCGCTTCCAGGTCTGGGGAATAGAGTTGAGGGGGCCACTCTCAGTCACCTGAATTTGACTCTCCCCACAGAAACAGCAGAAGAAACAAGTGGAACATCAGCTGGAAGAAGTAACGTGATTTCTTTGCTCACAACATGACTGCTGGGTTTGGGGGACACTCAGATGCAGAGGCGCCAGTCTCATCTTGCCCACTCCCAGCCTGGGGAAGAAGGCTCACCCATCAGATTCCACCCCATCCCCACAGGGTCCCTGATAACCTGGTCCCATGGGTGGGCCTGTCCTGGGGCATTGGTGGCATTCTGGGGGCATGTCTCTTGCTGTGCCATCTCTGCCTCCCTGTGATAAGAGCTCTGTCTTCCTCTTCCTACAGGCAAAGAAAACAAACAATGAAATACACAAAGCACAAATGGAGCGGTTAGAGGTGAGTGGAGGGTGGGGAGCTTTCTCCTGTCCTCTGGAGAATGTTTCTTTCCTTCTCTTTCAGCATTTCCTTGGCTTTTCTCCCAAACGTTCAATTCCAGACAATCAACATCCTCACATTGGAAAAGGCAGACTTGAAGACCACCCTTTACCATACTAAACGTGCTGCCCGACACTTCGAAGGTGGGAATCTGGGCATCCCGTCATCCTTCAACCTGGCACTTTGACAGGTCTTTAGGGGGAGTCTTTTGGGCCCCATCTCAACCTCTCTCATTACAGAAGAGTCCAAGGATCTGGCTGGCCGCCTGCAATACTCCTTACAGCGTATTCAAGAATTGGAGCGGGCTCTCTGTGCTGTGTCTACACAGCAGCAGGAAGAGGACAGGGTGAGTCCAACCAGCTGCCCCATCCCCTGGCAGCCTGGCTTCCCAGATAGAGGAGTGAGCCTAAAGGTCCCTTCTGCAGGATGGAGTGTCCTGCCCAGAAGGCAGCATGGTCATTTCTCACTACTTTTGTGTATGGTTGTTAGAGGCAGCCTGGGGCTGAGTCAGCTGCTGTGGGTGAGTTGGGGGGCACTGTGGGGAGTGAGCACTGGATGCAGAGCTCAGAGGCCAAGTGCCTGCCCTGCCCTTTCCTGGCTGTGGCCTTGGCCAAGTCCTAGGTGGGGTATTGGGTAGTTGTTCTGTGAAGGTACAGAAGAGCACCTTTAGTATGTTACCATTTCTGTAGAGAGAGGAAAGGGGTGTGTGTGTGTGTGTGTGTGTGTGTGTGTGTGTGTGTACTATGATAATATACAAAAACATGTCTGCAAGCATTCATAAAAAACTCAGGAGAGAGTAACAGGGTGCCTGGAGACACCTCCCTTCTGTACCTTCTGAGTTTTGGACTATATGAATGTATCATCCTTTCAAAAAGTGAACAAAAGATTAATTTCCCCCTTCCTATCTGTGTCCCCACCCCCAGCAAGAAAAATGGGCTTAGAGAATAGGATAGACCTGGGTGTTCAAATCCCAGCTCTGTCTAAGTGATCTTAGGCAAGCACTTAACCTTGAACACTCGATGTTTTTCATCTACACAATAGAGGTAATCCTAGTAACCGTCTCATATGGTGGTTGTGAGGATTAAATGGGATTGCTAGCATGGAACCTGGTGAAGCACTCCATAACGGTTCAAACAGTGGTAGTAATAACAGTAATAACAATAGCAATATTATCTGATCTCTCTGGGCCTCTGTTAGCCAGCTGTAAATTCTATCTCTTTCCCTCTCCCTTCCAACTTTACTGAGTTCTTTTAATAACCAGGCCACGGGCTTGGAAATGCCTTGACCTTTACTGACCGAGTTGTATATTGAGCCTAGCCCTTTTAAGGGGCACTGCCTGAGCTCCCCAGATCAAAACTTCTCACTCTTCACCATCCAGTCCTCGAGCTGCAGAGAAGCGGTCCTCCAGCGGTGGTTACAGCAGACCATAAAGGAGCGGGCGCTGCTGAACGCACACGTGACACAGGTGAGGCTTTGCAGAGGGAGGGATGTGGAAGGAAGATGACCCCAGGTGGCCAGGAGCAGGTGAGGACCAGTGACAGCCCTTCCTAACTTCTGTGCCCATTTCTTGCAGGTGACAGAGTCACTAAAACAAGTCCAGCTAGAGCGAGACGAATATGCTAAACACATAAAAGGAGAGAGGGCCCGGTGGCAGGAGAGGATGTGGAAAATGTCGGTGGAGGTGAGGTCTGACCCTTCAGCCCCCACTTTAGATAGGTCACTGGATCTTTCTGGGCATCTGTAAAATGGGAATAGTACAGCCAGAGGTGGTCATGGGTCTGGGCTTTGTGGAGATGGGGACAGAGAATGAGATGGTAGCCTGTCCAGCCACCAGCCCCTCTCTCCAGGGCCCTTTCCCCTGTGCTTTGGGCAGGCTCGAACATTGAAGGAAGAGAAGAAGCGTGACATACATCGGATACAGGAGCTGGAGAGGAGCTTGTCCGAACTCAAAAACCAGATGGGTAAGATGGGGCTGGTGTGACCTCGGAGCAGGACTGGCATCAGAGGTCTGTGGGGGTGGCTTAGAATGCCCCAGGGAGGTGGGTGGGTGGAAGGGCTTTGAGGCAGAGGGAAAGAGGTCTGTGCCAGGAGACGGCAAGTTTTGTCATCTCCATGAGCCTCAGGGTCCCCATCAGCAAAGAGGGAGGAGTGCCCGTTGTCAGCCACCCACAGTGCTCTCTATGTGAAAGTGGCTTGGAAATTGGCTACCATTGGGTGCGAGGAATGATTAGCAGTGAGGCCAAGTTTGGGAAGCCTGAGAGGAGCTGTGCATCAAGAGGAGGTTTTTTTTTTTTTTTTGAGGGGGATGTGGGTAGAGGGGTTGGGGAATCCAGAGGCCCTTATTGTCTGCTTCATTTCTCAGCTGAGCCCCCATCCCTGGCGCCCCCAGCAGTGACCTCTGTGGTGGAACAGCTACAAGATGAGGCCAAACACCTGAGGCAGGAGGTGGAAGGTCTGGAGGGAAAGCTCCAGTCCCAGGTGGAAAACAATCAGGCCTTGAGTCTCCTTAGCAAGGAACAAAAGCAGAGACTCCAGGAGCAGGAGGAGATGCTCCGAGAGCAGGAGGCGCAGAGAGTGCGGGAGCAGGAGAGACTGTGTGAACAAAACGAGAGGCTTCGGGAGCAGCAGAAGACGCTACAGGAGCAGGGTGAGAGGCTGCGAAAGCAGGAGCAGAGGCTACGCAAACAGGAGGAGAGGCTGCGAAAGGAGGAGGAGAGGCTGCAAAAGCAGGAAAAGAGGCTGTGGGACCAGGAGGAGAGGCTGTGGAAGAAGGAGGAGAGGCTACAAAAGCAGGAGGAGAGGCTCGCGCTCTCCCAGAACCACAAGCTCGACAAGCAGCTGGCCGAGCCACAGTGCAGCTTCGAGGATCTGGTGGGTTGCCCCACCTGGGGAGCCTGCCCTCATCCCTATCCCTCCAGGCCTTTGTTTCCCCACCTGTAAAATGGGCCAGTGTAGCCCTCACATGAAATGCTACTTCTAAAGGCACCTGTGAGCTACAGCTCATCGGGCTCTGCTCTGATGGCTGTGGGGGAGAAGGGATGATTTTTCTAACCTGCCTCCACCCTTCCTGGTGATATGGGAGGCAGACACCAAGGTCTGGTGTCTCCAGCTGCAGTGGATGGCCACTGATTGCTTCTCTCTGTCCAGAACAACGAGAAAAAGAGCGCACTGCAGTTGGAGCAGCAAGTAAAGGAGCTGCAGGAGAAGCTAGACGAGGTGAAGGAGATGGTAACCTCCACCCCATCCAAGAAGGGCTGGGAGGCGGGCACCAGCCTCTGGGGAGGGGAGGTGCCAGGCCAAAGGCAGCTCCAGCTGGGAGGCAGGTGACCCCAGCACCCTCCAGTGCAGCTCTATGACTGTTTCTTGCTTCCTGCCCTCTGACTTTTAGAGGTGGGTAGCCCTGGGCTCCTCCCAGGTCTGGACATCATCATCCCAGCTAGAGACATGGAGCCCCCAATCACAGGGGAAGAGACAGTGGTACAAGAGGCTCCTTATCCAGGCACGGTGGCTCGCACCTGTAATCCCAGCACTTTGGGAGGCTGAGGCAGGAGAATCACTTGAGGTCAGGAGTTTGAGACCAGCCTGGCCAACGTGGCGAAACCTCACCCCTACTAAAATTACAACAACAACAACAAAAAATTAGCCAGGCATGGTGGCGCATGCCTGTAATCCCAGCTACTCAGGAGGCTGAGGCACGAGAATCGCTTGAGCCCACGTGGTGGAGGCTGCAGTGAGCTGAGATTGCACCACTGCACTCCAGCCTGGGCCACAGAGTGACACTGTCTCAAAACAAAACAAAAAAGCCTCCTTAGATTCAAACTGGATTCTGGCCTGGGTTCCACTGGTCACCATTCAACTACTGTTCATCTCTAAGTCTCTGTTTCTGTGACTTCAAAAGGAAGTTAGCATTTTCCTTGCAGAGGTGCTGAGGATTGAATGAGAGAATACCTGGAAAGCATTAGGCATGTAGCACACTTAGCAGATGGTGGTTGGCTCCCTCTGCTTTTCCACCAGTCTGTGGCCTACAGTTTAAATGGTGGGAAGAAGGACATGAGATTTGAGGCTGGGGAAGGAGGTATGGGGTTCTAGGCAAGGGAGGAAGCCTCTTAGGCCTGGAGCAAGGGACCAGGGTCCTGGGCAGGTGACAGAGCCCCACGGTGCCCTCGCTACCCTATTAATGGGCCCAGAATCTGGAAGCCAGCCGCCATGTGCCCTCATGCCCAGGGTCTTCCTGCAGGTGGAGCTGAAGAGCCAAGAGTCTCAGAGTCTGCAGCAGCAGCGAGACTAGTACCTGGGTCACCTGCAGCAGTACATGGCCACCTATCAGCAGCTGACCTCTGAGAAGGAGGCGCTGCACAGGCAGTTACTGCTGCAGACCCAGTTCGTGGACCAGCTGCAGCAGCAGGAAGCTTGGGGCAAAGCGGTGGCTGAGATGGCCGGACAAAAGTTGCAGGAGACCCAGGGGAGGGAGTTGCTGAGGACGGGGCCCCGAGGGGGATGACCTGGCAACCTCCGTGCCTTCTCACTCTGTTTCCCGTCCCCTTAGGAGCACCTAGAAGCTGCCAGCCACCAGAACCAACAGCTAGAGACCCAGCTAAGCCTCGTGGCTCTCCCTGGAGAAGGTACAGGAGACCACTCAGAGGAAGAGGAGAGAGCCCCAGGAGGAAGGGGGGACTGTTAGCAGCATAGGATTGAGGGGTTGGAAGAGACCTTTAGAACAGCTGGTCGTTATGCCAACCGGGTGTCCGCACTAAGTTCAGCATCAATATGGTGACCTCCTGGGAGCAGGGGGCCACCAGGTTGCCTAAGGATGAATGAACTGGACCAGATCAGAAAGGGAGCAGGTCAGGACTCCCGCACCGACCGGTAGTGGGACTGTGCCTGGGCAATATAGCAAGATCTTGGTTCTTAAAAGGAAAAATAAAGAACAGCAGCTCACTCCCCTCTGGGGAGAGGCTGGCTCAGGGTTACACAGTCAGGGTGGGGACAGAGGTGGGCCCACAGTACCTCCCTTGTTGGGTTGTCTGAGGACCCCTCTGGCCACCTCCCTACAGGAGATGGAGGACAACATCTGGACAGTGAGGAGGAGGAGGCGCCTCGGCCCACGCCAAACATCCCAGAGGACCTGGAGAGCCGGGAGGCCACGGTGAGCCTGACTTTCCCTGCCCCGCTTTGCCACCTTCCTCTGTGGTCCCTCCCAGACCCCCTTATGCTCTTGGTTTTCCCACCTTCTGATTGCTCTGGCCCCTCACCCCTTCCGGGAGCCAGTGGTCAGACACTTTGTCACCTGTGACCAACAGGTGCACTCTCTGAGGCCCCAAGGGAAGGGGTTGTTCTCCACCTCCCTGCCTCATTTGTTCTGTCTATGCCCCTACAAGAATACTCACCTCTTGCCTTCAAGTGGCATTTTTCACCTCTGCTGGAGCCAGTTCCCAGGAGGAGCAGGCACGGCTATGTGGGCAGCGGAAGGTGTGAAGGCTGTGCTGCCTGCACCTGGCTCATCTGTTGGCCTTCGCCTGGAAGGAGCCAGAGGCAGAGGCCCCAGCCCCAGGGAGTGGGGGTGAGTTTGTGTGTGGGGAGAGCTACCGGGCCCTGAAGGAGGCCATGGTGAAGCTGAAAGGGAGTGAGTCCTGGCATGGGCCAAGAAAAGTGGGGGCGGGGCAGAACAGGTCACTCCCGAGATGTGACCCCATTATTTTGGCTCCAGAGCAGCTTTATGGACCTCCCGAAGGAGAAGGCGGACGGGACGGAGCAGGTGGAGAGACGAGAGCTTGGATTCGTCCAGCCTTCTGGAGTGACAGACGGCATGAGTGAGCGGGAGGCCAGGGCACGGGCACGGGGAGCTGCAGGGCCGTCGGAGGGACCCTAGTGTCTGAGCTGTGTCCTCTCACAGGAGAGTCCTTCACCGTATATGAAAGCCAGGGGGCAGTGCCAAACACGCGGCACCAGGAGATGGAGGATGTCATCAGGCTGGCCCAGAAGGAGGAGGAGATGAAGGTAGGGCGTGCAACATCTCTGCGGGGTTGGGGGTGGGCATGGGCGCTGGTGCAGGCTCCAGGGTGGGAGCTGAGCACCCCTCCCTTCAGGTGAAGCTGCTGGAGCTGCAAGAGTTGGTGTTGCCCCTTGTGGGCAACCATGAGGGGCATGGCAAATTCCTCATCGCTGCCCAGAACCCTGCTGATGAGCCCACTCCAGGGGCCCCAGCCCCCCAGGAACTTGGGGCTGCCGGTGAGCAGGATGGTGAGTAGAGCTCTCAGGCGGGGTGGGCAGGCAGGGGCAGGGGAGGCTCGCACTGTGCTCAGACCCCCGCCTCCCTCTCTCCGAAGTTTTTTATGAAGTGAGCCTGGACAACAACGTGGAGCCTGCACCAGGAGCGGCCAGGGAGGGTTCTCCCCATGACAACCCCACTGTACAGCAGATCGTGCAGCTGTCTCCTGTCATGCAGGACACCTAGGAGCACCCAGGCTTGCCCAGCAAACCCTGCGTGCCATTCTTCTACCAGGCAGCCGAGAACAGGGAGATAAACATCATCATCTTCTAAGAGCTGGTCAAGAAATTTAAAACAACAACAACAACAAAAAGTTACGGGGTTCATCTCCTACACAATTCATTTACTCCATTTGAATGCTAGAGCCACTCACATTTATTTGTGTTTCTAATTTACCGTTTAAATTTATTTGTAAAAAGTTAAGGGAGAGTTGGTCTTTCCCTGATGTTCTTTCTGGCATCCTTTAGCATTTTTATTTTTAATTTGATAATTGTAGGTCATTAGTATGCATATCGAGTTTGCCCTTAGGTGGTGGGAATTCAAACACACAAAGACCCACTAATTTGCACAAAACTATTCTGGCTGGTTTGGAACAGGCTGCCATGCTTTTTTAATGTTATTGCAGCATGTATATTCATTCCAGAATTCAGATAAAATGTGCTTATGTTCTGCTATTACGTTTGATCGAATCCTAACCACAGTGAGCTCTTCATTAGCTCAATATGTGGTTTGCCCTCAATTGAGCACTGTTTATTACTTTGTAATATGCCACTGTGAGTACTGACATTTAGAGTTGTTTAAAGGCCAAGAACTGGAAACAGCCTTTTCCCTATTTTCTGTGTATTGGGGATGGGAGTAATAACATTTTGGGGAGCTTTTTAAATCTCACAGAAGAGGAAAGTGGCCTGCTCTGGCAGGTGTGTGCAGGATAGAGTGTGTTTCATTTGTTCTGGTGCCAAGAATGAGCGCTGTACTATGGTAGTTCCCTTAGGATTTGTATGTGCTCTGGGCTCATGAAGATATTGCATCATGAGCTGCAGCAGTTGTACCCTTTCTTGATGACCTAAAAAGGGATTATTTCTGAGGAATGAAAGGCTCCCATCATTGACTGTGGATGTGGAAAACCTTTTCTAGCTTAGAGCATTTATATCTACAATACATTTTAAAGTCAGAGTTCATGTTACCTGTTTTAATCACGAGTATATGTCCCAGTACACAAAAGGGCACTGGTTGGCATTCTTCTTAAGGTATTTAGTGAAGATCATAAGAAATCCTTTAAGAGTTTAAATGTCCCTGGAAGAGGCATACAGGCTCTAGTCAAGAATGAATTCGAGTGAAGGAAAGCTGTGTGACACCTGGCCTTCCTCTATGTTCATGGAGCTTCTTTGAGGCTAGAAGATTGATTTTATCATCTAGACCTCTCTGGCTAATACCTATTCTTCAGCCACATTAGTTACTCTGACATAGGAATTTACTTCTTTTCTTTGAATGGAAAACACTTTAAAAATAATAACAACCATTATTATAAACCAATATATGTGAGAGTACTTAGTTGAAACAAAAAGGAGTTTTAGTAGACAGTATTATACTACACATGAAAATCAAGGCGAAGTTTATGCAACTTAAAATGTTTACAAGCTGCAGTGCAATCTAATGTTTGTGAATGTCCAAGTATTATGAGAAAAAGTGTCTATACAATGACAGACTTATGTTTCCTCACAAAGTTCTTCACAAAGAGTGAAATATGTTTTTATACCTCTCAGTTTCAGTTAGAGGCATATTTTGTGCCATATTTATGTTAATGTGCCTATACGTGATGAGTGAATTATTTCAGTCATACATTGCCTAAATCATAACTTTAAGATGCTTGGGAAAGAATCAACAGCTAAAAGTTCATGAAGTTCTAATGTCTGTGTTCCAAAATACGTCACAGTATTAGGATGCAGGGAGAGATGTGTGTGCGCTCCCTGGGGTGGGCATTTCTAGTTACTAGACCATCTCCATTTTTAGCATTTGGCATCCTCATGATACTTTTATACATATGACATTAATAGGAGAGCAATAATACGATTTTACAGATGGAATAACAGATGTGCCTGCATTCAGTGAAAGAGTGCAAATATTAAGTCCTTGTGACTTCAACTGACTCTTCCAAATTGTATGAATTTATCAATGTATTAGATAAACTCAGTTCCAGAATTATAAAGAAAAACTGTTAGACCAACGAATGTGGCTAATTAACAGTAGGACGATTTCTAGCCCGAGGGTTTAAAATGGACTTCAAGTCCTGTTCTTGCCTTTTATTTTCTGAACTTGCCACTTTTGCATTCTTTGAGTTCAGTTTAAAGACAGTTTGAGTCCAATTTAGACCCTCGGGCTAGAAATCATACCACTGTTAATTAGCCACCTTATTTGGTCTAACAGTTTTTCTTTATAATTCTGAAACTGGGTTTACCTAATACATTGATAAATTATTTCAAAGGTATTTTTATAGTTCAATCACTTCACTTTTACCCTGATAAATATAAATGACTAGGAATGATCTTCAGCTAGCCTTTAGCACCTGCAACCAATCTGACAATAATGTGTTCATCAGGTACCTGTGGATTAAATCACACACCGGCATATTTAAGCTGAATGTCAGTCTGGAAAATGAATGTACTATATTAACTGAAATACCACTCTTTGTGTAGGTATTCTGTCATATATTTAAGAAAAATTAAATAGCATGTAAATCATATGACAACAACTTAAGTCTTTCTTCAAAGTGCATGTGGTCCTTTGCAATACCTCATTCAGCCAAGTATTTGTTCTCTTCCTCATTCAGTATAAGGCAGCGTTCAATTTGCTTAGAAGGCAACATTAGAAGGGTAGAGTTTAATCAGAAACATAGAATTTTAAAGTGTGGGTTCAACTGAATAAATTTGAATTTCTGTAGGAAGTAAAGAATTAAAAACCGATTTAAAGATTGCAATATATAATCATTTTTAAAGTATTTGATTAAATCTGATAGGTTTTCCAGAAATGAAAAAAAGTCAGTTCTAAAACCAAAGCTGATATTTAGAAAATGTGAAAATGTAAATCAGTCCTATCCATAATAGTTTCTCTAAAACTTTATCTTAAAGAGTCATTTTAAAAGAATATAACTATTCAAAAATGTAACTGCTATCTTAAGTTTTAAAATAAGTTAAGACATTTTAAAATATGAATACTGTAGTTTAAAAGAAAGAAACTGGGGGAAGGAAAAGTAGAGAAAGAAATGCCAATTCCAATGCAAAGCTTTATTTGCCAAGTTTTCTTAGAATGACTTTTACCAATTTATGAATTCTTGTAAACAGAATGTATAATGGAAATACTGAAACACTGTTGCCTAAAGTGGCATTATTCACTGCTACTGTGATGCTACTGTAATGTAATAAATTATTAAATTGTTGCAAAGTGCTGTTTTTGCCTTAAAATTTTGTGTGTCTTGAAAACTGTGGTGTTAAAGGTATTGAGACTGTGCAAATGCTGGGCACGCTTGGCATGAGATAATCGGTTTTTATTTTTATAAAATTTTAATGTAACCATGAAGTGTGTTTATTTGAAGAACACAAACCAAAGTTATGGGATAAAAAAGGTTGTGGGATGAAAAAGTTACAGGATAAAAAATGTTGTGGAAAGGTTGTGGCAAAAAAAGTTGTGGAAAAAACGTAAAAGTTTTATGAAAAGCTTAAAAAAAGGGCCGGGCTTGCTGGCTCACGCCTGTAATCCCAGCACTTTGGGAGGCCGAGGCGGGTGGATCACAAGGTCAGGAGATCGAGACCATCCTGGCTAACATGGTGAAACCCCATCTCTACTAAAAATACAAAAAAAAAAAAAAAAAAAAAAAAATTAGCTGGGCGTGGTGGCGGGCGCCTGTAGTCCCAGCTACTCGGGAGGCTGAGGCAAGAGAAAGGCGTGAACCTGGGAGGCGGAGCTTGCAGTGAGCCAAGATCGCGCCACTGCACTCCAGCCAGGGTGACTGAGCAAGACTCCATCTCAAAAAAAAAAAAAAAAAAGCTTAAAGTATTATGAAAAAGAAATTATGGGATTAAAAAATAAGTCATGGGATAAAAATAAATAAAAGCAGGCCCCTGTCAGCATAAGCCTGGAGAAGTGGGGCTGGAGTCTCTGTCCCTACCATGCTCCTACCACCCCCTCCCAGTCACCCCTTTACCATTAGGGTAGCAAGACAAGACCCCTGTCTAATGGGGGGAGAAAAACAGACCCTTTGCCACCTTGACCAGGGCTGAGTCCTTAAATTTCTGGATGATGATGATTATTATTTAAGAGCCAGAGGCTGGTAGAGCTGGTTTGTTTGGAGGAGGCCTCATGGCCTCCCTACTCTCACCGAAGCAACTTTTCCCTCAGGGGGCTCCCATCTTCTTATTCAGAGAGGCAGCTGAGGCGGGACAGTGGGGCTAACTGTAGAGCAGGTGAGGGCACAGGCTGCTGGGGTGGACCCCCTTCCGCAGTGTACATATAGTATCTGTGTGACATTTTGTATATTCCAGGGGGTAGGGCCACCCCCTGTATTGTACCTAGAGGAGGTTGGAGCTGGCATATGAGGAGGAGGTTCTAATCACTATTTGTGGCTGGGAAACTTATTTATTGATAGCATAGGACAGAGGAAGGAGGCGGGGATGGGGTTGTGGCTCCCTGGTGATGTGACTCCCGTTTATTTTGCTTTTCATTTTGGAGTAAATGGATTTAGCCATACTGCTCAGCCTGGTGGATTCCCGTGTCCCTCACTGGGTCCTGGAGTTTGTGCCACTGAACGAGGAGCCCTAGAGTGTCTGAGCATGTCCAGCTGGGCTCTTGGGGACCTTCCAGGCCTGTTACCTGTATGCTGCCTGGTGACACCTGGTGGATTTCACAGGGACTGCCATGGCGCCTATAGGGCACAGTCCCGCCCTGACAGCCAACAGCCTCAGAAGCCTGATGTAGCAGTGGCCGGGAAGACAAATACCAGCACCCAAGGGCACTGACTTCCACCCCAGGCATCTTCCGTTCCATCCCCCTGCCTCCCTCGCCTGTCTGCACCCGGTGGCCTGTTCTGTCTGTCCCTCCAGTGTACCTGGTGGCCTGTTAGTGCTGGCTGCCCCGCAGGCTCCTCCAGGCTGAGTTCATGGCCCTGCCCCCTAGTGGCCAGAGCCGGCTTCGCAGGATAAAAGCCAGCTAAGCTCCAGGGGCTTTCCAGGAAAAGTGTCCCTTGGAAAGGGTGTGTGGCCTTTTCACTCCTCCCAACAGCACCCTAGAAATGGCTTGGCCTTTTCCCTCCCCTGCACTCCACAGAGAACACAGCTAGCAGAGGACACATTCCCCATCATCCAGAAATGGGTTTGATTCTCAGCCGAGGGACAGCAGGACTGGTAGAGACTGTCAGGCCACACAGCTGCCTGCACAGCACCCCCATTCTTGGTGGGGGGTGGGAGGGATGGCGGGGGCTGGCTGTCCACAGGCCGGACATGACAGGGAGGCTCACTGGAGGTGGCACACTTTGGAGGGGCAGTGTCAGGGGAGACCTTCGTCTTGTTGGGCCACAAGACTCCACAAGGACAGCACGGTGACAGATTCCCAGTGCTAGAGGCGAGGCGGTCAGCCATGTGTAGGTATATATACATATGAGTATTTATAGATATTTATAGAACAGGGCAGGGGCATACCACAGAGGGGGCACAAGTTTTCAGCAAGGGTCACACCTGGATGTGTCAGCTCACCACTACGACAGACTAAGTCACAGATGAAGGGGGCTGGCTTTGGGGCTGGGGAGCCACTGTCAAGTCACAGGACACCCGCCCAGGCAGGCTTGGAAAGGGAGGCCTCCGAGAAGAGGAGGATCTGTTTAGAGGTCAAAGTGGAACCTGGGGCTCTCAGGACAGGATGGACTTGCCTGACCTGATCACCTGGCAGTTGGAGAGAAAGCAAAGAGAAAACGGGAGAGAGAAAAGTGAGCAGAGAGCTGGTGAGGCAAGCACAGAGCACAGGCGTGCTGCAGCAGCTGTGGGAGGGCCGGGGAGGGGAGGACGCAGGTGCAGGTGTGGCAAGGTTCCTGGAAAAGAGAGGCTGGAAGGAAAAGGGGAGGAAGATGGAGGGAGGAGCCGGAGCTTCACAGGTAGTGCCTGGGGGCTGCGGCGGCCCTCCCCAGCCCACACACACTGGCCTCTCCCACGGCACCCAGGCAGTGCAGCCACAGTTCAGACCAATGCTCAGCCCCCTCCCTTCCAACCCACTGGCCCAAGGCCACCTCTCACCTTGGGGAGCCCCACCCAACAGCCACCAGGCCTGATAGAAAAGGAACACTGCTTGACCCAGGATGGTGAAGCTAAAAGGGATGGCTGGACTGGAGTGTGCCAGGGGCCCCTCTGGGTGGTCAGAAAGCCCAGGACCCTCTGAAAGGACCCTGGGGGAGGCAGGAAGGGCATATGCCACTGGCCATAGACTTATAAGTCTAAGAGGGGAGCCTCAGCTGGTTGTGGGGGCCTGCAGGTTGCATAGGTGAGCCTGGGCCCCTCCTGCTGGGAAAAGCAGAAGAGGGAGAGTCTGTGGCAGGGGAGGTGGGTGGGCTGGCTATGTGGAGCTCAGCTGGGCCAGCAGGGACTGTGGTCTCCTTGGCTGAATAGCACAGGTGACCCCTAAGAGCAACAGGCCAAGGTGAATGAGCCCGCTGGCTGGCGGTAGTGTTTCAGCAGGGGCCAGGGACCCTGCCTTCAGTCACACGCTAGCAGCTATGGTGGTACCTGGGAGGGAGGGAAGGGGGCTGTGTGTTCCTGCCTGGCCTGTGAGGTGTGTTGTGGGATGACCATGTGTATGGGACTCTCAAGATTTTATCCAGGATCACCACTGGATTGCCAACAGATAGAGGAGGTGGGACCCTGACTATCACCCCTGCTCTACAGTGGATTTGGCTCTCGGCACTCCCAGACTGGGAACTGGATACCCTGCCCTGGCAGCATGACTCAGACTGCACGACAGTTATGTTGTGCCCAGGTGACATTCCTAGGCCTCTGGCCGCCTCAGAGTCCAGCCCCACACACAACGCCCTCCACATTCCCAGCCCCTACACCATAAACCATGAGTTCTCTGCCCTCTCCGAGGACTCTAGAGAGCACCCACATCTGCCAACTTGGGCATGGAGCCTGTTCCAAGAGCCCACAGTCTTAGCCATGGAGGCTGGGGGGCTTTGGGGCCGTGGGGGCCAGCCCTGGTACCTGCATCCAGTAGGATGCTCTGCACCTGCAGTCAGGAGTTGTCCATGGGCCCCCGTGGGCGTGCTGATTGTGTTCATGACCGCTGTGCCTGCTCTGCCGACTCCTCCATCAGCATGTTCTTGTCCCCATGCAAGTACAGGTTGGCCAGCAGCTCCGAGAAGATAAACTCCTTGGTCTGAGAGTGGGCAAAGAGGGAAGGAGGTTGGGACCTGATGCCTGTGCCACCCTGGCCACGCCGCCAGGTCCTGCTGGGGCTGTACGCTGGACTTGGAGCCCCGGGTATGGCTTTTCAGATGCGGCTTCTACACTGCTTAGACTCGAAGACCCACCTCCCCACCGCTTTTTCTCACTCAGATGGGGACACTGAGGTCCAGAGGAAAAGTCACCTGCCCAAGGTCACAGATCTGGGAGGGGACCCAGGACCTATCATGCCACCAGGACACCTGTCTACTCAGTTTTTAATTTTTGGAGATAGGATCTCGCTCTGTCACCAGGCTGGAGTACAGTGGGTGAGATCACTGCTCACTGCAGCCTCAACCTCCTTGGCTCAAAGTGATCCTCCAAGGCTAGCCTGTTGAGTAGCTAGGATTACAGGCACGTGCCACCACCAGGCCCAGCTATTTTTAAAATTTTTTTGTAGAGACCAGGTCTCACTATGTTGCCCAGGCTGGTCTCAAACTCCTGGGCTCAAGCGATCCTTCCGCCTTGGCCTCCCAAAGTGCTGGGATTACAGGCATGGGCCACTGTGCCCAGTCCCACGTTATAGTTCTATGGGACAGCTCTGGTCTGGACCGTGCCCCTCTCCCTGCACCTGGTCCCATAGGGCTGGTTGTCATCTCTGCCAGGCCAACACGGCCACCTGTGTCCCCAGTGCTACAGGAGCCCCTGCCCCCATGAGGTGGTGCATGCACGTTGTTGATCATGAGGTGCATGATGGTCTTGGGCGTGAGACCAACCATGAGGTCCCACACGGTCTTGTTGACAATGGTCACATAGGAGTCCACCAGGCTCTGAGTGGTCTCCATTTGCTGCTCCAGCTGTGGGTCCATGGAGTGCATGAAGCTGTCGGAGACATTCTCCTCAGCCTTGCTGGCCTGCCATGGAGAGCACGAGGGCATCAGGGCGGCCAGGCCATGCAGCCAGGCTCCAGGCATCCCCAGGATCTCAGTCCCTCCAAGGGTACCTGGAACATTGAGGCACAGGGAGAAACAACTGGCCAGATCACACACCCAGCTCCCCACACGATCTAGAGGGTTTCAGGTCTCGGCCTCTCAGGACCCCAGACTCTCCCGATTCAGCCTCATCTTAGTTCTGACTCTAGTACCCAGAATTTGTCTCCATTTCCCAATCCAGAAATTGGAAAAGAACATCTCCAGGTCCCTTACTTGAAGACCTGGCCAGAGCTGGTGCCAGGTTACAGACGCCTGGCAGGAGGCAAGAGAAGGGCACACTCACATTCCCCTTGTCCTGGGAGGCCCACACCCCAACATTGCCGCCACCGCTGCCACCTGGGATCACAGCCACCTGGGATCACAGGAAAAGGGGAAGGGTTGAGTGAAGCTGGGACACTGCACCCCAACTTTAATGTGTTGATGAATTCAATTTGCTAATATTTTGTGGAGGATTTTTGCATCAATATTCATCAGTGATATTGGCCTGTAGTTCTCTGTTTTGGATGTATCTTTGGTTTTGGTATCAGGGTAATACTAGCCTTGTAGAATGAGTTTGGAATAGTTGGGTAAGGCCTCTAGTTTTGGAATAGTTTGGGTAAGGTTGGTATGAGTTCTTCTTTTAATGTTTGGTAGAATTCAGCAGTGAAGCACCAGGTCCCAGGCTTTTCTTCGCAGGGAGACTTTTTATTACCGCTTTGATGTCATGATTTCTTATTGGTCTGTTCAGGTTTTGGATTTCATCACGGTTCAATCTTGGCAGGCTGGATGTGTCTAGAAATGTATCCATTTTTAGTAGGTTTTCCTATTTCTTTGCATACATTGCTTATAACAGCCACTAGTGAGCCTGTGAATTTTTGCGGTATCAGTTGTAATTTTCCTTTTTCATCTTAGATTTTATTCACTTGTGTCTTCTTTTTGTCTTAGTCTTACTTAGGCTAAAAGTTTGTCAACATTATTTATCTCTTCCAAAACCCAACTATTCTTTTCATTGATGCTTTTTCTTCATTTCAATTTCATTTATTTCTGCTCTGATCTTTATTATTTCTTTTCTTCTAGTAATTTTGCGTTTGCTTTGTTCTTGCTTTTCTATTTCTTTAAGGTGCATTGTTGTTTATTTGATGCTTTTCAACTTTTTAAAAGTAGGTGTTTATAGCCATAAAGTTCCCTCTTAGTACTGCTTTTGTCGTATCCCATAGGTTCTGGCATGTTGTGTTTCCATTATCATTTAAGAAATGTTTCAATTTCCTTCTTAATTTCTTCATTGACCCACTGGTCATTCCAGAGCATATTATTTCATCTCCATGTGGTTGTATAGTTTCCAACATTTCTCCTGTTACTAACTTCTAGTTTTATTCCATTGTGATCAGAGAAGATATTTGATATTATTTCATTTTTTTCTAATGTTTTAAGACATGTTGTGTGACCTAAGATATGGTCTATCCTTGAGAATGATCCATGTGCTGAGGGAAAAAAAATGTGTATTCTGTAGCCCAAGGGAGAAGACACCTGCCCCCACTCTGCTGCAACACACAGCGCTCTGCTCAGGGATGGGGCAGTGGAGTGCTGTTGTTACACAAGGGGCTCTCTGTCGGGGAGGGAACAGAAGTCTGTTCTGTAGTGTTTGCCATTTCCATGGTGCAAATCTTCCATGGCTGATTTCAAGCTGCCACCATCTTCTCAGCCTGGGCTTGTTTGTACCCACCCTTGGGAAGGCTTTCCAGGTATTTGAAAGGATGTGGGTGTTGTGATCTCAACTGTATCTTTATTAGATACACTCCAAGCCCAGTTATGCTATGGTTCTTGCAGACTCATAGAGGAACTGCCTTGGTAGTCTCGGATAAGATCTGGAAGAATTCTCTGGGCTACCAGGCAATAGAGACTCTTATTCTTTACCTGTAGTTTCTCTCCAAAAACAGTCTCTGTCTCTGTCTCTCTCTCTGTCTTCCTCCCTCCCTCTCTCTCTGCTGAGCCACTTGGAGCTGGGGGTGAGCTGACACAACATCCCTATGGCCACCACCACTGGGACTGCACTGGGTCAGACCTAAAGCCAGCAAAGCACTGGGTCTCACTCAGGGCCCACTGTCAACACTACCTGGCTATCGTCTATGTTCACTCGAGGCCCTGGGGCTCTACCGTCAGCATGTGGCAAAGCCAGCCAGGCTTGTCTTTCTCTTCAGGGCAACGAGTTTCCTCAGGCCCTGGCGGGTCCAGAGATGCTGTCTGGGGTCAAAAACCTTAGAAATTTACCTGGTGCTTTATTCTAAGGTGGCTGAGCTGACACTGAAACCATGAGACAAAGTCCTTCCCACTCTGCCTTTCCCTTTCCACAGGCAGAGGAGCCTCACCCTGTGGCCACCACCACAGGTGCACAGGGAGTGCTGCCAGGCTACTGTCGATGTTCTCTTAGGGCCCATGGGCTCTTAAGCCCACTTCCAGGCCTGGGGCTCACCCTTCAGGGCAGTGGGCTCCCCTCTGTCTCAGGGCAGGTCCAGAAATGCTGTCTAAGAGCCAAGGCCTAGAATCAGTGACCACAAGAGCCCATTTGGTGCTTTCTACCCCATTGTGGCCAGACAGGTACCTAAGCTGCAAAACAAAGTCCCTTTTACCTTTCCCTCTGCTTTTCTCAAGCAGAAGAAATCTCTCACCACAGCCACCATAGCTGGGAATGTGCTGGGTCTCACCTGAAGCCAGCCACCTCACAGGGGGAATGATTGGTAGAGACTACTGTTCAGCCATCTTGCTCTGCCCCTCCTCCCTCACTTAACTTTACCTCCTAAGAGCCCTGTTTCCAAATACAATCATATAGTGGGTTAGGGCTCCAAGTATGAACTTTTGGGAGACACAATTCAGTCTATAGCATTTGGACTTGGGAAGAGGGAGGAAAAGAACACGCACAGGAAGGTCACAGTGTAAGCAACAGTATGGAGGTGGGAAAGTTCAGCTCATGGATAGGAAAAATTGATCCAAGTTGGCAGGGCCCACAGGGAGATGTGGTGCGGTGGTGAGTGGCGGCCACATCAAAAGAACCTTGAATGCCAGGCTGAGGTGGGAGGCATTTCCTGTTGTGTAGAAGATGCCATGAGGTGGTGAGGAGGGTAACATGATGAAAGGACATTTGGGAGGATGGATCTGGCATCAGTGATGGGTGGGGATAAGGGGTGAACAAAGCTGGAGGCCAGGAAACTGGACACATGGCCCAGAGTTCAGGCTTAGGCTGTTCAAATGTAGTTTCCACACTGAGTTCCCATGTGGATCCAAGCATGCAGCGGGTAGATGATTTGGAAAAGCAAAACCATTCTCTTCCCATTACCACAGAGTTTCCCAGTTGAGTTCATCACCAGAGTCCTACACATCAGTCGACCTGCCCCAAACTCTGTCCCTAGAGGCTGTGACCCAGAGGGAGCCCTTGTCCAGCTGTAGCCCGGGGACACTGCAGCCTGAGCAGGACTGCACCTGTTCCCTCCCAGGAGCCTTATCTCTGTCTAGCCAGGCTTTGGCTTCAAATGCCCTCAGCTTTGGCTTCAAAACCTCCTGGGTCAGATTCATGAGGGATCTGGTCTTCTTTGGTTTAGGGATTTTTAAATAGCTTTTTCAAGCAGGCAGTAGATCAACTCTGCTTGGTTACCTCTAAGAACTGGCTACAACTCACAGAGATCTATTATACTTATAGCTGTGGTTTGATTACATGGAAAGGATACAGATTAAAATCAGCCAGGGGAAGAAAGGCATAGGGCTGAGTCCAGGAGGGCACCAGGCATAGGGCTGAGTCCAGGAGGGTACCATGCACAGAGTGTCCATTATCCCTTCCCCATGCAGTCAGAGTGCACTGCCTTCCCAGCTTTGCTATGTGCCAATACACATGGAGTATTCCCAGCCAGTGAGGCTCCCTCAAGCCTCAGTGTTCAGGGTTTTTACTGGAACTTCATCACAGAGGCATGCTTGATTGTCCATGTGGCTGCTCTCAGTTTCCAGTCTCCTGTCCTTCCAGGGATGACCTAAAGCCCAGACTCTAAATCACTTAGTTGCTTTTCCTGGCCTGGCTAGTCCCCACCCTAACTATTATTATTAGACCAGCCATCATGAGTTAAGATCCCCACGCAAACATATTCCTATCAGGTATTACATGTTGACAGTTACGTCCCAGGAGTCTAGGACAAAGGCCAGACCTCTTTTTTGGTCAATGTTAACTTTTATTTGAAACTATACAACATGCCATCACCCTGTTATCCTTTCTATCTTCAAAATAACCCTAATTGGTGGGTAAGGATGTTTATTATTATAAACAAGATCTCAAGAGGGAAGATGCTTGGGCAAGGTTGCACAGTTGATCCTGGACTCATGGTATGAGACTCTTTCCACTCTCTGAGAGCCCCGAGTCCTGAGAAGATGATGGAAACAAGGTGTGTATATGTGTGTGTGCACGTGTGTGTTTGTGTAAATGTATATCTAATGAGTATGTGTGGATATGTGTATGTCTCTGTGTGTATACATTTGGATGTCTGTGTGTGTATATGCATGTTTGTGTGTGTGTGTGTGTGTGTGTGTGTGTGTGTACAGTGGTGTACACCTGTAATGCCAGCTACTCAGGAGGCAGACAGGGGAAGATCACTTGAACCCAGGAGTTTGAGAGAGAGAGAAAATTTCAATGACCTTTTTCTTGCAGTTAGAAGATAAAACCCGGGGCTGGGCATAAAGAGACAAAGCACAGCGTACAGAGGCAGAGAAATGTCTAATAAAAACAAGTGACCAAGAATTAATTAGTTCATCTATAAAGAAATATAGCACTTAAGCAGCAGATTAAAACTGGAAGATAATTTCCTCTAGAACCCTGATAATCTTTGTGAGAAAACTGTTGGCCACATATGTTAATTGCCAAAACTCACAGGGCCCTGTGCAACAGAATTGGGGAGAAAAACCACCTTTTTTAAACTCACTATGCTACAAGCAGCATTCAACTCTTTCTCAATTAAGATTTCACAAACCTACCTCCAGCTTCCAGATGGTGAGGGAAAGTGTGATCAGATTTTACGATAAATTGTGCCTGTCTCTGAGCCCATCTCCTCCCATTGAAGAGAAGGAAAATGAGGTGAGCGCATTACAGCCCTGCCTGACAAAAGTCACAAGGGAAGCAAATGATTATTATTTAAAACCAGAGAGTCCTATAATTTATTCATGAATGCTACACATTCTGTATCAGATCTTCCATTTTGATTTACTTGTATTCTTTGAAGCAAATTTATAAGATTCAAATTATTCAGAAAATGCTCCCAGGTAAATAGAAGAAAACACTTTAACCACATGAAGTATCATGCTACACAATATGGTGTGGTGGTGAAGGGTGCAGGCTCTAAAACCAGAAAACAGGTTCAAGTCCTGGCCCTACCACCTTGGCAAGGTTACATGGTCTCTCTGTGCCTCCATTTCCCCATCTAAAATGTGGGAATGACAATAATAGTGTCTATTTCACAGAGCTGTTTTGAGGAAAATAATATATGTAAAGCACTGTGAACAGCAGTCAGTGCTATATAAGTGTTTGCTCTAGTTATTTTAACATTTCAGATGATAAATATCTACCCTGTTATTCAGATGACAAGCGTCCCTAAGCTGATAACATGATGAAGAGCTTTTGGGTTTCTTAATTTCCATCAGTTTTGTGAGGGAAAAAATACCACATGAAGAAGAGCAACTGAAGCAGGCGTGAGGAGGAAACTTGGCTTAAGATTGGGGGGCTTGGGGTTATTAGGCTTTCATCTTCTAAAATGTCCTAAGCTCCACTGATAAGAAGACGCTTAGTATCAATCTAGCTAAAAAGGACCAATAGGCCCCAAAAGACACTGAGTTAGAGACAAAAATAGAAGGGTAATAAATGAAATATGGAAAACTACACAACCAGAAAAATAAACAGCTACCAGTACCCAAAACGTGGCTAAATCTCACAGGATTCTGTTGAATGAAAGAAGCCAGCCACAAACGCGCACATACTGAATGATCCCATTTATATGAAGTTCAAGAACAGGCAAAACTAATCCATGGTGACAGAGGTCAGGATCCTGGTTAACTGTGAGGGGACAGCAACTGAGAAGGGGCAAGAGGGAGCCCTCTGTGCTGATGGGAACATCCTGTATCTTGAGCTGAGTGTTGGTTACATGAGTGTGCACATATGTAAATACTATTGAGTTGACTGGGCGTGGTGACTCACACCTGTAATCCCAGCACTTTGGGAGGCCTAGGCAGGTGGATCACTTGAGGTCAGGAGTTCAAGACCAGCCTGGTCAACATGGTGAAACCCCATCTCTACTACCATACAAAAATTAGCCAGGCGTGGTGGCAGGCGCCTATAATCCCAGCTACTCAGGAGGCTGAGGCTGGAGAATCACTTGAACCCGGGAGGCAGAGGTTGCAGTGAGCCAAGATCTTGCCACTGCACTCCAGTCTGGGCAACAGAGCAAGACTCCATCTCAAAAACAAAAAACAAACCAAAAAACGATAGTACAAAGTTGTAACTTTAGGTATATGCACCTCACTGTATGTAAGATACTGTCTTAGTCCATTTGTGGTGTTATAACAAAATATCTGAGACTGGGTAACGGGTAAAGAAAAAAAATGTGTTTCTCACAGTTTTGGTGTCTGAGAAGTCCAAGATCAAGGGGCCAGCAGGCTTGTAGTCTCGCAAGGGCTGCTCCTGCTTCCAAGATGGCACCTTGAACAGTGTCCTAACATGGTGGAAAGGACAGAAAAACAAAAGAAAACAGAGCTAGGTAGTTCCCTCAAGCCCTTTCATAAGGTCACTAACCCCATTCATGAGGGGGCTCCTCCCTTACAGCTTAGTCATCTCCTAGACTCCACCTCTTAATTCTATCACATTGGGGATTAAGTTCCAGTATGAATTTTAAAGGAGACACAATCATTCCAACCATAGCAAATATGCTTTACTAAAAAAAAAAAAAAAAAAAAAAAAAAAAAAGGAATACCTTGTCTCTAAACATAATATTTTAAGAGTTTATATATTTATAGCCCAATTTTCCACTTGCTTAATGACGACGAGTGTCATTCTTAGCTGAGAAAAGTTTCAGTAAATTATTTTTCTCACATTATCTATTAATATCTTATTCAGATAAAACCAAATTTCTAACCTGGATTTTAGGTTAAGACAGGAACCATAGTCATTTGTTGCAATGTGAGAATGACAAGAGAGAGATATTAACTAGCAGAATCCAACTATAAAACTAAATTTAACGGCACAGTTCTCTACTAATGACTCCCCTAGACAAATCATTACTTGGATATCAATGAATCAACTAAAAATGGACGTGAAAACAGTTCGAGTCCTTTTTGCAATGGATGGATGTTTTCAAGACTATTAAGTGAAGAGGGTTCAGAAACAAGGGGATAAATGGCATGCTAATTTGGGGTTGAATGGAGTAATGAGATGATCTTGGAAATACAAGAATCCTGCTTAATGGGACTTGTCTACTTGCAATTCAATAAACCAATATACGTAAATTAAAAGAGACGAAGGAAATGAGCACTCAGAACAAAATTACAGGAATAGGGCCGGGCACAGTGGCTCATGCCTGTAATCCCAGCACTTTAGTAAGCTGAGGCGGGCAAATCACCTGAGGTCAGGAGTTTCTGACCAGCCTGGCCAACGTGGTGAAGCCCCGTCTCTACTAAAAATACAAAAATTAACCAGGCATGGTGGCGCGTGCCTATAGTACCAGATACTTGGGAGGCTGAGGCAGGAGAATGGCATAAAACCAGGAGGCAGAGCTTGCAGTGAGCCGAGATTGCACCATTGCACTCCAGCCTGCACGACAGAGCGAGACTCCGTCTCAAAAAAAAAAAAAAATTACAGGAATACATTTAGCAAAGAGGCACCAAAATTGAGATAAGAGCCACTGTCCCACCTGTGACATCTTCTGACATCTTTCATTCTTGAGTCATGGGGGTTGCAAGCCAGGGAACAGAGTCTTCTGCCTGGAAGCTAAAACCAGGTTTTGGGGTAGGTTCAGAGAGACTGTTCAGACTGAATATGCATGTTGCCAGGTCAAAAATATCCCGATTGCAAGAGCATTTGCAAAGACAATGGTGCTCAGGGAAAGATAATGCTGTGTGTTTAAAAGGGAAAAAAATTAAAAGAATGGAAACAAAGAAGAAAAAGTGACCGGAGGGTAGGGTGACCATATGTTCTGGTTTGCAAGGTACAGCTAAAGTTATGTCTGCTGTCCTCGTGCAATTATTATAGTGCCCCTTTCACTCTCTTAAGTGTCTGGATTTGGATGATAAAGCATATGATCACCCTACCAAAGACAGGAAGTTAGCCAGAAGACCCATGTATCCATTTTAAACGGTGCGGCCTGATCTGTAGTCACGCTCATGCTGCTGCGCAGCTGAGCGCTCTGCACCACCTCTGCCTCGCCCTACCACGCCCTGCCTGGGTCTCCTGGAAGGCTGGAGCGGAACCCACGATCCTGCGCTGCTCTGGTGCCACCTGCAGGTTACATGGGGGAACTGCTTCTCCACCACCCCCACCCCCCTCTACCCCCACCCTCCTCCACCCCCACCCCACTATCCTCCACGCCGCCTCCCCACCCCACCCCAACCCTCGACAGCCATGGACTTGGCCAAAAGACATTCAGAGCAAGTGAAGCCCTGCCTGGGGAGTTGGCTGGAGCCAACAAAAGCCCGCGTTACACAATCAGACCAGCCCACTTTAAACTAACAAAGCCAAGCTCCTCTTCCTACCCACTCCTGTCCTGTCTCATTTTGTAGATGGTAAACTGAAGCCTAATTCAGAATTTTCATTGGCATTGTGTCCAGAAATGGTGGGTTCTTGGTCTCACTGACTTAAAGAATAAAGCCACAGACCCTCGCGGTGTGTGTTACAGTTACACGCCTCGCGGCGTGTCCAGAGTTTGTTCCTTCTGGTGGTGGGCGTTTGTTCTTTCTGGGGGGTTCGTGGTCTTGCTGGCTCAGGAATGAAGCTGCAGACATTTGCCGTGAGTGCTACAACTCTTAAGGTGGTGCTTCTGGACTTGTTCCTTTCTCCAGGGGGGTTGGTGGTCTCGCTGGCTTCCGAAGTGAAGCTGCAGACCTTCGCCGTGAGCCTTACAGCTCATAAAGTCACCGTGAACTGAAAAAGCAAGCGGTAACAAGATTTATTTCAAAGACCAAAAAAAACAAACCCCCACAACGTCAAAGGGAATCTAAGCATCATTGCCACTGCTGGCTGGGGCGGGGGGGGGCGGGGGGGGCAGCCTGCTTTTATTCTCTTACCTGGCCCTACCCACATCCTGCTGATTGGTCCATTTTACAGAGAGCTGATTGGTCCGTTTTGACAGGGTGCTGATTGGTGTGTTTACAATCCCTGAGCTAGACACAAAAGTTCTCTATGTCCCCACTAGATTAGCTAGATACAGAGTGTGGATTGGTGTATTTACAAACCCTGAGCTAGACACAGAGTGCTGATTGGTGCATTTACAAACCTTGAGCTAGATACAGAGTGCCGATTGGTGCATTCACAATCCCTTAGCTAGACATAAAGGTTCTCCAAGCCCCCACCAGAGTAACTAGATACAGAGTGCCCATTGGTGCATTCACAAACCCTGAGCTAGACACAGCGTGCTGATTGGTGTGTTTACAAACCTTGAGCTAGAGACAGGGTGCTGATTGGTGTATTTACAATCCCTTAGCTAGACATAAAGATTCTCCAAGTCCCCACCAGACTTAGGAGCCCAGCTGGCTTCACCCAGTGGATCCCGCACGGGGGCCGCAGGTGGAGCTGCCTGCCAGTCCCGCGCCGTGCGCAGGCACTCCTCAGCCCTTGGGTGGTCGATGGGACTGGGTGCCATGGAGCAGGGGGTGGCGCTCGTCCTGGAGGCTCCGGCCGCACAGGAGCCCATAGCGGGGCGGTGGGGGGAGGCTCAGGCGTGGAGGGCTGCAGGTCCAGATCCCTGCCCCGCGGGGAGGCAGCTAAGGCCTGGCGAGAAGTCGAGCACAGCAGCTGCTGGCCCAGGTGCTAAGCCCCTCACTTGCGGGGGGCTGGCGGGGCCCGCTGGCCGCTCCCAGTGCTGGGCCTGCGGACCATGCCCACCCGGAACTCGCGCTGGCCCACAAGCGCCGCGCGCAGCCCCGGTTCCTGCCTGCGCCTCTCCCTCCACACCTCCCCGCAAGCTGAGGGAGCCGGCTCTGGCCTCGGCCAGCCCAGGAAGGGGCTCCCACCATGCAGTGGCGGGCTGAAGGGCTCCTCAAGTGCCGCCAAAGTGGGAGCCAAGGCAGGGGAGGCCCGAGAGCGAGCCAGGGCTGCCAGCAGGCTGTCACCTCTCAGTAGGATTGTGAAGCATACAGCTGGAGCTTCCCAGGTGACATTCCCCACATCTGTCTTTCCCCTAACACTTTAGGGTAGTGGGGAAGCAAGAGAGCTTAAGCTTACTAAGCTCCTACCGTGTACTGGCCAGAGTGGGCACTTTTCTTTCCAGCCTTGCAATTGATGGGAAATAGGTGATTGTACAAATAGGATACAGGATCAGAGTGGGCTGGCGATGTGCTCACAGTCTCTCAGCTGAAACTGGAATCCAGGAGTCTTTGACTCTAAAGCTAGTGCTCGTTTTGGGTCTCCAGCTTAAGCAATAGTTGCAAAATGCAAAGAGCACCATGAAAATCTAATATTGATCCATGTAAGACTGTATTGCAAACAGAAACATGGAGTGACTTCGTGGGGGGTGACGGCGAGATGGGGAGATTATCTCAGGTCTATGTAACCTGGGAAGTCTCCGAGAAAAATGAATGAAGCATGACTAAGTGCAATTTGTCTGATAAACAAAATCTGTCAGAACGTGGGGCTTTGTGGGTCCTGAGTGAAGGTGAACCCATAGTGCTGGATATTTGCTAAGGTGTTCTTTATAAAATCACTCAGGGCCTCAGTGCCTCCACCTTCTTCATGACCCTAGGTCCACTTGCCTCGGCCTCCCAAAGTGCTGGGATTACAGGCATGAGCCACTGCGCCCAGCTGGTTGGTCTGACTTACTGTGCAATCAATCCACCCTGGGGTCGGCCAGGGCTTTAAGGCTCTAGAACTGTAGGAGATAGTCAGTGCTCCTGAATTCCACCCCCAGGCCTTCTGCACTCAGTCTGAGAGGAATGATTTCAGGAAATCAGACAAGCAACACAGGATTTCACAATATCTCATACTTGTCTGACTGGCTAGCATTTTGGAAAATTTCTGCGGTTAGCTAGCTAGCTTTTGTAATGTGCTTGGCTATCAAGTTTGGGATATTTATAATATTTATAAACTGAATTTAGCACAGTCCAGGCAGCTGGTCTTAGTTTAAGGAAGTTCCTTGAGCCAAGAATGAAGGAATTTTCCCCTCACTTGACAGCAAATGCATTTTGTAAGGGTGAACAGAGACGTCCAAACTTCCTGTTTTTTGTTTTTGTTTGTTTGGTTGTTTCATTTTGTTTTTGTTTGTTTGCTTTTAGTATGGGGAGAATCTGTTGAAATTCTAGACTCTTCTCTCAACAGAGTCTCCACAGGTATTTGCTTTATTCAGGTCCAGCGGGTCTGGAGCTGACATCTGGATTCAGAGACAAAAATAAGTGACGGTACTGGCCCCATTCCTCCCCTAGCCCCAGGCTCAGCCTGTGCCTGTGCCTGGGACCAGGACCAAGGCCACTACAGGCGAGTGTGTTCTCAGAAACCTGGATCTCCATTCCCTTCCATCTCCCTCCATCTGGCCCACCTAGTCTCCACCCACATAGAGGTGCAGCCCGCATCCCACCCACTCCTTCCCGTGACCACTTCTTACCTACATTGTAACGGGGTGGGGCCTTACCCTAAATCATGCATTCTCAACAGAGGCATTATCACCCCACAGAGGATGAAAAGGCAGGGGAGGAAGGGCAGTTGACCATCTTGGCTATTACCATGGTTTCTGACCCTCCAAAGGCTCACAGTCCATACATATGTCCATGTAAGGAAGAAGTAAAACCATCTCTATTCGCAGATGATGCGATCTTGTATCTAGAAAATCCTATGGAATGTACAGTGTATCTATGGTATTAAAATTTCATACAGGGAGGCACAATTGGGAAAAGATGCTAAAAATGCTCCTTAAGAGGACAATAATAATAATTATAAAAAGGTCCAGAAACACTGCCCTAAATGAAAAAATTAAAATGAAAGTTCAAGCACAGGGATGAGAAGGTGGGGGTAGCTTCCAGAGACCTGCCTTCTGCATCACCTGAGACTGACAACTCAGGAGAGCACAGAAAGGAGAGAAGGAGAGACCAGGCAGCCTGTCCCCCAACACGTGGCCATGCGCTCCATGATGTAGGCCACAGATGGTGCCAGTCTAGACACAGGCTCCCCGCAGGCAAATCCCAGCTCTGCCACATACAAGTTTAATGACCCTGACGAGGTACTCAGCCTTGCTGCCCTGCTGTGCTCCTCTGTAGGAGGAAGATGGGCTGTAACCACATAGGACAGTTGGGAAGATTAAAGGTTACTTGTGCTAAATGGTGAAATCGTGTCTGGTACCCAGTTGTCTTACCTGGTTGTCCCATGCTCTCCCTCCTGGGCAGGATTGCCCACTCCTCAGTCCCTCCAATCCGATTGGTGTACATTGACCTTGTTGGAGTTGTGAGCTCAGGCAGAGCCCCTGCCAGGTGCTTCTAGAAGAGGATTTGGGGGAAAAGGCAGATTGAACTTGGGGTGCCTATTAGGGGGTCGAGAAGCTCCTGCCCATCTGTTCACAGTTCCATGGACTTTTCAGTTACTAAAGTCACAAAGACTTGTGGCCTGAAGAGTGACTTTAACTCCATTTCTAACTAAATTCCTAACTCACCCCAATTCTAACTCAATTCCTAATTCCTAAGGTTTATTCTCAACCTTAAGCACCAAATGTGCCCCTCCATCTGATCTAATCCCAAATCCTAACCTGGGGCCTCCCCTGAACTTTAGCTCTAACCCTCACCCCGATTCTAAGCCCACCCCATCCTTACCCCAGTTCTAACTTGGGCCCTATCCTTAGCTGTGGAGCTCACCCTAAGTCCACTGGTAACCCAGTATTTCCCCAAATTAACAGGCCATTCACTTCCACAGTCATAAGTTTTCCTCTACCTGTGTCCCTTCCGAGTGTGGAGTTACTTACTATTTGTCCTAAGTGGATCTTTAAAGAATTCCACTTCAGCATCATTCTGAGCAACTAGATCCCAGAAATCACAATTTTTTTTTTTTTTTGAGATGGTGTCTCACTCTGTTGCCCAGGCTGGAGTGCAGTGGCACAATCTCAGCTCACTGCAGCCTCTGCCTCCCGGGTTCAAACAATTCTCCTGCCTCAGCCTCCCGAGTAGCTGGGCCTACAGGTGCACACCACCACACCCGGTTAATTTTTTGTATTTTTAGTAGAGAGAGGGTTTCACTGTGTTAGCCAGGATGATCTTGATCTCCTGACCTCATGATCCACCTGCCTTGGCCTCCCAAAGTGCTGGGATTACAGGCGTGAGCCATCACACCTGGCCAGAAATCAGACTTTCGATGAGCTGGTTGTATTGTTTCTTTTTTTCTTTTTCCTTTTTTTTTTTTTTTTTTTTTGAGACGGAATTTCACTCTTGTCATCTAGGCTGGAGTGCAGTGGCACAATCGCGGCTCACTGCAACCTCCTCTTCCCAGGTTCAAGCAATTCTCCTGCTTCAGAGCTTCCCGAATAGCTGGGATTGCAGGCACGGGCCACCACACCCAGCAAATTTTTGTATTTTTAGTAGAGACAGGTTTCACCATGTTGGCCAGGCTGGTCTCGAACTCCTGACCTCAAGTGAACCACCCGCGTCGGCCTCCCAAAGTGAGTGCTGGGATTACAGGTGTGAGCCACCGCGCATGGCCTGGTTGTATTGTTTCTAACAGATGTTAAACTAAATATAAAAGGTTTAACATTTTAAAAAAATGTTTCTCCACGTGCCTCGTATCTACAGTTATCTCCCATACCACAGGAAGCACGCATAGCACTTTAGAAAGGACTGAGCTGCCTGAGCTTAAACCACCAGCACCACCAGCACTACCGTGGCCCATGCCCGTTGCCAGGCACCGGGTGGCGGGGGGGGGGGGGGGGAGGGGGGGTGCGCTGCAGCGCCCTCTGCTGGCAGAGTCCGGGAGCAGCCCTAGCTCAGCTCCCCTTCTCGCCAGGCAGGGTTCCCTGTGTCCTACCCCCTTTGACTTGACATTTGGTGCATTCCAGCCCGGGTGGTATGCACACTAGCCATGGAGTTTCCTTAATTGTGAGGAGTGAGGAAAGATGAGAAGGGAGCCCCTTACTCTAGGCTTAGGTGCTGGAGGCACCTGGGGTGTGAGGCGGAGACAAGGCTGAGGTCAGAGGAGGAGATGGGGCCTGCTGGCAGGGCTAGGCTGAGGGTGAGACTCTGAGGCATGGAGAGTGGTCAGGGTTGGGGCCAGGAGTCAGAGTGAGGCTGGGATAGGGAGAATGGTGGACATGGGCAGGGAGAAGGGTGGACATGGGCCAGGACAAGGGGAAGTAGAGGGTGGGAAAACAGCCTGACCAGGCTCTGTGACAGCTGCTGGAGCTAAGAGCCAGGTTGGGGTTAGGGGCAAAGCAGATTTTTAAATGACTTCAGGCCTCAGAAGGAGACCCTGGAGCAGGGCTTCGCTGAGCTGCCACATAGAAAGCTTGTTGTCTACTCCGGGCCCCAGTGAGTGAAATGTCCCATCTGGGTGTGCTGGGAGCACAGTGCCACCTCCTGTCCAGCCCCTCCATGGTTGACCCCTTGATCTTGGCTCCTTCAGACCCCAGGACCCCCACAATTGTTTGTTCATCCCAGATCTTGTTCTTTACTACCCTGAAGACAAGCCCATGTTTTTTTGTTTTTTTCTAAGATCTAAAATGTGTTTATTTTCCTATAATTCATAAAGCACTTTATAAAGCAGTAAGATCTTAAATTTGTGCACTTTTAAAATATACCAAAAAGCTATCTTCACACACATTTTCTCATTGGTTCCCACAAAGATCCCTTGAAGTCAAAAGGAGCCGCATTCTCCCATTTGCCAGAGGTGCAGCCTGAGGATCAAGGAGGGAGGTTAATGTGCCAAAGAGGGCCACAGACTACTAAGTGAGGATTGAAACTCAGTGTCCTGACTTCTAACCCAGTAAGCTCCCATTAGTTGACACGTAAACACCTGAGATATAGTCCAAAGATGAAGCACAGGTGACATATTGGGACTGGATCTTCTTGGTCAAAGGATCAAGCTGAGAGAATAAAACTCCAGGACTGGAATCTGGGCATCTGGGATGGTAGTTGGGGTCAAGGGTGGTGGCACTGATCAATTCCCATTACCTGGCTGCTCACCCACGCCAGTGGTGGACTAATTCCTATAATGCTTGTGCCAGGGGAATCCCTCGGGTACTAACTGAAGCTCCACCTGTGATGGCCAAGACAACACATTCATCACCTGTTACCAAAGTCCTGGGCCTCCCACACCTCCCTTTTTAAGGGTTTTACCACCTGTCACTCAAGGAACACAGAGAGAAGTACAGGATTAGCCAGTGAAGGGCAGTGGCAAAGTTCCTGCAGACTCTGGTCTCTAGTTCCTGACTTTCTCTAGGAAGTAATTCTTGAAATCGGTGCTTCTTTCCTGCCACATGGCACTCCCATTTGGAGATGATCCAAAGGAAAGCCTACCCTGGGTCTCCCCACTTGTCATGTGGGGGGATTCACATGCTTAAGGCTCACAGCATTGAGCAACAAAGGGCTCTCAGCTCTGCTAAGTCCTAAAAGACGCCCCACAAAACACAGTTGTGCTGGGCAAGTGGCCACAAGCCTATGCCTGGGAGAGCCCCCTCCTATCCAGGCAAAAGGCTTCTCAGTGGTTCCTCTGGGGATGCTGAGCAGAGTCTGTGATTGGAGCATCAGGCTTTCAAGATTCACATCTTTATTAAAGGCTGTGACAGTGGAGGCAGGGCAGAACACCCCTCAATCACATCTGAAAACAGCACACATGGTGGGGCTGGAAATCAGTGGGCCCAGTCTCCCTTCCTCCTTCCATCTGCATCAATCTGTTTCCATCGGTGCTTCAGAACCAGCGCCTGTTTTAACAGTCTGGCATCAGAATCTTATTTTAAATGCATCAAAATTCACTGTGAGAGCCAGCACTCCGGTCGTGGGAACAAGACCCTACGGAATTCCTCAGTGGGTCTTCAGGGGCCCCATGGGATGGGGCTGCAGTATGGGTACACAGACTTCACCAGTGTGAAAGCTGAGGTCATCAGCCATGGAGGCTAGAGGCCTGGGCTGCTTGGGAAGCATCCCAGGAGCAGGGAGCTAATGAGTAGGGATGGGAAGGAGGGAGGAGGAGGAAGGGGCTGTCGTTCTGCTAATCAGAGCGGACAACCCTGACCTGCCTCTGTTCTGCTGTTGACCTCTGATGTGACCACAAGGTTGGGGACTAACAGTTTGGAATGGGAGCTAGAATTCAAGGATGAGAAGTCTTCCTGTCCACTGCCTCAGAGGCCTGCTTTCCATTCCTAAAAATGCAGGATGGCACAGCCAGATGGCCGCTCTGACCGTGGAGGCCAATCAGCCCATTTTACAGATGGGGACACTAGAGCTTAGGAAGGGACCTGTTCCTAGGCCACACTCACTGCACAGTCAGAGATAGGGACGGGACTTTCTCTGCTGTTCCACACTGCTTCCCCTTGGAGGAGCAGTCTATGAGAGCAGCGGTTCTCAAACTTGAGCATGCACCAGCATCACCGGGAGAACCTGTTAAAACACAGACTGCTGGGCCCCACCCTGAAGATTCTGATTCCAGAGGCCTGTGGTAGAGCCCACAGGTCTGCATTTCTAAGAAGCTCCCAGGGGATGCTGATGCCGCAGGTCCTGGACTACATGCTGAGTAGTGCTGGGCACTCCTTGGGACGGCTGAGGGTGAGGGCAGTGCAGGAAGAGCCAAGGGCCATGCTGTGAGGGGTCTGGTGGCCTGAGGACCAAAGAGCAAAGCTGTGGCCAAGCAGAGGTGTCTGTGCAGCCAGGAGGAAGGAAGCAAGCTTTGGAAGGTCAGGCTTTGGAAGCAGGGACATGCATGGAACATCAGTTTCTGTCTTTGCTGATGAGGCCCCTCTGGGATGAAAGGAGAAGGGAACAGAGTTGGCCTCTGGGCAGGTGGAGGGTGGGGGACCCTAACCTCATGAGGGGCAGTTTGGTTTGGAAGGCACTTTGAGTTGCCATGGGCTGCCAGGGCTGTAGCCAGCATCACCTCAGACTGTTCTGTGTGGGAGCTGTCAGCAGGTGTCCAGGGGCAGGGGCTGGGGTCAGGGCAGAGCTGTAAGGACACCCAAGGTAGTGGCAGGTGGGATGGATGGGGCAAGACCAGGGCCACCTAGAGAGCCCAGAGGTCATGCCTTCCTCACTCAGGACCTCCCTGGTTCTAGCTCCTGGAAGGAGGGGCTAATAGGAGTCTGGTGCACACCTAGGGTGATGGGTGCTCAGCTTTGGAACCTTCTCTGTAGGATGTTTAGAGAAGGGAAATTTGGTCCCAGAGAAAGGGAACTGATTCTGAACCAAATGACAACTGAGGGCTGGGTACCAGGACCTGGGAATGCTGTGATGGGTGGGGCCTGGCTCAGGGACCCCATCCCTCTCTGCCCACCAGAGACTCCAAGCTGGTCACCCCCTCCTCTCAGCTCTGCTGGGAGGCCCTCTCTGCCAAGCCACGGCCAGCAAGTGGGGTGGAGACTCCTTCTGCCCGTGCCAGCGCCGGACCCTCCAACAGGCCTTCAAAGTAGGTGCCCAGAGCCTGCAGGTTGAAAGCAGGCTGGGCAGGGGGCAACGTGGTGGTCTGCAGGCTTAGATAGCGGCTGTACTTCTTCAGGCCCCCCTGCCGGTCACGGCGGTGTGCACTCAGCAGCTCCATGAAGCTCACGTTGTGTAGGGCCAGGAGGCGGGCCTCAGCCCGGGGCAGCACAGCTGCCTGCACCAGGGGCTGCAGGGAGGCAAAGCACTGCAGGCTACTGAAGGGGTAGACATGCTGGGCCAGCTGGGGGCCCGGGGAGACCTCGAGGAGGCGGCACAGGTCACGCATGGCCAGCACGGCAGCCATGGCGCTGCGCTCGCTCATGTTTCTCGCCAGGTAGGTCTGGGCCAGGTTCTTGAGTTTGAAGCTGCTGGCCCCGGGCACACGCTCCCGGATGAGAGGCAGGGCAGCCAGGAAGCCCGAGATGGCCTCCTGGAATTCCCACAGCCTGTTAATGTCCTCCAGGGCCCGGAAGAAGTTTGGGAGGCCAGGCCCCCACAGCTTGTAGCAGGCCAAGATAGGGCGGCGCATGGAGCTCAGAAAGCTGAGGAAGTGCTGCAGCCCCACCTCCAGGGACACGGCCTTGGAGTAGATGCTGAAGAAGGCTTCAGGCTGGATGACCACGCGGAACTTGCTTTCCCGGTTCACCGCAGCCAGCTGGCTAATCTTCTGGGCTGGGCAGGAGAGAAGGGCAGGGTGAGGACCCAGGGTCACAGAGAGCTCTGGGGTGGGAGCAGGGGGTCCTCTAGGGCTGCTGACTCACCATCTAGAGACCTCACCTTGGGGTCTGCTGGCAGTAGCCACACATCAGCCCCCAAATGCAGCTCTGATCCTGGTTGTGGTGGGATAGCAGTCAGAAGGGGAGGCTCGGCTGCCCTCCAAACACTTTGTTCACCAGCTGGGGATCCAGCTCTCCCCTCCTCCACTACCGGCCCCAGAGTTGGCCAAACCCCATGGATACAGGTCCCTCCTGTCTTCTATCAGCCTCAGCCACCTATACTAGAGATCCCAGGCTGCTTGAACTTAGCTCTCCATCCCATGCTCCTTCCTCCAATCCCCTCAAGGACCCCAGCCCAGTCAGAGCCCTGGGACATAGAAAGCACTCCACTCAGAGCAAGGCCAAGAGCCTCCCACTGAGGTCTGCAAATGACTTTTCTGTACCATGAAAACACTTGCTGTTTCTGTCTGGCTGGGCTAGCCCCAATGTTGAGTCCATGCCACAGGGTAGGGCCTGGGGCTCTGGCTCAAGGAGGGGCATTTGCAGAGCCAGGGCAAGCACTGGAGGAAGTAGAGGGGCTTCCAGGATAAGGGGTCTGATCCCTCTGTGACCTTGGATCTGTGGGCAGCCCTGTGCAGCCACCTGTGGGATTGGCCCTCTACTCAGAAACGTGTAGCACAGCCAGAGGCCTTACTTGGATGACAGGGCTCACGGCAATGAGCTCACGCATTGTGTTTCTGTCTAGGAGTGTGTTCCCCAGGCTCTCTGTCTGAGAGAAGAACTGGTCAGAGGTGCACTTGTGGAGGCATCTGCCTCTCTCGCACACTCAGGCACTGGATAAGGCGGACATCTTTATTCAAGCCAGCAAATGACACGCCAGGAGCCCAGGTGAGCCGGAGTGCTCTGCCCAGCCTGGCTGCAGTTGTTGGCCAGAGCTCAGAGCTCTCCTGGGCCTGGCAGATGGCTCTGCCTGCACTTCTTTTTGGGACTCAGAGACTAAATTAGAAAGGGGTGGGGGTAGCCCCAGGAGAACCCACTTTCATTGTCAATCTTGAGGTCAAAGAAAACCAGAGGTCTGTCTTCTGCTTGGGGGTCAGCAAGGTTCTCGTCCAGGACCCTGAGGGTGCTGGGGCCTTCCAGCTGGAGGTCACTGGACTCACTGCTGCTGTCATCCAGCTCTCGGGAGGACTGCAACACAGAAAAACCAAGCGTCAGGGATTCAGAGGGCCAAGGCAAGCACCTGTGCAGAACACTAGCAAGCTGGTATAGCTGGGAGCATCTGCGTGCACATGAAGGAGGGTGTACCACTGGGAAAGGGGACGTGTGCACAAGAGAAGGTATGTGTGCATGAATGGGTGTGAACTGGGTGTGTCACATGTGAGGGTTACATGTATGAACCAGGGCATACACCCTCATGAGTAGGGGAGGAAGGGTGACACACACAGGTTGTGAACGTGCATGTGTGGGAATGAATCCAAGTGCTAAATCTGTGTGTGCATGCACAGTTAAGTGTGAGCTGTGAACCTGCGTTGACACAAGTGTATGAAAGTGTGAGAGAAAATGCCAGTGGGTGTGTGCATGAGTGTGCTGTGCTGCTTATGGAGGCTCAGGGAAGGAGCCATCTGCTATGGCAGGCAGGACCTGAGATGTCTGCTCCTAATTTCATCTTTCTGAGCAGACTCAGAAGAAACACCAAAACTTGGGACGGGAGAAAGAAGCCTCATCTTGAACCCCAGATGATTCTTTGGAAGGGGTCGGGAGCCTGCCTTTTCTTGTCCCCGAAGTCAGCCGAGGTGCCAGTGTCCTACACAAAGGCGAGGGGAAGGACTGCTTGGCCTCCTGAAGGCCACATCTAGGTGGACACCCAGGTCCTTGGCAGTGAGAGAGCAGTGGAGGCTCTTGGCATCTGCCCCAGCAGCTTAGAGAAACCTGAGTTTTGGGAGTCCTTCAGGTGAGGCGTTCTCTCCTGTCCCAAGGTCCTGGTGGGAACACTGTTCGAGAAGCCATGGGGTGGGGAGCCAGAGGATGAGGGAAGGGCTCCAGCTCTGAGATTTTCCCAAGGGACTGGGACTACAGAGGGAGGTGGAGCCTCTGATGGTAATACAGAGTTAATTGCTTATCATCTGCTCAGCTGCCAAGCCCAGATGTTTAGTCTTTGATGACCAACTTGGAACCTCCCATGAATGCCACCTGTGGACGTTAGCCAGAGACCAGCAAGGAAGAGACATGGACAGGATCACAGGGCCAATTGGGAGCATGGCTGGGACAGAGTCCAGGGCAGGCCTTGGGTTTTTCCTCTTTATGGACTGCCGCTGGCTTCTCAATGAAGTTGGTGTCACCTGGTGCTAAAGCCTCAGTTAATTCTGGCCTCTGGCTAATGTCCCTGGCCTAGGAGGCAGCACATTTCCCCAGACCCTTCCAATGCCCAAGTGAAACATCTGCTTCCAACCAAGCTTCAACTGAGAGAAAAAGCGTTTCCACCCACAAGTAACCTAAGATGTGGTGGGTTTTTGTAGGAGTGGCTGGATTTCACTGGATTTGCATTTCACAGCCCTGCTCCAGGCTCATCAGCTTTCTGCCAGTTATTGTCAGAAGCAGACACTCACTATGAATCCATCTAGAGCTGGCTTTGCCTCTTCATATCCAGGGATCTAGTCAGAGAGTCTGCCCAGCGCCTCGCATCTCCAGATCCTCATTCAGCCACGCTGTCAAAAGCTGATTTCACACGTCTTGCTCCGGGTGAGCCCACACTGCTGTCTCGCCTTTCCAACTCGGTTTCCTCCCTGTAAGGAGCCTTCTACAAGGCGTCTTCCTAGCTTGTAGCTGGGTGGCTGGAGACTCCACCTTCTCCCGCTTTGGGAGAATCCAGTTGTTTCCTCTCTCCAGGCTTCACTGGGCAGCAGCGCTCTCCCACAAGCTGGTGGAGGGGCTGGGCTCCCCTTCTGGGTCCTCCCTGGTTCAGATCCTTGGTGCCAATAGCTGAGGCTGAGTCCATGCTGCCACCCACTGACATGGCACACAGGACTTTCTCTTTTTCGTTCTTCTTCCTGCTCCAAACCCAACTGGAAATGCCCCTTTGTGTTCCTGAGTGCCTCCACAAAGCTCGGGGCAATGTCCTCGGCCTTAGAACCAGTCTTCCCGCCTTCAGATCTGCTCTTCCAAGAGGAGAGCTCCCTGGAGAGCCACAGTACTGTCTCTTTAGGCCACCCCTCCCATCGTTACAGCAGGGTCATTTATGGCAGCCACTAGAACCTCGTTTTTAGAGCCTTCCATTGTCCCGGGGCCAGGGAAATGTCCTTTGTCCTAAACTTACTCGAGCTGCCTTCTCTAAGAAACCTCTACTGTCTCCTTTAATAAAAGGACACCCCCTTTCCACCAAGCTTGTTAATGGAGGAGAGGCTGGACCTTTCAGCCCTGACTCACTTCCTCCAAAATTCCTCTTGCCCTTGGGGACTTCCATAAAGTATGGCCACCCATGGAGCTGGTCTCACTGGAACTCCAGCCAGCTGTAAACCCAGAATTCTCCCCTGCTCCGCCTTAAACTCCAGCATCACAGCTGGGGAGTGCTGACGCATTTAAACAAGACTTTCTGAAAGACTCAGGTTTGCCAGCAGGGCCATCAGACATAGTGGCCTGGTGCAGAACATACTCCCCTCCCTGCTCACTAGGGGAGACTCTCCCATTCTGCCCCCAGGCCCCACACCTTGGCCTTATTCCGCAAATTAGGATAACTGGGTGTCGGGGGAGCATAGAGAGGGACAGTCACTGGAAAAGACTTAGATTTGCTTGGAAGAGAAAAGGAAGGGGGACAGAAGAAAGAAGATGGGAAACAGAGCCTTGAGCCTGCGTGTGAGGACCGGGAATCAAGGGGGAAAGCTTTGCTATGCAGTGAGAGATGCCAGGCGCCAAAGAAAAGGGGAAGAAGGACTGAAGAAGTGCTGCTGGGGTTATGAGCTGGATTCCCTTTAATGTTCTTTCAAAAGATGCAAGTAAATACTGGGATTTATTTCTTTATTATACTTGGTTAATGGACATTGTTTCTTTGAATGCAAAACTGTGTTCAGGCTGAGCCTCGTGAGAGCCAGGATTTTTTCAGGATATACATGCAACTTGGATACACCTGCAATCTGGCTCATGAGCTACATCCATCTCACTCCCCTTCCTCATAGATTTCACGGCCTGAGCAGGTCAAGTGCATTCTAACTCAACACAGCAGGTCTAACAGTCGTCCCAAGCATGCTCAGAGGAAGTGGCTGGATTGGCATTGTAATCACACTCCAAAAGTCCAGGAGGTACATCAGGGAAGATCCAGCCTCTCCCCTCCTCTGCGGTATTACACCCTGGTATGAAAATGTCACCTGCATTCAAGACTGCCACATCTATAAACAAATGAGCAGCATTCCTCTACCACAGACATGCAATGAATCCCCCGATTCAGTGGTTCTTGACTTTGGTTAGGCATTCATAGCTTTAAGAAAAAACTGAGGCCCAGGCTGCACCCAAGACTGATTCGATTAGAATCTCAGGGCGTAGGACCTAGGAATCTGTAGTTGGGAAAACTCCCCAGTGTACAGCCAGCTTGAGAACAATTGTCCTTATCACTGATTCATTCCAGGTTTGCTCATCAGCCAAACACAAGCCAAACTCTGATAGTCAGCATCCAGCCTCTGGAAGATACAGAACATCTGACATTCATGCTTATCAAGAGCCCTCAAGCTCCTGAAGAACTTTCTGAGCACTTAAGCATCAGCTACAGCTGGGATCAGTTTGGCAAGACACATGCATTGCTATCTTTCTGCAGACACAAAACCCCAGCTCTTGCAAAGCCTCAAAGACCCCAGGAATACTGCACATGTTATGAGTGAACTGGACCATAAACTCGGCCAGCCTGTGGCCTCTGCTGCCCTTCTGCCTAGCTCCAGCCTCTTGGCCAGCACCTCCGTTTCATTTTCTCAGATGCACACTCACCAGTGCCACGGCCCCTCCCCTGGATCAGCCATTCCCCACAGGCCTCCCTTCCTCCGCCGTCACCACTGCCACTTCTGCCACAGGCTGCCCCCTCACCTTGGCCCCCTCCTGTTGCTGCTGCCACCAAGGCACCGGAGCCAGTAATCTGTCACAAGAGTGGGTGAAAACACCTATCTTTTCCACTTTGGATCCTAAAGCAGGGGCCCCAGGGCAGGCGCACTGCTGACCCACTCTGGCAGTTTTTAAGCAAAGTCCTCACCCCAGGTACTCCACAACCAGGCCTGGGGGACTCACTGCTCCACCCCATGACTATGCCCTGCTGCCTCTCGCTCCTTCTTGCACAAACAGTCTCTCACTGAATCCCTAGGACACAGGTGAAGCTCAAGGGAGGGGTTCCTAAATGCCCTGATACACTTGGAAAGTAGTAATGTAGCAGACCAGTATTCTGCAACTTTCCTCACTGCAAAGCTGGATATAAGCTGCAGAGCTGGGGAGGATGGGTTAGGTGGGAGCCGGGATCACCTTGGGAATATCACCCCACCCCCTCCAAGCTGGGGAGTAGGAATTTGCAGTGGTGGTGCTGGGTGTACTCTGGGGGCACCAGGGGTCTGGAAAGGGCCCAGAAGTTGGGTGAGAAATGCATAGGGGGGACCTAATTTGTTGGGGTTTTAAAATATATATTTTCTAAAGTTTGGGACTCCTATAACAATTTTTAAAACCTGTGTCTTAAAGCTACATACACAAAAGCAGCGGTCCTCTGGCTCTCTCCCCACGTCTCTAGGCCTGCTCTCTAATGTGAGCTCCTAGGTATTTAATTCATCATCACCTGAAATGTGCTTTTACCCCCTCCCTTAATTCACTGTATAGCCCCTAATGACTCCTTGCTGATAGCTGAGCATTACATACTCCCCGCCCCACCCCCAATATTGCTGGGGTCCCTCTACTTGATTCTCCATGACATCTGGGGACACTGTTGGCACTCCAAACCTGTTCTCCACCTTTCCTTCCCAGGCTTCTGCCTCTACCCAGGGTCAGTGGTAGCTTTAATTTTACCAAGATTATGGGATGGAAAGAAGTGCCCAGATTTCAGAGGAATTTACACCCTAGAAAGACAAGACTCAATAACTGGTTGGATGTGAGGAATAATCAAAAGGGGGGTGCCCTGGGTGGCTATGGGGTCTTGGCTTGTGCAACCGGGCAGAGAGTGGGGCGAGCCAGTGAGACGGGAGGAGAAGGTGCTGAGTTTGAGGTACCTATGGGCATCCATGCGGAGCTGTTGGAAGGTCACTGGCCATGCTGGTCTGGCAGGCAGGTGCGAGTGTTGGGTATCAGCTACCCCTGGGCAGTAACTGAAGTCAGGGGCGTGGCTGAGAGCACCTGGGAGAATACACAGACTGAAAAGAGGAAAGGGCCCAGCAGCAAACCTGCAGGAGCACCACAACCAAGAAAAAACAGAGCCTGCAGAGGAGAGGGAGGAGTGCCCAGAGCTGCATCCGAGCAGGCGATCTTTCCAGGAAAGACCGGGCCCAGCGCCGGTCAAGAATAATAACGACTAAACGCGACACTGCACCTAGAGGCACAGAGGCCACCCTGGTACTGGCGGGGAAGCGCAGGAGGTGGGGTGAAGAAGGGGCAAGGAGGGGGCTGAAGTGTAAACAAGGAGAGCAGAGGAAGGGGAGCCGACAGCTGGAGAGAGAAGTGGGTGGAGTTTTCTGAGATGAGAAAGACCTCATTCAGGGTGTTTAGTTCAGAAGGCAGTGGATACATTAGAAGATGCAAGAGAGATGAGGAGGAGGAGTGAGGCTCCCAGGGGGTCAAGGGCTGGGGCCAGGACACAGGGTGAGTCCTGGAGGCAGGTGGACATCCCTTCCACCCTAACGAGGGCAGGGAAGGGGTGCGATGGGGATCTGTAAATAGCAAGATGTCAACTGTCCCTATGCCATTGGAGAGCTCCTGTTTTCTCCCTGGAGCAGAAGGTGCCGCCATCAGCTGAGGGTGAGGCTGGGACAAGGGCCCAGTGAAGAAAGGCAGGCGGGGGCTGCCCTGCAGAGCAAAAGGACATGCTGGGCGGAGCACCAAGGAGCCCTTAGCAGTCACAGGCAACCACTCATAGTTTTCCCAGGCCTTTCTCCTGCAGATCTCGGTCTCCAGGTGGCAGCACAGAGGCGACAAGCTCCTGAGTCCTTCCAGGATTTTCTGCTGGGCAGGGAGCTGCAATTCTGATGAAAGATGGGATGAAATGGGGAGTGCGCGGGGCTGGAGGGAGGCGAAGGTAGGACTGAGAGCTCAAGGAACAGGAGGCTGCGGTCAGAGTCTGAGAGGACCGGCTGAGGGACCGACAGTGCTCGGTGATGGCAAGGTGCAGGGCACGGCCACGGGGCAGGCAGCTGTCTGGGGGAATGGGGTGACAACCCCTGAGAGGTTAAGGAGTGGCGGGCAGGTGGGTGGAAATAGAAGTCACTCAGGAGGAAGGCAGGACCTGAGCAGGGAGAAGAAATCTGGGAGGTGAATGCTCACGTCTGCCCTCAATGAGGGTGGGCAGGTGGGTGTCTGGGATGAGCTGGGGAGCATGGGGCCCACCCTGAGAGGGACAGAGGATCTTACCAGACGGCCAGGAAGGGGCTGGAACAGTCCAGGAAGCAGGGGGCCTTGACCCTACCTCCCACCTCTGATGCCCATGAGTGTGGGAGGAAGAGGGGACATGGTATCCCCAGAGGAGAACTGAGTTCCAGCATAGGGAAGAGAGAACAGCCTGCAGGGAGGAGCTGGATCCATCGGAGAACGCGATGGTCGTGGAATAAGGGTTCGCAAGGGTGATGGTTCAACAAGTGTTTATTGAGCAGCCACATCTGCCAGGTCTTGGGATAGCCAGTCCCTGTGCTCATGGGCTTAGATCCTGGCAGAGGCCTAGTGGAGAGGCTTGGGGTGGGGGTCGGGGCATGGAAGGCTGTGCTATTGGCCAGGGACTCAGAATACAGGAGAGTGCAAGGGTGACAGAAGTTTCTTTCTTGGGCAAAGAGGCCTGGAATGGTGGCTTGAATCTCAGCCATGCCTTAGCCTTCCCCTCTCAGCCAGAGAAGACCCAGGTCTCCCTGCCCAGAGGTCCATGCATAGCCATTCATTCGTTGATTCATTCCTTAACCAAGAATTAATGAGTGCTACTCTGTGCAGGGCCTGTAAGAGCATGGGCTGGAGGAGGCAGCTCAGGGGCCGGGCAGGGGTGTTGGCTGCAAGGTTACAAGAGAAGGGTAGCACTCTCAGAGGCCTGCTTGACGGGCGCCTGGGACTGGGCTGATGGGGGGCCTTTCTGGGGCACAGGGTGGTGGGAATGTAATTGGAGAGGCTTCCAGAGGCACTTGGACTTGAGAGGCCTCCATGGAGCCTCTGACAGAGTCCCCAGGGGGAACACCTGCTCCAAGAGTCTGGGCTCTGCTTTCCCCTGCCCCCACCACGGAAGACATGTCAAGCTGGGAAGCCATGGAGGAGAAGGGGAGGGCAAAAAAGTTGTTGAGCCACTGGGATAAATGGGAGGAGCCCCGGAGGGAGCGGCTGCGGGATCGCACAGCCCCTCGTATCCGGTGGGGTGGGCTGATGCCCCTTTGCAGCTGGGCAGGATGTTCCTGGGCATTGGCAGGATGGTTGAGGGGCCCTGTGATGGCAGGAGTGCTGGCTTGGACCACATGGGGAGACCAAGTCCGAATAGGGGCCCGATGCAATTGAGGGTGCAAGCGGAGGGCATGGCGAAGGCGGATGGCTCTCTGTGCTCTGTACAACAGGTAGCGGATCCCACGGTGGACGGCAGGGCGCTCCTGGTGATCAGGAGGCTCGCTGTGAGGCTCAGCATCGGGGGTGGCAGCCTGCTCAGCGGGCTGGTGGGGAGGCCAAGCTGGGGGGTGGTATGTGCCACAGGGCAGGCTGGAGGCTCCTTGTGCTCTCAGCAGAGACTGGACTGGCGAGGAGTGGGCTGGCGAGGAGTGGGCTGGCGAGGAGTGGGCTGGCGAGGACTGTGGCTCGGCGGTCTCCATGGGCTCCATGCACTTTCCAATACAGAACCTCAGACTGAGGGCTGGAAGAGACCTCAGGGGCCACCCAGTCCAACCTTTCACTCTATTCAGATCCCCTTTTCCCCTGGACAGGTGATAGTCCAGCCTCTAGTAATAAACCTCTAGGGACAGAAGGGTCACTACCCACGAGGCCACCTGTTTCACTGTGGAATGGATTTATATATCTTTCTACATGGATGGAGTCAAACCTCACTTGTTTGGCCCCTATATAGCTGCCCTGTGGCCTGACACCCCTTCACTGGCCCCCACTGGCTGTAATAAACCAAGGAATGGATTCTTGTCCAGCCCTCCTCACTGAGGACTTAGAGGACAGAAAATGCATAAGGAAGCTCCAGACAAAGGTCTTGGACATTCCAGAAAAGAGACAGGGCTCTGGACACATGCTATCAGCATTTCAGAAGAGCTCCTGGCCCTGGTGTAGTGGGAGGGCTGGGGTGGTCCAGGCATGCAGCTGTCATTTGGAGACTGTCCTCAGCACAGCTTGGGACTCAATGCCTCACTGGAAAATTCCCCAGGCGCAAGGCAAGTCTGAGAGTCACCTGCTGTGGCTGTGCCCCCTGGGACCTGAAATGGGGGGAGGCAGGAGTCCTGGGCTGAACTTCTGGGCCACTCACCGAGTTTTCGGCATCTGAGTCTTCCGAGCTGCTGATCACCACAACGCGTTCCTCTGAAACGGGGAAGGGGAGATGCATTATGAACTGCCTAGGATGCATGCTGGGAGGGGTGTGGGTGTGCACCTATGGGAATCCTTGCAGGCCAGTCGGCTGGGGGAAACGGATGCCCTGCAGGGGGACGGGAACAGCCACTGTGTGTGCCAATGTGACTCTGCTTTGCATTTGGATTTGAGTAATTCACAAATGGGTTTCCATAATTTCTTGCTGTGCCTTATCTATGAATATTCAATTAAGTTATCTGCCCAGAATTCAGAATTTGCCCCCTGTACAGGAGGCCTGACAACTGCTACCTGGTCTGGAACCTTCTGCAATCCTAAAGAAGCACACTGTCCCCATTCTCAGCTCCATGAGCTGGGATGTCTAGAGTTAAAAGACGCTTCATTTAGTTAATCAAAACCCATCGATTACCAATAGCATTTGTGGGTAAGGAATATCAGTCAGTGCTCAGTGTGTGACCAAGGCTAGGGCTCAGTCAGAATGAGGAACAAAGCTGTACTCTGGGTGAAGCAGATCCTTAGAACTCTCTTGTTCCAGATTCCTCTGGGTTGACCTCAACTCCTGCCCAACTGACTACCTGCCTGGCAGTGTTCATAGAAGATAACTCTGACAAATGAGATACTTAGGTAGGTGGCCTTTGCAGAAACACTTGGGGAAATGATGGGTGTAGACTGAGAGAGCAGAGTTAAGGTCATGGGGAGTCCAGTTTCCTGTTATGGTATGCCCAAGCCCTCTCTGGGAGTATGCTAGGCATCAGCCAACAAACTTCTTGTGGAGACCTGCCCTGTGCAAAGGCACAGTAGTGTTTGGGAGAAAGGACTCATAGAACTGTGCATTTTAGCCTGTCAGGCTCCCCACACCTCAATCATGGCAAAACACATGGTAAACTGTGTCCACTCTCACCCCCACGCACACTGTGAACTTTCCCTATCTTATTCAGTGGGAATAAGGGACTCCTGTTGGCTTTGGGCTTTCTGGATGGGGCCAAAATACAGAAGAGGGGCACCGCCCAGACCCTGGCGGGCAGCACCCAGGCCACTGCCCTACCCACCTCCCTACCTGCCTCCCCGGCGCCACTGGCCACGTGGTTGCTGTTGGGCAGGAAGACCTCACTTCCTATGACGGGGCTCCTGGGGCTAGGCGGTCCATCCAGGTGGGGTGGTGAGACTGCCTTGGAGGTGCTGGGCCTGGGCTGCTCCGGGGAGCTCCGAGCCAACCTTGCCTCCTTCCCCTCCTCAGACTCCATCTTGATGACCTTCCTGGGGCACTGGGTCTGGCTGCACTTCCTCTTCTGGGCTGTCGTTGTATTGGAGACATCCTGCATAGAGGGAGTCACAGAGCCAGGTCAGGTGCCTGCAGGGGTGAGTGGGCAGAGCCTGCCCTGACTGCCAGGGACTTGTGGCCACCCTTTTGCTCCTGCTGTCCCCTCTCCTCTGCTCTCAACCACGCAGATTACGTCTCTCTTCAGACAGGAAGCCTTCCCAAGCTGGTACTATCTGCTGTCCACCAGTCTCTGCTGGCCTCTGACAACCCTGAGTGTCTCAGCACCCCTGCTGGGCTGGGAGTGGGCCATGCTTATGGGAAGCTCCCTGACCATGCAGCCAAGAACAGGGGAGAGCACAGAGAAGGCGTTGAGCAAACACTTTCCCACAAAGAGCTGATCTGATGAAGGCCTGGATTCCCACCCCAGTGCCAGCTCACTTTCCTGGTGGAACTCAGGCCTTCAGGAGGGAAGGCTGGGGCTGGGGAGAACCTTACCTCTCCATAGGAAGGGCCTTTGATGGAGAAGGCGTACACTGGCACGGGGTGTGCCCCGGGCACTGACTGTACCACAGCCATAGGCTGGGCTTCAGCCAGCCCCAGGGCCTGAACCTGGGCCTTCACTCTCTCTGCCTCCTCGGGCTGCAAAGTTGGGAAAATTGAGTCAGAAATGACTAGGCAGCAGCCCCAGGGCCAGGTACCCCAGACCTGTGGTTGGCCTAATCCCTGGGGCCTCACCAAGTCACAGGTCCAGGCTCCCTGACTCAAAGCTCCGAGCTCACTGGGGACAAGAAGTCCTCCAAACTCTCCATCACATCACCTCCTTTTTTTAAAAAAATTTTTTTGTAGAGACAGGGTCTCACTATGTTGCCCACGCTGGTCTTGAACTCCTGGGCTTGAGCAATTCTCCTGTTTCAGTCTCCCAGAGTGCTGGGATTACAGGCACGAGCCACCGCGACTGGCATCACCTCCTTCTGACTCTGAGTTACTGGAGCCCAGGGACCACTTTGGTTGTTGTGTGTCCTAACAGGGCTGGAAGATACCCCAGGAATCACACTGCCCAACTCAGGACATGCTCAGTAATTAGCCCTACTTAGACACACACCTCCAGGGACAAAGTGCTCACTACTGGCGAAAGCAGCTCCTTTAACAGTGAGAAAATCCTCCCATTGAGCTGAAACTGGCCTCCCTGGGACCTTGCCTCTGCCCTCTCAGCCTTAACTCTACCTGGGTCAGCTACTACACAAGTTGGATGAATTGCTTAAAACTCCTCAGGCCTCAGTCCCCCTCTATAAAGTGGGAATAATAACATCTACCTCATATGGTAATGTGGATGAAATGTGTTAATACAAGTAAAATATAAAATACCTGGCACTTAGAAAATGTCATTGATGATGATAAATATTGTTCTTATTACTACTCTGTGCCAGGCACAGTGCTAAGTGCTTCATGTACCTATCTCAAAATGAAATAGAGGCAGTTTCTTAAAAAATTAAATGTAGAATTACCATATGACCTAGCAATTCTACCCCAGGTGTGCACCCAAAAGAAGGGAAAACAGACGGTTAAACAAAAGCTTGCACGTGAATGTTCAGAGCAGCACTACTCACAATAGCCAAAAGGTAAAACAAACTAAATGTGCATCAACTGATGACTGAATAAACAAAATGTGGTATAGCCACGTGATGGAATATTATTCAGCCATAAAAAGCAATGAGGACTGAGATGTACAACATGGATGAGCCTTGAATGTATTACATTAAATGAAAGACACCAGCCAGACGTGGTGGTGCACACCTGTAGTCCCAGCTACTTGGGAGGCTGAGGCATGAGAATCGCTTGAGCCCTGAGGCAGACATTGCAGTGAGCCGAGATTGTGTCACTGCACTCCAGCCTGGGGCACAGAGTGAGACTCTGTCTCAAACACTAATAATAATAATAAATTTTTTTAAAAAAAGAAACCAGACACAAAATACACATTGTATGATCCTATTTACATGCAATGCCCAGAATGGATAAATCCATAGACACAGAAAGCAGATTGGTGGTTGCCAGGAGATGGGGGAGGGGGAAATGGGACTGACTGCTTCATGGGTAAGGGGTTTCCTTTTGGGGGCATAAAAATATTCTGGGGCTAGATAGGTGGCAATGGCTGTGCAAGATTATGAAAGTACAGGAGGCTGAGGTGGGAGAATCACCTGAGCCTCCCACCTAGGCAACATAGCAAGACCTCATCTCTGAAAATTAAAAAGAAAAAAATTTAATCATTTGAGCTGGAGCTGCAAAGAAAAAAAATTAAAAAATTTAAAAAATATTATGAATGTAATAAATACCACTAAATTGCACACTTCAAGAGTTAAAATGGTGAATTTTATATGAATTTTATCGCCATAAAAATTATAGTTAAAAAAAAAGTAGGTACCGTACTATGATTATTGCCAATCTTCAGAGAAGGAAACGGAGGCAGAGAGAGGTGAAGTGATTTCCCAAGGTCACATACCTCGGGACCCCTGGCCTGACTTGAATCTAGTGTTTTTTGTTCGTTTGTTTGTTTGTTTGTTTTGAGACAGAGTCTTGCTCTGTTGCCCAGGAGATGGAGTGCAGTGGCACTATCTCGGCTCACTGCAACCTCGGCTTTCTGGGTTCAAGCGATTCTCCTGCCTTAGCCTCCTAAGTAGCTAGGATTACAGGCGCACAGCCCCACGCCCAGCTAATTTTTGTATTTTTAGTAGAGATGGGGTTTCACCATGTTGGCCAGGCTGGTCTCAAACTCCTGACCTCAGGTGATCCACCCGCCTCGGCCTCCCAAAGTGCTGGGATTACAGGCATGAGCCACCACACCTGGCCAAATCCAGTGTCTTGAAATGGAGGCCTCTTCCTGCCCCGGCGTGCTCTTCATTTTCTTTACTTGATGAGTCTTTTATGTCCCTCCCCACCATCTTTCTCTCTTTTGTGAACTTTAAGCGTCCACTGGACCGATTATTGAAAATGAGTGAGTGGCAGGGATACACCTTCCTCACAGGGACAAGCTCTGTCCCTCCTGTGTGGGCCTTCTGAGAACCACCCAGGCAAGCTGGGGCTGGGCAAGGAGGCTCCCGACAGAGGCTGCTGGGCATGTGAGTTAAGGCAGGGATGGCCCCAGCACAGTGCTGGCTCCTGGGTGTGCCAGGTACCAGAACCCCGCGGTGGGTCCTTCTCATGGGCTCCACACCATTGGCCATGATGGATTGACCTCCTTCCCTCCTCCCTTCCTTCCTTCCTTTCTTTTTCTCCAAATCTTTAAAAAGAAGGAGGATGACCTCTCTGGATTAGAGAGTGTGAGCCTGTCTTGGGAAGGAGAGAGAACAGATTATCTCCCAGGATCTGTCTCTGCCAGGCCTCTAGGAAAGTCTAGTCACTCTTAAGGCCAGTGGTTTTCAAACTGCAGCTTGTGACCCATTAGTGGATCCAACCATGAAAGCAATTTAGTGGGGCATGACCAACATTTTTATGTCAAAAATAATAGTATAGAATAGAAATTATCAGAGTACATCCCATGTAACAATCATAATTTATTCTGTAAAACTTTTTTCTTTCTTTCTTTTTTTTTGAGGCAGAGTCTTGCTCTTGTTGCTCCGGCTGGAGTATAGTGGCATAATCTTGGCTCACTGCAACCTCTGCCTCCCAGGTTCAAGTGATTCTCCTGCCTCAGCCTCCTGAGTAGCTGGGATTACAGGTGCCTGCCATCACGCCCGGCTAATGTTTGTATTTTTAGAAGAGACGAGGTTTCATCATGTTGGTCAGGCTGGTCTTGAACTCCTGACCTCAGGTGATCCACTTGCCTCCGCCTCCCAAAGTGCTAGGATTACAGGCGTGAGCCACTGGACCCAGCCTATTTTATAAAACTCCTTTAGCTACAGTATGTGTGTGCATATGTATATACTATAAGTTAAGATATAATATATATTTTTTTTCAATAGAGGATAGTGGTCAAAAAAGAGTTTAACCCACCTCACACACATTAGAATGACTATTATTTAAGAAAAAAAGAGAGAGAGACAATATAACAAATGTTGGTGAGGCTGTAGAGAAGTCGAAACTTTTACACGGTGCTGGTGGAAATGTCAAATGGTGCAATAAAAAATGGAAAACAGCATGGTGATTCCTCAAAAAAAAAATTAAAAATAGAATTACCATATGATCCAGCGATCCCACTTCTGAGTAAACATGCAAAATAATTGAAAGCAAGGTCTCAAGGAGATATCTGTACACCCGTGTTCATAGTAGCAGATTCACAATAGCCAAAAAATGGAAACAAGCCAAGTGTCCAACAGACGAATGGATCAACAAAATGTGGCATATACACATAATGGGATATTATTATTCAGCTTTAAAAAGAAAGGAAATTCTGACACATGCTACATGGATGAACCCTGAGAACACTGCACTAAGTGAAAGTGGCCAGTCACAAAAGGACAAATACTGTGTGATTCCACTTATAGGAGGTACCTAGAGTATTGAAAATCATAGAGACAGAAAGTAGACAAGGGTCACCAGGGCTGAGGGAGGCAGCATGGGGAGTGACTGTTTAACAGGAACAGAGTTCCAGCTTGGGAAGATGAAAATCCTTCTGGAACGGGTGGTGGTAATGGCTGCACAGCAGTGTGAATGTACTCAATGCTAAAGAACTGTACACTTAGTGTACACTGAACTGAACATTTTGAAATGGTTAAGATGATGTATTTTATATTATGTGTATTTTACCAAAATTAAACATTTTTTTTTTTTTTTTGAAAAAGGAGTTTAAAAGGTCCTGCTCTATCGTTCTGTGTCTGGCTCTGCAAACTGCTGGTATGTAAAAGACCCTCTTTCCAGACAGGCCACGAACTCCCCGAAGGCCGGGCTGGCCTCTTCTCTGCCTCTGTCCCAACCTCCCTGACACACCCTCCATCCACGTTAATAAAACAGGGAACACACCAGAGGGCTCAGTAGAGAAAAACACATCATAATGACTGATTTATAATTTTTATAGCTTTAAAATAATAAATTTATTTTTTTCCATTAAAGTATTATAACACGATTACAAAAAGCCTATGAAAAACAGAGGAGGGAAAATATCTGAGCTGCTGCCACCCCACCCAAACAATCCTAGTGAAGCCTGTTGAGCTTTCTCTTCATCTCTTCCAGGCATATAGTTGCAATGAAAGTAAACAAACCAGCAGTTTCAAGAGGGATGAGTGCTGGAGCTAGATGCCCAACTCCTGCCTTCTAAGGCAGAAACACGGACCCAAGAGCTGCTTCTCTCCTGGCACAGCTGATGGAGCACTTTCCCTTGGGACAGCCGTCTGTGCCTGCCTCACCTGTCCTTGCACTCACAGTGTTCCCCACTTCCTTCCCTCAGCAGCACTGCCATCCCCAGGCAAGGATTGAAGCCAGAGGCTTGGCAAAAAGAGCAACCCTCTGATACTCCAAGTTCAAACTGCTTCCTAGCTGATAGTGAGAGGCCACGTCTATTCTGATTTTATCAAGACAAAGACCCAAAATACCTAGACCTTCACACAAGACAGTGCAGGCTCTCTTGTTGTTCATTCACCAATGACTAGCATCTGGAAGACAGCTGAGTCTGTGGACCAAGGGCATTTCCCTATTATTATTTTGATTTTATTTGTTTATTTGCTTTTTGAGACAGGGTCTCACTCTGTCACTCACGCTACAATGCAGTGGTGTGATCACAGCTCACTGCAACCTCAAACTCCCTGGGCTCAGGTGATCCTCCCACCTTAGCCTGCTGAGTACCTGGGATTATAGGCATGTGCCACCACACCTGGCTGATTTTTACACTTTTTGTAGAAACAGGGTCTCACCATGTTGCCGAGGCTGGTCTCAAATTCCTGGGCTCAAGCAATCTGCCCACGTCAGTGTCCCAAGGTCCTGGGTTTGCAGGTGTGAGCCACCACACCTGGCCTTATTATTTTATATTATTTATTTGCAAACATCATGCATTGTAGCATTGTTTGTAATAGCAAAACAACCTAAATATGCAGCAACAAGGAACTGGCTAAATAAAGCCTGCCATATCCATTTAATGGTCCATTATGCAGCTGCAAAAAGGTATCGGGAAGCTCTCTACCTATTGATAGGATAAGAATTCTGGTATGATACCATGTGTATCTGGTATTATCCTACCTTTGTGAAACACAGAATGCAAAAGGCAAATATCTATAATAATATTTGCTTGTAATTACATACATTCTGGAAGGATATATAAGAATTTAAAAAAGAGGTGGGGCACGGTGGCTTATGCCTGTAATCCCAGCACTTTTGGGAGGCTGAGGTGGGTAGATCACTTGAGGCCAGGAGTTTGAGAGTATCCTGGCTAACATAGCAAAACCCCATCTCTCCTAAAAATGCAAAAAATTAGCTGGGTGTGGTAGTGCGTGCCTATAATCCCAGCTACTCAGGAGGCTGAGGCATGAGAATCGCTTGAACCCAGGGGGCAGAAGTTGCAGTGAGCCGAGATTGTGTCACTGCACTCCAGCCTGGGTGACAGAGCAAGACTGTCTCAAAAGAAATTTTTAAAAGATAGTTATATGGGCATAAGAACTGGGGGCTAAAGTGGGAGTAAGACACTATTGATCACTTTCTATGTTTTTATTTCTGACTATGTGATTGTATTATGCACACATATATTAAAAAATTCCTCTTTTTACTTGAGGTTGTGTATATAGGAATGCAGTACCCAAGGCAGTTAAGAGTCAGCTTTTAGGCTGGGCACAGTGGCTCACGCCTGTAATCCCAGCACTTTGGGAGGCCGAGGCGGGCAGATCATGAGGTCAGGAGTTCAAGACCAGCCTGGCCAATATGATGAAACCCCGTCTCTACTAAAAAATACAAAAATTAGCCAGGCGTAGTGGTGCGCGCCTGTAGTCCCAGCTACTCGGGAGGCTGAGGCAGGAGAATGGCTTGAACCCCGGAAGCGGAGGGTGCAGTGAGCCGAGATCACGCCACTACACTCCAGCCTGAACAACAGAGCGAGCCTTCATCTAAAAAACAAACAAACAAACAAACAAAAAACAGAGTCAGCTTTTAATCTTGCCCCTAATTTGCTGTGTGTAGCCTTGGGTAAGTCACATCCTTTCTGGGTCTTAGCTTCGTCCTCTGTGAAAAAAAGGGGGTTAGACTCCATGCTCTTGCCTGGCTCTAAAACTCTGAGACTCTTAAGTCCTGTCTCTTCCAGGAAGCCTCTCCTGATTGCCTCAACCTACAGCACTCTCTCTCTCCTATGGGTCATGCCATGGCAAAAGCTAGGCCCCTACCCACCACCAGAAGACCTGCTGTCCATGAAGGACTGGCCAGTCCTGGGCCAGATCCTTGATAGGCTAGGCGCATGCAAACCTGAGTGACTAGGCTAGGGAAGAGACCAGATGCCAAGTCCAGGAAGAAACCGAGGATGCTTATTCTGGTGGAAAGGAGCCATACTTGTGAATGCCAAAGGGGGCAAGTCAAAGGGACACCACTGCATTTCCACTCGGAAAAGCACTTTCTAAGTCAGAGCAGTCCAGAGTTGGGAGCAGCTGCCTCTAGAATGAGCAAGCTTCCTGTCCCTGGAGATGTGTACATGAAAGCTGGACAGCCACAGGTCAGGGGTGCTGCAGAAGGAATGCCAGCATTAGATGGGACATGGATACCTTGAACCCTGAGACAGTCTGCTTTGTTACATGTATGGTGGCCCTGGAATCACACCAGCAGAACCCGGGCAACTGGGATCGAAATCTGACTCCTGGCACCATTCCCCGTTCCTTTCCAAGAACCATCTGTGGGGAAAGAGCAGGGGAAGGCCCACCTATTCTGACTCCAAGAGAAGGCTCCCACATTGGGGGTAGGGTGTAGGAGGGGAGAGGACATCTGCACATCCCTCAGGACTGCTGACCCTATATCTAACCATACATCTGACAACCATAGTTTCTCATGGCTGGAAGGCACTAATATGCCATCTAATGCTGGAATTCCCTCTGCAGCAGCCCTGATCTGTGGCCGACTGTCTACCCCACATCTAACCCCCACTGAACCTGGCTCATGGCCCATCAAGAGCAACTTTGGCATTTAGGAGCCTAGAGTCAGAGCCAGCTAGCCAGCCAACCCTTCTTTAATGTCTTCCTTTACTTCCTCTCACTGAAATTTCCAGTCCAGCCACTTGCTGTCCCTCACTCAGACGCTCTCCCTGCACACACAGGGACAGCAGGACTCACAACCTGCCTGACCTGCTGGGCCCCACCACCACCCCTTCAGACCTCAAACCCATCTCACCAGGTCAACGTCAATAGGGTCCCTGGGAGTGCTGGCAGCCTCTGGGCTGGCTTTCTTGGATACAGCTGCATCTGTAGAACACAAAGAAGGTCACAGGCAGGTCAAGGACATGCTGGTAAGGGACATCCTGACCTGGGACAGTGATAGAGAGGAGGTCCCTGTTGCTTTTCCAGGATACCTATTTTCCAGGGCATCCCAAAGCACTGGACAACTCCCTGGAGGGGCAGCTGGAAGGAGAGCTCTCTCGAATGCAGTGGGCAGGAACCCAGCCAGAAGGGAAAAGGAGGTGGCATTAGAGTGCTTGCTTTTGGCTCCAAACCCCAAGTGTACCTCTCTCCATCTCTGAGCCAACAGCAAGGCTAAGTGTGCGCAATCATAAAGCCATCACTACCGGCTCACTGACTCTCTACATATAGTGAGAGCTCCATGATCTTCCTTATCTGCAGCCTGGTTTTTATTAAATCTAAATCTCTTATGCTTCAGAATAAAATAACCCTTCTCTCTGCTATTGCCCAGTTATAACACCCAAGGCAAGCTGTGTAAACTCTGTGGGGTCATTTCCTTAATATGGGTGACATTCACTACCTAGGTGGAGAAGGCACAGGTCCAGGCCCTCTAAGATTATCCTTCATGACCCATGTCCAGCTCCAGGAGAAGTAAATAAGCTCTTTGTCACTGGCACCCTACCCAGGTGCCTTCAGATTCCATAGCCTCCCTCCCCTTTCCCAGTAAGGGCATCCTATACTAGCTGCTCAGAGCTCACATTCCAGCTTGGAGATTTAGTCAAAGACTCCTGGAGACTCTCTGGCACACTCCCCCTACCCCTTATTTTGAAAGCCCCCCTGTTCCAGCTAATACACAGCTGCTACATCTCCCGGATTTGGATTGCAGAGCTGAGCACTGTCTCATTCTCCAGCTACGTGAAGTGGCTCTGGCTCCTTGAGATCAGAAACTAGTCTGTGTCTCCTTACCTCTCAAGCGTCCAACACTAGGCAGGGCGCGCAAAGGTTGGCAGACAGCAGGTCATCCTGCAGACAAGGGATCTCCTCCACTGAGCCACTGTATGGTTTTGGGTAAGCATCCAACCATCCCCAGGAGGTTTTCTTAGCCCCCTTCTACCGTAACCCCAGGTCCCAATTGACTTCTCTGTTCCGAGACACCGGTGGCTTAAGAGAACCTCCTGAAGTGCTTGGTCCCTCTGGCGCCAAAATGATACTGGGTCTGATTCTCAGCTTTGCAGTTTTTCAACTTTCACGTGTTCCCCATGAGTCATCGCTAGGTCAATCCACAGAGTCTTGTAAATTAGTAAAATGTGTCCCCTCTGGGTGGCTGCAGCCCTTTGTCAGGGCCTCATCTCCCCCTTATCCTGTGCCCTGGAACCTAAGACCTTACCAACCCCCAAAGACTGAATAAACACCCAGTTTTCTTTTCTGTCAAATGGAGATGATCTCTTCTGACTCGCCTTCCCTAGGGTGCAGCAGAGGCACAGGCCGCCCAGGAAGGTGGCGTGCGTGCTTACCTTTCCCCTGGGTGATGCAAGAGCTGAGGTCCTGCAGGCGCACCTTGAACTCGTCGAAGCCATCGGTGCGCACGGCAGCTTGCAGGCTCTGGGGCTCCTCCTGGCGCAGGCGGCAGAGCGCCTGGCGCAGGAAACCGTGCATGTCCAGCACCTCCTGGTCCGAGGCGTAGCACTTCATCCTCTGCACCAGCGCGCTGCCCGTGCGGATGCGCTGCAGCACAGCATCCAGGCGGCCCAGCCGACTGGCCATCTCCTCGTAGTCGCGCTGGTACCGCGCGTCCACAGCCTCCAGCAGCTCGCGCTCCTGAGCCCGCACGTGAGCTACCACCTGGCGCACGCGCTCGCGGATCAGCTCCTCGGTCTCGGCACGCGCGCGGCCCAGCTGGCCGACGGCCGCGTGCATCTGCGCGTGAACCGCGCCAAAGGCACTATCCTGCTCCTGCAGCGCCTGCGTCATGGCGTCCAGCTCCTCCTGTCGCTGCTGGATCTCTGCGCTGATGTCGCACTTGAGCTCACTGTGGCTGCTGTCAAGGAGCGCGCACGAGCAGCACAGCGGCTTGGAACATCCTCGGCAGTAGATGCTGTGGACACACAAGGTTGGCCTGGGTTAGGACTCTCCTGACTTTTTCCTCTTAAAACGTTCGTTATTAAATTCCTCTTCCAAAAATACCAGACTTTGAATCATGGCATGTTTCTAGGTTTCTGCTTTTCCTAATTCAGTGTTTGTGGTTATGGTGATAGTATCCAAACTACCAATAACACATGAGTATAAAAAGTTACTACAGTAACAATTTCAACATCCGGGAAACAATACAAAGATATACGAAACGACAATCATCTCTTTCCACCACTTCTGAATTTCCCTTCCCCACCGAGGAAGCACCAGGTGAGCATCGTGGGGTGCACCCTTCCACACATCTCTCCACTGAAACCGCCTTACACAAATGCCAGACTGGGCTGCTGCTTGCAGGATGGTACAGACTTGACACATGTCAGCCATGCCACTTAACCTTTGCAAGAGCCCCTTGAGTGAGAATTGTCGTTATACATATTTCCCAGAGGAAGAAACAGAACATGTTAAATGATTGACCTAGATATCTACAATAATTTTGGGGGCTGATGTTTGTTCAAAAAAAAAGAAAGAAAGAAATCGGCCGGGCGCGGTGGCTCACGCCTGTAATCCCAGCACTTTGGGAGGCCGGGGCGGGAGGATCACCTGAGGTCGGGAGTTCAAGACCTGCCTGACCAACATGGAGAAACCCCGTCTCTACTAAAAATACAAAATTAGCCGGGTGTGTTGCCGCATGCCTGTAATCCCAGCTACTCAGGAGGCTGAGGCAGGAGAATTGCTTGAACCCGGGAGGCGGAGGCTGCGGTGAGCCCAGATGGTGCCATTGCACTCCAGCCTGGGCAACAAGAGCAAAACTCCGTCTCAAAAAAAAGAAAGAAATAAATCAAGTCATATAATTACTTTGAACTTCCTCCTCTCAACGAACTTTCACTCAGAGCATTCCTCTAGGTGCATAGGCACAGATCAGATGTATTCTCTTTAATAGCTCTGGTATATCCCAGATGGGCCACAATTGATTCAATCACTGTCGTTTTGCTGGCATTCAGGTAATTTCCTGTTTGTGCATTTTCTTTCTTTCGTTTTCCTTTCCTTTTTTTTTTCTTTTGGTGCCAATATGGACAACACTTTAGTAATATCCAAGTTATATAGCCTAATCATGGAAGCTTTTGTTCCTATGAAATAGATTATAAATATAGGCCTGCTAGATCAAAGTGTTTGTATTTTAATATTTTTATTTGGTTATTTTTTTTTTGAGATGGAGTTTCGCTCTTGTTGCCCAGGCTGGAGTGCAATGGCACCATCTCAGCTTACCGCAACCTCTGCCTCCCGGGTTCAAGCAATTCTCCTGCCTCAGCCTCCCGAGTAGCTGGGATTACAAGCATGCGCCACCACCCCGGCTAATTTTGTATTTTTAGTAGAGACGAGGTTTCTCCATGTTGGTCAGGCTGGTCTTGAACTCCCGACCTCAGGTGATCCACCCGCCCCAGCCTCCCAAAGTGCTGGGATTACAGGTGTGAGCCACCGTGCCTGGCCTGGTTAATATATTTTAGCTAGCAGATACTTCCATAGCATTTATTGTGTCTCAGATACTATTATAAGCATTGGCAAATATTTACTCATTCAATCCTCCTGACAATCCAGTGGAATAGATACCATTATTATCCCCATTTTAAGGATGAGAAAACTGGTGCAAGAGGCAAAATAATTTGTTCAAGATCACACGATTAGTAAGTGGTAGAGTCTAGATGCAAACTGTAGTAGCAGAATAGTGGCCTCTAAAGATGTCCACGTGCAAATTCCTGAGACCTGTGAATATGTCACCTTACTATGGCAAAAGGGTCTTTGCAGGTGTTATTCAATTAAGGACTTTGAGATAAAGAGATTATTCTAGATTATCTGGGTGGGTTCAACGTAATCACGTGAATCCTTTCAAAGGAAAGGGCAGGGAGGCAGGAGAATGAGAGGAGATGTGATGTGATGAATGCAGAGGTGGGAATGTTGTGATGTTGCCGGCTTTGAAGACAGAAAGGGGCCATGCACCAAGGAATGTGGGCAGCCTCTAGAAGCTGGGAAAGGCAAGAAAACGTTCTCCCTGAGAGCCTCCCAAAGGAGCAAAGCCTGCTGACACCTTTATATACCTCAGTGAGACCTGTTTCAGACTTCTTACCTCCAGAACCATAACAGAATACATTTACATTGTTTTAAGCCCCTAAATTTGTGGTAGTTTGTTACAGCAGCGAAAGAAAATATAAAAACCCAGGCAGTCCAGCTTAGAGTCCATGTTCTTAACCATTACAAGGCTGCTTCTTCAAATATTACCAGGGAAAATACTGTTAGTTCCCCAGAAATATTGCTGTAATTTACTCTCACCGGCAGTGATAAGAATAAGTCTTGGTGGTGTGCGCCTGTAATCCCAGCTACTTGGGAGGCTGAGGTGGGAGAACTGCTTGAACCCAGGAGGTGGAGGTTACAGTAAGCCAAAATTGCACCACTGTACTCCAGCCTGGCCAACAGAGCAAGACTCCATCTCAAAAAAAAAAAAAAAAAAAAGGAATAAGTCAGCCCACCTGAGGCCAGAAGAAAGGGTCTCATCTGGGACTACACTGAGATCAACTTGTTCTGGAACCACCAACAGAGAGCCTACTAGCCAGCCAGACTGATACATAGTGCTCATCAATGCTACGTTTAATTAGAAATACTAAGCAATTATGAAAAGAACTAATAACTCTACAGAAGGCAATTTGGCAATACCCATCAGAATTACAAATGCATTTAACCCAGCAATCCTCTTTCTTTGGATCTGCTCTGCAGCTCTATCTCTACACATAACAAGATGATATCCATACAATATATTCACTGCAGCACAGTCCACAATAGCAAAGAATTAGAAGCCACCCACGTGTCCCTCACAAGGCAATTAGTTACATAAATTATGATCCACCCATACAACGGAATACTATGTAGCTGTAAGCCATTGAGGAAGCTCTTTATATACTGATAAGGAAAATTCTCCATGGAGAAATGAGGTTAATAATAGGAGTACTGGAAGGATTAAATGAGTTAATATATGGATAAAAGTTTGAAAAATGACTGGCATACAATGAGTGTTCAATAAATGCTAACTATTTGTATTATTATGATATATATTTTAAGTTAGAAATCAAGGTGCAGAAATGTGTGTATCAGATGCTACCTTTTGTGTAAGAATGGGGAAAAATAAGAATATCTTCATAGTTGATTGTATTTGAATAAATAAATATTAAAAGGACATGCAAATTAATAAAAGTGGCTATGGGATGGGTGGAATGAGGGTAGAGTAAGACATTCACTGCATACCTTTTTAGATTATGTTTGAGCCTTGTGAATGTATGAATGTATTCCTTTTTTTGAAATTAAAAAACAGAATACTAATAAATGTGGGCAATTCTATAGGGTATAGGAATAAAGGGAAGAGAATAAGAAACAGTTGTTATTTTCCCCCTTTGGATCTTGGACACTTGGGGAGAGGGGCTGTGTCTGATGTTGGATCCCCTTCCTTGGAGACAGGGTTCCAAGCCTGGAAGGGCACGCCTCAGGCAGCCTGGCTGGATAGAGAGCAAGACGTTCTGGATGGCCATAGCCTCCGCTGGGTCCTTTTTCTAAGCTTCTTTTGTCCTGAATGGGGTCTCCCTAGGGTGACTGGCCCCTGCTTTCCCTCTAGATGGAAATGGGCGGCAAGTGTCTGTGAGGTGGCTAGCCTGAATCAGACACCTGGGTCTAAAAGCCCCCAGCCCTCTGGTAAGACTGAGGTGCAGATCCTGAATCAAAGGGCTGCCACCCAGGGCCAGGAATGACCTTAGCCAAGCGGTTCCTTTACCTTCATTCAGAGGACACTCACTGAGTACCTGCTGCGTGCTTGGCACTTTGGAGGAGGCAGAGGTGAAGTGGGAAACTGCCCAGAAGGGCTCCGTGACAAGAACCCAGACTTAACCGTATCTTCAGAAAGGCGAAATAACATCTATTTGCTTCTGGAATACTCAAAACAATAAGCAAAAACACCACTAACTTAATAAGAAATTGCTCACCAAAGTGGCTAGATTACATAATAATTAAGAAAGAAAAATAGCATAATTCTATCTTAGCAAAGCAAATGAGAAGAAATATGGGAAAAAAATCCATCTTCCCATTCACAGCAGCTATTTAAAAAATTCTACAAAGCCATGATTGTGTGCCTATAGTCCCAGCTACTAGGGAGGCTGTGGTGAGAGGATTGCCTACACCCAGGAGTTCCAGGCCAGCCTGGGCAACTCAGCAAGAACTCCATCTCTAAAAAACTTTTTTTAAATTAAAAAAAAGAAGGTACAAAATACCTAGAAAATGACAAAAACCTACTAAGAGATAAGACTAAATATTATAAGATTATTAATTCTCCTTGAGTTAATAAACAGGTTTAAGGCAATTTAAATTATTTTTGAAACTTAACCAAAGTATTCTAAATTTCTTTTCTTTCTTTTTCTTTTCTTTTTTTTTTTTTTTGAGACTGAGTCTCACTCTGTTGCCCAGGCTGGAGTGCAGTGGCACAATCTTGGCTCACTGCAATCTCTGCCTCCCTGGTTCAAGTGATTCTTGTGCCTCAGCCTCCCAAGTAGCTGGGACTACAGGTGTGAGCCACCATGCCTGGCTAATTTTTTTTGTATTTTTAGTAGAGCTGGGGTTTCACCATGTTGGCCAGGCTGGTCTCGAACTCCTGATCTCAGGTGATCCACCCGCCTCAGCCTCCCAGAAGTGCTGGGATTACAGGCGTGAGCCACCACGCCTGGCTAGGTTTCTAAATTTCATATGAAGGAACAAACAGATAAAATAGCTAAGAAAAAAATTTTTAATTTTATAGAGACAGAGTCTCAACATTTTGCCCAGGCTGGTCTCAAACTCCTGGGCTCAAGTCATCCTTCCACCTTGGCCCCAAAAGTGCTGCGATTTCAGGCCTAAGCCACTATGACCAGCTGCTAAGAAATGTTTGAGGAATCAGTGTAAGGAAGGGATAACACATTATAGAAATGCCATTATTAAGAGAATATGGTACTAGTTCAAGAGTCAAGAGAAGGATCAGTAGAACAGACCAGATAGGCCTGATGTAGTCCCTGGCATCTATAGAAATGTAATATTTTATATAACAAAGAAAGCAACCCATCTTTTTCTCTTTTTTCTTTTTGAGAGAGTCTCACTGTGTCACCCAAGCTGGAGTGCAGTGGCGTGATCTCAACTCATTGCAACCTCCACCTCCTGGGTTCAAGCGATTCTCCTGCCTCAGCCTCCCAAGCAGCCGGAACTACAGGTGTACGCCACCACACCTGGCTAATTCTTTTGTATTTTCAGTAGAGACAGGGTTTCACCATGCCGGCCAGGCTGGTCTCGATCTCCTGACCTCAGGTGATCCGCCAGCCCCTGCCTCCCAAAGTGCTGGGATCACAGGCGTGAGCCACTGCGCCCAGCCAGCAGCCCAAACTGATGGACATTAAAGGGGTTTTCAACAATTGGAATCAGAGAAATTGGCTAGGGAGGAGGGTAGGGGGCAGGAATGAAGTTAGAGCCTTGCTTCTTGTTTCATACCCATATATGCTTCCAATGAATCACAAAGTTAAATGTGTAAAATTACATCTCGAAGGAGAAAACACAGTGGACTATTTACTCTCACCATAGTAAAGACACTATAATTACTGAAGAAATAAAAGAAACCATACAATCAATAGATGCCACTGCCCGGCCGGGCGCGGCGGCTCATGCCTGTAATCCCAGCACTTTGGGAGGCCGAGGTGGGTGGATCACGAGGTCAGGAGATCGAGACCATCCTGGCTAACATGGTGAAACCCCATCTCTACTAAAAAATACAAAAAATTGGCCGGGCATGGTGGCATGTGCCTGTAGTCCCAGCTACTCAGGAGGCTGAGGCAGGAGAATGGCATGAACCCGGGAGGCGGAGCTTGCAGTGAGCCAAGATCGCACCACTGCACTCCAGCCTGGGCGACAGAGCGAGACTCCATCTCAAAAAAAAAAAAAAAAAAAAAAGATGCCACTGCCTAAAAAATTCAAAACTGTATATTTTTTTGAAAGATCTTCATGACTATTTATAAGAAAAGCAAGTTATACAACACTAAATGTTGTTCATTTTGTTTTAGATGATCACAGAGATAGCAAAAAGGAAAGGAAAAGGTCTAGAGTGATAGTAGTTTCCTCTTTCTCTCATCCCTCCTTTTCACCTATTTAGATTTTCCTAAACTTTCTATAATCAATTCTAAGTAAAGGAGTTTGGACTTTAAATAGGAAGCAATGGGGAACACTCAAAGAACATCCCATCTAGGTATTACAACAAAGCTCTTTCTCGTCTCTGGGATGTATTGTTTCATTTATCCCTTTATGATTATTCAGTGAAATAGCCACACTGTTAATTTTTTTTTCAGAGACAGGGTCTTGCTATGTTGCCCAGGCTGGACTTGAATTCTTGGGCTCATGTGATCTTCTCACCTCAGCCTCCTGAGTAGTGTATTTTATTTTATTTATTTATTTTTATTTATTTATTTATTTTGAGATGGAGTCTCGCTCTGTTACCAGGCTGGAGTAAAGTGGGGCAATCTCGGCTCATTGCAACCTCTGCCTCCTGGGTTCAAGTGATTCTCCTGCCTCAGCCTCCTGAGTAGCTGGGACTATAGGCGTGCACCACCACACTCAGCTAATTTTTGTATTTTTAGTAGACACAGGGTTTCACCATGTTGGCCAGGATGGTCTCAATCTCTTGACCTCGTGATCTGCCCACCTCGGCCTCCCAAATTGCTGGGATTACAGGCATGAGCCATCTCGCCTGGCCGAGTAGTGTATTTTAATAGAAGCCTCAACGTGTTTCCTGGGTTCTCAGTCTCCCCATCCTAAAGCTGTCCATGTCTAAACTGCTATGCCAAGAGTGGTATGTGTTAGCTCTTCCAAATTTCTAGCTACAAGGCCTTGAGCAAATTACCTTTTCTCTCTGAGTCTTAATTTCCCCACCTGTAGAATGGGAGTAATAATGCTTCCCTTATAGACTGTTACAAGCACAAAGACAGGCTGGTGTATGTGAAGGACTCAGCACAGTGCTATGTAGTCATTGGACATTCTGGAGCTATGAAAGAAGAGGGGGTATTACACATGGCACAGGACATCCCTGCTGTTGGGTGAACCTGTCAATGTCAGATTTGGGGTGTCCCCTCCCCAGTACAGATAGGCCACTATAGCCGCACCTGTTGGTTGGGCCAGGGGAGCATGCTACTTCTGCTGTTCTAGGAAACTGGTAGCTCTAAAATGCAAGAAGCAAAAATGTTATGAAATAGGACCAGTGAAGGAGAGCTGGTACCACCTGGCTTGCCTGAATGGTGACCAAAAACTCTCCTCTACCTGTCCCATTTCCATGCAGCAACTTGGCACTTTCACTTTGGTAGAGTGGTAAAAGAGAGCTCTTTTGGAAATTCAAGTAACTACAGTTAAAAGGATCCATCAATCATTTATACAGTAGTATGAATGCATTTTACCAGATCAGTTTCCTGCTATCTCACCATTGAAAAAACAAGATTTCTGAAACCAGGAGAGGAGATGGGTAATTCTAGAGCCTGGGATATTTGAAGAGAGTGAATGCATTATTCCTATGGACCTCCCCTCCAGTGATTTATTGGCTGAGAAGGTAGTGTTGGAGAGGGGAAAGCCTGAGGTCTTGGAGAAGAAGATACCAGAATAGAAAAGCAGCAAGGAAAGCGGTGAAAGGAAGCACTGTTTGAACTCCTGTCTGATGCTGGTGCCACACCCAGGAATGGGGAGGAGAAAGTTTGTGCTTTTTCTTCTCCACTCTTTTCTACACAGGTACCTGCTCCCAAGGCATATGGCTGGTGTATCCATAGTGGGCAGTGTTCCCCTGGATCATGTCACTCATTCAACAGGCAGTGGGTACACTGCCACGTGGGTTCCCTGTTTCTCCTGCCATCTTTATGGTGGGGAATGGCACCACCATTCAATGGCCACTCCTGGATGCCTCCCTGTCCTCTATGGCTTCAATGATTTCTTTTTTTTCTTTTTTTTGAGAAAGAGTCTCGCTCTGCCACCCAGGCTAGAGTGCAGTGGCATGATCTCGGCTCACTGCAACCTCTGCCTTCCAGGTTCAAGTGATTCTCCTGCCTCAGCCTACTGAGTAGCTGGGACTATAGGCACCCGCCACCACGCCCAGCTAATTTTTGTATTTTTAGTAGAGACAGGTTTTCACCATATTGGTCAGGCTCGTCTCGAACTCCTGACCTTGTGATCCACCCGCCTCGGCCTCCCGTCTCTAATAAAAATACAAAAATTAGCTGAGTGTGGTGGCGGGCACCTGTAATCCCAGCTACTTGGGAGGCTGAGGGTAAGAGAATCACTTGAACCCAGGAGGCAGAGGTTGCAGTGAGCTGAGATCACGCCACTGCGCTACTGCCTGGGAGGCAGAGCGAGACTCTATCTCAAAAAAACCCCCCCAAAATTACTAAGTACCAACTAGGTCTAGGCATGCGGCAAGGGTGTAAAGATGATTAAGGCAGAATGCTGGCTCCTAAACCTGTCCCAGCAGTTCCCACTGCTACTGCCTCTGTTCTTGCCTCAATTATTGCTTATCTCCTTGAGCACGATGTCCTAAGAGGCCTCCCTGCCTCTGGTCTCTCCAGCTCCAATCAGCTCTCCCCAGTGCCACCAGCATGGTATTTCTAAAATATGGTTATCCTCATATGCTGAGGTGATGGCCAGTATGCCTGTCATAAGTACAATCCAAATAGTGTCAGCAGTGAGAAATTTTTTAAGCAACTTATGTGTTATATGTTATTAAAGGAGATTCAAATTTTGGAACAAAGTACATCATGGGGGGAAATTCATTGACTTTCATAACAATACACTACAATTATATAGTATTGAATATTGCTGAACATTAACCAATATTCAATTTGGATTTACATGCCGGTAAATGTTGCAAGAAATAAGACAGAGTTTATCACATAAATACTGATTATAAAGCTATTTTATTTAAATCTGATCTATTTTCAGTACATGAAATGTCCAGAGATGGAAATACCTAAAATAATCAATTAATTAAAGCCATGTATAAGAGAAAAGATAATTTGATGAGTAAGGTAAAAATAACATAGCAATATATGAGTTGAGTAACATATGGTGAGAACGGGCAGCTCTTCTATTCAGTCATGCCAAATTTGAAACACCTCACCTACTGTTACAGCTTTGGCAGAACATAACCAAATTGCAAAATATGCCACAGCAGGAATTTGTTACAAAATTCAAAATTCAAAGAGTAAAGGTAATCATTAAATGTTAATAGAATCTGGTGACACAGAAAACAGGCAGTAACTCCTTGTGTGACATAAATAATTCTGATATTCTCAAGCACTTTTATAAAAATATGTATCAAGTGAATGTATATGGTGGTTCTAATCTTTGTTACTCATTCATTAAGTCATTAAGTAAATAAGTTCCCCCACCCTAAATGGTAGTAGTACTGTTATATTACTAAACTGAACACACCTAAAGTTAATAAATTACAAATTGTGATATTATTAGTAATAGAGCAAGAAAAAGAAGAAAATGAGAAGGAAGAAAAGGAAGATGGAGGAGAAGTAATTTAAGCAATTGAAATAAAGATAATTTTTAGATTGAAGGAGCATGCTAGGTTCCAGAATAATTTGATACAAAATGTTAAACACCAAGACAGCTTGGTTAAATTAATAAATTTCAAGAATAAAAAATATCTTTAGGCATAAAGACAGAAAAAGCAAGTCAGTTTGACCCCAGAGCTGTCCTAATGAACATTTGATGCTGGAAGATAATGCAGCAGTGTCTACAAAATTGTGAAAGTGATTGTGACCTAAGAATATTATACCCAGCCGAGATATTATTCAAGTATCAGAGTAACCCAAAGACATTCTCAACACCAAGAGACTCAAGGAATTCAGAACAAAAAAGTCCTTCTTGGAAAAAAAAAATTGCTTTTTGATAATATCTATCCAATTAAGAGCTCAATCAAAATACAAAACTTGGGAAAAGTGATGTTAAAGTAAAAAGACCAGTGGTGAACCTTACAGTCCTATTGACATGGAACCAAAACTAGAAGGATGGAAGCCAACCATCTTGATCTTTCATTGCAGAGACTCAGTTACTACCATGTAAAATAGAAGCATTTCATTAAAAACAAACGATATGGGGCTGGGCATGGTGGCTTCTGCCTGTAATCCAAGCACTTTGGGAGGCCCAGGTGGGTGGATTACCTGAAATCAGGAGTTCGAGACCAGCCTGGCCAACATGGCGAAACCCCATCTCTACTAAAAATACAAAAAAATGGCCAGGCACGGTGGCTCACGCCTGTAATCCCAGCACTTTGGGAGGCCAAGGTGGGTGGATCACGAGGTCAGGAGTTCAAGACCAGCCTGGCCAAGATGGTGAAACCCTGTCTCTACTAAAAACACAAAAATTAGCCAGGAGTGGTGGCAGGCACTTGTAATCCCAGCTACTCGGGATGCTGAGGCAGGAGAATTGCTTGAACCCGGGAGGCGGAGGTTGCAGTGAGCCAAGATTGCGCCACTGCACTCCAGCCTGGGCAACAGAGCGAGACTCTGTTTCAAAAAACAAAATGGCTCCAACCTCTTAATGTCTTGGGGTTTTTTTCTCTTAATCTTAGAGGGACCTTTTAGGAAAATATTTTAAGATGAAGAATTATTTCTTTGAAGTTCAGCAAGTCTAATTTCACTTTAGTTTCTTTATCTTCTGTAAAAGGGAAAATTAAGTTCAACATTGCTTAAATTGCATGCTTACTTAAGATACACTCTAAATTCTTAAGAAACAACTTTTAGAATTCTTTTTGCAACTCAGTGCAGTCATTAGCTGTGGGCTGCCTGAATGTAGAGTCCAGCAGGAGTAGGAAAGGGGCACCCATTCTGCAATCAGGAAACCCTGCATCCTGTTCTGGCCCCGGCTCTGGCAAGCTCTCCCTTTTGGGAAGCTCCTGTTAACTCTCTGGCCTCTCGCCTTGTTTGTACAAAGGGAACAGTTCTCTCTTCCTGATAATCTTACAGGAGGGTGTGGGAGTTAGGAGAATAGCACAGGAAAAACATCTCAAATGGCAGGATAGTTCTCCACTTTGTCAACAGGAAAGGTTGCATGCAGCCTGAACAGCCCATTCCCTAACCTGGTTGGAAAAGGATGGCTTTCTATTGAAAAGAGTTTACCCAGGCACCAAGGGGTCAGGGTGTTTCACTTGAGGCTGGCTTCAAACCTGTCCCCTGCACTTCAGTTTCTGTTCCACTGCCTTCCATATACCTGGAGTGTTTTTTTCTTCTTTGCTTTCATTTACGGTGGCTATTGGACATTTTTTCTAAGATGTATTAAAGGCACATTCTTCTTTCTTCTTGTACCAATATGAAACTGGACTTTGCCTTTAGGTAGCCACACATTCCTGTTCTCAGTCCATGAGCTTTGGGGGAGCATATGACTCAGGCTTACGCTAATCTGAGAACCCCCCTAGCCTGAGCCACCCTTGCAGGGAGAGGAACCTGACCCAATCAAAGACACACTGAGATTTAGCTTGGAATGCTGGGAGAGATTCACACTCTTTTCCCCTTGAATTTGGGGCTGAGGGTGTAACCTCTGGAGCTGTTGCAATCATCTGGCACCCATGAGGAGTAAACCCTTCTGTGAATGGACCAGTCTTGGAAGAAAGCCAGGTCACAAGAAATACAGAGAAAGTACCTCCTGGTGACACAATCTGAATATCTAATTGGTCAGGTCAGAGGCCAGCTTGACCCCTATGCACTTACATCAGCCATCAATCCAGCTTTTGCTTAAGCTACTAACTAAAAAAACTCACTAATTTATACAGTTTGTTTTAGATGCAACTTATAGAGACAAATAAACCCTTCAAGGTGTAGCCCAAATGCTAAAATATCAGGGTTTCCCTGACCCTCCCACATAAATACAAGTTTTCCCTTCTGAAAACTGCCACAGCACTTGATCTGAACGTATCTTCTGGGACCTCTGGGTTCTTGCCATAGAGTACAAGTCTGCACACACATGCAACTTATCCATAGGCTGAAACTCTCCACAAATTCAAGCTTCGAAGGCAGGCATTCTTTTTCATCTGGCAATAGCTATCATAACACCAGTCATGAAATAAATGCTCAATAAGTGATTGCTCAATGGCTGTCTGGCTGGCTGGCGGTGGTTCTATTAATAGTTTTTAATTTTATCAGTTAGCAATCAATGAGAAAAGCTTGTTAATTTCTTTTTTTTTTTTTTTTTTTAGAGACAAGGCCTCGCTCTGTTGCCCAGGCTGGAGTGCAATGGCATGATTATGGCTTACTGCAGCCTCAACCTCTGAGGCTCAAGTGATCCTCCCACCTCAGTCTCCCTAGTAGCTGGGACTACAGGCGTGCACCACTATGCCAAAAGCTTGTTAATTTCAAGTCTTGTTAAAAATTGTTCTAAAGGCTGGGCACAGTGGTTCACGCCTGTAATCCCAGCACTTCGGGAGGCCCAGGCAGGTGGATTGCCTGAGCTCAGTAGTTTGAGACCAGCCTAGGGAACATAATGAAAGCCCATCTCTACAAAAAAAAAAAAAAAAAAAAAAAAAAAATTAGCTGGGCATGGTGGTGCATGTCTGTAGTCCCAGCTATTATACTTGGGGGTCTGAGGTGGGAGGATAACTTGGGCCTGGGAGGTCAAGGCTTCAGTAAGCTATAATCGCACACTGCACTCCAGCCTGGGTGACAGAGCAAGTCCCTGTCTCAAAAAAACAAAACTAAAAAACCCAAATTGTTCTAAAATGTCCCAGGCCTCCATCCCTGAATAGCAAAGCCCACTCCCATAGCTGCAGAAAGTAGAGGCGATTGGCCTTCAGGAGAAGTGAGACCGGAGCACCAGCCCTAATCCTGATCTTGGCTTGCGCTGCTTTAAATTCCCTGCTTCTGGCTGGGCGTGGTGGCTCAAGCCTGTAATCACAGCACTTTGAGAAGCCGAGGTGGGTGGAGCCCAGGAGTTCGAGACCAACCTGGGCAACATGGTGAAAACTCGTCTCTACAAACTAGGAAGGCTAAGGTAGGAGGATCACTTGAACCTGGGAGGTTGAGGCTGCCGCAAGCCATGACTGTGCCACTGCACTCCAGCCTGGGTGTCAGATCAAGACACTGTCTCAAAAATAAACAAATAAATAAATAAAGTCCTTGCTTCTTTCTCCAAAACATCAAAGGAGACCAGGAGGAAAACCCCTTTTATCCACATATTATTCTATAAATCTACCTTCAAGATAAGTTCATAGAAAAACTAGGAAATGGGTCATTTATTGTCCACATCTTTCATCATGTTGCCCAACTCCTGGCAGCAGCCTTTCTTCTGCCCATGTAATGCTCCTTGCAGGCCAGGAAGCAATCCCAATAATATCAATCCCCAATAAAATGCAATTTACTGCTAACTTCACAGAGGGCACCAAGAGAGCACCAAGCAGGGATAGGTGCCAATCCTTCAATCACACCTCTTAAACTTGATTAATAGGCCTTTTGTTTCCTCCATTCAATGATAATTCAAGCTCTTTCAGCTGGATTAATTCCCCAACTCCATCCAGCAAATTTTAGGATCTGACACCCAGACGCAGACAGGACTTAGCTCCACCTGCAGCCCTAGACCCACACCATGCTTGGGTGGAAGCACTCCTGAGAATGTCTGGTCAGGCAAGTGCTGGCAGTGTGGGACCACAGCCGTCTCCACACCCCTCCATCTCTGCATTCTTGCAGGCCTCACCCCCACCTGGACCTAAGACCTAGTGTACTCATGAGGCTCCCTTTCCCTTGTCCAGATTCTTTGCTTCAGTTTCTATTGGATAAGTATCCCACATCTGGTGATAAATCCCCTCAAATTCTCCGTGGAATGGGGTGAAATATAAATAAGTATGCAGCCAAAGAAATACTGATATCCCTGTTCCCAAACTTGCCCACTCTTGTCAAAGTACCAGAGTGCAGAGAGAGGCTCTGATCATCCCACCACTCCTCAATGCCCATCAATGGGTTTTCCTTTTTTTTTTTTTTTTTGAGACACAGTCTCGCTCTGTCACCCAGGCTGGAGTGCATCGGCGCAATCTTGGCTCACTGCAAGCTCCGCCTCCTGGGTTCACGCCATTCTCCCGCCTCAGCCTCCTAAGTAGCTGGGACTACAGGCACCCGCCACCACGCCCGGCTAATTTTTTTGTATTTTTAGTAGAGACGGGGTTTCACCATGTTAGCCAGGATGGTCTCAATCTCCTGACCTCGTGATCTGCCCACCTCAGCCTCCCAAAGTGCTGGGATTACAGGCGTGAGCCACCACGCCCGGCCCCATCAATGGGTTTTCAACAGAGCCCTCCACAGGGTCCCATTCCCATTGTCTTCCAGAGGATAGTCACTGGTGAGAAGATTAGGTGGTATGAAGGCATGACAAAGGAGAAAGCTGAGAACACTGAGTGTTCTGGAAATTGTAGCATAGAGTCCTGACTCCTTCCAAGCCTGCCACATCTGACCCCAACTCACCCTTCTAGTGCCTGCCCTCACATCAACCTTCTATTGCAGTTCCTGAGATGCTGCAAACTCACTAGTGCCCCTTCCTTGCACGTGCAGTCCCTCCTGTCTGTGGCCTTTCTATTTCCTTATACATCACACTAAGTGTGATGGCCTCTTGGAAGCCACCTTCCCCAGCTGATCCCAGCAGGGTAAGTGGCCTTTTCTGAGCTCAGCCACCTTTGTGCCTGCCTGACTTCTTCCTTCCACAAATGACTGAGCACAAACAGGATGTCAGCCCTGTGCCAGATACGACATGTTGCTGAGGGCAAACATAATACAGAAGACAGTGTGACAAAGGTAACTATCAAAACGCAGTCACAATAGACAGCAAAGTCATGCAGCCTTCTGCACGGAACCCTGCCGCCTCAATTGTTAATGGCTGATCTGTTTACCAGGCTGTGATCTCAAGGAGGGGCTATGTCCATTCATATTTCTACCCCACCCCCTAGTAAAGAACATGCAACACAGTAGGTGTGACATGAACATGAAAAAATGGACTCCACAGGCATGTGGAGCAAATACCAATGGCCCCAGGGCAGCCACCCCAGGGCAGCCACCCCAGGGCAGACACCCCGAGTCCCAGGTTTAAAGCCACCTCTGGGGCTGCTCCCCAGTGTGAGCTCTAAATCAGCCCAGGGTCAAAGAGCGAGGTGGCTGCTAACTGACTTGTGACCAGAGGAAAGTTGTGAGCTCTTATTTATGGCATTGAAGTTTTGTGCAGAAAAAATAAGTTGAGTTTGTCCAGTAACCACTGGTAAATTGTGAAACAATGTGAAATGGGAGTGGGAGCACATGATTTTTCAGGTTTGTTAAGGCCATGCACCGTGCTCAAGGAACAGGAATCCTGCCCTCTTGCTGGCTGAACCTTCCCTGCCCATTGTACCTGACATAAGGGATAAAAATATGCCACTCCAAAATATGCCACTTTGGCATATGATTGTTTTGAGCTGCAGGCAAATGAAAACCAACAGACGCAGAAAGGAGCCTTCTAAGAGCTTCTCTCATGACTAAAAACAGAAACTCTTTTGACTCTTACGCTCTTTGCTCTTATGACAAAAAACAGAAACTTCTGAGAAACAAGAACTACCATAAATCTCCTCTCTCAGGGAAGTTTTACAGCCACGAAGATGGAAAGCTGGCACCAAGTAGGCCCGCACAAACAAACCTTACTCCATTAGAGTTCCCATATATTTACCAAATCTCATGTTGAAGTGTGACCTCCAATGTTGAAGGTGGGGTCTAGTGGGAGGTGTTTGGGTCATGAGGGTGGATGCCTTATGAATGGCTTGGGGCCATCCCGTGGTAAAGAGTAAATCCTCTCTTTGGTAGTTCAAGGGAGAGCTGGTTATTTAAAGGCGCCTGGCATCTCCTTCTCTTGCTTCCTCCTTCTCTCTCTCTTGCTCCCCTCTTGCCATGCGACACGCCTGTTCCCCCTTCACCTTCCGCCATGAGTAAAACCTACCTGCAGCCTCACCTGAGGCCAAGCAGGTTTCTGGTGCCATGATTGTACAGCATGCAGAACATGAGCCAAATAAACCTCTTTTCTTTACAAATTACCCAGCCTCAGGTATTCCTTCTAGCAATGCAAAACAGAAACACAACTTCCAACAGTTTGCCACCTTTGCAAGCCTAAAACCCCTTTCTTTTACCCTGCCACTTCTCTAAACATTTCTTTCTCTTTCATTAAGATGCTATGTAAGCTGAAGTTCTAACCAACGCTTTGAGTTACTCATCTCTGGATACTCCCAGGTATATGCACAATTCCCATGCTAGATGTGATACCCATGCTAGATGCACATGCTAAAAAGCTCCTGTTTTTCTTTCTTTTTTTTTTTTTTTTTTTTGAGACGGAGTCTCGCTCTGTCGCCCAGGCTGGAGTGCAGTGGTGTGATCTCAGCTCACTGCAGCCTCCACCTCCAGGGTTCATGCAATTCTCCTGCCTCAGCCTCCTGAGTAGCTGGGATTACAGGTGTGTGACACCATGCCTGGCGAATTTTTATATTTTTGGTAGAGATGGGGTTTCACCATGTTGGCCAGGCTGGTCTCGAACTCCTGACCTCAGGTGATCCACCCACCTCAGCCTCCCAAAGCGCTGGGCCTACAGGTGTGAGCCGCAGCACCCAGCCTGCTTTTCTCGTGTTAATCTATATCTTGTTAGTCTAATTTACAGGGACCTAGCTGGACATCTAAAATGGGTACAGACAAAAGGTTTTTTTCTATCCCTAATGGAGAGAAATCCACCTCTGACCCCCACAGCAGAGGTGGGACTACTTACAAGCTGACACCATCTGGGGCTCGTGGGGAGCGGCCCTGTTCCACTGCAGGGATTGAATGTGGGGTATAAATTGTGCTTTACACAATTGCTGCCAGCCCACGCTAGCTACAAACACTGAACAATCTAGATGTCAACTTTTACATGGGAGCAGATAGCACAGACCGCAGGACCTATGAAGAGAATCAGCAGCCAAACTGAGCAAGTACCCATTGAAAAGGGGATCGTGTAGGAAACATACACCTCTGTAAATGCCAACTGTGTTTTTCAGGGAGACTTAAGAACACACTACAATGAGAAAACAAGAGCAGGCTGCCAAGAAAAAGCATCCTGAGAGCATTAAGCTCTTTTGGCAATTAAAAAAAAAAAGATTGCTGGGGGGAAAAAAACCCACAACAACTCTACAGGGGTAGCAGATAGAAGAATGGAGTCAGCGGCGAAAAGATGAGCTGGCGAGTTAGAAAAACAATTCGAGGAGCTCTCTGAGAATCTCGGGGAAAAAAGCAAAGCAACAGAATTAATGGGGAAAAAATTTAAAAGATGTAAAATATGTTCTTGGAGTTCCAATATCCATATAACAACAGTAGTAAAAATTTTAAAAATAAACAAATGGGCCGGGTGCAGTGGCTCACACCTGTAATCCCAGCACTTTGGGAGGCTGAGGCGGGTGGATCACGAGGTCAGGAGTTCGAGACCAGCCTGGCCAATATGGTGAAACGCCGTCTCTACTAATAATACAAAAATTAGCTGGGCATGGTGGTGCGCACCTGTAGTCCCAGCTACTCGGGAGGCTGAGGCAGGAAAATCACTTGAACCCAGGAGGTGGAGGTTGCAGTGAGCCGAGATCGTGCCATTGCACTCCAGCCTGGGTGAGAGTGAGACCCTGTCTCAAAAAATAAAAATAAAAAATAAAATAAACAAATGAAGGGCTATCAGTATATTAAAAAGTATGGCCAGGCACAGTGGCTCACGCCTATAATCCCAGCACTTTGGGAGGCCAAGGCGGGCAGATCACTTGAGGCCAGGAATTCAAGACCAGCCTGGCCAATATGGCAAAACCTTGTGTCTACTAAAAAGAAAATGCAAAAATTAGCCAGGTGTAGTGGCGCATTCCTGTAGTTCCAGCTACTTGGGAGGCTGAGGCATGAGAACTGCTTGAGCCTGGGAGGCAAAGGTTGCAATGAGCCAAGATCATGCCACTATATTCCAAGAGCAATACTCTATCTCAAAAAAAAAAAAAAAATTAAAAAGCAGAATACAATTTCCCTGAGATGAAGAGCTGAAGAAAGACTTGAGTTTTTCAGATCAACAATGGCGATAGAAGATTATTGAAAAAAGAAAAAATTATATAAAGATCTTTAGCAGGCTGGGCATGGGCTCAAGCCTGTAATCCCAGTGCTTTGGGCGGCTAAGGCAGGAGGATCACTTGAAGCCAGGAGTTTAGACCAGCCTGGGCAATATAGTGAGACCCTATCTCTACATAAAATTTTAAAAATTAGCCAGGCATGGTGGCAGGCACCTATAGTCCTAGCTACTCAGAGACTAAGGCTAGCAGACCTCTTGAGTCTAGGAGTTCGAGGTTACAGTGAGCTATGATCACACCACTGCACACCAGCCTGGGCAACAGAGCAAGAACTTATCTCTAAACAAACAAATAAACAAATGAAAACCATCCAACTATATTTATTAGCCAGGCACGGTGGCAGGTGCCTGTAGTCCTGGCTACTTGGGAGGTCAAGGTGGGAGGATTGCTTGAGCCCAGGAGTTTGAGGCTGCAGTGAACTCTGATTGCACCACTGCATTCCAACCTGGGTGACAGAGTGAGACCCCATCTCTAAAAAGTAAAATAAATAAAAATAAATAAAGATCCTTAACAAACAAAAACAGATTACTCACAGAGAAAAAATAGACCATTAGTGGACTTCTCATCTACAACACCAGAGACTAGAAATTTATGAAGCAAGGTTTATATATTCTGAGGTGAAAGCACTGTGATTATGACCTCAGAATTTTACACCTAGCTCAACTTTCCCTCACATGTGACAGCAAAAGAAGGACATACAAGTAAAGACACTTAAGGTCTCAGAAAGTAAACTCTGGAATAATTTTTTTAATTACTTGATGGAGTATTCCTGCCAAATGGAAAATTAATCACCTTAAATAATTCAAGAAAGGAGAAGAAAAGCTATAGGAAAACTTATCATGAGCAATGAAACCAATTAAAGTATAAGGTATGGCTAACAAGTGCGTTGTAATATGACCATGAAGCTTAATACCTGTTCAGAAAGGATGTTTACAAAAGAAAAAAAAATTAACAATTTGGTAGTAATCTGGAACTAAAAGTTCACATTATTTCAACTAAATCTGAAAGTGAGAAGGAAGAGGGAAGAAGAAAAACTATAAAAGTGTGCTAAATGTTTTATTTTCTCTGGAAGAATAGTTATATTCTACTCTTTGTGGTGATAGATGAGATAGGTTCTAGAGTGTGCATGTATGTGTGTGTTGGTGTGTGTATACACTTTTTTTTTCTGAGATGGAGTTTCACTCTTGTTGCCCAGGCTGGAGTGCAGTGGCACAATCTCAGCTCACTGCAACCTCCGCCTTCCAGTTTCAAGCAATTCTCCTACCTCAGCCTCCCGAGTAGCTGGGATTACAGGCGCCCGCCACCACGCCCGGCTAATTTTTGTATTTTTAATAGAGACGAGGTTTCACCATGTTGGTGAGGCTGGTATTGAACTCCTGACCTCATGATCCGCCTGCCTCAGCCTCCCAAAGTGCTGGGATTACAAGCGTGAGCCACTGCGCCTGGCCCACTTTTTTTCTTTTTTTAAGACAGAGTCTCATTGTGTCACCCAGGCTGGAGTGCAGTGGCGTGATCATGGCTCACTGCATCCTTGAACGGACAGGCTCAGGTGATCCTCTCTGAGGAATACCTCCACCTCCCGAATAGCTGGGACGAGAGGCATGTGCCACCATGTCCAGCTAATTTTGTATTTTTTTGTAGAGACGGGGTTTCACCATATTGCCCAGGCTGGCCTCAAACTCCTGGGCTCAAAATATCCACCGGCCTTGGCCTCCCAAAGTGTTGGGATTACAGGTGGAAGCCACCACATCTGGCCTATATATATGTTTTGATGGGGAAGTTACCACTCTGTAATTATCATTTAGAGAACTGGTGAAACAGAATGGAAGGAAAGGTAGAAAGTTTCGGCCAGACATGTTGGCTCACGCCTGTAATCCCAGCACTTTGGGAGGCTGAGGCGGGTGGATCACAAGGTCAGGAGATCAAGACCATCCTGGCCAACATAATGAAACCCCTTCTCTACTAAAAATACAAAAAAAAAAAAAAAACTTAGCCGGGCATGGTGGCACACGCCTGTAATCCCAGCTACTCAGGAGGCTGAGGCAGGAGAAACACTTGAACCCGGGAGGAGGAGGTTGCAGTGAGCCGAGATCATGCCACTGCACTCCAACCTGGATGACAGAGCAAGACTCCATCAAAAAAAAAAAAAAAAAAAGAAAAGAAAGAAAGGTAGAAAGTTTCAATAGCGTGGAGATACACACACACACACAAGCACTAGAACTTACATATATATGGATATATACATATAGATATATGCATATATACACATATATATTATATACATATATTTGTGTATGTATATATATGTGTGTACAACAAATACAACTTTTCAACTCTAAGGATTATTGCTAGGAATATGTGAGTCCAAGGAATATCCTAGGCCGCTAAGAAAATCTCAATATAGTCTTAGATGTAGAACTCATACAAACTGTATAAACTGGCCATAGTGCAGAAATTAACAAGTATGAAATCGCACCATCACATTCCAGCCTGGGTGACAGAACAAGAAACCAAACATCAAAACCACTTGAAAATTTTAGAAAACACTATTCTCTAAAACTTTTCAAGAGAAAAAAATTTCTTTTTTTTTTTTTTCGAGTCAGGGTCCGGTTCTGATGCTCTGGTTGGAGTGAAGTGGCACCATCACAGCTCACTGCAGGCTCAAATTCTTAGGTTCAAGCAACCCTCCTGCCTCAACCTCCCAAATAACTGGGACTACAAGCATGTACCACCGACCATGCCTGGCTAATTTTTTTTATTTTTTGTAAAGATGAGGTCTTGCTATGTTGCCCAGGCTGATCTCGAACTCTTGACCTTAAGCAAGAGAACCTTTTTAAGAAAAGACTGAAATGAAATTTGAGAAATGATTGACTATGAGAACACTAATGAAGTTATCAAAGTTATGGCATACAGCCAAAACCATATACAGAGAACTTATGCCTTAAAAGAGTTATTATTAGGCAGGGCATTGTAGCTCACGCCTGTAATCCCAGAACTTTGGGAGACTGAGGCGGGTGGATCACTTGAGGCCAGGAGTTCGAGACCAGCCTGGTCAACATGGGGAAACCCCGTCTCTACTAAAAATAAAAAAAATTAGCCAGGCATGGTGGTGGGCACCTGTAGTCTCAGCTACTGGGGAGGCTGAGGCAGGAGAATCACTTGAACCCAGGAGGCACAGGTTGCAGTGAGCCAAGATCTACCACTGCACTCCAGCCTGGGTGACAGAGGGAGATTCTCAAAAAAAAAAAAGTTATTATTATTAAACAATAAAGATTGCAAATAAATGAATTATAAGTTCAAGAAGCTAGAAAATGAATAATGACAAAAGTTAGAAGGAAGAAAATGACAAAAATAAAATGATCAAACAGAAAGAAGGAAAACATTAAAATCAGTAAGCAATCTAAGGAAAGACTAAAAGTACAGTACTTTGAAAAGACTGCTAAACCACAAATATACAACATCAGAAATAAAAAAAGGGGGTATAGTTACAGGCATATAGGAGATTTTTAAATAATGAAAGATAACTCAGGATGAACTGGAAAATCTTCCAAAAATCTGACACAAGAGCCAAAACAGATTAATGCCATGGCAAAAATGGGAAAAGTTCCCAAAAATCTACTATAAAAAAGGCACCAGTTCCAAGATGGTTTTTCAAAAAACTTTTATAAGCCTAAATTTCTTATATTCTTCAAATTGTTCTAGAGCAGAGAAATTATAATAGAATTTTAACATTCACTGAGTATTTAATATGTGCCAGGCACTACGCTAAACAATTTATATGTACAGTTGGCCCTCAGTATCTGCAGGTTACGCACCCGTGGATTCAACAAATCTTGGATCAAAAATATTCAGGCGAAAAAAAATCAATTAAAAAAGTACCACAATAAAAAAATATACAAATTCAAAAATATAGTAAAACAACTCTTTACATAGCATTTACATTGTATTAGGCATTATAAGTAATCTAGAGATGACTTAAAGTATACAGGAGGGGATGGGTACAGTGGCTCACACCTGTAATCCCAGCACTTTGAGAGGCCTAGGGAGGGTTGCTGCCTGAGCCCAAGAGTTCTCAAGACCAGTCTGGGCAATGTCGTGAAACCCTGTCTCTACAAAAAATTTAAAAATTAGCTGAGTGTGGTGGTGCACACCTGCAGTCCTGTATAATCTGGTGGCTGAGGTGGGAGGATTGTTTGAACCCAAGAGATTGAGGCTGCAGTGAGCCACGAGTGCAGCACTGCACTCCAGCCTGGGCGACAGAGCAAGACCCCGTCTCAAAAAATAAAAATAAAATAAAAAATAAAGTATACAGGAGGATGTGTAGAGGTTATATACAAATACTATGCCATTTTATATCAGAGACTTGAGCATCTATGAATTTGAAACAGACTCCCATGGATCCCGTGGGATGGCTGCATTATCACGTTCAAAACATGAAAGCTTACAAATTCATTAAGAAATTAGTATAAGGCTGGGCATGGTGGCTCATGCCTGTAATCCCAGAACTTTGGGAGGCCGAGGCAGGTGGATCACCTGAGGTCAGGAGACCAGCCTGACCATTATAGTGAAACCCTGTCTCTACTAAAAATGCCAAAAAATTAGCCAGGCATGATGATGTGCACCTGTAATCGCAGCTACTTGGGAGGCTGAGGCAGGAAAATGGCGTGAACCCGGGAGGTGGAGGTTGCAGTGAGCCGAGATCGCGCCACTGCACTCCAGCCTGGGTGACACAGCGAGACTCCATCTCAAAAAAAAAAAAAAAAAATTAAAAAAAATTTTTTAAATCCAAAAGATAGAACCAGAGATAAAGCCAATTTCTCCTAATTTATTGCAATTTCAATCAAAATCCAATAAATATGTAAGTTTTAAAACTGCATAAATTGTAAGAGCAAAAGAAATGCATACATTTTTTTCTTTCGAGGAATTTGTTCCTGAATTCTTTAATTAGTCCCTTAATTCCTCAACGGAAACAACAACAACAACAGGCAAAGGACCTAAACAGGCCACTCGCAAATGCAGAAACACAATGGCCAATAAACAAGTGGAAAGCCACTCAACCTTTACAATAAGCTAAGAAACGTGGTGATACCAGCTGTTGAGGAGTCGGAGGGGAAAGCTTATTCTGATAGTGTGGGAAGTTTATCCTAAAGCAGGAAACAAATCACAGTCAGTTTAGCAGATATGTAGTTCAGCAAATATGTGGTTTAGCCATATATAGTTCTGAGTTGTCAAAAACCAGCGAAAAATGCTTTCATTTTGCAAGTGGATCTCTAAGAACCAAGAAGCGCCTTCTATGAACAATCTATTGCTAATGGTGAAAAGTTCACATAGTTATGCTACCTTTTTGGCTAAAAGAGGGAAAATAGGACCTGATAAGATTGCTCCTACCTGCATATATATTCGTAAAGAAACTCTCAGAAGAAACATTCAAAACTAGTAACAATGGCTACCTGTGGATGGGAAGAGGGAGAAGTGGTGGGAATTAGGCAGTTGGGCATGGACAGAAGATTGCACTCTCTCTCTCCTCTTTACAAATTTTGTTCGTGAACTGTACGAATGTATTACCTATTAAAAAACTGAGTTAAAATCTGTTTAATAAAAATAATTACAACTGGATGTGATTTTTTTTCCCCATACAGACATTCTCAGATAGCGCTGCCTGGTGTTAATGGTTTCAACTTTTCAGACAGAAACTAACTACTTGTCTCTGATCCTAGAATCCAGCCTTACTGAGATTCCGTGTCAGTGCTCTCGGAAAATTCCACTAAATTCTAAAGGGCAGTTTGGTAACATGTATCAAATGTAGAATTCCCGTCCCCCTACACCCAGCAGTGGCACTTCTAAAAATTTATCCTAAAGAAGTTACTGGATAAAGATGCAAAGATGATTCTGCAGCATTATTTATTACAGGAGGAAACTGGAAACTTACTATCCACCTGCGTGGGGACTGGCAGCATAAATTGTGGTCATCAACACGGACACTGCATATCTGCAGACCACATTTAGAGTTGCAAGGCCCCAGAAGCTCCTTGTCCTCAGCTGTGTGACTCTTTGGATCTTTGCTCCTCTCGCCCTCTACCTGGTACTTGGATGCACCACCCCACCCTGTGCCGGCCTACTCACCTGGTCAGCGTAGGGGTGCGGTGGTTGGGGTTGGAGCAGAAGATGTTGTTGGTCTTGCGGGTGCCGTCCAGGAACTCACGCACCGACTGGTTGCGCAGCTCTGCTAGGGGCCGGGCCTCGTGCTTGAGGAACCACTGGTGTGCCTCGAAGCACTTGGCGCAGAGGAGCTGCTCGCACTCAAAGCACCAGAAGTCGGCCGACTCTTTGCAGCGGGTGCACACAGCCTGCGCATCCACAATCTGCCGGTACACCGACAGGCGCCGCTGCAGACTCTCGAAAAAGACGTTATCCAGGGCGGGTGTGTCTGCACCTAGGGGCCAGGGCGCCTGGCAGATGGGGCACTGCATGCCCGACGCCTCCAGGCATCCTGAGCACAGCGTGTGCAGACAAGGCAGCAGCTTCGGGCACTTGGCTTCCGCCTGGCATTGCTGGCAGCGCAGAAACTGGAACTCCTCCTCCGAAGCGGGGGCTCGCTGGGGGACCAGAGAGGCAGGTGAGGCCTGGAGAAGTCCCAAAAGCCCCCACCTACCGGCCAACCACCCTTACAGCTGGACCCTGGAGTAGGACCTCATATTCCATTCCAGCCAGTCATTGGATGATGCAAAACCCTGGCTTATCAGCACCCCAATACCCCCATTTATTCAGGCCCTCCAGCTCTCACTGCACCATTTATTGAGCATCTACTTCTCATCACCCACAGTAATAGGCTCTGAGATATAAGAGGTGTAGGATACATTCTGCCTTCAAGGAACTCAGTTTGGAAGGTAGATACACTAAGTACCAACCTCATATAAAGTGCTTAATGCACAGTTTGGGGGTTCATTAAAGAGGTAAGCATGGAACAACAATATGACCCAGAAATTCCACTCTTAGATATATAACCAAAAGATGTAAAAACAAGGCCCAAACAGATACTTGTACAACAATGTCCACAGCAACACTATTCACAATAGACAAAATGTAGAAACAATCCAAGTATCCATCAACAGATGAATAGATAAACAAAATGTGGTCTACACATATAATGGAATATTACTCAGCGTTAGAAAGAAATGAAATTCTGATACATGCTACAACATAGATAGACCTCAATGACATTATGCTAAGTGAAATAAGCCAGTCACAAAAGGTCAAACACTGTATGATTCTGAGGCAGGAGAATAGGGTCTGGAGGCAGGGAACCTAAGGCCGATTCCCTCTGACTTCCTAGAACTAAATCGAAAGGAAAACCGCAACTCTCCATGCCTCAGTAACAAAAGGAAGAGAGGCTACTCTCTTTGCAAATCACCCCATTTCCTGCAGGGCAGATGGAAAATTGAAAGTACGTCTGGTTGGTTGCTTTCTGCAACCAATGGGGTGAACACCAAGTGGCCAATGGGAAACCTCTAGGGGGTATTTGGAACCCAGAAGATTCTGTAACTGGGGTCCTTGAGCCCTGCTCTAGCCGCTCCCACCCTGTGGGGTGTACTTTCATTTTCAATAAATCTCTGCTTTCATTGCTTCACTCTTTCCTTGCTTTGCTGTACATTTTGTCCAATTCTTTGTTCAAAATGCCAAGAACCTGAACAATTTGCAGTCAAGATCCTCTACTGGTAACAATTCCACTTACATGAAATATCTAGAATAAGTAAGTTCATAGGGACAGAAGGTAGATTAGAAGTTACCAAGGGCTAGGGGAAGGAGAAAATGAGGAGCTATTGCATTACTGGGGCTCAGGACACACCACTTCAAAGTATGACTGCAGGAGGCTCTTGAAATATACTTCTTTGGCATATTTTAAGCTGGTTATTCTGAGAAACTGCTGATACAGGAATAGCTCTGAAAAGCTCTCCTTTTGTAAAAAAGAAAGGCATTTATATCTTAAAAGAAAATCTACATTAGTAAAATGATCTATATTAAAAGAGGGCTGCTCCAGACAACTTTTATTATCTAAGAACTTTTAATCTACATAGCAAGACAACCTCTATTCACCAAACAGCTCCTCTCCTCACCCTCCCATAACTTGTGTTATCACCATCACCCAGAAGCTCCAAGCTCTTTTCCGTAGCTCAGGATGTTATACAGGCTTCAATCATCTGACCTTTCTTTGAGTCTCATATATTGTGGGACTCCTGAGTATACATATGTAATTAAATATGGGTTTTCCGCTGGTAATCTATTTTATGACTATTTAATTCATAGGCTATTTAATTCATAGCCCAGCCAAGGAAACTAGAAGGGTGGAGGCAAGCCATCTTTCCCTCCCCTATGGTTTAAAGAGTACAGAGTTTCTGGAGTAATGAAAAAGTTCTGGAAATAGATGGTGGTGATGGTTACACAATATTGTGAATCTACTTAATGCCACTGAATGGTACACTTATAAATGGTTAACATAGGAACTTATCCATTAGGTATATTTTACCACATTTTGTAAAATACAAAAACAGGCCGGGCATGGTGGCTCATGCCTGTAATCCCAGCACTTTGGGAGGCCGAGGTGGGTGGATCACGAGGTCAGGAGTTAGAGACCAATCTGGCCAACATAGTGAAACCCCATCTCTACTAAAAATATAAAAAATAGCCAGGTATGGTGGCGTGGCCTGTAATCCCAGCTACTCGGGAGGCTGAGGCAGGAGAATGGCGTGAACCCGGAAGGAGGAGGTTGCAGTGAGCCGAGATCGCACCATTGCACTCCAGCCTGGGCGACAGTGTGAGACTCCGTCTCAAAAACAAACAGATAAACAAACAAACAAAAAACAAAGCAAAACAAACAAACAACAACAAAAAAAAACCAAAGTGCTTAATACAGTACCTGGCACATTTGAAGTGCTCATAAATGTTACCTAGTATTGTTAAGTAATGTTATTCTTAGTTGTAATAATGTTTATAAAAGTTACTGTAATACGGTGTCCTCTGTACTTTCATGAAGGGGAGTAAAAGGGCCTGAAAGGCAGCAGAGCAAGAAACCCAAGTAGTTCCTTTGTCGGGGGAGGTGGGAGGTGGGCAGGAAAGGTGTGGCAAGAGAAGGGTTCGTTGGGGAGGCTTCCTTAAGCAGAAACCACATGAGCTGGGAGGCCTTGGCAAAGATACCTCTTCAGTCTGAGCCAGTTTCTCACCTCGGATCTGGGAAGTTGGTTTTAGTTTTGCCGTGCCTGGGACATGCCCCTGGCTCCAGGCCAGCGCAACAGGGGTACTACCTCCATCCTCCCTAATCTGAAGTCCTGCATCTGAGGCAAAGTTGAGGCAGGGCTCGAGGGTGGGCGGAAGGGCCCAGGCCCGGAGGCCACTGACCCTTCTCACCTTGCCCAACTGCTCAGTGGAGAAACCGCAGCCCAGCGAGGCCGCCCCAACTCCTCCGTGTCCTCTTTTCTACTCTATCCTACCCTCCCTTCCCTGCCCCACCCGAGACGGTCAGGACCCTGGTGTCTGGACTTCCCGCTTTGTGTCACTCTCTAGGGTACTTGACCAAATCCTCCGTTAGACCCTCTCTTCCCGCCTCTCCCCACCACAGCAAACCAACAAAGCTTAACCCCATCATCCCCTAACCCAATAGTACCTCTGTAGGGCTGGGGCTGGGGCTGGGCTGGCGGCCTTCAGAGGGGGTCTCGGGGGGAGGCATGGTGGGCTCCTGGGGCCGGGCGGGGTCCTGCTGGGGCCTCGGAGATCGGGCGGGTGCAGGCTCCATGGACCCCAGCTTAGTTTCGATTCTCGGTTTAGATCTTGGAGTGCGTGAAGAGAAGCTGAAGGGGAGGCGTGAGCCAGTTGGCTGAGTCCCTTGAGCTGTCCGAAAGGGGAGGTGCCGGCTCAGGGCCCGCCTCTGGAGAGGAAGTGAGACAGAAGCTGGGGGCGGTTCTAGGGGGCAGAGAGGCCGACTGTGGGTTTTAAAGACACGCCCAGAGCGGGGAGGAGGTAGAGGCGGAGAGCTGCAGACCTACCGCTGACTTACGGTAAAGCGGGAGAGGTAGGGCAGAGCTGCAGGGGGGCAGCCCTGCTCCCGGCTTTGATCCATTCATCCGTTCACACTGGCACTGCTTCGTGCCACGTCCTGCCGGGAGCTGGGCGTACAAAGATGAGCCACACGCAGCCCCTGCTTTCTAAGAGCCGTAGATGTAATGGAAGAGCAAGCCTGCAAACGGAGACATTCTGGAAAGGAGAGCCCACAGCTGGGACCTGCAAAAGCAGTGGAAATTCACCAGGGATTTAGGGTTGTAGGTGGTGGGGTACGGGGGACACTTGAAACAGAAAAGATAGCTCTTGCAAAAGCCTGTTTGGGAACTAATTTTGGCCATTTTCAGATTTAAGAGGGAATTCATGAGAAATGATACCCAAGGAGTGTGCTAGGACAAGATCCTAGCTGAGGAGATTGAACCAGTTCTGTGAGTGATGGGAAGTTGCTGAAGGATTTGGAACCAGGGAACAACACGATCAGCTGTGCATGATGGGACAGTCACTCTGACAACCTAGGAGCAGGTGCCCTGGTCTAGGACAGTGGCTGTGGGATGCAGAGGAGGGACTTGATTCAGAGATCCTGGGAAGCCAGTGACTGGAGGTGAGGGAGCAGGATGATGCCTTGAGTGACAGCTGGAAAGGCTGGTGGATCTGAGGTGGTGGGGGCAGGAGGGAGGGGGAGAGCTGGAGAGCGGGTATGAAGAGGGTGAGGGGAGAGCCAGCTAGGTCTTCGCCAATGGAAAAGCATGTCAGACTCCCAGCTGGTAAGGGGAAAGGGGCACAGTTCCAGGTGACCTCACTGGGTCAGCGCCCCGGCTTCAAACTTAAACCATCGCAACCACTGTGCTGGCTCCTGTGTACCCATTCCGTACTCTGTTCCAACTTAGAAACAGACTAGAAAGGATGATGATAGGGCCTGGCTCTTGTAAACCTTACAGTCTGCAGGGTGGAGAGCAGGGGTTGGGCAGATACGCAACTTCCTAGGGACTGTAAGGCCTCAGGAGCCTGCCCTTCCCTCCAGCCTGGTCAGTACTCCCAGGCCTTTAGAGAATCAGTCCATGAAAGCCAAATATGGTGGGCAGCCATCTGCACAAGGGACCTGGAAGTGGGCTATGGCAGGATGGGGCTTCGGAGGCCAGAGGCGATTGGCTGAGGAGGCAGAGCTGGGGAAGCTTTATTCATTTCTTTGCTTGCTTTGGAAGATAGCCTGCTCCCAGACTACCCCAAAGTCCTGTTGGAAGTTAACACTTCTCAAAGGAAATTCACGAGTTGCATTCAGGTTTTCTCAAGCCCTGGAGAGGCAAGTTAATTCCAGGTACCTGGATCAAGGGGCATGCTCTTTCTGGACCTGCAGGACTGAGGGCCTCACCTCTGTGGTGCTCTGGGGCCCCTGCCCTCATGTAGCTCTGTGCTATCCCCTTCTTCCTTACACTCCCATGCTCCCCGAAGTCTGCATGTGAAACTTCTTTCTTTTTGTGCCAAAGTTCAGGCCTTCCTACTCCACCTTGATCACGGTGACCTGGCCAGGCCATTACTTAACAAATAAGTATTGAGACCTGCCCTATGCCAGTCCCTGCTTGCTGGGCTGTGGGTTCACAAAGAGGAATAATTTGCAGACTATGTCCCAGAGAAACCCAAAGTCCAGATATGGCATGTCCTGCCTCCAGTGTGAGAGAAGGAGTGCTGAGAAGGCTGATATAGCATGTCCTTGATCCTGGAGAAGATTGGCTTCCTGTAAACCCTGATGAGATCTTGCTCTCTCGCTCCGACTGCAGTGCAGTGGCACGATCATAGCTCACTGCAGCCTCAAACTCCTGGACTCAAGAGATCCTCCCGCCTCAGCCTCCCAAGTGGCTGGGACCACAGGCAGGCATCCCACGCCAGGCTAATTTTTAAAAATTTTTTGTAGAGATGGGCTCTCACTATGTTGCTCAGGATGGTCCTGAATTCCTGGCCTCAAGCGATCCTCCTGCCTGAGTCTCCCAAATTGATGGATTATAGGAGTGAGCCACCGTGCCCAGCTTCCCCTCCAGCTTTTCTAGGGCTGAGTAGGAGAAGAGGGGAGGAGGCGATGACCCCAGCGGGGTCCGAGGAACGCCGATCACACCCAGTAGCCCTGGGCTGCAGTTCGGTCCTCCCAGCGCAGGGGGAGCCATGCGACGGCGGAAGCGGGCCCCGGCCGGCCTCCTCTTCCTGCGCCCGCGCCGCCGCGGGTGGCCGCGCGGGTGAAGCCGGAAGCAGCAGCCAGGAGGGCGGGGCCGCGTAGGGCCCACTGGCCAGGGAGGGCGCCGCGCGGAGGCGCGGGGCGTGTCTCCTGTCAAAAGCCATGCTCGGCAGGTCTGGGTACCGGGCGCTGCCCCTGGGTGATTTTGACCGCTTCCAGCAGTCGAGCTTCGGCTTTCTGGGCTCGCAGAAGGGCTGCTTGTCCCCGGAGCGGGGCGGCGTGGGGACAGGGGCCGGTGAGTGGCCGCCTGGCACGGCGGAGCCGGGGGGGACCGGCCGGCAACCCCCAGGCCCGAATCTCTGCCTCCGAGGAGTCGGCCGGCCCGGTGCCGTCGCACCCTACGAGGGGGGACTGAGAAAGGGATACGATGTGGAGAGGGGGCTGGACCCGGCGCCTGGTGCTAGCGCCGATCCGCCCTCCCTAGGGTCATGGGGCTTTGGCCCCAGAGCCAGCCAGCGTTGCTCCTATCTTCCAAAACCTCACCTCACCACATTTGTCCTCGGCTCTTATCAGCCCTTTAGGCCTGGGAAGACGTTTCAGGTTTCTATTTCGCATAGAAGAAACCGAGGTCTAGGCAGAGGAGGCCACCAGCACCCTAAAGGCACCTGCTGCAGGGAAATGGAAGAATTTTCGCCCTAGGGGGCACCTCTAGAAGCCCGGGAACTAGGCATCTCCTGGATGTGCAGGCCAAAATGACAGGTCCTCAGCTGCCTGTTGGATCTGCCCTGCTTCTGTCTTGCCCTCAAAGTCTTCTGTGGCTCCTTTGGCCTACAGGCCAGATCCCACGCTGTTCAGCCTAACCGCCTAACCTTGGATTTGATCCCTCCCTGGCCTTCCTGTCCTGAAAGCTCTCCCTATCCAGAAGTCTCTTGAGAGGCCTGGTGGATCAGAGCCAGGCACAAAGTGGAGCCTCAGTGCTCTGGGGCTTAGCCCAGAGGGCAGGGCTTCCTGGAAGAATGGAGCAGGGCTCCCGACTGCTTCCTGTCCAGGGTTGGGAGGAAAGCGGCAAATAACCTCATCCCAGATTCTGGAGCTGTCTCGGCTTTGCTCCCAACTTGGGCTCCTGAATCTCCAGGGGCCAGGACATTTGGCTTGGATAAGCCTCATCTTTCTAGCCCTGCCCCTGACCCCGACCCCTAACAATTTTCTTGAATTGAAATAGGCAGGGTTTTTTTTTGTTTTTGTTTTTTGTTGTTTGTTGTTTTTTTGAGATGGAGTCTCGCTCTGTCCCCCAGGCTGGAGTGCAGTGGCGCCATCTCGTGAAATAGGCATTTTTTAATGGTCATTAAGGCATTAAAGTTGGGTGTGGAATAGAAAATAATAATCTAATTCCTCATCTGTGGCTCCCGTTGATAAGCTATTTATGATTTATCCCTGTAGGCTAAGGCATCATCTTCATAAGGACTCCTGGAAAGCACACTTCTGGGGCTGATGGTATAGGAGGAATGTGTTTTGCCAGCAGTATTCAGTGCATGTTTACAGATGCCCAGGTGCTCCTGGCTCCATGCCAGGTATGGGTAGGCAATATAAATTAAACGAGAGGATTGACCCCTACTCAGTCCAGTGAGGAGAGCATCATCACGCGGACTGGATTCTGAGATTGAATGGCTGTTGCCTAGCAGAGAATAAGGCCTTGTGAGGGTTGTTGGACTTGGGACAAATGAGTGTTGATGTATGGGAGGAGGGAACAGACCCTAACTTGCAGCTGCCCAAAGATACGGGAATATTAGGCAAGGAGCCAGATTGAGAGCCCTGAGAAGGAAGGAGCCTCTCGAGGGGAAGGTGGGCGTAAGGTACACTTGCCCAAGTTCACTCCGCTTGGCAGCTGTCGTGCAGGTCCAGTTGACCACCTCTGCTCTCACCTGCAGATGTACCCCAGAGCTGGCCCTCCTGCCTCTGTCATGGCCTCATCAGTTTCCTGGGGTTCTTGCTGCTGTTGGTCACCTTCCCCATTTCTGGCTGGTTTGCCCTGAAGGTAAGGCTGGCTGGGTCAGCCCCCAGGGTGGTTGGGCCACACTGAGAGCTTTGGCATTGATGAATAAATTTGCCTATCCTCTGTCCCCTTTCCCTAAATATTATTACCCCTTTGTGTAATGGGCTAGGCAAGAACCATTCATTCACATTGGTCAGGGGAGGAAACTAAGGCTTGGGCTTGTCTAAAGTCATACTGGGAGCCAGTAGGGGGTAGAAGCAAGTCCCAAACTCCTAAGTCCTGGGATCTGGACACTGGCTTTAAGGTACACGCAGATGTCTTTGCCAAATTATCTTCTCTTTGGGTTAGAATAAATTAGAAATGAAAACACCCAACTTAGCCCAGCTGGTAGTGCATAATAGGAATTCAGGCCTCATTTTCCATAAGGGGTGGTACAGTGGGAAAAGGATGAACCATGGAGCTATAGTTCAGCATCGCACGTGAAAGCTGGGGGAAGGTGGAAGCCCAAGGAGGCCTTGCCCTTTGTGTAGCCCTAGGCAACAGTCCCTCTCTAGAAAACCTCTGGGTTTGGTGTGGTCTGCAAGGGGGTCCTTAAATGGCCTTATATCCTAGTTCTAAAACTGCCACAGAAACAAATGCCATGTGACCTTGAACAGGTTTCTTTGCCTCTCTGGGCCTTCATTTCTCAATTTGGACATCACTACTTCTCTAGGAGGTCCAGGGACCTAAAGTTGACAAAGCCCTTTCCCCGGGGGTGCTGTTAGGGCAGCCGAGCCTTTTCTCCTAACTAATCCAAGGACAGACAGTTTCCTGGTATGAGTCATGTCTAACTTCAGACCACAGAGATGAAAAGTTTCTCTAAGGATCAAGTCAATACAGTGCAGTAGTTAAGACACATGGCCTTTGGAGTTATTCAGAACTGCATTCAAATCTTCACTATTTCACTTAGGGCTATGCAATTTTTGAGCAGTCACTTAGCTTCCCTGAGCCTTGGTTTTCTCATCTGGAAACAGTGCTAGGGATACCTAACTGTGACCCAGGTGAGGAGGAGAGAAGTGAGGAAGGGACCTAGGCAGACAGCATTGGCCAGCCTAGGCTGACCACTTTCAACTCTTTCCCTTGCCATTGTGGACAGATTGTGCCCACCTACGAGCGGATGATTGTGTTCCGCCTGGGCCGGATCCGCACCCCCCAGGGACCTGGCATGGTTCTGCTCTTGCCCTTCATTGACTCCTTTCAGAGGGTGGATCTGAGGACACGAGCCTTCAACGTCCCTCCCTGCAAGGTGAGGGGCTTCTCAGCTGCCTTGACAGAGGAACTGGGGGCCTGTCCAGAATGTACTGTGGTGCCAGGACCTCAGCCTGTGAGTCACCATCTGAGGGGGGAAGGGGGAAGAAGAGACCAGAAAATTGATGGAAGCTAGGAGGACATCCTTGCTTCATACACCTAACCCTACATACTTGGTGACACCATTTGCCCTTGAGGAGCTAGCTGCCAAGCAGGTGGTTCAAGCTGGGTGGCCCCAGTGGGCCTGACCTCCCTGCACCCCCAGCCCCTTGAGTGTCTCTCTCTCATGGCCTCCCCCAACAGCTGGCCTCTAAGGACGGGGCTGTGCTGTCCGTGGGAGCCGATGTCCAGTTTCGCATCTGGGACCCGGTGCTGTCGGTGATGACTGTGAAAGACCTGAACACAGCCACACGCATGACAGCCCAGAACGCCATGACCAAGGCCCTGCTCAAGAGGCCGCTGCGGGAGATCCAGATGGAGAAGCTCAAGATCAGCGACCAGCTTCTGGTAGGCAGCCCCTCACAAGACGGAGCTTGAGGGGTGGCACCGGCCTGGCTCCACCTGCCAGGTCACTTTGAGAAAAGAGTCAGACCACTCTGGGCCTCAGTTTACCATATGTCCCAATAGTGTAACCACCTTTGAAGAGCCAGTGCCTGGGTGGGGCCATGAGTTGAGGAATGGCAGGTGGGCGTAGACCATAACGATCCTGGGCAAACTTGTCCCTGAGAAGAGGAAGTGGCCCCGGCAGACATTCTTGGGGTCTGCCCCTTAGTTTTTACCCCTCACTGCTCTGCCATGATGACACTGGCTTCTACAGCTCTCATTCCGGGCCTGACTCATGGGGCAGGCAGATGGGTGATGGAGCAGGGACCCTCCCAGCCCAGTCACCTGCTGGGGAATTCCAGGCTCACCATGCAGCGTGTGCATGCTTGTGATTTTTGTTTCCTTGTTTGGAACAGAACAAAGGAACATGAGGACATTTGGATCTTTTTCCTGCCTCTTCTCCATGTGTATATTGGAGTTTGCCCTAAATCTCTTCTGCTACAAGATGGGGTAGAAATAAATACACATGCAGAGTTGTGTCCCCTGCAGCCACACTCAACTTGTGCTTCCTCTTGTGTCCTGACAGGGGAATGTAGGTGACATTTCTCCCCATTCCTCTTGGCTCTGCTTTGCCCTGGGGAATCAAGGTTAGAGGACAGTCGGGGGAATGGGATAAATGCCAGTCCTGGAGGTCCCACTGGAAGCAGCGAGGGGAAATTCCTGAGGAAATACTATTTGAGATCCTAACAGTAGCTCTTACGTGCTTAGCAGTTTATGGTTTACAAAGTCCTTTTGTCTGGCCCAGCATTTCTGAGCTTGACATTTTTTGCTGCAAGTCGGTACTACTGTTTTATTTTGGAGGGAGGAAGCTAAGGCTAAGAAATAATTTGACTTGCCTCTGAGAGCTATGGTCAAGGGCAGAGCTGAGCCATAGCTAGACCACCTGCCTCCATCCCACCATCGCCCCTCAATCCAGTGCTTGATCTAACACAACTCAGATAGCAAGTGGATAACAACTTTTATTCATAAAACCATGCCCCGTGTTAATTCACCTTTAGGAAGAGAAAACTGATCTCAGTCTTGTTGCACATTGTTTTGATGTGAGACAGGCAGTTTGGGGAGGTCAGTTCCACACCAGGATGTGAGAGTCCTTTAAGTCCCATTTCCCAGACTGAGTGAGCACCTGGTAGAGTGAGAGCTGTGCCTGTGGTTGAGACAGAACCTCAGGAGGTCCAGCACACCGCCCTCAGGCCCTGGTTCAGGCGTACACTTATTCACATGCCCCTTTTTGCCTGATTTTCTTCTAGAGAAATCAGAGTCCCCACCTCTCACTTGCTGGACCTTCCTTAGCCAGTTACCACTCCTTACCTGCCAGTGCTCCAGGCCAGCTGCCTCAGCCCTTCACTGCCCTCCTCCAGCCCCACCACTGCTCATTGCTCTCTGCAGCAGGCCTTGCCTCCTAACACTCAGGAGAAAAACTCTAGGATGAGCACTCTGCTTCCTCCAGTTTCACCCCTTCAAACCCACCTGCCTCTGTGCTGCTTTCCTGCCTCCTTGCCCTTCTGCCTCCCCTCTCTGAGGCTCATCCCTGTACTGCGCAGTGCTGTGGGCCCCCTGCTATCCCAGGATGCCTTCCCTCCACTCCATGCACTCTCTCTCTGTCACCTCTCCTTTCTGTGTAGAAATGTGCCCTCCCTTTGCCACAGTGCCCTCTAGCTCCCACTCCCTTTCTCCCCTTTTCTTCTGCAAGACTTTCATCCATGCTCCCAGCCCCTGCCCCTACATCCTTCATCCTGGCCTCCTTGGGCTCCCAAGACAGCGCTGGCCAACATCACAGTGACCTCCCACATGCCAGCCCAGTGGGCACCTCTCAGCCCTTCCCTTACATCACCTGGTGGCAGCATTTGACATGGTCGACCCAGCCCCCAGCCCCCAGAACCCCCTGTACTTCCTCCTTCCCTGTCATCCCTGGTTACTGCCACTTATTCTCCTGCCCTTGAGTTTCCAGGGTTTCATCACTGGCCTCTTCTCATCTGTGACCTCCCTGGGAGAGCTCATCCATCTGGGCTGTCTGCTGCCTGTGGATGCTGATTATTCACAATGTCCTGCCCTAGCCCTGATGCTTCTGTACCCTGGGCCATTTCTCCAGCTGCCTACTGGACAATTGACTGCCCCACAGACACCTCAAGCTTACAGTAGTAAAAAAAAAAAAAAAAGTTGCCATCCCTCCCTTCCCACCCCCGTGTGTCCTCTCTAGTGAATGCCACACTCATCCATTCAGGAGCCTGACTCCTCCCCACTCCCGCCCCCTCTCATATCATTGCACACATCGAGGCAGCCCCGAGCCTGGTGCTTGCACTTCTCTAGTGCCCTGTTGTGGCTCAGTACAGTTGATAGAGGCATGCCTCCCTCAGTGGATCTTGGCTTCACAGCTCCCCTCCACCCTCGCCAGAGCTGCATCATTCCTTGGCTGTATTTTGAAACAATGTCTTCCTTGGTCTCCATCCCTCCCCTCAGCCCCCTATAATCCAGCATCCACAGCAGCCAGGAGGATCTTGCCTTAAAGCAAGTCTGCTGTATCACCTCCCTGCTCAAACTCCTCCCTGGGGCTCTTTGTTGCCTCAGAATAAATCAAAGTAAGCAGAAACACCCCACCTCTGACCCCTCAGCTGTCTCCAGTCCTCAGCCGACATGTGAGGGTCCAGCTAAATGGAACTCTGGTTCCTCGCAGCTCCACGAACATGCCAGGTTTTCTTGTCTGGGGTTTTGCACATGCTGTTCCTGTTGCTGGAAGGGTCCTCCTCCACCTGAGGACTCCCTCCTGCTGGCACCACCCTCCTCTGCTGGGGGCTCACCACAGGCCTTGCTTCTGTCTTGGCACTTACCACAGCTGAAAGGTCATTGCCCTCTGCCTGTGTTCCCAGGCTAGGAGTGTCTCAAGGGCGGTGTGGTGCCTCCATGTCCATGCACGGCCACACAGTCTGCCCAAAGAAGGTGCTCAGGAAAGGTTTGTTGAATTAATTACATTTCTCCTCACACTGTCCTCCAGCTGGAGATCAACGATGTGACCAGGGCCTGGGGGCTGGAGGTAGACCGCGTGGAGCTGGCAGTGGAGGCCGTGCTCCAGCCGCCCCAGGACAGCCCAGCTGGGCCCAACCTGGACAGCACCCTCCAGCAGCTGGCCCTGCACTTCCTGGGAGGAAGCATGAACTCAATGGCAGGAGGTGCCCCGTCCCCGGGGCCAGGTGAGGAGCCCTGGGGAGGAGAGCGGGGGTGTTTACCAGCTTGGTGCCAGCACAGACTTTGCTCACTATCCCAGCAGCTCTGTGCAGTACACACCCTGCACAGATGTTCAGCCCACACTGACCACAGCCAAGGCAGTGAGAGGAGGCCAGGTGTCTGAGTGTGTAGAGGCCATTGGCAGCCTCCATGGGAGGAGGCGACATCACCAGAAGGGCAGCTGGAAAGAATTTTATATCTGAGGCTGGAGTAGTTTAGAAACTGAGTTTGCAGTTTAGGCTGAAAACTCAGGGGCACCTTTCTGGTAGAGGAGGAAGTTGAACAGAGGCCTGAAGGGGATCTAAGAGGAAACTGCCACAAAAGGTGCAGAGGCCACAGTGAGTGGTCCTGACCTTGGCAACACGATGACCTCCTCTCTGCCTCCTTCCCCAACCCTGTTGGCCACCCCCAGCAGACACCGTGGAGATGGTGAGTGAAGTTGAGCCACCTGCCCCTCAAGTTGGTGCCAGGTCCAGTCCGAAGCAGCCTCTGGCGGAGGGGCTACTGACTGCTCTACAGCCCTTCCTGTCTGAGGCCCTGGTCAGCCAAGTCGGGGCCTGCTACCAGTTCAATGTCGTCCTGCCCAGCGGCACCCAAAGCGCCTACTTCCTGGACCTCACTACAGGTGCCGCTGCCCTCCTTGCCTCTCCTTCCCATCCAGCTTGCTAGGTTTCTTGTTACCTACCCCAGTGGTGCTCTCGTAGACTGCCCCCTGCTCCTGCCAATAATTTGGGGTGAACCCATGGCAGGCAGGGGCTCAGACACCATTTCCAGGCATTAACTATGCCCTGGTCTCCCCGCCATCCGCAGGACAATGCAGCCAGGCTTCCAATACCAAGAGGCCTGCCCGTGTTACAGGCCTGCTGCCTGTCAGGCTCTGTGCCAAGTACTTTTTGTACATTATCTCACCCACTTCTCACCATGAGCCTATGCTTTAGGAATTGTCATCTCTAAAGGAATTATCATCACAGATTTGGAAACTGAGGATCCAAGAGTTCACACAGCCAATAAGACTCAAACCCAGGGTATTAGAACCCAAACTCTTAACCAGTACTCTCCTCCCAATGGGAAATACCAGCCCCTCCCACCCCCATAGATCTCCTTCACGTTCCTCCATTCCCCTACTGACACTCGGTTTTCTTTTGCCCCACAGGACGAGGAAGAGTGGGACACGGGGTGCCTGATGGCATCCCTGATGTGGTGGTGGAGATGGCCGAGGCAGACCTGCGGGCCCTGCTATGCAGAGAGCTGCGGCCCCTGGGGGCCTACATGAGTGGACGGCTGAAGGTGAAGGGCGACCTGGCTATGGCCATGAAGCTGGAGGCTGTCCTCAGGGCCTTGAAGTAGCAGCCTTGGCTGACTTTCCAGAGCCCAGTCCCAAGCCTGGCACCAAGCCTGAGGGGCCTCTTGGAGGAGGAGGTGTTCATCTGCACCACAGAGAGTTGAGGCCCTAACAAATTTCAGGCCCAGCCAAGAGCCCATGAATGGAGGCTGCAGGAGGCTGAGTCCGGCTGCCATGCACGTCTCCCCTACAGTGGTTCTCTGGACAAGGCTTTGTCCATCCCGGTCCCCAGCTGAGTGCCCAGCGCTGAGCTGGGTGCACGGTGTGATTCCAGGAGGAGAGCCAGGCCTGCCCTGCCCTGCTGGCTTCCTGACTGGAGAGACAGGACCCACAGAAACAGCCTGACAGCAGCTGGTTTGGTCCTTGTGTGAGGGACCAAGCATGTGGCCCAGGCTCTAAGCTCTGCGGGGATTGGAGAGGGATGGGGAGGGAAGGGAAGGCAGCTCCAAGAAGAGGTCCCTGTGGCGAAGTTACCTGGGGATCCTGGCTGGCCCACCTTCCTGGCTGCAGTCCAGGCCCGTGCTGGCGGGATTGGGCATGGGAAGGAGCAGGGCCTGCTGCTTCCCTGGCGCTGCTCCCAAAGATTTCTGACTCATCTGCCAGCTCTGTCCTGCATGCCTGGCGAGCTGGGGCCCAGGGCAGCATGAAGGAGAGCCCTGCGTTCTGTGCTTCTTACCAGAGGTTTGCAAGCCTCAGACAAATAAATGTGGTGTTTACAATGTATAAAAGAGAAGAAGCCAAGCGGGGCTCCTGGGGGCATGGGGTGGGCTAGGAGGGTCCACAAGGTCCATGCTGCCAGCCCAGGCAGGGATTGACATCCTGGTGGCTGACACAGACAGACCCTCACAATATTTGAAGCTCCTTCTCCTGAGTGTCTCAAAGCCCCTGGAAGCAAGGGTGGGGCTGGGTGGGGAGTTCTGTTCCTCTTTGTAGTGGGATACAGGTTCACCAGGAAAGGAAGGCATGAGTGTGCCAGAGTGTCCTGCAAACACTGAGGGGCAGGTGGGGTGGTCATATCCCATTCAAGAGAGGAGTTGGGGCCACCGTCAGCTTCCCCTCCTGGTACACTCTGTCACTGCTTCTCCGCTCGCTGACGGGAAGGAAACAGTCATTGAGGTCTGGCCCCAGGCCCAGCCCAGCCCTGCTTTCTGCTCCAGTACTCTCGCCCAAACCCCAGGGGCCCCAGAGAAGGGGGCCTCTGACTTCTTGAGTCCTAAGAAAGGAATCTTACTCCTTGGAGAGACTTCTGGGAAAAACAAAACCACAAAAATCAAAGCCTCCCCTTAAGAACAGCCCCCAGCCTGTCCTGTGGCACCGCAACTTCCCTCTCCCCCAAGGGGTCTCTGCCCTTCCTGGGTGCCTGGCTCTGTCTTGTTTGCTGTCTGTCCCTGCCTTTGCCAGACACTGCCTTGTCCCGCCTCCTGGAGGTCCTCCACATTGCCTGAGGCACCTCCCTAAAGCCCAGCACAGACCCCTCTGTCACTGCCATGGCCATTGAGGTTCAGGTTTCCAGGGCCCCTTCCTAGAGTCCCAGGCTGCTGCACCTGCTGTTGCCCCTTTGCCTACTTGGAGGCCTCTCATGGGCCCTCCCAGGGCTTTCTAGCTGAGGCTGTCTGTTCCAAAGCCTGCCCTCCAATCCCCGCAGCCACACTGTGGCCACCCTTTGAGGCCCAGTGAGACTTGTCCTCTGTGCCCTTGCCTGGCTCTCTGCACCCATTCCACATTGTGTGTTTCTGCTCCTTGCATATATGGCTGCCCTCCCTGCTGGACTGGGAGCTTCCTGCATCAGCATTCACCTGTGGATTCCTTCCATTGCTATTACACAGTATATGAAGGGCTGCCCAGGAAACCCCAGGCATCTTCACCATGAAAGCTGGCACGGCCCCTTGGCTGGGGTAGGGCTGGAGGGTAGGGAAGACAGGAAAAATGAGATCACAACTTAGGGGAAACCCAAACTCTTCTTTGTGAGCATGGGAAGATCAACATAACGTTTAGGGGAAACCGAAACTTTTCTGGATGTCTGTGTAGGTGGAGAGTAAGGCCTGCCCCTGCCATGAATCCCCACCCTGTGGAGGGGAGCTCGATCCTTGGCCAGCACTCCAGGACTACAGAGGACTGAGCAGACCCTGCAGTCCACAGGGGAGGAAGGACAAGGGCCACCTAAAGGGTCGGTGTGAAGAGGGAGGAGGAGGGTGTGTGTCAATCAGAGAAGGCTTTCCTGAGGAGGTGATGTCCTCCACATCCCAGCTACCAAGTAGGTGGACAATAAGAAGAGATGGGGAAAATCATTCAGCAGAGGAGAAGTCCCTGCAAGGGCACAGCTGGAAGAGGCAGTCAGGCAACTGGGCTTCGGGGAACTAGAACCTGAAGTACCAGACAGGTTGTGTGCGGGCATTTGAGGGGCAGGGTATAGAAATAGTAACCATTACTGTGTGCCAAATATGTCCTTATACCGGACTAGACACTTCTTATTATATTTTTCTTCAAGATAACCTGGTGAATAATGATAATAGTTTAAGTATCCTAGTTAATATATTAATATATAATGTGTTATTTTGATGTTATTGAAAAGTATTTTATTTTTTTTTGAAACAAGAGTCTTACTCTGTTGCCCATGTTAGAGTACAGTACAATCTCAGCTCACTGCAACCTCTACCTCCCGGATTCAAGTGATTCTCCTGCCTCAGACACCTGAGTAGCCAGGATTATAGGCGCATACCACCACACCTGGTTAATTTTTGTATTTTTAGTAGAGATGGGATTTCACCATGTTGACCAGGCTGGTCTCGAACTCCTGACCTCAAGTGATCTGCCTGCCTAGGCCTCCCAAAGTGCTGGGATTATAGGTGTGAGCCACCGCACCTGGCCTTATTTTTAAGCATTTAAAAAAAATTTTTTAGACCGTCTTGCTCTATCACCCAGGCTGGAGTGCAGTGGCATGATCATAGCTCACTGTAGCCTTGAACTCTGGGGCTCAAACGATCCTCTTGCCTCAGCTTCCTGAGTAGCTGGGACCACAGGTTGTGCCACCACAACCGGCTAATTTTTAAAATCTCTTTTGTAGAGATAAGGATGTCTCCCCATGTTGCTCAGGCTGGTCTTGAACTCCTGGGCTCGCAGGATCCTCCCACCACAGCCTCCCAAAGTGCTGGGATTACAGGTGTGAGCCACTGTACCCAGCCAATATTTAAATTTTGGTTGGCTAAACATTTAAAAAGATAGGAAAGCATATTATGAAAATTCTCCCTCCACACATATTTCCCATGCCTTCCCCCATCCCCTGCGATTAGTTTCTTGGTAATTCTTCCTGAAGGTTTTGTTTTTTAAAAAAAAATATATGCAAGAAAATCCAAATATGTATCTTCTGGGTTTTTGTTGTTCCTGTTTTTATACAAATGGCAACATAGAAACACAATGTTGCCTTTTTCACTTAACATTACCCACTGAGGATCTTTCCATGTTACCACAGACAGCCTTTCCCTGTGCTTTCTTGTACTTACATAGGATTCCACAGTATGGATGTATCATAAATTATTCAACCTGTCGTGGACCGATAGACATTTTGATTATTTCTTGTGTTTTGCTATTTTAAATACTTTTGCAATGAATAACCTTTAACATGTGCTATTTGTGGTAGAGTTTATCTATAAGATAAAATCCTAGAAGTGGAATTGCTAAATCAAAGCATTTATAATTTAGTAAATATTGCCAGAATACCTTCTCTGGGGATTATACCAATTTACACTCCCATTGTCAGTGGTGTTTTTTTCTCATAGTCATGTCAATACACTGTGTTATTAAACTTTTGGGTCTTTTGACATTCTGGAAAGTGAAAATTTGTATCTCAGTGTAATTTTTTTGTTTATTGTTCAAGTTATTTTTTTGTTTTTTGTTTGTTTGTTTTGAGACAGGGTCTCACTCTGTCTCCCAGGCTGGAGTGCAGTGCAGTGATTGTGGCTCACTGCAGCCTCAACCTCCCAGGCTTAAAGGATCACCATGCCTGGCTTTTTTTTTTTTTTTTTTTTTGTAGAGACAGGGCCTTCTCAAGCTGGTCTCTAACTCCTGGCCTCAAGTGATCCTCCCACCTGGCCCTGGCCCGCTAACTGCTAGGATTACAGGCATGAGCCATCTAGCCCAGCCTGTTTATTGTCCAATTGTTTATTGCTTTGTAAGTCTTGGATTTCTAGCTCCAGCAAAGAACAGGGTTTGGTTTGGTTTGGTTTCTCTTCCCCTAGCATTTACATATTTTTTAAAGGTGTAATTTACATACAACAAACACCCTTTTAAAATGTATTATTTGGCTGGCTTGCGCCTCTAATCCCAGCACTTTGGGAGGCCGAGGCAGGTGGATCACCTGAGGTCAGGAGTTTGAGACCAGCCTGACCGATATGGTGAAACCCCATCTCTACTAAAAATACAAAATTTAGCCAGGCATGGTGGTACACGGCTGTAGTCCCAGCTACTCGGGAGGCTGAGACAGGAGAATTGCTTGAACCCAGGAGGTGGAAGTTGCAGTGAGTTGAGATCATGCCACTGCACTTTAGCCTGGGCAACAGAGTGAGACTCCATCTCAAAATTAAATAAATAAAGATAAAATAAAAAGTGTCATCTGAGGTGCTTTGACAAATGTGAACACCTGAGTAACCACCACCCCCTACAATCAAATACAAAACATTCCCATCCACTCACAAAGTTCTCCACGTCACTTCCCGTCAGTGCTTGCCACCTCCAGCTTTGAGCAGCCACTGACCTTTCCATAACCGCTGATCACATTTCACTTTTCTAGCATTTCATATGAATGAAATGAGTGCACAGTACTCTTCTGTGTCTAGCTTTTTCCCCCTCACTGTAATGGTTTTGAGAGTAATACATGTTATTCTGTGTATCTGTAGTTTGTTGTATTGCCAACACATTCCATTGTCTAGATAGAGGCACAATGTATTCATTCATCCATTGATGAACATTTGAGTAGTTTTCAGGTTTGGTTATTAAATAAAGCTCCTCCAGACATCTGTGTACAAGTCTTTGTTTGGACATATATTTTCATCTGGGTAAATACCTAGAATTGCTGGATTGAAAAACTGTCAAACATTTCCAAAGTGGTCCTGTCAACATGCGGTATAGTCAGTCTTTTAAACTTTAGCCACTCTAACAGGTGTGACTGACAATGTTGAGCCACTTTTAATTTGCTTATTGGGCACGTGTCTTCTTTTGTGAACTATCTGTTCAATATTTTGCTTATTTAAGAAATGGGCTATTAATATTGTTGAGCTTTAAAAGTTCTTAGTATAGCTGGATGCAGTGACACATGCCTATATTCCCAGGTACTTGGGAGGCTAAGGGAGGATCAGTTGAGCCCAGAAGTTCGAGGCCAGCCTGGACAACACAGCAAGACCTGATCTCTTAAAAGAAGAAGAAAGAAAGAAAAAAGAGAGAGAGAGACTCTCCATACGTTGCCTAGGCTGAGTGCAGAGGCACAATCCTGGCTCACTGCAGCCTCAACCTCCTGGGCTCAAGCAATCCTCCCCACTCAGCCTCCCAAGTAGTTGGCATTATAGGTATACATTACCAAACCTGGCTAATTTTTATATTTTTTGTAGAAACAGGGTTTTGCCACATTGCCCAGGCTGGTCTCAAACACCTGAGCTCAAGTTATATACCTGCCTTGGCCTCTCAAAGTGCTGGAATTATAGGCATGAGACACCTTGCCTGACCTGTGATCCATTTTCGAATTAATTTTTGTATATGGTGTGAAGTAAAAGTTGACGTTCTTTTTTTTCATGGTGATATCCAATCGTTCCAGCACTTTTTGTTTAAAGGTATCTTTTCCCCATTGAATTACCTAGAAACCTTTTCATTTGCTTTTGTGTTATTTTGAGTGAGGTTGAGCATCTTCTAATATGTTTAAGAGCCATGTGTCTCCTTTTCTACAAACTGTTATTTTATCTACTTTGTTCATTTTTCTAGTGCTGGTTGTTTCTATTTCTGTTTTTGACATTTGGGAGCTCTTTAAATATTAGGAAGATTAGCCATTTTTGATATGAGCTGTAAATTTTTCACCCAATTTGTTGGTTTGCATTTTGTCTTTGCTTATAATGTTTTCTCATGAAATTTTAAAAATGTATTTGAATTGATAAATATTTTATGACTTCTGGATTTTGAGTCATAAGTAAAAAAAACCTCCATTCTGAGATCATAACAGAATTTAATGTATTCTCTTTTATTTTTTACTTGTAAAATTGTAAACTCATTTGGAATTTAAATAAGTATAAAGTATAAAATATTGATCCCCCTTTTTTCAACACCATGAATTTTTTGTGTTGAGGTCTATAGTGGGGCTTTCTGCTCTGTTCCATTGGGCTAATGTTTATCCATTCTCTAGGACCACTTTAATTATTGGGGTGCCATAAAATGTTAAATATCTATAGGAGGAATTCTTTTTAATGCTTCTTAAGAAAGACCTTCTGCCTTTTTTTGTTTTAAGAGACAGAGTCTTGCTATGTTGCCCAGGCTGGAGTGTAGTGGCTATTCACAGGTGTGATCATAGCTTACTGCAGCCTCAAATTCCTGGGTTCAAGTGATCCTCCTACCTTGGCCTCCCAAGTAGCTGGGACTACAGATGCAAGCCACTTACCATGGCTGACTAGTGTTTGTTTTTTCAATGAACTTTAGAATTACCTGGTGTAGTTTTTTAAAAAGAATACTGTCAGTGTCTTTATCTGACTAGTGTTTGTTTTTTCAATGAACTTTAGAATGACCTGGTGTAGTTTTTTAAAAAGAATATTGTATCTTTATTGGGATTATATTAAATGTGTCAAGTAACTCATAGAAAATTGTAATCTTTGGCCAAGCATGGTGGCCCAGGCCTGTAATCCCAGCACTTTGGGAGGCTGAGGCAGGTGGATCACGAGGTTAAGAGATTGAGACCATTCTGGCCAACATGGGTAAAACTCCGTCTTTACTAAAAATACGAAAATTAGCTGGGCGTGGTGGCATGCACCTGTAGTCCCAGCTACTTGAGAGGCTGAGGCAGGAGAATCGCTTGCATCCGGGAGTTGGAGGTTGCAGTGAGCCGAGATTGAGTCACTGCACTCCACCCAGCCCAGCAACAGAGCGAGACTCCATCTCAAAAAAAAAAAAAAGAAAATGACAATCTTTATGATATTGAGTCTTCCTATCCTTGAACATGGTGTGTTTTGATGTCTTTTGTGTCCTTTAGAAGTTTTGAAATGTCCTTTATATCGTCTGAACATTTATTCTTAAGTACTTTATCCTTTTTGGTACTACTATAAGTGGAATATTTCTTCCACTATATTATCTGAACAGAATACAATTTGTTGCTCTTTAGTGATTTTGTTTCTCTGTGTATGAGCAGAAAACAAACTCAATTTCTCCTACTATACTCCAGAAACACACTTCTGATACCACATGTGTGGGGTTCCCCCACCCCCCCATATCAAGCAAGGAGCCAGTTCTGCAGTGGCCACCAGCTGGGTGTTCTTAATTCAATTCCAACACTATCTACCTGGAGATAGCGTCAGATCCCAGTCCCACAAGACCGTCCCCCACTTCCAGTGCCAATTACAAGCCCCAGGTTGTATTACCTGTACTTCTGGCCAACTGGCTATAAATCAGGATTCTCATGACCCTCTTCTTGGGTTTGATTAATTTGCTAGAGCACCTCACAGAATGCAGGGAAGCATTTGCTTACGTTTAGCAGTTTATCATAAAGCATATTTTAAAGGATACAAATGAAAAGCCAGATGAAGACATAAACGGGGCACACTCTGGAAGGGCCTCAAATACAAAAGCTTCCATCCCCGAATACAAAATCTTCCATACAAGACCACCTTCCTGGGAAACCCCTGAACTCAGTCGTTACGGGTTTTTATGGCGATTTCATTATGTAGGCATGATCAATTACATCACTGGCCATTGGTGATCAACCTTCGGTTCCTCTCTCCTCCCCGAATGTGGAGGGTGGGGCTCTGAGCAGACGGTTGGATCCCCTGGCAAGCAGCCATCCATCCTGTGGTTATAAACGTTAAGCTCAGTTGTGGCTCCAAACAACAAGCCCGACTTTCACTTTTTTTTTTTTTTTTTTGAGATGGAGTTTCGCTCTGTTGCCCAGGCTGGAGTGCAGTGGCGATCTCAGCTCACTGCAACCTCTGCCTCCCGAGTTCATGCAATTCTCCTCCTCAGCCTCCTGAGCAGCTGGGATTACAGGTATGCACCACCATGCCCACCTAATTTTTGTATTTTTAGTAGAGACAGGGTTTCACCATGTTGGTCAGGCTGGTCTCGAACTCCTGACCTCGTTATCTGCCACCTTGGCCTCCCAAAGTGCCGGGATTACAAACGTGAGCCACTCCGCCCGGCCCATCTTTCACCTTTATGCTTACTCTGGAGCTGCTCCAGAGCTGTTTCAAGAACAAAGGATGAAAGGCCAAATATTTTAAGGAAAGATACTCTTATCACACTCTAGTCTCCTAGGAAATTACAATGATTATATGGGCTGTCAGCCAGGAACTATAGACAAAAACAAAGAATAGATATATCACACTTACTAACTTCTATAAAACAGAATGAGCGTCTTCATGGAGCGGAGCAGAGGACGCAGGTTTTACAGACAGAATAAGCTGAAGAAACCAGAAACAAAAAACAAAGAACGGATCGGTCATTTCAAAATTACTTTCTTAGTAAGGCAAGAACAGGGAAACAGAACAATTGAAAAATAACTGGTGGCCAGGTGTGCGGGCTCACACCTGTAAGCCCAGCACTTTGGGAATCCGAGGCGGGTGAATCACGAGGTCAGATTGAGACCATCTTGGTTAACACAGTGAAACCCCATCTCTACTAAAAATACAAAAAAAATTAGCCAGGCATGGTGGTTGGCGCCTGTAGTCCCAGCTACTTGGAAAACTGAGAAGGGAAGATTTGCGCCCAGTGTGTTTCGGGAATTAATGGGTTCTCGGTCTCACTAACTTCAAGAATGAAGCCACGGATGCTCGTGGTAAGTGTTATAGTTTTTAAACGCGGCCTATCCAGAGTCTGTTACTTTTGATGTTCAGATGTGTGCGGAATTTCTTCCCACTGGTCGGTCTGTGGTCTCACGGGCTCAGGACTGAAACCACAGACCTTCCCAGTGAGTGTTACAGCTCTGAAGGCGGTGCGTCTGGAGTTTTTTCTTCTTCCCGGTGGGTTCGTGGTCTCGCTAGCTTCAGGAGTGAAGCTACAGACTTTCGCGGTTGAGTGTTACGGCTCATAAAGGCAGCGCGGACCCAAACGGTGAACAACAACAAGATTTATCGCAAAGAGTGAAAGAACAAAGCTTCGCCAACGTAAACTGGGCCTCAGCGAGTTGTCACTGCCAGCTTGGGCAAGCCTGCTTTTATTCTCTTATCTGGCCCCACCCACATCCTGCTGATTGGTCCATTTTACAGAGAGCCGATTGGCCCATTTTACAGAGAGCTGATTGGTCCATTTTGACAGGGTGCTGATTGGTGCGTTTACAATCCCTGAGCTAGGCACGAAAGTTCTCCATGTCCCCACTAGATTAGTTAGATACAGAGTGTAGACACAAAAGTTCTCCAAGTCCCCAGCAGAGTAGGTAGATACAGAGTGTCAATTGGTGCATTCACAAACCCTGAGCTAGACACAGGGTGCTGATTGGTGTGTTTACAAACCTTGAGCTAGATACAGACTGCCGATTGGTGTATTTACAATCCCTTAGCTAGACATAAAGGTTCTCCAAGTCCCCAACAGACTCAGGAGCCCAGCTGGCTTCACCCAGTGGATCCCACACGGGGGCTGCAGGTGGAACTGCCTGCCAGTCCCGCGCCGTGTGCCTGCACTCCTCAGTTCTTGGGTGGTCGATGGGATTGGGCTCCATGGAGCAGGGGGCGGCGCTCATCGCGGAGGCTTGGGCCGCACAGGAGCCCACGGAGCTGGGGGGAGGCTCAGGCATGGCGGGCTGCAGGTCTTGAGCCCTGCCCCGCGGGAAGGCAGCTAAGGCCTGGCGAGAAATCGAGCACAGCAGCTGCTGGCCCAGGTGCTAAGACCCTCACTGCCCGGGGCTTGCGGGCCGGCCGGCCGGCCGCACCGAGTGCGGGGCCCGCGGAGCCCACGCCCACCCGGAACTCGCGCTGGCCAGCAAGTGCCGCGCGCAGCCCCGGTTCCCGCCCGCGGCTCTCCCTCCACACCTCCCCGCAAGCTAAGGGAGCCGGCTCCAGCCTTGGCCAGCCCAGAAAGGGGCTCCCACAGTGCAGCAGTGGGCTGAAGGGCTCCTCAAGCGCGGCCAGAGTGGGCACCAAGGCCGAGGAGGCGCCGAGAGCGAGGGCTGCAGGCGCGCTGTCACCTCTCACCAGGAGGAGGTCGAGGCTGCAGTGAGCCATAATTGCACCACTGCACTCCAGCCTGGGCGACAGAGCAAGAACCTGTCTTAGAAAGAAGCAGGGACTGAGCTGGGGAGGAAGGCTGGTGCCTGTGCCCTGGGAAGAAGGGCAAGGTGCTCTCAGAGTTGCTCTGGGGACAGGGACTCTGCCCCACGTTCAGAATTCATCCCCAACCTTGGTCTGCATGCTGGGTATGAGGAGAAAAGTGGCCCAAGAGAAGCCCTAAGTCTCCATGCTGGCTTCTGGGCCCCATGGGAGCCCGAACCACAAAGCTATGCAGGTCACTCCAGAGGGCCCGAGTCACCCCGAGGAGGAGAAGCAGCCCGGGGAGTGGCGTCCAGAGGTCTCCCTGGGAGCCTCGGCTCCTAGGTCAGAGCTCTCGTTTTTTTCTGACGGGAACGCAAAGAAAGCCAGTCCCGAGCTTGTGGTGCCATCTTGTGGCAACACGGGAGATAGCTGGTTTCCTCTTTCCAGAGGCTGCTTTCCAGGGCCGGGGAGGGGCGGGGCAGGGCAGTGAGCTGCTGTAGTAGAGTGACGGTGAAGAGCGGGGTCTAGGGAATATTCACCCTGCCTAGCCTTTCCCAAATGCATTCACACACACACTCACACTCACACACACACCCCTGTTGTACCTGGTCCAGGTGCGCTTGACAGGGTTGTGGGGGTAGAGAGGAAGGTGGGAGGCTTTGGCCAGGAGAAACTGGGGGAGACGGACTACTGCGTCGCCAGAAACTGCAGATTCTGGATTAAATCTACAAAATGAGGCATTCTGAAATCAAACGGCGTTTTAAGACCTTGCTAGGACCAGATGCTATTACCTTTGGAAGTTCCTTCCCACACCTTATTAAATATTAAAATACACAGATTTCTTACGTTAAATATAACATAGCACTGTCAGGTAACACGAGGTGATTTTTGTATGTTTGCCTTGGAAATTACTTGGCTAAGAGTAATTCATTTATGGTGTAATTACCTACGCGTTCTCAGCCCTCCCTGGGTATTCATTTGCATTCTTAAAGTACAGTCACACCCTAAATAACGACGTCTCAGGTCAGTGATGGGCTGCGTATCCGATGGCGGTCCCATAGGATTATAATGGAGCTGACAAATTCCTATCACCTAGTGACGTCATAGCCGATGTAACATTTTAGCTGACACAAAGCATTACTCATGCAAATCTATGACGGAAGAAAGAAACAAACTTGGCAAACCACCATGGACATACTTCTGAAAAGACGGACACTTCTTCAAGAAGTGCCTCAGGCAGGTCCTTTAGGAGAGATTGCAGAAGAAAGCATTGTCCGCTGGGCGTGGTGGCTCACGCCTGTAATCCCAGCACTTTGGGAGGCCGAGGCAGGTGGATCACCTGAGGTCAGGAGTTCGAGACCAGCTTGGCCAATACGGCGAAACCCCGTCGCTGGGCATGGTAGCGCGTGCCTGTACTCCCGGCTACTTGGGAGGCTGAGGCTTGAGGATCCCTTGAACCTTGGAGGTGGAGGCTGCAGTGAGCTGAGATCGTGCCACTGCACTCCAGCCTGGGCGACAGAGTAAGACTCTGTCTCAAAAAAAAAAAAAGAAAAAAAGCATTGTTGCAATAGCAGGTGACAGCTCCATGCGTGTTGTTGCCTATGAAGAACTTCCAGTGGGACAAGGTGTAGAGGTGCAAGACAGTGATATTGATGGTCCTGACCCTATGTAGGTTTAGGCTAATGTGTGTATTTGTGTCTTAGTTTTTAACAAAAAGGTTTTAAAAGTAAAAATAAAATAATTGAAAAATAAAAAGTTTATAGAATAAGGATACAAAAAAAGAAAATATTTTTGTATAGCTGCATAATGTGTTTGTGTTTTAAGCTAAGTGTTATTATAAAAAGTCAAAAAGTTTAAAAAAAATTTTAAAGTTCATAAAGTTGTAGAAAGCTAAGGCTAATTTATTACTGAAGAAAAACTTTTTTTTTGAGACAGAGTTTTGCTCTTGTTGCCTAGACTGGAGTGCAATGGCACAATCTCGGCTCACTACAACCTCCGCCTCTCAGGTTCAAGTGATTCTCTTGCCTCAGTCTCCCTGGTAGCTGGGATTACAGGTGCCCACCACCATGCCTGGCTAATTTTTTGTATTTTTAGTAGAGATGGGGTTTCACCATGTTGACCAGGCAGGTCTCGAGCCCCTGACCTCAGGTGATTCACCCACCTCGGCCTCCCAAAGTGCAGGGATTACAGGCGTGAGCCACCGCGCCCTGCCAAAGAATAATATTTTTAATAAACTTAGTGTAGTAGCCTAGGTGACAGTGTCTTTAAAGTCTACAGTAGTGTACAGTATTGTCCTAGGCCTCCACATTCATTCACCACTCACTCACGGACTCACCCAGAGCAACTTCCAGTCCTGCAAGCTCCATTCATGGTAAGTACCCTAAACAGGTGTACATTTTAAATATTTTATATGATATTTTTACTGTGCCTTTTCTATGTTTAGCTATGTTTAGATACACAAATACTTATTATTGTATTATAATTGCCTACAGTATTCGGTACAGTCACGTGCTGTACAGGTTTGTAGCCTAGGAGCAATAGTCTATCTCTTATAGCCTAAGTGTGTAGCAGGCTACACATCACAGAGTGTGTAAGGACACTCTCTGATGTTTGTACAACATTGAAATCACCTAATGACACATTTTTCTGATGGTATTCCTGTGGTTAACAGATACATGACTGTGCTCCAAGAGTTAACATCTAGTCTACAAATTCTTTTCAAAAGTAATGAAATTCTTATGAACACTGCATTTAATAATTAAAGAGGCCAATAGAGAATTAATGACATAAATTAACAATCGATGACACTTTGTAGACATTTGATTAAACATTTATTAATTTGGATGATTCTGTAGTTTTTACATTTTGGAGCCAAGACTTTTCTCAGGTTTTAAACATTTATTTAGGTCCCTGAGAAGCTCATGGGCTTTCAGCATGTCCTCTGAGACCACTTTACCTGAAAGATAAGTGGCCTGATGTCACCTACCCATAGGAAAGCTATGAAGAATAAAAATTAGATACTAGATGAAAGCACTTAGCATAGTGTCTAGTAAACACTGAGCACCTAATTAGAAGTAGTAGATGTTAGTAAATGTATCTGCACACATGTACGCACAAACTCATTGATTCACTCAAACATTTTTTATTGGGCACTCACTATGTGCTGGGCAAGGCAATGTTCTAGGTGCCAAGGATATAGTAGGGAACAAACCCACCAAGAACCCTGTCCTTGTGGAATTTACATTCTAGTTGTGAGAGCTAGACATAAGCAATAAGCATTAAAAATCAGAAAGGAGGCCGGGTGCATTGACTCCTGCTTGTAATCCCAGCTCTTTGGGAGGCTGAGGTGGGAGGATAGCTTGAGCCCGGGAGTTTGAGGCTGCAGTGAGCTAGGACCACACCACTGCACTCCAAGCCTGGGCAACAGAGTGAGTCTCTGTCTCACACACATATATATATGTGTGTGTGTGTGTGTGTGTATATGTATATACATATAGGTATATACGTACGTATATACATATATATATATAGAGAGAGAGAGAGTGAGAAACAGAGAGAGAGAGAAAAATAAGAAAGGCATACAGTATGTTAGAAGGCCATGAATGCCTTGGGAGAGGGCCTGGCATGTTCTAGAACAGCAAGGAGGCCATTGTGGCTGGGATGGAGAGAGGGAGGAGAGTGGCAGAAGACCAGGCCAGAGGGGAAATGGGGCCAGCTCATGTAGGGCCTGGTAGGCCACAGGAAGGGCTGTGTTCAGTGGGAGCCCCTGCAGGGTTCTAAGCAGAGGAACATGAGGGACTGAACATACACGTGCACCATGGCCAGACCCTGTGGAAACTAGAACTCTGAGCCTAACCTGCAGCAAGCTGCCCAGGAAACCAACCCCCTCATCTGGAATCCACAGCCCAGGATGCCAGTCTGCTATAAGTCAGACATGAAGGAAGCCAGATCACTATCTCCAGTAGCCATCCAGGAAGCAAAACAATAACTTCTCTAACAATCAGCCCCGAAAGGCCAGGACTTGATTAAAAACTGGCAGCTTCCCTAATTTTTGTCCCAGCTTCCAACTTAGGGCCAGCAAGAGAAAGCCAAATATGCACCCACCCCTCCCCAGCCAATCTCAGAATCCCCTCCAAATTATCCCACCCAGCTTCTCCAGGCCAATAGCCTCCAATCAGGGCACACCCCAAGCCTTCCCCCACCTCCTTTCCCGCACCCCTACCCCCGGCCCACCGACAATAAGGCTCAGCCTGATTTTGAGTCCCTACAAAAATGCAAGTGATGCTGGCTGACAACCTTGCTACAGCAAGCTCTGAATGGTTTTTGTTTATTTCTACAAATGGTAGGATCTGTCTTACGAAGCTGCTTTATTGAGAATAGATTGTATGTAAAAGCAGACCCATTAAGAAACTGTTCCAAGACTCCATCTCAAAAAAAAAAAAAAAAAAAAAAAAAAAAAAAAAAAAAAAGCGGCTGTTGCAATAATCCAGGCAAGAAAAGAGAGTGGTGTGGACCAGGCTGGTAGCAGGGCGGGAGGTGGACTCTGGTTATTTGTATTCTAAGTTGTTAATTTTGAAATAATTGTAGGGTCACAGAAGGTCACAAAGGAATGTAGAGAGAAGTCCCATGTTCCCTACCTCTCATGCGAACAACTCACATAACCAGAGTACAGTATCAAAACGAAGAAATGGAACATCGGCACAATCCATTGAGTTTATTCAGATCTAACCAGTTATGCACGCACCCATTTGTGTGTGTGTTTGTGTGTGCCTGTAGGAAATGGGAAATCATGTATATAGTGAGAAAAATAGAGTTGGCCTTTGTCCCTGGTTCTTGGCACAGATCTTTTAAAACCCTCCTAAAATTTCCTGAGTTACAGTGATGTTTTGTTATTCATAACAAACCCCTTTCAACCATACCTGAGCTTATGTTAATGAGGACCCTAAATAGTTTCTGGATACAGGCTGCTGATCAGAAAGACTAAGCCATGATTGATGATGAGAGAGTTGGAACTTTCAGCCTCACTCTCTGACCTCCAGGGAGTGGACAGTGGCTAGGGATGGAGTTCAGTCACCAATGACCAATGATTTCATCAATCATGCCTCTGTAATGGAACCTTCATAAAGTTCCAAAACAATGGAGTTTGGAGAGCTTCTGGGTTGGAACACATGGAGATGCTGGAGGGGTGACGCCCAGAGCAGGCAGGGAGGCTCTGCACACCCACCCTACAATACCCAGTCCTATGCATCTCTTCACTTGGCTGTTCCTGAGTTGTATCTTTTACAATAGACCAGTAATGGTGAAGTAATGTGTTTTTTTGAGTTCTGTGAGCCATTCTAGCAAATTATCAAACCTGAGGAATGGAGGTCACGGGAACCTCCAAATTTGTAGTTGGCTGGACAGAAGTGTGGGTAACCTGGGGACCCAGTACTTGTGACTGGCATGTGAAATGGGGGTAGTTTTGTTTTGTTTTGTTTTGTTTTTTTGGAGACATCGAGTCTCACTCTGTCACCCAGGCTGGAGTGCAGTGGCACGATCTCGGCTCACACAACCTCCGCCTCTGGGTTCAAGCAATTATCCTGTCTCAGCCCCCCAAGTAGCTGGGATTACAGGCACTCGCCACCACTCCTGGCTAATTTTTGTACTTTTAGTAGAGATGAGGTTTCACCATGTTGGCCAGGCTGGACTCGAACTCCTGACCTCAGGTGATCCGCCTGCCTCGGCTTCCCAAAGTTCTGGGATTACAGGCATGAGCCACCACACCCAGCCATTTTTTTTTTTTTTGAGATGGAGTTTCACTCTTGTTGCCCAGGCTGGAGTGCAATGGCGTGACCTCAGCTCACTGCAACCTCCACCTCCTGGGTTCAAGCAATTCTTCTGCCTCAGCCTCCCGAGTAGCTGGGATTACAGGTGCCCGCCACCAGGCCTGGCTAATTTTTGTATTTTTAGTAGAGACAGGGTTTCACCATGTTGGCCAGGCTGGTCTCGAACTCCTGACCTCAGGTGATCCGCCCGCCTCAGCCTCCCAAAGTGCTGGGATTACAGGTGTGAGCCACTGCGCCTGGGAGAAATGGGGGTAGTCTTATGGGACTGAGCCCTTCAGCCTGTGGAGTCTGACACTAACTCCAGGTTAGTATCAGAATAGAATTGAATTATTGAACACCCAATTGGTATCACAGAAGCAGAAAATCGATTGGTGTTGGAAATGATACCACTTATTTGGTATCAGCACAAAGACCACAAAAAAGCTTTTTTTTTTTTTTTTTTTTGAGACAGAGTCTCACTCTGTTTTCAGGCTGAAGTGCAGTGGCACAATCTTGGCTCACTGCAACCTCCTCCTCCCGGGTTAAAGCAATTCTTCTGCCTCAGCCTCCTGAGTAGCTGGGATTACAGGCACACACTGCCACACCCGGCTAATTTTTGTATTTTTAGTAGAGACGGGGTTTCACCGTGTTGGCCAGGTTGGTCTCGACCTCCTGACCTCGTCATCCCCCCACCTCAGCCTCCCAAAGTGCTGGAATTACAGATGTGAGCCGTCGCACCCAGCCAACCACAAAGTAGCTCTATGTAAATTTGCCCTATGTGTAGCCTGGAGTAGCCACCAGAATGACCGAGGTGCTCAACTGTACCATCACCACAAAGCCTCTCGTGTAACCCCTTTACAGCCACACCCTCCCCTCCCTTCTGATATGGTACTGATCTGGGTCCCCACCAAACCGGGTGGAGTTCTCATGAATGGATTAGCACCATGAGATCTAGTTGTTCAAAAGTGTGTAGCACCTCCCATCTCTTTTCCTCCTGCTCTGGCCATGTAAGTGGTGCCTGCCTCCTCCTTTGCCCTCCCCATGGTTGTAAGTTCCCTGAGGCCTCCCCAGAAGCTGAAGCCACCACGCTTCCTGTACAGACTGCAGAACCATGAGCCAATTAAACCTTTTGTCTTTATAAATTACCCAGTCTCAGGTATTTCTTTATAGAAAGAGGAGAACGGACTAATACACATTCCTAACTCCTGACAACCACTAGTCTATTCCCTCTCTAATTATATTATTTGCCGTGTAAATAGAATCATGCAGTGATGTATCCTTTTGAGGCTGGCTTTTTCACTCAGCAAAAGTTCATCCAAGTTGTTGCTTGTACCAATAGTTCATTCCTTCTACAGCAGAATAGTATCCTGTGGTATGAATATACCATAGTTTGTGAGTATTTTCTGGTTTAGGGCTATTATAAATAAAGCTTCTATGAACATTTGTGTACAAGTTCCACCATGAAAATAAGTTTTCATTTCTCTGGGAAAAATGCATGACAGTGCAATTGCCGGGTTTTATGATAAGTCCATTTTTATTTTTGAAAGGAACTGGTTATATTTTGAACATGGGGCCAACAGGATTATCTGACAAATTGAACGTGGGTTTGAGAGAAAAGAGGAGTCAGGGATGGTTCTAAATGAAAGCATGCTGGAACACAGTAAGGGCTTGGTAAATGTCAGCTGCACAAGTGGTAGCAAATACAGCTGCAATCATGAAAGAAATGAGAAAAACCACGAGGCACTGTAAGCCATGAGACATTGCCCTAGAAGGCATTTAGAGTCACTCATTTGCATATGTTAAAAGTGAAAGAGAAGAGTGTTTTATTTCCTCTTAGGATATAGAAAAACCACAAGGGAACATCATTCCCATTCTTTTCTGGGGGGGCTCCAGTGATCATCCCACCTCAGCCTCCTGAGTAGCTGGGACTACAGGCTCCTGTCGCCATGTCTGGCTAATTTTTTTTTTTTTTTTTTTTTTTTTTTTGTAGAGACAGGGTTTCCCCATGTTGCTCAGGCTGGCTGGTCTTGAACTCCAGGGCTCAAAGGGTCCACCCACCTCACCCCCGAAAGTGCTGGGAGTACAGGAATGAACCACCCCGCCCCCCGACTCTAACAATAACAAAACACCAGATAATTTGCAAAACCATAATTTCTTAAACCAGTCAGATAGCTGAGGTGGCAGGCAACCAAGAGAACTGAATTCCAAAGAGTGACAAGCCCCTCCAAGGAAAGGCAAGACCAACTGTCTTGGGCAGAGCATGTGGTGGGCAGGAGGGAGTCTGCCCTGCCTTCTGAGCTTTTTGCACAGGCCTTCACTGCAGGAAAAAGACTGGAGGCAGAGGGGGAGCCGGGAGAGACCCCTCCCCCTTGCTGGTGGCACAAGCACTCAAGCGGTGATTGACTGCTGTGCAGCGACCCCCACCTGCTTCCCCAGGACGATTCTCTCTGGGCAAAACCACGTGGGAGGCTGCACTCTCTGGCCCCAGGGCTGCTGCGGGAGAGGCAGAAACGAAGATCCACTGCTTCTGGGGCAGGATCAAAGTAAACACCACTTGCCCCTGTGGGAGGCGCAGGACGCACTCTCCTGTGTTAAACCCACAGGAGATAGAAGGCACGACAGGAGGGACAGGAGCACTTCGAAGACTCCACCTTCTGAGACCCTAGTACACAGGCTCTGCGGAGGCTGGGCCAGGAGAATGGAGCAACATCCCACCGTCCGGAAACCCTTTAACACACGTCCACAAACTGCCTCCACTACTAGCCCAACCAAGAGTAGCAGCAACGGCATTTACCACCAGGGGGCGGGCAAGAGCACACAGAGACATTTACCACCAGGAGGAGGGCAAGACCACGCATCCCCTAGGTAGTGCAGGCGAGCAGGGGTTGCTGAGAGCTGAGGGTGGAGCCGCAACTTCCAGAAAATTTCCGGGACCCTCAGGCTGTCTGTGAGAAACACACTTTAAATATAAAAACCTAGGGCTGGGGCGGTGGCTCACACCTGTAATCCCAGCACTTTGGGAGGCCTAGGCGGGCTGATCTCCTGAGGTCAGGAGTTCGAGACCAGCCTGGCCAACATGGTGAAACCCCATCTCTACTAAAAATACAAAAATTAGTCGGATGTGGTGGCACATGCCTGTAATCCCAACCACTTGGGAGGCCGAGGCACGAGAATCGCTTGAACTCGGGAGGTGGAGGTTGCAGTGAGCTGAGATCACGCCATTGCACTTCAGCCTGGGCAACAGAGCGAGACTCTGTCTCAAAAGAAATAAAAAATAATAATAAAGACCTAGATAGCCTAAAACCAAAGGAATGGAAAAAAGGCATGCCATGCAAACACTAATCCAAAGAAAGCTCAAGTGTCTATATTAATGTCAGATGAAGCAGAAACAGAGAATATTTCCAGGAATAAAGAAGGACTGTATATAAAGGGGTTGATTCATCAAGAGGACATCATAACTGTCCATGCATGTGCACTGGAGAACACAGTCAGGGTACATGCAATCGAGACCGTTAGAGCTGAAAGGAGAAATAGACACATCCACTCTTCTCTCAATATTTGGTAGAGCGAGTACACAGAAAATCAGGCTGGGTATGGGTAACTTGAATAACACTAATAACCAACAATCTGATTGACATTTATAGGACATTTCGCACAACAACAGCAGAATACACATTCTTTTTGAGTGCCCATGGAACTTTAGCAAGATAGACCATATTCTGGGCCATAAAGCAAATCTTAACAAATTAAAAATAATTGAAATCATACAAAGTATGTTTTCTCACCATAATGAAATTAAACTATAAATCAGTAACAGAAAGATATCTGGAAAGTCCCCAAATGTTTGGAAATCAAACAACACACTTTTAGATAACTTATGGTTCAAAGAAGAAACCATGAGGATAATTAGAAATATTCTAATGGAAATAAAAATACAACATATCAACACTGTCGATGAAAAGAGTCGAACTCTGTAAAATATTTTAGGAGATTTATTCTAAGCCAAATATGAGTGACCATGGCCCGTGACACAGCCCTCCGAAGCTCCTGAGAACATGTGAACATGTGCCCAAGATGGTCGGGGTGCAGCTTAGTTTTATATATTTTAGGAAGCATGAGACATCAGTCAAATACATTTAAGAAATACATTGGTTTGGTTCAGAAAGGAGGGACAACTCAAAGTGGGGACTTCCAGGCTATAGGTAAATTTAAACATTTTCTGGTTGACAATTGGTTGAGTTTGTCTGAAGATCTGGGATCAATAGAAAGGAAATGTTCAGGTTAAAATAAAGGATTGTGGAAACCAAGTTTTATTGTGCAGAGGAATCTCTCAGATAGCAGACTTCAGACAGAGAGGAGAGAGAGAGCAGGTTGTAAAATGTTTCTTATTAGACCTAAAAGAGTGCCTGGCTCTTAGTTGATTATCTCCTGGATCTGGAAAGGAAGGAAGGAAAACAAAGGGGCAAGGGGATTCTCTATAGAATGTGGATTTTTCCCACAAGAGACTTGCAGGGCAATTTCAAGCTATGGCAGGGAAATATATTTTGGGGTTAAATATTTTTTCCTTGTCTCGTAATGTTATACCAGAGTCAGATTGAAAAGTAAGTCACAATATATAAATAAAACCCATCTGATGAGAATTTAGGATTTGTAGGGCATGACTCCCTAGATCCCTTAGATAGAAATTTGGGCAAAATCAAAAATTAGAACTTAGTCCTAAAAACTCATGGGATACCATTTATTGCAGTGCTTACAGAAAATCTTTGTGACATTGTTTAAGTTAAGATTTAGATAGGACAAAAAACACAGCCCATAAAAGGAAAAAAAACCGATAAATTGGCTCTTATCAAAATTAAAAACTTCCGCTCTTTAGAAGGTACTAGTAAAAAATGAGAAGACAAACGACAGATTGGGAAAAAATATTTGCAAAACATATCACTGATGAATAACTTGTATCCAGAATAGATAAAGAATTCTTCCAACTCAATAATGAGACAAACAAGCCAATTAAAAATGGGCAAAGGATCTGAACAGAAATTTCATCAAAGAAGAGATATCCTGGCAAACAACCACATGAACACATGCTCAACATTGTTAGTCACTAGGGAAATGAAAATTTAAACCAGAATGAAATACAGTCAGCCCTCGGTATCTACGGGTTCCACATCCACGGATTCAACCAACTGCACAGTGAACACACAGATAAAAAATATTGAAAAAAATAACAATACAACAATAAAAACAATACAAATAAAAACAATACAGCATAACAACGATTTACATAGCATTTAAATTATATTAGGGATCATAAGTAATCTAGAGATAAATTAAAGTAGAGCGGGTTATGTGCCTGGGTTATATGCAAACGCTGCACTATTTTATATCAGGGACTTGAGCATGCCCGGGGTTTCCTATTTTCAGGAGTCCTGGAATCAGTCCCCAGGAATATGGAAAGATGACTGCCACAGGATACCTACTAGAATGGCTTTTAAAAAGAGGATACAGGCCAGGCACAGTGGCTCATGCCTGTAATCCCAGCATTTTGGGAGATTGAGGCAGGCGGATCACGAGGTCAAGAGATTGAGACCATCCTGGCCAACATGGTGAAACCCTGTCTCTACTAAAAATACAAAAACTAGCCAGGTGTGGTGGCACGTGTCTGTAGTCCTAGCTACTTGGGAAGCTGAGGCAGGAGAATCGCTTGAACCCAGGGGGCAGAAGTTGCACTGAGCCGAGATTGCACCACTGTACTCAAGCCTGGCAACAGAGTGAGACTCCGTCTCAAAAAAAAAAAAAAAAAAAAAAAAAAAAAAAAAAAAAAAAAAAGAGGATATAATGTGTCTGGTGAGCATGTAGCCACTTTGTTTTTGTTTTTTGTTTTCAGACAAGATCTCCCTCTGTCACCCAAGTTGGAGTGCAGTGGCTAGACCATAATTCACTACAGCCTCAAACTCCTGGGCTCAGGTGATCCTCCCATCCCTGCCTTCTGAGCAGCTGGGACTACAAGTGCCCACCACCATCCCTAGCTAATTGTTGTGTTTTTTGTAGAGACAGTGTTTCACCATGTTGCCCAGGCTGGTCTTGAACTCCTGAGCTCAAGTGATCCGCCTGCCTTGGCCTCCCAAAGTGTTTGGATTACAGGCATGTGCCACCACCCCTGGTCAAATATCTTAAATAATGTACATTTCAAAATTATCAACAGAATAAATTCCAAATGTTCTTACTACAAAAAATAAGAACAGTATTTGAGGTGATGGATATGTTAATTAGCTCAGTTTGATTATTCAACATCATATTAATACATCATAACATCACTTCATACTCCATAGATACAACTGTTATTTGTCAGTTTACAATTAAAAATAAGATTAGGCCGGGTGCAGAGGCCCATGCCTCTAATCCCAGTACTTTGGAGGCCGAGGTGGGCGGATCACTTGAGAGACCAGCCTGGCAAACGTGGAGAAAACCTGTCTCTGCTAAAAATACAGAAATTAGCCAGGCGTGGTGGTGGGCACCTGTAATCTCAGCTACTCAGGAGGCTGAGGTAGGAGAATCGTTTGAACCCGGGAGACAGAGGTTGCAGTGAGCTAAGATTGCACCACTGCACTTCAGCCTGGGCAACAGGGTGAGACTGTCTCAAAAATGAAAAATAGGCCTGGCACGGTGGCTCCTGCCTGTAATCCTAGCACTTTGAGAGGCCAAGGCAGGCAGATCACAAGGTCAGGATTTGGAGACCAGACTGGCCAGCATGGCGAAACCCCGCCTCTACTAAAAATATAAAAAATTAGCCAGGCATGGTGGTGTGTGCCTGTAATCCCAGCTACTTGGGAGGCTGAGACAGGAGAATTGCTTGAACCTGGCAGGCGGAGGTTGCAGTGAGCCAAGATCACGCCACTGCATTCCAGCCTGGGCCACAAAGTGAGACTCAGTCTCAAAAATAAATAAATAAAAATAAAATTTAAATTAAAAAAGCATTATGTTAAGTGAAGCAAGCCAGATATAGAAGGCCACATACTATGTGGTTCCACATATTTGAGATTCTGGAAAAGACAAAACTACAGAAACAGAAAACAGCTTAGTGGTTGCCGGGGGCTGGAGGTGGGAGGTAGAAAACGGAGCACAAAGAGGCAAGAGGGAAGTCCTGAGTGATGGAGGTATTACATCTTCACTGTGGGGGTATTTATATCACTGCATATATTTGTCAAAACTCATCAAACTGTTCACCTAAAAAGGGTAAATTTTGCTGTATGCAGATTATTTCTTTGCCAGACACTGTGGCTCATGCCTGTAATCCCAGCATTTTGGGAGGCAGAGGCAGGAGGATTACTTGAGCTCAGAAGTTTGAGACCAGACTGGGCAACATGGCGAAACCCTGTCTCCGCAAAAAAATACAAAAAATAAATAAATAAAATTAGCCAGGCATGGTGACACGTGCCTCTAGTTCCAGCCACTTGGGAGGCTGAGGTGGGAGGATTGCCTGAGCCCAAGGAGGTCGAGGCTGCAGTGAGCCATGATCTGCACTCCAGCCTGGGCGACAGAGTGAGACCTCGTCTCAAAAAAATATGTATTTCTTAATATACTTGAATTTTTGTGAAGAAGTGGAAGGGGCAATGGCTGTGAATCAGAAATGAGATGGCCTCTGATGTCACATATCTGAAATAGGGTGTCCTCCAGCTGCAGCGATGATCTGTTCCCTGGCTGAGAAGCTCCCAGGCTGCTGCAACTCCAGCAGAGGGCAAGGTCTCTTTTTCTCACCTGGCACAGGGGCACTACCAGCTGGATCATGTCCCTTGGGCCCAGGATTCGGTTTCCCAGGGCACGACAGGCACTGTTTCCCAAGTTTTCGGGGGTATGCATGTTGATACAGCAAAGAGGGCATTTATTAGGACTTGCTTATTCAATCATGTTATCAAACCCTGCAGGGAAAAGGTAGAGAAGGTAGCCACCTACCATAAAAAGGAAAAAAAGCACAAAAAATACTTAAGAACTTCTCAGCAAGGAAAAGAAATAACAGCCGGGCATGATGGTTCACACCTGTAATCCCAGCACCTTGGGAGGCCGAGGCGAGTGGATCATTTGAGGTCAGGAGTTTGAGACCAGCCTGGCCAACATGGTGAAGCCCCATCTCTACTAAAAATAAAAAAATTAGCTGGGCATGGCAGCAGGCACCTGTAGTCCCAGCTACTCAGAAGGCTGAGGCAGGAGAATTGCTTGAACCCGGGAGATGGAGGTTGCACTGAGTCGAGACAGCGCCACTGCACTCTAGCCTGGCGACAGAAAGAGACTCAGTCTCAAAACAAACAAAAAAAAGAAATGATGAATGATCACTCTAACAGGATATTGTGGTTAACTATGTTGCCAGTCAACAGCAGTAATCCAAGCTGTAGCCTTTCTGCATATTTGCAAGCTTTGGACACCTGCTTCATTTTACTCTTTGCTTCCTGAGAGGGGGCGCTTAGGACCACAGAAGTGAATGTTGTGTCCAAATTGCCTGGACCCAGATATCAGGTTCCAGTTTTGCCCTAGCACACATCTGGTGGAGGGGAAAGCATGCCAAACACGGGCTGCATCTGGTATTACAATGGTACAGGATTCCACTGGTGGCATTTTATCCAGGACTTCTGTATTCACAGCCAGGAGTAAAATTGGTCTGTGGTTATCAGCGTGAGGGTGGGTGGCGCAGGATAGCAATCTTTATCAGAGTTTGGTGTTAGGATTAGCTTAATAAAATCAATTCAGAAGCATAAAATCAATTCAGCATTTTCCCCATATGCTCTGGAAGAGTTTACATAACACAGAAATTCACTGTTCTTCCAGTTTGAAATAACTCATGCTAAAACTCCCTAGGGCTGGTGTCTTTCTTAGAGATGATAATTTTTAAATTTTCTTCTGTGGTAATTGGTCTTTTTGTGCTTTTCACTCGAGTCAATTTTGGCAATTTAGAAATACTAGAAAATTATTATTTAATGTTGGGACACTCCAATTTATAAGCATGCACTAGTTTCTTCAATTTCAAAAGTCATCTCCATGGCTGTGTTCTTATCCCTTCTAATCCCATATTTTTCTATTAATATTTTGTTGACTAGCCGATGATTTATTTATTTATTTTTGAGACAGGGCTTCACTCTGTTGCCCAGGCTGGAGTACGGCAGCACAATCTCAACTCACTGCAACCTCCACTTCCTGAGCTCAAGCAATCCTCCCACCTCAGCCTCCCAGATAGCTGAGACTATAGGCGTGCACCACCAAGCCCCGCTAATTTTTGTGTATTTTGTAGAGACAGGGTTTCACCATGTTTCCCAGGCTGATCTCAGACTCCTGGGCTCAAACGATCCACCCACCTCAGGCTCCCAAAGTGCTGAGATTACAGGCATGAGCCACGGCACCCAGCCAGTTTATCTATTGTAATTTGCCCTCTCTCTCACCCATAAAGAACAATCTAAGTCTGAATTACACTACCACACTACTTCTAGGAGGAATTAGGCTTCTCACCAATCCTTTTCAAGCTGCGGTTTCCAGGAGCCACACATGATTCTAGAGGACTCGTGGAGGAAGGAGATGATGGGATGGTTTGAACAGTGTTCTTGCCATGTTTCAGAGCACAGACCTATGGCTTCTTTCCTGGTCCCACATGCCTTTGAGGATCTGGAGGAACCTATGCCCTGTCTCCAGAAATGTGCCTGTGTTGGAATTCTGGCTCTCCCATTCACTAGCTGACGGAACTAGGGCAAGTCACATGACTTCTCTGTGCCTCAGTTTGTCCATCTACAAAATGGGAATGACAGTGTCTCCCTCATAGAGTTCTTGTGAGGATTAAATGGGCTTAACCTTTGTAGAGCATTTAGAGCAGGGCCTGGCCCATGGCTAAGTGTTGAAGAAATTAGTGAGTGTCACTAATATTATTGGCATTCCCCTGCTAGGTCTTTTCCTCTTTCTCATTCCTAGGAGGTACTTGTGACTCCTCATCTTAAGGGCCAGAATCCAAAGCTGATTCCTTGAACCAAGGCACATGGCAGGGATGATGGAAGGTTGCCCCAGAGAGGAAGAGGAAAAGAGTGAGTAGTTAGAAGGGAGTGAAGACAGGCCGAGGAAAGAGGCTGGGAGAGTTCCCTGGGCTGGGGAGGTGGTGGCTATGGTTGTGGTGGTGGCTCTGGCTCTGCTAGTAACGAGGACAGTGCCTCCTGGCAGTGCCCTGGGGAGGTGGCGAACCTCGAGGGACATGGCTGCCCATGTGCCCAAGCTTTGCAGGAAGTGGAGACACCGCCCCTGGAGGAGAGTGAATCAGCCAGGGAGCGGTGACCAGGAGGACTAAAGACCACAGGACTCCTCTCTGAAGTTCTGAAGTTCAAGGTGTCTAGGGTGGGAGTAAATGATTCAGGACTTTGACTTTCCCACCTGGTAGCCAGGGGGCTCAACGCATATTAAACGTGATTTTGAAAAAGTTTTTTTTAAAGCTATTTCACATAAAAGGAGACCAGAATCCTTACCTGCTTCCTCTGCCTTCCATATGTTGAGTTTTGTCGTTAAAGCTTTTCCAGGACTTTGCCATCCTTCTCAGAAAAGCTCAGCTGCAACTTTCAGGGTGGTGTGTGTCACAGGCACCCTTGGGTCCCAGCATCTGGCTGCTCTCCTGACCCTTATGCATGGGCTTTAGCGAGGTTCCTGGGTGTGGTCAGTGCCTCTCATTCTCTCTGGCCAGCTGGTGCCAACCCTGGCCAGGTCTGCCCACGGGCACCGCCTGCATGACTCAGTCTGGGGGATGCGAGGGGAAGTTGCAGGGAGGTGTGCAGTTGCTTTCCAACAATGCTGTGGTTGTGGTGTGGATCCGGACGCAGCCGTGGTGAGGAATGGCTGGGGAGGGCCCATCCGTATGAGTAGCCGGCAGGGACTCAGTGCCTGGACATTCAAGGGGGTGTGGTCTCTCTTGCCTTGACCACAAATGGGTGGAGAGCCTGGCAGGAGCTGGGAAATGGGCCCCCTAACCAAGGCTGGAGTAAGTAGGGAAAGCGGTAATCCCCCCCACCCAAGGAGGTGCTGATGGAGCCCTGGCCAATGCCAGCAGCCTCAGGGGGCATCAGAAGGAGCCTTGGCTTGTGGGCCAGCGTGGGGTGCGCGGAGTCAGGCTCAGAGGCCTCCAGTGCAGAGAGGAGGCTCAGGTGGGGTAAGGAGTTGGGGCCCAGGCTCCAGCTCTCTTCAGGGTTAAATGCTGGAAGCTCTGTTTTCAAGGATCTGTAAATATCCTTACGAGCCCTCCACCCCTAGCCGAGCAGTCTATTAAAGGGCTCTCTTCTGAGTCATTTTTTTTGAGGATGAAGAAGCTCTTCATCTAAAAGTGAGACAGGACATGGGACCAGCGCCACCATTCTCACGTTGGTTATCAGGTGCTTCCCTAACACAGGCCCTGCCAACTTCTCAAAACAGGTGGGATTCTAGTGGAAGGAGAGGAAACAGAATGGGTGGGATTTTAGCCTGGGCCCTCCCTGCAGGGGGCTGCTGCCCTGGGTGGGAGCGCACAGTGTAATGCACAGGGGGTGTGGGCATCTGAGGTGCAGGGGGAGGGAGAAGGTCAAGGCTGTGGCCAAGATGGTAGGCCGCAGAGGGGTCAGGTCTGGGCTGGCTTTCAGAGCCCACCCCGCCCTGCCAAGGGCCCAGGGCACCTCTGTCTCTATTAGCAGGCCCTTCCAAGGGTTTCAGGCCAGCCCTGGTTTGAGGTCCAGTACCCCCACTTCAGGCCTCTCTCTGTGGCATCCTCCAAGCCAGATAACGCCCCAGCCCTCACCAGGCTGCAGCCCTAGCAGTGCCTCTGCTGGCTCCCTGCTCCCCTTCTGAGGCAGTCCCCCTGCTGCTTGCCCACCTTCCCCCAGGCTGGACTTTGCCTATCACTCCCTACCCAGCCTCCTTCTACCTCCCATTTCCTCCCCTCCCTCTCTTCTCTTCCCCTGCCCCTTCTTCTCTGCCAGGTAAGGACTAGCAAGACACTCAGCCCCCTCAGGACAGATAGGGAGACTGAGGCCCACTGAAGGACAGAGTCAGGGCCACAGCTGTGCCCCCTGCCAGGTGTCGCCTCTGCTGTCTCTGTCCTTCCTGCTGTCCAGTCACATCCACCAGAGTCATTTACTTAGTAGACCCCGAGGACCAGCCCAAGGGAAGGCTGCGGGGCAGGGGGTGGGGGTCTGTTTCACCTCAAGGTGTTTCTAACAGCAAATGTCTCGAGAAGCAGTGAGCTCCCCAGCCCTGGGGCTGAGCAAGAAGAGGACAGGGAGGGATGCTGGGCAGGTGACTTGAGGCCCTTACAGCCCAGGTGGATTCCTGCACACCAGTGCCCAGTGTACCAGCAGAGACCCTCTTGGTCTGTGCAGCCCAGAAGGAGGTGCTGGGTCAGGAGTGAAGATGGCACCTATGGTTTTTTTGTTGTTGTTGTTTTGCTTTTCTTTTTTTTTTTTTTTTGAGGTAGAGTCTTACTCTATCGCCCAGGCTGGAGTGCAGTGGCACAATCTTGGCTCACTGCAACCTTCGCCTCCTGGGTTCAAGCGATTCTCCTGCCTCAGCCTCCCGAATAGCTGGGATTACAGGCGCGTGCCACCATGCCTGGCTAATTTTTGTATTTTTAGCAGAGATGGGGTTTTGCCGTGTTGGCCAGTTGGTCTCGAACTCCTGACCCCAAGTGATCTGCCCGCCTCGACCTCCCACAGCGCTGGAATTACAGGCGTGAGCCACTGCACCTGGCTGAGATGGCACCTATGTAACCTTTGTCCAGCATGCAAGGCTCGGGTGCCTCCTCCCATGCCCCTGTGTGTCCGTGGCAGGGTGGGGGTGGGAGAGTCCTGAATGAGGCCACACAGTGCACCCCAGTTGAAGGGGAGAGGGGATGGTTAAGGAAGGCTTCGAGAAATCGGGGTTTCAGCTGGCCTTGAAGGGGCAAACGGAAGGGTGAAGGGACCAGTGGGCCTGAGTCCCTGCGTCACGTGACCTGGCCTCCAGTGGGCCTCACACACCCCTCCCTGGGCCTGGCTTGGTGGGGTGAGCCCAACAGGTGAGCTCTATCTAGGGAGGGGCCCGAGCCAGGTGACAGCAAGAACAAGGAACAAGCAGGCTGTTCCTCCATGCAGTGACAGCCAGACAGACCTCAAGAGGCTGAGGCCGAGCTGGGAGAGCACTCCTCTCCCAGCCGCCCTCCTCAGCTCAGCGCCTGCTGGGCCCCTGCCGTCTTGACAGTTTTTCTCTCCCCATTCTCAGGGAGACTCTGCCATTCTACATGGAGTCAAAATACCTGAGGAAACCCTGCCCCCTGAGGTGGGAGCAGCTGCATCTCCTTTCCCGAGGGGCCGTCACTGCTGGGCAGTGCCGTGAAGCTGCACTGATAGGGCCCTGACAGGTCAGCCAGGAAGCGGTGAGGGCTGCCCTGGTCCCTGCGCGTCACGGCTGTCTTCTCTCTTCTCTCTCTATCTCTCTTCTCCTTTGGGTGAAAGCCTCCTCTGCTTTTTGGGGGGCAAAGGGGTATCTGAAGCCCCTCCCCAGAGATCTAATCTCAGAGTCCTCCCAGCATGTGAGGACTGGCCCAGGTGTCCTCACTCTGATGGCAGGCTTGGGGACATCCACCAGCCCCCCTAGAATCTGAACTTCAGGCCAAAGGTTCATGGGCACGCGGGAGCACTGTGTCTGGGAGTCTCCTTGTGTGCTCCCCACCTCCCCACACTTTGTGATGTGTGGGCTTTTTGGAAAAGCCACCCTTACTCTCTCCTTCCATCCAATTCTGTGTTCAGGGCCATAGCTCATCTGCTGAGGGTACAGATCTCCCCAGAAAACTGCACACACCCGGCATTTGGCCCTGGCCTAGGGCTTAGAGACGTGAGCTCCAGCACTGTGTCTGCCTTGAACTTGCCTGTGGTCTCAGACAGGCTTCAGTTTTCTGACCTGAGAAATGGGGGCTTTTGTCTCTACCTCATACGGGCCTCCTGACAGTCTGGAATTGGTTGACCTTGTCTGACCCCCTCCCAAGCTCACTCCTGGGAGTATCTAGGAAGGAGAGGGGGTGGGGCTGCAATAAGGACAGCATCTTGGGAAGCACACACCGGCAGGGGATGCAGCAGAATGGCAGCCCTGGATGACAGGCATGTGCCTGTACTCCTCTCACCCGTCCTGGTCCAGCTCCAGAGGGAGAGTGGCAGAGCTGCGGCACCTACCCTGTCAGCAGAGTTAAATCCCAGCCAGACCTGCAGAGGAAGGGCCGAGGGAGGGCTGCAGCCACACCCACTCCACCCTGCTGCCTGGGCTGGTGAGTGGCCCAAGGGCTCCAGGGGACTGGGCCAGAACCCTCCTGGATGCATAGCATGGCTCCAAGAAGCCCTCCCTCTCTACTGCACCAGAAAACCTCCTTGCTACCAGGGACCCTGAGGCAAGGATCGCATCAGAGCCAAAAGCAGGGGACACCTTCTTGGAGGACCTCTGCAAATGGGCTGGGGCTCACCAAGATCTGGAGGGGTGGGTGCTGACACCCTGTAGCTCCCCCGGCACCTCCCCTGCAGCAGTAGCTCATCAACTCTCCATGTCAGTGTGGGAGCCAGGCAGGAGGGCATTCCCATCTTACTCATGAGGAAACTGAGGCCCGGAGATGAAGTCTGACTTGCCCACAGTCACACAGCAGTGAGCAGGATTGGCCCTGGAACCCAGAGCCCTGGTACTTGGACAAAGTCTCTTTCCCTTTCTCACTGGTGTTGCCCCCACAGGGAAGCAGGTGGGTCTGGAGGCATCCCGAGGGCTCGTTGTTCAGGGCCTCGAGGAGGAGAGGCACCACCCTCTCACTTCTTCCTGGTCCATTCCAGTGTCCAGGACCTCTGGGATGCCACAGCCAGGGCAGGGGACGGGGGCTGCAGGGCTGCGGGGCCTCCCTCCATCTCCCACTCACACCCTGTCGGCCTGCAGCCCCACCTCATGATCTCTGCTCAATGCTGTCTCTCTGCCAAGAATCCTCTTCTCCCCTCCCTGCCTGGAAGGAGGCTCTCTCCCATGTGAAGGCTCCCCAGAACCCCTAGGTGCTGCCTCACTGGGCAACGCGTGCTCCCCGTTCCCTGTGGTTATGCGCTCCCTGAGGGCAGAAGCTACGATGCTCCTGCGTGTGCCCTAGCACAGCACCTGGCCTTCAGGAGACTTGAGTTCGGGAGCCTGCAATTGTAAGGGAGTGGGTGGCTGGTGGAGAGTGAACGGTGTGAGAGTGAGAGGGCCAGGAGGGGGACCGGTGGGAGTGTGAGGCTGAAGGCTGAGAAGGGGCAGCAGTGGGCACACGAGCCCAGATAGGAGCAGGGGCTGAGCAGGGAGAGCAGGCTGGTGCCGCCCACCCCGCTGCAGGGCCCTCCCCTAGTCGGATGTGGTCCCATTCCCATGCGACAGGCTTGGCCAAGGGCTCAACCCCACAGGCTTCCACGATGGGCTCAGCGCCCTCATGGTCACTGTGGTCCTGACCGGGTGGTGGCTGCCCTTTCCACATTTGGCGAGGGGAAGGATGATGCCTAAGGACATCCCCCAGGCCCAAACTAGCTGTGGCTGGCCAGCCAGCCAGCAGGCCGCATGCAGAGCCACAGAGTAGAAAAACCTTGTTTTATTCAGCCCAGACCTGGGCAATCTAGCTCTGTGGTATGGCCAAAGTATAAAAAATAAAAACCAACAACAACAAAACAACACTGTAGAGAAAAGTGAAGTATAAAATGGGGTCTGGCGTCCGGAATCCCTGTGGTTTTCATCCACGTTCGCTCCCTGAGGCCGGCAGGGAGGGATGCCCCTCCGTGCCTGTGGGTTGGGGGCTGGGCCCCTCGGCGGGAGGCTGCCCGGGGAGCAGGGCCTGCTTTGGAAGGGGAGAGATTGGCCATCTGTCCCTCCCGGAGATCAGGATCTGAGGAAGGAAAGACAGTGGGTCAATGAGGGGCTGCAAAGTAGGCCCCCGTGGCCTCCTCAGCCAGGGCGTCCCTCCCACAGCCCAGATCCCTCGTGGCAGGGCAGGCATGGGCCTACATTTCCCTCAAGAGAAAGTTCCGACCCCCTCAGCCCAGCTCCAAAAGGAGGGGTTTGATGGACTCCCACCCACCCAGGGCACAGTCTCAGCACATTCCCCTCCCCATGCCCTAGTCCCAGATTGTTTTCTAGGCCATTAGCAGAGCTGCTACTGTCTGGAAATACTTTCTTGTTTTTTCTAACTCAGTACTTTTTTTTTTTTAAGCCTCCTTTTTCCTCCAGAAACACGATGGAAACCCACAGGCGTCAGTCCCGTGGCCTTTCTGGGAACGCTCTGTCCAGCTTCCTGTGCACGCTGGCCCAGCTGCCTGCCTGCGGTCAGGGTCACAGAGACTGAGACACTCTAATAAGGCCCGGCCTTTCCAAGCACTTATGTAAAGAGCTCTTGGAAGGAAGGGCTTTGGCTCCCCCTGCTGCCCACAGGCCCCCGGGGAGCTGGGAGGGCCGCGCAGGCTGCTTCTCCATCTGCCCTGCCGACAGCCCTCCTGGCTGCTCCAGGCGCCTGGCACGTGGGATGCTGTTTCTGTTCCCATCCCCCTTTCCCAGCAGCAGGAGGGATTCCCTGCCTCCCCGAGCCCCCAGCAGCCTCCTTTGTTTCCTGGATACCCCCTTCTTCCTTCCTCCTCCTTCCCTAGAATGGCTTCTACCACTTAGGTGACCCTGGGTCTTGAATGGCTAAGACAGGCCCTGAGGAGCAGGAATGTGCTGGAAACCCAGGCCTGCTAAAGAGCCAAACTGCCAGTGATGGGACAGGAGTTCGTCCTTTCAAACATGCTGTGTGCCCTGGGGAATTCTGATCTCATTCTACTCATGAGGAACCTAATCTCTGCACTGAACTGGAGGCTGCTGTTCCCATTTTTAATATTCATGATGTGGTGGCAGCATGCTGTGAACAGTTAGGTTGATGGTAGCAACCAAGTGTGAGAGGGCTGTCTCTAAATGAGCCTGGCTCTGGTCACAGACTGAGCCCTGACCCTGGCCACACACTAAGCCCTGATCCTGGTCACACACTGAGCCCTGATCCTGGTCACACACTGAGCCCTGAGCCTGGCTACACACTGGGCCCTGACTCTGGTCACAGACTGAGCCCTGACCCTGGTCACACACTGGGCCCTGACCCTAGGTATACACTGAACCCTGATCCTGGTCACACACTGAGCCTTGATCCTGGTCACACATTGAGTCCTAACCCTTGTCACACACTGAGCCCTAACCCTTGTCACAGACTGAATCCTGACCCTGGCCATACACCACACCCTGACCATAGTCATAGGCTTAATCTCTCATACCTGCCATCCATTAATAAGTACACACTTTTAGGGAAAGATACCTCTCTGGGCCTTAAGATCTCTACCACCTTTCTCCCAGTTGATGAACTAAAGCTGAAAGCTCTAGGACTAATTTTTTTTTTTTTTTTTAATGGAAAAGGGTTGCTTCGATCTGGAGTGTGGTGGGGTTTCCTTGTGAGCTTGTAAGCAAGGGGTCCCTCTGCAAACTACTTCACATGGGGAATCAGGAGAAAGACTGAGGACCCTACCCAGCAGCATGTGCCAAAATCCCAAGCCCAGATTTTAGGCACTTCTTCTACAATGGGGGCCTAGGGACTGAAGATGGCTCCTTTGAACCAGAATCACTTCTAATCTGTGACTGTTTAATCCAGTCCACTTGAAAAGGACACTAATGATCACAGCTGCTGTTCACTGTGTGCCACTGTGAACATGCAGACATCAGGCCTGTAGATCCTCATTGCCAGCCTATGTGGAAATACCTATTTTATAGTTGAGGAAAGTAGCTCAGGGAAGTAACCCAATGTCACATAGCGAGGAAGCTGTGGAACTGGGACTGCAGAGCTCATGGCCTTGCATCAAATGACTCTGCCTTCTGCTGGTTTTCACTTGGGACATCTCAGGGAGCCACAGGATGCAGCCCCAGATCAACACCCTACGGCCTGAGCCCCACCGTAAACACTCAGCTTGGGGTTGGCACGGACAAGGCTCTTTTTGATGGGCCCTGCTGCAGCTGCGTTCGGCCATCAAGGTGACCTAAAGTGCAGGTATCTTAGGTATCTCAGGTGGCCTTGCCTGCTCCCCAGGCAGGAAAGGGACGGAGCCAGGAAGGGTGGTGGGCAAACTCTTACTGGACAATTTTGCAGTTTGTTGCAGAAACGTAGCGACCTGTGTAGTGAATGTTGCATCTCACCACGTTGTTGGTGAAGTCAGACTCCAAAACAATATACTTTGGGTTCACGTGCACCTGAGGAAGAAGAGAAACAGGGAGAAAGGGAGTCTAGTCAGGGGGGCTGCACCTCAACTGCTCACCAGAGAAGGTGGTAAAGAGGCAGACAGACAGACAGAGAGGTGACAGAGAGAGGGAGAACAGAGACACACTGCTAGAGAGACACAGAGGGGAAAGAAGAGGCAGCTGGTAATCCAAGAAAACATCATCTAATCCCCCTTATCAGAAGATTGGATGTTTCCCTAGAGCTAGAGCCTATGCCAGGTGGGCCCCGCATGGGGCATTTGGGGTCAGAGAGGTTGGATCCTGCCCGAGGGAATGCAGTAATGAGGAGCTGAGCCAGGATTCAACACCTGGTCTCCCCAAATCCAAGGCTCAAAGTCATTCCCTATGCATCCCTGTCTAGGTGACTGATCGAGGGCCTGTCTGATCCCCTGCTCTGGAGCCCCACGTGCCCAACATTCACTGAGATGATGGCCCAAGTATGATCTGTGCTTTTTGTCTGAAAAGGAGCTGTTGGGATACAACACTTTTAAATGTTGGATTAACTAGGGTAGGGCCAGCTTTATTTGCAGAACATCTAAGAACAGATGCAGGGATGCAACTTTCAAATCCTGGTACACTCCCAAAGGGCAGGGACTGTGAACTGCATTGCTTATGTGGTTTGTGTGTCTAGTGCCTAGAACTCAGAGGGGACTTCCTACATGTTGATTGAGTGGATGAATGAGGAAAAGAAAAAATATACTGGACAACCCCAGGCCCTGGAGGAGCAAGCTTGGAGCCTGCTGAAGAGCACTCAGGAGGGAACTGCAGAGAACCGCTGCCGGATGCATCTCTCCACCTGCTGACTTTCTGCAGGGAAGGCCTCCGCCTGCAAACCTGGCTTCACTGCTCTGCCTTTACTGAGCTGCTTTTCTGCTTCTGAGTGGGTCCAGATGAACTGGTGGAATGATCCCTACTCATTTTATACCTGTGTGGAGGAGGCTGAGACATGGCTTCCCCAGGTGGGCCCATGACAACCTGGCCTACACGGATGTACCAAGTCTGGATGTGTGTTGTTAATATGCTTTTCTACTTTTCCCTCAACCAAGGGAAGAGGTGATGGAGTGAGTGTCCATTAGAGCAGGAGGGGTTCAGGCTAAAAGGGTCTTAGTCACAGGAGCCCTTGGCTTTGCAGGGGTCCCTATAAGGAGCTGAGGGCCTCTCATCTGTCTCCCAAATGATACAAAGTCTGCCCTGTCCGAAGACAGGAAGATAGACCACATGGCTCTCCAAGTCTTTCTTGCTCTCCCTGGTCCTCTGTCACTTAGGGAGACAGTATCACCACTGCCTCTGGCATTACCACAGCTGGGGCAAAGGTTCCCTGGGTTCTTTATGGAAAGAGAGGCTATGTCAGCCTGAGACCTAAATCTTCGGCTGGGAAGCCTAAACCTCAAGTGATGCCTCAGATGCTGCCTCTGCTCGGCAGCTGGGGAGAAGGGAACAGGCCCAGAGGCTGAAGCTTCTTTCAGGAACGGGGGGACATTGGACATGAACATCAGGTTGGAGGGAAAGCCCCAGACCCAGAGGCCCACCTTGAGGATGTAGTTCCCAGGCTGCACGTCGGTTATGTCGATCCACTGGCAGTCGATGTCCGCATTGTAGGTGTCATAGCAGCCTGGGCTCAGGCCCTGGGAAAGGGACAAGAGGAGCGGCTGTGATGCTGCTTGTTTCCCAGAGCCACCCCACGCCCACCTTCAGGAGTTTCTGGCCCACCTTCCCCTGGGTTTCTCCCCTGACCCTGGCCCAGGGCAACTGCTCAGGGTGGGTCCACACCTTCCTAAAGCCACTGGCTAGATGGACCAGAGGAAAGACAGATATCTAATAGCCAGGTGGGAGGGACGAGATGGATGGCAGAATGGATAAAAAGAGACAGGACAGATGGACAGTTTGTGGATATTTAGGGTGGCTGATGGAAAGAGGGATATGGGTGGGTGAACAGGCCAATAGGACGTGTTGCTCTCCAGACTGTTGCGATGTTTCCTTCTCTCCACGAGCAGATCACCTGGAATAACATGGGAAAGGGGCTGGGGCAGGGAGGGAACAGTCCCTGCAGGGCAGTGTGGCAGCCTGAGGACTGGTGAGAAGACCTTCACTGTGAGCAGAGCTGAGTGGCCAGAAGCCTTGGCACTTGCCGGGCCTCAGCGGGCCTCGCTCTTTGCCTCCCCAACTCCTTATCCTCCCATGCCCCAAACCCCATCTCTCCAGCCCAACCTGGGTATGAGAGGTGCATGCATAGCGCTTGAGGTTGCCGAAGTCACAGGTGCTGTCCTCCAGGCAGAAACTGGCCTTGTGGCCCTCGGCCACCTTCTTGCCTGTGGCTGCATCCAGTAGGTCGTAGTGGCTGAACTCGTCCATGCTGTGGTAATGCCTAGGGGCAGAGGAGAGAAGGAGAAAGAAGAGGGCCTAGTCTTCCCTGGGCCTCTCATCCTGTCCCCATCCTGAGATGGGCTCAGGTGACCCTGCTGTGGCACAGCCTCCTGGCTGGTCTAGGTTCTCCTGTCTCCTGAGTACTGCGGGGTGGCCCCTCTGTGCTCCCCACCTAGCTGGGTCACTCCAGGACAGCACATGCTCTAGACCCCTCACTTCCTTTTTGGGCTCCCACCTGTAATGGCCTCACTGGGCAATGCCCTGTATTCTAGACATTTCCATCCCTGATTGAGACCAATCCTTCTATATCCATCTTCCAGCCTAGCTTTGGCTAAGGCTTCTCTGAGAAACACTTGCCCCAGTGAAAAGAGTTGGCAGGTAACACCTCCCCGGGCCCTCTAATCCAGTATCTGTGTCTCCCAGAGTGCTCATGGTGGGAGGGGAGCTCAGGCACCAAGGTCCCTGGCCCAGAGGAGAAGTGGAAGAGGACGGGCCCAGCCCCTCCCCACTCACTGGTGGCAGCTGTGCCACTCCCAGGTGTGCCGTGGCCGGTTGGGGAGGAAGTCTGCTGTGCCCTGGTTCTTCACGCGCTGGGGGAAGCGCAGTAGCACCCGCACATCGTAGTCGGTGGCCTCAGGGGCATAGGCTGTGCTGCAGGGACGGCGGGGGAGATGAGGGGGGGTTGGGGCACAGTGACACCAGAACCCAGCATGGGCCCCCTCAGCCCCACCCCCAGCCCTTGGCCACTGGTTCTGCAGCCCCACTCCTTGTCCCTGAAGATCTTCTCCTCTGTCTCCTCGAACTGTGGCGGAGGCTCAGGCCTCTTCCTCTGTCTTCTGACCCCGTGAAATCCTGGCTGTCCCCTCCTTTCTGGCCTCCACCATGTGGCCGCCAGCTGCCAACAGCATCTTTCTAAAGCGGTACCAAGCATGGCAGTGTCCCTGATACCTGCAGGTGACTCAGCTGGGGTCAGCCCCTAGGTGCAGGAGCACATAGCAATCTCTGAAGGGCCACTGAAAAACAGCCCTATTGCGGGGGCCAGGCACTTTGGCTCATGCCTGTAATTACAGAGCTTTTTGGAGGTCGAGGCAGGAGGATCACTTGAGGCCCATAGTTTGAGACCAGCCTGGGCAACATAGTGAGAAATTAAAATTTAAAAAATTAATTTAATTAAAGAAATTTTTAAAAAATTAAAAAATTAGCCAGGTAAGGTGGCTTATGCCTGTAGTCCCAGCTACTTGGAGACTGATCCCTTGAGCCCAGGAATTTGAGGCTGCAATGAGCTATAATTGTGCTGCTGCACTCCAGTCTGGGCAACAGAGTGAGACCCCCTTTCTAAAAAAAAGAAAAAAAAAAGTCCTATCCAGGAGATTCTGATAAGTCTCTGACAACAAGACAGAGCCCTAATTGTTGACCAAAGTATGCCATGTCTTGGGTGTGGGCCTGAAAAACAGACGTGAAGTCCTCTGGTCAAAGCCTCTTCACTTTTCTAGTCCCATCTGCCCTTCCACTCCCCCACACACCCTGGGTTCCTGCTTCAAAGCCTATTTTCCAAACAGGCTGAACTTTTTCCCTGACCCATACTTTTGCCCATGCTGTTTGCTTGACCCAGAATTCCAAAACTCACCCAGTATCCTAGGGTCAACTCAAAAGTCCCCTCCTCCAGGAAGTCTGCCCTGATTGCTCTACATAGAGGATCCGGATTGCCTGTGAGCTCTAACAGCACTGACTGCAGCACAGCCCGATACCATCTACATCTTGCACTGGGTCCAGACCACCTCTCCCTGATTGCATGGCTTCAGGCTGGCAACCTGCCCTTTTCCATTCAGGGAACATGGGTCTGGTATGAATTGCCTGCTCGCAAGTCACCTGCTGACTCCAGATTTCCAACTGAGGTAGGCCTTGTGACAAAAGGAAAAGGGTGGAAAGAGGAACGAGGGGCTGCAGTGAGGGGAGACACACACACATGCACACATACACACACATGCACACACATGTGTGGTAGGAACAGGAAGGGGTGGCTGAAGGCCCCTCCCCTCTTTAGCTGACGGCTGACAGCTAACTCTGTTGGCCTCAGGGGCTCTTCCCTGGCACTCATTAAGGTCCGATCCTAAGGCCAGAGGGGAGCGGTGGCCAGTCGTAGGGATTAGCGCTCTCTTTGAGAGAATGTCTGGACAACAGGCGGCTCAGACTGTCTGCCAGGATGAAAGGCCCTCAGCCTTGTCTGGGGGAGGCTTGGAATCTGTCTATGTCTGGGTTGAAACAAAACATCCTCCTTCCCTCTGTTCAGTTAAATCCTGCCCTTCTGTTCGGCTCAGCACACCGTGGGAAACCATAAGGGTCTAGGTTCTAGGCCCAGCTTGGCCACAAACTGGTGGTGAGACTTGGAATTGGTCCCTTTTCTTCTCTGGGTTCTGCCTGCAGCATGTGAACTGGCACCAGCCTGCGGCCCATACTTGAAATGATCTCAGAGGGCCCTCCTGCCCCAGGGCTCCAGTTTTGCAGGATTCTCCAGGTCTGAACTCCCACGCCCACCTCCTCTGAGGCCTCAGCCCTTGCTGATCCCTCCCTCCTCTGACCTCCAGCAGCCCTGGCCTGTGAACCAGTCCTTCTGGCTCTTTTCCCACTCGTGTCTTGGTTCTGTCACTGGGGTACAGGTGAGGGCTGTTCTCTCCAGCTGTACCAGGAGACCCTCCAGGACAGAGGACAGGCTGCCTCCTCTCCCCAGCTGGGAGCGCAGGTCCGGGCACTCAGGATCCTTCATGAAGAGGCAGTGATGTTAATAGTTTGACTTTGACTAATTCTCTTAAGACTGGAAGGGCTGTCATGGAGGCTGTAAGTTCCTCATTGCTGGAGGAATTCCAGCAGGACCATTATGCTCTCTTCCCCAAGACAACTGAAACAAGACAAGAACTGCCCAGACAGGCTGGCTGAGTGGTACTCAGCCTGCGGTCCCTGGACCAGGGGCAGTTCCCACACTGATGCCAGTCTGGGATGGGATTGGGAACTTGCACCAGAATGTACATCGACAACATTCCTAATCACTCTGCTTAGTTCAGCGGATACTTTTTCTTTTTTTAAAGCAAGACTTTCTCAATGAAGGAGTGAGTTGAGTTACATTCTAGTTCAAGCTCTTTATCTTGTTACAGACAGATAAGGGTTTATGATCAGCTACTTAGAGTGGCAGTGAACTAGAAGTTCTAGAAATGAGAAAATGTTGAGATTCTAAAGAGTTTCCTAGATAGTAAAAAGTCAAACTAAACAGAGAGTTCAAATGTCCAAAAAGCAGGTAATTAAGAAAAATAGGTGCTTTCAACATAAAGGGATATTAACAAAAGAAGCAGATAACATAATCTTAACTAATTATTTTGGCCCAGGGAGGTATCCGCAAAGCACCTATGTTCCAGCAGAATATGAACTGCTTATAAATTAGAAGCAAACACTGCGAGAGGCAGGATCACCCATGAATAATGGCGAGCCAGCTGTGCTCACCTTCTAGGTTCATGGAAACTGGTCTCCTTCCCCTCTTTCCAGTGCAACATATAACTGAAACTTCTTTGTCCCCCGGGCTCACTGCCCCTGCTGTGACTAGGCAGAGGCAGCCTGGACCAGCCAAAGCCACAACTGTCCTCTGTGGACATGGCTCCATACTCCTGGGCTCTATCCTGCAGGTACATCCACCCAATAGGACTTCCTTGGGTCCCTGTATGACCACTGGAAGCCTGGGCTCCCAAAAGGAACCTTCTCATTAAACAGCTCAGATCCAAAAGGTTTGAGTTCCTTTCATTGCTCCTCAGTTTCCTGAGGGGGTAACCCATGCCTTCAGGGCTCATATAAAGATGAAGTGCCACAGTAAAAGTGGAGTTCCTTGTATAGTGAGGTACAGTATACAGAAATGCTGGGCCCCCGCTTGCTCCCCTCCCCTCCTGACTCCCTCGGGGCAGGCAAGGCTCACTGATGAAACGGTCAGGGTCCTGGGAGGCTGGGGCACTTGGCCAGGGTCATCAGCTTGCAGACAGCCTAGCTGGCAGCCACAGCTAGGCTGGGTTCTGGGTGACTCCCGGGGACTATCCCAACACTCTACACTTCTGCCTCAGCTCCTTACCTGGCCAGACACTTCTCCTCCGCAGCACAGCGCAGGGAGTACAGGTGGGCTCTCTGCACATAAGTGGATGCTTGCACATAGTTGGGGTCTGGGACCAAGTCAGGGAGACCTGGAGTGGGCAGTGGGAGAGAAGGGGGGAGGGAGGAAGAGCATGACATTGAGAGCATCAGGTTGGCCACTGCTAATGCCCAGAGACCTCCTCACACCCCAAACATCCTCTCATACCCCAAAACCCTTTGCCATTCTCCTTGGGTGTTAGGTCCTGGGCCCAGGTGTGGGGTCAGGGAAGTCAGGCAGCAAGAGCTTACATCTCGAGCTCTGCGGTGTGGGAGCTGCTAAGACTTCCTGGAAAAGCTTGGACATGAACAAGATCTGGGAGATGGGGCAGGATTTAGAGAATCAGAGAGCGGGAAAGGGTGTCCACGGCAGGGAAAACAGCATGAACAAAGACCTGGAGGCAGGAATGAGTGAACCATGTAATTTCCTGACAGAGGCACTCCCTCGAGTCCTTACTCCCCAGGCCTCTGGACAGCAGCCCCCAGACACCCTCCGTTCCTCTCATCCCTGCAGTCAGCATTCTTTGTAAACCACCAAGAGAGCCCTGGGCTTCTGGCCTGGAGTGTGTCCCTGAAGGTTCATGGGCAGAGCCAGGTGGATGCAGGCTGGCAGGAGTCAGGGTGGGCAGGAAGGGATGGGCTAGAAGGAAAACACTTCCCCAGAGCAGGCTGCTGACAGGGCAGGATTCTCAGCCTGGGCACCCAGCCTGACCTTCTCAGGATTCCTTTCTGCCTGGTGCAGCCACTCCTCCCCATACCCCCGCCCCCCATCACCTGCCACCACTTCCTGCCATCATCACCCTAGACCTGACCACACCCTCCTCTGTCTGCAACCTCCGGCCACCAACCTGAGGGAGGCCCTGGCTCTCTCCCCTGCAAGGCCTGGGGTCAAGCGCCCAGGGGAAGTCTGGAGACTGCCCCCGTCCTTGTGGTCCCTTGTTCCCCAGGATGTGCCAGAGCCCGGGGCCTGTCCGTCCTGTTCCTGCCCCTCCACCTTCCTCCCTGGGCATGCAGGAGTCTGAGCAGGAGTTACTAGGAATAAGCAGAAACCAAACTTAGGTGTCCAGACTCCATTCTGCATTGGAATGAAGAGGGAATATCTCCTCTGTTCGTGATGGGGTGTGGGCTGGGGTGGGTGCGGGCAGCAGTGGGTGTGGGCAGGGGGGACTCCAGGGCCCTGGGCTCTATCCCAGCCCAGCCACTGACTTAAAGGGGAGTGGTTCTGGGGCCTCTAATTCCGTCTCCTCTCTGGCCTCAGGGATTCTGTCAGGTAAGTGATAAGATGAGGCTGTAAGCTCCTCTTAGTTTCTTTGAAGTCCTCTGCTCTTGAGGGATTCAGGAAGGGTGAGAGCAGGCAAGGTGGGAGGACTTGAGTCCCATGGAGGGATTTCCCACCCCTTTCCTGCTGCCAAGACCCTCTCATCAGCTTTTAGGTCTGGAAGATGAGGCCAAGGAGGGGAAGGCTGGCTTCTAAGCCATCGGCAGAAGTGTCTGCCAGCATATCCCCCACCCCACACCACCCTGAGTTCCCAGACCCTAGCTTTGCTCTCCCTGGGGCCTGGGCCTCATGGGGGAGCCTGGTCCAGGCAGCCAGGGTGATCTCACCTACTTGGAATGATGAGGAAGCTTGGAGTACAAGGGTGGGTGAGGATGAGGTGGCTCCTGGCTGGTGGGGGACTTCTTGGCCAGCCTAGGCCCTGTTACTTGAGCCCCTAGGAATGTTTGCAGTCATTTCCCAAGGGACCCATAGGCCCTCAAGCCAGCTGGGAGCTGGTTCTCACTCTCTGGACCCTGGAAGCCTCTGGGGGAGGGGTGAGGATGAGAGGGATGGGCCCCTTCCCCATCACCCAGTGCCTTTCCCTCAGCTGCGTATAGGGTGGGGTAGCTGGGCCTTAAGACTCAGGAGACCCAGCATTTGACATCAGACAGCTTGCTGCCCCCACCCCAGGCCCAGTTTCAAGAAATACTGCACAGATGGCTCCACAAAGCTTTTGTGGCCTGACCCTTCCTATCTAGGCTATTTCATGAGCTGGCTATGCAACCCAGGGAAGTTGGAGGAGCGGGAGGAAGAGGCCAGGTGGGGCCAGTGAGGGCCAATGCTGTTCCTGGCCTCTCCCAGCCCTGACTATGTACACACACTGAGCCCTGTGCCTGATCACAGTCTGCACCCTGACCTTGGTCACAGACTGACCTCTGACCCTGGTCACATTAAGCGCTGACCTTGGTCACATACTGAACCCTGGCCCTGGGCACACCCTGAGCCTTGACCCTGATCACACACCAAGCCCTGTTCCTGATCCCAGTCTGAGTCCCGATGCTGGTCACACACCGAGCCCTGATCCTGGTCACAGACGGAGGTCTGATGCCTATCAGCAATTCTGAATCTCAGTCTCATTTCTGTTTGTCCCCTGATGATGGACTAAAGCTCTTCAGCTAAAGGAAAAAAAAAAAAACAGGAATTGCTGTGATATCATCAAGTCTGATTAAAACTGAGTGGAGTAGGGTTATAAGTGCCAGAGTTATGGAGGAGGGGCATTTGTAGAGTACTGCATGTGGAGAATTGGAAGAGAGACTAAGGACAAACAGCTTGGGGCTGCTGGTCACAATCTGAGCCTTGACCCTCGCTACAGATGATCATCTTCTTCCTCTTACTGTTGAGGAATCTCAGGCTCAGGCAGGGGCCTCTTGTTGCGGGAAGTCTCCCCTGATTGCAATGATATCTCAGACTGCACAAAATTCTCCTCTCTCACCACCCCATCTGTATTGATCTACACTTAGATTTCACCATACTAACCTGTGTGTGTCTCCTCCGCTCCAGATGGCATTCTATGGGCAGGCCCTGAGTCCTACTCGCCCTCAGTGGAGCAACTTTTGTTTTGAGGGTGACTGACTGGTCCAAAGCCCCTCAGGCTCTGTCAGGAGAGCCTCTTTAATGACTGTTCTAGGCAACCCAAAGTGTTTTCCATGTCCTGCCCCCAAGACACCAAGGCACATAATGTCTTTGGAAGCACCGGAGGAAACTGAGGCTCAGGCCCATAAATCTGCACAGGGTCACACAGGGAGCTGGGGTACCCCAGGAGGAGATCCTAGGTCTCCTTGCCCTCCCAGGACTCCTCCTGTCACTCTTTTTATAAAAATAAACTTTTTGAGCTGTACTCTATACACAGTGAAATGCACAGATTTTAGGTGTACAGTTTGATAAGTTCTAACAAATGTATAAAGCCGTGTGGCTTCCACCACAATCAAGCTGTGGATTGTTTCTGTCACCCTCTGGCCCCTTCCCTGTAAGTCCTCTCCCCGCCTCCGCCACCCCAGGCAGCCACTGCTCTGCTTCTAATCACTGTAGATTAGTTATGCCTTTTCTAGAACTTAAATGGAATCACTCTTACCATTATTTTGTAAGTTTCTTTGTTCTACATCTCTAACAATCACCAGGGCCTCCTGTGACTCCCTCTCTGAGCTCCACCTCTGTCACACCCTCATGGCCATGGGGGTGACACAAGAGGCAGCAGCTCGGGGAAGCTGCTGGAAAGGAGCAGCCTCAGGAGTTCAGGCCAGGCCCCCCCGCCTCACCCTCAGGATCCTTGCCGAGGTCCCAGGGAATAGCAGACCCCCTCCCATAGCTGGTATGTTTTTCCAGGAAGGAACAATGGCTCCTTCTCTGGGCAGCTCTCCCAGGGGACATTTCGTCAGCAGCCAGGCCTGCAGGCTTGGGCTCTTGGCCCCTCTGCAGGGCTTGGGGCTGGGGGATTATGTGATGTTGGAAGGGGATAAAGAAGGGTTGATTGAGTTGGGGGCTAGTGGACACGATCAGTGTAGGAGTAAGGAGGCTGGTCTGCAATTTTTGGCTTGTAGGGTACAACAGGCCCTCCAAGCAGAGTGGCCAATGTTGGGTGAAGTCCAGTTATTATCAGACTGTGTGATCAGCCCTCACCTCAAAAAGTATGCATTTTAAAGGAAGATCCTGGACCTGGTGAAGGTACATATCCAGCTCCCCACGCCACCTCCACCTTTTCTTTTTTCTTTGAGACAGGGTCTTGCTCTGTTGTCCAGGCAGGAATGCAGTGGCGTGAACATGGCTAACTGCAGCCTTGATCTCCTGGGCTCAAGTGATCCTCCTGCCTCAGCCTCCCAAAGTCCTGGGATTGCAGGCGTGAACCACCGCACCCAGTCAAATGAGGTCTTTTTGCTTACTCCAAATACAGGGGAAACCATCAGCCCAGGCTGGAGGGCAGTGGTGCGATCTTGGCTCACTGCAACATCCGCTTCCCGGGTTCAAGTGATCCTTCCATCTCAGCTTCCCAAGTAGCTAGGACCACAGGCGCATGCCACCATGCCTGGCTAATTTTTGTATTTTCAGTAGAGACAGGGTTTCACCATGTTGGCCAGGCTGGTCTCGAACTCCTGACCTCAGGTGATCTGCCCACCTTAGCCTCCCAAAGTGCTGAGGTTATGGGGTGAGCCACCGAGCCCAGTCCATGTAAACTTTTAAGGTCTATCTAGTTCACTGCCTGTCACTGCTACATAGGATTCCACGATGTGCATCCTCTATGTCCCTTCTAGCTGGCCTCCTGTTCTATCTATCTACCTAGATAGATAGATAGATAGATAGATAGATAGATAGATAGATACGGAGTCTAGCTCTGTTGCCCAGGCTGGACTGCAATGGCGCCATCTTAGCTCACTGCAACCTCCACCTCCCGGGTTCAAGCAATTCTCCTGCCTCAGCCTCCTGAGCAGCTGGGATTACAGGTGTGTGCTCTGGCTAAATTTTGTATTTTTAGTAGAGATGGGGTTTCACCATGTTGGCCAGCCTGGTCTCGAACTCCTGACCTCAAGTGTTCCACCCGCCTTGGCCTCTCAAAGTGCTGGGATTACAGGGGTGAGTGACCGCACCCGGCCAGCCTCCTGTTTTAGACCTCCAGGTCACCTCTAACTCCCCGCTCCACAAACACGCTACAGTGAACGGCCGTACGTGCCCCTCCTGGGCCTGATGAAGGTACGCAGCCAGCTCCCTGGGTCACCTACAGCCCTGCTCAGTCTTCTCCCAAGCCCCCAGCACCACTGGTGGGGGTAGGCTGGGGCGGGTCTCACCACCCAAAGACTGGGTGGATGGGCTTGCTCAGACTACCCAGGAAAACCCTGGCCACCATCAATTTCTTGCTCCCAGGAGGGAGACAGGAGCCTGGGGTCTTGCCCTACTGTGTCATAGGCCTTCTGTGTGGCCTTGGGTTGACCCAGCCCCACTTCAGGCTTCATGGCCTCCATTCTTCCACTTCTAATTGTCCTCCACCTGACTCGGGGCCTGAGGCCCTGTGCCGGCCTCTGTGGGCATTCTTCCTCAGATGCAGGCTGCACAGAGCCTGGGCCAGGATGGCAGGGATGCTGAGTCACGGGGCAGCGAAGACCCTTGAGATGGCCAAAGCCAGGATGCTCGGCTGGGGAGGAGCTGCGTGCGAGGGAATACGGTCCCAGGGCCATTCATTCCACAGGGAGACAGCCAGCCACTGATGTGGGGTAAGCCTTTTAGCTATAGCATGCCCTTCAAACCTCCAGGACAGTGAAGACACGGAGCCGAGAAGACAGAACCAATGTTCTATATCCTGGCTCTGCCCCTGGAGCTTCCTCTGTGGGAGTGTGCAGGAGCACAGTAGGAGGAACCTGTCACACTGACTCTTGGGGCCTGTGTGCTCGGGACAAGCCCACCCTGTCCTCCTGCTCAATGCTGGGTCTGGAGTTGCTGACGGCTCCCGTGCCCGCCCTCGGGAACCGGAGGACAAAGACCATCTGCCCCTTCCCTGGTGGGATGCAGCTGGGGCCTTCTCAGGGGGGAAGCTCCAGAGGTGAGTTCACTGTCTTGTCCAGTCTCCCCAGTCCCCTTTCTGAGGCTCACTTTCCCCATCTGGATGATGAGGGAGACTGAACTAGCTGGCCCCTGAACACAGGTTGGATAGATCGATAAACACTTGGAGATTAAAATACTTTTTAGGAGCTGTTCAGTTCATTCCCCAGCCTTGGGCAAGAGCCCGAGCCCTCTCACAACCCCTACAGACGATACTTTAGCAGTCAGGAAATTCTCCCACCTTCTGACCTAAATCCTTCCTGCTTCATTAGAAATCTGTTCCCTCCTGCCCAGCGGTTCCTGGAGGGAGGCTGCCTGGCGCTGAGAGCCCTGTGGCTGCCTTCCCATTGCTCGTCCACACCTCACCTGTTTCCCTCTTGGCTTCCTCTTTTTTGTGGGTTCAGTAAACCTTGTCTCTGGAATCTTTCCTCTCCAAGCCTCCTCCTCATGAGGGGCAAATGATGGAAAGTGGAATGCAAAAGAGCCCTAATCTCTTGAGCCCAGGGCTGGAGGATAAACAAAGTCCAGGAGGAACTGGTCAGTTGCTTGTGAAATATGTGCTGAGCGGGATGTTTTGGCTAGCGCAGCCAGACTCCAGAGGAGCCCCTAGGTGGCAGAGAAGCAGAAAGCTCTGCAGAGCAGGGCCTTGAATAAAGATGAGCCAGAGAGGCCTCCACGGCGGGAGCTGGCTGCCCGATTCCCTAGGAAATGATTATCTCATAATCAGGAAATTAACTTGTCAGCACTGGCCTGGCAGTGCCACACCTGCTTGGTGAGCAGGCAGGCAAGGTGGCTGCAGATTCCACTTTGCCCCATAATGAAGATGTAACCCAGCTCAAGCCTGAGAGCTAGGACAGCCATCAAGCCAGGCCCAGGGTCTTCAATGGCTCCCCATTGCCCACAGAATCAAGCCTAGAAGTCTCAGAGTGGCAGCTAAAGCCGTCTGTGGTTTGACCTTACCTAGCCTTCCAGAACTCTTAATCCTAAGGATCAGTAGGCAGGTCTCTGGCAGCATACCCCAACCTTTTTTACCCCCTGACTCCATGGTGCCCTTGTCCTGGAATTCCCAGCTATGCATGTGCATGCGCGTACACACACACACACACACACACACACACACACACACACACCAGCTCTACCTATGCAGAGGCACACAGTCTTTAGCTCCAAAGCCCACCCTGTCAGTCCTGAACACCCCTCCACCACCACCCTGCACCCTTTTACAGCACTCACCTGTCCACCCCACCAATGGGGAGAGACAGCAGCAGAAGGGCTTGACTCACAGAAGGGATTTGTAAGTGTGTGCTTGATTGCGCCAGCTGCCCAGGAGGCAGGCTGGGCTGAGGGGGAGGCAGACAATGCTAACCAATGCGGAGGTCAGCTCCCTGCTCAGAGGCCAAGCCTCTGCTGCCTCTCTGCACACCTAATGCACATTTCCTCCCAGCGTGAACCCAACCCCTGCCCCTGAGCCCTCCCCGCCCTTGCAGGCCCTGCCTGGTGCCCCCTACCCCACCTCTAGAAGCTTCCCTTGATGCTTCAGTTACTCCAGGGGTTCCCTCCTTGCCCTCTCAGGCCCTGCACAGTGACCTGAAATTTTCATATTTCTTACAAAACTTACGCTGCCCACAGCCTTCCCATCTCAGCTCAAGGCAATTGCATCCTTCCAGCCACACCAGCCATAAACCACTGTGTGATCCCTGACACCTCTCTTTCTTTCATACCCCATATCCAACCCAGCAGGAAATCCCCTCAGCTCTATCTCAAGAACATACCCTAAAGCTGGCTTCCTCCATTGCTACCACTCTTCCTACTCTCTGGAACAGCCTCCTGTCGGTTCCCCTGGCTGACTCTCCACTGTCCACTCCTGGCACAGCAGTCAGGGGCCCTGTTTAGCAGTCAGGGACCCATGCTTCTACTCAGCTCAAACGCTGAGTAAAAGGGATGCACAGAAAATAAAAGGCAAACCCCTTACAATGGCCGACAAGCTCCCCATGGCCCGGACCCCATTACCTCTCTGACCTGTCCCCTGTTATACCTCCATTTCCACTCTACTCTGTTCTAACCACACTGGAGCACACCTGAAAACCCCAGGGAACTCCTGCCTCAGGGCCTTGCACTGGCTGTCTTCCTATCTGGAATGCTCTTCCTGCAGACAGCTGCATGGCTCACTCATATGCCTCAAGTCTTTGCTCAAGTGTCACCTTCATGAGGCCTGACCACCTTTGCAACCTGTCCCTCTCCTACACTCCCGATCTTCCTTACCTATCTCTATTTTTCCACAGCACTTAGTACCTTCTATTTTTTTTACATATTTATTATGTTTATACATGAAAATAGAAGATCCACAAGGGCAAGAATTTTGTCTCTTTCTTTTCACGAATGAATACCCAGCTCTAGAACGGTGCCCAGCATACAGTAAGTCGCTCAATAAATATTTGTTAAATGACTATTTCCTCATGAGATGATATCTGCCCTATTTCCTCACGAGATGATATCTGCCTTCTGCAGCCAGGCAAGAGCCCATGAGGGCAGGGGTGAGTGGTATTATCTTTTGCCTGTACTCAGCTTCTGGTGCACGTCTCCCAGGTGCACAGTGGGTGCTGAGAGCTGGCAAAGACAGACATGGACTTGGGCCACTCTCCACCCCAGGTGTCTGTTTTCTCACTGCCAGGCTGAGACGTCAGTGAGGCCAGGGAGGGTTCTGGGATGCCCCTGAAATTCTCCACGCCCAGCTCAGGGCCTAGCACCTGTATGTCCTTGGCAAGTGCGTGAGCCAATGCCCATACTCCATAAAACGTCTGGTGGCACTGCCTGTGTGAGCACAGACTTCATTGTCAAGCAGGGTCTGGAATCGATTCCCAGAGTCCTTTCTTTTGCAGAAAGATTTGCGTTGGGTTTGGAAAACCTGTGGTTCCAGCTGGCCCACAAGCAGGGGGAAGGATGGGTTGTCTCTTGAGGTTTGGATGGCAAAGGCCTCTGGGGCCTCGCTTTCCCATCCTGTGTCTCTTCCTGCTTTGGCATTCTGACACCCCTCTCCCCATTTCCAAGTGGTACTGCAATGCCTGGTTTCTGGGTGCCCATCAGCAAGAGGGAGAGGGACCCAGACCCAACCCTCACCCTGTGATCATGAGTCCCGACAAAAAGAAGGCCCTTGGTCCAGCTGCCTGTGGAAATGAGGCGGCTAGGTCAGGGCCAGGGGAGGGGCAAGTCTAAACCTCTCTTTCCAGCATCCCAACCCTGACTGCTCTTCTGCAGGAATGCTGGGCACAGCAATTGGAAGGAGGTGTGGGCCGCCTGGGCGGACCCCAGCTCCCTCCCTGCCCCTTTCCTCTCCTGCCCATGTCAGCCACTGTCCTGGGAAGTCTTCCATGTGTTCCCAGCTTAGAAAGGAGGTAGAATGGACTCAGGAGCTACTAGGGAGCTACTGGAGAGGGGTACACCTTCTGAGAGCAGAGGATGCTGCAGTGAGGACCCCTGAGGTTAGGAGGAAGGAGAGAGGACAAAAAGCCAGAGCTCCCAGGCCAAGTCTAGCAGTAACCTGGTGCCCATAATGGTACTAATGGCTCCCAACCCTGCTCTGCCACCATCCCCAGCAACTCTGTGGGGCCCGCAAACTTGAGGCAAAAACCCAAATTTGGTTTTTTTCAGGTGTTTACACCTCAGGGGAACAGTGAACACAGAGACAGGTGACACAGAATATAAAACACCCGTCCCTAAGAGACGGAACAGAGTGAGGCCAGGGCCCACTGGATTGGACAGTCAGCCTAGGTCTAAGCTTGGCCACTCATTAACCCTGAGACCTTGGGTGAGTTGGTTAATTTCTCCGAGCCTCAGTTTCCTCATCTATAAAATAGAGCTGATAATACTATTTATCTCACAAGGCTGTTGTGGGAATTAAATGAGAAAAATAAAATGCTTAGCATAGTGTATGTTCAATAAATATCAGATATTCTTATTCTTATTATTGAAAACAGGAGCTGTCTCTTCTTGCAGGGATGGTCCAGTTTGAGAGCAGGGGAGAGAGAAGGTGCCTTGCAAGTGGCTGATAAGAGAGGAGACAGGAAGTCTGCCTGGAATGAGGCTGCTTAGGACTCCACTTGTTTGTTCAGACACTGATGACTCTCAAAGGAGAAACAGGGAGGCAGGAGGAGGGCCCAGAACCCTCCGTTTCCACAGCTTGTCTGATCCGACACAGCTTTCTAAGCCTGAAGACTCTTTTTCTTTCTGAAGGAACAATCTGAGACAACTTCGGGGAAGGAAGGAGGGATGCTGATCTGTGATTCTGCCTCCAGGGCAAGTCGCTTAACTTCTCAGGGCCACAGTTTCCTCATCTGCAAAATGGGGATAACAATCCCAGGGTTGTCACAGGGATTAAGTGATTCTAACTGCAAAACTCCAAGAACAGTGTCCGGCACTTAGTATGCACCATATGAGTGTTTGTTACACAAACGTTCTGGAATCTGCAATGACCATGACCAGGCTACACCCTAACCCCACACTGGGGAGAGACTCTGCTTCCAAAGTCTTTCACACTCACTGTCCCATCTCACCCTGTCACAACCAGTGCCCAGAATCTAGCACTCAAATATCTGTTGAATGAATGAATGACCAAATGAATGAGTGAATAAATGAGGTGTACAAGATAAGCAATAATATATAAATTTTTTTTTTAAATGCATGGTTGTTAAGAACTCAGGATAGAGAGTCACACAGACTCAAATCCTGGTTCCACTACTAAAAGTCAGCAAGTGAGCTCGTCACCACATCTGTAACACGGGACAAATAACAGTACCTGGCTAGGACCTGGGAATTAAAGGAGATGATGTATAACGCACTCAGCAAATGCAAGCATAATTCTTCCTCTGGATGCAGATGTGGGAGGTGAGGACCACAGAGGCAAAGCTGGCAGAGGGGTCCATGCTCATGCCCTGCCCCACCCTGCCCGCAGGCTGAACATGATATCCTCCTGGGTCATCTCACTGTGATGCAGAGAGCACAGGTTCAGTTTGAATTCAAGCTCGGCTGTACCCTTCTGTGCCACCTCCCTAGGCCTGTTTTCTCATCTACACCAGGAGGACCATAATCTGCACCTCATTAGGAGGTTGTGAGGATGAATGAAACTGCACATTGAAGTCAGTAAGCCCAGGAAGTGGTCTTCAGCAAATGGCCAAGTTGGTATTATTATCCCTGCCTCTGGGCTCTAACTCTGGAAGCTTGTTGGGTGAAGCCTGCTTTGGTCCTTCCCTGCATCTACTCCAAACTCTGCAGGGGAAGGCGAGTGACCTGGAGGGCAGAGGTGGGCAGGCAGCCTGTGGAGGTGGGGTGGAGCAGGCCCAGGTGAGCTAGGGGCTCAGGCAGGAGAGGTGGTAGCAGGCAGCCAGGGCTGCTCTCAGGGACTGAGGGTCCAGACAGGTCTGGCCTCTTGGGTGCAGGAGGCTGGACAGAGAAGGAGGTACCCTAGAAACACCCTTGCATGTGTCTAGGGAGGTGTAACATCTAGGCCCACGAGCAGCATGGTCCCATGGGGGCTGTGGAGGCTTGAGAAAAGGAGGAAGAAAGGACAGGAAGGAGGTGCCTCTAACTCTGGAGTGCTGGGCTGAGACACTAGATTTTGTCCTAAAGGCCCTGAGGAGCTACAGAATCTTCTTGAGCAGAGGAGTAACCTGGTCAGACTGCAGGGGTTTATCTGCCCCACATGCAGGACAGACTGAAGAGGGAGAGACTGGGAGCAAGGGACCAGGGAGGAGGCAGCTGCGGTTCTCTCCTGGCCTCTGATTGGCCATGTGAAGTCAGGGATAGAGGACACACGTCAGGCAAGGCTAGCACAGCCATCCAAGATGCCCTGGGAGGATGCCCAGGGCTGCCTGTTCCATGTTCCTTTCACAGGATTGCCAGAGCCGGTGAGTCAGGCGGGGGGTGCGAGGGTAAGGCCTTGGGAGGGGAGCTTTGGTCTTCTGGGGCTGTGGGGCTTCTTAGGTGGCACTAAGACCCCCAGCTCAGACAAGCTGAAACTCCAGGGAGGCAGGAGCTGAGGCGAGGATCCCAGGAGAGGAGGGCCTGGTTGGTAATAGCAGGAGTGGTCACATCGAGGGAGCCGACACAGTGCAGGAGACCCAGCTGGGCCTGGGAAGTGGCTGGCCACCCTCCAGGCCTCTCTTCAAGGATTTGCTATGAGAGCCAGGCAAAGTATGTGACCCTCTCTGGGCCTCTGTTTCCTCTAGTTTCTTTTCAGTTTCATGTTTCAGAGTTGGAGAGAATGGTACTGCAGGAAGCCTTGGGCAGTCTCAGTGCCCAGGGTAGGAAGGAAGAGGGCACAGGTACCCGAGGAAGAAACTGGGCTCAGGACAGGCGCTTGGAAACCACCCACCCATGGAGGGAGGTGGGTGGTGCTCACATGTGCTTGGTGTTGTGAGGACACGTCCACGCCCACACACACTCACAGGCTGCCAGCGCCCAGCCTCAGACCCCTGGGTGTGTGGCCAGGAGGAATGAAGTCAGTCTCGGAGAATCCGCCTTGGGCTCCCACACCAGGCCTGGGGGTCTGATCTCAAGCACAAGGCTTGGCCTTCCCTGGGCTGGGATTTTCCACGGTCTGGCCTAGCAGGGTGGGGAGGGAGGAACCAATGATGGGAGAGACTACTGCTCCCTCTCTGGCCTCTTTGTGAGCCCTAAACTAGCCTGCAATCCCCTCCCCAGCAAAAAACACACTCCCACCCCACACCCTCAATGATTAGGGGAAGGGGCACCTGGATGGTGCTGATGACCATCCCTTGCAGCAATGCTTAGACATTGCTTCCTGTGGAAGTCTCCCTGAGCCCTAGCCCCTGACAGGGAGGGCCCTCCTCTGGGCTCACAAAGCCCCTGGCCCCACCAATGCTTGCCTAATCACAGCACTGAGATGCCCCTCCTGGTAGACTGCCCCAGGGAAGGGCCTGGACTTGATGCATGTGAGTACACTCAGCTTGGCACCTAGGATGCTACCTTCAGGGGAGAAATGTTTTTGACCCAAAATGAACTGTGGGGCTCAGGGTAGTGGCCAGAGGTCTGCTAAGCACCAAGCACCCCCACTTCAGACATGGCCTTGCCCTGTCCCATTCCCCTCTCAATCAACTGGCTTCCTTAAGAACTAACAGCCCAAAGACAGGCCCTAGAAGACCCACTGACTTGGTGCCCAGATGCCAAGTCCCAGGCATGCCTCTGCCAATATTGTGGCATTTGAGAGCTCAGTTTTCTCTGCCCAGAGGTGGGGCCCATCAGGCTGAGCCTCATGCTGAGGTCTTGCATTCTAAGAAAAGCCACTGCAAAAGTTTAGCACCCTCTAGGTAAAACATCCTATTCTCCAAGGGGCCCTAGAGCAGCTGATGCATGGCTATAATGCGCCCTTCTGCAGGGATGCTGCAAGTACCTGGTAAGGACCAGAGCAGGTGGATGCATCCTTCATCACACCACAGAAGGACCTGCCATCTGATTTTTCCTGAGCTCCTGCAGGTTCTTAAAGTGGGATTCAGCACACAACTCAAAAGCGACACCTTGGATGTGATAGAGTGAGTGTTCCCAGTGGAGACGCTCCTCTCCCCTAGTCTTGGCCTCCAGCAGTACCCAGGGAGACAGGCACCCCATGAGCAGCAGCCCCTCACTGAGGTCAGCTTGGCTGGAGACAAAGCATCATCCCTCTGCTGACAGAGGCTGAGGAGGAGGCTGGGGCACTAGCACCTATACTCTGAGGCACTGGAGGGCTCAGTCAGCCCTTACTTGGTGGGCCAGGCACAGCAACCTCAATGGGGAGCAGAGAATTATGGGTAGAGGAAACTGACGACAGCTTGAAAGAGGCAAGGCAGAGTTGGACTGCATAAGTATTGGGGACTGAGTAGAAAACCTTGGCCCAAAAGCTGCCTGTATGGAGAGGGTAGCAGGGAGGGGGATTCTAGGACAGCAGAGAATGGCTGATGGCCGTCCAGCACTGGCCACACCCACCAGTCAGCCCTTGTCACAGTAGCCCTGTCTGCTAACAGCATGTGTGGAAGCTGCCTTTCCACTGTGTCCTCATGTGCAGAGGGCTTGGGCCTTCCCAAGAGGAGGACGTATGTTCACCCCCTGAAAAGCCAGAGGGAGTCCTGTCCACAGCTGGGGCTCTCCGCCAGGGCCAGGACTAGGGTGAGGGGAATGAGGCCAGTGAGGTGTTTTTTTTTTTTTTTCCTCGGGGTGCAAAATTTTAGGGGGTGCCAAAAAAACTCAGTAACGGAGATAAGTAATATTTAACACAATAGTTTTTAAAATAAAAATTAATGCAAAACTATCTGTAATGAACAAAATATCCAAATATCAAATAAAGACAGGATCCGTGTTGCTGATTTTTCAGTTAGCCTCAGGCTCCAATATGGCTCGGCATACCACTATTACTGACTCTATTTAAAATCTGGATATTTCCTTTATCACAGGTTTTTTTTTTTTTTTTTTTTTTTTGCATTAATTTTGACTTAAAAAAATACATCTCAATATTACTCATCTCAACTACTGTGTTTTTTGGTAGCCCCTGAAATTCTGCACCCAGGCCAGTGCCTGACTGGTCTCTCTTGCCCCAGCCTTGCAGACTCCCCTGAGGAAGTCCGGACTCCTGCCTGGAGCACACGCTCCCCTCTAACCTCCTGCGCACTCAAGCCAACCTCACACATGCCCAGTAATGGGCAGCCTGCCACACCTCCAGGGGCATCCCTTAAGGCCTTTCTGGCCCTGAAGACTCAGGTTTCTGATGCTCCTTGCCTCACCCTGTGAGCTGGCATAGAACATCTCTAAGGGGGGAAGGAGATGCCCTCATTGAAATGAGGGAGAAGGTGGATGAGGGGCTCCTTCCTTTTGTCCTCAGATGACCCAAGCCAAGTGCAGAAGGCGAGCCTCCTCCCAAAGCTCGGCTAGTCCCTCCACCAAAGCCAGGATCAGAGCCCACACCTGCCTGGCCAACCCCTGGCACTGATGATGCCTGGGTGCGGGTTAAGCTGGGAGGTGAGATGCCAGGGGGGTGCTGTTGGCTGGGTCGGGGGAAGTCGGGAGGGGGCGCTGCTCCGTGCTTAGCAGCTCCGGGGAGGCCTCCAGGAAGTTCTAAGGAGGGGCCCGGGGGGCCCGGAGCAGTTTCCAGTGGCCAGGGGTACGCGCGGCCGGAGGGGCGCCGGGGCCGTACTCACCGCGGCCGTTCTGGTTGGGCCGGTACACGCTGCCCACGCTGAGGCGGCCCTGCTGCGCGCCGTTCCGCTCCCCACCCGGCGGGGGCGTGTCGGAGCTGCGCACCGGCAGGTAGGGCGGCTCCAGCGCGCGCGGCGGCCCGTACGCCTCGGGCGGCGGGTTGGCGTAGGGCGGGTACCAGCCCAGGCGTGGGTCTCCGCCATGGGCCTGCGCCGCCTCGGGACCGGGGTCAGGGTAGGCCTGCTCGAAGCCGGGGGTGCCCTCGCTGTACAGACTGTGCGAGTAGCGGCGGTCCAGGCCGTCGGGGGGCGGCGGCGGCGGCGGCACGTAGGGCCTCTCGGGGGCCGGGTAGAAGCCCTGAGGCGGGTACTCGGGCAGCTCTTCGCCGCCGCCGTACTCCTCGTAGCGCGCCCGGGGCTGGTAGGGGTAGATGACCCCCGCCGAGGCCACGGCCGCCGCCCCCGCGCCCACGCCGCCGCCCGCGGGCCGGTAGTACACGAAACCCTGGTCGTAGGTCCGCGACGCGGGGTCGTAGTTCTCGTACTGGCTGACGAAGGGCGCCTGCGGGTAGGGGAACTGCTGCGGGTAGGAGGGCTGCTGGCGGTAGGTGCTGGCGAAGGCCGAAGCCGAGACCGAGGAGGCGGAGCCCCCGTGCCGTTGCTGGGAGACGGAGGTGCGGGCCCGGGCCATGCCCGTGCTGTCCCCGACGGCCACCTCGCGCCAGTTGTCGGGCACCTGGCCAAAGCCGAATGGGTGCCGCGCCTGGCCGCGCACGGTGTCCGAGCCCACGCGCCCCGGCAGGGGCAGGGACGGCGCCTGCCGACGCCGGGGGCTCCCGTGGCTGCGCCGCTGCTGGGCCTGGGGCGCGCCGGCCAGCAGCACCCGGGAGCTACTCTCGGAGCGCTGAGGTCCGGCCGGCACGTACTCTGAGCCCGAGTTGAGCAAGCTGTACACCTGCCCGTTGTTCTCCCACTGGATCAGCTGCCGCCAGCGGGCGGGGTCCGAGCCCTGCCCGGGCTGCGCCTGCTGCCCGTGCACCAGCACGCACAGGCAGGCGCCCCACACCAGGGCCCCCAGCTGCCGGCTGCCTCGGGCCAGAGCCATGGTGACCCCTCTGCAGAGGCCTGGTGGACAGAGAGGCTCTCAGGAGTGGCCCCCTGGGCGTGCTTCTCTTCCCACGGCCTCGAGGACAGGAAGGCTCCTTGCTTGCCCCAGCTCTAGCTTTGTCCATGCTGGCCTTGTCCCGAGCGGGACGGCTCCTCCGATGACAGCATTTCAAGGCCAAGGGGTCAGGGCAGGGCAGGGGCGGTGCCCAGGGCTGCACGAGGCTCTCCGCAGGGCACCGGGCGGGCAGGACCGCCTGTGGGCCTTACATGGCCAGCCCCGCACTGGCTGGCCGCTCGGCTGGCGCTTTCCCACTCTGAATGAATAAGCAACAGGCTGGGAGCGTCGGGAGGCTTCGGCCTCCTGGTCCGCCTGCTGGGGCCTCCTCCGCGGGGCCCTATGGCCCGCCGGCTTTTAGCTATGCGCCGGTCCCACAGCTGCAGTGCTCCCTCAGTCCCTGGAGTTCCCAGCCAAGCCACAGACCTGCCTCTGAGGAAGGGAATCGAGCAGGGAGTAGGAGGGGACCTCTGGGGACTCGGGCCTGGTAAGTGGGGCTCTGGCAGGCAGAACGGGGCTGGGGTGTCAGCACCACCCCGCCCATTCCTCTCTGCTTTGGTCACAGCATCCCTGGTCTCCACCTTGCTCACTGGCTTCTCGTTTGGGCTGGAATGGGCCTCTGACTCCTGTCTGCCCCAGCCTCCTTCCCGTACTCCCGGGTTCTCCCTTTTCCTTGTTCCCTAAAGCCAGTGCTAATTAAGACACACCCTCTTTGCATGTTCCTTCCACCATTATCCCACACCCTCAATAGGAAGAAAAAAAAAAAAAAGACACACCCTCTTTGTTGGTGGGCCTCCTCGGGGAGATGCTGAACAGGGACCACTCTCTAATTCCAGGTCCCAGGTGCACCGCAGCTCTTGGGCCTGCGAAGAGAGGCACTGGAGCTGCACCTTTTCCCTCGTGGCACACCTCAGGGGCTTACTTTCCCAGTCTGAAGAGTGGGGTGTATCCCTGAGCTGAAAAGCACTTGTGAGATCCTGGGAGAGATCAACTTCCCAGACATCACGTATGGTTTCTGTCCTACATCTCTTGGCTCTGCATAGCCTGGGAATAACTTGAGTGTACACATGGATAAAATGAAACTGGGGGCTGTCTTTGATATGGGACAGGGGTCACTGTGAGGCAGAGAAGCCAGTAAGCATTGAACAACAGAAGGGGGTTCCGGAGACCTGGCCTGGTCCTGTTGCTGTGTGGCTTAGTCCCTTACTCTATCTGATCCAGGTGCCACGGCTTACCAATGGAAGATTAGGCCAGATGGCTCCTGAGAGTGCTTTGGGAGATTCTCTGTTCCTTCTGGGAATGGCAGGGATAGGAGGGGGTCCCAGAAGTTTGAACGCTTTGGCATCCAAGAAATCACACTCCAAATACTGCTCTTCTGGCCTCCCCTGGGCTGCCTTCTCCAACCGTGTTCCTGGGAACCGAAGGGCAGAAATTGCCCTCTTGGGCTTATAAACAAGGTATGAAGGACCTGTCCTTAATTTGGCTCCTGTATATTCTTTATTTTGGAAATGCCTGGAGCCCACCTAGAGAGGAGGCAACTAGAGTGGACATTCTTTGGGAACTATAGACCTCCCAACCCCATCCTTGCCAGGCAGCATTTGTTCACCCATTGCACTGTTCTTCAGGACTGAGGCTTGGACTCCAGCATGTCTCTACCCTTTAAATGCCCAGAATCCAGCCCAGAGGTAGGGGGCTTCCAATACCTCCTGGCCAGCAACTTGTCAACGCTGACACCTCAGCTCCCCAGCATGGGGTTTCCATCTCAGACTCCAGACAAGATTCCTCCAAAGAGCCACTGGTGTGACTGACACCAAGCAAGATGCTGAGGCAGGGCTTACTGAGGGCCGGGACCTGGAGGGTTAAGCCTTCCCTCCCTCCTGCTTGCCCCCTGCAGTGTTGGCCTCAGCTGCTTGGAATCCCTGGGGTCCTGTAGGGCCCTCCCGCCAGCCAGATGGGCAGCTGCTGCAGCAGAGGAGGGGGAGAAATGGAAACAGGCCTCAGGGTACCCCTAGGCAGGGAGGGAAGGGAAGAGGAGTGGAGGGAGGACAGAGGATGGCTGTGAGGAAGGGAACTCAGTTGCCCTAACGTGAAGGCAGGACCCCTCGCCTTGACTCGGACAGCAGGGCAGGGGCTGCCTCAAGGCTTTGGATGTGGGGGGATCAGGGCACATGCCATTCCACTCAGCGGGCCTCAGAGCCAGCTCTTGGCGTGAAACCTTACCCGATGCTGGCTCCTGCTCCTCTCTCTTTTTTTCTTAATAAGGTCGAATCAGAGTGAGTCAGAGGAGCCAAGTTTCCTGTTAGGCTCTATTTGAATAAACTCTGCTCTGAACATAGCCTGGGCCTCTGCACAGACTCCCCTGGCCAGGACTGCGCTCCTGCCAGCCATCCCTGCTGAGATGGAGACCTGGGGGTCCACACCATGACTTGAGCTAGGGACCTGGCCTGGCCCAGCCACTCCCCGGGGAAGCTTTTTAAGCTCTCAGAGCTTCAGAGTCCCGTCTGTGACCTGGGGGTAATCATACCTTTCTTGTGGCATATTTGAGAGGATGGAATGAGAGGATTATGAAAAGTCCCCAGCACAGAGCCAGACATGTGGCCACTATTTTCCTTCTTTCCTCTTGACTTGTGAGAGAAGGGAGGGATTTATCTCTTGGGGTTGACCCCCACTCCCACTTCCTCTGTCTTTCCTGTTTTTATCTGTCTTCAGCATCTTTCCTTGCTCAGGGTGAACCTTGTGCAGGGGGGCCAGAGGTGGCCCCTCCACCAGAGCTGTCCTCTCCCTTCCTCTCTACTCCCTCCTTCTGACCTCATTCTACTTGGGTTTAGGTCTCCTGCAGTGGCTGACAGGCCCAGCAGTTCTGTGAGCCCAGGGGAGCCTGCCTTCCATCACCTCTCCTCATGCTGGGCAAGGCCTTGCCTTGGTGGCTGGAGGTGTCCTGGCATCCTTAGGTTGAAACCTGCAGGGTGGGGTCCTAAAAGAGACCTGGGCAGGTTATGGAGGGTGCAGAGCTGGGGTCAAATGAGGGCGTGGACTCGAAGGCTGAGCTGAGCCAGAGCTGTCTGGGGTGAAGGGCAGCTTCTCTCTCCGCCTGTCCCTGCAGGCTGGGATTCACACCCACATTTTTAAGACCCAGGCATGTGCTTGAAGCTTGTTGCCAGTTCCTGGCACTAGGAACCGGTGTCAAGGGACCCTCGGAGGGGTGGTGATAGAAGGATGAAAGAGCCTGTTGATTGCGCATGACTTTATTAAGCCCCTGCCACGTGCTCAGCTCTGTGTTGCCGGGGCTCCCACGGAGCAGCCAGGGTCCTGTGACCCTGTCATGGAAGGCTGAGTTCTGGAAAGTCCATGGGGGAACCAGGAAGCAGCAGGCCTGACCAGCAGCGGGTCTGGGGAGCAGAGAGGGGTCAGGAGCTGTGGGATTCCTCCCTTGCTTTGCAGAGGGACGTACTAGGAGGCCCATGGTGGGTCGGAATTTTCTGTGATAGTGGGGATGCCAAGAGGGAAGGCCCCAGAGCACCCAAACCCTCCATCTTCCAGGCTGCGCTGTAGATGGGTTTGGGGCAGCACTGGGAATCCAAGACCCAACCCAGGCAGCTGCTGCCTCTGGAAAGCGGGCTGGAGGAAGTGCTGAGTGAGGAGGCTGGGCGAGCTGGCACAGAAAGTGCTGACTCTGCAGGGAGAGGACCACCGAGTGACCACTGCCAGCTGGGCCCCGTGCCTACCCCTCCCCTGCAGCCACATCTGGCGCAACGGTGGGGTGGGGGACCCAGTCCCCAGGGCCGAGGTAGCCGAGGAGGGGGCCTGAGGAGGGGGCCAGAGCCATGGGTTTGGAAGTGTTTCTTCAGGGCTGGAACTCCACTCCGGAAGTGGGGGAGGTGAGGTCAGAGCCTTTTCGAGGGACTAATGGGGTTGGGGGTGGAAGGAACCCACCCTTCTCTAGGACCCAGGAGAATTCTGTGGCTCTGGCTACTTCCCAGTCGGTTTTCCTCCCAGCTCTCTGGGTCCCCTCCCCTACGGCTCCCAGGGGATTTGGAAATAACCAAGCTGATACAGTACTCTGGGCATTCAGGTTGGGCTCTGTGGAGGCGGGAAGCCGCCTCAGCCCCTTAGAGCTTCTCCCCTCTCTGACTTTCACCCCTCCCCAGAGTCTGGGGCAAGCAGGCTCCTGTCTCTACCTCCACTTCCAGCCCCAACCCCTATCCAACCCGGGGGCCCTGAGCCCAGAGCCAGTGGAGACAGGAGCCGATTGTCATTGCAGGAATGAGGACCAGCTGGGGAGAGAGATCTTCTCCCAGGGACCTGCCTTGGCGGGGGGATTCTGCATAGTTGTCTGGGGCCTTCTGGGTGGGAGGGCCCTGAGCTGGCATGCTGTGGGGGTAAGAGGAAACTGTCCCCTGCCCGAGGGAGAGAACTGACAAAACCAAGCAGGGCGCCAGGCCCTTGGGACACAGTCCAGCAGAGACCTGCAAATCTAGGAGGGAAACTAAGGCAGGAACCCCTGGTTCTCTCTGCTAACATCCTGACAAGTTAAGGGAGGGCTTGTGCTCTCTCTCTCCTTTTCTTTTTGTCTGTAAATTTAACTTTCACTGGGATCTCTCTGGGTTTCTCTAGCTTTTTCTTTGTTTGTTTTTGTTTTTTTTAAAAAAGCATAGTCTTGCTATGTTCCCCAGGCTGGAGTGCAGTGGATTCACAGCAGCCTTGAACTCCTGGGCTCAAGCCATCCTCCTGCCTCAGCCTCTGGGACTACAGGTGCACATGACCACGACCGGCTTTCTATAGCTTTTAAATTTTCTGCAGTAACCTCCCTCCACCTTATTCGTTCATTTTCTATCTGTGGCCAAGTCTGTGACTTGCAGCCTCCATCTGTCTCCATCTGTTTCTGTTCTTCCTCAACTCTCTTTCACACTCCCTCCTGTCATCTCTATCTGCTGATGCTTCTACCAATGAACGATTCCTTCATTCATCCACTCACTCACTCACTCAGCATGTTCCCTGGGTATCTGTGGAATACCAGGCCCTGTGCTGACTGCAGTCATCACAGAGAGCAGCCAGACCTGCCAAGTTTCCAGTGGGTGCCCAGGCTGGTGGGGGTGTATAAGTGATAGTCCTGGGTGGAGGTGAAGACGTGGCACTGACTCTCTGTGACCTTTGGGAGGCATTTCTATTTCAGTCTCCATGTCTGTCTGTCTGTCTGCCCATTTACCCATCCATCTCTGTCTGTCAGCGACTCAGTCCTTGGTTCACCTTCATGAGGTGGCTTTTTTTCTGCTTTCTCAGAGCTCATGCAGTTTACTCATTTCCCCCTGGTGGGGGTTGGTAGTGGAGCTGGAGAAGGGGAGGTGGTGTGGGGTGAGACTGGATGTGGTGATGGAAGTGACAGAGGTATTCCAACCAGAGGGGCTCCATCTTGAATGGGGACTGGGTAAAATGAGCCTGAGACTTACTGGGCTGCATTCCCAGGAGGCTAGGCCTTGGTAGTCACAGGATGAGACAGGAGGCCCAAGATACAGGTCACAAGCACTCCACTGATAAAACAGAATGCAATTAAAAAAAAAAAAAGCCAGATGGCTGGGCATGGTGGCTCATACCTATAATCCCAGCACTGTGGGAGGCCGAGACGGGCAGATCACCAGAGCTCAGGAGTTCAAGACCAGCCTGGCCATGGTAAAACCCTGTCTCTACTAGAAATACAAAAAATTAGCCAGGCGTGGTGGTGCGCACCTGTAATCCCAGCTACTCGGGAGGCTGAGGCAGGAGAATCACTTGAACCCAGGAGGCAGAGGTTGCAGTGAGCCGAGATCACGTCATTGTACTCCAGCCTGGGCAACAAGAGTGAAACTCTTGTCTCAAAAAAAAAAAAGCCAGCCCAAACCAAGATGGTGATGATCATGACCTCTGGTTGTCCTCACTCCCCATTGTACACTATCATATCACATTAGCATGCTAAAAGACACTCCCACCAGTGCATGACAGTTTACAAATGCTGTGGCAACATCCGGAAGTTACCCTATGTGAGCTAAAAGGAAGGGGAACTCTCAGTTCTGGGAACTCCCTACCTCTTGCCCAGAAAACTCATGAATAATCCATCCCTTCTTTAATATACAATCAAAAGATAATCATAGATGACAGCTAACCAGCAGCCATTGGGGCTGTTCTGCTTATGGAGTCGCCATTCATTTATTCCTTCACTTTCTTAATAAACTTGCTTTCACTTTACTCTGTGGACTTGCCCCATATTCTTTCTTGTGTGAGATCTAAGAAGCCTCTCTTGGGGCCTGGATCGGGAACCCTTTCCTGTAACAGAAGGAGCAGGCCCTTGGGGCCAGTGGAGACTAGTTTTGCCCAGCTGGGTTCTGGAAAGGAAAGGGCCACAGGGTGATGAAAGATGAGATATCAGCAATCTCTCCCTTAAGTTTTTTTGTAATACAATTTTTAATCTCAGATTACAAAAGAAATAGGTCAATTATAGGAAATTTAGAATACAGAGTAAAAAAGAAAAAGTAATTCATTCTGTAACCTAGAGAAAAACCATTGTTTTAGGCTCCACCCCCCCACTCATTTAAAAAAACAATTAGGATCATAGTGCCTATGTCATTTTACAAGCTGCTTTGTTTGTGTAATAACAGTTGATGAACATTTCCTTGTCTCAAGGTAACTGCCGTTTCAATATTCATATTGATCACAGGAGCTCCTGCCTGCCTGGATGAAGAGGAGGTCAAGACTTTGTCCCCCACTCCGCAAGATACCCTCTCTGTTCCGGAGCGGTGGGTCCCTCCCCTGTTAGGACCTTGTCTCCCTCAGGACTGGACCTGGATCCTGGGCCTGCAGTCAGATTGCCAGTTTCACTTAGAGGTGGAAATGTCAACCCACTGGTTGGAATGGGAAGGTAGGGTGTGGGGTCGGGGAGTACCTTCATTTCTATCTGCCCAGGAGGCCAGCCGCTTCCTGCATAGCATTTCCTTCCTGCAGTATGGGAAGGACCAGGCTTTCTCAGACCACAGAATCTTGAGAGCCATTTCCACGTGGAGCAAGTGGTGGCTACCAGCCTTGGGTCTACATAACTAGGGCCTCATCCCTGGCCCAAGAATCCTGCTCCACAGCCTTCTTGTGTCCCTGTAGGAGGAGAAACACCTGGCAACTTAAATTTTTTAAAATAACTTTTTTTTTTTTTTGAGACGGAGTCTCGCTCTGTCTCCCAGGCTGGAGTGCAGTGGTGCGATCTCGGCTCACTGCAAGCTCCGCCTCCCAGGTTCATGCCATTCTCCTGCCTCAGCCTCCCAAGTAGCTGGGACTACAGGCACCTGCCATCACGCACGGCTAATTTTTTTGTATTTTTTTAGGTGAGACAGGATTTCACCATGTTAGCCAGGATGGTCTTGATCTCCTGACCTCATGATCTGCCCACCTCGGCCTCCCAAAGTGCTGGGCTTACAGGCGTGAGCCACCGTGCCCGGCCAAAAATAACTTTTAAAAACATGAGTATAGCATACACACACACAAAAGTCCACAAATCCTAGGTGTACCACTTGATGAATGATCCCAACGTGAGCACACCTCTGGATTACCACCTGGATCAAGAAATAGGACATCACAGCAGCTGGCAGCTTCCAAGGAGAAGCTCTGGAAAGTTCTGCCTGTCTCAGCACCTGGCTGGATCGGAAACGAGTTTTCTTTAACCAGATTTTTAATGACTGACTTATGTGGACAAATCATAACTGAATGAATCACCTCCTTTGTTGATTTTTTTGGGTACTTTATTTGCTATTATAAATGATGCTGTAATAAGCACCCTTGAAGAAATCTTCATATCTGCCTCTCCTGTGTAGCAGGTCACAGTGCCTGGGTTTGGTTCTAGCCCTCATTTGTGAACTGTGTGACTCACCATGCCTTTTTTCTTTCTGTAAGACAGGAATAATGGTAAGAATTTAAATGGGGGTAATATGGAGCGCGTTTAGTTCAGAGCCTGGTGCATACAAGCACTCAATAAGTACTGGCGATTATTAGACCTTTAGATTAATTTATTAGAAGTTGGATTTCTGGTGAAAGGGTTTGAGTGTTTTTGAGGCTTTGGCACAGAATACCCAGCTGGTCCCAGAAAGGTGGTTCCCATTTACCTGCCCGAAGGTAATTCACCCTTACTGATACTGAGTACTGTTTTCTAAAAGAACATTAAAAATTGGATAGGTTAAAAACAGGTGAATACATTTTTTTAGTTGCATTTTTTTGGTTACCCGTGAGAGTGAACATGTTGCCATGTGTTTGCTGACCTCCTAAATGGTCTATTTGCTCCTACCTTTGTACCCCAAAAGTCTGCTCTCAAGATGGTAGCCAGAATGATCCTTTTTGAGACATAAGTCAAAATTTCACTCTTCTCCTTAAAGCTCTGCAATGGTTCTCAGGTTAAAAGCCAAAGTCCTGTTCAAGGCCTCCAGGGTCCTCACCACTTGGTCCCTTGCTCTTTCTGTTCTAGCCAACTTGGCCTTCTCCTGCCCCTCCGCCGCACCATGGCAATTTCCCCTGCTCTGTGTGGTCAACTACCTGAATCTGTTCAAAGCTTTGCTCAAATGTCTCCTTCCTGATGAGACCTCCCCAGCCCCTGAGCTCCCCATGCCTCACTCCTGATCGCCTTACTTAACCCTTCTTTTTCTTTTTTGCCAGTAGTACTTATCACCGTCTAAAATACTTCATAATTTACTTGTTTATTGTTTGCCCCTCTCCAATAGAATGTAAGCTCCTTGGGGCAGGGACCTTTGTCCTTTGTCTTGTTCACTGCTGTGTCCCATGTGTAAACTTGTCTGGCACAGAAGAGGTGCTCGATAAATATTTGTTGAGTGAATGAATGGTAAATTTTCTGTTCATATTCTTTGACTATTTTCTATTGTAATGTTCATCTTTTTAGTATTGGTTTATAAGATGTATATTTAGCACCTTTTCATATATCACTCTTTGTCACATATTATGCAACTAATTTGTCATTTCCATCAATTTTTAAAATACTTTCTTGATGCTTCATTTTTAAGCTGTCAGATTATTAATCTTTTCTTTATGGTCTTGGACTTTATTGTTGCATAACCGCTGCCTTCACCAGGAACATATAAATTTTCAATTAAATGTTCTTCTGAGATTTTATGATTTCACTTTTTATATTAAACTCTTCATTTTGTCTTCATGTGTGGTGAGAGGTAAGAACATAACTTTAAAGCAAATTAACCAACTATCCCCAAATGAATTATAAATAAATTAATCATTTTCCAATGATCTGAAAGGCCATTTTATCATACACTAAATATTTTTGTGTGTTTGACTGGGTTTACCGTTCTGTTCCGTTGGCCTATCACATCGTTCTTACATTGGTATTTGTTGCCCTATTTTAATGATTGTAACTTTTTAATAAGGGTTAATGACTGAGAATACAAGTCCCATTGTTTTGTTTTATTATTTTTATTATTTTTTTGAGACAGGGTTTCACTCTGTCACCCAGGCTGGAGTATAGTAGCACTATCTCGGCTCATTGCAACCTCTGCCTCCCTGGTTCAAGTGATTCTCCCACCTCAACCTCCCGAGTAGCTGGGACTACAGATGCATGCCACCACACCCAGCTAATTCTTGTATTTTTAGTAGAGACAGGGTTTCACCATGTTGACCAGGCTGGTCTTGAACTCCTGGCTTCAAGTGATTCACCTGCCTCGACCTCCCAAAGTGCTGGGATTACAGGCGTGACTCACCACGCCTGGCCCATTTTTTTCTTTTGAGGTGTTCTTTGTGGCAATTCATATATTCTTTAAGATAAATTCTAAACTTTTTTTTTCTGCCGAGATAAACTAGCAGACAAATCCCACTGGACATTGCAATTGGATTAGTTTTGTAGATTAATTTAGTGATAATCAACTTCTTTGCACCATTGAGTGCTTCTGTCCGGGAACGTGGCATATCTTTCTATTATTAAGGTCTTTTTTATTATAGGTCTTTAGGGAAGCTTTATTTTATAGATGAATGTAGTGTGTTTGGTGCTTATTTTCATAAAATAAAGCAATGACATCTGTGGCAGGCAGCTTCTGAAATGGCTCCCAATGATCCTTACCTTCTGATAGTCACCCCCTTGGAGAATCCCTTTCCTTTGTGTGTGGGCTGGATCTAGTGACTTGCTTCTCATAAATAGAATATGGCAAAAAATGATGGGTTGTTACTTCTGAGATTAGGTTATAAGAGGCGAATTTCTGTTTTGCTGTAATTTTGTCTCTCTAACCCTCTTGCTTTCCTGTGCTCATGAAACCAGCTGCTGTGTTGTGAGCCACCTTATGGAAAACCCATGTGGCAGAGAACCGAGGGTGGTGGCTGGCCAACAGCAAGCCAGGAGCTGAGGCCCACAGTCCAACAACTGGTGAGGAACCACATGCTGCCAGCAGCCATGTGAGGGAACTTAGAAGCAAATCCTTCCCCAGTTGAGCCTTCAGATGACACCAGAGCCTTGGCTGACCCCTTACTTTTACCCTTGTAAGAGACTTTGAGCCAGAAGACTTGGCTAAACCACACCTGGATTCCTGACCCACAGAAACTTGAAATAATAAATGTGTTGTTTTAAGTCACTCGGTTTTGGGGTAATTTGTTACATAGCAGAGATAACTAATATAGCCCCCCTTTTTTGCATCATGTTTTCTAACAGTTTATTAGGAAATGAAAATTTATTTTAGGCTGGGTGCAGTGGCTCACACCTGTAATCCCAGCACTTTGGAAGGCCGAGGTGGGTGGATTGCCTGAGCTCAGGAGTTCAAGAACAGCCTGGGCAATGTGGCAAAACCCTGTCTCTACTAAGAATACAAAAATTAGCTGGGCATGATGGCGTGAGCACCAGTAGTCCTAGCTACTTGGGAGGCTGAGGTGGAAGGATCGCTTGAGCCCAGGAGGCAGAGATTATAGTGAGCCAAGATCACCCCCATTGCACTCCAGCCTGGGTGACAGAGCAAGACCTTGTCTCAAAAAAAAGAAAAGAAAAGAAAAAGTTATTTTATAACTAGCCACTTTACTAAATTCTTCTATTTTGATAATTTTGTATTTTCTCAGTTTTTTATGGGAAGACAATCATATTTGCAAATAATTATAATTTGTTTCCCTCTTTTTTATTTTTTCTATCTAATTTCATTAGCTAGGATCTTTAGAATAATGTTAAATAACAAGATATTAGAACTCTTTGTCTTGTTCTCAGATTTGGTGGAATGCTACTTGTATTTTACGCTTTTGGTTTTGGCTGTTGGTTTGAGATTTATTATTTTTTATCATGTGAGATAAGTGTACTTTGATTTCCCGTTTACTTGAGCTTTTAAAAAGAAAATCAGGAATGGATGTCGCAATTTACCAAACATCTATTCAGTATGTAAAATGATCTTTTTCTCCTTTGACCTATTGCTGTGGTAAATCAGTTCACTGCCATTCTAATATAGAATTATCCATGCATTCCAGGAATGTTTGCTCATGGTGTATTCTTTTAATACATTGTTGACATACATTGGACTTATCTGATTAAATTTTCATTAGGACTCTACATTTGTATAAATGAGGCAGGTGTATGACTCATTCATTCTGTCTTTCTTTGTGCCACTTGTCAGGTTTTAGTATCAGGGTTATTCTGGCTTTACAAAAAGAATTGAGAAGCGTTTGAGTTAAGGTCCTGGCAAAAAAACACTCACCCAAGATGGTTTAACTAAAGAGACTTTAATGAAGGGACTTTTTATAGAAATGTGGATAAGGGGACTGGGTGCGGTGGCTCACGCCTGTAATTCCAGCACTTTGGGAGGCCGAGGTGGGTGGAAAACTTGAGGTCAGGAGTTCGAGACCATCCTGGCCAACATGGAGAAACCCTGTCTCTACTAAAAATACAAAAATTAGCCAGGTGTGGTGGCACATGCCTGTAGTCCCAGCTACTCGGGAGGCTGAGGCAGGAAAATCACTTGAACCCAAGAGGCAGAGGTTGCAGTGAGCCAAGATTGTGCCGCTGCACTCCAGCCTGGGTGACAGAGTGAGACTCTGTCTCAAAGAAAAGGAAATGTGGATAAGGTTAAGTGAACAAAAAAGGCATGGTAAGGATGGTGAGGTACCCAGAGACTAGACATTATGGTGTTACTGTCCTTAGGGCTTCAGGGACAATGGGAGGAACCAGTGTGACCAGAGCCCAGGGAGAGCTGGAACCTTGGAGAAGAGGTGCAGGCAAGAGCTGAGCTTGTGGAGGAACAAAGTCCCCGCCAGAGAGAGGGCACGAAAAGAGGCAGGGCACAGATGAGATACACCAGCTCTTCTCACCTCCTGCCTTCCACACTCCTGCCCATACCCTCCATTGTCAGACTCAGCAAGGAGCTGGAGGACAAGGGAGCCTGGGTGATGAATGCAGTTTGTGGGGCTCAGGGCTGGGCAGGGAAGGAAGTGGCTCTGGTGTGATTTCTGCTTCCTGACTGATACGTGCATAACCATGTGTTTAACATGTTTTTAATATTCACTTCCAGAGCTTTTATACAATTTCTCTGTGTTGATTTTTTTTTTTTTTTTTTGAGACAGGGTCTTACTCTGTTGCCCAGGCTGGAGTGCAGGTCAAGGTCACTGCAGCCTTGACCTCCCTGGCTCAATCAATCTGCCCACCTCCTGAGTAGCTGGGACTACAGGCTTATGCCACCATGCCTGGCTAATGTTTTATTTTTTATTTTTTGTAGAGATGGGATTTTGCCATGTTGCCCAGCCTGGATTTTTTTTTTTTAATTTAGAGACTTTATATGGGCCAAAGTTGAGAATTGCAGCCCAGGACTTGCTTTTTCACTTACTATTATTTTACTTACTTTGACTCTTGCTGGCTTGGAAAGAGTGCATCTCTGAGTACCTTTTTCCCCGTGAAAAGTAGAGCCATACATGGCATGTGTCCTAAGTTCTGGCATGTGGGAAAGTCTTTTTCTGTTGTCTTCATGCATGATTGCACCAGGCAAATTGTTAAAATGTAAGGTCACAACTGATCTCTCAAAATTCTGTAAAAGAGTGGTTCCCAAAGTGTGTTCTATTGAACACCAGTCTTACCACATAGTCTATGGCAAAGGATTTCATAGTCAAATAAGTTTGGAAAACTGGGCTTGCTAATATTGCCAGTTTAATAACATGCATGAATACGTTAAAAGCCCTGAGAAAGCCTCAGCATAGGGTTTTATCTTGTTTTGTTTAATTCAGCATTTCCCAAGCTTATTTTATGACAGAAACTTTTTTCCTCAGTACAAATAGTTAACAAAATTCCATGGACTCTCTCTTCCAATTATACACTTTAAGAAATGTTGGGCTGGGTGTCGTGGCTCACACCTGTAACCCCAGTACTTCGGGAGACCAAGGTGTGAAGATCACCTGAGCCCAGGATTTCAAGACCAGCCTAGGCAACATGGTGAGACCCCCATATCTACAAAAATCAAAAAAATTACCTGGGCATAGTGATACATGGCTGTAGTCCCAAGCTACTTGGGAGGCTGAGGCAGGAGGATCACTTGAGCCCAGGAGGTTGAGGCTGCAGTGAGCTGTGATCGCACCACTGCACTCCAGCCTGGGCCACAAAGTGAGACCCGGTCTCAGCAACAACAACAACAAAAATGAATGTTGCAGATATTTCTCCATATTTCTCTCTGCATGGGTGCTGATAGAATTCTTTCTTTACCCTTGCAATTTGAAAATTCTACATGGCATTTCTAAGTGTTCATTTATTTTTATTAATTTGACTTAAGGAGGAATCTTTTAAATGTATAAGCCCAGGCTTCTCATCAGCTCAGGGACATCTTTCTCCTGTGATTCTTGCTTTTATTTCATTTGTTTAGTGTCTTCTGTAAGCCCGGATACCTATCATGTTGTCTCTCTGTTTTTTATCCTGTTGTGCTTTTCCTCTGCAGTCTCAGAGAACTTCTCCTATCTGTCCTTCACATTTACAGATTCCATTTTCTGTAGTTCCAATTCTGTTCTTTACCATCTTGATGGAAATTAAAATTCTACTGCATTTTTAGTTTCTTTGCAGTCTTTCCTTCTCTCCTCTGGTTTGTTTTTGATTTCCACCTGCCTCTCAGTCAGCAGCCTTCTCATTTCATTCTTTCCATCTTATTTTTCAACTCTCATTTCTTAGAGTGCGCACTTTAATTAAATGAATTGCGTACAGAACAGATGTGGTCTGCAAGTTATTTATGTTTATGTGATAAATCTTTTCAAAGGAATTACTTTTCTCTGCCCTTTTAGGGCCACGTTCTCTTCTTGCCTCATGCAGAGTCTTTTCAAAGGCTCTGTGTATTTCCAAGTATATGTGTGTGCATGTGGGTTTGTGTGTGGGGGTGTGTGTTTGCTTTTCTCTGTACTCCTACTTTAAAGATGAGTGTTTTAAACTTTTTTTAATTTTATTTTTTTTTAATTTATTTATTTAGAGACTGGGTCCCACCATATTGCCTGGGCTGGCCTCGGACTCTTGACCCCAAGTGATCCTCTGGCCTCAGCCTCCCAAGCAGCTGGATTTACAGGCAGGCACCACCGCACCGAGCTAAAAGTGAGTGTTTTATAAAATCTTACTATTTTCCCCCAAACAAGGAGAAGGAAATGGATTCTCTTTAGGTCACCCTTCGTCTGGATGTTGCTCCAATTGTCCTGTCATATTTTAGGACTGGTTAATGCAATTTCACATCACCAGTTGGCTATGAACACAAACTGTCTGTGACATGTCTCCCCACTTGTCACCAGAGGCACCAGCCAGTAGTTGAGCTGGCTGCAGGTTTGTGTGTGTGTTTGTGTGCAAGTGTTCCGTTCTTTCCCCACTCCAGGTAGAGCGTCCAAGGGCCATTACCAGCTCAGGGATCTAGCTGGGACAACTGTGTGGGAGTTGGCTGGGGCCAGGTCCAGCAGGTAACCTTGCCTCCTCTGCACCAAGGGCCAGGTCTATTTGCCCAGCGTCCAGGGTTTCCTGGCTGTTCCTGTAGGTATTCAACATAGCTATGATAAGACTTCTGCCCCCACTAACAGGAAAGGAGGAACACGGTATTAGAGAGAACCTGATTGAGGGAGGAACTCCTCCCACCCCACCCAGCTCAGTTACCTACTTGACATGGCAACCACATACCCCCACCCCAGCCCACCTCCCAGTCAGCTCCTTCCCAAGGCAGTTGATAGTATGGAAAGGGCTTTCCAAAGATGCCCTGCAAGCCCCGTGTCCCACCATCTGCCCTAATTTAGGGTCAGTACATTCTGCCAGGACCTCATCTACTTCTCATAGTATAGTTTTGCTTTCTCAAGAATTGGAGTTGTGAATCAGCCCTTGAGGTCTTCCTTTAATCTGTATCTTGCACACTTTACAGCAATCCCCAGCTTTCCTGGCACGAGAATGTACCTTCTCTGGCTTTCAGTCCAGGCCAACAGGCGTTCTCTTCTTTCCTAGTCTTTTGATCAATTCAGCTGGGATCTGGGAGGGAGGAGAGTTCTGCACCAGCATAACAGGATATTGTGTGGGACTCTTCCTCCTGTTCTGGAATTGCAGCTAACACCCAAAGCTGAGTACAAAAGGCACTGGGGACCCTGCCTTCTGCATTCAGAGGGTTGTCAGTGGGTGGTCAGCAGCTAGTACCATCTCCCTCCCGCAGGGCTGATGGCTCTTCTCTCATCAACCACCACCACCTCCCACAGTGACTGGAAGAGGAGCAGGGGATGGAATGGTCGGTTGCCATGTGGGGAGGGCAGTGTTTGTGGTAGAGGCTGCTTGCTCCCCTCTTCACGGGAGATGATGGGTGGGGTGGGTGCCTTTCCTCCCTGATAACATAAGATAATTTCTTGTAAGGAGAGACAAGCATACCATCCCCCAGGGGGGCATCTGCTTAGTCTGTGAACCCCCTTGTATACCTCTGAGCTGCCTGAGTTGGGGAAGAGGGCAATACAAGACAGATGGTGGAGTGGAGAGAGAGAGCTGTGTGAGGTGGCTGGGCTCAAGTGGACAAGCTGGTGTCCCACCCATGAGGGCGTCTCTCTAGGGCTTGAGAGAATGCACAGGCTGTCCACGAGACAGTCACCAGGGCAGAGAGGAGGGAGTGGAGTAGCCAGAGAAGCAGTGACAATCCACCTAGGAGAGGACATGTGAGAGTTGCTTCCAAGTCCCTCTCCTGGCCCCGCAGTCACTGAGAGACTAGAAAAGTGATAGGGAGGCGGATCTGGAGCTGGATGCTCCCCTCCATTGTGGCCTTGTTGGTGGGGGAGGGCCAGTCACCACTCTCATCTGGGCAGAAGTGGGAATGGCAGGAGAGACAAACAGGAAGTCTTGATTAACGAAATGAGACAGTTCTAGTAGATGAAAGTGACGGCGGAGTTGTGGGACGCAGCCACGATGTCATTAAGATCCCTACCACCCAGTAGGAAAGGGATTTCAATAGAGCACAGTTGACTGTGTGTGTGTGTTGGAGGGGAGATTATTAACAATTTCACGTCTACATCCTAACAAATTGAGGCCCTACAAAAAATGTGCTACACTTGAAAAAAAGTCCTTAAATGAGGAAGAAAACAGCTTTGGAACTTTTTAGGGGTAGAGGATTGCAAAAATGTGGGATGGGAACATGTGGGTAGTGAGGATAGATGGAAGAGACTTTCAGTAGAGGACCCAGGGGGTCGAGAAGCTAGTCCTTGTTCTCTGGCTTGCAAGTGACAGAAGCCCAACTCACACTAGCCTGAGCAAAAATGAGGATTTATTGGAGGATCTTGGAGCATCTCACAGAATCTAAGAAACAGCCCAATAATTGAGCCAGCAGAGGGGCGGGGATGTGGGTGGGCCTTAGAGACATCTGGAACCAGGGATTTGCAAGCCACAGCAGCCCCACCAGGTTCTTGTTTTTGCTTCTTGCTGCAGATCAGCCTCATTTGTTCTTTTCCCAGAAGACTGGTTTTGTCTAAGACAGAAAATATGACCACTGACAGCTTCTGAGTGTTGTAACTTGGAGGTTATGTCATGAGAAAGAAGTGAGTCTCGGTGTCCTTGAGTCTGAAAACACCAGAAGAGGGGCCTCCCTGGCTGTGATGAGTCCTGCAGAGGAACAGGGCTATGCCACCCTAGAAGAAAGAAGGTCAGACAATTGGGACAGGTGTTCCTAACAGGAATCTAACAGCCTGACATCATGGCCTTACGCAAACATGAGATTCTGATGATCCCACCTTCCCTCCACTTCCCAGGAGTCATGCCAGCTGCAGAGGCCCTGATGAAACTCTGTCCTTCATCTCTCGTGAAGCCCGTGGCAAGGGCAACAACCACCACAACAGTAATGCTAGTAGCTAGCATTTATTATGCACTTTGCCTCAGGCCCTGGGCTGCACTCTATGTGGATTTTTTTTTGAGATGGAGTCTCGCTGTGTCGCCCAGGCTGGAGTGCAGTGGTATGATCTTGGCTCACTGCAACCTCACCTCCCAGGTTCAAGCAATTCTCCTGCCTCAGCCTCTGGAGTAGCTGGGACTACAGGTGCGTGCCACCACACCCAGCTAAGTTTTGTATTTTTAGTAGAGACAGGGTTTCACCATGTTGTCCACGCTGGTCTCGAACTGCTGACCTCAAGTGATCTGCCTGCCTTGGCCTCCCAAAGTGCTGGGATTACAGGTGTGAGCCACTGCGCCTGGCCTTTACATGGATTTTTATTTCATCCTGACTGCAGCTGTCTTACTCCCCTCACTTTGCAGACGAGGATGCAGAGACAGGGAGAGGTTAGGAGCCCAAGGTCACACAGCTAGTGAGAGGCAGTGCAGGCACTCTGCCTAGGTCAGTCTGGTTCCCAAGTCCATGTTTGCCATCATCAAGCTCCCTAGCCTGCAGGATTGAAGGTCTGGCCCTGGGCATTCCCAGAGGAGGTGGAAAAGTTCACTGGTCTGGTTGATGGTTCTGCCACATGGACTTACAAGGCATCACAGCCAGAGCCTGAGGAACTTTCTGGGGCCTGTGCCCTTCACACCACCAGCTGTGCCACCACAGGGTCTCTAGACAGTCATCATGAGCACCTGGGAGGTGATGCTCCTGTCTGTAAGCAGCTGCTGTGGTCAGTGAGTGGCTGCATAGCTGGGTCCTCCATCCTGGTGGCTTTGGGGACAGTATAGGCTCTGGTTCTCTTCTCCCTCCATTCTTTACCTCCTTTCAGTCTCTTCCCTTCTGGTTTTCCCCCTTCCTAGACGCCTGGCTTCCCTGGGCCTGCTGCACCTGCTCTGGCTAGGTTGGAGAGGGCTGCAGGGAGGACCGCAGTCAGCAGAGGGCGCCAAAGCCTCTCAACACAAGCATGGCCCAGGCCTGGCCCAGAAGGAGAGCGCTGAGAGCCAGGACTGGCGGGCTACGTGCGCCCTGTGGATTCCCCCATTTCCCATGCTTCATCCAGCCATGGGCCTGCAGTGCACTCACAAATGTGCATATACCCTCCTGTGTGTGTGTTACACTCATCAAATTGTCTCTGAATTTGCTTGGCTTCATGTGTTCCTGTGTGTGTTTATGTGTGTGTGTGGTGTGTCTGGTGTATCTGGTTCCCCAGGAAGCACATTTGACAGCCCCACAGTCAGGGTCAGGGCACAGGGACAGATACTGTGTCTATAACAATCCATAACACTGATTTTGTTCATCTCAATAAATGTGAGAATGAAATAAAAATTAATGTAGAATATTTTGTACATCTCAATAAAGCCACTTTCTGGGGGCAGGCATTATAATTCTAGCCTCTGTTCTACTGTTTGATAGGTAAAGAATAACTTTCCACATAGGGAGAGGAATGGACAGCTACCCAGCCCTCCCACTGTTACAGGCCTGGGCTAGAAGCTTTCCATCTAGGCTCCTGGTTGACCGTACTAGCAGTCCTGTGAGCCAGGCAATAGTAGTCCCATTGTACAGATGAAGACAGTGAGGCTCAGGGAAGTTAGAAAACAATTTCACGTCTATACCCCAACAAATTGAGACTATACAGTAAGTGTGTTACACTTGAAAAAAATCTTTCTTAAAAGTAAAAGAGAAAGAAAACAGCTTTGGAACTTTTTAGGGGTAAGAGATTACAAAATGTGGGAATGGAACATGTGAGTGAGGATGGATGGAAGAGGCCATCAGCAGAGGACCCAAGGGGTTGAGAAGCAAGTTCTTATTCAGCTTGCAAGTGACAGAAGCCCAACTCACATTAGCCTGAGCAAAAATGAGAATTTATTGGAAAGATCTTAGAGCATCTCCCAGAATCTAAGTAAGAGCTCAATAATTGAGCCAGCAGAGGATCACACAGCTAGGAAGTGGTCAAGCTAAGATTTGGTTCCTGTCTCTCCAATTTCAAAGTCTATGCCCGTTTCACACTTTCTAAAGCTGCCCTCTCAAATTTGTGTTTTCCTTCCATGCAGACCCCACCAAAGATGAACTTGAGAGCAGCCCGGTGAAGTATCAGGAGCAGCAGCTGCTCATGGCTAGAACAACTGAGCTGAGAAATTCATGTTGACAGACAGTTTGTGGCTGATTTCTACGAGTCAAAGAATAAGGAACTATATTTAGCTGCTTGCTCTGGGCTAGTTAGCTGGTGGGGAGTGAGGGCTCAGACTGGGGGAAAAAAAGAGGAGGAGGAGCAGGAGGAGGAAGAGGAAGAAGAGGAAGAGGAGGAGAAGGAGGAGGAGGAAATGAGAGAGAAAGAGAGATGCCCAGTTGTCTGCTGTCTGGCCTGGGGTCCTTACCCTCAGAGTTGGGTCTCTGCAGCAAGCTTTGCATGGAATTGTGGTTGGTGGGGCCTCTTTATAAAGTTAAGACCTGCCCATATTACTAGGCTGGTGGGACAGAGAACAAGAGCCTGAAGAGGTGAATCTTCCAGGCTTGCAGATCTCTTCTCTACACACATGACATCGGTGAATGAGTCATTCTACACTTGGGGGTTCTGGAGCTCTGTAAACCAACACTCAGCACAACTCAGATCCAAAAAATAGTACTCAGCACTGCACATACATTCTTGATGGCATAGGGGTTAGCTTTGTCCCTTTGATTGACTTGACCTCAGTCTTCTCCTCCTCCTGGGTCAGGAAAGCCCTTTTCTTCCTCTCAAGGGAAAATCGAGGCACTTGCCCTGGATGGACTTGGGCTTGGATTTCCCAAACAAGCTGCTTCCCAGAGGAAGAGAGAGGCAAGAACCTGCCTCCTCCTCCCACAGATATCTGAGCTCTGCCAGGCCTGCCTTCCTCCTCCGTGTACCTTGTCCTCTCCACATGTAACCAGTGGGGCTGGTCCCTCATCCTTCTTTCCAAACTGCCACCACCCTCTCCACTCCAGATTCCATTCACTCAAAGACATCAGGGAGCAAGGTTGAGTATACTGACAATTTGGGTGGGAAGATTCAGAAGATGGTCTCATACCCCACGGAGACACATGAAATCCTTCTTCCATAGTTCTCTCCAGCCTCTCCCCGACCTCCTCCCACATACGTCTCCCACTTCCCTAGCCCCTCCTGTCCCTAATTTGCCTACCCAGCTCCTTCAAGATGGCAGCACAAAGGGTCACCTGTGACCAGAACTCAGCTTCCTGGGAAGGCAGTGGAGAGTATAAATTTATGGAGACAAAACTTTTCTCTATTTAGAAGTAGCACAACAAACTTTCTGGGACTCTTGAGTGTGAGCAGCTTAGAAAAACGGGACATGAAACTGAAGCCCAGCAGACATGCCCATCCCATCCACCCTGCTGGTGACCAGGAGCCAGTCCCTTGCTGAGAGCCTGGGTTTCCTTGACCGACACCGAGTGATACCTGAGTTCTCCCAATGTTCAGGCAGGAGCTCTTTGTTCCAGACTGTGCTGTCTTGATGGGGAGGCACAATGATCCCTGGGACAGAGGCCAGGGAAGGGCCCTGGAATTCCCAGCTTGGTCCTATGCTGCTCAGTTGACTCTCCCAAACCTCCAAGCCAACTGATTCTGCTCTGCCCCTTTAGGGAGGCTCCCAGCTGGGCCCTGGAGCAAATGCTGTAAACCCACAAATCTGCTCAGGGTTTTATCCCACCTGGGGGCCACAGATTGGTGGGAGAATGGGAGGTGAATAAAGGCAGTGGTGGCTCTTTAAAGAAAAAAAATGCCCTGGTTTGTAGCAGTTGCCAATTTCCATGGTGTAAATACTCCCACCACAGCCAATTTCAAGCTATCAACATGATGTCACTGAATGCAGAATTAAGAAAAGGTGTGAAAATTTCTTTTTTTTCCAGCAAGCTGACTTCAGCACACCACTGGACAAGGTAAAGTGCCTGAATCCGGGGACTCTAATCTAAAGGTTGTACTGAATTCAGCCAGGTAGAGCCAAGAAACAGACTGCTGAGTCGGCACATCCCTTTCTCAGGTTGATTTAAGAAGGGAGAATAACTCAAGGGAGCATTATGAGGGAATTTCAGAAACAATCAGATCATTTAGCAATTGAATTGTCTAAATATTTTTTCCTAATTTAAAGTTGCGTGTCATGTGAGTAATTGGACAATGCATTATTGAATTACTGAGGGATTTAATGCCTAAATTGGAGAAGCAATCAAACATTCACATCTTCAAGTAGTTGATGGACACCTAAGGAGGTATTCACATGATGGCTGGGGCTAGAGGGCGTGGGAGGCCTTGTCCTAAGTGGGCCCTGAGCCTCTCTTGCAAGCTGCCTCATGCACCGTGGGCCCCAGCTAGGCCTGGGCTGCACCCTCCTGGGCCCCCTCTGCTGCTACGGTCTTTGTTTGTCACTCTCCAGTTTGTGTTTTTGTCGCTAAATTCTTCTATTTTTGCCCTTGGCTTCCTCCACTCTGTCATTTCTTCCCAGTCTCAAGCTGTCTCTCGCTCTCTGTTTCTGCCTCTGTCTCTATTTGCTGTCTCACTCTGTCTTCCTCCCTCCATCTGTGTGTTTTGTTTTGTCTGTGTCTCCATGTCTCTCTTACTCTTCTCTCCGTGTCTCTTCCTTGCTGTCTCTCTCCATTTCTTTTGGAGTCTCTCTCTTTTCTACACACACATCCCTGGCCTTTGTCCCCCAGTCCCATGAGCTCCTCTCGTCCCTCCTTTGGTTTCCACTTCACCCAGCTGCACTCTGACCCCTGGCTCCACATCTATCTTGGCACCATGCTGCCAGTCAACACCCCTTCCCCCAAGCTGATTCTGCCCTGCCTCAGACCTGGGACCTGTACTATGAACCCATAGACATACTCAGGATTATGGCACATGGCGGGAGGGGAGGCCATGGTCACTCTTTGAAGAAAATGAAACCCCTGATTTGTAGCAATTGCCAATTTCTGTGGTGTAAATACTCTTGCCATAGCCGATTTCAGACAACCCGCATAATGCCACTGAATGCAGAATTGGAAGAGGTGCACAAGTTTCATTCTTTTGAGCCAGTGCAAGCTGACTTCAGCACACCACTAGGCAAGAAGGGGCTTCCTGCATGCCTGCGGGGGCTGGGGAGAGTGCACACATGGCTGGCTACAGAGCAGCCCACTGTAGCCTTATAGAGCTCGACTTTGGGCCAACAGCCCACTCCAACCTGGTTAGTTCTTCCTTGTGGCTGACTCATAGAAGTGCTCACCTTAGGATGGGGCAGGAAGCCCAAGGACTCACTGACCTCTAGACTTAGAAGGAAGACTTCCTAGATGAAATGCCTGGGCTAAGTCACAAAGCAGATGAGAAATTTTGTGTTGCCAGAGTATATATATATATATTTTTTTGAGACGGAGTCTCGCTCTGTTGCCCAGGCTGGAGTGCAGTGGCGTGATCTCAGCTCACTGCAACCTCCACCTCCCAGGTTCAAGTGATTCTCCTGCTTCAGCCTCTTGTGTAGCTAGGACTACAGGCATACACCACCACACCCAGCTAACTTTTTTTATTTTTAGTAGAGAAGGGGTTTCACCATGTTGGCCAGGCCAGTCTCGAACTCCTCACCTCAAGCCCCTCGGCCTCCCAAAGTGCTGGGATTACAGGCAAGAGCCACCGTGCCCAGCCCAGAATATACATTTGAGGCTGGAAAAGGTAAGAGTTGGTGTCAAAGAGGCAGACCGAGGGCAGGATCACTGAGGTCTTGAATACTGAGTGAAGGGGCCTGGTCTTTTCTTATTGGCATTGAGGAGAGTACCATGATTGAATATGTTGCCTTAGGTTGGTTCCCTGCCCCCACTAAACAGGCCTTCTGACAAGGATTTGGGTGTAGTTGTTTGTTTGGAAGATGATCCCAGGCAGCATGTGAGGGAGTAGGGAAGTGAGACAGGGAAGAGAAAAAGGTAGATAAGAGTTACCCAGCAGCTACTGCTGTGGAACACTGAGGTTCAGCCCCCTGTGGACCCTCTGAGTGTACAGAACAGGTCTCAGACTTGTCCCATTGAGGGGTGGGAAATCTGGGGTGTGTATCCACCAGCTCCCCGCCCTTCCTTCAAGGGCTGCTCCTGGGGTGTGAATCCCCCTGATATTCCATGTGGGCCAGTTTTGGTCCAAGGCCAGATAGTTCTCTCATGAAGAGATGCAGAAGCCGGAGGCATGGGTGCCAGGACAGGAGGCGGCAGCAGCCTGTTATGGTAAGGACTGAGTGGTGTCCTGTGGACTGGGCAGCACAGAGGTGGTTGTGATTTTCAGGAGGGCAGTTTTGGTGGGATAAAGGGGAGCGAGTTACAGGGAGAATAAGAGAGAAGGACACACAGAGACTATGGACTACTCTGAAAAGTATGGACAATGGGAAAACTGTTGCACGGTCGCTGGGACTGGTGAACAGGTGAGCTTGGGTCTGGTTATGGAGTTGCTCTGAGCCAGGGAGACAAGCAGGCAGACCTGCGGGAGCAGCAGCATGTCACCCCACCAGCTGCCAGACCCGACCCGGATTGATGGAAATGTAGAGGGGGGCCTCCCCAGGGCATCCCAGCCTGCACTGATTCAGACTGAGCCACCAGGGCACTCAGCTGACACCTCACACTTCTGTCTTCCTCCTTGGGAATTGTGGATTGGCTCGGCATGACCCAGTTCTACAAGCATTTATTTGATTGATTGGAAGCAGAGAAGGTCTCTGCTCTCCAGGGGAGCAGACCCCATGCTAAGCATGGAGCGGATGGGAAAATGAGAAAGACCTACTGCACAGTCGAGGGGAGAGGCAGGCATGCAATGACAGATGCATGCAGTGGGCTGTGGGGTGGGCACCAGTGGTGCCACCATCGAGCATGGTGGAGGCTGGAGAAGAGGGAGCTGTTCTGTCTGCTCTGGGGAAGGCTTCTTGCAGCAGCCAAGTCTTGAAATGTGACATAGGCTGAGAGGCAGAGAAAAGAGGGGACAGGTATTTCTGGATTTCAAAGGCTTCCAGCTTGCTTAAGCCTTCCTTATAGCTGGGTATCACACACCCTCAGGCCGATAGGGCTCACTGACTCCAGAGACAGGCCTTCCATAGCCAGACCCCTCCTACCGTCCTGTGATGGAGTGAGACTGCCCTTGCTGGGGAGGTGTCAACAAGAGGATGCTTGGAAGGCAATGAGGAGGGCCACGGCAGGCAGGCAGCTGCTTTCTTTGGTTAGGTTCTTCGGTGTGGTAGGCTAAATAATAGTCCCCCAAAATATCCCCATCCTAATTTCCAGAACCTGTGAATGGCAAAAGTGACTTTGCAGATGTAATTAAGTTAGGGATCTTGGCCAGGCGCGGTGGCTCGTGTCTGTAATTTCCAGAACTTTGGGAGGCCAAGGCAGGAGGATTGCATGAAGCCAGGAGTTCGAGACCAGCCTGGGCAACAAAGTGAGTCCCCATCTCTACAAAAAAATAAAAACAATTAGCTGGGTGAGGTGGTGTATGCCTGTGGTCCCAGCTACTCAGGAGGCTGAGGTGGGAGAATTGCTTGAGCTTGGGAGGTCAAGGCTGCAGTGAGCCATGGTGGTGCCTCTATACTCCAGACTGGGTGACAGAGTGAGACCCACCTCAAAAAAACAAACAAAAAAAAAGGGATCTTGAGATGGGAAGATTATCCTGGATTATTTGGGTGAAGGTCAGGGGAGGAAGTAGGAGATGTGACAATGGAAGCAAGGTTGGAGTAACATGAGAAAGCGGCCACTAGCCCAGGAATGCAGGCAGCACCCAGAGGCTAGAAAAGGTGAGGAAACAGATCCTCCCCTAGAGTCTCCAGAAGGAACCAGCCCTGATGACACCATGACTCAAACCCAGTGAAACTGATTCCAGACTCCTGGCCTCCAGAACTGTAAGAGAATGAATGTGCATTACGTTAAGCCACCAAGTTTGTGGTAATTCGTTACAGCAGCCATGGAAACAATACACCTGGGAAGCAGACTCTGATGAAGATGTGCACATGGGCATTTGCATGAGGAGTGCTCTTGGGGGCATGCCCCTCACCTGTGGGGAGAGAAGAGCAGAGGTGGGCAGTTGCAGGTGATTCCCTGGGAAGCTCCAGGGCTGTGGTGGCCTGCAGAGTTACCCCAGATTGAGGCAAGAGAGCCTGGCCCAGGGACTTACACAATCATTGGATGAGGCTTCCCTGTGCAGGGGATGTGGCTTTAAATGGGGCAGCTCCTTTTGGCCAAGAGCAGTTCATGGAGAGGGACTCAACTTTGAGCCCTCGGCCATGCTCACCTTGGTCCCGAAGCAGGCCTCGGAGGCACAGCTACGCATCCCCAGAGCTGTGGAAGGTGCATCTCTCTGAATCTTCTTTCTTTGCTCTGTGGGCCTGGTAGTTCGACAACTTTCTAACATCCTGGACTTCCTGATCTATTGAGGAATTCTGCAATGCATCCACATCTCTCCCTGGGCAAGAAATTGGGCTTTGAGTCCCAGTTTCTATAATTGTCATTAAGTGTTTTACATACACTGCTGTCTTTAATCCTAGGAATAACCGTAGCTATTAGCCGCATTTTACAGATGAGCAGACTGATACTTGAAGAACTTCAATGAATGCTCAGAGTCAGAGCTGGGACTCTTCCTAGGTCTGCCTGATGCCTCTTCGCTACCCTGTGACTTTGCCTCTCATTGTCCACCCTTACTTATTAGCTGCATCATCTTGAATAGACCACTGAACTTCTTTTGGCCTCAGTTTTTTTAAAAACAAGACTCTAGTCTCTGTCCTGCCTCTCTCCTAGGACTGTTCTCACTTGGCTCCAGGAGAGAGATGTATGCAGGCTTTGTGCCTGGGCCTGAGACTCTGCTGCTATGACTCCCTGGATCCAGCGAGTTTGCTCTTGCTGTACCTCCCTTTGCCCAGTCCCCCAGTAGCTCTGGGCCCCTGGTCCAGGGGAGAAGGAGAAAGCAGGACAGGTAGGGGGTCTCATATGAAGGTCTCTTCTCTGGTGCCTTGTGGTTTTCAAGTATGACTCACCCCTTTCATACCATTTCCCCCAGCACTGGGAATTATGCAGGACTGCCGTGCATGGTTACATGGTTCGTGTGCCAGGCCTCAGCCAAGGGTGTGGTGGGGATTGAAACCCAGCCCGCGCCGGGCACTTTTTGCTTAGCACGAAGGCACCATCTGCCAAGAGGCTGTGTCTGCGCAGAGGGGCCTGTCTTGTTTCATTCTCACAAAAGTCTTGCCTGGGTTCTCAGTGGCCCGGAATTATATGTTGGCTTTGCAGGAGCCCAGGGCTGGCAGCTCAGCCCTCAGACCCTGGCATTCAGGGCAGAGAACGGGTGGTGATGGATGTATAGGAGGGAGAAGCAAACCCACACCCAACTCACAGTCACATCGCCAGAAACCACTGATTCTGCAAGTCCCTCTGTGGGAGCTGTCCAGTTTCTCCTGGAGACAGGCAGAGGGGGCGGGGCCCCAGGACTCCTGGGCTGCCCACCTCAAAGCCCTTGGCCCAGTCCCCTGTGCAGACTTCTGGCACAGAGGCCCGCATCCCAGGCTGAGCTCCCTGGGGCCAACCACAGAAGGTCCAAGTGCTCTGCGTTCCTGCCTATGTTTTTAATTACCCCACTTACTTTCCCATTCATCTTTCCCTTCCCAGTCCTTTCTGTACAGCCCCCAGACTAATGTGCCTCAAATCCTGATCTCACTGAATTCCTTCCCTGGCTCAGAGACTTCTATGGCTCCATTCTGTCCAGGCTCGGCATTTAGCGTTCATACACACACCCCTCTCCAAGGGCGACGGCTGTTCCTCTTTTCTCTCCTCTGATTCCGCCTGGGCTCCCTGTCATCTCCTGTCCCGCCACCTCCCACCTCCAGACCCTTGGCCAGACTGTTGCCTTCCTGGATCTCCTTCCTTACTCTCTCCTTTCCACTATCTAAATGTTAACTTTCCTTTCAGGTTCCCCTCACACAGAGCGGAAGCACAGCCCTGGCATCAAGTGGGAGCATGGCCCAGGGCAAGGAGCTCTGGGAGTGCAGCCTGGGGCCTTGAATGACCCGGAGGACTGGATTTGAGGAGGGCGCCTCCTGAACCTTCTTCTGTCCTCTAGAGGGACTGCACCAGATGGCAGCTTCCTGTGAGCGGGAGCCCTCAGGTCAGGAATTGAGGGTGCATCCAGCTGTGAGCCAGGGGCCATGGAGCAAGGCTCACCCGCTTCCCAGGAGGTTCTCAAGGGCTGGGCTCTCAGGTAGAGAAACTGAAGCTCATCAGACCTCTCGGCCACGGCTACTTCAGGCTCCTAGGAGACTCACCTGCCTGTAAAGATGGTACCAGGAGCTAACAATTGCTAGTGAAGTCTAATATGGGAGCTGCTAGCCACACGCGCTTCTGAGCATTTGAAATGCTGCTGTTCCCAATTACAATGTGTTAAAGGTGTAAAATATATGCCAGATTTTGAAGACATTGTGCCAAAAAAGGTAAAATTTTTATTAATTATTTTATATTGGGTCCATATTGAAACTATATATATGTGTGTATATATATGAGTGTGTGTGTATATATATATATATATATATATTTTTTTTTTTTTTTTTTGAGATGGAGTCTCACTCTGTCACCCAGGCTGGAGGGCAGTGGTGCAATCTTGGCTCACTGCAACCTCCACCTCCCGGGTTCAAGTGATTCTCCTGCCTCAGCCTCCCAACTGGCTGGAATTACAGGCACATGCCACCACGCCTGGCTAATTTTTGTGTTTTTAGTACAGACAGGGTTTCATCATGTTGGCCAGGCTGGTCTTGAACACCTGACCTCAAGTGATCCGCCCACCTCAGCCTCCCAAAGTGCTGGGATTACAGACATGAGCCACCGTGCCCAGCCCACATTGAAACAATATATTATGAATATATTATGAATATATTGGGCTAAACACATTTTTTTCACCTGTTTTCTTTTTCTTCTTAAATGTGGCTATTAAAATTTTAAAATACATTGTGGTTCACTCACATTCTGTTTCTACTGAACACTGCTGGTCTTGGGCGTAGAAAACCACAGGAGAGGTCCGTGGATGGTTTTTCACAGTGAAACAGGTAATGTTTAGGAATCAGGTTGAGGAAACGGAGGAGGCCTCTGATTCCAGCCCCACACAGCCCTGACCGTGGCAGGGGATGAGTGCTGGCCTAATGACCTGCCCTGTGGCCAGAGGGCATGGCTTGCACAGCTGCACCCTGTGCCACACGGGCCTGGTGAGGCAGAGCAGTTCCCTGCTGGTGAAGCAGCAGCTCCCTGGGTGAGCCTGCGCATGGTGAGGGGTTGGAGACCGAGAACCCAGGGAGGAGGCTGAAGGACAGATCCTCTCCAGACTGCCCTCATTACCATTCGGGGAGATGACTCAGCTGAGGTCCCTGCTCTCCTCAGGCCATGATGCGGGCCATGATGATGACCACTCACAGTGAATCACACGGAACTACACTGAGAATGTGTGTGTGTGCTGGGGGGCAGGAAGGATTCCCAGCCAGGAAAGGAGGAGTAGAGGCGGCGCGTGGGTCCCACTGCACCTGCTCACAGGGTCCTAGGGCTGCTGGGAAATGCTTCCGGGGAAACCCGAGGCTCCCCTGGTCCCAGGCTCCTTCCCCATCAAATTTGCAGCTAGAGTACAAGGCGTAGGGCCTCTGAGAGCCATGAACAACAGAGTTCTCCCTGTCCCCCTTTCAGACCCAAAGCAGCTCTGGGCCAGCCAGTTAGGCTTCCTCCCTCTCGGCAACACCTCTGCCCCAGAGCACAGGGATTGCCCAGGACTCTTGCAACCTGGGCAGGGTGCCTGGTCCCTGGGGCAGCCAGGCCTCCCCATGGAGTCCTGGGCTTGTGGAGGAGGAGGAGCGCCCTCTGTAGGCTGGCACACGCAAGTGCAGGCTCCACAGGAAAGAGGAGGTGGCTCACCCTGGAGGCTGCACCTTGTGGCTGTGGGAAGCCACAGATCCTGCAGAGGTCCTCTCTCCTGTGGCTACAGCTTCTTGGGTTACAGAGTAACTGTTAATTCTGAACCTGACTACTTCTGTGGCTTTCCAACAGCTACCATTTCTTTGAGTCGAAGTTTGCTGGGCTAAATGCATCATAGACATAGCCATATTACAACCTGTAAGGCAGGTATTGTTATTTCTAATTTCTAGGTGAGAAAACAGAGGCTCAAAGAGGTTAAGTATATTGTCCACGGTCACACAACTATTACCTGGGGCCCGATTCCAGAGTCCAAGGACTAACCAATTCACACTGCAGCCCACTTAGGGTCTGGCCTTCTAGGAGGGAAAGAGAGGTGTGAGGACATTCAGGGAAACAGCTCTGGTGACCTTCAGTGCGGCGACCAAGATGAGGTGGGGATGATGGAGAAATGGAGAGGATCCAAGCCATGGGATGGAAGTGACAAGAGGCCATTGCTTTGAGTTGCCCTGAGAAGACGTTTGTCAATATCTCCCCAGCCCAGTTATCATGGGCTATTTCTTGACATCTTGACATCACCCCTACCCCACACACATATGGCAGCCCCATTCCACTACACATGCACCACTAGTCAGCCATGGGGCATGCACTGGGACTTCATGTTGTCCTCCATTTCAGAGGGGGAAACTGAGGACTAATGGGGGCTGGGATTTCCCCAATCTCAGGCCATCCCACTGATCACTGGCAGACTTCAGGCCTACCCCACTTACTGAGTTAAACTGGAGTGCATACCGAGTCTGCCAAGGAGAGAGAAGTCTGGTGTTGCCTCTGAGCCTTCTTTAGGCCTGTGGTTGGGGGCCTCACGCTTCCTCTCCCCAACACAACAGACCTTGTATCTCTTATTCAAGTTTACCGCCCCTCCTTGTGCCTTTGTTCCGCCACGTTCTCTAGCCCCCTTTCCTATTGAGCTAGGAGTTTTGAGAACTCATTGTCACCAACTCCCCCCACCATCATCTTCATCTTCTCCGCCACTGCTCCGTTACCCTCATCTCATACTGGTCACTACAATGACCTTCATTGCCCCCACCACTCTACCATGGCCTCTAGCACTTGAGCCGCCACCTTGATCTTCACCATTACCACCACGACCTGCCATTGTCATCATTTCTATCCTTTGTGATGGCAGCGTCACTATTTTCCTCCTCGCCATGACTTCCACCCCTCACCTCGGCATTGCCATCCTCTCCACTATGACTGCCACTAACATGACCTCTGTCATCTCCACTTCATCTGCAGAATCACATCCAGTATCACCTCCACTATCGCTGTCACCACTGCTGCCACTACCAGTACCTCCATTATATTTGTCCTCACTACCGCCATGGCTCTCATCTCCTCCAAGCCCATTTTCACCTCTGTTGTCGCCATTATCTCTGTTGTTCATGTCACTATCATTACCAGGAACTTCATCACCCTCACCTCCACCTCTGCCGTCTTCTCAACTATTTCCAACTCTATCACTTCCACCATTACCTCTCCCATGACCTCCACCACCTCCATCATCCCTATCACCACTACTCTCCCCACAAAGTTCAGTGCCTAGCATTGTTCCTGGGACTTGAGTGAGGAGCCCGGGCAGAGAAGAATATCCTGCCTGGCTGACAGACATCTTTGCGCAGATTTCTCAGAGCAGAGCATCGGCAAGCCAGGTGTCCGAACAATCCCTCCTCTTGACCTGAGAGCTGACCCTTCCTCAGGATGCTTCTGACAGGAGACAATTCAGTCCTCTATGTCAGCCATGCCCGTACGTAAAGAGACAGCTGCTGTCTAGTTGAAAGATTGAGGCCATTAATCTGGGCTGCCCTTGTTTGCATAATGATTGCATACATTTGCATCCTATTTGCTCCCAGCCTCTGAATGCTGCACTACCGGTGTTCGGGTACAATTTGCATATCACTGCAGGTGAGGGTCAGACTTTTGAGACTTTGGCTCTTACTAACTCCCTAAAGAAATTCTTTTATGTGCCGGCTCAGAATAGAACTTGGAATGCTTAATTCTAGAGTCAGTCAGCTGAAGGGCTCTAAGATGGGAGGGTAGGGAGGTCTATTCCAGAGCTCCTGGAAAGAGGGCAGCCATTGGTGTGGTCCAGGAAGGAGAGTAACAGGAGATCGACTGCGGAGACAAGCTCTGCTCCTGGACAGTGCCCTGCACAGTCACTCCTGTCCTCTCTGGTCCGTAATCACTCACTGTGAGGACTTCCTTGAACTCCCTCTAAGTGGAAGGAAGGAGTCAAACCAGCTGATCACTAATCCCCCTTCATTAAACTCCTGTTCTGAACTCAGGTGTTCTCATTCCTGACCGTACTTTAGAACCACCTGGGAGCTTTTGAAAAAGACCAGTGCCCTGGCCCCACCCCTAGATATGCTGGTTTAATTGGTGGGCCCTGGGAATTGGTTATTTTTAAAAAGCTCCCTTGGTGATTCTAATGTGCACCCAGACTAAATGCTATTGCTTGTGACTCCGCCCTCCCGTGCCTGCCACCAGCCTCCTTCATTTCTGGTTGTGAATCTCTTCCCCACTACAAGCTCAGCGAGCACCAGGGTCTGGCAGGACAGTGGAGCTAGTGCTTTTGTTTGAGGTCCCAGAAATAAGTCCTTTTCCCTCTTGAGCAGTGTGGCTGATGGCACTTGGCACCAACTGGAAATTCCCTCCTCTCTGCCTTGGTCTTGTTCCATCCAGGGGGTCTCTGCCATGGGGGCTGGTCCAGAGAAAGGTCGGCAGGGGCAGGGATAGGAAAGAGAGGCTACTCCTGCACAGCCCTCCTCCACCCTGTCTCCCAGAGCTGCGCGCCTCTCCCCTCACAACACTTGGCCCACCCCAGCTGCCCAGGCTTTGCTGCTGCTGCTTCCATGCGGGACCTGCCAGCCCCATCTTGGGTCCCCACACTCACCCCTGCAGACTGACTTCCTGCAACCCCAGACCCCCAGCCCACTCCCCATCCTGGAGAAGGAATGCACAAGGAATGTTCAGAGCTTTGTTTCAAAACAAGATGCAGTAAACATGGCTGCATCTGGGCCCTCCCACACTTACTGGGGTAATCGAAGGCATAGAGAGGGACGAGGGAAGTAGGACAGAGCTTCCTGCACACACCACCCCTGTCATCCAGCCCTGGACCATCTCGGCCCATCGGTGGGGCTTCAGCTGCCAAGGGTGGGGTGGCCTGTGAGATGAGGGCCTGCTCTGCAGAGGACCAGACAGGAGACTCAGTGTGGGCTGCGGGAGGATGGCAGACGCCAAGTGAGGCTGTGGGCAGGGAAAGAGGTGAAAACGGAAGCTGCCCAAGAGCCAATACCATGGCATAACAGTGGGGCCCTGGGGTTCGCCCATCAGCATTCACATCCGGACTTGGCAAATCACTAGCTGTGTAACCCAGTGCCTCAGGTTCCTCGCTGGTAATGAGAGGGTAATGACTGCACCTGTTTCTGAGTTTGAATTCAGTCATGAGGGTGAAATCAGAATCAGAATTCTGATTCTGTTAGATAAAGCATGCGAGTGCTTAGCACAAGGCGTGGAACATATTAATTACCCAATTAGTACAGCTTCTGTATAATTGTGAGGGTAGGGGTCACGTGCCCTTGTTCGTGACCTCCTGAAGCTCCAGCCCACCAGCTGTCCTTTGGGGTTGGGTCCTGGGCAGTGGAGGCCCTTCCTAGTAGCTATGTTCTTCCTCCTGAAAGGAGGGAGTATCCCTTCCTCCCCACTGACCAAAGGTCTGGTGGCTTCAGGCCAGGACTCGGTTCTGCTGGCAAGCCTGAGGGTAGGTGCAAAAGCCCACCTTCTTTCTTCCTCTCTGAGGGGGGTAACACAGACCCTGGGGCCCAGAGAACTTGGAGTTTTATCCACGGTGCCTCTGTGCAGTTGTTAGTGGGTAGAGAGCTATTATCCTAACTCCAGGAACAAAAAGTGGCCTTGGGGTCATTCAATGTAGCCAGAGAAGAAGGAATAAATGAATGAATTCTCCAGGGAAGAGGCTTAGAAGAAGAGTGAAAGAGAGGTGAGGGTGAGAGCTTGGAAGAAATGCAGCCAATCCAATCCAAGCTTTCATATCTGGCTCAGGACCAAGTTTTGGAAAGCTTGGATGGGGCCTGGCTGCTTCCATTTTCTTTATGCTCATGGCCACGGTGATTCATTTAAAGATATTATGTCTAGGCCTTGCTCATTGGAAGTGTGCTGGGCACTAGTTTTTTCAGAATGAATTAGTCACTGTTTTCATCTCCACCATGATTGCCCTCACCACCAACACCATCATCAATATCAGAGCCCTCCCCACTGCAATCCCCTTCAGTCCCTTCCTTGAATCTCATCTTTTCCTCTGGCACTATTTAAGGAGTACCATTAGAGACAGTCAGTTTTTGTTGGCAGAATGAAAAGTCAGCACTATCATCACCACCACCAGTGATGACATCATTACCACCACCAGATTCTATATCACCTCTGCCACTGATGTCACCATCACTACCACCTCCACCATCATAAATGACATCACACCTCTGCCACCAACACCGCCATATAATTAGCTTCACCACCATCACTGACATTACTACCACCATCACTGACGTCGCCGACATCACCATCACCATCACCGCCATCATCACTGACATTATTGTGTTATTGTCATGGAATTCTTGAGGTATTCCTTTCCAGCTTGAAACCTGTGTGGACAGTGACGCCTTTGCCTGAGTTTTGCTCGGGCCTACTGGGCTTGTTTGCCCACTCAGCCTGGCAGGCATTCGGCTCGCACTATTGGCCTGGAGCCCACACTTGCCAAGGGAGAGCCAGACATGGAGTGTTGAAGTGTGTGTGAACGAATGAGTGTGGGGTCTGGCCACTGCACACAGACAGCCAAGCATGCCAGCTGTGGTGGGAGGGGCAGCTCCAGATGCTGGTATGGGTGCTGGCTGCAGCTGGACCAGGAGTACCACAAACAGCATCCATGGCTGGCACAAGGGAACGCAGCGGTGCATGGAAGCTTGGAGACACCAAGAACCACAGAGCCCCAAAGACGATGTCACAGCCCTGGCTTGGGGAGCTCCTAGGTCTGGGATCCCCAAAAGGCTATAGCTCTTCTCTCCTCTCTTCTCTCCTTCCTGTCACCTGCAACATGGCAAGCAAGGGGTGGGTTTCAGCCCTCTTTGTGTTATAGCTCTTTCAACCCTGCCATTCGGTGGGTCTCAAGTTTTGTCCCACATCCAGGAAGAATGAGGTATGTGGACAAGTGGAGGGTGAGCAAGGCAAAGAGTTGCTTTATTGAGCAACAGAACAGCTCGGAGGAGACCCGCCCTGAGTAGCTCCTCTCCACAGACAGGTCATCCGGTAGTCTGCCTGAGGCTGGCTGAGTCTGGGGATTTTTATGGGCTTCAGAGGGGAGGAAGTGCATGCTGATTTGTCCATGGGTGGCCATGGGCAGACCCAGAAAAAGCCCCATAGGTTGTCACTCCAGTCTGTGGAACTGGCAGCCTGGCCCCTAGTCCTCAGACTGTCCCTGGCCTGAAGGTGGGGTTCACCAGGATCTGCCCCTTTCCACCCAGGATCTGCCTGCCTCCTGCTGTCATTAACCTGCCATCCACGGTGCCCAGGCTGTTCATGATGAGGGGTGCCTGAAGGCCCATGCCGAGCCATCCTTAGCACCCACCCCCTCAGCCTCTCTTCCATGCTTGTCGGTGCCCAAAGTCCAGAGGGGGGCCAAGAAGGCATGGGGCTGGTGTGTAAGTGCTGCCCCAGGTGTGAGCACACCTGGCCGGGTTGTGACAGCACCTGGTCTCAGCCACAGCTTTGCTCCGAAATCAGAGTGGGCACCAGGAGTGGGGAGAGGCCAGGCAGTGGGAGCAGGCAGTTCTGAGCCTGTGAGGGCATGGGGGTTTCAAGGGCCCCCAAGAGTGCAGAGATGCCTGGGTCCACAGCCATGGCAGGGTGGCTGCAGCTGTGCCAGGGAGGGTGGGGCTCCCACCCCTCCAACTTGGAAGGGGGCGGGGCTCCTGCCTGTTTCTGGCTCCCACTGGCTCCATGGAGCATGCAGCCCTCACTGCGCCTCCCCCACTGCAGCTGGCATCATGGCAGTGGCTGCTCCAGATGGGCTGCCACTGCCATCATTAGAGCAGTCCAAATGGTCTAAGACAGTACTGAATAAATGCATGCTGAAATAAACTAGACTGTCATAACACAAACTTAGGCTCTAGGATTTCAATGCTTCCTGTAGTTCTATCTCCAGAATGGACCCTACTAGAGAAAAACAACACTGGGCTGTATAAATGATAAACTAAGTGAGCCAGAGAAGGGGGAATAAATGAATGAATTATACAGCCCAGTGTTATTTTTAAGGACCTGCATAGCAGCATGGTGGGAAGATCCTAATCTACAGTCTGCTGGGCTGGGAGTACTGCAGATGAGCTGAGAGAAGCTCCACTCTTCCAAGATTGTTACTTTCATCACTCCATCACCTGGGATTTATCTGAATCTGGATCAATTTGGTGTCAAGATTGAATCCACCTCGTCCTTAAGACCTAACAGGTTTTCAAATATGCACCCTAGTAGACAAGAGGCTCCTTGCAGATAACACAGGAAATGATGTGAGGTTCAAGGAGGGGGGCTTGAGAGGGGTGGTCGGGGGAGAGGGCTCTGGGATCTGCACCCAAACTTCATCCGCTGGGCTCCTGGGAAGGACTGTGTAATAAAGGGGCTCCAGTGCTTTTAACAACAGATTTGACAGCAAGTGGTCTAGAAGATGAGTTCTTAAATGTTTGTTTTGAAATAGATGTTTGGCATTGTGTGTAGGTCCCAACCAAAAATAATCGGCCATCTGAAGTCACCAGTCTAAAAGAAGCATTAGAAAATGTTCATCTGATGTTTCTATTGATTGTTCTCTTCCCAAGGCCAAAACTAGCTCAGCAAGATGTCTTTTACTCTTGTTCTCTGCCTCTCTGGCAAAATGCAAACACAGTTTCATCCTTGGAGAACTGTCTTTCATGCGGGAACACTTATTTAAATAAACTGCCTTAGGAACATAAAAGCAAAGGAGAAGTGTAGTATATGAATTGACCCATGTGCCTCCCTGCCCAGCAAACATGAGCTCTTTAGCCATGCAGAGAAGGTGTTGCTGGGGGGACAGGCCCTCATTCTTCAGCATTCCCCCTCAACCTTCCAGCAAAGATACAGCAGCTAAGAGACTCAGAGCTGGTCCTGGATGGGAGACTGTCGCCTGAGGGGAAGGAGACCAAGCACTCATTGGGGACATAATGGCTTTGGAGTGATGGTCACTAAGAGTGCCAGGATGGGAGCAGAGGGAGGGACAGTTGGCTGAAGAGTGAGAGGGATGGCCATGCCTTACCTCTAAGGACCAGTTCACAGCAAAAGCAAGGGATCCCTCCTGCCCATGTGTAATGTCAGCCCTCCTGAAAACTTGTAGTCACTGGGCAGGGCAGTGTGTATGTGTGTGCATTCGTGTGTGTGTGTATGTGTGTATGTATGTGTGTTGCTGAGCAGCTCTGGGGGCACCCAGCCAGCCCCAACCCTTCTGCAGTTTCAGCCTTTCTGGCCCATCTACATGTCTTCCCTCAGAGGGGCCAGCTAGAGCATGGGGCAGGCTGGACAGGGGCTCAGGGCTGTGGCACAGCCTGGGGGAGCAGGTGTGATGCACCTTTTCCTCACAGAGCAACTGACTGCCTGGCCAAGGGCAAAGAGTGCATTCTCAAGAAAGATTGATCAAGACTGGAAAATAAAATGTAGCTTGAGGACACATTTGCAGGCTGATAAATGAAGGCACAATTATGAGGGAGGCTTTGAAACCAGGAAGGGAATTGCCTGCTCATCAGATAGTTCTTCCAGGCCAGCCCCTTCCACAGACTAGCAGGAAATCTCTGGAAAAAATGACTTAATTGTGTGATTGATGTGACAGGACTCAGGGGAGCAGTGGGGGTGGGGGCAGAGCCCCAGGACCAGCCTTCCTCTCAGGACCTAAGTCCAGATGAACTAATCCTTATTAAATGTGCTCAGTTTTGTCCTCCACAGGGGTCTGGAAGCCTTTCAGAGCTGGTTCTACTCTAACCATTTGTATCCAGATATGGATCCACCGCAGCCTTGGAAAACCCTCCATCAAGGAGGAGCCACTGACCCAGTCTCTTCCAGCAAGCACCCTCCCTAGTCTCAGAATGTGTCTCTCAGCCAGCCAGCCTCTCTTCCTATCGTACGACCCTGTCTCAGCCCTCATGTGCGTCCCAGCCCCTAAGGTCAAAGACATAGCATCCACCACAAACCATTATTCCAGAGGACTGTTTATATTGCAGCTGTTTTATCTACTCCCTCACTCCAGTGCCCCTGGCCTTCATCCTGCCCATCGAAGGCATCAGTCCACTGCGGGCTTTGGTGTCCTCAGAGGAAGAAATCCTTTAATGTCTGAGGAACCTAGGGAGGAGGCAGGTGGGAGGTGCACAGACATTGGTCTGTCCCTTTCATTCTTCGGTTCTTCTAAGCAGCGACATTCTCCTGAGCCTCTGGGTGCCCAGACCCACTGGGATGGACACAGGGAATGGGGGATGAGGGCCCTGCTCTCAAGTAGTACAGCCTGCTCAGGGAGGAAGGAGCTACATGTGCAAACAACGAGAAGACCATGAGGAGCAACATGCATGGGTCAGTGGTAGAGAACGTGGCACAGTCTGTGTCTCTGAAGTTGAATGCACCTGCCATGGGCTGCGTTTGGGAGATCAGGATAGGCTCTGATGAGGAGGAGGAGGAGGAGGAAGAAGAGGAGGAGGAGAAGGAAGAAGAGGAGGAGTACGAGGAGGAAGAGGAGGAGGAGGAAGAGGAGGAGGAAGAAGAGGAGGAGGAAGAAGAAGAGGAGGAGGAAGAAGAGGAGGAGGAGGAAGAAGAGGAGGAGGAGGAGGAGGAGGAAGAGGAGGAGGAGGAGGAAGAGGAGGAGGAGGAAGAGGAGGAGGAGGACACATCATTGGGGCAACTTACATCCTTCTGGATGAGCTCAGCATAAACCACGCAGGCGGCAGAGATCAGCTCATCAGCATCAAGGTCGATGAGGTTGTTGCAGGCCTGCATGGGAGTGTGGGAGCAGTTGTGGGTGGGGCTGGGGCAAACATCTCCCAGCACTCTTGGGCACATGCAGCTGCCTGCAGCACCCAGGGAAGAAGGATGCTGCTCACAGCAGTCGCTGGGGACCACCTGACCTCTCCCCAGCCTGCTTGGCTCAATGCCTAAAATTTGATATTTTGGGGCAATGGTAAATGTTAGCTTTCATGTTAGGCTCTAGGAGTCCTGGGGCTCCACCAAGTGTCTTAGGGGCTTTGAAGGAGGACTTGGTTTATAATTAGGGTGTCACCTAAGATTTGTTTCTTCCAACAAAGACTTCAGTAGCTTTTTTAAAATGGTGGAAAACTCTAGGTCCTTCTGTTTCAGCAATATCCTAGGGCCACAGGGTTAACTGCGAGATGGTAGAGCTTAATAGTTAGGGAGTGTTCAAGGCCTCCATTTCCTCATGTGTTAACTAGGGGTGATGATGATGGTTATAGCCTCCCTGTGTCAAGCTTGTGGTGAGGCTTAAACAAGCTCTATTAAAAGCCCTTGGCACGGTAATCCGTACCTTAGATCTCATTGCCCTTTCTGTCTGGGGGGAAAAGGTGGCACTGGTGCCCAGCACCCCATGAACCCCGGTCTTTCAGCTGGGGTGGGGTGGGGTGTCAGGGCCTCCAGGAGCAGGGGTGGTAGCTTGCCCGAGGGTGCTCTCACCAGGAGGATGTCATCCCCGCCCATGCTTTCCTGCAGCACCTGCTCCCGCACCATCTGCAGCATGCTGTAGGCCACCAGCACCTGGAAGTTCCTGCAGGGCTTCCCCGTCAGCAGAACCTGTGGGTCAGGACGTCTCAGTCTGGGCCCTGTGGTCTGAGACTGCAGATGCCCTGAGGATGGTGAGGTACCCACCAACCACGTGCCTGGAGTCAGCCATTCCTGGGCCTTGCTGCTGACTTGCTCATTCAATCATTCCTTCATTCACTCACTCACTCATCCACTCACTCAGGCATGTGCTCACAGGTACTCCTGGTTCTAGGCATTGTGCTGTCTCCTGGGGGTTTCAGAGATAGAGGCTTCAGGGAATTCATTAGATAGAGGAAGGGGAGGGAGGCAATGAGGGGTGGGAAGACACTAGGAAACTGTCGAATTTGAGTGGGGTTTTGGCAAGCAAGGGTTGATGGGAATTAAATGACCCAAGGATGTCACCAAAGGCCTGGGTGTGGTCATGGACTTGGGCATGGAGACCAGCCAGCCAAGAGGCAGGTGGGAATAGATCTGTGGGGCCCTACATGCCAGGTGGATGGTTGGGCTGGACACTGCAGGCAGCGGTGGCCATGGGCAGGGCATTGATGGGTGGGGGTGGCATTCCTCAGAGGGTTCATCTGCTGATGGCCCTGAGGATTGTGGTCACAGGACTACAGGTGTCCTTAGGGACCCACCTTCTGTGAGAGAGTTCCACAGGAGCAGCACTCTGGGGAAGGGGAAGGCCAGGGTTGGGGGGACAGCTGGGGAAGTGAAAGCGTGGGGAGGCCACCTGGGCAGGGCAGCGGGGAAGTGGAGCTGCAGGCCCAGGCTCCCACTGCACAGGCCATAGGGCCCTCCTGTGTCAACTGCTAGCAGAAGGCACAGTCAGTGGGGCCTTTGTGTTAAATGAACATATGGACAAAGTGATGCTCCAGCTTCCTCCAGCAAGGTGGGAGCAGGGTTGCTGACCTAACAAAACCCCGAGATACTGAACTCCATCCAAGCCAGGAAGAAAGGGGGAGGCAAGGAAGACTTGCAGCTTCCACTCTGCCTGATGGGTGGAGCCCAGCCTGATGATCCCTAGCTGGACACCTCACCTCCCAGAGCCTCCAGACATCATCGAAGGACTTGAAGGCACGCTGGAAGCAGAAGCAGAACCAGGGGAAGAGGGACTGCACAGCCCCTGCACCCTTCCCTTCTGTGGGGAGAGAAGGTGAGGCTGTGGTCAGGGGAAAACACATATGATGCAGCAAACACATGCAGATGAGGCCAAACTACAGAGCCTGCAAAACACTTGGGAAATACAAAAAGCCTGCCGCCCCTTTTCCAGCTGCCCTGGGAGATGGTTTAGAGTCAACTTTCAACTGTCCAGGCTCCAACCCCATCCAGATAACCCTCTTCCCAGGGCCTGGAGAAGCAATCAAATGATTCTGCTGCTCTCCAGCCCCCCCATGATTAGGGACTGACAGTTGGGTCCCAGCCCCCTTCCCATGCCTGGGGGGTGCGTGAGGTGGCAGGAGGTGGGAACCACTCACTTAGGTGCTCAGCAAACACGGGGTCCAGGAAGGTGATCAGGGTGCTGAGCATGTCTAGGTTCTTGGCCACGCCAATGTTGATGACACAGCTGTGTTCCTGCACACGATGGTGGGAGACAGACTGAGTCCCCCTTGGCTTCAAGGCACCGGAAGAGTCAACTCTGCTTCCCCCAGCTTCACTTCTGGAGGCTCTGTGTGTCTGTCTGTGCGCTGGGCCCATGTCTCTATGAGTCTGAGTGTGTGTGTGTGAGTGTGTGCATACATATCTATGTGACTGTGATCTGTGTATGCAAGTTTGTCTGTATATGTTGTACGCCTCTGGGTGGCTGTGTAGTGTGTGTGTGTGTGTGTGTGTGTGTATGTGTGTGTAGTAGAGATTCTCAACTGTGGCTCACAGTCTAGTGAGCCCAGTTGCCCAGTTCTTCCCTCACACAATAGTGTTGGGGCAGAGCCAACTGGGACAAGGGAAGGGCAGCAAGCACATGTGCAGGGATGGTGGGGTGGAGGGAGGGATGAGGGAGGGTTCTGGGCAGCCTCTCGCAGATCATGAGGAAAGGCTTTCCAGGGAGGTGTTCCAGGGAGCTGCACCTTCAAAACCCCTCAACTTGGACAGTGAGGGAGCCCCTGGGGACTATTGAGTCCCCTGGTGTGCCTGGAATTCAGGTTATGTGAAGGGAACAGCCCTGAATGACTGGCTAAGGTTATTGGATTTTATTCTGGAGGCCACAGGGAGCCATTGAGGAAGAAGCAGCGAGGAGGGAGGAGAACCGTGCTTGGGGAAGAAAATGCCAGGAGAGGGCACCTTCCCTGGGCCTGGCCAGCCATGCTCTTTCAAGGTTTGTTGAGAGGTGGACCCAGAGCTTTGCTCCATCCCCCTTCTCCACTTCAGTGCCTCCCCACCACCACTACTTTGAACCACTGGGTTTAGCGTCACCCTCCCAGGCTCCTCTGAGACCCAGAAGCCTGGAAGGAATGGCTGGGGTGGCCAATGCCTGCCCATCCTCAAAGAGTTGTTTGGGGAGTAGTGGGGGGTTGGGGAGGGGCGTCCCTGAGCTCAGGCCTTGCCCTCACCGTTTTCTGCAGGAAGAACTGGAAAAGCCAGAAGGTCTCGTGGTCGTGCTCCACCATCAGCTGGAAGAGCATCATCATCTCATGGAAGCCCTGCTGGTACTCTGTGGCGAAGAGGGGGTTGGGGAGGAGGGGCTGGGTGGGAGAGCCTGGACCCTTGGCTTAGGTTGGGCCAGGTCCTGGGAGGGCATTGACAAGGGGAGGCTGAGGCTCACCTGCCTGCGTGTTGCAGACGTAACTCAGGAGCAGGATCTTCTCTAGCCTCTTCTTGTCGATGAGGACGTTGCCCAGGGGATCTTTGTCATAGATTTTCTGAATGTCACGTGCTAGGTTGGAAGCAAGGGGCAAGTAGGTGGCACCAGATCACATCCAGCAGGTCTATGGGTGAATTTCTTCCCCTACCCCAATGGGCAGGCCCTAGGACATCCTGGAGGGAGAGGGAGCTGTGAAAGGTACATCAGCCCCTGCCAGGCTCAGTTCCTCACCACACCTTGAGCTGTCTGTGTTTCTTCCCACCTCCAACCCTCTAACGAGGCCGTACCCTCGGCCAGGAATGTCCTCCCCCACCCTTCCTCTCTGTCCAGTTCAAATCCAACCTCATTCAAAGCCAAAGAAAGGAGAGAGGAAGACCAGGCAGCAGGAACATCATGCACCCAGGAAAACATGGTATGGGGCATCTAGGGCCACCCAGGAGAGACTGGTGGGGTGGATTAACCAAGGTTCAGCTGGCGAAACTCCAGGCACAAGTCAAAGCAACTCCCAGGATCCTGGAGCCATCCCTCCCTGGAAGTGGCTGAGAAGGGGGCAGGGTTGGCTTCAAGCCCTCCCTCTGCCCAGCCCTCTCCACCCCACTTTGCTCACCAATGTTATTGCGAGTCTCTGTGAAGTTCCGGTGCAGGTTTTCCAGAAGGGGCTGAATCTTCTCATACATTTGGCATAAGGCCTTGTAGTTCTTCCTGTGAGAACAGAACTGAGGCTGAACAAGGTGGCTTTTCCCCTTCTGATAAGTGGTGAATGAGCAGCTGCAGCTACCAGGCCCCAGGCAGATCCAGGGCAGCACCCTCACCCAGCCATGCACCCTACCTGTGATGCTGTCCCTCATCTCAACCTGTGCCACCCTAACTGTCCTCCAACATGCACCTGGACTGCAGAACAGAGACAGTTTAACTTCTTGGGCTCTGTACTCCAAACGCTGCACCTGAATCCTGGCTCTACATCTTAATAACGGGGTGTCTGCCACTGGGGGCAAGTCTTGGGGACACGACTTTCCATCTCTAAGCCTCAGTTTCCCCATCTGTAGAATGGGCATAATACTGGCACCTGTGCCTCAGAATTGGAAGTGCTGAGTGAGGCGGTGTTTTGTCCTCATTATTAGAATATGATTAGTTGGTATTGCTGGCCGCATGGTGGCCTCCAAAAAGACATATCCATGTCCTAACCCCTAGGACCTGTGAATGTAACCATGTGGGGGAAAAGAGTCTTTGTAGATGTGACTAAGTCAAGGATCTCCGGACGAGATCCGTAAGACTTTCCAGGTGGACCCCAAATCCAATGACATGTGTTCTTATAACACACAGAAAGCAGAAGGTCTCACCACCATGGGGACAGGGAATGGAGTGAGGCAGCCACCAGCTGAGGAACACCGGGAGCCACACAAGCTGGGAGGTAAGGAAGGGTTCTACCCTAGAGCCTTTGGAAGGAGCCAACACCTTGATTTTGGGCTTCTGGCTCCAGAACTGCGAGAAGACAGGTTTCTGTTGTCGGAAGCCACCCAGTTTGTGGTACTTGCTAAGGCAGCCTCAGGAAATGAACACAGGTGGGCTCTTGTCAGAGCTCCTGAACCTCTCTGAGCTCCCTAGCCCAGCCCTCACACCCCCGTCCCACCCCGGGTCACTCTGGCTGGCCCCGACACGTGAATCTTTTCCACATTCTGTCTGGATGCTCCCTTGGGGCTGGGCCTAGCCCCTGCTTCAGGCTCCCAGACAGGTGAGTCCAGCCCAGGCTACATAGTCATGCAGCCACAATCCAAAGGAGTCCGTTCCTCTGATGGGAAGATTTTCAGCAGTGGAGTCAGTCTGACTCAGCCAGTGTGTACGGAGCCCTCCCATGGACAGGCAAGGTCAGGAGAGGGCCCAAGACAAAGGCAAACTGGCTGCAGCCTCTGCCCTTGTTTGCATTCAACCTGGGAGGGAAGACACAGGCTCCGTTCTCACTACTGTGGGACCAAGTGCCCAGGGTCATGGAAGTGCAAGTCAAGGGCCTCCGGCTTCAGGGAGGGAGGATTCCCATCAAAATCATAAAAGCTACTGATTCCTCCCCTGTGCAAGGTGCCTTACCTGTATTATCTGATTGAGCCCCCACAACCACTCTGTGAAATAGATTGTTACCTGCATTTTATAGAGGAGGAGACTGAGACTTCAGCACTGAAGTTCATGGGCAAGTTTACCCAGGGTGTAAATCAGAGTGCTGAAATTTGAACCCGGTTTCCAAATCCAAGACGGTCCAAGTTCAAAGATGGTGTGTTATCTACTGAAACAAAGTGCCTCATCCCTGGCTCCCTTGGGAGATCTGGGAGGGCTGCTTGGAGTAGGTATACTGTGGGATCTGGGCCTTGAAGGAAGGGTGGGCTACTGATAGGCAGATGATAGAAAGCCATTGTGGAGGGAGGAGAAAGGGTGAACCAAGGACAGAGGGGAGTGCAAACGTGGTCTGTGCTGGGGCAGGAGTGGGCAGATGAGGAGTCAGTGAGGCTGTCAGTGTGGTTGGAATGTCAGGCTCTGGGATAGTGGGCGATGTGGAGCTAGGATCAGGAAGTTTTTGGAAGAGAAGATGTGCTATTTGAAACGTTACCAGTTACACCACTGGGAGTGTTTCATCTAAGGACACAGGCAGCCCATACTGGGTTTTGTACCTTCCCCTGGGCACCGGGAGGAAACAGTGGGCACAGGCAGGGAGTGGGGAGACTAGACCCGGGAGGCAGCTCAGCCATGGGGGGCAGGGAGGAGGTGGAGTTGGGGTGGCACCCAGGGAAGAGGGTGGCAGACTCTGTTCAAGGGCTGCTTCAGAGGAAGAATGCATAGGCCATAAGGAAGGATGGGACTTGGGGCCCAGGGGTAAGAGGAGTGGCTGGGACCAAGCCCATGCCTGGCAGTTGATGGGCTGGTAAATGGAGCTCAGGGAGAGAAGGCACTGGCACGAACTGGCCGCACCTCCTGTGTGCTGTGCCTGGGTCAGGAGGCATGGGGTTCCTCTCGGAATAAGAAGTTGCATGGGGGCAGAAGATAGTCTGCAGGCTGGGGAGGCAGCACCTGCCACCTGCAGGCCCCCCTCCTGTCCCAGCAGGGTCTGGAGTGTTCTACCTCCTCATGCTGTCCACCGTGAGCCGCTCATCCTGGGAACTCTGCCATGAGAAGTAGCCCGTGAGGAATTTCCAGGCTTCAGTCCTCACGAAGGGGTGCAGACCCTGGGGTGGGGGTGGGAGGTGGAGGTCATGGGCTCTATCGATGCCTACCAAAAGGGCTTCATCCAACGCCACACCTGCCCCCTGCCCATCCATGCTCCCAGTTCCAGGGCAAGGCCAAGGGTAGCTTGGGGACCCACCCTTTCCAGGATGTTAACACAAATGAAGTCCCGTGATTTGGCCAAGTGGCCACTCTCATCAAAGAAGCTGTCCCATTCTGTCTTGTCAATGGGTGGTTTTCTCTTCACCTGGCAAAAGCAGCAACCAGTTCTGCCTTATGTTAGAAGGCTTCGGCTTTTAAGTGTGATTTTAAATAATATGTTCTGGACTTTGCAATATGTATCAAAGCGCACAGCCTGACTTACTTCGGAAATCTATCTTGAGGACATTACTGAAAATATATAGAAAAAATCCTGTATGCACAATAATTTTCATGCACATTACTCACCAACATGAAAAATGCAAGCACTCTAAATGTTCTGCAATAAGGGGGTAGTTAAGTAAACTGTGGTTTATGTGCTTAATGGAATATTTTGAGGCATATAAGTGTTGTTTACAAGGAATGAATAATAATCAGAAAAAATACAAATGTTAACAGAAAAAAGCAGAATACAGAATTGTATATCTAGCATTTTCTCTATGTACTATATAGTACAACTATGGCCCTCATAGTAATACCTATGTATTGTGTCCGTTATATATTATAATAATACCCCACATAAACTCTAATATATAATGCATTGACTACTATAAAGTTGTTAGAAAAAGACTGAGAAAATACAAAAAAGTTCCTCTCCCCCACTAAAAACAGCAGTGATTATCTCTGAGTGATAGGAAATAAGTACTTTTTATCCTTTTTCTTGTATTTTTTATTTTTCGAGACGGAGTCTCACTCTGTCGCCAGGCTGGAGTGCAGTGGTGGATCTCGGCTCACTGCAACCTCTGCCTCCCAGGTTCAAGCGATTCTCCTGCTTCAGCTTCCTGAGTAGCTGGGACTATAGGCACGCGCCACCACACCCAACTAATTTTTGTATTTTTAGTAGAGAGGGGGTTTCACCATGTCGGCCAGGATGGTCTTGATCTCTTGGCCTCAGGTGATCCACCTGCCTCAGCCTCCCAAAGTGCTGGGACTACAGGCGTTAGTCACCGCACCTGGCCTTTCTTGTATTTTTAAAATTTTCTATAATAATGTACACTGCTTTGATCACAGGAAAATATAAAATAAGCATTAATTAGACACAGTTATGAGCTCCACTTTACCTTTCCTGGAAATGTAGAATGGTTCATTATGAGAGATAGTCTCTGCTTTTGATAAGGGTGTGTGTGTGTGTGTGTGTGTGTGGTATATATCTGTGTGCTATGTGTATGTGAACATGTGTGTGTGTATGTGTTGGAGAGAGGTGAGTGCACTGCATGCAAAGTAATTCAAAATGCTTATAAAATAATAACTAGGGTCAGGTGCAGTGGCTCATGCTTGTAATCCCAGCACTTTGGGAGGCCAAGGCAGGTGGATCACTTGAGGTCAGTTCGAGACCAGCCTGGGGCAACATGGTGAAACCCTGTCTCTACTAAAAATACAAAAATTAGCTAGGCATGGTGGCGCATGCCGGTAATCCCAGCTACTCTGGAGGCTGAGGCAGGAGAACTACGTGAACCCGGTAGGCAGAGGTTGCAGTCAGCCGAGATCTCACCACTGCACTCCAGCCTGGGCAACAGAGCACATAATAATAATAATATCTCTAACAACAACAACAACAACAACAACAACAACAGGAGTGAGGGTTCCTGTTGGAATAAGAGAAGATTCCTTTCTTCCTGGGATACTCTCTTCTGCTGGAGAGAAGAATATCTTGAAATGCCACATTGCAGACATAAAGATGTGCTGATGGACAGAGCTGAGTAGACATGTAAATATACACACTCCCAACTTCCCATTAGTATACATCTGAATATGTGACTCAAAATTAAATTGGCGTACAAATCACTTAAGGATCTTCTGCAGGTGCAGAGTTGATTCAGAGGGTTTGGGGTGGGGCCCAAGATGATGCATTTCTAACAAGCTCCTGAGTAACAGGTGATGCTGCTAGTCCACAAACCACATGAGTAGTAAAGTATTAGAAGGCAAAACAGGCCAGGCATGGTGGCTCACGCCTGTAATCCCAGCACTTTGGAAGGCCCAAGCTGGCAGATCACTTGAGGTCAGGAGTTCGAGACCAGCCTGGCCAACATGATAAAACCCCATATCTACTAAAAAAAAACAAAAAACAAAAATTAGCTGGGTGTGGTGGCGGGGTGCCTGTAATCCCAGCTACTCAGGAGGCTGAAGCAGAAGAATCGCTTGAACCTGGGAGGCGGAGATTGCAGTGAGCCAAGATCATGGCACTGCACTCCAGCCTGGGTGACAGAGCAAGGCTCCTTCTCAAATAAATAGATAAATAAATAAATGAAGGCAAAGCAGCATTGTTAACTAAAAATAAGAGCCTACAGGCTCCAAATTGGGATAATTTCTACTAACTGTATATTTGATGGAAATGGATTGAGAAACACATTTTTAATAACTCATGTATGCCCTGTCATCTGAACCAAAATAGGACACATGGGCCAAGAAGTTACAAATCTCGGTGTGGGCCTAACCCTGGGAAGCAGGGTCTGCCCTGATGTGTTCCCCACCTGCATAGACACTGCCACTCATCAGAGCAAGCTTTCTGCCCCTCTGATTGTCATCATGTTCTCCCAACCTACACTCATTCAGAAACTGCAACACTCAGCATGCAATGTGGCAGGAAGCAGAAGGGAACAGGCAAAGCTGGGCTGTGTCCCGGGATCCTTAACTATAAAAGGAAATGCTTTAACTTTAGAAATGCATTTCCATAAGGATTTTAGTCAATTTGTCCATTTCTATAATAAAGGCAGCTGTGATTTTGGTGGAGACTGTATTGAATCTGTAAGCCAGTTTGGGAGAATTGATGACATTATTGAGTCCTCTGACCTGTGAACACAATATATTTCTCTGTTTATGTAGGTCTTTTAAAATTTCTCTCAGCAGTGTCTTGTAGTTTTCAGTGTCTAGGTCATTCATATATTTTGTCAAGTTTATCCATAAGTATTTCATATTTCAGATGCTACTGTAAAAAGTATCATTTTAAAATTTAAATTTCTAATAGAAATACAATGTACTTCTATATATCAATCTTGTATTCCTGCAACCTAGTAAAACTCACTTAGTAGTCGTAGTGGCTTTCTTGTGGATTCCATGGGATTTTTGACATAGACCAGGGGTCAGCAAATTATGATCCATGGATCAAATGTGGCCTCCAATCTGTTTTTCTAAATAAAGTTTTATTAGGATACAGCCACACCCACTCATTTTTGTCTGTGGCTGTTTTCATGCTATGATGGCAGAGTTGAGTAGTTGCAACAGAGACTGCGTGGACATAAAGCCAAAAATTCTATTGTGACCTTTGCAGAAAAAATTTGCCAACTCTGACATAGATGAGCATGTTCATCTGTGAGTAAAGGCAGTTTAACTTCTTCCTTTCAAGTATGAATACCTTTTATTTATTTTTTCTTGTTTTACTGCACTGGCTAGAACTCAAGTGCAATGTTGAATAAACGTGGTGAGAGAAGACATTCTTGCTTTGTTCCTCATCTTAGAGGAGCAGCATTCAGGCTTTCACAGTTCAGTATGATGTGAACTCTAGGCTTTCTACAGATGCCTTTTATCAGGTTGAAGACAGTCCCTTCCAGTTCTAGCATGCTGAGAGTTTTTAATTAGGAATGGATGTTGGATTTTGTCAAATAATGTTCTGCATCTGTTGAAATGGTCATATGGTTTTCTTTTTTTGAGTTTGTTAGTATGGTAAATTATATTGAGTACTTTTGAATGGTAAGTAAGCCTCACATTCCTGGGATAAGCCCCACTTGGTGATGATATACTATGCTTTTTATACATTGTTGTATTCTATTTGCTAAAATTTTATTTAGAATTTTTGCATCCATGTTCACAAGAATCATTTGCCTGTGAGTTTCTTTTCTTGTAAGATCTCTAATTTTGGTATCAGGGTAATGTTGGCCTCATAAAATGAGTAGGGATTTCTTTTTTTTTTTTTTTTTTTTTTTTTTTTTTTTTTTTAGTTTTCTGGAAGTGTTTGTATAGAATTGGTATTATTTCTTTTTAAAATATTTGGTAGAACCAGTGAAGCCATCTGGGCTAAAGTTTTCTTTGTGGGAAAGTTTTTAATTGCAGATTCTATTTCTTTATTAGATATTAGGATGGAGTCAAAAGAAATTGCTTTATTTTTTACTTTAAAAATTAGGAATTTATAGGAACAGGACATCTTCCAACTCACTTTAAAAAATAAAAGCAAGCAATATAGGAAACAACAAGGAATTAATAAAAGTATAAAGCATAAAAATGATAGAAACCCAAAGCAATTAATTATGAAAATAAATGCATTTCATTCTCTTATTAGCTGTAAACATTAAAAAGCAATTGATGATGTGCCAGACACTGTTCTAAGCACTTTACATATATCAACCCATTTAATCTTCGCAAATATCTATGAAGTGGTAAAGTTCTTGTACTGTTTTACAGATCAGGGAACTGAGACCACAGGAGGGTTAATTAGCATATCTGAGATTAGATACAGAAAGTATCAGAGCTGGAGTTTGAACCCTAAGCTGTTTGATGCAACAGTCAGAGGCTTAACCCTAATGCCATGCTGGGGGTGGGAGGGGCAGTGGGAAGGAATTAAAAGGCAAGGATTTTCCACTCAAATAAAAAATATGTATCTTACACAAGCTGTGAACAAAAGAAATACCTTAAAATCAAATGCCCTACAATGATTAAAAAATAAATGACGAACAAAGATACGAAAAAAAGTCAAACACAATGGAGAGGTAATATTGAAATTAAAGTAATATGCACCGCACACCGTAACAAAAGATACAGCATCAACGCAATAAGGCAGAAATAATTAGAAACATCACAAGAAGACATCTGTTGAGTATTCAGAGAATTTGCATTTCTAAACCTCTACCTGTAACAATTGGCCATCTGCCTACTTTGCCGTGGTTGAATTTGTTTATAAAAAGTCACTGCTTCGGCCGGGCGCGGTGGCTCACGCCTGTAATCCCAGCACTTTGGGAGGCCGAGGCGGGTGGATCACGAGGTCAAGAGATCGAGACCATCCTGACCAACATGGTGAAACCCCTTCTCTACTAAAAAAAATACAAAAAAAAAAAAACAAAAATTACCCGGGTGTTGTAGTGGGCACCTGTGGTCCCAGCTACTTGGGAGGCTGAGGCAGGAGAATGACGTGAACCCAGGAGGCGGAGCTTGCAGTGAGCTGAGATCGCACCACTGCACTCCAGCCTGGGTGACAGAGCAAGACTCCGTCTCAAAAAAAAAAAAAAAAAAAAAAAAAAAAAAAAAAAAAAAAAAAAAACCCACAAAAAAAGTCACTGATTCTTCCTTCTAGGAAACTCCATTTCTCTACACCCACCAGTTCCCTGTATCTCTCCAAACTTCAGCAAACTATAGGCCACCCACAAGACTATCTCAGACACTTGCTAGCAAGCCAAGGACCAGAACAAGAAGGCTGTTGACCCGCAGAAGGCAAAGGGGGAAATGTCACTTAGAAGCCCTCTCTCTACATGCACACCACCTACCTGCCTATGCTAGAAATCAGAGAATGTGTATCTGGGCTCCTTTAATGTGACGGAGATTGTCAACACAGTGGCTTCTCAAATCAACCTTCATCTTCCCATATTCCTCTGTTCTTTGCTCAACCAACCTAATAACACCCTTTTCCATACACTGGGTATAATGACCTGGTAATCCGGGAGGGGAAGTCTGCAGTTTGCGAGGGGGCTGGATACCCTCCAGCTCTGCAGTGGTGCCTTTCCTAGTGTCCTGGGAAGCGTACTGCTAGATAGAGCAGCTATGGAAATCTCCCACCTTCAGGGTGTATCTAGGCAGGTTAAAGTTCTACATCAGCAAACCTGAGGAAGCCTTGGCCATTCTTCCCCTGGGGAAGGGGACCAGAAGTGGGAGCCCTAAGTGGCTCAGTCCCTCTAAAAGTTTCCTGCTGCTAGAGGCCTTGGCTTCAGGCATAAATCTCCTCTCCCCACTGCATCATTGGGTTAGGGGTTTTCTCCCATATTTTCAGTAAAAAAAGAAAGCCTTTGGAGGACAAGAAAAACTTTTTATGAGGGTTTTAATGCCAAGTTTCTCTGAATACTCATAGCCACAGAACCTCCAATAAAGCCCAGGGAAGGTCATTGACTTTGCTTAAGCTTCCCTCCCTCCCTCCCTCCCTCCCTTCCTTCCTTCCCTTCTTCCCTCCTTCCCTCCTTCCTTCCTTCTTTCTTCTTCTTCTTCTTCTTTTTTTTTTTTTTTGATGGAGTCTCACTCTGTCGCCCAGGCTGGAGTGCAGTGGCGCAATCTCAGCTCACTGCAACCTCCACCTCCCTGGTTCAAGTGATTCTCCTGCCTCAGTCTCTTAAGTAGCTGGGATTACAGGGACTCACTACCACGCCTGGCTAATTTTTTGTATTTTTTAGTAGAGACAGGGTTTTGCCATATTGGCCAGGCTGGTCTTGAACTCGCGACCTCAGGTGATCTGCCCGCTTCGGCCTCCCAAAGTGCTGGGATTACAGGCGTGAGCCACTGCACCTGGACAGGTTCTCTTTTCTACTCCAGTTCACCTGAGGACAAGATAGACTCCCAACCGTAACAAGGGGTTCCCACTTCAGCAATTATTACCAACCCAGGTGTGGAGGGTGTATCATCAGTACAGCACCGTGATGAAGAAAATGGTTTAAAACAGTGGTTCACAAAGCTAATTGTGCATCACAGTGCCCTGGAGGGATGAGTTACAAAAAACACAGATCTCTGGGCTTCGTCTCCAGTTTATTGGTTCAGAAGATCTGGGGCCCAAGAGTCTGCATTCTTACAAGTTCCCAGTTGGTGCTAATGCTGCAGGTTTGGATGCCACACTTTGAGAATACTGAGTTTTGCACCCCACCTGTCTGGGTCGAAATACAACTTCTGCCACTTAACAAGCTGTGTGACTGTAGGCAAGTGACAAAGTCTCTGTGGCTCCATGTTCTCATTTATAAAAGGAAGACAACAGCATTATTCACTTCATAGAGTTGTGATGAGAATGAATGACTATAAATAAAGCATTTAGAACATTCATCGTACATAATAAATGCTATGTGACAGTTTATTTTATTAGCCTTCTCTAAGCTCAGAGAAATGAGAAAGATATAAAGAAAATTTAAAGCAAGGCCTGGTGATAATTTGCCATAAAGCAGTAACATTTAAAACTCAGGGAGAGGAGTGTCCATTTTGCATTTTTATGTATCACTCTCTTAATCACTATGATTAATGAGACTTAAGATTGGCTAAAGTTATTGTAATTAGTTATGATTTTGAAAAAATACCGTGTGGAAAATTTTTATGACTGAAGCCGACTTCTAACAAATAGCTGTATCTTGTAAACTGGGTTTAGAACTACCTACTAACAAAAGCATTACTGCCACCTGGTGGCAGTATACCAAAATTGTTGGCAAAAAGCACCGATGAAAATCTATCAGCATCTTCAGGTTCGCACCTGCAAACCTACAACTCAATAAAGTTAGAATAGCACATATGTGGAGAAGGTTTTGCTGGCTTGGAAAGAAGGTGAAAGGGGGCTTGGATGTCTCAGTCCTGTCCTTGGGCTGATGGTAAGAGTAAGGTACAACCGCCCTTGCTCCACCTTCTATGTTAGCTCAGGGTTCTAGCTTTTCCTACCCAGCAGGGGAAAATGGTCCCAGTGCCAACCAGAGGCTGGGGAGGGAGGCACTCAGAGCTGACAAAGAACACGCACCAGGATGAAGGAGGCTGACTGTCTGGCAGAGAGGCTGTTTTCAGGAGAGAGGGTGGTCATGGCCCCTGCTGTCTTCCGAACAGCCTCTGATCAGAACTCACTTGGAGCCCTAGTGATGCTTAATCCTTTTCGGAGATGGGTTGCATTCCCAGGAGGAACTGGCTGCTCCTGACCTCCCACACTTGAACAGAGCCGGCCAGCAGTGTGTCACAAGTCCCCTGGAACTCTCATCACAATGACCTGGAACACGGGAACACCCACCTTTAGAGATGAGACACAAGCAGGAGAAGAGGGATTAAACCTGCTAGTTTTGGAAAAAAAAAAAAAAAGGAAAGAAAAGAAAAGAAAGAAAGAAAAACAAAAAACAACAACAAACAGAAAAATGCAAAACTGCAGAACACGCAGTGGAGGTTGGATTCAGAGGACATGGGGATCAGTGTGGGCTGTGCTGGTCAAGGAGGGCTTCCAGGGAGAGGTGGGCCATGAAGCCTTGCTCTCTATCTCTGACTCTTCCTCTGGACTCTCTTAGCTGGACTCCCTCCCTATTCCACCAGACCAGTGCCCAAAGTTGGAGAATAACTAGAAACCAGGCTTCAGATGTCTTGGGTACCAGTTATAAAGATTCAGAATCAGTATGTCAGTGCTGGGGCCTGGGGGGCTGGGGAATGTGTTTTGATATGCCTCCTGGGGTGACTTAGCTTCAGCATTGGAATGGTAGCTTCTGGGGTGGAGATCAGTTTTGTTTAGCTTTTTATTTGGAGCACTTACGATCGTGCCTGAGTAGCTGAGTTAATGATTTAATTGAATGGGAGAATAAATGAAGCTGTCTTAGACCTCATCTCACTTCCCTCTCTGTATGTATGACAGAGATTTGTGCCTGCCCCATATCACCTCCTACCCTGAGTTCCTTTAGGCCAGGGTCAACATCAGATTCCTCTGTGGTTCCCTCTCCCAATGCCAGTTCTGCCATCACTTGGCACTTGGTAGGTGCTCAATATTTGTTGCATGGACCCAAGGAGTTGGCTCTGCTTGGCTCCAGCATCACTCTTCTCCACCTTAAGCATTGCTTGCACTTCTACTCAGGTCCCATCTGGCTCTAAAGCATCCTTAGTCATTAGGAGATGATAGTAATTCGACCAACCAAATTGGAATCAGGAGCTGGGTGTTGGAATTTGGACTCTGACCTCAAATTTGGATGCTCCCCGCTTCTGAGCTACAGATTCCCCAGACATGAAATCAGAATACAGTCAACCTCTGGCTTTCACCTCCTTATTAACATAATGAATCACTGTCCATATGGAGTCTTCCACGGACACAATTCATTGTCTCATTTACTGTTTCTGTTCTGCTTGCCTGCGGCACTGCAGAAGGCCTTTTAAATCAAAATGCCTTATTATCGGCCTCTCTCCTCTACCCACTACCCTAGCTCAACCTAGGAGAGAGTTAAGAGCCTCTTCCCTTTGATCTACTGCCCCTAGGTCTTCATGGAGTGGGAGGTGGGCAACGTTGAGTAGGGAAGGTGTGGAGTAAGGATGGGGCCCCTTGCACATTAGGGTGGCTTCATTCTAAGGTCTGCAAGAAGTTTCCAAAGCAAATGTTTAGAGCAAGAGACATAGACATCATTTAGGATTATCTATGTCTCTGTTCTTCCACATTAACCACGTAGGCAACTGAGGATTCACTGCAATTGTTCCTTGAGAAGATGAGGATCAGGTCGGGAATTGGAAACATCTGAGGGCTCAATTCAACCTGGCTTCTAAAACGAACATGGTGAACATAGATCAACTACTGAACTTCTTTTAACCTCTGGCATCCTATCTGTGAATTGTAGGTGATAACCCTTCCCCAAATGAGCCAATACAGTTTAGTCATATTACAAAAGCCCCATAGCAACCACATGGAGGCTTAATATTCAAACAGAACTGCAGGACTCTGTAACGGAAGCAAAAAGGGCTTTTATTCCATCCCTCTTTCTTCTTTTTTCAGATTCTGAAAGGGAATTACATGTGTCCATTTTTTTCCAGGGCTGAATGATCCTTACCATGTCCATTTATTTACATAATTGCCCAAGTGCCTTGGTTTCCCATATATTGCTTTTCTGTTATGCATTTTCTCATCTCTGATGGGAATCCAGCTTTCTGCTTTAAACTTCTATACGTGAGGATTCTTCAGGGAAAATATTATTTTAGGTGTTTGCATTAAAGAAGTCCAAGGAGGGAGAAACCCACTCAGTTCATTTTTCTCTGCTGAATCTGGCTGTCCATTAGCTGATGTGGCTGGCATGAGGAGGGAGAGGAGACTTGGAGTGGCCTGGGGAAGACCTCTCATCAATGAGAAAGCTCATAGGCTTTGGTGCCAAAAAGACCCGGTTCAAATCCTGGCTCTGCTGCACACCAATGATATGACCTAGGTTGAGAAAGGCAGTCTCATGCATGTGGTTTTTTAACCTCTGCTCAGCCCCATACAAGTGGCCTTGAGCCAAAAACACTTCCTTACCAACAGATAAGGAGCTCTCATAGCTTGTGCTGGGCTTATCGCCTTACGTGGGAATATCTTTTTCCTGTTTCAGACTCAGCGTGTACTCTTTGTTCTGCTTAAGCTTGTGCGTCATGTGGCAGGCACCTGGCCAACCCCACTGTTATATCTGTTCCAGGTGGGGAGGAAACAGGGTCCACCCGCTGCTGCACAAGAGGGGTGTGTGCAGACCGTCACCTTGTGTCTGCTGTAGCAGGAGACCCCTGGCCATGCGGGACTGAACCCATGATTGCAGCTGATCTTACTCTGTCTCTTCTCTGTGTGAGTAAAGTGTTGTTCCATCTAGTGCCTGTGTGAGTCGTGTCTTTCGTGGCGACACCTATAAACCATGGAGTGGGCTGACATCCTGGTTCTGCTGCTCCTGGTGGCGGGCATTGTTGTGCTGTTTGCCGTCCTCTACACAGTGCGAATCTTCTCTACCCTGCCCGAGTCTCGGCATCTCCACATGTGCCATGAGGATGGTAATGCTTTACAGAACTGAAGGTAATTGAAGCATGGCCCTGGAGCGCAGGAGGCACCCAATGTGTGGTAGTTATTATTATCTTCAGCATCGCCAGTATTATTACTAATGCCTAGGACTTGTCCACAAAAATCACTATGAAAATTTACTTCTGTGAACTAGACTCACATCAAAATGCTGCCTGCTTCCATGAGGCTTGTAGTGACATCCATGTACAAGTTCAAAGACCCTCTGAGCCAATTTCCACTTCTCTGCATGTCTCTGGGGACCTAGGGGACCAGGATTACTATAAAAGCAGGTAAGGCCAGTATTAAAAAGCAGGTTCACTCCAGTTCCCTTCATGTCAATGCAACAAGACACAACTTTGTGAAATGCCATGCAACTGTATCCCTGTTAACAAGTATCAACCCCTTCAAAGGATACCTACCCATGACTGTCTCAGTCTGCGGCACTCTAGATCTTGATAGAAATCACACGCATTCTGATTTTATTTCATTGCAAAATGCCAAGGATCTTCCATGCCAAAGCTGCACTTTTCTCTTTACCCCTCTTTGTGGAGGACCAGGGTAAGTTTAGATTTTTGGCTTCAGGCTTTCTGCCCTCAACTCCATGGAGCATGGCATTTCTGACAATGCTGGAGATGGCTGCACGTCATGTGTCACTAGCGTGAGGATAGCAGGGACGGGGAGTGGTGGAGACAGCTCCCTTCTGAGCACCAAGGTAGTTGGATTCCCCAGAGCAATAACCAGCCCAGTCACCCTAGAAATCCCCTAACCTAGTTGGAGGGCTAAGGAGTTACTGCACTTTGGGCCATCTCTAAGGTCTTGGGGAGCCCACCTCCTAGGTAGCTCTCTTGCATTCCAGAAATAACCCATAGGAGCAACTCTGGACAAAAGAGGGACACTCAGCCATGGGCAGCTGAGGCAGAGCTCCTGACTACTCTTTCCACCCAGTCCTGCTCCGTGAGGGGTCTTCCTCATGGTTCTACCTGTCACCTGTCCCCCAGCCCAGGCTCCTGGGTCACCACCAAAGCAGGTAGCTCGGACTCACCAAGCCCAGGCTATGCCTTTCCTGCTACCCATGTCTCCTGTTCATTTAGTCCCCAAGTCTCCCTCTTGCCTGTGGACCTCCCCACCACAGCTGCCTTTTACTGGGCACTTGCTATATACCTCCGGTGAAGTGCTTTACCTAAGTGAGTGCCAGCCTTGAACACTATGAAGTCAACAGAAGCTCAGAAAGGTTAAGTAACTTACCTGGGATCATCCAGCCAGAACATGGGGAGCCAACAACCTTCCTAGCTCTGCCTAGCTTTGCCACTAGCCAGGCCGTCACAGTGTCACGTGGAGCTGCCTCCCCCTTCCTGTTGGCAGTGGTGGGCATCGTGGAGCTCCTAGCTGGCTCAGGGGACTGTAATCCTACAGCCCAGTGGGGAGGGGGGGGAGTTTGCTATAACTCCCTCTCCAGGTTTTAAAATAGTTATTCAGTCTAAAAACAGACTATGTGGTGCTGGTTGGAGGTGGGGGTGGGGAAGTATTGCAACCTAGATTATAAAGATGATGGAAAGAGTGAAATGGAGAGGAAAAAGGACAAGAAACTCCAGCAAATGCCAGGGACTGCTAATGGAGAGAAATAACATGGCTAATTACATCTCTGAAGGCTATCCATTCCAAAATAAATGTTTAATGAAAAAATAATGCATTTTCCCTGCAACTTAAATCTGGGAGTGAAGAGAATGAGCAGAGTCTCCCAGTGGGCACTAGAGTAGCTGTGCATGTGCAGGGTTGCCTCTGACCGTCTCACCTTGATGAGTTGCTTCCCCAGCGTCCTCATCCTGAGGGTGACCACACAGCAGTCTTCCCAGGGAAGCCACAGGAGTGAGCCATGGGAACCTCACACACCAAGCAACTAGGCTCCAGGACACCAGGGGCAGACCAAGGTCTGTAAATCCAACTCCCTCCCCCACCAAAGCTTGCGATGTTTCTCTCCAACAGCTCCAGGAGGCCTTCTCTGGTTATTTTCCTCCGCCCACCTCTCCTTTCCATTCTCTCCATCAGGGAGTTCCAGATCTTAAATCTATGGGTATAAAGTTGAGGTCCTTCTGTGAAATGAAGGCTCACCTCTAACAAGCCAAACAGATCTGTTTGGTAAGTGTGGGTTTTGGAGAAGAGGAGCTCCTCCACTCTCCCCTCTTTCTAGCATAATCTGTAGACCAGAATAGGGAGAGAGAATCATGAGTTTTAGAGTCAAACAGACTTGGGTTCAGATCCTAGTCTTATAACTTACTTGTTATTTGACCCAGGTTAAGTCATTTAGTTTCCCAGACTCATTTTCCTTATCTGTAAAAGGGGGTGCTTTGTAAAATTATTGTGTGGTTTAAATAATGTCTGCAAAGTGCTTTTCACAGTATCTAGTATCTAGTATACTCAAGCATTCAGTAAACAGCAGTTTTTTGTGTTATCATTTGTTTCAGAGCACAAGAAGGCTGACCTTGAACTCCTCAAGATGCTTGCTCCTGGGATTCTCCAGCTGCAATCAGCATCCCCCACCCCCACTTGCCTGCGGTTGCTACATGGGTCAGACAGCAAGGACCACAGGGGCACTAAGTTTGCTGCTGACTCTTGACCTCAGATGGGCTATTTGGCCAAGGGCCCAGCTCTCCCTCCAATGTAGAGGAGGCAGGGAGGCAGGAGCCAGCAAGAAGTTCCTCCAGGCAAAGGGAAAGTGGCAAAGATACTCAAGAGCTCACAGGTACCTAGCACACATTGCCCATGGGCACACATATCACTCTGCAAACTATACACGAAACCCCTGAAATTCAGGAGTACACAAGCCCCCACAAAATGTAGGACCACATGCTTCAATATTCACTTTCCAACATATTCAGATCCACAGAAACACAAATAGCCCCGCGTAATGTGCATACAAACACATCTATATCATGCTGCAACATGCCCACACTTACACGTTTCCCCCAAAACAGCATGAAATCAATCTGGGCACCTCACTTCTATGGAAAACTTGCTCTCTGAAGTGTGAACATTTGTGCACACACACAAATACACCTACCCTGTAGGTCCAAATGCCTGGGCAGCATGCCAGGAATGGCACCCCTGGGCCTTGCCAGTCATGGCAGCAATTCACAGATGATTCCCTTCTCCCTGGAGAGATCCCAAGCTGGGGGCCACCGAGGGGGCTGGGCAGTGGGCAAAGGGCTGACCCTGGGGACTTATTAGGGGTCAGGGTTCATGAGGGCAGAGCAGGAGACCCCAGGGGCCTGGAGTGATGGAAGAGACAGACGAAGCTGGGGCTGGGGGAGGAAAAGCAGGAGGATGGAGATCTACACTGACACCCTCAGTCCTAGAGGCAGAGAAGAGGTTCAGATCTGGCCTGGTGCGTTCCAGTGTTGGGCAGAAGCAGGGAGACTGGAATTACTTCTTTCTCACTTCATTCCTCATTTTTTCCCTTTTCTGGAGCTATTCCATCCTCTACACCCTGGGAGACTCTGACTGGGGCCTGGATCTGGCCAGAAAGTAGACCTGTCAGTATCCTGGAGACCAGATACAGGAAGCTTATTACTGAGCTCTCCAAAGCCTGATGCCCGGAAGCAGCATCAGCTCACTGGGTTGGCTTGGAGGAGCAGGACTCTTGCGGCCTTTGCCCTTTGTCTTTGGGACCTCCTCTAGGGGGCAGGAGACAGGTGGAGGATCTTACTTCCTCTGGGTCTGAAACTTTCATTCACCCAATGAAATGGGGAGGCGCTATACTCGCATGGGGTAAACCCCTGACCCCTACCCAAACTCACCAGGCTGGTATGGTCATAAACACACAACACCCAGAGGCAGGAGGTCCAGGACATTTCTCCCACGACCCCTTATTCCCACCTCAACTCCTCCCTATCCTGCCCCGTGCCCTATTCTCTTCTTCTCCCAGCCTTTCAAAGGCAGAGTGACCCTGCAAACCCTCTCCTCTGCTGTCTTCAGTCCTTGACCAAGCTGGAGGCAGCACTGATGGGAATTGTTCCTGCCCCTCATGGGCAGAGCCTGCAGACTCAGGATGCTGCTCCACTAGCCAAGCAGCTCTTTCCACTAATAGATTGTGTAGAAAAACATTTGGCCAAGATAGGAAGGAGTCAGTGAGGTCAAGGTTATGGGGGCAATTCCTTTGTGAGAGGATCTGAGAAAGACAATTCTACAACCTGAACACACATGGAAATCTGGCCCTGGCCACAGCCTGGTCTTGACTACAGAGTTTTAAATTGAGTCCTGAAAAACATATGCAGCAACTTTGCTTCGTAGGTGAGAAATTAAGCTCCAGAGAGGGGCAGCAGCTTACTTAAAGTCACACAGCAAATCAAAGGAATACCTGTAACTAGAATCCAGTCTCCTGCCTCCTATCCTGGTTATCTTTAGATGGCAGCAAAAGGCGATGTTTTAAAAGCCAGATTTTGAGGAAAAGAGGAGTGCCCAGGTTAGCTAGTTTGATGAAGGAGCCCTGGAAGGTCTTATTTCCTGGTGCATAGGTATTCTTTTGTTTTCCTCCTCTTTCCTTCCGGGGCTGGGCCAAATGAAGGCTAGAAAGTGGCAGATTCTGTTTATCCCTGGGATGGAGGGGTACAGGGAGGCAGGGAGACGGCGGGGAGGAGACAGGGCTGGGTTGGGCTTTGCCTCCTCTGTTCCCGTCTTTGAGAGAGTAGCAGCCTCAGTGGTTGCAGGAGCACGTGATGCCACTGTGCAAAGAGGCTGAGATAAGAAGGAGGATTGATCTTTTTGCTGCTTCAAAGAGAACAGAAACCCTCCCTGTCATGGCTGTTGATCAAAGTCTCTGCAGAGGATATTTAATATGCCCTACCCTGCTCCGACTTGGGGTCCCTGGAGGTAGGAGTCCCACTTCTTGTCATGCTGAGACCTTCCTCCAAGCCTTACTGCAAACTAGAGAGACACCTTCCCACCTACCTTCCAGCTAGGGTCCCACTGCAGCTACCAGAAGCCAGGAGTTCAAACTCCTTTCTAGCCTTTTTCCCAGGCAGCTTAGCCCAAGGCCAGGGAACAGTCAGTAGGAACTGATATCATCCCCATCATACAGATGAGAAACTGAGGCATAGGGAGGTTAAGCAACTTGTCTAGAGCCACAAGCTAATTATCTCTTGGGAAACCCCCATTATTGCAGGGTTACATGGCCTTTGTCTGAAAGCCCCTGTCTGATGGTAGAGATAGGCTCCTCCCTCTAGAGCTGCCAGCTCATGTAACATATGTACAACCCAAAAGGACTATGGAAATAACCTCTGTGAAAAAGGAGGGATGGGCTCTGTTTCAAAAATGTCTTCTTTAAAAAATCTTGAAAAATCCAAATCTTTAATTTCACTTTGCCTCCCTGGTGGGGCAGAACAGATTTGTCTTGCCCCTTCTCCTGCCCCTTCACAAGCTATACCCAACTCCATCTGTTTGCAAATAGTGCTTTGTCTTATACGTGAAAATCCTTAAATGCTTATCCATTGAATAAGTGCAAATTTCAAAGTCCTTAGCTGGGCATTCAAGGCTCCGAAAAACCTTGAGAGGCCATGTGGCCTACTGGTTAAGAGCATGGGCAAACTTCCCAGGCTAGCATCCCAGCTCCTCAACCTCACCTTTCTTTAGCCCATGAATTTTTTATGTGTGGCTTAATTTCCAGTATTTGAGAGATTTTCCAGATATCTCTCTTTCGTTCATTTCATTTGACTTCATTACAATCAGAGAACATACTCTGTATGATTTCAATTCTTTTAAGTTTGTTAAGGTTTGTTTTATGACCTATAGAATATGGTCTATATTGGAGCAACTTGAAAAGAATGTGCATTCTGCTGTTGGGGGTGGAGTGTTCTACAAATATCAATTAGATCAAGTTCATTGGTAGTGTTGTTCAGGTCTTCTACGTCCTCACTGATTTTCTGTCTACTTTTCCATCAGTTAGTGAAAGATGAGTTTTGTTAAAGTCTCCAAGTATAACTGGGTTTGTTTATTTCTACTTTTACTTCTCTCAATTTTTTGCTTCATGTGTTTTGAAGCTCTATTGTTGGATACATATACATTGAGGATTGTGACAACTTCTAGATGAATTAATCCTTTTTTCATTGTGTAATATTCCTCTTAATCTCTGATAAATTTCCTTCTTTAGAAGTCTAGTTTGCTTTAAATTAATATAGCCATTCCAGCTTTCTAAAAAAAGTTTCATGGTAGTTTTAAAAATCATTTAATTTTTAACCTATCTATATCATATTTAATGTGAGTTTCTTATATATAGCATAGAGTTGGTCTTATTTTAAAAAAATCTAATCTGACTATCTCTGTCTTTTAATTGATATGTTTAAACCATTTATACTTAATACATTCGTTGATATGGTTGGATTTAGGTCTACCATTTTATTGTTTGGTTTTGGTTTGTCCCAAATCTTTTATTTCTTTGTTTCCCCTTTTCTGTCTTCCTTTGGATTATTTGAATATTGTTTTAGCATTCCATTTTTCTTTCTCTGTTGCCTTTTTTACTATATCTTTTTGTATTTTTTAAGTGGTTATTCTAGGGATTATAATACAAATACCTAATTCTTCATGGTCTATCTAGAGTTACTATTTTACCGCTTCAAGTGAAATATAGAAACCTTGCAGCCATATAGGTCCTTTTCCCTCCTTCATGCTGTACTCGTTATATACATCTATAGACATTGAAAACCTCATTATACAATGTTATAACTTTTGCTTTCAGCTTAAACAGTTTTCAGCTGTTTAAGATGTCTTTGGGTGAGGTTGTCTTTGAATTTATTGTTTTGGGGATTTCTGAATATACTGAGATCCATGAATCAATACATTTACGTCTTTTTACCAAATTTGGGACGTTTTCAGCCATGATTTCTTCCAGTTTTTTTTCCGCACCAAGCAAGCCTTTTCTTCTCTTTCTATAGTACATATTTTAAAGTACTTAAGGAGAAAATAATTTATTATATTTACCTAGTTTTATAATTTTGTCATCTTCCTTTACTCCTTAAGTTCCAAGTTTTGAGTGGGAGTGTGGCCTTCTTCAAGAGAGTAGCAGCAGCAGTGGCTACAGGAGCAACTCAAAATGAGTAAGAGAAAGACATCTGGAAAAATCTCCCAAATATTGGTATCATTTGTCTTTCTCCTGAAGAATTTCCTGTAGCGTTTCTTTTGCAGCTGGCATGCCAGCAATAAATTTTCTTAGTTTTTCTTCATATAAAAATATCTTTACTTTGCCTTTTAAAAAGGTTTTGGGTTTTTGTTTGTTTGTTTGTTTTGTTTTGTTTTTTAACTGGGTATGGAATTCTGGGTTGACAGCTCTTCCAGCATTTTAGAGAATTTTTTCCATTGTCTTCTGGCTTTGATGGTTTCTGATGACAAATCTGTAGGCAATTTAATTGTTCTTCCTCTATATGTATTGTATTGCTTTCCTCTGGCTGCTTTTAACTTTTTTCTTTATCCTTGGTTTTCAGCTGTTTAAGATGTCTTTGGGTGAGGTTGTCTTTGAATTTATTGTTTTGGGGGTTTCTGAATATACTGAGATCCATGAATCAATACATTTATGTCTTTTTACCAAATTTGGGACGTTTTCAGCCATGATTTCTTCAAGTTTTTTTTCTGCACCAAGCAAGCCTTTTCTTCTCTTTCTATTGAACTCCAATGACATGAATATTAGACATTTTGATATTGTCTCACAAGTCCCTGAAACTCTATTCTTTCTTTTCAATCTTTTTTTCTATGTTGTTCAGATTAGATAATTTCTATTGATTTATTTTCAAGTTTATTGATTCTTTTTTCTGTCATCTTTGTTTTGCAATTGAAGCCCTGAGGTGATTTTTAAAATTTCAGTTATTGTATTTTCTAGCAACAAAATGTCCATTTTGTTCTTTTTAAAATGATTTTCAGGTTCTTTTTTGACAGCTTCTATCCTTCCATTCATTTCAAGATCATTTTTTCTTACTTTATGAACTATAGTGATAATATCTGCTTTAAAGTTTTTGTGTGATAACTCCATCATCTGGATTATCTCAGGGCCGGCATCAGTTAATTATCTTTTCCTTTGAAAGTAATTGAGATTTTCCTGGTTCTTTGTGTATGGAGTAATTTGGGGCATTTTGAATATTATATGATCAACCCTATCTAGTTCAGACCACAAGTCCTGACCTGCTTTGGATCAGTTCTACACATGCCCTGCTCAAGGAAGAGTCCAGGACTTCACCCACGGATTTAAGGAAGTCTTTTCTTTAGCACACCGCGATTTCCCTTACACTCTCTGGCGCCCAGAGGCCCTTTTCCGGGTCTTTGTGCTGCAACGCTGGAGTTTTACCCTCCCCTAACTGTTGCATATTTCCCCTGCCTGGGGTCCACCTCCTGGGTGAAGCAAAAAGACAAAGAAAGAAAGAAAAATCAACAGAATTTCCCCCACACCTTCATAGGGGTTCCCTTTCCCAATTCCTCTGACCAGAGAGAAGGATTTTCCTCATGGTTTTAGATCCTGCACTACCAACATTACAGGAGTATAGTTTCATGATTGGGGCTTTCCTTGGGACATACCCAGGAGAGTAAAAGAGAGAACAATTGGGGTCACTCTCTGACCTGCAGGGTCCCTGTTCCCAGTCCTGTGGCTAGAAGGAAGAGTTCCTCTTGGAGCTTTTTTGTTTGTGCCCACTGTGCAGTGGCATTTGGGCCCTCTAGCATCCAAGTCAGGAGATATTGGAGGGAAAATACCAGAAAACTCACGGTCATATTGATCATTCTTTGAGCATTTATTTCCTGCAAATCCACCTGCTATTATTTTTTTTTCAGTATTCTTAAACAGTGTTGCATGCATTCATTCCAGGGATTTTATTTGTAAGCAGTGGGAGAGAGAGGATGAAATTTGCTTACTCCATCTTAGCTGTAATCAGAAGCCTGTAGACATGTAATTTTTAGTTGAAAGGTATGGGAGAATGTAACAAATTTTGGAAACAGTATTGCAATATTTAAGAGAATGTAAAAGTTATTCTATTTATAAATTTATTTATTTATTTATTTTCTTTCTTTCTTTTTTTTTTTTTTTTTGAGACGGAATCTCACTCACTCTGTTGCCTAGGCGGGAGTACAGTGGTATGATCTCAGCTCACTGCAGCCTCTGCCTCCCAGGTTCAAGTGATTCTCCTGCCTCAGCCTCCCGAGTAGCGGGGATTACAGGCATCCACCACCATGCCTGGCTAATTTTTGTATTTTTAGTAGAGATGGAGTTTCACCATGTTGACCAGGTTGTTCTTGAACTCCTGACCTCAAGTGATCTGCCCACCTTGGCCTCCCAAAATGCTGGGATTACAGGCATGAGCCACCACACCCAGGCAGTATTTTTATAAATTTAATTTATTGTATTTACAATGGATTTTCAAGTACGTGATAAAAAGATTTTGCTTATTCCATTAGATATTTAAGTTACGTAGGAAAATCAAATATATTAAATGTTTAAATGTAGCTGAAATTGTTTAAGCAAATTTAATTGAGTTGTAAAAGGCACTGATTGTTTAAAGGAGTAGTTTTTTCAACCTGAGTTAATCAAACTTTAATTGAAGAAAAAGTGAAGGTCTTGTTCTTATTTTATTGCATTTATGCATAGAACAATAAGATTGGTAAGTGGAGCTTAATCCTTCTAAAAAGCTATGTTTTTATATGTGTATCCTTAATAAATTGCCTATTAAATTTTAAAAGGTAGCTATAAATAGTATTTCTGTGTGCACAAGCCCCCACACACTCAGCAAAAAAGCCTCATCGACAGGATGCTTCCTTCCACCACTCCCAGGCAACTCTCACTGTCAGAAAGATGTCTTTCTCTCCACCTGAAATCCATGGGTAGTATAGACTGTAGAAGATACAAGCATTTGGAGACAGATTGGAGAGGAACTTTACTCCTCTGTGCCACCCTCTCCCTTCTCTGAGCATCTACTCTCCACACAACAGCTCCTGCTCACACTCTGTCCTGCTCTAGCCTGTCGCTCTTCTCTGGGTGGTTCTGTACCCAGGAAGAGAGCTGGAGGGAAGGTCCCTCCCCTGACAGCCCTGCTCCAGGATGGGCTCAGAGCAGGTGCTGAACCTGTGCAGGGACCACTGGGGCAGCTGGCCGGGGAACATGAGGCGGGGAGGAGAGGCCAGGTCCTGGCCATGTTTCTCAAAGCCTAGGCTGCAAAGAGGCCAGCAAAGAGGGGACAGTGAGGCCTCAAGCACATTGGGGACCACCTCTCTGGACTCAATAATGAAAACATCTGTATAAAGAACTTGATGGTTTCAGAAGGTTTCCATCCTGCGGCCATTTGACAGTGGGAGTTATTACCTCTTACCTGCAGAAGAAATATCCAGGGGTCCAAAAGAAGCACTGTACCTTCCAAGGTCACAAAGATATCAAGGGAAAACACCCAGACTAGAAGCCAAGGCTCCGGACTTTCAGCCTCTTAGTCTTTGCCTCTAGCATTCACAGGGGTGGGGTTCGAGGAGATAGTGTGAGAACAGAGCAGTGAGTGAGCAGCCACTCTGCATCCACAAACAGCCTCTCCCTGCTTCCTTCAAGTTTATCTGCTGGAAAGAGGGGTAGACGAGGGAGGAGGTAGAGCCAGAGAGGCATCGCGTCAGCCGCTCACTGTCTGTGATGGGTGCAATCTGGAAGCCCCAGTGGCCTAGCTCTCTACCCTAGGGCTGCAGTAGAGCCCTACCCTAGGGCCACAGAGACACCATGGACTTCTGCCCCAGGCTTCTTCCTGGTATGCCAGGGAGATGCATGAGGTGAGCATCTTTGGAGCTTTCCCACCTCCTTGAGTAAGCAGTGATAATACTGGCTGGAGGAGAAGCTCTAGTTCAGATCTAGCCTCCCTTCCTGCACTGTACCCCAGGAAGCTTTGCTCCCTAGGTGTGAACCTGGCTGGATTCCAGCTTCTGAGATCTTTCATCCTGGTTTTCAGTGAGCTGGAGTGGAAAAGTCTTTCTCTGTGTGGTTAATTTTGCACTGGCCCATTTTCCCTTTCTCTGTCCTCTTCTTACCTGACTCTAGGGGATGCCAAGGGAGGAAGACACAGCCAGTCAGCATTCCTTCCTAGGAGCCCATCAGAAGCTTCCAGGAGAGAGCCTTGGATGATGTGTGTGTGTGTGTGTGTGTGTGTGTGTGTGTGTGTGAATTTCCTGAAGACTGGCCAGGCCTCCCCAATCAGACAGGCAGGGACCCAGCCTTGACCAGCAGAGCTTTCAGAAGAGATGTCTCCCAACACCAAGGCCTCCTTATCCCACTGGCAGGTTCAGAAAGTGGAAGATGCTGGCAGTCAAAAGAACCCAGGCCAGCTCATTAGCCACCACTATCCAAAGGACTGGCCAGGCTGCTGGCAGGTGGGAAGCTTTGTCACACAACCCAGGCCAGTGAGGAACCAGGCCAGAGCTGGCAACCGGAGGACCGGATACCTGAGCACACTCCACAGATGCTCAGCCCTGACGGGGGTGGGGGGGGCGGGGGGGGTGGGAAATGAGTCAGCACAGCCCCTCATTATACAGATGGGAAACTGAGGCTCGGAGGGGGGCAAGCCCCTGGCAAATGTTGCAGGGCAAGGTAGGGACTGAAAACAGGTCTTTGAATTTCAATGTGGGTTTTTTACATAGTACCATGTCTCATTGTTCTAAAATCAGTAGATGGAAAGTTTGTTCATCTTTATTCATTGCCCCCTCCCAGGATACTTTTGGGTACCCGGCTAGTGCTGAGGCTTGGGGAGACCCAGGATTACGTGAGAGCCACTCTCTCAGTTGGGCCTTCCTCCCTACTTAGTGTTCAGGAGCCACGGCATGGGTTGGTAACTATGAAAGGGGATGTGCTGCAATAAAGCTACCAGCAGAGCAAAGGGGGATACAGGAAGACAGGAGACAGAAGGGGAGGGATTTTACTCACTTATACCTTACTTCATTCCCAAAAGATTGATGGTGGCAGAGAGGCTGTGAACCTACAAAGGTTTCAGGGTATGAGCTGGTCTTAAAGAGTGAACAGGATTCAGAGGACAAGATGAGGATGGGTCTTCCAGGAGGAAGGAACAGGTTGTGTAAAGACACAGGACATGTGTGAGGTCTCGTAGAGCCCAAGGTGGCTGAGGCAGAGGGGGCAGTGGAAATGCTGAAGGAGTGATGGTCCTGTTCAGATGGCCAGCCCATCGTGGGAACCATTGTGGATGAGCCTGCCCTTCAAAAGGCTGGTCACCTTGGCCTCAGTCACTGTTGTTGTATAACAAAGTCCCCAAAATTCAGTGGCTTAACATAATATTCATTTAACTTATTATCCTGTGGGTCAGAAATTTAGTCTGGGTTCTGCTGGGTGATTCTTCAGTTCTCAGATGGGGTCACTCACTCTGGAGGTCAGCTGGCTATTGGCTGACCTAAGCTAGCCAAAAGCACAGACACAAGACGGCAGGCTCCAATGTGAAAGCTCATTTCAAACTTCCGTTTGCAGCATGTCTGCTAGTATCCCATTGGCCAAAAGAAGTCACATGGCTGGGTCAACTCAAGGGTGAGGTAGTGACGTAACCTCTGTTCATAGTGGGAGGACAATACAAAAGCACACCGCAGAGGGCCAGGACACAGGGAGCAGGAAGCACTGGGCCATCAATGCAATGCAATCCACCAGTCGTTGGCCACCCAGCTTTGGCTCGGGTGTCTGCACTCACATCCCCAGATAGGTGCAGAGCATGCCTCTGGAACCTAGCTCAAAGGAACCCAGCTCAAATCCTGCCTTCTCAAGGGAACCCTCCTTGCTGACTCTGCCCTCAGTTGAGCTTACACTACCCAATCCTGTGAGAGCTCAGTAGTTTGTGTGTGTGTGTGTGTGTGTGTGTGTGCATGTGTGTGTATGTCTGCCTCAACCAGATGGTGGGAACTGGTACAGGGTTGTCTATTTATCACCCTACATGCTGGGTTGTGGAGCCACATGGGTGACTTGGAAATGACCCCTGCCCTCCGTGAAGCCCAGTTTCCTGTAGGAGACACACCTGCCAGCAGTGACAGTCCAGCATGGCAAGTAGTGAGATCAGGCACATAGGGCACAGAGACAGCCCAAGGGAGGCACAGGCCCAGCCCAGCCTCCAGGAAAGGCTTTCTGAGAAGGTGAAGCTGGAATGAAGTCTAGAAGTTGAGTAAAAAGTTAAGATAGACCAGTGCCTGTAGGCTAGAGTGGGAGGATTCTGTCGTAGCTGGGGACAGCATGGCACAGGTACAATGGTGAGAACAGGTGGACATGTCTGAGGAGCGGCCGTGGCTGCCTGCAGCTGAGCTCAGGAGGGCACCTTGGAGGCAGAGGTGGGAGGAAGCTGGAGAGGTGGATAGGAGCCAAGTCATGGAGCCCTGGGTGTCGGGTGAAGGATGAGCAGAAGCAAGAATGTGAGACTGCAGGGCCTGATCTGCATGTCAGAGCCGGCTCTGGGTGGCTAGGGCAGAACAGAAGCCAGATCGTGGGCAACAACAGTCCAGGGGAGATGAGGAAGGCCAGAATCCAGCAGAGGTGCTGGAAATGAAGAAGAGAGAGTGGATTAGAGAAGGGATTCCAACTCTTCAGGCCTTGGTGACCTGCAGGATATGGCACTCAAGGCCCAGGGTTCGGGGTTTGGGGGTCCCCTGGAGTCTAATGGCTGGCTCTGGGAGTCTACTGGTTAGAAGTCAGGGAGATATGGGGCAGGCCAGCCTAGAGCCAGGGGTCCCTAGAGGTCAAGGTCCCAACAGGCTTGGGGTCCTTGACTCCGCACGGCAACTCTGGGCCAGGGCAGCCTGGCACACCTGGGCTCCACCACCTCCTTCCTCTTCGTCTGGCACACCCTGATGTGGTACTGCTGAAAAAGAGCAGGGCGAGCTTGAAAAAGCCACCAAAGACAGGCAGTACTTTCCCCAGCCCCAAAGCCGGCTTCAGAGGCCGCTTCTGCCATAGGCCTTAGGGGCATGATTGTTCACCAGGGAGGCCCTGAGTGGCATGTCCGTCCCCTGGGGAGCTTCAAAGGTGGCCCCGCCAAGCCAGCCTCCTGTTTCCTGCTGGGAGATGGGGGTCTCAGTCCTGCCGGCCACCTGGGAGTTTTTGACGTTTTCACCTCTGAGCCTCTGGTTGACACCACTTCAAAGAACATTCCTTCCTCCCTAAAGCTTCCTCTCGCCCCTGGGCTCCCATTGACTGAGAACTTGTTACCAGCTGTGCCCAACTGGCCCAGAGCCAGGGCTTCTCTGCTCTGCCGAGGTCCCAGCCAGGTTGAGTCTGGCTCAGTGTGCGGGTGCCTTGTACTGTCTCTCCTGAAGAGTTGGTTCTATCTCTCAAGCAGCTGCTAAGGACATTGAGGCCCTGGGATCTCAGATGAAGAACTCTCTGAGGAAGAACTGTGCTGTGTAGAAGTGTTTTTTTCCCCTTCTTTTATTTACAGGCAAGAGCTGTGTTTCAGAGCAAGCCCTGACTGGGGCATCAGGGGGCCTGGCTTCCTACCCTAGCCCTGGTGATTTGACTTTGGGTAACCTCTTTGGGCTTCTGTTCTTGCAACTCTAAAATGAGATTAATAAGACTGGTCTATGAATTGAATAAGACAATACATCTGAAAATACTCATGTGTCTGGCTAAGTTTTTAAATTTATTAATTCAATAATACCCATAAGACGTTACCATGTACCCCCTATTTCCAGTACAGGGGGAAACCTAAGAAGGGAATCCATTGAGGGGAAGGACCTCGGAGAGTTTGCAGGCAGGTCCTATTATCAGCCCCTACTCCACACTCAGTGTCAAAGAGCACAGTCAGGTTAAACCCAGCCAGCAGGTACCATGGTGGGAGAGCTTGGTCCCATGAGTACAGGATAGTGTACCAGGGCTGCAGGGGCTGGGGCAGGAGATAGTGGAGTGGGCTCCTCTGGAATGAGAAGGAGAAGACAGAGAAGAGGCTTTGGTCTATGAATCCTGAATCTCTCGACTGACAAGGAGCACGGCCTGCTGGTCTGACCCAGTGTCATAAATTTGTTTTAATGTAGTTGATGTCTCAGCATCCATTTTAAGGTTTAATATAAATTATTTAAAGCCCAAAACACTTCCCTTCCCCATGTAGTTGTTTGCAATATAGCCTGCTTGTTCCTCATCCCACTGACCCAATACCGCTGATCCCACAGCTTCTGACCATGATGAAACCTAATGGTCAACACCAGAGTCATGTAAATGAGTCCCCCCTTCAAGTATCTTTTCTCTGAACCAGCCAATCAACAACCCCTGTGGGAAAGCCCAAATGATAACGCTAAGGCTTTAAGAAAGGCAAAGTCCCACAGGTCCCCTCTTTCTCTCTCTTCCCCCTGCCCCAAGTTGAACTCCCTGTCACTTTTGGACTTCCTTTGGACACCATTGACACCCCTAACCTATGTGGGACCTCAGAGTAATAAATTTCTTGTCCTTCTGCATTTTACTTTCATTTCTTCTTTGTGTCTCACACACCCAAACCTAACTTTCCCCCCTTCAGGGCTCTCCTGGAGAGTAGCTATCTTGGCTTATGGCCAATCTCAAGAGACAGACCTGGAGACCAAATTACAGTGAAAATCACCATACAAGGGAGACCAAATGGTTCTACGCTGCAGGCACAGGGCCAGGTCTCCTTGGGGCCAGGATGGTGGGGAGGCCTGGCCGTGGGCCTCTGGGACATTCTAGAGCCGTTGCTGCCACAGATTCACCCTGGAAATGCCAGCCCTTCTTTTCCTGCTGAAACTGGAAGCCTGGAGGAGGAAGAGAGAAGTCCCCAGCCTCTAAAGCCAGGACTGGGAACCTGGGGCACAGAACCCGGGGGTACAGAAACTGCAAGTGGACCAGCAGATAGGACGGCTGGAACGTGAATCCTCTCTTTGGACTTTAGAAGCAATCCTTGGGTTCCTGGGCAGGGTGAGCAGGGCAGGTCAAGATGCAGAAATGGGCAGAGAGAAGCAGAGAAAGGCAGACCACACTTCAGGGCTCTTCAAAGTCAGGGACCTGCAGATCGCTTCTTCTCCAGAGCCCAGCCAGGGTCTGGTACAGTGGAGCGGGGAATAAGTATGTGTCAAGTTGATTTGATAAGAGAGATCTAGAGTGACATCCAGCCACAGAGATGGGGGCAGCTGGAGAGACAGAGGAGCTGAGAGGTGAAAAGAAATGCATACTCAGGTAGAAAATCCAAGAGAGAGAACGGAAATGGAGAAGGGAGAGAGAGGAGAAAAATAAAACCGAGATGGAGGAGAGAGCAACAGAGAAGATACTGCCTTCACTGAGTCCCAAAATAGCAGCTGCTGGTGCCGGCAGCCTGCCCTGAGATGGCCCTTTAATTGGGGCTGAATTCAGCACTCTCTGAGCCCAGTGCTTGTGTGTGGGTGTAGCTGTGTGCTGGTCCAAGGTTGTCAGAAAAGGCCCAGCTGGAGTAAAATGTGTGCCCGGGGTGTGGCTTCCCTCCCTGGGCTCCCCAAGCCCCCTCCAGCTCCCACTCTACACACCCAGGCCACAGATGCCACAGTGAGGGAGCAGCACCTGTTCTGGGGTGGTCAGGGCTTCTCCAGCTTGCCTGGGGAGAGGGGAAGAAGGATTTGGGGGAAGTAAGTCTGAGGGAGCAGGAAGATGCTTCAGGGAGTGGATGATCATTGCATTTTGGGAAGAGATCATTGTCAGAGTTGGATACTTAGCGTTGTTATTTTAGGGACAACTTATACTTTCATAAAACTCTCTTAACAGGCTGATTGTCTTCTCACATCCTCTCTTCCAGATGCTAGCACCCAGTTGTGTGGCCAAAGCAGCCATAATTTAAGGTACCACCTCCTCTCCAATCCATTTACCTATTGCTTAGGAAGAAGGGCTGATTCTGCTTTCTTATGGGGACACATTCTCTGCTCCAGCCAGGTATAGAGGTGGCCTGCTTGGGCTCCATTTCCCTTTAGGATACAAAGAAAACACCTGATAGTCTTTACACTGTGAGGAATCCTCTTTAGATGCCAAGAATTTTCCAATGATGTGAAGAAGAAGACCAGTATACAGGGAGAATTCAGTTGAATGACCACCTTCCTGCCTCCCTGATCCATCACATGAAAAATTTGCAACGTTTTCTATAGATTTATATTACACTTGTGATACTCAATACTATTAAAATGTCATATTTCAATATTAAAAATATTAATTGGCAATTTGTTACAAAATGCCCTCAGACTCAAAAGAAGGGAAGGGAATTTATATTTGTTGAGCACATATTTATATGTCAGGAACTGTGCTTTGTAAACATTTTTACTTGTGTTGTATGACTTCTATGATGTCTTCATTATCATTTCATTATCATTTCTGCTTCCAGATCTGGGAACAGTGGCTCGGGGAGATGAGGGAACTTGCCCAAGGGTACCTACCTAGTACCTGGAGGCACTGGAGGCTGATCTGCCTGCCTTCAGAGTTTGTTTCACTATGCCAGAAGACCCAGAGGACCTCGGGGTGGCAGGGCTGCTTCTAAGAGCAAGGCTGAAGACTGTCATAGAATGTGGAGTGAACAGAGTCTTTCTGAAGAGTTGTGGGAAATTAATAAACAGGGCTGCTCCACTCAGCCTTGTTGGGCCTCATCTGAGTAGCCAGCCTGGTGGCTAGTAGAACCCTCATCCCACAGGGCCAAGACTTTAGAGATGTCAGAGGTTGGGTTCCCCTGGAAGCATACTCTGAGAAAACTAGTATGCAGAAAGCATCAGGAAGGGGTCTCAGGACCAATGCCTGTAGGGGAGGGGAGGAAGCAGGATTGGGCAGAGGGAGAAGTTGGGCAGCAATGCAGTTCCCATGAGAGCCTCCAATGATTCCATAGGAACTCTGAGGTTGGGAGGACCCTTCAGAGTGGGGTGAGGGAGCTGGGCCCTAATACCCTGTCATTGGATGTGGACTGCCCTGGGAAGGGGGTGTTACCTTAGGCATGGATGCTTTCTTCAGCTGAGACAATTCCCAGAGGGGCTGAGAAATGAGAAGCGTCAAAAAATCGTTTTCCTGGCAGCTGGGAGAGTAAGCCCTTTAGTTCTGAAGGGGGCATATGGGTGGTGCAGCACGGCACCCATGATAATGCTGCCAGTGGGGAGGTGGCCGGGGATGGTGTTCTCCAGGCTTGGTGAGGCTAACTCCAGGATGCACAGATAATTCCAGGAAAAATACCGTGAATGAGGATTCCCAAGGGGCAAGGGCCTTACAGTTTATGGGAAAAGGGGAAGGAAGCTTGGCTGAGAAGTTCTGGAAGGCAAACTGAGGTTTGAATATGCTCCCTCTGCTCCCTGCCCCAATAGTGCCAGGCAGAAAAGATGTCCAAGGTGGGATTCTGGAAGGTGAATCAAATAAGGACAGAGCCACCCCTTGGCTAACAAGTCCCCCAGAAAGACCCTGAGTTCCTAACCCTGTGTGGAGCTACATTGGGTGGGAAGAAAAAAGGGAGAAAATGGAAGAGAGAAGTGAAGGACAAGTTGGTCTTTCCTCCAGGCCTTCACATTCTGGCTGGGGGTGCGGCTTCATATGTGGGAGCAGGCAGAGAAAAGCACATGATGTGCTCCCGGCTGTCTTGGATGGTGCTGCCAGCTTTTGGGGTAAATTAATTCAGAGAAGGGAGCCAGCAAGGTGGGAAAGTCAAGGAGAGATTCTCAGAACAGAGGAGATTGAGGATAAGCTTTGAATAATGGGGAAGAGTCAGGCAAGCAGGGATCTCTCTCCTGAAATGCACCCCTCTTCCTTGCCCTGCGCCCTTGTTTGTTGGGGGAGGGGGGCAGTGGGTCATATGCTCACTTAGGGTTTCTCTATCTCCAGACTATGAGGTGACCCAGAGAAGCACCCAGCCCTCTCTCTTGTCTTTATGAACACTCTTTGTCTTCCCCTGTGCCCTGGATCTGTCCGTGGTGCTGAACCTCAAGGAGCTTGTTCAAGACTCACCTTGGGAGGACCAGGTCTTCAGGGTTTCAGTTTCTTCTTCTGCAGGAACGTGATAAGGTGAGCCTCTTCACAGAGGGTTTGTGCAGGGGGCTTCAGGCAACCGAGGAAGATCTCTCCATGGACACTCAGTCACCAACTTGCTTTCCCTGGAAAGGCCTCTTTGTGCAGAGCAAGATGGGATAGGTAGGCTTTCCTAGAGTGATGAGCAGGCACACATCCTTAGTGCCTGTGCAGGGCATAATGTGGGCAATTTAAATTCAATGTGGGGTGGTGGCTCACACCTGTAATTCCAGCACTTTGAGAGGCCGAGGCAGGTGGATTGCTTGAGCCCAAGAGTTCGAGACCAGCCTGGGAAACATGGCAAAACTCTGTCTCTACAAAAAATACAAACATTAACTGGGCATGGTGGTAGTCTCTAGTCCCAGCTACTTGGGAGGCTGAGGTGGGAGGATCGCTTGAGTCCAGAAGGTTGAGGCTGAAGCAAGTTGTGACTGTGCTACTGCACTCCAGCCTGGGCAGCAGAGCAAGACCCTGTTTCAAAAAACAAACAAACAAAAAAATGTGCTCTAGAGGGAACTCCTATGTGGTGATCAGTCATTCTATGCCTTGATTGTAGTGGTGGCAATATGGATGTGATAAACTTCTAGAACTATACATATACACATACAAAAAAGAGTGCCTGCAAAAAACTGGTAACAGCAAAGTAAGATCTATAGATTAGTTAATCATATTATGCAAAGTCAATCTCCTGGTTTTAATATTGTGCTGCAGCTATCCCCACATTCCCACATGTCACTAGGGGAAGATTGGTGATGGGTACTTGAGGACTCTTTGTACTATTTGTGCAACTTCTTGAAGTCTACACTTATTTCAAAATTAAAAACGGGGAACCCAGTGGCCTGCTTATGAGCCTCTTATCAGCTGCCTGCTCTTCACATATTCAGAACATGTGGAGGCCCAGCTCAAATTTGCCCTTTTCCAGGAAGCTTCCTGATAGTCCATGCCCACTTTGGGTCCCTATAGCACTTATACTGTGAGCACACAGCCGGGCCTCTCTCCTATGTTGTTTTTATTTGTCAATCTTGCCTCCCCTACCATGCTGAGAATTCCCACAAGGTAGGGGTTGTATCTTCTGGGTCTTCCATCTCCTTCTCAGATCCCGAGGATACACAGCTGGTGCTCAATTATCAGGCAGACTGATAAATATACTGCCTCCCACAGGACCCAGGCTTTCTCAAGCCCTTAATTGCTTCCTTGCTTCCCCAACTCCTAAGTCCAGCTCTATAGCAACATGTCTCCAAAAACCATGTGAGGAAGTGAGAGAATAGAGGGCTTGGAGCCACAAGAGACACTGCATCATGAACTGCTTATTGAGTACCCATGTCATGCAGTGGTTAACATGTGCTGTATCTAATCTTCATCAACACCTTGCAAAGAAGGAGCTGCACTCCCATTTTAAAGATAAAGACAGACACACAGTAGGAAGGGATGGTAATAACAGAATTGAAAACCAAGTTCTGCTTCTCACCTTTGCCACATAAAATGGTGTAACTTTAGGCCAGTTGCTTAACCTCTCTGATCTTCCCTTTCTTCATCTGTAATGTGGGAAAAATAATATGTCTCTCCCGGATTTTGTAAAATAAATAAATGAAGTAAACTTCATAGCATTTGTTATCCTGTGGATTCCTCAAAGGCAGGTCCTCAAAGGACCAGGCCTAACATGTGGATGTTCACTATGTGTCTGTAGAAGTAATCTGTGAATGAATTCGTAATTGAAAGAATGAACAAATGCTTGCAAAGTGCCCCCACAGTTCTGAGCACAGAGGAGAAGCTCTCTAAATGTTAATTCCTTCCTAGTTTCCTGCCCTTCTCATCTTCTTCCTTCTACCCCAGCCCTTTCTGGCATGAATCCTCATCCGAACAGTGCCAGAATGGTAGAGAAGCTGCCAGTTCCTTCTGGTTCCAAAGGAAGAAAAATGTGCCACCTGCAGTTTGAGAGTTTTGGCATGGGGCAGAGGCATACCCAGGCTGAGCCTTCTTCTGCACCTGGACTCATTCTCAGGCTTGTGACTGGGCAGGGCTGGGGAAGGCTGTGTAGACCAGCTACCTGGGTGGGGGCTGCTTAGCGGTTCCTTTTCCAGAGGGCCTGGAGAGTAAGCTTCAGGGGCTGGGCCTATAGCCTGGTGTTCTCCCACAATGTCACCTCATACAAAGGGTTCAGGGAGTCCAGGGGGGCCTGTGGGACACCCACCTTTGGGGAAAGGGGAATAGGGCTTTACAGTCCCTGTCTGTTTGTCCCTCACACAGAATCTTAGAATCTCAGCCTTTCAAAAATGTGAGGGAGCCTGCATGTTGTCAGTGCAAGCTCCAGAAGGCTATTCCTAGGCTTGAACTCCCCAGGGGGTGGGGAACTCACTGCCTCACCAGCATAGGGGCATTCTCTGCTTACCCTGGTTGGAAGGGCATGATGGACTATTCCAGCATCCTGGAATCCAGAGGTGTTTGAGTCAAGCTGAAAGAGCAGTTAAAGTGGTAGTTTCATAGTTAAGGTGGTAGTTTCAAGAGTCTTTTACTAGGAGACGGAATCTTGCATTTGCCTGGAGGGTTCCAGCTAGTAGGTTAGTCCTTGGGGAGGGATAGACCAGCCACAGAATTCACACCAAATTGTAAATGATTGACAGGCTAGGTTCTTTCCGATCTGAACAATGCCTGGCCTGCTCTCAGGAGCCATTCCATGCAGTTCTTCCCCCCAGAGCTGTTTGGCCAGATGGATAGATCACACATTTCTAATGTTCTCTCCTCTTGGCCACAACATTCCAGCCTCTTTAAGCCTCAGAACTTTATTTTAGTGTAGGATTATTGGGTTTAATTCACATTTCCCTTATTTGGCATAATTTCCCTCATTCTAGCCCAGAATGGATGGGAAATCCAACCAGGTGTGCAGGCTTCGCTCCCTCTGTCTATTCCTAATTTGAAAGCTGAATCAGAATTCCTTACATTTTTAAGGCCCCACCCCAAAAATCATCCCCATGGTTGAACTTGTATGAATGAATATTCTTATTTTATAGATAAGGAAAGTAAGGCTCTGCAGGTGAGGTAAAAACACTTGCCTAAGGTCGCACAGTGAGACAGAGTCAAGGCTGAGTCTCCATCCCAGGATTCCTAATTTCTGCTCCTGCACTTGGCTCTGGGTTCCTGAGCCCCTAACTTGCCTTTATAGTTTACCAGCAAATGCCACCTGCAGCAGCATCCTCAGCCACTGTCCTTTACCTCCAGGTCTTCCAGCTTGAATGTAAGTGCCTATTTTCAGGAAGAAACAGGGCTTTGTTCTCAGGATGCTCCTGTTAGAGTGGACAGACAGGGGTGTGGCCCAGGGAGCAGGGAGATGCAGCAAGGCAGGGCTGAAGGGGTCAGAGCATGGAGATCAAGGCAGGCTGGGAGTCAGGGAGGCCTTCCTGGGTAAAAGCACCTGGGGAGGGCTTGCAGCTCACTGTGGGATCAGGGCAGCTCTGTGAGAGGAGTGCCAGTGAGGTGACGGGCTCCTTTTGGGAAACGGGGTAGCTGGGAGGCCCAGGGAAGATTTTGAATCAGTCCCTCACACTGGTAGACATTTGCTTCTTCAACTGCACAACCCCTCACTCAGCAGTGTCCTCAGACCACCTCTTAGGTCCTCCAGACCTACAGAGGACCTGGTCAAAAGTGATGCTTCCATCCCAGAGGACAAATGCCCTTTCTGGGCTTACAAGCTGCCCCCACAGCCTGCCATTTCTGAAGATTTCCAAAGACTGAGGCCTCCAGTGGGAGCCTGGAACCCATCCTCACCCTTTCCCCTCTTTCCCCCAGGACTCTCATTCCCCACTTCCCCCCTTGCCTGGGAGCCTGCCCTGTCACCAGCAGCCTCTGCCTCTCCCCCAGTCCCCAGTGGCCTTGATAAGACCTGATGAGCTGGACTATGGGAGCAGGGCCAATTTGTGCCACCCACACCCTAAGCTTCCCCCTGAGGGGTCAACATATTTTTCCAAAATGTTTACTGGAGTGAAGACTCAGGCTGGGCCCTAAATTAAGTTCAATCTTGGACAGAGTGAGGGTTTAGTTATAAGAGATAAGGTGTGTATTGGTCCATTCTCACACTGCTATAAGGACATACCTGAGACTGGATAATTTATAAAAGAAAGAGGTTTAATCAACTCATAGTTCTGCAGGGCTGGAGAGGCCTCAGGAAACTTACAATCATGGCAGAAGGGGATGGCAAACATGTCCTCCTTCACATTGCTGCAGGAGAGAGAAGTGCAGAGCAAAGCGGGGAAAAGCCCCTTATAAAACCATCAGATCTCATGAGAACTCACTCACTATCATGAGAACAGCATGGGGAGACTGCCTCCATGATCTAATCACCTCCCATGAGTTCCTTCCCCCAACACGTGGAGATTACAATTCAGATTACCATTCAAGATGAGATTTGGGTGGGGACACAGAGCCAGATCATATCAGGGTGCATCCCAAAGAGTGATACAAGCACATTCCTTCCCTTTGGTTTTGGGGAAAAGGACCTATGTCCCTATCCACATGCTTTATTGTGTGTCCTCTCTCTCCCCCATCCCTTGGGACCCAGCCCTGAGCCAGGTGCTGTGGGGGAGGTGGAGGAAGAAAAGGCCCCCAGCCTAAGGGCCAGACCTGCCTCACACAGGGAACAGTTTCCTCACACAGGAGTTTTCTGTAGCTGCCATAACAAATTACCACAAATTTGGTGGTTTAAGACAGCACAAATTAATATTCTTACAGTTCTGACATCAGAAGTCTGGTGAGGGCTCACAGAGCTGAAATCAAGGTGCTGGTGGGGCTGTGTTCCCTGCAGGAGGCTCCAGGGAAGACTCTGTTTCCTTGACACCTCTGGCTTCTAGAGGCTGCTACATTCCTTGGCAAAGCCTCCAGTGGCCAACTGAGTCTTTCTAACATTGTGTCACTCTGACATGGACTGTTCTTCTGCCTCCTTCTCCCACCTTTAGGGACCCTTATGATTACATTGGGCCAAACTTTATAACCTCTCTATTTTAAAAAGTCGGCTGATGGGCAACCTAAATTCAGTCTGCAATCTCATTTTCTCTGTGCCACATCATTTAACCTATTCACAGGATTCAGGGATTAGAATATGGACATTTGGCCGGGGAATGGGGGGTATTATTCTACCTCTCACACCGAGTAAAAGGGACTGTAGTGCTCCCACATCTACACACGGGGCTCAGGCTCCCATTTGGGAGCTGGAGCTTGGTGTTCTCATTTTCGTTTGCCGCCTTGGGCAGGTCCTTTTCCTCCTGGACCCCAGCATCCCCTTCTGTATTTAAACAAGTGGGCTAGATGACTGCTGTATTCATTAGTGTAAAGTTGAGCTCTGAACCATAGAGACCCAGCAAGAACTCAGTTGCTTTAAAAAAGACAGTCTGATACATCAATCCAAGATGAACATTCTGGGTGTACAAAGGCTGTGCTCCATGTGGTCATTCAGGGATGGAGGTGATTTTCATCTCATCCCTCTGTTGTAACTCAGGGACTTGCTACTCAAAGTGTGGTCCCTGGACCGACAGCATCAGCATCACCTTGGAGCACACTAGAAATGGAAATTCTTAGCTCTCACCCACAGAGATATTGAATCAGAGATTCTTGGGCTGGGGCCCAGCCATCCATGAGCTAAGAATTTCTCCAGGCGATTCTGATGCACATTAAAGATGAAGAACCACTGCTCTAGGGCATTGCACTTATCTGCTTGGTTGCAGCTGGGGCCCAGGCCTATCTGAGTTTGGACTCATGGGAAGCGAGCACAGTAGAACACATTCCCAAGGTTTTGTGAGGCAGGCCTGGAAATGGCATATAATGTGCTCACTCTGTTGTTGAGAACCTGGTCCCATGACCATACTTAGTTGCAAGGGGGGCTGGGAAGCATAGTCCCTAGCTGAGCAGCCACGTGGCTAGCTACAACTCTATCATTATGGAAGAAGGGGAGGATGGATTTTGGTGTATAACCAGCAGTCTCCACCATCATTGCCAAGGTCTCATCCATCTTAGAGGAACAATAATTTCTTGCATCTGTCCTGGCTCACAGGCCTCATTTCATCAGCTGAATGCACCCCAGAGGCATGCAGTCATCTATCCCAACTTAGCTCTAGCCTCAGTGACATAGCTTCCTGAACATACTGTTGGCAATCAGGAGTCCAAGGTCATTCTCCAGTTTGGAATGAGGGAGAGCCTAAGAGAGAGAGGAAGAACGGGCTTTACAATGTCTTGGCTTGCCTAAGTTTAAGCACACAGTGGCTGGGGTTGAGGACCTTGTTTAGGATATTAGGCATATATACTTCCACCTGTCCCTTGGAATCCATAGAACACTAGAGGTTTTCAAGATATCCTAGGAACAGCAGGATGGGGAACACACTGGTTACTGCCCCTCTCTCTTCATGAATATTTACCGTGTTCCAGTTCCTGAACTGTATGCTTAATGAGAGAGTGGCCCCAATTGCTGAAGGTTCAGAAAATACTCAAAGCTTTAGGTGGGAGAATGGGGAAACAGCTGTCTATCCTCCTTTTCCTCCTGCCACATTGTTCCAGGAGCTTCTTAAGGTAAGGTGAGAGGCCTCCTTCTTCACACTGGGCATGGTCAGGGACAGAGACCCTGTCTTCCCTTGAGTTCAGAAGCCATAGGTATGGGGTGTGCCTTGGTGTTCTCTCGGTCACATTGAGCATCCCCATTCAGATTTCCTGACGGTGTCACAAGAGGCCTATACTTTTACTCTGAGGTAGCCTGAGTCTTCTCAATGCCTCTGGCTCACATTGGCTGAGCTTCCTGCAGAATTTTGTCCTGAGCTGGGTTTAGGGATGGGCCATGACTTCTGCAGAGGAACAGTGGCGACTGTGTCTATGTTTTCCATGGGGCTGTTGAGGAAGATGCTGCCCATTGTGTAGCTTAGGGTATCTCAAATAATGACCCCCATGATAAATGCTGCTTAGAATTTAATGTCAGGAAAACATTTATGTCTCCTGAAGAACTGGCCTTTTGTTCTGGCAGGGAGAAGAACACTACATCCTTTTGGTTCTACTTTGGTCTGAGCTGCCAGAAACCTGAGAGCTAAGTTTAATGATTAATTGCAACAACCTTAATATTTTCAGTGCAGGATGTAGTTTAACTTCCTTTCCCATTGACCAGGGCTCCTCAGAGAGAGGGCTGTAGATGCCTGCAACAGAATCAACTTGCTCCAGTGCAGCTGACTGGTCTGATCTCAGAGCTACTGAGGTCAGAATCCTGTGGTGGGGCTGGGGGGTGTCTTATGCATCCCTAGTCAATTCTTATGCAAGCCGAAGTCTGAGATCCCCTGCAGTGAGTCATACTGATCATTTATCTCAGACATCCTCTAGTGAAGATATGCTCTCCTTAACCTCAAAATGTATTTGGATGCAGGAAGATTTTTTTACATATAATATACATTTAATTATATGTTTAATTATATGTGTTAAAATAAATATAGAAGTGATAATATTAAACCTCTACACATAGTACTTGAAAACCATTATAAGAATAAATGATTGATGACAGGATTAAATATAGAAATAAATTATAAATTTAAAATGCATCCTGAGCCTTAAATAAGAAAAATTTTTAAACCTCATCATTAAAAAGTTACGAGGAATTAGAAACTGTTACTTTAAATTTTCTGTGAAAAACCATAATGACTATTCCTAAAAAGTCAGATAAAAATGCATCATCTTGTTACCAGTGGCTTCCTCTGGACAATGGTACTTGAGTGAGTCTAACTTCCTATGTTATGCATTTCTGCAACAGGAGGTAGGAGGATTTTGAATTGTAGGTAAATCCTCCAATGGAATACTACGCAGCTGTGAACAATGAATGAGGGAGCTTATTAAGAAATAAACAAGTCTTCAGGATATTTCATTAGGTGAAAAAAGAAAGGAGCAAAATAGTGTGTATAGGATACTAACTTTTGTGAAAAATAGGGGGAAGTATGAAGAAATATTTGGTTTTGCTTATACAGTTATACAGAAACTCTAGGCCAGATGTGGTAGCTCACACCTATAATCCCAGCACATTGAGAGGTAGAGGCAGTAAGATTGCATGAGCCTAGGAGCTTGAGACCAGCCTGGGCATCATAGCGAGACTCCACCTCTCTTTTTTCTTTCTCTTTTTTTTTTTTTTCGAGACAGAGTCTCACTCTTGTTGCCCAGGCTGGAGTGCAATGGTGCGATCTCAGCTCACTGGAACCTCTGCCTCCCGGGTTCAAGCGATTCTCCTGCCTCAGCCTCCCAAGTAGCTGGGATTACAGGCATGTGCCACCATGCCCAGCTAATTTTGTATTTTTAGTAGAGATGGGGTTTCACCATGTTGGTCAGGCTGGTCTCAAACACCTGACCTCAGGTGATCCACCCGCCTCGGCCTCCCAAAGTGCTGGGATTACAGGCATGAGCCACCGCGCCCAGCCCCATCTCTTTAAAAAAGTAAAAATTAGCCAGGCATGGTGGCACACGCCTGTAGTCCCAGCTACTCAGGAGGCTGAGTTGGGAGGGTCACTTGAGCCCAGGGAGGTCGAGGCTGCAATGAGCCATGATGGTGTCACTGCACCCCAGCCTGGACAATGGAGTGAGTCCGTGTCTCAAGAATAAATTTTTTAAAAATCTCTAGAAGGCTTCACAAGAGATTAATAGGAGTTTCTGTCAGAGGGTGGTGGGAACTGGGTGAATCTTAGCCAGGAGTGAAAGAAAACTTTTCACTATATACCTTTTATGCTTTTTACTTTTGAACCATGTGAATATATTTCAGATTTTTAAAAATTTTTAAAAATTCTAATATGTGTAAGTATATAATATATATTATACACACACATACATATATATATATGATGTATATATCTGATCAAAAGAGTCTCTACTTGGTCACAACCATGTAAACTGTTTTATTAACACCAGTGTTTGGAGCCACACAGTTTTTTCCTATGTCGAGACATACATCATACGATTTTATCACATGACCACTGCCTCTGAAAGGGCCCCTGCAGCTCATGGCTTCGGACAGAACCAGCTACAACCTCAGAATAGTGCCAAGCAGACTGAGGAAATCGGAGTGAAAGTGCTTCAGTTTCTGAGAACATTCAATGTTCAATGCTCCGGATCAAGAATGATTCTCCACCATTGCTGCCTGCCCAAAGGGATATCTTACTGAGACAGATACCAGGGTCATTCAGTGTCAATGGATGAGTTTGCCTGGGCTGCCATAACAAAGTACCACACACTGGGGCCTCAAACAACTGAAATGGAGGCTGAAATCTGAGATCAAAGCGACGGCAGGGGTGGTTTCCTCTGTCTCTCTCCTTGGCTCACAGATGGCCGCCCTCTTGCTGCCTCTTTTCAGGGCCTTTTCTCTGTGGGTGCTCAGCCCTGTTGTGTCTCTGAGAGTCCAAATTTCCTCTTATAAGGACACCAGTCAGACTAGATTAAGGCCGACCCTAATAGCCTCAGTCCACGTTAATGACCTCTTTAAAGATCCTATCTCCGAATACAGTCACATTCGAGGTACCGGGGGTTAGGGCTTCACATGTGAATTTGAGAGGACACAAATCAGCCGATAACAGTCAGAGTTCAAGGACTGGGGCTTTCGATTCAAATCTTGGCTCAGGTCGGGGTCAATGCTGGCACTATTTCTGGTCCGGCAAAATGTGGTTTGAAGTAAGCAGTTGGTGGTAAAGCAGGGTGGCAAAGTTCCAGGCAGACATAAGTCAGATGAGAAAGAAGAGAGAGGGGAAAGAGAGGATGAGGAAAGGAGGAAGGAAGGGAAAGGAATGAAATAAGAGAGCCGAGGAAAAGGTGGGAGGTAAAGCCAGCAGTGGCACCCCAGCACCCCCTGCAAAGGAACAGCTCCCACTGGGATCCCTCCAGCGTGAGGGTGACTAGGAGCATTCACTTCACAGCCCAGCCTCCGTAGTTGGCTCTGACTTGTCTCTGGAACAGTAGAATGCCTGCCCTTTGCCAGGCTTAGCTCTGAATGAGCGAAGGTGTCTAGGACATGTGGTTCCTCCATTTTAGAGGGGGGAGAAGTTGTACAGGTCATCTGTGAGCCCCTTTGTTTGTGGAGGAGAAGGTGAAAGACCCGAGTGAAGAAAGTGATTTCTCCATGGCTACACACCTGGGACTTGGAATAGCTGTTTGCTCCCCTACAGCCATCACGGGTGAGGGATTTGGGGCGCCTCTGGAACTCCCATATCCTCAGGGGATCCAACAGCAAACCAGGATAGGGGCCTGTCTCCTCCTTATCAGCTAGTTTACACTTCTGGAGATCCTTTCTCCCAGGTCAGGGGCAGGGACTTGCTAAGAGCAAGAGGCTGACCCATGGGATTGGGGAGGTAACAGAGAAAGCACCCCCAAAAGCAGGCTGCAGGTAGGCGGGAAGAAACACACATCTTGGGTCATTAGGAATGGTGAGCCAGGGAGACAGAGATGTTTCAGAAAGACTGTCTTGAAAAGGGAGAGAAAGTGACATAAATTATGACTTAATGCCCCCCATAAATCCTGATGTGCTATTCCAGTGTCCTGGCTGCAGGCATAAATGCTGGGCCCATGACAGATAGATGGATAGTGTGCTTGAAGTGACGGAGCATCTCTCCCATCTCTCAGATAATGCTGGCCTGTTCTATGCTCAGGATCCATAACAAAGACATGTCCTATAATGAAAGATGGTCCGCAGATGGCAAGACCAACCTGTCTCCATTGCTTTTTCCATGGCAAGGAAGGACCACACGATCAGCCTCAGAGCCAGAGGAGCCCGTGGTCCAGCTCCTGGTGGAAGGACAGTACATGGAGCACAGGTCTCCTTGCCCATTGCACGCGTCTTGCCACCTCTTGGCCGTGGTGGGGGAAGGGTGCAGAATGACATTGATCCCTCGCCATCAGCATAGCAGAAGGGCATCCTTTATTCCAATCTGGCTTCATTTTCTGTGGCTTGGGGAGGTGGGGTTTAGGACAGCTGTTCCACAGACCCAAGAGTCGGGGGAAGCCTAAGCCCTTGGCCATTCAGATCTGGGACTGACCTCCTGCTGATGGTTCTGTCCACTTGGGGACAGTAAGTCATCCCCGGGCACAAGCTCTTCTCATAGAGAAATGTTTGACCCCAGAGTGGCCTTGGATCTGCTGGGATCACCCAAGGATCTATTTTCCAGCCCAACCTTAGTTCTATCCTAAAGTTCAGAAAATTCTTCCTGAATACTCTTTCTCACCTCTACATATTTACTTGTGCATTAAACCCACCCAAGATGCATGCTCCTCTTTAATCTTTTAAGCTACTCTTCTTCATCCTGCAAAGGCTAGGCTCAAACTCTGCCTCCTCTAAGAATCCTGCACTGACTTCTCCAGCCTGCACCAAATTCTTCCTTCCCTCAGCTCCTATGCCCTTACCATGTGAGCCACACATCATCTTGAATGAATACCTAAGTATTTCCTTCATATCTGACTGCTTCGTATATTTTAATTCATACAAAAACTGTAAACTTCTTAAAGTATTGCTTTAAGCATCACAGTGAGCCTCTGCCCTGCTATTGTTTAGCACAGAGCAGGTGCTTAACAAATGGGGAGTGAATGACCGCCTTGAATGGGAGCCTGAGTTTCTTCTTTCCCGCCAATCTGGGAGCTCGCTGAATATAAAGAAGCCACTTTCTTGGCCCACCCATTGCCTGTCATGGGGAACTGGCACAGGATATTGAAAGAATGGGGGCTGATAAAGCTGGCCAGTGCAATCCATCATGGTGAAGCTAAACTGGCTCTCTCCATTGTGGTTGGCAAAGCAAGGCTGCCCCGGATGTCGGTGCTGAGCTCCCTGATTCTTGCATGAATCTTGCCACAGATCCCAGCCATCCTACCCCCTGTGAGGGTCTACACAGGCTCTCCTGTGGGCCCTTGGTTTCCCTCCATCAGGGCCTTGCAGAACCTGGGGTCAGGCTGCCTGGCTGCTGCTTCTGTGGATTCAGGGAGTGGCCACCATGCCCCCTCACTCCTGGTGCAACTCTTCGTGAGGAGGTCTCGAAGGGACACTTTCTTCTCCTTCAGTGCTGCTGCCTCTGTGATACCCACCTGCATGGTGCCTGGCTGACTCCTACTCTCCCAGCTCTGGCCAGCAGGAAGCTGTCTGGGGCTTGCTACACATTGAGCCCACTTCCCTTTGTTCTCTTCCCAAATGCCACCCACCTCCACCTGTGCAGCCTTCTCATTTGGTAATGGAGCTATTTCACATTCCCACAGATCTTGGCAAGGTCAGGTTGCCCAGGTTCCTGTGTCCAAGTCTGCGCAGGAGGGATATATATGTCCTTGGGAAAAGGAGAAGATGTCTCACTTATGCCAATGTTTAACCACCCTCCTCTCCAGGAAGTTCATCCTGTATCTGACCTAGCTCTTTCAGTGCGGCAAAAGCCCAGTTTGCTCAGTGTCCTCCACAGAGCTTGGCTCCTGTCCTCAAGCTCATTCCCTCGCCTCCTCTTTGCCAGATGTGTGGCCAGGACAGGGTCATCCTGTGACCTCACTTTAAATCCCAGAGCCTGGGGAATGGCTTTTATCATCCCCGCCAGTTAGTTCCATCTGTCTTAATTACATTTTCAATTTTGTCACTTACCATCACTTCATATTTCCTTCAGCAGCTGAGCATGCCCACGAGGACCTGGGGGGGTCCCTGCCCTTCCAGGCCACTCAGTGGTTCCCGGCTCCATCACTCAGGACTGGAAAATTGCTGGCTCCTGCCCTGGGGCTGTCTGTAGAGCAGGCTGAATAAATCGCCACCCCGATCCTCTGCCCCAACTAGACAGCGTTGGCTGTGGCCCAAGGCTCTGATCCGGGACTTCCCTGCTGCCAACTCCTCCAGCCGGCTGTCGGCCTGCCTGTCCACTGCCTGCCCATGGGTTTCAGGGTGACCTGGGGCTTGTCTCCAAAACACTGCAGGAAGCTGTGAGTCCACCAGGCTGCCCTGTGCTGGGCACCTGCTCAACTGGCTTCTCGCCTGGCTCTAGCCCTTTCTGAAGTTGCATGAGAATTCAGGCAGCTCGTTTTCCTCCTCTGTGTCTGTATATCCTCTTCTACCAAAGTGTCAGAAGGTCTAAACCACAAGTTTTGGGGAAGAGTAAAGAGGGCCCCCGGAAGTGAAATGAAGGTTAACTATGATATAAGGGAATAAATCACACTTATAATAGCCTTTCATTTTGGTTTATTACCAAGGGAACTAATGAAATTGAATTCATCCACTGTGTTAAACACTCTTTCCCCATGAAAAGTGAATCCTTCAGCCTGGGCCACATAGTGAGACCCATCACTACAAAAAATTTTTAAAAATCAGCTGGGCATGGTGGCACATGCCTGTGGTCCCAGCTACTCAGGAGGCTGAGGAGGGAGGATTGCTTGCACCTTGGGAAGTGGAGGCTGCAGTGAGTCATGATCATGCTACTGTACTCCAGCCTGGGTGACAAAGTGAAATACTGTCTCAAAAAAAAAAAAAAAAAAAACAGACTCCGGTACTAGACTGAACCATGGTTCTGGCACAGACAAAGCTGTGGCCACAGGTTGGTCCCTGTGGCTGTCTAATCTCTGATCCTTCCCTGGACCACTCTCTCATCCTGAACAGTCTAAACCTTGGTCATAAATTGAAACTCGGCCCTGACCCTGGCCAGTTTGGGTCTATCCCCACATCCTAATCACTTACTTCTCACAGAAATGGGTGAAGAGAGAATAGCTGGTTGGGTGCATCCCTAGCCCTGTGCCTGTCATGGGTTCATAGGACGGCCCTTGTTCCCCAGGTCACAGGCCTACTTGAGGCCCCCTGTATGAAGGGTGAATAGTGTTTCTTCCTGGGGAGGAGCTGCAAGGCAGACGAGACAGGGGGCAAGGCAGAATCAGGCACCACTTCATGACCTTGAGGCCATTCCTTGAATGTGTCTGTCCCCATCTTTGTCCTCAGAGTCTTGTAGATACAGCTGAGAACTGTCTCAGAGTCACGGGCCTCTCCCTCTGGAGCAATGCTGAACCTCTCCTTTCCTCCCCATCTCCCAGGCCATCCTTCTGGTCTCTATCCTGCCCCAGCTTAAGAGTCTGCTCCCGGGGTTAACCGCAGGCACCCTGCCACCCTCCTCCTGGCCTTTCACAGCCTTGACCAGGAGAGGCCAAGGTTGGAGGCAGGGTGGGGCAGCTCCCTGGCTGATACAGCTCTGGAGAGAGAAGAGAAAAATGGCCTCCACTGGAGAGCTTTTCTCCTCTCCATCTCCAGCAATGCCTCCTCCAGGAAGGCTTCCAACACCCCTGTATCCTCTGAGCTCTCTCCAGCTTCCCTCAGCATAGACTCAATGGCTCTCATTTGGCAACAGCTACACACAGCCCTGAATATTGCTTTGTCTGCCAATGAGTTTTTATTGCTGCACTCCTGATGGGCAGGTTCAATTGAAACTACAGTAACATCAACACGATGCACGCTAGAGTATTAACACTTCTCAGACCTCATTTTACACTTAATAGCGGTGTGACAGGACATGGGCTCAGCTGCTCGGTGACTTCAACAAGGTAGAAGTTTATTTCTTATCTATGCAAAGGTCCAGCCTGGGTGGCATTTCTGTGACTGCTACCATGATTCTCTGCCATCCTAGGAAGTTGTCCTTGCCACTGCATCCTACCCCCGCTGGCAAGAAGGAGTGATAGTGAATATCACCAGGTAGCATTCAGCCTGCTCCCCCTCCCCGCCTGCTATGCTTTCACTGTATTACAGAGCCTGGAAGCCTCAGTACTGTGTTTGTCAGACTCCTGCCACCAGGATTCTGGATGTCACTAGTTCCAGCCAATGAGCTTTACTCACATGCTATTTGCAAGGGAGAAAGATGGCTGAAGCTGTTCTGCCTTAGGCGGCAGAAGCACCTGGCCTGCAGCCTCTGGCCCCTGGGATCCTCCAGTCCACTGTCTGGCCTCATTGCAGCTGGGGGTGGCTATGACATTGGCAGCAGTTTCCCGGAGCTTCCTGACCTCTGGTTTGTAGCTCCTGTGATGTGACTGGAAACGCTAACAACATCCCACAACCTTCATGCTTCCAGTCCTGCCAAGGAATTTGTAAGCAACCAGATCCCTCTATTAAATCTCTTTCTGTCTGGAATACCTAGAATAGTATTTTCTTCCTGTGCTACACCCAGACTGATTCTCAAGTGACACCTACCACACCCTACTGGCCAGAACCTGGTTCCATGACCACACCGAGGGAAGCTAGGAAATGTAGATTTTGTTCTGAGATGCCACGTACCCATCTATAATGCAGGCAATCTATTTAGCCAAGGAAGAGGGAGAGAACGGACGCAGAAGAACACTAGCAATCTGTCCTGCGTGCTGTGATAAACCCTAAGAAGATGAGAACAAGCCTTATGAGAGTGACTACCCCAGCTCTGCTAACTCTGAAGTACTCCAAGACCGTTTAACTACTACAGATTCCAGAACCCCAGCCGTGAATCCAAGTCTGCCAGTATGACAAGTTCCTCCGCCACTGATGTTCTGACCATGGTGTGGAGAGATAAAGCAAAATGAACGAGGGCTTGGAGTAGAGGCTCTGGGCTACCTTGCCAGCTGATCTAGCCTTCTGCCCCATGCTGACAAAGCCTCATGCTGAGCACCGGGAATCCAGAGAAGAAGGACTCGACATGGTTGCTGTCCTCAAGGAAGCCACTCTTCCGAAACATAGCAAACTTTTTCATCTCCATTTTGGCCCCTCTTGTAAGACATTCACCTCTCTTCCTCTCAGCCCTTGAAAAAAAAAAAAGTCCCTTTCACCTCCAAGACCCTGTCCCCAAATACCCTGCTGCGCAGGAGGACACCTTCTCCAACTCCCAGGCAGAGTACATGGCTCCCTCCCTGGGCTCCCCCACTCCAGTGATTGGTTCCAATTCATCCCCGGCCACACTGGATGGTGCTGGTCTATCCATGGCCCTGGCTCTGCCACTTGATGGGCTTGGTGGGGTCTGTGATGACAAGGACCCCATCTGTCTGATGAATTTCTGATGCCCAGACTCCAGCACTGCTTGCAACCCCAAATCTAGCCTCCATCCACACTCACCCACACCCTTCCCAGATTTGCAGTAGTTTCTCACACCTCTGAGACTCCAAAAATCGTGCTTCCTCCTCCTGGGACACTTTCTCCACCTCCCTCCCCAAGTGTTTACCAGCCAAGACCCACCAGTTACCTATCACCTTCTCCAAGAAGCTTTTCCCTGACCCCCAAAGGTGGGCTGAGCAACTCCTCTAAGCCCCCACAGCCTCTTTGCTCCTTGCTACACTGTCCCTATTCAGAGTGTGGTCAGGGACTAGCATCGTCAACCCCACCTGGGTACTTGTAGGAAATGCAGACTCTCAGGCTCCACCCCAGACCTGCGGAATCAGAGTATGCAGTTTCACAAGATCCCCAGGTGCCACCTGTGCGCATCGTGTTGAGAAACGCTGCTACCAGACCACTGACTACATGGGTTGGAATCATTTGAGCTCTGTGATGTCCAACCAGACTGTGAGATTGTTCTGAGGGCAAGAAACATTTCTTATTCTTTTTATCCCCTCCTTCCTTCCCCAGTAGGGTACCACACACTTAGCAAATAAAAACACAGCACACCCACTTAAATGTGAATTTCAGAAGAACAACAGACAATTTTAGTTTAAGTATGTCCCATGCAATATTTCTGACATGGTTATACTACAAAATGATTTGTTGTTTCTCTGAAATTCAAATTTCATTTTAATGGATATTTGAATCTGCATTGAGTTTATTTATTTTTTAAAATTTCTTTGTGTGAAGCAGAACTAAGTGCCAGAAAAAACTAAAAATCAATGAAAATAAAATTTCTCTTCGTAGAGATGGGGGTCTTGCTATGTTGCCCAGGCTGATCTTGAACTCCAACCCTCCTCCCACCTTGGCCTCCCAAAATGCTGGGATTATACACGTGAGTGACTGCACCCAACCCTGAATTTATATTTAATTTGCATTTTGTCTACAACCCTATCCCAGACCCTGTCCTGTACCTAACCTGCACACAACACATGTTTGTTGAATGAGGCCTGAAAGGAGGAACACATGGGAGCCTCATGTATGAACCAAAGAAGCTTTACCCACCTCGCTTACTTTCCAGAGTGGCAGCTAAAATAAAACTGGTAAAAAGTGCTTTAGAAACACTAAAGCTGTGTACAAATGTGGTTTGTTATTACAGTCATCATCACCATTGCCATCACCTAAATAGCCCCAAATACGTCTGAGCTAGACTTTCTGAGCATTTGTGTATGTCAGTAATTCTTTTATATTGCTCAGACCAATCTGGATTTAGCACATTAGGGAAGATGACATTATATTACAATCATGTTATTACTATTATTACCACTCTTGATGTTGTTACAGTATGTTTCTTTATGAATCACTATGATTATTTTCCCTGCAAAGAATTTTGTGTTCTTGTCAGTGAATTTATTGTAATAATGAAACCCAAGACTTTCCCCAGGGCTCTGAGTGGCAGGTGCCTGGAAGCCCTACCTTCCTATCAAGAACCACATCCACCCGGGAGCAGTGGTTCATACCTGTAATCCCAGCACTTTGGGAGGCCAAGGCGGGCAGATCACTTGAGGTCAGGAGTTTGAGACCAGACTGGCCAACATGGAGAAACCCCGTCTCTACAAAAAATACAAAAATTAGGCAGGCATGGTGGCACACAGCCTGTGGTTCCAGCTACATGGCAGGCTGAGATGGGAGGATCAATTGAGCCCAGGAGGCGGAGGTTGCACTGAGCCAAGATTGCACCACTGCACTCCAGGCTGGGCGAAAAGCAAGACTCTGTCAAAAAAAAAAAAAAAAAATAGATAGATAAAAGAGCCACAACAACCATCAGTGGGTACCAAACCAAGAGAGTAAGTGTGCTGGCATTGGACCCTTTGTTTCGGGGGAAACAGAGATACAAGGTTAATTTCTGAGCCCAAACCCAGGTCAGCAGTTCCTAGAGTGTGCTCCTTGGACCAACAGCATTGGCATTACCTGATAGCTTGTTAGAAATACACATTCTTGGACTCCACTCTAGGCCGCTCAAATCAGAAATTCTGAGGGTGGGGTCCAGCAATCTATGTTTCAACAAGCTATCCAGCTGATTTGATTTCTCCCAAAGTTTGAGAATCACTGATCTAGGTGGAGGTGAGAGAACATGGAGCTCTCGCGTCCCTTCCAACCTAATGACTATAATTCAATTGTGTTCATGGAATCCAGGAAAATGAAGCCAAAGGAGTGGCGGAGGGAATGAGGGCACAGGGAGACAGGAGAGAGAAAATTAGAGAGGAGAGCATTGGCAGATGTGGTGTCAGACCCCCATGGCCATGGTCCTCCTTGAATCCCAGGTCCCCCAGGGAAAGAGTGAGTTTCTACAGGTGGAGATGGGGAAGTGTGGAGTGCTCCACACAGAACAAATGTTGTGCAAAGGTCCTGAGGATTGGCAGCAAGGGGCAAGTATGGGAAAGAGTGGGTTTCTAGGTGTGGCTGTAATCTGTGATAGGAGTGAAGATGGCTTAGAACCAGAGTATGGCAGCCCTTTGATGCCAAGAAGCCCATTCAGATTTCACCCAGCAGATGTCTGAAGGCCTCTGAAGGCTTTTGACCGGAGAGGGGCATGGTCATAGCTGTGCTTGGGTAAGATGAAGAGTGGAGGTAAGCTGAAAGCATAGCAAGGAAGCTTCCGTCAGGGCTGACTCTTCCAGTCACACAGCCAAGCCCTGGGGTTGCACAAGGCCACTTTGTGGCATAATGCCCTGGCTCTAAGAGTAAGGTTGGTCTTCTTCCCTGCAAAGGTGTCTGTTTTTATTTTTCATTAGAAAAATAAAAAACCAGTCCTGGCTGGCTGGACTTTGCAGCTCCTACCAGCTGTGGATTGGGACCTGTGGCAGACATAGCCATGACAGCTCCAGTTCCCCAACAAGGGCCTCAGCGGAGCTGTCCAGCAGAGGTTTTGATCTGACAGCAGCTGTGCTGTGGACACTTCTGAGGATTGGGATTTGGGGGCAGGTGAGGTAGGTGGGACTCACAGAGGGGAAGAAGGCAGATGGAATGCTGCCCTGCACCTCCCTGCCTCCCTGGTCTGTGGGAGGAAGCTGCCCCTGGACATGGTATCCCTAAGGTTTGGAGAAGGAGGAAGTCAGGATGGGGGAGAAGAAAAGAAGCAATATTTATACCAGTCCTGTTCACCCTCCCTCACTGCCGTCCCCCTGGCCTAGCCCTGCTTCAGGAGACTGAGGGGGTTCTCCTCTTCCTTTGAGGAGCAATAAAGGTCAGAGAAACCATCACACTTCATGGCACTTGTGGACTGGCAGCTTTGGGAGCAGAGGGAATATGGCTTTCTCATAAAAGGCTTCAGCAGCGGGGTCCCCTCCTATGACTTCACAGACAGTGAGCATCACTGTGAGGGTCTCAGGAAGGGAGAGCAAGGACACAGCACACCCCCCATTTAATAACAGAAAATATTTATCCCTGTGTACAATGGAGATACCCATGGAAATTCCAAAAATCACTGTGTGTGTGGAAGTGGGGTGACTTTACATGGGGTTGGTCCTTCAATGGTAAGTAGGGAAAGGGTCAATGAATTGATGGCAATTGTTATGATTGTACCTCATTGTTCCCTAGCTTAAGGAAACATGAGTTACATGTGCAGGGTCCCTGGCATGAGGTAGGCACCCTATAAGTGCTTGCTGATGAATGAATGTTCCATATATGGCCACTGAGCAGTCACTGTGACTTACGTTCTTCTGTGGCCCTGTGGATCCCCTCCTCAATCCTTTGGGAACAGAGCCATTGATGCCCACAGGTCATGGAAAGTAGCTCCTCTGCCTTCCATGGACATCTGTTCTCATCCTCTAATGGGGGATCCCCTAGGAAGGACCACTTCATAAAGTGTCTCCACTTCATAAAGCCAAAACATTATAGCTGGGGCTCTTCAAGTCTTTGTCACTAACTCTCATTCACATAGTAGAGCTGGAGAAGCGAGGGCCCACCGGTGGAAAATGACTCATCCCAAGTCACAAAGAGAGTCAGAGACACAGTGAGCACTAGAATCTGATGTCTGACTTTCACTCACCAGCACTTGTCTGTTGCACGATGCTATTGATCTTCAGGAGCATCCCCAGAGGGGAAAGTTTGCCTAAAAGAGTGCTCTAGGCCCGGTGCAGTGGCTCACGCCTGTAATCGTAGCACTGTGGGAGGCTGAGGCAAGTGGATCACCTGAAGTCAGGAGTTTGAGACCAGCCTGGCCAACATGGCAAAACCCCATCTCTACTAAAAAAATCAAAAAATACAAAATTAGCTGGCCATGGTGGCAGGCACCTATAATCCCAACTACTCAAGAGGCTGAGGCAGGAGAATTGCTTGAACCCTGGGGGCGGAGGTTGCAGTGAGCTGAGATTGCACCACTTCATTCCAGCCTGGGCGACAGAGTGAGACTCTGTCTCAAAAAAAGAGTGCTTGGTTATCATGGGGCCAGAGCTCCAGGATTCCAGACCCCCCTGTTCCTCAGTCCTTCTGAAAAAGGACCTGGAGAAAAGCTCTCCCTCACACTTTAGTGGCTCAGGCTCTTGAATTACATCATCCATGCCTTTAGGGAAGTTGCTGGAGGTCAGTGGTTCCATCTTGGGCAGCATAATGGTTAAGGGCACAGAGTCTGGAACTAGAGTCCCCGGGTTCAAGTTCCTGTTCTGCACTTACAGTCTATGCTGCCCCTGGGAAAATTCCTTAATCTTTTGCTGTCTGTTTTCTTATTTCAAAATAGGGACACTAACAATGCTTAGCTTGTAGGGTTGCTATGAGGATGACATGGATTTCTTTGAGTAAAGGACTTAGAACAGCCTCTGGCACACTGCAAGAGGAGGACAAGAGTTTAATATATAAACTATTGGTGTCATTTGGGTTCCCCAGAAGCTAAGCCCAAGACAGAGATTCAGGTGCATGGGATTTACTGAGGGAGTTCTGGCAGCAGAAAGGGAGGGAAGGACTTAAGCAAGGATGTGGCCTCATCTGGGTCTGGCTGCACCACTCTGGAACACTAGCTCATCACAGTGGCAGACTCACCTTGAGGCAAAAGGGAGGGAGATTAAGGAGAAGGGATGCAGCCTTCTGTCTATACCACTCAGTCCTTGTGTACAGGATGTCCCGAGCCATGGGTAATGTAACTTTCCAGAAGAGGTGAATCTCACTGGCCAAAGGCAACTCTAGAGAAGGGGGAGGCTGTGAGATGATAGCAGCTGACATCTGCAGCAGCTGGGCAATGAGGGCATTGGCCCAGCAAAGGGGATCTGGACCAAGACCTCTTAAATGCCTCTGCTTGATGGAAGGGAGGGCACTGTGCTTGGTCCTGACCCCTTCCCTGATGCTTCCAGGAGAGCTGGGCTTCCTCTCCTGCCCCATCCACTATGACTCAAAACTCTCCAGAGCTAGAAAAATTCAGGGGTACCTTCAACCCCTGCACCACTTTATCAGCTCTCACCAGCCCCCTCTTAGGGGAGGAGTCTCTCATGGACCCCTGAACTCCCCAAGGACCTCCTGAACCCAGGAGATGCTGATTCCTGACACTCAGGCAGGAGTCTGGTCTTCTGGTGGCAGCTTGACCCTAGCCCCTTTCTTCCCCACCCACTCCAGGTCCCTGTGGTGGGGATTTCACCATATAGGAATTTTCTATCACACCATGAGCACCTCGGAGGAAAATCGGCAAAATTAATTGGAAATTAAAGTCACCAAATGAGCACTGAATTAAGAAACCATTAACTCCAAATGACTGCTGGAAGGGAGCGGAAGTTAATTACAAAGGCTGCCTGGTTATTTTGTGTATTTTCAGTATCGCAGTTATTGTCTGAGATCCTGATGTCTGAGTCTGATTAGCATTCTGTGGCTCTCAGTGTTGCTTTGGTGAGTGGTGCAGCCCTCCCCAGGAGTCCTAGGGACCAACACAGGCACTGAGGGACTGCCCCGTCTTCCTGAGACTGGGCCTCCCTGCACACTCCCCACCTGATCCTCAAAAGCATCTTCCCATAGCTGCCTTAGTACCCTCTAAGGGAAGTCATTGTCAGTGGTATCCCAGGGAGTCCTTGCCCCCTCATTATCATTGCATAATGGGCACCAACATCTGCCTCATTAGGCTCTGCTGGGGATCGGGATTAAATGGGATAAAATGGAAGAAACACATGGCTTATTAGCCATGGGGCTGTAGGTGGGGGGATGTGTGGACTGACTGCTAAGAGTATCTCCCAGTTCTGCCATCCTGAAAGGCAACTTTGAACCAGCTTTCCTCTCTCCCTGGGAGCCACCTGCAGCCATAGAGATGACTATTAGAATGGAAGTTCCTTGAAGACAGGCAATGTTGTTTTGTTCACAGTTCTATCCTCAGTGTCTAGCTCCATTCCTGCCTAGTGCAATAAATATTTGTTAAATGGACTGGAACCCCCAAGAAACCTTAACTTGGCCATGAGCCAAGGGAAAGAAACTGTTTGGAATGACCTTCCTATTACTGGAAGCCAGGTTATCTCAATTGAAGGATGAGGCTGAGGCTGTCATAATCTTTCACTAGTTCTATGACAAAGCCCCCAGGTTGTTCCCCTATATCCTATATTGCATTCCCCATCTCCCTCCCCCATTCTCTATATTATGCCCAAAGTAATTTTTGTAAAATCCATATTTGAACATACCCCTCCCCAGCTCACTACTCTTCCATGATTCTTTGCTGCCTGTGGAGTAAACTATAAAAGTATAAAAAGGCCGGGTGCAGTGGCTCACACCTGTAATCCCAGCACTTTGGGAGGCTGAGGCGGGCGGATCATGAGGTCAAGAGATCGAGACCATCCTGGCAAACGTGGTGAAACCCCATCTCTGCTAAAAATACAAAAATTAGCCGGGCGTGGTGGCACACACCTGTAGTCCCAACTACTTGGGAGGCTGAGGCAGGAGAATCGCTTGAACCCGGGAGGCGGAGGTTGCAGTGAGCTGAGATCATGTCACTGCACTCCAGCCTGGCAACAGAGCGAGGCTCTCTCAAAAAAAAAAGTATAAAAGGTCCCCAGCCCGGCACTGAAGACTGTCGAAGATCTGTAGCCCCAGAGCCTGCCTTTCAGAATGCCTCTCCTGCAGGAAGCCTTTCCTGACCACTTAGGCCCACTAGGAACCTGAGCTCTCCCTTCTGTGACTTTCTGTGTCATGATTTAGCATGGAACCACTGTCCAATATTTTGACTCTTCACTTAGTGTTTCATGAGTGGTCCTCCCCCATATTGATTAGGATCTCCTTGACCAAATGAATTAGTATTTTCTTGGAGCTCCCACAGAAAAACCAGGAAAGGGCAGAGAACATAGAGATGTCATTACAGAGGACACTGATTGGACAATCAATTAATTCATTGGTTTCTCTTCCATGCATCCCCCCACCATGCTGTCTTATCACAGTTCTCAGCATATCTCTGCTCAGTAATTCTCACACTGTCTTGTAAACATTGATTTTTTCTGTCCCCTGGGCTGCAGGATCTTCAAGAACAGGGGACAAGCGCCCCTTCTCTCTGAATCCCCAACAACCAGCATATGCCTCAGTAAATGAGAGATGATGAAAGGATATTCCCAGCACTCTTTTCTTCCCCATACTCTGACACAGCCTTATGTGTACCCTCCATAGCATTTGTTCCCTCACTTGCTCATTTATTCATTTATTTGTTCAGTAACTGTTTATTAAACATTGACTATGTGTCAGATACTAGGTTAGATATCGGCCAGAGAATGAGGGAAACGCAAGCAGCTTAGATAACTTCATTTCTCTATTCCACAGTGAATTTCTTGAGATTGGGAATATGCCCGAATCACCTCTGTGGTCCCATCACTTAGCACAGTGCTTGGCACTGAAAGTATTCACTAGATGTCTGCTGAATTAATTAGTAATGCATCTACTTGGCTTTATCCCCCTTTTTAGCCTATAGTCTCCCACTAATCTTATGGGATTTTAGAGGATCTAGCATTGCTCTAAGGCTGGAGTTGGAGAAGCCACACAAAGGCCAACCCCCAGGGAAAGGTTTTCACTCAACAAACATTGCCTGAAAACATCTCTGACCTTGAGGAGCTCATTGTCTAAAACAGAAGACAAAGATAAACAGAAAGAGACAGAGAGATAGACCCCATGGGACAGTAGTACAGGGCAGTGATAGCACAGATGAGGGGGTGCTTTCTTCTGTCCTAGAGGTGAGGATGTGACTTCCCAGAGGAGAGGACTCTTGATCTGGGCAGTAGATCAGAAGTGTGCCATGCAGACAAAATGGGAAAGGCAAAAGGAATGGAAAGTGCAAAACTAGACTGTAGACCTGGGGCCACTGGGGCACTGCTGGTGGAAGCTCAATATTGCCAGAGCTCGTGAGATAAAGGAGATGGTGGGAGGCAAGGCTTATGGGTAGACAGAAGGGAGGGTGTATTTCAGCCTAAGAAGCAGCACAGACTTTATCATGTAGGCTGAGAGAGACTTGAACGCTGATACAGCCCCTTGAGAAGACAGCAGAGAAGAAGAAAATGACAATCTGTAAGTGAGAAGTCAAACAAACCAGGCAAGTGAGGTGAGGTGTCCACCTATTGTCCTTGCCTGGCCAGCCTGCATTGGCCCTCCACCTGGTAGGTAGGAGCATTCTCCACTCTGGATCACCCCTCTGCCACTCTGTCTGTCCAGTGGCGTTACCTCCCCAATATTCGCATTACCATGTGGTCCAAGCCTGGCCAATCCTAACATCCCATCCCCCAGGCCATAGTGATTGGTTCAGAGGTGATCATGTGATCCACCTGAGCTCTGAGACTCAGCTCTGGGCTCTTATGTTAGAATGAAGGGGATCTCTCTTTCTGCTGAGGACACGAGCCAAAGCTATTTGGAGGCCTGTCTAAACAAAGCCAATATTGAGGAATGCAGAGTCAAGATGGAACATGAGGCTGAGTTCTGATGGCATCACCTGTGTGCTGGGAGCAGTGAGATCTATTTCTGGAATTTTCTGCAGAGTTATTTTTTCTTTATTAAGCTAATTTGGATCAGGTTTCTGTTATTTGCATCTGAAAAAGTCCTAACACACTGAGAAAGATTATAAAGAAGTATGTCTCATAGGGGTGACTCCTGTATTAACTGTGGCCTTGTCTAGACTAGAGGCTTTGCTCGGGGAAGCTAAGTAGGCTGTGTGCTCAGCCTTAGATGAATGGGTTTGAGAAACATCTGTGGGAAGAGGCCAGAGAGGACCACTGAGTTTGTATTTGAGAGCAGTTTGAATTTAAAGAGATGAGATGGACCTAGGACCCGTTTAGGTCAGGAAGCCAGTTTACCCAGCAACTGAGAAAGCTGGGAAAAGACCCCTTCCTAAATGGTCCGGGCCATAGTCCTGAAAGACACATCCCAAATGCCATAATCCTGGATGTCAAAATCCTAAAATATCAAAATCCCTAAAGTCTAAAATCCCCACATTCACATTCTTGAAAGATGAAAACCCTGAAAATATAACTCTGAAAAAAATTTAATGCTTTAAAAAATATTTACTTACATTTTTAAAATGGATTATTTGGGAAACATATAAAAACATGACAGAACACTTCATTGACACCTTTACACAACAACACAGGCAATGATGGCATATGTATTTTTGTAATCATAAACATTCAGTATCCTAACGACAGTCACATGGGTATAACAGTTATGAGCAGAGGAGTCACATTGATAAAGAAATAGGTCAAAAAGCAAAAGCTGTACATGCGTATCACTATGTTTGGTAATTGTGTGCACCCAGCTTTATAACTGAGGTCATCTTAAGGACCGTGATGGACACCCTAAGTCTTTCGATGAGACTGATCTGAAACTACAATGGGTACAGCCACCCAAAGAGTTAAAATCTCTAGAAATTTTATCTTTCATAAATGCAGATATACAGGGAGGACATCTCTTCATTTCTTTTTTTTTTTTTTTTTGAGATGGAGTCTCGCTCTGTCGCCCAGGCTGGAGTGCAGTGGTGCAGTCTCGGCTGACTGCAAGCTCTGCCTCCCGGGTTCACGCCATTCTCCTGCCTCAGCCTCCCAAGTAGCTGGGACTACAGGTGCCTGCCACCACACCTGGCTAATTTTTTGTATTTTTAGGAGAGACGGGTTTTCACCATGTTAGCCAGGATGGTCTCGATCTCCTGACCTCGTGATCTGCCTGCCTTGGCCTCCCAAAGTACTGGGATTACAGGCGTGAGCCACCGCGCTCAGCCATCTCTTCATTTCTTGAGGAAGTTTAGACATTTTTATATACATACACAATACTTACACACAAAGCCAACATTGTGATAATGCACTTTTATGGAGTCAAACTTGAAAAAAAATGCATACAACAAATTAGAATTCTCTAAAGGTCTACACAATTTCTACCTCCAATATTGAAGATGATGCAAAGATGAAATACATAGCATAGCAAATAGATGCTATGCGTGAAGGGTCAGAAGTCACACATGATTGACTAATTTGGCATTGGAGATTTCTTGTATTTTTCGCCTGCATTTTCAGTTCATGTATGATCTTCAGAACACTCACTGCACTTGTATTTGGAGAGTGATTGTGGTTTACAAATTTTGTAAAGATGTGTTGTCCATTAGAAAGTCTGGTTATTGCTTGACCATTGCCATTAAGCAATTTTCTGCTTTTGCAGCACCAGTAATTATTAGTCTTTAAACTTTTATGTTTCACCATTAAGTAGCCTTGTCACTTAACTTATCACAGCCTTTTTCTGAGGGAAAAATTTTACAGATCTCTTCTGTTGTGTTGTAAGGAATACAGTAAGAAGAAATAATATTCAGCTTCCCCAAGACCAAATTTATATTAATCAGGGTTCTCCAGAGAGACAGAACCAATAGGATATGTATATAGACATATGAGAGGTGATTTACTAGGGGAATTGGCTCACAAAACTATGGTGGCTGATAAGTCCCTTGGCAGTCTGTCTACAAGCTAAAGACCCTGGGATGTCAGTAGCATGGCTCAGCCTATGTCCAAAGACCTCAGAACCAGGGAAGCAGATGGGGTAACTCTCAGTCCAAGGCAGAAAGCCTCAGGACTTGGGAGGCCGCTGGTGTCAATCTTGGTGGGCCTGGAGTCAAAGGCTGGTGGGCCTGGAGTTCTGATGTCCAAGGCAGCAGAAGAAAAGCCTGTCCCAGCTCTCAGAGAGCGGAGTCCACCCTCTGTATGTGTTCTCTTTGGGCCCCTGGGCAAGAGGATGGTGCCTGCTAACACTGAGGGCAGATCTTTTCCACCTAGTCCACTGAACTCACACACTAATCTCCTCTGGAAACACCCCACAGACACACCCAAAACAATGCTTTACCAGGTTTCTAGGTTTTCCTTAATCTGGTCAAATTGACACCTAAAATTAACTCCCCAAGTCTACCCCTTGTCAACCTGGCTCCCACATGCATCTTCTTAAACCAACAAATATAATAAGAAGATAATAGTTCCGCTTAACAGGATGCAATTAATATGATGCAACTATGCTGCTATAACCCAAACTGCACTAATCCCTTTCCCAGAATTCAGCTTTCAGGATTTAAACATTTGGGATTGTGTCTTTCAGGATTGCATGGATCCTAAGCTAGGGGGTTGGGGGTAGATAGGGATCAATAGGGATAAAGGGAATTATGAGTAACACAGGCTTGTGCTCAGAACAAAAATCTGCCCCAAAGAGAATAAACAAGAACAGGAGTTGGCAATTTCTTTCTGTAAAGGACCAGTTAGTAAATATTTAGCCTTTTTAAGCCATACGGTCTCTGTCACCACTGCCCAGCTCTGCTGTGGTAGAGCAAAAGCAGCCACAGACAATAAGTAAACACACATGGCTGAGTTCCAATAAAACTTTATTTACAAAAACAGGTGGCAGGCCAGATTTGACTGTGGGCCATAGCTTACGAGCCCCTGAACTAGTGCTGTAGACATGTGCTAAGACAACAGGAGAGCCCAAGAGCATGTGTCTGGAACTTGCAAATCCATTCCTACCTTGCCTACCTGATACGATTTGGATATTTGTACAACCAAAATCTCATGTTGGAATATAATCCCCAATGTTGGAGGTGGGGCCTGGTAGGAGGTGTTTGGGTCATGGGGGTGGATCCCTCATGGCTTGGTGCTGTCCTTGCAATAGTGAGTTCTCATGAGATCTGGTTGTTTAAAAGTGTGTGGCACCCCCGCCCCTTGCTCCCACTTTTGCCATGTAAGATGGCTGCTCCCACTTTGCCTTCCATCATGAGTGAAAATTTCCTGGGCCCCTCACCAGAAGCAGATGCCAGCACCATGCTTCCTGTAAAGCCTGCATAACCATGAGCCAATTAAACCTCTTTTCTTATAAATTACTTAGCCTCAGCTATTTCTTTATACCAATGCAAAAAAAAAAATAAAAAAAATAAGAATAAAAATTAAAAAAACAGCCTAACACACTACCATAGAAGAATTCCTCAGTGGGGCAACAAGATGTGATGTTAGGGTTAACTATAGTTCCTGTAATCCCTCTAGATCTTGGTTTAAGAATTCAGCCTTGAAGCTGAAAAGGAAAGACAATTGAGGATGGCCAATGACAGGAAGTAGTGCCCAGTACCAAGGACAGCGCTGCTCCCTGGACAGCAACGTTGATTTAGGAAGCAACCTGTTTCCAGAATAATAGAAAAGGCCTGTGCTCTGCGTCAGGAAGGAGGTCTTTGTATCTCCTTCCATGAGTTGGAAGAGAAAAAATGTCATGGATATTCTGGAAGCTCCTTGAATCCCTGGATACTTGACTCCTCAGGCAGACCTCTGGTGAGATTGGTGAGAATGAAACTTTTTCCTAAAAGATCTAAAAATAAGCCACATGACATGCCAATATATCTAGGTGGCATGACTAAAGGATGCCTGGAAGGGGTCTGGGAAGTCACTTTAGCTCCTTGTGTTTCCTTTTTCTCACCTGTCAAGGGGAGATGATAATCATTTCCCTGCCTTACTCACAGGGTCATTATGATTATTGAACCAGACTTTGGGCAGAAAAGTGCTGTGAACAGCAGAAAGTACAGATGGGAAGAACTCTGAGTGCAAATGTCCAGTTTAGCCCCTGATCTGCCACAACTCTCATCTCTTTCTTTCTTACTATTAGAAAGATTGCCTTTTCTTTCTAAATGATGCAGAGAAAGAGTCCAGACTGGTGTCAATCTCACCCTGTTGGCCTTGGTTACCTATCCAGTATCCATGCCCCCTACCAATCGTTTCTCCCATTCCACGGATCCTGGATTGGGCTCAGGGACAACTGCCTCCTCCGGAAGGTGAAGGGCTTCCCCGGGATGGTCACAACAGTCCTATGTCCCTTGCTAATTGTTTTAGAAAGGGATCTTTGAATAATCCTGGCCAATGAGATGTGAGAGAAAGTCTGCTGGGAGGCATGAATAATGATCTCACATTGATTTTTAAACATTGCAGGAAGAGAGCTGGTCTCCCTCAGAATAGAGTGCAGCTGATGGAGGAGCAGCAGAGCCAAAGCAGCCCACCTTGTGCCCTGGATCCCGCCCCACCTCTGGGTTTCTTGTCCTGTGAGATGATAAAGCTCCTTCTTGTTTGGGCTGGATGACCTACAGCCAGAGGCATGCGCTCTGATAATCACCAGTCCATGAGGAAAAGGCCAGGGGACCCTCTGGGCACCCCCTCCTCAGAGCCTCTCCCTCTGCCAAGAGTTTCCTTTCCATCTCCTTTTCTTGGCTTCACCTGGAAACAAAACTGACAAACCATATGTTCCACAGGCCTGAGCTCATCTCTAATTAGTGCTCAGAGGCAGTGGTAGGGCTGCCGGGAGGGGCTGGCTTAAGAACTCTGCTCCCTGCCTCCCACCTACAGAGCTAAGAGAGCCTCTCGACCCTGCACTCATATTCCTCTCTCACAATGCTCATGGATGGAGCATTTTAGGGGAAATATGCACTCTGACATCAATATTTGGTGTGAATATTCACCAAGAATGGGAGAAGAACTTTTGTGGCTCATGGGGTATGTGCAGAAGAGGAGCTGGGAGTTATAGCCCATACCCTTGGGAGCCCTGAACCAGGACTTGGGCCTTTGGCTTGATCTTATAGCTTGGGTCTGGGATGGGTTTGTCTGAGGTGGAGAGTTTAACCCACTCCTAAAGAAGCCACTTTTCTGGACTCAGCCTCTCTTGGTTCCACTAGGCACCAGCTCTCCATGAATAGAAGACTTTCAGAGCCAAGAGTGCTCAAAGGCATAGAGCAAGTGGCTGCCTTAGAGGTAGGAGCATGACATTCCATGGGGAGGCTCAGGACTTTCTTACAGTGTGAGGAACTGGATCAGGGGATCAGGAAGCATAAGCGGTGGCTGGGCTTATTCAGGTGGGAAGCCTCAGAGGCCAACAGGCAAGAAAGAAGCTCATATGAGAATAGGCAAGGCATGAGGTCACAGGCTGAGGCTGGCCTGGGGGCTTAGAGGAGGAAGCAAAGTCTCGTCCTCCTTCCAAGGGGATTAACCTAGAGGCTAAGTCCTGTTGACCTGAGGCCCATCCTGTTAATGGCATGCCACAGGCTTTCCTCCACAGCTCCAGCCCACACAACCCCTTCTCTTAGGTGTCTTCCTCTCTGACAACAGACTACAGTGCATGGGAAAATGCAGCAGGCCCCCAGACACTCTGCTGGAAGAGGGAGCGTGGCCTCTAGTCTGGATTAGCTTATCGTTCCAGCCTCCAGACTTTCAGGCATCCTCCCCACTTCCTCTTCCTCTTCCTATCACCACCACTGCCCAGGTCCAATCCCCCACCATCTCACACCCCCAGAGCTTCCTAACTGCCCCCATCTCCAATATCTTCCTCTATTGCCTCCACTCGAGAAGCTAGAATGATCTTTCTAAAGCACAAATCTAATTACTTCATTCTCCTATTTAGAACTTTCAGTGGCTCCCCATTACCTTCAAGGGGAAGTCCAATCCTACCTTCTTAATACGGCTTAGGAAGCCCTTTGTTATCCTGCACTGCCTCCTTCTCAAGCTCCATCTGCCGCCAGTGAACCCAATGCGTGGGCCATATTAAACTTTCCTCAGGTTCTCAAAGATGCCATGTTCTCTTCTGTCTCTGAGCCTTTCTTTCTTTCTTTTTTTTTTTTAGACGGAGTCTCACTCTGTCACCCAGGCTGGATGGAACGCAGTGGCGAGATCTCAGCTCACTGCAAGCTCCACCTCCTGGGTTCACGCTAGTCTCCCGCCTCAGCCTCCCAAGTAGCTGGGACTACAGGCACTCGCCACCACACCCGGCTAATTTTTTGTATTTTTAGTAGAGATGAGATTTCACCGTGTTAGCCAGGATGGTCTCAAGTTCCTGACCTCGTGATCTGCCCGCCTCGGCCTCCAAAAGTGCTGGGATTACACAGGCGTGAGCCACGACGCCCAGCCCCGTCTCTGAGCCTTTCTGTATGCTCTTGCCTCTGCCCAAGTTAGTCTTAAGCCCTCCAAACCTTGCTTGTCTCCTCTCCCAAGCCCATCCCTGCCTGGCTACCCCTATCTACACTTCCACCCTTACATACACCACTTCCCCTGGGATTACAGGCATTCCCTACCACACCCAGTTAAATTTTGTATTGTTTGTAGAGACAGGGTTTTGCCATGTTGCCAGGCTGGTCTCGAACTCCTGGGCTCAAGAGATTGGCTGCCTTGGCCTCCCAAAGTGCTGGGATTACAAGCATTAAGCCACTGTTCCTGGCCCAATTTGAGTTTTTATGCCTGATGGCCAACATCTTCAGAAATCACTTCAGGGATAGAACCAGAGCAGTATGAGGAAGGGGTCTCCTAGGATCGTCTGATCCACTCTGTCTCCACTCAGCACTGACCAAACAGATGAGAAGCATCACTGTATTGCCTGGGCTGACTTAGTCTCAAGCTGTCCCTAGCCTGAGATATGTTCCAAACAGGCTTAGAGCATGTTCTGAAGCTGGGGGAGGCCATTACCTCAAAACTAGGGGCTAACATCACCATGACCACAGATGATAATTGTCGAATGTAAATATTTTAGTGTTTCTTTGGTGAAAAGGTTCAGTACGCCTAGTATATTCTGGCAAAGGCAGGCCAGACCTTATAAACTGAAATCTTGCAATGCAAAGTCCTATTAAAGTTCTTGAAACCAGTTGGGCACAGTGGTTCATGCCTATAATCCCTACACTGGGAGGCTGAGGTGGGAGGATTGCTTTAGGCCAGGAGTCCAAGACCAGCCTGGGCAACAAAGTGAGACTCTGTCTCAAAAAACAAACAAATGACAACAAAATAAATCTTGACCCCTGCAGCATCAGAAAGACCAGCTTCTGACTTTATTGGCATCATGTTGTGCTGGCCCAAGGACCACGCAGGTTCTTGGATCAGGAATGTAGTTCTGATTGCTGACCTTAGAGAACAGCTTTAGATGTAGAAATTCTTTCATCCCACCCGGATTCTCCAGTCATGGCCCTAGTATCCTGGCACCTCTATTGCCACTCTGCTTCAGCACATTCTCTGGGGTGTTTCCCAGTTCCTTCCAGCTACAATTCTGCCTCTGGTTTCAGCAATGCCTCCTCCAACACTCACTGGGGAAGTCCCTACCCTCTCTAAGCTAGCCCCAACTCCCAAGCCCCCTTATCTGTATGCAGCGCCCTACCTCTGACAGGTCATATGCCAATCTCTTCCTTGCTCTAACTTGGGGGACCCAGACGGAGAACGGAGGGTCTGAGTACTAAGAGGAATGGTTTGCACTCAAGGCACCGGGAATGGTGCTCAGTTTTTGACCTAGGGAGAGACAAGGAGAAATGGTATTCTGGGAGAATATTTTGGCAGTGGTTTCAAGAAAGAAATAGGAGCCATTGGAGATTTCTGTAGCAATTTAAGACAGAGGCCACTGGGCATCTGAACCAGGGTGGCAGCCTTGACAGGGGACAGCCGTGAGAGCTGCTTCCAAGAAAAGTGCAGCACATGTGGAGCTGGCTGGGTGTGGGTGTTCGGAGATGAGGGAGATAGTGGGGAAAAGAAACTAAAAAAGGGAAGAAGAGATTGACAGCAGAATTACAGGGATTTCCAGGGTCCAGGAGGAAGATAAGAAAGAAGCAGCAGCAGCTACCAAGAGATACAGAGGAAAATGGACAGAGAAGCAGAGGTGGAGACACACTGAGAAATACAGACCACATGGCCCCTGCCCCCAGGACGGGAGCTGCTCTCTGCAGCAGCTGCAGGGCAGACCAGCTGCTCACACCCGGCCCTGTGCCACAGCCCCACGCTGGTGCAGTCCCAAAAGAAGCTGGCATCCTGCTGGTTGTCAGGAGGAGCCTGAGGCCCAGGAGAGTGCCTGGTTTACTCAGGGAGGAGGCAGTGAATGCAGAGTGTGGTTGGAGCCCAGACCCCAGCCTTTGGAACTGGCCTCCTCTCCACCCTACCGTGCCCTGGTGCCTCCTGCCCCTTGCCAGCAAACCCGCCCATTTGGTTTCACTCACCCCGTAGAAAGGAGCTGGAGCCTGAGCCCAGTATCGGAGTCCTCAGGAGAGAGGAGGAGTGATGGCAGCACCAGGAAGGGAGGCCAGCTGGCAGCCCTAGAGAGTGGCGGGAACGAATGTGCAGGGAGTGTCCCCACCAGCTCAGGAAGGCCCCAGGGTGATCCTTCTCTACCCTGAAGACAAATCCTCTTCTCATGGCTGATCACTCAAGGCCCTGCACAGGAGTCCTTCCTGCTCCCTCCCCTAGGATGAAGGCCACCTGGCCTCCACAAACACCAGGCATTTCCATGGCCTCATCTTTCCTTCTGCTCAGGGTGCATCTCCCTTCTCCTGGGATCCCTCCCCTGAGTCTGCCTCCCTTTCCAAAGTCCTTCTGTCTTTCACATGCCTCCTCCCGGCAGCTGCCCAGACCACTTGAGTCCTCCCAACCCTCATTCTCTGGGCATGGTCCTCCCGCCAAGGGCAGGGGAGCAGAGGGGAATACCACGTTGGGGTGGGACAGCACCGCTGCCTTCAGGTGGCTTGACACATGGTCAGGAACAGGACGTCACACAACTGTCCCCAAAAGAGGAGAGATGGCCCAGGATGCTGTGTAGCTTGAGTTACAACCCATGTGGCTAATGTTGGGACCAGCAGAGGCAGGCCTGGGCCTGGGGTGCTGGCTGAGGTTTGGAGGGCACCAGTCCTGCCCTGCCTTCTCCTCCTGCTTCGCCAGCCCTGCTGCTGCGTGGGGGAACAAGGTAACCCAGGGCTTTGACCTGTGTGGCCTTGGAGCTATTTTGCTGGGCCCAAGGCCCCTCTCTGGGCCCTCCGTTCCTGCAGCAGCCACTCCTATGCTGGCCAGGGGAGCAGGGGTGCTGGCAAGTCCCTTCCCATCCCTGGCCTAGTTTATCTGCTCTATATCTACCCCCTTTACCTGTAAAGAGCATAACCAGGCCGGCCTGTCTCCCACTCAGGACTCTTATCCTGACAGAATGAAGTGAGCCGCAGAAGTGCCGGCATAGCCACCGACCATGCCATCGGTCCCTGTGGGGAGGAGGTGCGGCTACTGCTGGAAACCCCTGCCTGGCCTCTAAGGAGTTAGGGGCACAATAGACCTCTTAATTTTAGCCAACTAATTACACACATCCCCAGCCTAACACCAGACCCAAGATATAAAAGTGGTCAGAGCTGGACCCTGACCCCCGCCCACTCCCCGGCTCACTGCCCATGTTACATTCACTCCTCCCATCCCATCCAGGGCACCAGGCTTACCCCAGGCAGTGAAGGTTCCAAGTCTCCCTTAGTTACCTGCTTCCCCATGGAGGCCCCAGACCCAGCAGTTGGTGCCATACCTTCTAGTCACAAAGAAAATGTACTTCCCTCAAAGATGGAAGGACTCAGGCTGCGACCCTTCTCAGTGGCCTGCATGGTAAAGCAGATTGGATGGGGGTGGAAATAAAGGGGCTCTGTGAGACGCTCGTAGCCAAAAGAGGAGGGCCCTCCAAAGACCCTCACAGTGCACCAGCAGCTTCCCCAGGTGGAGACAGGAGACTCGCCCACAATTTGCAGAACACTCCTCACCCCTTTCCAGATCCCTCCTTAGGTGGCCTGGCTTCTACCTTCAGGACCTGCAGTGTGGGTCCAGCTAGAAGAGACCCATCTTTTTTTTTTATTTAATAAGACAACAAAATAAAACAAGAAAAGGGATATGGAAAAAGAAGGGCTCAAGATGCCATCAGCCAAGAATCACAGCCATCCTTTCCTGCCCAGCACTGGAAGTCTGGGCCCAGGCAGGGCTACCTTGGCTAGCTTGGCCGAGGAGAATGCAGCCTAGGTGTGGGCAGCCTGGGGTCACATTGGCCCAGGAGATCCCTGCCAGTACCTTCACACAAACCCACCTTCCTCCTCTCTGAATTCCCAGCCACACAGCCCTGGGCTCCCGATTTTTGCCCCAGTTCTCATTAGCCCAGCTCCTCTCTCTGCAGCCCAGGGCATTGGAAGGCATCCTTAGCTGAGGTCAGGAGACCAGCCCTGCCTTCATCCTTTGAATGGCTTTAGACAAATCACTCCCCTCCTCATCACAGGTATCCCCCGGCAGAGAGTGGATGTGGACTTATTGGTCACTAGGGGCTCTGGGTTATCAACTGACCTCCCTGTCTTCTCTCTGTGTGCCTCAGACACGCCTTATGGCACCTGCCTGCTCAGAGCTGCATCCAAGAAAGTCCTCCCTGCCACAGCCCCTGAGCCCCATGCTTTGTCCCACCAGCAACCACCTCACCTGGCTGCTGCTCATGGGACAGAGGTAGGTTGGCACGTGGTCCAGTGTTAATGAACCAGTGACCTGTGCTGATGAACATAGACCTGGGAAACAGTCTTTGTGGGAGAGCTTCCTTGAAAAAGTGATATTTAAGCTGAGACTGAACGGTAAGTAAGTTTAGCTGAGTGGTAAGGAAGCACAGCATGTGCAAAGGCCCAGAGGTGGCAAGGAGCTTGGAACACTGAGAGAATGATAAAAAGGCCAGTGAGGCTGGACACAGCATATCTGGAGGAGCAGGGGCAGAAAGGGCCAGAGAAGTGAGCAGGGCAGCCACATAGGGTCTTGTAGACCTCCATAAGGCATTTGAATGTCATCCTGCCTGCTTCCTTCTGTCCTGCCTCCAACTGGCTATCTCTGTTCCTATAGCCTGGGGTCACATTGGCTCCTACACAGCTTCTGCTCCTCAATCATTTCAGCTGCACATGACCTAACCCAGCCTCTCTGGATTCCTTGATCTCCTGGCTTTTGCTGCTAATAAGTACACGCTGTGAATCTCTTCCCCAGCCAAATAAAAATGACCACTATTACTGGGCACAGTTCCACCCTCATGCCTCCCAAGGACCCAGAGAGCATTGTCTCCATTTCACAGAGGCAGTCCCCAAGTCAGATAGGTGAAATCAGTTGCCCAAGCAAATTCAGCTGGCAAACGACAGGGCCAGGATTTGAGCGCGAGACTGTCTGATTTTAAACTCTGCCCGCATTCTTATCCTCAGGTTATTGCTCCCTGAGGCTATAAGGCTACAGGCAGGATGTGCCAGGCATGAGGGAAGCAAAGGGGTCCATTGTAACAGGCACCTAATTCAAGGCAGTAGGCCCAGAGGCTCCACAGGCTTGTCTGGAATAGTCTGAGAAGTGGCCGTCTTCTCACAGCAAGGCCAGAGGGCATAACCAGAGGGCCTGCCCCCTCTTCCTGGGCTGTATTCCTGCTGAGGTGTGGCCCTGAATCTCTGGGGCATTCAGTAGGCCTGCAATCTTGGCCTTTCCAACCCATCCACCAGCCTGGCCTGAGCTCTGTCTTTCCTGAGCCTGGGGCCCACCATGGAACCAGGAGCCAGAGACGTTTGAGGCCCTGGAATGGGGTTCCCCCCTGAACCAAAGACCCTCATGGATCCAGGTAACATTTTATCCACAGGGGCATCTCAGGCCATGTGCCTGGGATCAGTTTTGTCTAGTGGTAATGGATTTCACTTTTTGATTGTGTGTTGCTTTGAAGGAAACTCAATTAATTTGTGTCTCCCTCAGCATGTGGCAGTTAAAATTGCAGTGATAGGACAGGGAGGACCCTTGCAAGTCGTTTTGTTCACTCAAGCTTTTAAAACTCCTGCCTCCCTTTGCTTCATATAGAAATCTCATTCTTCACTTTAGTGGTAAGCGACATTTCTAAATTATTTCACCTTTGGTTGTAGTAGGCCGAACGACAGCCCCCAAACATATCAGCCCCGAATCTCTGGGACCTGTAAATGTTACCTTATTTAGAAAAAGGGTCTTTGCAGATGTGATTAAGTTAATGATTTTGAGACTAGGAGATTATGTTGGATTAACTAGATCGACCCTAAATACCATCACAAGTATCCTTACAAGAGAGAGGAAGAGGGAGATCTGATGGGTACACAGAAGGAAGGCAATGTGACCCCAGAGGCAGAGCCTGAAGTGATGTGGCCACAAGCCCAGGAATGTCAGCTGCCAGCAGAATTTGCAGGAGGCCAGGAATAGCTTCTCTGCTAGAGCCTCCAGAGAGTGGCTGTGCTGAAGTCCTTGATTCCAGCCCAGTACTATTGATTGCAGACTTAAGGCCTCCAGAACTGTGAGAGAAAAAGTTTCTGTTGTTTTAAGCCACCCAGTGTGCGATAATTTGTTACAGAAGCCACAGGAAACCAGTAAAATGATTTAAAACAAATCAGAGCCTCAGTGAATTAAACGAGTAGTTTGCGAACCTCTAAAGCCACCCTTGGAGGTTCTGACCATCCTCCAGGCCAAGGGCTTGGTGTTGCCTAATGTATCCAATTTAGACAGAAGAAAACTGAGGTCAGAAAAAGGCAGAGACTTGCACAAGGTCACAAAAGTAGTGATTGGCAGAGACAGGACTGGTACCCAAGAGCCCCCCAAGGACTCCCAGTCCTCCCATGGCCCCAGGCCACCTCCTCCCACCCCTCATTCTCCTGTGTGCGGAGAGATGAGGGTCCAGAAAGGTCTAATGAGGCAGAATAGTGAGTTTGGGGAAAGGCTAGAGAAAGCCTGGAGCAGCTCCCAGGGTGGGGAGCTTATCCAACAGACAAGGAGCAGATGTTCTAATATTTCTCTTACCGAAAGGTAACTTCCAGAGACTGTGAGAAGTATCGAATCTGGTTTATAAGGCTTTAAGGAAAATACTGCATTTATAAACAGTATTCTTCATATACCCACAAATTGAATCAAATTGTGCACCTGTCAGTCAGGAGAGGCACCTCATGGGGATTCCAGTACAGAAAGGAAGGGCAGAGGGGCTGGCTGGGAAGGTGGCAAGGGCCAGAGACAGCAAGGGGTCCATGGAGGTGCCAGCCTCAGAATCTTAAAACTCCTCAGCTTTGCTGTAGATTAGCTCTTGTCATGAGCAGAAGACAGAGGCAGATGTAGCCAAGCCTTGGCATGTATACATGCTTGTGTGCACATGTGAGCTCAGAGGCAGACATTGGGCCAAGTACGCATACACATAACCATATGCACACGCACAGGGACACACACAAGGGGCCTGGAACCAAGCCTAGGCAGCCAGAAAGAGTCATTCATAAATTGTCAGTTGCCCTTTGGGTTACGCTTTTAAGTCCAAAAGCCAAGTGGAGCGTGTTGCCACGATTTGTTCTCCTGGCATCACAGCTCCTGAGTGAGCCTAGGTCCCCAGCGTGAAATGTAACATGGTAGGGACTCACACAGTGTCCTCTCTGGTGGTCTGCTGCTGAGCCCACCAAGGGCCTCCCTCCCTCCCTGGGTCTGAGTTCCTCTCCCCTCCCTTATCACTGCCCTGCTAGAGCCCCAGCATAGGAAACAGCTGGCCCAAATCTCCATGAACAATCACCAAATTCCAGTGCTCCAGGATTTAGGAAACACTTTTTTTAAACTATTTTTAAGGGGAGAGAGAAATTGGTCAGCTTAGAAAGGGAAGAGAGGGTGGGGTGCAACAGCTGACTTGGGGAAGTGGAATCACCCAGGCTTGGGCCTCCAGCGTCTATCTCAGAGAGACCATTGTCTGAGAGAGGGGGAGATAGAGGCATGAGGAAACCAGCCAGACACCTGGAACAGAACAGAGAGTGGAAGGCACACACAGAAGAAGGTAAGGACATAGCTGGACAACAGGCACCTTGACCTAGAGCACACAGCTGCCAACATCGGCACAGCCACCTGGGATGCAGGGACCAGAGGGCAGCTGGGCTGGCACTGTGGGAGGAAGGACTGGCTCCAGGGAAAGGAATGACAGCTCCAATGATTCTGTGTTGAGGTTTTGTTGTATTGTTGCTGTTTTTCCAGAACCTCCCTAAATAGTCTGGAGGCAGGCCCTGCTGCTGGAACAGTAGCCAGGGCTAGTGGTCAACACCCGGGGAAGACCAGCAAACAGTGTTTGTTGTACCTGGCCCAGGCTGGCTCATCTGCTCAGAGATGGGCCAGGCTCTTTCCCAGGGCTGGGGCAGGCAGCCAGGCCGGATAGACCCTGGGTCTCCAGAATTAGTCTTCCCCCTCATCCCCCAAAAGTTTATATGGAGGCAGCTCAGGATCAGGGGATGGGGGCTGGCTCTTATGGTTGGGGGTGGCACCTCCACACTGTCCAGGCTCCATTCTGCTATGGTGTGTGCTCCCCGTCTGAGGTCTGTCTCCCTGTCAGGCTTAGAGCTTCAGGGGCATAGACTGTCCCATTCATCCCTGACCCCAGCGTCGTACAGACTGGACTTGGACAGAGCATATGCGCAGGGTGATCTCCCCATCTTGGGAGAGGTGAGTGGATATCCGTCAGGGGACCCTGAGTTCTGCATAGAGACTTCACTAGGGGCTCTCAAAGGTCCCTTCTCCAGTCTAGGAGGCACTACCTTTTAGGGCCCTTGTAGTAACAAATGATGGAAACCCAATTTGAGCCAGGTGGGCACAAAGAGATGTCGCTGGATCACAAAACCAAGTGGTAGGGAAGGCCAGGGGAGTAGCAAGCCTCGTGGAGACTGAAAGTGAGACTCCTAAGCCACACGGCCTCCCTCTTGGGGTCTCCCCTGCTTCCGCTGGCTGCCAGCCTCTTTTTCTCCTGCCAGCCCTCTCCACAGGCCAGCATATTGCCCACAGGCTGCTCCAGGGCTCTCTCTGCCCAGAGCTACCTGCGGAGAAGGGCTGTCTTTCCTGGGTTCTAAATTTTCAAGAGATGTTGACTGGCCATGCTTGGATCATGTGCCTGTCCCTGTGGGGTGGGTGGGGGGGATATTCTGTGATTGGCAGGTCCCTGAGGAATGGCACTCTGTTACAAGAAGAAGGGTGGAGATTGGACAGACAAAGCAAAAAGCATCTCAGTTCACCTGCAACATCCCTTCTTCCTCTGAGCCAGGGGTGGGCTGATATAGTTAGGGAAGTGTATAGGGGTCATGCAGGGGCTATCACCTCTCCTACTCCCTGGGATCAGCTCTCAGTCACCCATCGGATCAGCTCTCAAATCCTCTCTTTGGCATTTCAGTCCCATTTTTTTTTTTTGAGATGGAGTTTCGCTCTTGTCGCCCAGGCTGGAGTGCAATGGCATGATCTTGGCTCACTGCAACCTCCACCTCCCAGGTTCAGGCCATTCTCCTGTCTCAGCCTCCTGAGGACACACCACCACACTCAGCTAATTTTTGTATTTTTAGTAGAGACGGGGTTTCATCATGTTGGCCAGGCTGGTCCTGAACTCCTGACCTCAGGTGATCCACCTGCCTCAGCCTCCCAAAGTGCTGGGATTACAGGCGTGAGCCACCTCACCCGGCATGCAGTCCCTTTACAACTCCCTCCCCATGTCCTTGCCTCTCCAACTTCCCCCACCCTAAACCCTTCCTCTAGCAGGATAATTTCTACATACAAAGCAGAGCCAAGTGGCTATGAGCATGGTCTCTGAACTAGATTGCCTTGGGTTCACATCTAGGCCTTGTCACTAACTAGCTGTGTGACCTTGGGCAAGTTATTTAACTTCTCTGTGCCTTAGCTGTTATGAAGGTTAAATAAACTGAGCCATGTACAAGCACTGGAACAAGTCCTGGCTTATGGTGAGCCCTCAGGGCATGTTCACTATTCCCCTGGCCGCTGAGTCTTGGCTCCCACCAGCCCTGGCTAGGATGCCAGTCCTCTTAAGGCTTCCCTGACCACTGCACCACCATGGGGAATTCTCATCTCAGAACCCCTGGGGCACTCAAGGTTGGGCACCTGACTGCACATATTCCCAACTGGTCCGGGACCCAGGAATCTTCCTACTGTTGGTGAGCTCTGTCCCCAGAGCACCCTGGCTCAGGCCTAGGCACACCGAGATGTTGAGAAATGCTTGGACTCCTCCCCTGCAGGACGGGCAGGCCAATGGAAAGAGAAAGCTGTTGGTGACCCTGGAGACCACCCCTGACCAGGGACCATTGGAGCTAAGCAGTGGAGCAGGCACAGGTCTCCCTCCCAGCTGCCACTCCCCCTGGTATCCAGGAAGTCCCTGTACCTGTGACATCACACTTCATCCACAAAAATAGCCGGCGCATCTCAGCAGCCTGGGTGCAGCCTGCTCTGTCGGGTGACAGGCTGTAAGTGCGAGTCAGCATCTGCTGGGTGGATGACACCCCTCCCTTCTGACCCCAGAGCAGGGACGCGCTCACCCAACTGCGGAGGTGACTAAGGCTGGGAGAGGTGTGATAGGCAGGAAAACAGACATAGGCAGGGTCCAGAGTTTCCAGGTTTAATTCTGAAAACCAGAGCCCGTCTGGGTCCATGTGTCTGAGGTGGTGTCTTTCTCTGGTTCTGGAACTGGATCTCTGCCCCTGCTCTTCCCTTCCTTCCTCCCTCTCCTGAGTCTGTCTCAGCTGAGTTAGTGCCCAGGGCTGTGGGTGGCTGGGCTGGCAGAGGGCAGAGTGCCAGGGTTTCAGGAAGAGAAGCACAGATTAGTCAAGGACTGTCAGACCCAACTACATCCCCATGGAGCCTGGCAGTGACATGATTTTAGTCCACGGGCCATTCTGAACCAGACACACTGGACTCCACTGCCTCCCATGGGGTCTTCCCTGGGCTCTGGCCATAGAGTGTTCCTGGAGTGCCCCCACCGACTCTGAGTGAGCACATGGTTAGAGCAGGTGCCTACAGTTCTGGGCTCTGCACAGCCAGGGCTGGGTAGGAGCATTGCATGTGCCCTCCCAGCCTGGGGGAAGCAGACAGCAGCAAATGGGAGGCTGGAGTCCTTCATAGGTCCTGGACCCCCCAATTCTTCTGTTCTCCAGCATCTGGAAGGTTATTAGAAGCAGCAGTGGAGCAGTGGCCTTAGGAAACACCCAGAACAGCCCCGTGTGTGTGTATGTGTGTGTGTGTGTGTGTGCATATGTGTGTGTGTATGCACGTGCACTTGTGCACAGAAGCTATAACATTGTAAGTCTGGGAGACTGCATATGCTCAGAGGTGAGTGTAACTGTGCCTAACTATTTGTGGCAGGGTGCTTGGGTGGGGTATGAGACAAATTCTGAATGTAGGCTAAATGGTGCTAGGATGTGGTGGTGGGGGGCGGGGTGTCTATCTATGTGTGTGCCTATGAGGGTAAAAGCTAGGAGGACTTTCTGGAGGGAGAGACAGTGAAGGAGACTAATCCCCCTCATCCTCATACCGCATTTCTATCTTACCTGGCAAAGTGTAGGGCCAGATGATTCCAAACGCCAAGTCTATTTAACTTGGGACCTCATTACAGAATAATTTTTTCCATCAGAAAATTTGCTGAAACAAAATGGTGTTTGGCTTTAGCAAATATTGAACCAGTTTGCTTTCCCAGAGCTGACACTGGAGGGAGGGTATGACGAGCTCAGGCCATGGGAGGCCAAATAGCGACCCTTCATTGGCAAAGAGAATGCCCCCAGGACTGCCCAGTGAGGCAGCCTCACACCTGGGAGGGACACACGTCTCTTTCTGCCTCTGCTTGTGCTGGGCCATCTGCCTTGATGTTCTGGAATGTTCTCCCCTCCCCTCTTCCACCTGAGGAACAACGGCTCTGCCGCCAGGAGTTAGTACACCTGCCATTTCTGTGAAGTGACCTCTGGTTCCCTTCCTCTCGTCAACCCACAGCACCCCATATCCTCCACGACAGTGAGTTGATATCTCTCCCCCACTAAATGGAAGCCTTCTTACATACAGGGTTTTGTTCAGTTCTCTAACCCCAGCATCTAATGCACAATAGAGATTTTTTTTTTTTAAGACAGAGTATTGCTCTGTTACCCAGGCTGGAGAGCAGTGGCATGATCTCAGCTCACTGTAACCTCTGCCTCCCAGGTTCAAGCAATTTTCCTGCCTCAGCATCCCACGTAGCTGGGATTACAGGCGGGTGCCACCACACCCAGATAATTTTTGTATTTTTAGTAGAAACGGGGTTTCACTTGGCCAGGCTGGTCTCAAACTCCTGACTTCAAGTGATCTACCCGCCTCAGCCTCCCAAAGTACTGGATTACAGGCGTGAGCCACCGTACCCGTCAGAGACTTTTTAAAGTTAATACATGTTGGCCAACTACATGTGCCAGGCACTTGACAAGGAGTCTCTTTTTTAATTCCTCAAAACAACCTGTGGGTCAGTTCTCTTTGTGACATTCCCATTTTATAAAGGAGATTGAAACTTGCACTGTCTAGGAATGGGGGCAGGCATTGAACTCATGTCTTTCTGACACAAGAGCCCAAGGTCTTAACCGTTCTGTGATGTTACGCTGCCTCTCTGTAGAGACAGGAGTCCTGGACTCGAGGTCAGGAGGCCTAAGACCCATCATGGCTGTGTCTGGCTCTTTGTAACCTGAGGCCTTGACTTCTCCATCCATAAAATGGGAGGACAGGTGCTTCCAGCTTAAGGCCTATGCCAGTAGCAGGAAAGACAATAAATGTGCTTTCCCGTGGACATCTTGTTTTAAAGGTTGTCTTCTGTTTGCTTTGCTTAATTGTTGTTTTAAAGGTTTTCTTCTCTTTGCTTTATTTGTTTAATTACAGCCTTCTGTCCATGGCCTCTGGAAGCCTGGCTAAGTGAGGCAGATGTGAAACAAACCAGGGTTTATTTTCTCCTAGCAGTTTGGAGTAGAGGACAGTGCCTGAAGCAAGGATCTCAGACTCTGGGTTTCAGTGCCCCATCTTCTCTGGTACCTCTGTGTGGTCTGCACTACCCTGCCCAGGGCCTACATTTGAGGCCAGCAGAAGCCAGCTGAGGCAGGGTTGGAGCTGGCTCTGGACCACAGGACAGGTGCCACCAAATGCAGAGAAAGCCCCCCTTTCTCAATCTTTGAGGGGCCTGTCAACCTGAATGCCCCTAAAGCTCAATCTGAATCCTGCCCAGCCTCCTCAGCTACTCAAGAGGAGGCAGAAACCCAGTCCCCAGCAGGGCAGAGGGAACATGGGAGGCCATGCCCAGAACCTGACTGCCCAAGCGCCCAGCTGTGCCCATACCACCCTGGGCACTCCTGGACAAGCTCGCCCACACCTCCCAGGCTCAGGACAAAGGAGTCCTGGAAGAATGGACCAATGGGCCTGGAGCCACTGCCATTTGAATGCTTTGAATGCTTCCTACAGGGCGGTGAATCTCTCTGCTTCCCCTCCCGCCTTCTCCTGGGCTCCTTCTTGTTCTGTCTCTTTGCTCCCTCTCCCCTTCCCCTCCCTCACCTCCTCTTCTTTTTCTCTCTCTCTCTCCCACACAGCTGCCTCTTAAGAACTCCAGACGACGCTTCACAGTCTTAAAGCAGAGGAAGGCCACAGGGTCTCAGTTGTGCTGTTCATTCTCCCTCAGAGAACATTCTCCCTGGAGATGGACAGCCTGCCCAGGGTACCTGAAGCCTGAACCACTGGAGAGACCATGGTCTTCTTACCAGCCTTTCACCTCTGATAAAAGTTTCAAACAAAGCTGGGAGTTTGTTGACTTGTGAAGGCCAGGTGATCTGTGGACGATCTCAGGTCAACAGAGCTGAAGAATGGCAGCAGTTCAGTAAAGGGACAAAGGCCACCAAAGGGAGAGGGGTCGGCAGACTTCTATAAAGGGCCAGCGGGGAAATATTTTCAGCTTTTCAAGCTAAACAGTCTGTTGCCACGTCTCAAATCTGCAGTTGCAGCGCAAAAGCAACCATAGATAATATGTAACGAACAAATGTGGCTGTGTTCCATTAAAACTTTATTTTGGGGCACTGAAATTTGAATTTCGTATAATTATCACATGTCATGAAATATTATTCTTCTTCTCATTTCCCCCTCAATCATTTAAAAATGTAAAAACCATTCTTAGCTTGCAGGCTGTCTAAAAACTAGGCGGTGGGGGTTGGAACTCGCTGACCTCCAGGCCAGAGGATGCCTGAGACAGATCTGGGGCTGTGGTGGGACAGGTGCATCAGGCCATCAGATAGCAAATCATATGACCAACAACCCTGTGCCACCTCAGCTCTCTAATTCAGGTTCACCAGAGAGACTTCAGATCATCTTCTCTTGTAACTTGCTTTTGGGGAGAGAAGCGGACCCAGGAGTATACATGTACCCAGAAAACCCTCAGAAGTTCTATTTCTCGTTGTGAATTCCTAACCCAGCGTTTTGATGATAATTTGACTTCCTACTGTAGCTTGCCTACTGGGAGCGATGCTATTCTGCCAAGACAAACATCCGCTGCACTTGAGTAGCATTTCTTATTATAAATTAATAAATTGGCATCAGGGTATGTATATAAATATCAGTCCCTGTGAGCTTGGTAAATGTGAATCTGCCACAGAGAGATGAATCTCCTTAGCACCCAGCTCACCAAAGCAGATTCCTATGTCTCCAGTGCTGGCAGCAAGGCCCGTGGTACTTTCTCAAAGTAGACGCCACCATGAGAGACCTCCAGGCAGCCAGCCGGGTTGCCGGTGAGGTTCTGTGCTGGCTCTGCTGGCTCCATTGCGTAGGAGCTGGCTGCATCGGAGGCTGGGTGTGGAACGATGGGTGGATGGGTGGGTAGATGAGTGAAGGGGCAGATGATGAAAGGGAGACTGGTGGGTGGGAGGGTGGATGGATGGGTGAATACAATCAGCAGGTTTGTGCCCACTGGCAAAATTGGCCCTGGGGGGCATGGCAGGTGACAAGGTAGCCACATATGTCCTGAGAGGGAAAGAAGGAGCCAAGAACTAACATGCGTTGTGCACCTACTATGTGCCAGCTTTGAGGCACAAGGCTGGCTTTCTCTCTCTTGTCCCCATCGATCCCCTCTCCCTGCTCTCATGACCTTGTGTGCATGAACTTGACCTCCATGGGCCTTCTCAGGCCCTTCCTGACTCAGTTCCTAAGTACAAGACAATTCTTTTATGTTCCTGGGGCTTACAGGAGTTGAGGGGAGGTCCTTCCATGCCCTTTCATCAGCACCAGCGCTCACTTTATTTGCAGTAGGTACAGAGTGTTTTTGCCCCAACCCTCACTTGTAGAGGCAGAGCCCATCTCAGGAGAGATGTTGCAAAAATTTAGGCTCCCCAAATGGCTTTCTTCCCCTCCCCACTTCTCTGCGGCAGTGCTGTCCCCATCCCCGCCTTTGGCCTATTATGGGTCAGGCTCAGACTCCTTCCCATTCTCAGATCCCTGGGTCCTTTCCTCTAGGAAGCCCTCCTGGATTGCTTCCAACAGAGCCCAGTTTCCTACAGGATGTTGCAACTGTGCACCTGAGCGTCATCATTTCACACAGAGCGAGGTAGCAGCTACAGTGCGTGTGCGTGTGTGTGTGTGTGTGTGTGTGTGTGTGTGTGTGTGTGTGTGTTGGGGGTGCTCTGAGGCTTCCCTGCCTCCCTCTCCCCTTGCAGCTGAGCTGGGATGAGCTCCCATAGGTGCTGAGCAGCGACTAGCTCAGGGCTGATTGCTCCATCTTAAATGAGGAGCCGTTTAATTTTCCCAGCGAAGCTTCCTTCAGCAGATGAGCTAAGGGAACACGGCAGGCCTATTGGAGGAGGGAACCGCCAGAAAATAAACCCTGAGCCTGGCTATTATTACTTTTTGTTGTTGTTAATTTATCCCCTGCTTGGCTTCTGATAGGCTCCAAGATGACTAAATAAACCCAGGAATCAACTCCCCACCCTCCCAAACTCAATCTTCAGCAAGGGAGAGCTCAGTCTGCGGCATAAATTAGCGGAAGCCAGAGTGTAAAAATATGATTCTGTGAACAAACAAAAGCCTCCAGTCATGAGACCAGCAGTGGCTGAGCTGTTCCCACTGCCGTCAGCTCTGTTTCCAAGCAATTAGAAGGCAGAGGGAGAAGAGCCCGGCAGACCCCCCCAGTGGAGCTGGGAGGGAGGGAGGGGGACAGGGGGCAGCCCTCCAGCGCCCTGCTGCAGCCCTCCAGATGCTTGGAGCTGGTGCTGGGGCTTGCCTGGTAGGCAGGAGAACTGTCTGTCTGGCCCCAGGCTGCTGGGGGACCCCCTCGCCAACCCCCAAGCATGATTTTTGCCTCTTGGCCTCAGTCTCTTCATCTTTAAAATGAGCATAATAACTCCTGGTGGCTTTTCCACCAATCTGTCATGAGGATTAGACAAAATAAAAGGTTGTAAAAGGTTTGAGGAAAAGCAGAGGGAGGTGAGGGGTGATTGCTGGAACTTGCGGCAAGTCGAGGGGCTGCCAGGAGAAGGGGTCCCACTGGAGAACTAGCTTCCTGCTTGAAATCTCCACCCACACCCATTCTGCAGATGTCAAAAGTGAGGCTCAAGAAGGTTGGGCTTGGCCTCAGTTGACTCTCCAGAAATGGAGCCTGCCAGACACAGAAGTCAGTGGCTTCCCCACTCCACCTTGGAGTCAGAGTGCCTTTGGCAAACTGGAACCAGATAACTGAGGCTAGTGTGAGCTGTGGGCTGAGCTGGTGGGCGAGTGTGTTGGTGACCTATGCCTGGCTCATCTGGGCTGAGCTTGGTGACAGACATGGGGCAGTCCACAGCCTGGCACCCGCCAGCATGGTTTAGACTAAAACTACCCTCCATCAGTTCTCTGGCCTCTTATAGGAAGAAATTCTGATCCCAAGAGGGCCCATGTGAGCAAGCCCCTTGATAGGCATTGAGGACCCTGGAATGGCAAGAGACAGTCCCTGTACCCAAAGGGTTTGCAGTCTGCTGCTGGGGACAGGCTCTTGGGCCACCTTCAGGATCGGCCTTGGATGGACAGTGCTTCCCCTGCCTGCAATGCCAAACTGGGGATTCCAGACATGAAAGGGCACAGAGCCAACATTTACTGTGCCCTGATGCGGAGCCTGGTGCTCATCCTGCACCATCCATCCGGTCCGCTCCATGGAGCCGCCTCTCTGTGCCAGGTATGTGGCAGGGAGCAATGCACAGGCACCCCTGCCCTCCTGGAGTGAGGGCGGACAGGCACTGAACAAAACGAAGCATAAGATGTGAGATGGTGCTAAGTGATGTGGAGAAAAAGAAAGCAGGAAAGAAGGTATGGTTTGAAACCCGACCATAATCCTCAAAATACCCCTGGTTTAATCCTCAAAATGCCCCTCATCTGCCAGTTGAGGAAAGTGAGACTCAGAAAGGTTAAGTAGGTTGGTTGCCCAAGGTCATACAGTAGGAACAGAGGCACTAAGATTTGAACCTGAATGTTCTGATAGGGGAGCTCTTTATTCAAATACCAGGCAACCATCACTCCAAATGACCCTGGAGCAGACAAAAATCAATCAGAAATCAATCTAGAGGGTCCAGCAAAGAAGCTAACAGATCAAGGAGTTCCATTTACCCTGGGCAATCAGGAAGGCTTCATGAAGGAGGCAGCAGCACTTGAGGCTGGTCGGGGAGAGCTCCCTGCCACCTCCATCAGAGGCTTCACTGGGCCTGGTGAAGGGTGCTGGTGCAGGCTGGGGCTGCCTCCTATTTCCCTGCCGGCCACCTTCTCTCAGCCAACCCCTTGCCTTCCAGAGCCAACTTGGCTTAGAAATCAAGCAGGGACAAGAAGTTCCCTTCCTGTGCCAGGCCTGCAGCCAGTCCGAGGCTTTGGCCTCTCCTGCTTGCCTACAGATGGCAGAGAAACCTCCAGCCCCGAGTTCTGGGCATCAGCCTGTTGGCCCAGCAGAAAGGCTGCTGGGGGAAGTTTGGCTGAAAAAATGTAGAGTGAAAGAATTGATTTTTTTTAATCTACACAGTCGTAAACATAAACTGGAAGATACATCTCTTCCTTTATGGGAGACAATCAAAAACACAATACGAGTTTATGGAGGGAATGTGTCTTTCTTATACAGGATATTTTCCCCAAAACACTTGGCAGCCTGAAACCACTCCATTCCAGAGACAAGTAATCAAGTGGAAAGAGAAGGGAGGGAGCGGGATCCCAGGGCTTTATGAGCCAGAGGCCCTACTCTGTTAATGACAAAAAAAAAAGGGTGGCTTTGCTCCTCATTTCCCCTGCCCTGGAGACCCAGGGCCTTGTGAGATGAGCCCAGAGACCCACATTCAACCTTTGGCAGCCAAGAGCCAAGGCTGGGCCATAATCCCATGCTGGATTTTCAGTGCAGCACCTCTGGGCATGTCGGGGCTAGGCCCTGTGCTGGAGCTGAGCACACGGATGGATAGCACTTGATTCTTGCCCTTGAGGAACCAGCCAGCCAGCAGGAAGGGGAGAGATTTACGGAACTGATGCTGACGGTAGGCAAAATGAATCAGGAGTGTGTAGACGTCTTTTTCTTCCCCTTCCCCTAAATCTTTACTTCTCTCTTGACCTGACTCCGGGACTCCCAGCCAGACACCCACCAGTAACTGCTCGATAAAACTTGCCCACTGGGTCATTGAAGCAGGGCCTTCCATGGTGGCAGCAGGGCCTAAGATGTGGTTGCCCGGAACCAAATGTTCCTAACTCTCTGCCGCAGAAGACACTTCCAGCCCAGCCACACTCTGGGATAGGCAGTTCTGTGCAAGTTCAGCATCCGCTTCAAGCACTTGAGGCCAGGGATTCCACTTTCTTCCTGGAGTCCAGAGGAGCCATCACCTCCCTGGAGAAGCCCCCCAACCAATGGGTGATGGTGGCCAATATATAACCCGCCCCCCTGACTTCCGTCCTTTAGGCCTTCAGTCCTGGGAGATACCAGGGGAGTAGAGCCCTGCCCTCCACAGCGGCTTCTCTGTTAATGCTCCTTTATATCAGCTTTTCCTCCTTCCCTGTCTCACTACCCAGCTACCCTCTTCCTGAAATCTCCCAATACACTTCCTGTACCCAAGTCCTGGCCCCAGGCTTTAGGTTCAAGGGAGCCCAATCTAAGAAAGCACCCCACCACTTCCATACTCCCCAACAGACAAGATCTCTGGCCTGCCTAGCACCTCTGGAATGTGCTCAAGATAGGTATATTCTCATGGCAAAGGAGAGAGCCCAGCCTCAGTTGGAGGAGACGGGGAGAGGACAGTGGGCCTTCTCCTCCTGGAAGCCATCCCTCCCTCCTTTCCAACTTCAGCACAGATGCCAGGCTCTGGAGCCCAGCGAATGAGGCAGGGCCCAGCTCCACAACCACCTATGTGACCTGGGCAAGTCACTTAATCTCTCAGAGCCCCATTTTTCTCATCTGTAAAACGAAGATGATGACACCCATGCTGAATAGCTGTGAGAACTGGATGAGGTCATGTCTGGGAGTGGATGCACAATCCAAACAGAAACGCATGAACCACTATTTGTATGAATTTCATCTCCCTAGACAGACTGCCAATTCCTTGAAGGCGAGGCCCTTCTTTATTTTTTCCTGTCTCCCCCACAGCTCCAGCATGGAGCTAGGTACCTAGCTCTCATTGAAAACTCCCTGGATGGAGCGGGGATTGGCCCTGAGCCCTGGGCTCCACTCAGACTGGCAAAGCTCTGCATGGCCAGATGATGAGGGCCATTCTGAGCGTGCCTTGGACTGCACAGAGCTGGCCTGGCCCTATGCCTGGTGCCAGTGAGAGGACAAGTTGCCCTCCCAAGTTGGGAACGGACGGTGGGCAGGCCAGAACCTGGAAGAAGTGGTGCTAGCTGACGCAGCCATCCTACCGTCCTGAAAAATCCAGGATGACAGTGTTGGGGGCTTTCATCAGCCCCAAGCTCTTTTTGAGTAAAGGGAAAAAATTGGCTTCCACTCCAAGCCCAACTGCATCCGACATCTGGCAGCTCAAAGTGAAGTGACTCATGCAATCCTTAGATACAAGGAAGTGGGGGGAGGAAAGAGAGAAGAAGAAGAAAATCGCACAGAAGGAGGGAGGGCAGGCAGGCGATGTGGCCCCCAGACAAAAGAATTAGCCAGAGTGGAGAGCAAAGGCTGGTCACATGCCCAGGTGACAGTGAGTTGCCCAGCCTTTGTTTTGTTCACCCAGCTTTGGGTCTACTGATAGGACCTCTGGCACCAGGCACTGCTGACCTAAAGAGACACAGGTTTTGACCAGCCCTGGTAGGATAAGAAGTGACCCTGTGGATAGTGAGCAGCCTGTCACCGGAGGCATGCAAGAGAAGCTGGATAAACTCAGGTAGGAGTGTGGTAAAGACTCTGGCTAAATAAGTCTTGGAGAGATTGAAAGATAGCGATGTCCCGTAAGACCCTGAGGGGAAGGGTGGATAAAGTCATGGAGATTACAGAGCCCACAAGCCTGGTTGTCTGACTGCAGGGACAGAAGCCATTTCTCTGTCCATGCAGGTGACAAGGGCAGGCAGTGTGAGCTGGAGGGGTCTTCTTCAGCTTCCCCTGGGACCCAGGCCTTGGTGACCTTCTCTTCTCCAGTATGATTGCTCTGGGAGTTGCAGAGAGGACTGGAGGGCAGCCTGCAGTGGGGTCACCTCTTCAGGGAGCTCAGAGCATGGCAGGGGAGGAGCAGCAGGCCTGTGGACGGATGAGGGAAGTTTCACAGCACCCCATTTGTCTCGTCAGAGCCAGTCTCAGGTTCAGGGTCACACAAGGGAGTGAGAGGTCAGCAGGTAGATGCGATCACGGGAGAATTCTTGGAGGAACCAGAGCCCTTGGAGCTAGTTCTAAGGGTTGGGCCCAACTATACATAAAAGTCCAGTCAATATCAAGTGAGTGTTAGAGAGACAGAAAGATAGAAAGTGGGGGCAGTCATTCCCGCTGGGAAGAACTGCTGAGCAAAGGTGCGACCATGGGGAAGAGACTGGCCTGGGCTGGGAAGGGAGGTTGAAGCAGGAAGTCAGGGGCTGTGAGGTCAGCCTCTGTCTTTTCTAGGTCTTAGTTTATGCCTCTCTCAGGAATGTCTTTTCAGGGTTCCTCCCGTGTGGTTGGAAACCTCAGACAATGTTTCCTGCCTGCTCTTCCCACCCAGCGGGAGGGCCACACACCCAAGCAGGAGGTGGGGAGGGTGCAGGCAAGTCCCTCCTCCCTGGATCTCCCACTTCCCACCTGCACAAGACAGGTTGAGCTGTGCAGTCTGCCAAGGCCCTTCTAGCCCAACTGTATCCAGATTCTTAGGTCTGTGGCCAAAGTCAGACCAAAGCAGAGGTCACCTCTTGGCCCACTTAGTGCAACATAACTGCCAGCGCCTTTGCCTCAGCCAGATGGGTCCAATTCCACAGTGGCCTGCGGGTCCTCAGCACCCCTCCCCCACCAAGTCAGGCATTACCTCCTCAGCCTGCTCTCCAGGAAGGCCTTCAGAGTCATCCTCACCTCCAGACCTTAGCTCACTCTGCAGCCCTTCCTGCTAATGTCCTTGCTCCTCCTCTCTGAGCAGAGGGCACAGCCTCCAAGGGCCAGAGGAAGATCCACACGGTGTTCTTTCATTCAGCCTTCCTGACAGGCTGGGAGCGGGTGCTGGGCGGGTCCTGCTCAGGATCTGCCTTGAGGAGCCCCCATCCCCGCTCCTTTAGGGCCCTTCGCTGAGTGTTCCGTTTACAGGGGCCTCGTCCCCTCTGAGCACCAACAGGCTGATGTACTTTTGTCCTCACCTGCTGTTAATCGTGCTCTGCTGTTAGGTTCGCTTCGTAGGAGGGCACCGTGTGGACATTAGGAGCATGGGCTCAGCAGTCAGACCCCTGGGTTTGTGTGTGAGGTCCCACTCCCCAGCTGAATGATCATGGGCAAGTGAGAGCCCTCCCTACACCTCAGTGTCCTCATCTGTAAAATGGGGATAGTGATAGTGCCTATTCCGGGGTTACTATAAGCAGTGCATGTGACTATGTATGTAAAGTGCCAAGTGTGGCACCTGCCATATCACAAGGGTTCCATGTCACTTGGGGTCAGTGTTCACATGTTACAGTTGTTAGGACCCAGGCAGGTCCCTCTCCATGTGTCTCCAGGCTCCCCAAGGGCAGGGCTTTGGAGGGGTGTGGAGGTGCAGAATGCATGGTTGAGGGGGTTGTATCATAAATGTACTTTGGGTTATTTCACTGATCCCTTGAGTCCCATTGACTCCCAGGGGGTCTGAAGGAAGGGGTGGCAGGACAGATGAATTCTGAAGTATGGAAAGCAGAGTTTGCAGCTTCCCAGAGGGGCTCCTGGGGAGCTGGGGTGCCTCATAAGCCCTGGGATGGGGGCCCCTGCTAAGGATGACGCGGCTTTGCCCACACTGGGCCTCATTCAGTGCCGGGAAGACTGAGGGAATGACATCGAGGGACAGGCAGGTGCAGGCTCCCTGATCAGGCTCCCCAGGCCCTCAGTCCCTGAGCCCATTAGTCAACAAATGTTTCTAAGCACACTCCAGGCTGCTCCCTTGGACCAGGTTGGAACCCCAGGACCCTGTGTCTACCTTACTGCAGACCTGGACTTGTGATAGAGAAGGTAGGGGGTCCACCAGGGAGGGGGCCAAGCCAGGAGGGGGCATGAACCACACCCCTGGAGAAAAGGTGGCTTCCTGGGACTGGTATTCTGGCTTTGGCCTGTTTCCTTCCTAAGTTCCCCCAGGGCCCAGAATGGGGCCTGCAGTTGGCAGCTGCTCAGTAAACCTCTGTTGAGCGAATGAATGAATGAGTGAATGAATGAATGCATTAATGAATGAGTGAGTGAAAGCCAGATTTGTGTCACTCAGCAGAGCACACCCATGGGATGCTCCCCCAGCTCCCCAGGAAAGCCCATCCTCTCCAGATCCTCCCACTCCCCCAGCCCCTGACCCGGCCCAGACCCTCTCCCTGCCCCATAAGCAGCCACGGTCTCTGCCCCACTCTGACCCTAGCCCCCGCTCCTGCCAGTCCTGCAGCCCCGAGTAGACTTCCAGGCAAGCCAAAGAGGGACGTCAACGTGCGGGCTTTCTGTTGTCACTAGCTGGCAGGTCTCAGGTAATAGCGCCTGTGGAGAACTAGCTACCTTAGCCAAAGAATTTGCAAATGCATGCCAGGAGTGGGTGGGTGAGCAGAGGATGGCAGAACGCCTCGGACTGGCTCCTTCCATGGGCGCCCCACTCCCACAGCAGGGTGGCAGCTGGGCGAGATTTCTCCCACACTCTGAGAGCTCCTCCCTCAGGACAGGCTGCAGAGGCAGATGATGCTGTCCATCTCTGGCCCCTTCCTGTCCTGCAACTCCCAACCACACTACTGGCTACCCCCGAGTGGCACTACCAGGCTACTCCTGAACTAGAGGAAGGGCAAAGGGAGTAACTAAGGCTCAGACCAGGGACATGTCTTGCTCCAGATCAGATAACAACCTGCCTGTGGAGCTGGTAGACAGACAGATCTACCTGTCTGTCTCCCTACCAAGGGGGGAGGTAGAGATTGCTGGGCAGAACGCACAGGCGACTAGCCCAGGAGAGAAGCTGCACCCACAGACCCTGTGGTCGCACAGACCCAATGTTGGCACCTCAGGTCAAGGAACAGCTGTGGGAGGAGGGGAGGGGCAGCTCCCCAGCCATCTAAGAGTGTCTCAATGGCAGCTCCCCGCTTCCCAGAACTAAGGGTGTCAAAGGGGCTAATTGTTTTCCAGCTAGGGTGACCAACTCATCTGTTTGTCTGGAACTTGGCTGGTTTTTGCATGTCCAAACGGGCTCCAGTAGAGGCCCTGATGGGCCACTTGGAGCTTGCCGCATTGTCCTGTCAGGACCCTCAGTGGCCATAATGAGACAGTGACAAATGGGGCATCTCTGGTAGCCCTCCCCAGAGGATGGGCCAAAGTGCAGGCCTCTGGCCTCTGAGGGAGCAGGCCCAGGGCCCGAGGCACAACTACTCCACCATGGCATTCCTGGGGCAATTGGCCAGCACGCCCAGCCAGGCTCAGGCTGCCCTCTGGTCCTCTCCTCAGCTGGCTCAGTGCCTGGTCCGACAGGGGCTGAACATCTCTAACTGGGTCACCGCCACCCCCACCTTCACCATCGCGCCTCCATCAGAGATAGCGTGTCAGCTGCAATTAAGAATTTCAAGTTGCAATTAAAAATTAATTGGAAACCGTAGGTTGTTTATGTCTCTCTGACCTCCGTCACCCTTATGGGGGAAGACAGGTGAGAGGAGGAGGAGGACTTTTTAGAGTGGGTATCTGTGGGAGGAGGGGGGCCTCTGAGCTGGCATAGGTTGCAACGGAGCAGATTTCTCCTCGAGGCTAGAAGGAGTGACATCAACCAGCTGGCCTTGAATGCCACAGTCCCTGAATTCTTTGAGAGCCCCAGAGCATGGAGATCTGTGGGTGGGAGAAGAGAGAGACTAGAAGGAAGGCATAGAGGAGAACTGCTGGCAGAGCGAGGCCTGGAGGCAGAGGTCAGGATAAAATTTAGGTCTGCAGAGGGCCATAACCAGGAGGTGTTCTGGATCTCAGGAAACAGTGGCCTGCAGGAATAAGAGAGCGCTTCCTGGAGGAGGAAGGAACACTAGACCTGGAAGGGCCAGCGGAGGGCACAAGCCTTGAGGAAGACAGGCAGAGGAAACAGAGTGAGGCACTGACAGCCAGCAGTGTGCGCAAGGAATTGGGACCACGTAGGGCGGCTTCCTCAGATCCTCATGAGCTGCACCTGTTGCAGGGTGGGAAAGGTGGGGACCTCCAGCCTCCCATTCTCTGAAATGGCCCACATGGTCTCTGGCCCCACGTTCTGCCTGCCAGGCCCAATGTGCAAGGCTCTCCGTCATATTCTTAGGATGAAAAGACTGAGTTCACACTCCTCGCCCTCCCACCAGGGCTTGGTATGACCACAGTGATCTCTGTGTCTCCAGGTGAAGGTATTTTGCCTGCTCAGTCCCCTATGGACACCGAGGCCAAAGTCCCCTTAGCATTGTCATCTTAGCTGCTGCCTTCAGGTGATCCCTGTTCCCTCTACATCTCTCAGCTGGCCCTTCCAGGTCTAGTGTTCCTTCCTCCTCCAGGAAGCCCTCTCTCATTCCTGCAGGCCACTGTTTCCTGTGATCCAGAGCACCTCCTGGTTATGGCCCTCTGCAGACCTAACTTTTATCCCATCTGTATTGGTAATAAATCAGTCTAGTGTTCCTTCCCCATCCCCACTCAGGACTCGGCAAGAACAGGTACTGGGTTATTTTCTACTCCATGATGCAAATACTTGATCTAACAGCAGTAAATGCAAAAGGGCTGTCAATAAAACACATTCTAAATGCCAGGTCATGGGTTTGTACCTCAAAGCCCCAGACACAGTGAGCAACAAGGACTAAAGCCTGGGTGACAGACTAAAACAATGATTGAGTCTGCTTACTTGGAGAATGTCTATGGCTTTTTCTCCCCCACAAATTGTGTAAAAAATAGAGAGAGAGAGTGCATGTGTGTGTGTGTGTGTACACGTGTGTCCATGTCTCTTGCTGTTCTATGCACCTGTGGAGTGAGGGCCCACATTTTACCACATTCTTAAAGGGGTCAGTGAATTAGGATTTGCTTTCAGCCGTTAATAACAGAAACTCAACTATAGTGGCAAAAGCACATTTGCAGTTTATTCTCTGCCAAAAAAGAAGTCTGGAGTTAAGCTGTCCAAGGTTGTATGGCAGCTCCATGATGCTCAGGAATCTACTTTCCTTCTATCTTTTGACCTACCATCCCTTATATATGGCTGTCATCCTCGTGGGCCCAAGATGGCTACTTGAGCTCCATTCATCACATCCACATTCTGGGCAAGAAGCAGAAATAAGGAGGATAGTGAAAAATAAAAGGGCACATGTTATCTACCTGTCTTTCCCTGAAGGGATATTCCCCCAAATCCTCCCTACAACATCTGCTTAAAAATCCACCCCACAAAATCACTGGTGACATGTAGCTGCAAGGGAAACTGGGAAATGTAGTCTTTTAGCTGGGCATCTTGCCACCTAGAGGAAAACTGAAGTGTTCTTATTACTCAGAAAAAAGGAGGAGACTAGGTACAGGGAATGCAGTCAGTAGGCTCAGTAGGCTCCGCCATAAGCAGCAACTCCAGCAAGCTGAATAAGCCTTAAGACCTTGAGCTTGGCTGGCCTGGGCCAAGATTTTATCTCTTCCAGGGAGGAGAGGGGCTGCCCACGATCCCGGGACCACCCCTGAGCTACACCTCCCTGCTCACAGATGGCAGGAGGCCAAAGTCCACTCGGGCAGGTGCTCAGCAGAGTTGCCACTTGGCTGGAGTCTGTGGCTATGCAGGAGAGAGTTGATGGGAGAAGGAGAGGCCAGGTGAGGCCCAGGCCCTGAGATGGGGAGACAGACCAGGGACTTGATTCTTTTGTTGTCATATTTGCTGTTTCATTGTGCGTCTAAATTGTGGGCCTCCAGGAGGCAGTGGGCACCATGACCACTCCCTTTCCACAGCTCTCTTTTAATGAAACACCTTTGCCTGCCTCTGGCTCCTGCCAGAAAAGGCAAAGGAGGCTGCCCAGAGCCTGCAATCCACCCTGCTGTTTCAATTAGGAAAGATGTGTCTTCTGAGGATGTCCACAGTGAGGCTGGTAATTAGGGAGCAAAGTAACTGCCTGCTGCTCTTTCAAAACTGACTTGGAAATCTTGAAGGGGCTGTCTGGGTGGCTCCTCGGCCCTCCTGGTTCCCTCTTATCCAGCACCGTTTAGATCCTCACCCCCAAAAAAATTAGTTTTGAGCAATTAGGGGGTTAGGTGATGGGGAAGCTAGACACCTTCCCAAAAAGTAATTAAACATGTGATGGATATGGTGAAGGAGAATGCCGGATGGGAGGGACCAGCCACTAAATTGGAGAGTTGACCAACGGGAGAGATGGAAGAGGAAAAGCTCCAGCCTCTCTCCTATGGGCCTAGGCCAGGGAGAGACAGGATTCAGCCTCATGGGATAGCAATGGAACACATTCATTCAACCAATGTTTCCTGAACACCTGCCATGTGTCAGGTTCAGTTCTAGAACCTGGGGATGCTGCAGTTTACAAAGCAAAGGCCTAATCTTATGGAGCTTACAGGTTAGCTGGCAGAGGTGGACAGTTAAAAAAAAAAAAAGAACAATTAAACACAAGGGCTATGGAAAAATCAAAGCAGGCTAAGGAAATAAGGAGTGACGGGGGTGGTTTGCTATTTTCTACTAGCTGGTCAGGAAAGACGTCAGCTGAGATGAGATGGAAAAGCCATGATAGAGTAAACCTTGAGGGTCACCTGGGCTTAGGGGCTGTAACCAGCAGAGGGAACAGCCAGTGCAAAGGCCGAGAGGTGGGGAAGTGCTCAGCATTTGTTGAGACACAGCAAGGAGGCCAGTGTGGCTGGAACAGAATGAGTGAAGAGGAGAGCAACAGGAGGGGAGTCAGGTTGGTAAGGGAAGGTGGTCATCAAGGGCCAAAGAGGCCACAGTGTCAAGTACACTGAGGGTATGGAGCAAAGCACCAGCCTGGTGCAGTGTAGAAAAAGTAGTCTGAGGGGCCAGATGTGGTGGCTCACTCCTGTAATCCCAGCACTTTTGGAGGCTGAGGTGGGCGGATCACTTGAGGTAGGGGGTGGGCGGATCACTTGAGGTCAGGAGTTTGAGACCAGCCTGGCCAACATATTGAAACCGTGTCTCTACTAAAAATACAAAAATTAGCCAGGCTTGGTGGTGTGTGCCTGTAATCCCAGCTACTCGGGAGGCTGAAGCAGGAGAATCACTTGAACCCAGGAGGCGGAGGTTGCAGTGAGCCAAGATCACACCACTGCACTCCAGCCTGGGCAACAGAGCAAGACTCCATCTCAAAAAAAAAAGAGAGAGAGAGAGAGAAAGAAAAGAGCCATCAATGAGGCTTCCTAGAAGAGATGGGACCGATTCAGATGCAGAAGAGGACAGGCACATTTATGCAGGGAGGGGGCAGACTGATCCATTGCACTGGGCAGGCACAGAGGCTGGCAGGTGAACTGCAGCAAGACAGTGAGTAGCAAGGGTAAGTCTGTGCGCCTACCCCATGCCCTTGGAATATGTCCCACCAACTGCCTCCCTGGCCACCTTTCTATTTGTGGAGCAGTCATCACGCCCCATGTTAGACACGGCTGCTGTTCCAAATGGATTATTGTAAATGATTTAATCACCCACATTAGCACTCCCTGGCTCCCACGTGGGGGCTCTGGAGCTTCTCCTCTCACATCGGCCCTGGCAGAAGCTTTTCTGCAATTTACTCAGGCTACCGGCACATGAAGAGGTTTCCAAAGTACTGTTCCTGCCTCCAGTGGGGGCATAAGAGGATCCGCTGGGGTATGGGAAGAAGCTATTAGAGCTTCTATTTATATTTTGTTCTTTATCTTATACTTTTAATATGACTATTGTATATATTTTATAACATATAGACTATATTAGCACAGAAATACATGCATATAATTTATGAATGAATTAATATTGATATGTATTAGGGACACGCTTAATTTTTTTTTTTTTTTTTGAGACTGAGTCTCACTCTGTTGCCAGGCTGGAGTGTAGTGGCGCGAACTCGGCTCACTGCAACCTCTGCCTGCTGGGTTCAAGCGATTCTTCTGCCTCAGCCTCCTGAGTAGCTGGGACTACAGATGCATGCCACCACGCCCGGCTAATTTTTGTATTTTTAGTAGAGACGGGGTTTCACCATGTTGGCCAGGATGGTCTCGATCTCTTGACCTCATGATCTGCCTGCCTCAGCCTCTCAAAGTGTTGGGATTTACAGGCGTGAGCCACTGCGCCCAGCCCACACTTACTTTTTTTACTGCTGGGAGTGAGCTGCTGGAAGTGTTTAGGGTCTGCTACTGTAGATAATAATAGCTAACAATTACATGGAACATGTGCTCCATGCTCCTTTACTTCTCACAACAGCCCATTTTACAGATAAGAAAACTGAAGCCCAGAAATGTTGAGTGACATGCCCAAGGCCACTCAGCCTGGAAGATGCAGGGCTGGGATGTGCCCCCAGTGGTCTAGCTGAGAATCCATAATGCTTCTCTGATAAGACTGGGGTCCTCAGACAGGAAGCAGGGATTCTAGATTACTCAGTTCATTCTTTGTTTCTGACAAAACGTCCCTACGCCACTCAAGATTAGTGACCAGAATCCCAAAAGAGCACCCCATCCCCAGCTCATGCCTGCCTCCCACAGCTCTCCCATGCCAATGCAACTCGTCTCAATTCCTGTTGCAATCTCAGCCACTTGTTTTCATTTCTCCTCTGGGAAAATGGAGAACAGATTATCTGTTTTGTTGGATGGGGCAGGAAGGGCTGGCTGGTGGTTAGAATTCTGTCCTCTTAGGAAACATCCAAATGAAAGATGGGTGGGAGAGGAAGCCAAAAACAATGAAAGAATCCTGGAGGGTTGTGATGGGAGAGGCTAAGAAGTGGGCCATGGGACTGCTGGAGAAGGCAGGAAGAGGCACACAGAGCCTGGACAGCAAAGGGCCCTTGGAGCAGAGTAGGGCAGACAGGAGGGAGTGCTACAAGCTTCATCTAGGAGACTGGGGTCTTCATCCCAAATCTGGGGACTGAAGGGACCAGGGCTGCAGGGCTCATCTGCCCACCAGAGAGCACAAGCAGCAGGCAGGTAGAGTCTTGAAGCCTCTGAGAAAAGCTGATGGTCATCAAAGGGGTGAGATTTTGCCCCAAGAGGCTTCCCTATCCCAAGCTTTCCTGACTCCAGGGAAGTTTCCCAGGACCCAGTGACTTCCTTGGCCGTGGATGAGCAGGGAGACTGGTCCCTTTGACTCTCTGACTCAAACCTGAATCAGGAGGGCAGGACTGGAACCAGGTGTAAAGTGTTTAGATCCTGAGCCTCTAGTATGATGGTTATAATGGATAAAGCAGAGTTTGCCATTTCCTGAGCATTCACTAAGTGCCACATTCAGAGCTAGGTGTTTTTCACCTGTTAAGCCTTCCCAACCTATGAGGCACTGCTATGGTTTGTATATGTGCCCCAAAAGGTATGTGTTGTAAACTTAATTCCCAATGCAATAATGTTTAGTGGTGGGGTCTAATGAGAGGTGATTAGGCCATAAGGGCTCTGCCCTCATGAATGGATTAATGTCATTATCATAGGAGCGGGTTTGTTATCTTGGGAGTGGGTTCCTTATAAAAGGACAAGTTTGGCCCCCTTTTACGCTCCACCCACTTCCCCATGTGCACATGCCTTCTCTGCTTCCACCATGGGATGATACAGCAAGAAGGCCCTTATTAGATGCTGACACCTTGATCTTGGACTCCACAGCCTCCAGAATCATGAACCAATAAATACTTCTTCATTTTAAGTTACCCAGTCTCAAGAATTCTGTTACAGCAGCACAGAATGAACTAAGGCAGGTGCCTCCCCTTGTCCTCATTTACAGGTAAGCAACTCAAGGTTTGCAGGATCAGGATATTGCTCCAGGTGAGTTGGCAAGTGGTAAGCCAGGATTTGAACTCAGCCTGTTTTGCCTTACCTTGCTCTTAGCAGGCAGTCCCTGAGCCTGTAGTCTTGCTCTAAAGGAAAGTCAAGGCCTGGAAAAGATTAGTCTCTGACAGCAGCTCCAGGCTGAACTCTGATCGCATTCATAGACTGAGTCGTGACTCTGTCCATGCAGTGGCTCCTGACCCTGGGCACACACTGAGCCCTGACTCTGGTCATAGACCAAGCCCCAACCCTGATCGTACACTGAGCCTTGACCCTGGCCTCACACTGAGCCCCGATGGAAGTCTACATTCAGAATAAAGGCCAGCACCAATATTTGTTGAATAGATAGTTGCTGTTGGGCTCCTGAGAGATATGCACAGATCATGACCTCCTCAGTAAGGATTTGGGAAGTTTATGCCACATGAGACGCTGATGAGGGAACACTTGAAGTTTATTGGAGATCTCAGGGTCCAGATGTGTCTTTTCCAGTGGTCACTCTCTGAGTCTTGGAAGATAGGCCTTCAGAGACACACCTGGCAGGCATCCAGCAGCTAGGACAGCTAGAGTGAGGCAGCTCTGCCTGTAGTCTAAGGCTTCTGGGAAGGCCATGGCTGGCACTACATTGGCCTAGGCAAGGACAGCCATGTCTGCCCAACCAGTTCACCAGTCCTGCTACCTGAAGCCTAGGCCACTTGATCAGGGGAGAGAAGGAGCTGTCACAGGGACCCTTCCTCAGGAGCTCTGGGCAAGACTAGCAAGAGAGGTACCCTCCTGCGTGACACCCCCAGGAAGAGACCTATTGCCCTCTAGGCAAAGTCAGGTGCATTTTCCAGACTTTGTGCTAGCATCCCACAGCAGGATCTAAAGAGGGAAAGCAGCCATCCGCAGTCCTTCCACACCTCTTTAAGAAGCCGTCTTGGCATCTCCAGTCCTCTTAGAGCTCTCCATCCTCCTCCCACCTGGCATCAAGGGCCCAAGGCTTCTCCTTTTACAAGGTCATATTCTGTTTTCACAACCATGCAGTCCCACATGTTGGAGTAACTGATGGAATGAATGAATGAATCAACACGTTCGTTAGGGGTTAGCTGGCTTGTTGTGTCGATAAAGTCTCTGTCAACGTCACAGATCCTCCAGAATGGCATTTCCACCCCTCCCCAGTAGCTTGGCCTCAATTCCTCTGTCCCTTCACTGCAGACATCTTGCTCATCCAGCTGTGGTGCATGGGGTTGTTAAACGGCTGGGGGATCCTGAGCAAGTCACTTCCCTCTCTGTGTAGTTCCCTCATAGCAACTTAGGATAGCAATAGTGCCAAGCTCCAAGGTCTACTGCAAAGGTTAAATGTGGTGGTGCATGTAAAGCAGTTTATAAATGAGTGGCGTTCAGCAAAGCACCTACTGCCGTGCCTGGCACCTAGCAGGTGTCAATGCAGCAGAGTCCCAGTTTCCACTCTCTGCCTGCCACCTTCTCTATACTCCAATTGGCAAGAGGTGGGTGGGGCTGTCCTTGACTGGCCAAGGGATCCCTAACCCCCAACCCCTTATCCCAAATGAGTCTGCAGACACGCCCTCCCCTGCCAGCTCATTCTAGCCATTTTTCTGCTCTGCCTCCACCCCCACCCCTTTGCTCTGGTAGCTGTGGTTTTAATGTGCACAATACGATTACGGCAAAATGGGTTTCCCATCAAACCCCCAACAACTTCTCTCTCCCATCCCCACCCCAGTGTCACCATGCCCCATTCTCTCCCTCCCTTGGGGACCGTGGAGTTTAATTTCAGGACATAATTCCCTGAATAGCTCTCTTCCACTGGAGCTTCCTACATACCTCCAGAGAACCCTTGGAAGCCTCAGGAATCAGGGTCAGAGCCCAGTGAGAATAAGACTCCACAGTCACGAAATTTCTACTGCATAGCTTGCCATCTTGAGGGAGCAGGAGCGCAAACCAGGAAAGAGGGACGGCCAACCTAACGGGACAGTCTTACGGGTCCCTTAGTGGAGGGTGGGGCCTCTGTCTCCAGAACTCCCCACTGGAAAGCGGGAGGCTGGAGCAGCTACACACTGGCTCCCATCCCTGCTGGTTGAGGGCTGTCCTGGAGGTATTCTCTCCCCCGCACTTCCAGCCTGCTTTGATCCACCGGTCAAACTGCCTTTCCTGGCGTTGGTGCACTTGAGGGGAAAAGGGCCAGCACAGGGTGAGCCCAAGTCCATCCAGAACCATCCACACAATTATGGTGGAAATCAGAGAAGAGCAGGGGAGATGTGGTGCTGGGCACAGAGAAATCAATGATACTAAGCAGCACCCTCCTGCTTAGGTTTCAGTGGCTTCCTTTTGTTGGAGACTCTGCAAGAGTGAAGATCACAGCCTCCTTCATCCTGTAGAGTCACTCATTCATTCTGCAAACATTTCCTGAGCCATGCTGAGTGCCAGGTCCCATGCTGGGCACTGGAGTCATGGAGATGAATCAGGCAAGGCCTCTTCCCTCAGGACTTCCCAGCCTAGGGCAGGAGGCAGAGCCGCACCTAAATGATGCCACAGAGGTTGGGGAAGAGAGGAGTATGGAGCTAGGTGTTAGCTTGGGAGAGTCAGGGAAGCCTCCACCAGTGAGCTGGGGTTTGAATTGGGCCTTGAAGGAGGAGTAGGTATTGACCAAGCTGAGAAGTAGGGAAAGATTGTCCAGGTCCAGAGCCTGCCCCCAGCATACCCCCTAAGCCATCAGCAGATCACCTTTCTAAATTCCAGGTCAACTCAAGAACGCCTACCCATCTCCATCTGCTCCTCTGCCCCAGCCTGGCCTGGGGGCTGAGAACTCAGACTCAGCACCTGGGGAGACTGTCTGCCTGACCTGAGCCACCAACCGAGTCCTTTTTTGACATGCGGGTCCTGTCTATGCCTGTAGTACCTACGGCCTAGACTGCTGCTGTGCCAAACCCCATGCCCCTCACCTCCCAGGCCCCCCTGATGCCATCTTGTGGCTCATGAGGTCTCCAAAGCCACCAGCCCTGTGAGTCCAGTGGGGTGCACACACCTGCACTTGGATCCTGGCACCACAGTTGCGAGATCTGGGGCAAATTGCCACTCTCTTTGAGTTTCATTTCCATGGGCTGCACAGTGAGGGTTACATGAGATAACTAAGATGCACGGAGCATCTCCCCAAAGCCTGGCACTGGAGGGCTGCGGTAAACAGCCGCTAGTGAATTATTATTTGCCAAGTGAATTATTATTTGCATGGGGAAAACTGGAAGGGGCAATTGTCCAGCAAATAGACCCTGAGTTGTAGAATCTACCCAGCCCGCCAGGGGATGTGCCAGGACTGTTGGGGCATGGGGCTGGAACTTAGTGCTGGGTACTGGGAAGCTACACGGGAAAGGACCCCAGAGGCTCTAGCCCTGTCCCCAGGGCCCCAGGCTTGGGCTGGGTTTCCTACAGTTGGCAATTTCCCCTTCAAGCATCCCCCAAACTCTCTCCGTATTAGCATGAGAATAGGGCGCCGGCTGAGACCGGAGGATCCAAAGATATTTGTATTCCAAAGAGCTTCCTCTGTTCCCTCAAAGCCCTTGTTGCCAGAGCTGGGAGGCTGGGCTGGGATCCAGAGGCCACTGTGGGCCAGCGAGGGAGGAGAGGCACCCACCAGAGGCCACCCTGTGCTCCTGGCCCTCCACCCTGAGGCCTCTCAGAGGGGGCTGCCAGTCCTCCCAGCTCCCACCCCTGTAGTGAGCCTCAATTGTGTATGTGTGTTGGGGGGGCGGGGGCAGGGGTGCTCTCTCATCTGAAAAAGCATGTTCTATATAATAAGTGCTTCGATTTGTTTTTTGCCTCAACCTTCTATTTCCTTGATGTTTTAAATCCTATACTATTACTGGGAGGAGTATGAGGTTTGTATGCTTATCACAAGTGAGCCTGGAATTTAAAAAGGTTGAGAAACGTTGCCCAGCGGGATTAATAATAACTGTAATAACAGTTAACAGTGGTGAGCATTTGCCCCATGCCAGGCATTATGCTGAGCATTTTACATACACTATGTTTTTTTAGTCCTCACTACAACCTTGAGATACTGTTACAAACCCCATTTTACAGATGGGGCAACTAGGTCTTAGAAGAGTAAATTAACTGGCCCAGGACCCTAAAATCAGTCAATGGCAGCATGGACCACAGTGTCCCCCAGCACCTCCCTGCCCCTCTGATGCCTCTTTGGGAAGAACTAGCACTAATGGGGAGTTTGGGGAACCATGACCGGGGCAGGTGCTAGTCCAGGCAGAAGTACTTTCCTCAGGCCCCTCTCCACTGTCCTGCTCCAGAGGTGCCCACGCTGAGCGAAGAGAGAGACCCTCTCATATTGTTTTATATTGTTTTATACTCAGTACCTGTTTTAAGAAAAAACAACAAGGAGGTAAAACCAAAGACAGGTAGCCTGGCGCCAGGCCCGAAACCAGGCCTGGGCCTGCTTGGCCTAAACCCAGTAGTTAAAAATCAACTCATAACTTAGAAACCGATGTTATTCATAGATTCCAGACATTGTATAGAAGAACATTGTGAAACTCCCTGCCCTGTTCTGTTTCTCTCTGACCCCCGGTGCATGCAGCCCCTGTTACATACCACCTGCTTGCTCAAATCAGTCACAACCCTTTCATGTGAAATCTTTAGTGTTGTGAGCCCTTAAAAGGGACAGAAATTGTGCATTCGGGAAGCTTGGATTTTAAGGCAGTAGCTTGCCAATGCTCCCAGCGGAATAAAGCCCTTCCTTCTACATCTTGGTGTCTGAGAGGTTTTGTCTGCGGCTAGTCCTGCTACAACGCCGGGGAGGACAGACTGGCATTCAAGCTAAACACCCTGCAAGCCTGTGTGCAGCTGTGGGGCCAGAGCCCTCAGGGTTTCCCTGTTGGGCTGAGCACAGTGGCATTTCCAAGGGATGGCCCAGGAGTTGGGGAACAAGAAGACAAAACACCCTAGTTCTACCCACATCACCCCGTGCCCCCCACAAGAAAGAACCCAGGATCCTGGGCCTGCCCTGCAAGAATGATCTTTACTTGTCTGCCCAACTACTCTCCCTCATCTTTTGTCACTGTTGCCCAGACACACTTGACACCTCCTCTTCCCCTCCTGCCTGCCCACTGAGAGCCAAGAACACACCAAGCCCTTCAGCTGCTCTGCAATGGAGGGAAGAGAGTCTCCAAGCCCAGCCATGTTGTCCCAACCACAAATCCCCAGCCAAGCCCCAAGAGGAGGCAGGCCTATGACCCCTTCCACTGGCTTCCTTCTGTGAAATTTGTCCTTTGCTTCCCATTCCATCACAAATTTCAGGTTTCATACAAACCAGAGGCCTTAATGTATGGCTTCCTTATCCAAACTGTCCCAGGATCCCAGTGTGGTATGAAAAATTCTAACCATTCTTTCTAGATTGGGTAGGAGTGCTTGGTGTGACCCCAATAGGAAGTGCTAATGAGATTTCAGGCACTGTGGTAGAGAGAATCCAAGGTAATCCCTGTGATCTGTGAATCACACAAGGGCCATGGGTGCTGGGGCCCTCTGCAGACCAGGGTGCAAGGCCTTAACCTAAGCCCAAAGAGGCTGAAGGTGGGGCCGGGGGCAGCCTGGGTGCTAAGAGGTGGGGGCCTCTGGAAGGAGCAACCTTCCCAGGCTTTTCATCTGCTCCTCATTATCCTCTCCCTCTGCCTGAGGGGGTAATTAAGCCTTCCTCCCATCAAAGGTTGAGGGCTGGCTTCACCCCAAGGCCTAGCTGGCAAGGAAGGAAGGTAATGAGAGCTCTCATCAGGCCCGAGGAGGGGGTCAAAGCCCAGCCCAGGGCTGGCCCCCACCCAATCACGCTCACACATCCAGGATACCAGGTTTGAAAGACACCATTAGTGCTCTCCAGGGCTGAGGAAGAAAGCCTAGCAACTCAGGCTGTCCTGAGATTCAAAAGTGTGAGCACTGTTGTCCTGGGCCCTGGAGTTCAGGGGTTCAGGACCCAGCCATGGAGGAGTCTGAGGGGAGGGGCGCATGCCCACACATTGCTTCTCTAATTAAATGGAGCACAGGACAGAGACCAAGGGTACTCTGACAGCTCAGAAGAGGGAGCCACAGAGTCCCTCTTATTATCCCCTTATTATTCCACAGAAAGGAGGAGGAAGAGTGGTTGATGATGATGATTGTATCAGTCCATTCTCCTGCTGCTAATAAAGATGTACCTGAGATGTACATTACTCAGTACATTACATGTACGTTACAGATGTACATTACATGTACTGAGATGTAATTTATAAAGGAGTAATTTATAAAGGAAAGAGGTTTAATTTACTCACAGTTCAGCATGGCTGGGGAGGCCTCAGGAAACTTACAATCATGGCAGAAGGGGAAGCAAACATGTCCTTCACATGGCATCAGGAGAAAGAAGAATCAGTGCCCAGTAAAGGAGGAAGCCTCTTATAAAAACCATCAGATCTTATGAGAACTAACTCACTATCATGAGAACAGGATGGGGGAAACTGTGCCCCACGATTCAATTATCTCCACCTGGTCCTTCCCATGACACATGGGGATTATGGGACCTACAATTCACGATGAGATAGCCATAACATATCAATGATGATGATGAAATTGACCCAGCATCCTTTGTTGGAGTCCTCATTGTACAAGAGGTACTGTGATGTGCCCTGGGTATGCATTATTTCATTGGTGACAGCCTCACGACAACCCTTTGGAGGCAGCATCTTGTTATTCCCTCATTTTTTCCCAGAGGTGCCATCTGAAGCTTGGAAAGGTTAAGTAGCTTGCCCCAATTACGGAGTGGAGACAGGAAGGCTTCCTGGAGAAATGGCTTTTAAGGGATGGGAAGATGGCAGGAAGGCCACAGTGGAGATGGAGGAGAGGGCAGAGGGCAGGTGGGTGCTAAGAGTAGCAGGCAGTCCAGACAGAGTGAGGCTGGTGATGCGGGGAGGGGCCAGCAGGGAATGTTGCAGCAGATCCTGGAGGTGATAGGGAGCCATCGAATGTTTCAGAGCACAAAAGTAATGGAAAAATGCGTTAGGGACAGTGTTGTAGGGTGGGGAGAAGGAGCTGGAATATAGCAGTGCCAGGAGGGTGGTCTAGCCCCTGGCTCCAAAAGCCTGCACTCCTGGCTCTTAACCAACAGGAGAGGAGGTTCCTGGAGCCCAGCAGGAAGGATTCTGGCCCAGAACCACCTTTGGCCATACCACCCAACCTCAGGCAGCAGGCTGCCATGACACTCAACCTGGTAAAATGGGAGTCAGCTACTCCTCTCTGATCCTCAGTTTCCCCATATGCTCTGGGTTGCTACTGGTTTCTTCCAGCCATAGGAGGGCCTGGATGGGCTCCCTGCCTTTTGAAGAGAGCTCTTGAATCCCAGGGACAAGCACATTTAATGGGAGGGTTTCAGGCCAACCTCCAACTTTCAAGCAGCAACTCCCTCATCCAGAACAGCTGCTCAATTACCTCTTAATCTTCTTGATGGAGTGGAGCCAGCCAACCACTGCAGGTCCACGCCAAGTCCCCAAGCCACATCCACAGATCATACCCTACCCCAGAATTCCCAGATGGCTGGGTGGAGGTGTGGAGAGCTCAGGACAGCTTTTCCCTCATACCCAAAACTGCTTCCCTGTGCCAGTGGGTCAGACCAGTAGCCTGGAAGAGACAAAGTTTTAGCCACAGAGACCTGGTTTGAAATTCTACCAATAATGTTTGGCGCTAGGCCTGGAAGGCCCTTCCCAACCTATCCATCCACTCTGGGCACCCTTATTAGCCATGAACAGCTGCCTCTAGGAGTGGTTTTATTAGATTCATTTAAACCTCTGGTTTGGAGCAGGTTTGGATGGTGGGATTGGAAGACAGAGGATATAGATGGGGCAGGAAAGGAAGCCAAGAAAACCGAGCACTGATAACTAACTAGGTTGGGGCGTTCATCTCAAAAGCCAAAAACGAGGGGCCCTGTCCCAGCTAGAGCTTCGGTTGAAACCATTCCATTGCAGGAGCCTGGTAGGAAGTTCCCCAGGTCCATGACAAAACACACACAGGTGTTTGTGTACACAGATGTGAGCGCACATGTGCACAGACACACACACACAAACACATGACCAAGCAGTAATCTAGGAGAGGCTGTGGACTTACTTTTCCCTTCTGAAGATTTTCTTTTCTTTCTTTCTTTTTTTTTTTTTTTTTTTTTGAGACGGGGTCTCGCTCTGTCACCCAGGCTGAAGTGCAGTGGCATGTTCACAGCTCACTGCAGACTCAACCTCTGGGGCTCAGGCGATTCTCCCAAGTAACTAGGACTACAGGCATGTGCCACTATGCCTAGCTAATTTTTAAATTTTTTGTAGAGATGGGGTCTCATCTCACCATGTTGTTCAAGGCTGGTCTTGAACTCCTGGCCTCAAGCACTCCTCCCACCTTGGCCTCCCAAAGCTTACAGGCATAAGCCACCAATGCCTGGCCTCTGGAGATTTTCTGACATCATGTGATAAGCACGTGTCCACCATATCCTCATCCTGGAGCTGATGAAAGTACTAGTACTGTGCAGGACTGAGTTCTGAGACCTGCAACTGGAGACTGGAGGACTGAGCCGTAACTGCTTCCCTGGGAAGCCTTTTCACTGATTCTTTCAGGACAGTGGCCTAGAGAGGTGGGATGGGGAGGTGTGTTGGAAGGCTATCCTTCTGCAGTGATGTGACTCAGACCAGAGCATAGTGGCAGGGGAGTAGTGGAAGGGAAATACAGGTTTTTATTTTCACCCAAGCACTTTGGTTTTGGGCAGAAGCTGCCACAAGGTGTCAGTAAAGGCTCAGAGAGGTTGGCTGACTGGTCCAAGGTCACACAGGCCTTCTGATGCCCAGACCTGGGCATTTCCTACTAGACCCAGAGTGATCTGCTCTGTCTGAAATTGGTTGGCAGAATCACGGGGCAAGCTCAAGAAGGCCTGAGCGACCTTGCTGGGCGGTAACATAAGGTAACTTCCTGGGCTCAGGCCTCCAAGGGGGAAGGCTATGTCAGATTACATCAGTGAAATGGGAGGAGTAGGGGATGAGCCTGGGCTCTGCAACACTGTGTGAGGCTGACATTGATGGCACAGCAGTGACCTCTCCCCGCCCCCACACCACCCCAATTCTTCCTGAATGATCGTGGCGTAACTACTACTCACACTTATCTGCATACCTTCCTTCAACCCCCAGAGGAAGCCACTTCATCAGTCAGTCAGATAAAGAGGCCAGGTCCTTTCTGCTGGGGTTTTGAGGCTGGTCCTATTTAATCTCCTTTTCTTCAAAGGCAAGGAAAGGCCTTGGCAGGCTTGGGACCCTCTGATGCTCCCACCCAGAGAGGGGCTCTCTGCTTTGGGGTCTGGCTCTCCTTTCTGCCTGGCCTTGTGTTGAAAGCTCACTTCCTCTACTGGGCTCCAGGGCCCAAGTTGCTGGGCACAGTGGGGGCAATGGTTAGCATTTGTTGAATGACTGTTGAAGCGAGACCTTTCTGGAGTGGCCAGCTTCCCCCCTGCCTCTGCTGGCTCTCACAGCTAGGGGGCTGAGGGCTGTGCTTTCTGGGGTGGGTGACCACCTGTAGCAGATGCTCCTGGCTGGTTGGCCCAAGCCTCTCCACACCCCTTTTTCCCCAGCCACCTTCCAGTGACTGGCCTAGAGATGGCCACGGGACCCACTTCTGGTCAATGAGATAGGAGTGAAGTCACCGGGTAGGGCTTCAGGACATTCTTTCTAGAAGGTACAGAACTGGCATTCCCCTCAGCCTTTCCATCTTCTTTCTGCCTGGAAGTTGGATCTAGGTGTGGAGTTGCTGCAGCCATCTTGCAATTATGAGGCAACAAGCATGAAGACAAAGGCTTTCACACTAAGGTTGGTGGAAGGGACAATGAGAGGAGCCTGGAGCCTTGACGGCCTGGTGGCCCCAGACTGCCCATCCCTGAATTTCTTTTTATATGGAATAAATACCCTCCTCACCCCCACTGCACCCTAATAAACAGTTAGGACACTATTTATTAGGTTCTCTCTTACTCACTGTCAGATGCATCCTTAATTGTTTTATCACCCTCCTCCAGTTAGAAATGCTGAGCTCGGGTAGAAAGGGATCTCTTTCCCCTGACCTTGATATTGGCAGGAAAGGTCAGAACACTGAGCTTCCAATGCACTGTGAGTCCAGGATCCTTTGGAGCAATAAATGGCCTGGAAATGAGGCTGACTTTTGAGTGACCAGTAGCTTCTCTAATAGACCGAGCTCAGGGACCATGCAGTGTCTTCCCCTTCTGTGGAAGTGCCCTGCTTTTCTTACCCCATGCTCTCTCCCAGTTCCACCAGCCTCCTGACTAACTCCTAGTGTCTTTCAAGACTCAGCCTGTGTCCCCTCTTCCAAAAAGCCCCTGCCACCCCCATCACCCACCCCCAGGATGGGTCAGACATTTTCCCTTGTACCCCTACAGTACCCTATGCCACCCGTAGCACAGCATTTGTCACCAAAGATGTCATGGACCATGTGTCCATGTGTCTGCCTTGCACCAGATGAAGTGTCTTTTTAACCTTTCTAAGCTGGGTACCTAGAGCAGGTGTTCCAGTCATTCAGGAAGTCATTGTTAACTTGCTCATTCATTCATTCTAGGTTTACCGAGCTTCTCCTAGAGATCCCAATGCCAGGTGGAGCAGCTCTGCTCTGCTAAGCTGTCACAGGGCCCAGTGCACCTTGCATAGTGGATCCTCAGGAACAGTCCCAGAAGGTTGGCCTCAGGGATGGGTCCTCCAGCCACAGGCCTTGCTCCTTACAGCTTACCAGAGCAGGGAGAGGTGCAAGCTTGGAGCCAAGATAGCAAAGTCGGATCTCATTCTTGGCATTCTGCCTCCTCCCCCACCCCACTCTGCCCTGCCATTCAATAAGGAGGAGAGTCAAGGCCAGAGTGTCCACATGGGGGGTAAATAAAACTGGGGGTACCTTGCAGGGCCTGCAATTATAATCACCTCCTCCAGGACTCAGATTTGGGAGCTGAGGATTAAGGAGGAGGCATGGGCAGAGGAACAGGACTGCTTCTAGAACTCCTAAAGAAATTGAATTTATAGTCAAAACTCTTTTCACAGAGAAAACTCCAGGCCCAGATGATTCTCCTGGTGAATTCTTGTGAATATTTAAGTGTAAATAAACAAACCTTATTATGCAAACTCCTCCAGATAACAGAAAAAGAGGAAATTCTTCCTAAGTCATTTTATGAGGCCAGGGTGATGTTGATATCTCAATTCCCACATCTGTAAAGTGGGGATAATAATAGGTGGTGCCCACCTCTGAGGTAGGCAGCAAGATTTGGATTAAGGGAGTTGTATGTATGGCCCTTAGCATGATTCCTGACATCTAATATGTCCTCAATGTTAGATGCCAATAATTGACGTGGCCAAGCCCCAATTCAGGCCAAAGCCTATGTCTCATCTGCACCATGCTGAGTCTAGAATGGCATTCCTTAGACAAAGGGAACAGAAAAGAGGGTTGGGGAATGATGTTGAAAACAGCCCCTGTCCGGTGATGGCCACTTAGCAAACTTGATCTTGCTGAATCCTCACGAACACTCTTCAAAGTAGCTATATCAATCCCATTTTACAGGTAGGAAAACTGAGGTTCAAAGAATCTGCAAGTAACTGTATAAAGTCAAAGCCAGGCCTGTCTTCAACATAAAGCAAGTTACTAACCAACCAATCCGTGGCAACAAAGCTCTCTGACCTTGGGCTGAGGCTATCTAGATTTAAGGGTTCCTTTCTCTCTCTCTTTCTTTTTCTTTCTTTCCTTCTTTCTTTCTTTCTTTCTTTCTTTCTTTTTCTTTCTTTCTTTCTTTCTTTCTTTCTTTCTTTCTTCCTTCCTTCCTTCCTTCCTTCCTTCCTTTTTTTCTTCTTTCTTTCTGTCTTTCTTTTTTATTTATTTATTTTTTGAGACAGAATCTCACTCTGTTCCCCAGGCTAGAGTGCAGTGGTGAGATCTCGGCTCACTGCAACCTCCGCCTCCTGGGTTCAAGCGATTCTCTTGCTCAGCCTCCCGAGTAACTGGTATTACAGGCATATGTCACCACGCCCAGGAGAGGCAGTTTCACCTTGCTGGCCATGCTGGTCTTGAACTCCTGACCTCAAATGATACACCCACCTCAGCCTCCCAAAATGCTGGGATTACAGGCATGAGCCACTGCACCCAGCCAAGGGTTCCTCACTGTAAAATGACTGAAGGAGTTTCTCTCCAGGCTGTTAAAAGACAAGAAAAACACACAAAGAGTTCTGACATAAAACTGCCATTCTGTCTCCAAGGTTCCCATGAGCCTACATTCCCCTGCAGGTCTCCACCTGCCCCAGCCTTTACATGGCTCATGTCATAAGGAGGTGGGTCACCCCATCTCCTGCCTTATGGGAGAGGGAGGTTGTTATTGCACAAGTAGTACATAAATACATTCTCATTGTAATAAAAACTTAACCAATTCTGAAATATGTTGAACCCTACCCAGAGGGGAATACCATTCAACCCTGGATAGATCTCCCTCCAGACCTGCTTCTGTGCATTTATCTCATTATATAGACGCATCATTTCAAGTAGTTCTTTTACATGACTGCAATAATCCTGCAGGTATTGTTCTGCAACTTGCTTTTTTCACTTCACAATCCCACGTGCTATTTATATCTCCTTTACTTTCCCGATGGATTCAGGAGGTTTACCAGAGTTCCAGAGGGTGGGTACAGAGCCCCAGAAAGAACATGGGGCTGGAGTCATGCTGACCTAGATTGAAATCCTGGTCCTGCCATTGCATCTGGGTGACCTTGAGCCAGTCCCTAAAATCTCTGAGCCCCAGTTTCCTCACCTGCAAAATGGAGATAGCAATAGGGGTTACCTCAGAGGCTCAGTGTGAGACTCCACTATGATATGACAAAGCGGTGTTAATAATTTCAGATCCTCAGCCTGATCCTCAGCTTCCCTAGGGCTTTGAGTACAAGGATTTAAGGGTCTGGAGGTCCCTGGTGGGCAAGATGGTCCTTAGAAATCAGATCCCAGGGCCTTGAGCAAGTCCTTCCTTACCCAAGACAGACAAGACACAGGAAGAGAGAAAGCAGCAGAGCAGCGACACGAGACACCCAGAGTCACTGCTCCATGGCTGCAGACCACACTGGGCCTCTCCAGCCACATTGGGAGTGCTGGGTGTCCTGCTCCTCCACATCCCATGGAGGTAGCAGTGGTGATATCTGTCTGGGTTCTGCTTTCCCTAAGCTGGGGAAAAGCAAGCTGCTTTTTTCTTTTTCTCTTTTTTTTATATTTTCTTTTTTTGAACATACAGGGTCTTGCTCTGTCACCCAGGCTGGAGTGCAGTAGTAGTGCAATCATGGCTCACTGGGGTCACTGCATCCTTGACCTCCCAGGCTCAAGCACCCTCCCACCTCAGCCTCCCGAGTAGCTAGGATTACAGGCACATGCCACCACACCCGGCGTTTTGATTTTTTGATTGCTGTTGCCCAGGCTGATCTCGAACTCCAGGGCTCAAGCAATCCTCCCACCTTGGCCTCCCAAAGTGCTTGGATTACAGGCATGAGTCACTGCGCCCTGTCCCAAGCTACTCTTAGTAAATATCTGTTGATTCCACGATCCATTCCTTCACTTCTGGAGCGTGTTGGAAGATTCTTCTTCCTATTTCAAAAACGGGGAAACTGAGGACAGGGAATGTCAGAGGCTCTAGACATCATCTGGCCCAGCTCCCTCATTTGACAGACGAAGTGACAGAGACCCTGTAGGGAGGAAAGCAAAAGGCATGGGACAGCCCCGGCATAGAATGAATACAATAAATGCTGCATGAGGGGCCAGATGTTTTATTTAATCCTCCATCCTGGCCCATAAGGTAGGTATTGCCATTTCCCATTTTACACACCAGAGACCTTAGGTGGCTTTCTCCAGGGAGCACCGCCAACAGGAGCCAGAGTTAGAACTCTAGTGCGCGAGTCTCTCACCCACTGGCTCCCGGCACTGCCCTCTCTTGCCTCCTGCCAGTCGTCCCACACACTGCCTCATCTTCCTGGCCTGCCCCCTGGGCTGCAGCTCCCTAGGAGGCCTCTCTGACCACCCTCCTGTGCCCCACTGCTCTGATACAGACAACCATCCTGACCTTCAGGACCCCTGAGCTCTCTGACTTGATGAAGAATCTGTCTTCTCTCCCGAGACTGTGGGTCGTTGAGGAGAAAGAGTCTAATTCTGAAACATTTCTGGGTCTTCACATCCAGCATAGAGTCTGGTCCAGAAGAAGCAAATGCGAATGTTTGTGGAAGGAAAGGAGGGACAGAGGGAGGGACTCCAAGGCCATGCTCTTTCTTCTATCCCACAGCTTATTTGACACAGCCAAGGCTCTAAGATTTGTTTTTTGTTTGTTTGTTTGTTTGTTTGTTTTTTGAGATGGAGTTTCTCTGTTGTTGCCCAGGCTGCAGTGCAATGGCACGATCTCGGCTCACCACAACCTCTGCCTCCCAGGTTCAAGCGATTCTCCTGCCTCAGCCTCCCAAGTAGCTGGGATTACAGGTATGTGCCACCACGCCTGGCTAATTTTTTTGTATTTTTAGTAGAGACGGAGTTTCTTCATGTTGGTCTGGCTGGTCTCGAACTCCCGACCTCAGGTGATCTGCCCACCTCAGCCTCCCAAAGTGCTGGGATTATAGGCATGAGCCACGGTGCCCGGCCAAGGCTCCAAGATTTCATCCCACATTGCACATCCCCTTCCCCCACCTCACTGCCACTGGCCCTCTCCCTACTCCTCAGCCTCCCTCTCCCAAGTGCTAGTGCTCCCCACTCGTGAGGGCAGTAACCCCTCCCCCCCCCTCCCCTGCCGCACTGCCCACAGCCCTCAGGGACTGCCCTGCCAACTGAATCCCACCAGGGCCCAGGGCCTCAGTGATGGCTCTCTCAACAGGCCGCTCCCCTTAAGCAGGTGACAAGGCCTTGACCACAGACCCGCGGAGGAAGGTCTTGGAGGCCTGGCCTTGCCTGGCCCTTCAAAGCAACTGAGAAAGTGGCCACCTCCTCCACAGTGCCGCCCTCCTGCTGGCTGGAGCCTGTGTGGTCCACGCTCCTTTTCCGAGGTGGGTAGGGGGCTGGGGAGACTCCCAGGTTTTGTCAGCAGAGAACCATAGTTGGGGAGGACTGCGTTTCCATGGATACAAGCCATGGGAGCTGCTGGGAGATGGGGCCATGGTGTACACAGATACAGATCCACACGGACCTGCAAGAAAAATAGCAACAGATTTGCTGAGTCATTGGCCCCACATATTTATAGTTTCTGGCAAAGGCAGACCTGCCTATCAGAGGCTAATAATACTGCAGCAGCGTGTTAATTGCAAAGACGGAGCCTTCAAGCATCCATTCAGACACCCGAGACCGCTCCTTGAATAAAGAGTGGGGCCCTCACAATGAAAGCCGGGATGCGTGGAGGCAGCGTGTGTGCTTAGGAGTGTATGTGCATGCAGGTATGTGGAACCCAGCTCTGGCACGTTCGGAAAGCCAGACCGAAACCACCCCGCACCAGAGTGTTAGAAAGCACTCTTCAATCACCTAAGGATATCTAGGATTCAGCCCACTCTACAGATGGGCAGGGTGTGAGGAGATTGACAAGAGGAGAGCAGGCTGGTTGGCTATGTCCCAGGGGTGAGAGGAGGTGGACGGGGTGCTGGTCTGCAGCCGTGAGAGACCTTTGTGGGGACAGCCACTGTCCTCTAGCTCTGCACAGTTGGGTAGTTAGGAGAAAGAGAGAAACAGGCCTCTATCTTCTGGAAGGTCAGCCCCAGTGGGCCACCTGACACACCTGAGATCCCACAGGGCCCCAATACAGGAGGCAGAGTCAAGGATGTAGATGCCGGGAGCGTGCCTGACGTCTTGAATAAATGCCCAAGGGATAAAGTCAACCCTAGAAGACCATCTATATCCTTTGCCTCAGGGAGCCAGGAGGCCCATTTAGCTCTGAATGAGGCAAGCCAAGTCCTCACCTCCTAGGACTTCACCGGACATGGTGGTCCTGTCCTTGGAGCACTGCCTTACAGTAGCATTAGTTATATCTCATTGCCTCTGCCCCTCTGGGGGCTTCACATGTTCCCAGCACCTGGAAGAGCAGGCCCTCAGTGAGGGCTTGTAGATGAAGAACCAAATCCCTCAGGTTCTTTGAAAGCAGTTCTCAGTCCCCCAACTCTTCTGAACTCCAAACCAAATCCTCCTCCCCTGGCTTGGGTTCAAGTCTCATTCCTGGCTGTAGTCCTCTCTGGACGTGCTCCTTCTTAACGCTGAGCCCTTCGCTGGATGCAGAGGGCAGAAGATGGGTCTCTGACGGGATCCCCATCTTCTTATTTCAGCACACACACTCCTGCCCTCAGGACAAGGAGGGCAAGGATTGCTGGATGCAGCCTTCCCTTTGCTGCAGCTGAAACAGCCTCCTGGCCTCTAGCCTCCAGCCCAGCCTAGGAGGACAGGTCATCCTCTTTCCCGGAGGGATCTGACAACAGATGGGTCATGGCCTCCAGGGACCCCCGAGGAGCAGCAGAGCAAGGCTCTGCAGGGAGGAGGAGTAACCAGGCTCGCTGCATGAGCTGGGCCTCCATTTCTCCCACTCCTACCCCCAAAACAGCTCAATCATTCGTGACTGAGTTCACAGCATTCCGAAGTAAGGAGGCAGAAAAGGAGGGAGGAGGGGAGAGAAGAGAGGGACATCCTTTCAGTTCTCACTTCTCTTCAGGAGAAGGTTGACTCAAGAGCTATTATTAATAGTAAATTAAATAGTGCAGTTATTCTGAATAATAAAAAGCTCTTCTGTTCCAAGTTTTCACTGTCCTCTCTCGAGGGAAATACCTGCTGTGGCCTGAGATGTGGCATCTAGTGAATAGCATTAATAGGACAAAGCAGATGCTCCCGCTGTGCCCAGTCACAGGCCACCAAGTCCCCTCCAAAATGCCTCCTCCACCCGAGCATCAGGGTGCAGGGAGAAGACAGGCTTCAGGTGCCCCAGACACCCCAGATCACCCCGCGATGATCACACCACAGAGCCCAGGCTATGTTCACCTCAGGGTGGAAACCTTGTCGATGGCATCCCTGCTGGTGAATAGTGGTCCTCCCACTTGCTAGCCGTGTGACCTTGGGCAAGCCCTCGAACTGTTCCATTCCCTCATCTGTAAAATGGGGATAATGATAGTATCTCTCTCATGGGTTTGCTAGAAGGATTAAGGTTAATATGCATAATATTGTTATTATACGTATAAAGGGCTTATAACTGTTCCTGGCATTTAGTGCAATGTAAAGGTTTCTTAAACAAGAGGGTGCCAGGCTGTGCAGAAGGCAAGCCCAAGATCTAAGACTCCATGCGTCAGGTTTGTTGTGATTGAAACCATTACAGCAGAGAGCTCCTCAGTAGGTGTCAGCCCAGGCTGATGAAGGGGATGCAGCGATGTGATGTCCCGCTCCTCTCTGGGCCTCAGTTTCTCCACCCATGCATGGGGGACAAAGGTGTATGAAGCGACAGCTATGGCCCAGCCTGTGCTGACCTGTAACTTATAAAACAGCTAATGTACATTGAACTCCGACTACGTGCCAGGCACTGTGTTAAGTGCTTTATAGTCAGTCAGTCATTTCATGTAATCCTCACAACACCTCCATAGGTAGGTACTCTGTTCCACAGATGAAGAAATTGGGTCTCAGAGAGGCTAAGTAACTTGCCCAAAATCACACAGTTAGCAAGAGGTGGAGCTAGAACTTGAACCCGGGTCTGCCAGACTCCACAACCCAACTCCGATGCCCTTGAAGTCATGTCACCTAACCTCTTATTATATAGTAGCCAGGAATGTGTTGTGTAACTCAGGATTGCTTGGCAAAAAAGAAGGGGCAGGTCTGGGCTGCTCCTGTCCCACCCCAGGCTTAGCAGCCAAGCAGCCCTCCATTTGATACAGGTTGAACATCCCTTATCCAAAATGCTTAGGATCATAAGTGTTTCCGATTGGGGATTTTTTTTTCAGATTTTGGAATATTTACAAATAGTTACTGGTTAAGCATCCCAAATCTCCAAATCCCAAATCTGAAATGCTCTGATGAGCGTTTCCTTTGAGCATCATGTCCACGCTCAAAAAGTTTCAAATTCTGGAGTATTGCAGGTTTCAGATTTTCAGACTTGGGATGCTTAACTAGTATCAGCTTTTCTGAAGAGGTGAGGACTCTAGCTGGCTGCCTAGTAGTTGAGGGAACACAGAGAGTTGAAAATGGATCCCATGGAGAGTCGGGTGAGAAGACCCTGGGGGAATCAGGGGATGCACCCAAGGCCCGGTGGAGAGCCAGACACAGAGCTATTGCCGGCCCAGGCCCAGAGCAGGTGCCAGCATCTGGGATGTGCAGGAAACCCCAGGGATGCAGCCTATCAGAGCCCCTCCTGCTCACTCCCTCCCATCTACCCCGAATCATCCGGTCCCTCCTGGGCCCACTTGGCTTCCTCTCCTGCATCTCCAATGGCAGCAGCTTTTGAGGGGGGAACACTCTCCCCTGGGGCCCGGATGCTGTGCTAAGTCGTTGTTTCTGAGGAGGAAACAAGGCCGACTGCATTTTCTAAAGAGGCTCCAGGGAGCTGCAGCCACCTGTGAGGCCTGCGACTGGGGCCTCTCAGTGCCCACCACTGGGACAGCGAACCCTGCAGGTCACAGGCGGTGGGTCAAGTAGGGGGTCCATGAGTGTGAACAAAATGTTTGACCTAGGGCTGATTGAGCAACATTTGTGATGGGGCAGACACTGGGCTGGGAGATGAGATGGGGTGGATCAGGCAGGTCCTCAACCTCCTGGGGCTTCTAGAGATAGAGGTGAACATAGAAACTAACCTCCCCCTGGTAAGTAGCAATGACGCAGTAACTGAGCTTTGTGGGGTCGGAAGAGCAGGGACTGATAAGTCCTGCCTGGGAAGGAAGGTGGAAAGGACATTCCAGGCAGGAGAGCAGCCAAGTGAGAGGGCCGGAGGCATAGGAGATGTGGGGGAGCCTCCTTCCAGGAGTTCTGGTCCTATATGGTTCTAGGTGAGAGATTGGAGGTGATAAGTGGTGTGGACAGAGGCCAGTTGTAAGAGGCCTGGAAAATGCACACAGAAGCTCGAGTTTCCTGCTGAAGGCAATGGGGAGCCACTAAAGGGAGTCATGTGATTGGACTGGCCTTTAGAAAGATCACCCTGGGACAAGCTGACACCCCATCCAGCTCTCCAGAGCCCCAGCTCAAGCCCTTAGGCGTCACAGTGCTCCTGCCTGACAGGCCATCCTGGATTAGGGGGTGATGCGGGAAAAGTTATGAGTTCACATTCATGGGACTCAGCACAATACAGATCCAACCAATACAGATTCTCCCTGGCAATGGATCTCTTCCGCAATTCAAAGATGTCTACATTAGAAGTGATGACGTTTACATATCAGAAAATCCACCCCTATAATTAATCATGTCAATTACCAGAAAGGAAATAGTTTTGTGATCATCTTAACTGACATCAAAAACTCATTTGACAGAACTGAATATCCATTCTGCTGAAAACCCTTAGTAAAATAAAAATAAAAGAACATTTCCTTGGCATAATAATAATAAAAAAAACCTATCTGCAACCAACCGTCAACATCATTCTTAGCAATAAAACACCTAGCCAGGGTCATTCATATTTTAGTCAGGGTAGAATGAGAAAGCCTGCTATTAACACAATTATTTTACATTGTTTTGGAAGTTTTAGCCAAGGCAAGAGTACATTAATACACAAAAGGAAACACAACATTTGGAAAGGAGGAGAAATTGTCATCATTATTTGTACATGATATTATTGTTTATCCAGAAAACTCAAGAGAATCAACTAGAAAAGTAATAAGAGACTATGAGCGAGGTCAGTAAGATGACCAGTTTTGAAATAAATACACTGGCAAAGTCCAATTAGAAACCTTAAGAAGAAGAAAACTGAGGAGTGAGGCAGTAGCTCAAGGGTACTCAAGGTTGCAGAACAAGCCCAACCACCTCAAAGGTCTCCTGTTAGGGCCCAGCCTAGCAGGGAGGGGGAGAGAAAGATGGGGTGCACCAGCTGGAGCTGCAGAGGGCAGGGAAGTGGGGAGGAAAGGGGTATCCTGAAACATCTTTCTGGGCTGGTAACAGTTGGGCTTGGACTGGGAGCTGCCCTGTTGGGGGAATATCCAACCCTGTGGGCCTGGTTACCAGCAGCCCTGGCAGACAGCAGCTCAGGCCAATGGGATGCAGGCAGTTCTGAGAGCCGGTACCTGACTGCTGGGGGCTCCAGGATGCAGCAAGTCCAGGGTAGAGGACTGCAGACCCTGATGGAGAACTGTCATCCACTGCGGGGCACAGAGTCCAGCAACGAGATTCCAGCTAAGTGTCGCTGAACATCTGATGGGCTGATTACAAATTGGTCCCCTGGATTCATTAAAGTAGATTTCCCAAGAGAAGCTGTCCACGGCAGAGTCACACCCAGCCAACCTTTGAGCTCCATTCTGATGTCAGGGGCTGGCTCCTCAGCTCTCTGCCTCCAGGCTCCTGGCAACTGGGCCCTTTCTTGCTTGGGGTGGCATGATTCCCCTGGAGGCATCCGGCAGGTCTGCAGATGCACAGGCACTAGATGCAGTGCCCCCAGGGCCATTCTCAGAAAGTGAAGCTTGATTTTTTTTCTCCATCCATGGTGTGAGTATGGCATGAAATGCATGCACGGCTCCTCTCACATGATGAACAATCTCTGGGATTTACACCCAAACTTCTCCTTTCTCTCTTGTCCTCCTCACTCATGGGCCCCATCTGCATGAGAAGAAAAGAGAAGAAGAGAAGAGAGGAGGAGAGGAGAGGAGAGAAGAGGAAAGGAGAGAAGAGAAGAGAAGAAAGAAAAAGAAAAAGAAAAAACAAAAATCAAACAAACAAGACATCACTCATTCCCCCCGTCTACCCTCCCACCCCACCCCACCCCATTTGCTCCCCACCCACTCATACAACTGCCCCTGTCCAGGGAAAAGACAATTACTTCCAGATAAGATGTTGCCATTTACAAGGAGATTTCATGCAAAGCAATGGTTGGAGCTTCCATGGTAGAATTTTAGGACAATATGTAGGAGTACAATATTTTAGACATTGAATTATGTGAGGATCAAATAATTGAAAGCTGGAATTTTTTTTTCTTTTTGAGACGGAGTCTCGCTCTGTTGCCCTGGCTGGAGCACAGTGGCATGTTCTCCACTCACTGCAACATCCACCTCCCAAGTTCAAGCAATTCTCATGCCTCAGCCTCCCAAGAATCTGGGATAACAGGTGGCCACCACCATGCCCGCCTAATTTTTGTATTTTTATAGAGACGAGGCTTTACCATGTAGGTGAGGCTGGTCACAAACTCCTGACCTCAGGTGATCCGCCCACCTTGGCCTCCTAAAGTGCTGGAATTATAGTCATGAGCCACCACGCCCGGCCAAAAGCTGGAAATTAATGAGTTCAATGCAGACTTCAAACTTCTTGAGGAGGCTGTGGCTGTTGAGTGGTGGAGAGGAGAGGAAGGGAAGGAGGGAGGAAACAAACACATATTGAGCACCTACTCGGTGCTTTCCCTGTGATGTCCCATGTAGGCCACAACCATAGAGTGCAGGCATTATTTATGCCTGGTTTCAAACCCTGGTCACTTGGATCCCATGATCCTGTGTTCCCAAGCTCCAGCCCCCAGCTGCTCCTGAGAAAGTCAAGCTTCAGAGAGCAGGGCTCCCACTCCCAACCAGATGCTCATGGCTTTCTCCTTTCACACCCAGGCCTCTACTCTGCTGTTCACCTACCTTGGTCTTTTTATCTGCCTTGGTGCCTGGAATTACCGGATCACTGCTTCCTACCTTGGGGTCAGAATTGCCCTCCCACAGGTACTCTGTGACCACACAGACATCCCTGTGGGGGCCACACTCAGCACCAAGCCCTCATGGAAAGCAACTTTTTAGGCAGGATGGGGTGGGGCACAGAAAGGAAAGGTGGGGCGGCGGTTTCTGTTGCAGGTCCTGGCCTGGCATGTCCCCAGCCCCCAACCTTCCCTCTTCAGCAAGCTCACTGATTACCTGGAGTCCTCATCCTCAAGGCTGGAGTCTGGGAGAAGACTCTTGGAGGTGGGTTTGTTTGGCCTAATTCACCAAGGCCCCCTGGCTCCCTTGGTCTTGTCACCATGGAAACCTTGTGAGGTCACCAGCACCATTCAAATAAGAGAAAAAAACGTTTCTCCCTCCCACAAAGTGAGCTCCTAGTTGACTCCAGTGGCTTCTATGGAGGAACCGGAGGGCGGGGCCCAGTCCGAGGAAAAGACCTGGCCCAGCCCTCAGGGATGGGTTAACCCCTTGATGCCCAGATGATGGCTGCTCAGACTCACGCCTTCTGCCTCTCTGAAGTTTCTCAGGCATCTGTGCCCCGGAAGAGTGAATCCTGCAGCTTTGTATACACACCAAACAGCTTCATGCTATACCTGGAAAGGTGGGGAAGGAGCTCTGAATCCAGGCAATTCTAGTGAACAAAAACTGCCTACTGGAGATTCAGGGAGCTGTTGAGAGGCAGGGAGCCGGGGGAGAGAAGGGAGCTGGAGCTCTGGGTCCCTGCTTCAGACCCTTCTCCCTCTCAAGCAAAGGTGAGAGTAGGAGCTGCCAGGTACAGCTGGTACAAGAGCACAGGGTATTTTACCTCTCCCCATGCCCATGCATTCTAAGGTTGGCTCAGCTACTGAAGGCCCTTCACACCCGCTTCCTCCATGCTGCCAGCATGCCTGGGACACTTGCCTGCACTGGAGAGGGCCTAGCCTACCTTCTGCCTCCATTTGAGGCCAGCATGAGGGCCAACAGCTGGCTCCTCATCCACTTTTCTTCTCTAGCAGGCCAATCGGCTCTGACCTATCCCTCCCAGGACCCAGAATGCCTCCCCGTGCTGCCCTCCTGGAGTCCACATTCTTCTCACTACTTCCAGGACTCTTCCCAGCACCCACTCCTGCTGCACGTCTCCCCCACCATCCCCTCTGGCCAGTGGGTCTCCTCACTGTTCTAGGTCTAGAATATGCTGCTTCCTTTATTCACATTCCTAAGACAACCTCTCTCTCCCTTTGTATCTATTTTAATCCTGTATTGCATTCCTTCACCATCATCTATGCACTTTCACCTTTCTGTTTCCACAACACCCCAGCACTACCATCAGCACCAGGCTTCCCATCAGCACCAACTCCACTCACCACTATCGTGAACCACCACCATCCCCCTTCTATCACGCTGCCCCTCACCACTGTCACATCTTCTCACCATTGTCACCACCATCCCACAGTCAATGCCACACCACCATTTCTACCATCACCAACTGTCAACACCATTCTCACCACCTTCTTAACCACCATCACAACATAGCTGTGACCACAACCACCATTCCTACCACCCTACTGTCAGTACCACCACCACCATCTCCCTTATCAGTGCTGAACTCACTATTACCACCACAGTTACCATCACCATTCTTACCACCATCATAAGTCATCATCACCAACATTGTCACCACTACCACCACCATAACTGCCATCCTATTGTCAACACCAGCACCACCACCATCTCCATCATTGGCACTGCACTCACCGTCAGAACCACTGTTAACCTGTTACTACCATTGTCCATACCCTCATCAATATCACACTGTCATGACCACACATTGGTATCATCATGACCATGCACTCATCGCCACCACCATCATTTGGAGGGAAATAATGTGTTCCTTCATAAAATCAATCAAGCAATCAATTTCAAATCCTTCAAGAGAGGCCATAAAAGAACCTACATAGAGTGAAACAGCTGGACCTCACGGCCCCCATTCTTGCTCCCTGGGATTCTGTATCCTTTGGATAATCTCACACTAATTGGCTACTGTTGCCACCAAACTGGCCCTAGGAGCTCTTTCTTTAACACCTCAAGGCACAGCTGAGATAGAGCTAGAGCATTCATAGTAAGTGGGACAATAATATTAAACAACTGATGAGAGTATAAACTGGCACGAACTTCCTGAAGAGTAGCTGAACAATACAAGAAAAATCTTTGAAAAGTGCATTCTCAGAAATCTTACTTCTAAGAAGTTATCATAAGGCAATAATTAGATAAATTTGCAAAGATGATGTGTGGATGTTATAATAACAATCATTGGAAACAGCCTAAATGTATAGCAAAAAAAGAGATTGTTTAAAGAAACTATATGGATTAATATGCAGCCATTAAAACAGAAAATATAGATTTGCCTATTGACATAAAAATATGCTGACTCTATATTGTTATAAGCAAAAGCAGGTTTCATATCAGCATTTATAAAATTATCCTCTAGTTCTAAAAGTGTAATGTCTTCACGAAACAAGATGAAAATATTTTCACACCTGGCATCAAAATTCTTCTTAGATGGAAAACTGTCTTTGGGAAAAAAAAAAAACTTTGGTAAACTATCTAGACATACAGTGATTGCAAACCACTCAGCATGAGACAAGGAGAGGAATTCCTTTTGCTCCTGAGGAAGATGGCAGAGAAAGGTGAGATGATCAGAGGAGAAGGGAGAGCCAAAGAAGTTAGCATGGAGGAGATGGTGCAGATGCCAAGAAAAATGCCTAGTGAGGTGGGGAGTGGGGGAAGGCCTTTTAATTTCCCAGATCATTGCTCTTTCTCCAAAGTTGCTTTTGTGGCCGGGCCCCAGAGCTCACGCCTGTAATCTCACCACTTTGGGAGGCCGAGGAGGGAGGATTGCTTTAGACAAAGAGTTCAAGACTAGCCTGGGAAACATAATGAGACCCCCGTCTCTACAAAAAATATAAATAAATAATTAAAGTTGTTTGTGTGGCTACAGTATGAACCATTTCTTCTTTTCCCCCATATCAAATTTTCAGTCAAGTCTACTGAATGCTCAGAGTTTCTGAATGAAGGATTTTTCTGTGAGAATTGGAAAAGGGGCCAAGTTTCAGGTCTGATCCACCCCAAAGTGGTTCTTTCTGGTGGAAAAAAAATTAGGGATGACTTATATATTTGTTAGTTTTATTTGTATCTTCTAATTTTCTAAAAGAGACAGAAAAGAAAAATAGTAAATATCAGGGACCACAAATGGGGAATACATCATAAAGTCAGAGGGAAGTGAAGAATCTGGGTTACAAAATGTGGCCTATGTCCTCTCCCATAGACCCCAGGCTGTTTGCACACTGTGGGCACTGTCTTGATACCCAGCACCCAGAAGCTTCTATCTAGATGTCTCAGCACTTTGAAGCCTGATCCCAAGAGAGCAACGTCCTGAGGAGACACAGGGAATCCCTGCTCGAATGCCTAAATTTAGCCCCATCTTCTCACTCTGATGAGAAGCTCAGAGGACCCACATCTTCCTGCATGGTGAACGACAGGAGGTGATCCCCCTTTTCAGGGGTGTCCTGCGAGTCACAGGGACTTAGGCATGTAAGCCTTCACAAGATAGTGTCTTAAGATGTCACCACAGCAATCCTAATAATCATATAAGAGGTACACACACAATCGCAGTGTGGTCATTGGTTTTGGTACACCACCAGCACCATCATCATCACCATCGCCACCATCGCCATCATAACTTCGAGTGACCTTTTAATTCAAGCAGTGTACATCTGTCCAGTTCTGCCCACCTTCTGGGCCTGAAAGGACACAAAGGAGAGGCAAGTGGGGGAGTGCTGTTTCGTTCCCATCTCCCAACATGTCCCCGATCTGCACAAAGCCCTGTGAAGTTCATTCACTTGGTATTCAATGGAATAATGTAGTTGGTAATGAATTTGTTTTGCATTCAGTTGGATAACACTGTTAGTTATGAATTTATAATTTGCAGAGGGATAAGGCTTTTTTTTCTTCAAGGCGTCAGAGAAGCTGTTGCTTACAAACTTGTAATTCGCCGCTGCAAATCCATCTGTAAATGACACTATTGCAAGCTGAAAATCTCCCAGGCACAAGGAATACAGCCTCAGAATTAAACTGTGTGTTTGACAAGAACCTGCTGTTCTTGTCCAGCCTTGGCCCCCTTGTCCCGCCCTTCCTCCTGAGTTCAGCCTCAGTCTTGCCAGCTTCCTTCCCAGTCAGTTCAGCCGCCACCACCCTCACTCCCCAGCAGTCCAGCCTCGAGCCCTCTGCTCCTCTCCTTCCATATCCAGAGGGGTGTAAATAGCCCAGTCAAGGTCACATAGCTCTCTGGGGGAAAGTGCAGACAGGCTCAGCCAGCACTAGCATAACCCATGTCTGTGGGATAAACACAGAACTCCATTGTCCATTTCTAACTCTCACTGGGCCTTTGTTTCCCCATCATTGATGTGCTATGGTTTACATGTGTCCCCCAAAAAGCATGTCTTGGAAATTTAGTCCCCAATGCAATAGTGTTGGGAAATGGGGCCTAATGGGAGGTGTTTAGGTCATGAGTGCTCTGCCCTCATAAATGGATTCATGCTTATTATATAAGGGCTTGAGGCTTCAAGTTCAATCTCTCTTGGCCTCTTTCAACCTCTTGCTTTCCAGTATGGGATGACGCAGCAAGAGGGCCTCAAGAGATACTGGCACCCTGGTATTGGACTTACCATCCTCCAGAACTGTGAAAAATAAGTTTCTTTTTAAAACAAATTATCCAGTCTGTGGTATTCTGTTACAGCAACACAAAACAGACTAAGACAGACCCCAAGCCTTTTAGAAGTATTTTCCCAGATTTGCCAACTAGGGCATGAATAGGAAGTGAGTTTGCCCAAAGAAGCCTTCCAAAGAGTAGGAAGTATCACCTAACCAGGACTGAGCTCAGAGAATGGGGTAGGAGGGTTGGGAGTCGGAGGTGGGAGATTGGCTCAAGAACCAAAAGGGCAGAATTGGGTGGGGGACAGTGACTTGTGGATAACTTGGCACAGATTCTTTTTTTTTTTTTTTTTTTTTGTTTGATGGAGTCTCTCTCTTGTCAACCAGGCTGGAGTGCAGTGGTGAGATCTTGGCTCACTGCAACCTCCCACTCCCAGGTTCAAGGGTTCTCCTGCCTCAGCCTCCTGAGTAGCTGGGATTACAGGGGCTTGGCTATTTTTGTATTTTTAGTAGAGATGGGTTTCACCATCTTGGCCAGACAGGTCTTGAACTCCTGACCTCAGATGATCCACCTGCCTTGGCCTCCCAGAGTGCTGGGATTACAGGCGTGAGCCACCGCATCCGGCCTTGGCACAGATTCTATATGGAGCTGAACTTCTGTGCCTCAACCTTTTCTAGCATCTTGTGTTTTACGCTTTTTGTCTTATTTCCTGTGTGCTTCCCTCCATTATTCACTGATTTGTTCTTTTTTTAATAAAAGTTACTTCCAAAGAGTTAACTTTGAATGAAAATTCAAAGGAAACACAATCCATAGCTGGGCTAATGAATAAGATTGGTGCTTGTTAGGAAGTCAGACCTGGAAACAAATCTGGGGGACTCATCACCAGAGAGTCCATCAACAAGCATTCATAGTTCTCCATCCCCAGAACACTCCAGACGCATAGCTAAAAGTGAGGGACACAAGAATAAACAAGACAGCATGGCCTCTGCTTTAGAAGCTTACTGCTTAGTGGGGAAGACGGGCCATTGAACACACAGCTACAATAAAGTGTGGTTACTGTTTTGATAAGAATTTGTGTGTGGTGGTGCCCCATGGCAGAGGCATGAAAAATAGTCTAAAAGGGTTTAAGATGAGACCTGCTGCTAATGAGCTGTGCGACCTCAAGCAAGTTGTTTAACTACCCTGAACTCCATCAGTTGTATTCATTGAGCAAGTGTATTGCAGTCACTTCATATTGTAGTCACTTCAAGGGATATACATTCTAGCAGGAAATGTAAGTGTTATGCTGTGACAAATAATGGGAAGGAGGACATCCCCCTGGGGGATGGCTTTCTGGAGGCTTGAAATTTAAGTCAAGTCTTCCAGGGTGAGTGGAAGTTAGCTAGGTGAAGAAGCAGCAAGAGTGCCCCAGGCAGAGGAAACAGCATGTGAAAAAAAAAAAAAGAGTCAAGAGGCAAAAAATGTGCACATCCAAGGCAATGAAGGCAGGCTGGAGTGACTGAAGGGCAGAGAGCAATGAAAGTGAGGAAAGAGGGGCACAGGAGAGAGCCACGGGAGCCAGACCTCAGGGTCTTGTGAACGTGGTGAGAATTTGGGGCTTGGAAGATGTGAAATCGTGAGAGGTTTGGAGCAGGAGAATGATATGTTAGACTGTCACACTCCAAGTTTTTTAAGAATACTGTGCTCCTATGAGAAGAATATATGGAAGAGGACCAGAGAGCACATGGTGGGGTCTGGGGGTTTCACTGTCTGGTTGAGATGCAGGTGCTCAGACAAAGGTGGTAGCAGCAGAGAATTGAGACAGGAGGGATCTTCAGGAGGAGAATGAGCAAATGGAGGCGGATTTGAGGCAGGCAGGAGAGAGGGGAGGAAGATATAAAGGAAGACTCACAGAGTTCTGGTAAGAGTGGCTGAGGTAGGGAACATGGGGAAGAAGAGTGTCTTAGTCCATTTCTGTTGCTACAACAAAATACCTTAGCCTGGGTAATTTATAAACAAAAGAAATTCATTGCTCACAGTTCTGGAGGCTGGAAATCCAAGATCAAGATGCCAGCAGATTCAGTGTCTGGTGAGGGCCTGCTCGCCAGAGATGGTACCTTCTCCATCCTCACGTGGTGAAAGGGGCAAGCCAGCTCCCAAGGGCACTAATCCCATTTGTGAAGGTGGAGCCCTCATGATTTAATCACTTCCCAAAGGCCCCATCTCTTAATACTATTACACTGGGGATTAGGTTCCAACACATGAATATTTGAGAGACACCACATTTAGACCATAGCAAAGAGTTTATCCTGAGGTCAGTTTTGAATCTGAGCTTCTCGGAAGACATGAAGATGGATCCATGAGTCTGGAATTGGAGAATCTGGGCTGGAGATGTGGATTTGGGATTCGTGGCCATATTGGTAGTAACGGCAATCAGCAGAGAAGGATATACAACTGAGGAGGCAGAGAGAGACATGAGAAAGCAAAGGACCCAGAACTGAGCCTTGAGCAACTCCAGCATCCAAAGTTGGGCAGTGTGGAAAGTGGGCAGAGGAAGCTGAGAGCCAGCCATGAACATGCAGCCTGCAGAAATCCAGGAAGGCTGGAAATCCCTGATGCCGAGAGAGGACAGGCGGCTGAATGTCCAAATGCAGTGAGAAGACAAGTCAGATCAGGGCTCAAACGTGTCCTGTGGATTGAGCATCTTAGAGGTCACGGGTGTGTTTAGCATTTAAAGGCTTTTCAGGGGAGTGGTGGAGGCGGATGCCAGATTGCAAGGAAGAGGGATGAGTGAGAGCCAGGGAAGGAGAGGCAGGGAATGGGGACAACTCTTGGCGTGAGTTTGGCTGTGGAAAGAGGAAAGACGAGACAGTACTTGGAGAGGGAAGTGGGATCTTACTTGTAAGATGAAAGAATTTAGAGAGCCAGTTTAAATGCTGATGGGAAGGAACCAGGAGAGACAGAGAGAGAGAGTAAGTGAGAGAGAGAGATTTAAGGATAAGAGAATGGGGAGTAGGGTAATGGGCAGCCTAAATTCCCCAGAAGGCAGGCAGAAATGATAACAGCATACTTTTTCCATGCCGTGGCAAGCTAACTGAAGATTCTTTGAAAGTACTCTGCAAAATATCATCTTCCTGTAATACCCCAACATCCCATTTTCAGAAGAGGAAGTAGAGGCACAGAGAGGGCATATGCTTGGTCTAAGTCACACAGCAGGGCTTTGCATACAGGTCTTTCCTGGGGAAAGTGATGTCTGAGTGTTAGAGTTCTGGGGAAGGCCATTAAGGTTCAGGGTACGTGTTGGGGGGACCCCTGAGTTATGTGCCATGCCCCTTCCTTCCAGTTTTTTCCACCTTAGGGTCATCTTTAAAATAGTGTGTTTAACAAAGATGCAAAATAAATAATTATTTGAGAGAGTCACTCAATATTTACAAAACATGCCTTGAGAACTGACTTTGACTGGCTCTACTGGATGTCAAGGGCATGGAGGTGCTCTCCAGCAGCATGTGGTCTGTGGAAGAGAGCTGGATTCACAATGGCAAGGAAGTGTGGCAGACACTGTACTTGCGGTGGACGAGGGCTCTGGGGTGGTGCAGAGGAGGGACCTTGCACACTGGAAGAATATTTCAGGAGGGTCTGGGGGTTGGTCTCGAGAAGAGAGAGGAGAGGAGCATTCCAGGCAAAGAGGAGGGCAGGTATAAGGTGGTGGTGAGGAAAAAGCTGAAAGCAGTTCAGCCTGGCAGAGGCACAGAGAGCAAGAGGCAATAGAGATGAGGTTGGAGAGCTAGACAAGGGCAGGCTCCTGGAAAGATGTGGACGCCAAACTAGGGAGACCGGACTTCCTCATAAAGACAGGGAGCTGTGGATGGTCATAAGTGGGTAGATCAGAAGGCTGGTACCAGCAACAGCAACAGCAGACTTCATAGGGTAAGTGTGAAGATTAGCAGATCCATCAGGAGGCTGCTGGCTAATACAGGGGCTCATGGGTGCAATCAAGAGCCTGGTTATCGACAGGGAGATAAAGTGGGTGGAAGCAACAGGACTTAGTAACTGAAGAAATGTGGAAGAGCTCTGGCTCTAGGGTGGCTCTAACTCTGGCTCTGACTCTAGTGCGATCACAAGTTTGTGGCGTGCATGGAGGAGTAGAGGGCATTGACATTCTCTGAAATTAGGAAGACAAAAGGGGATACATTTGGAGGAAAGGTAATGGGTTCCAACTTGGGCATGTTGAGTTTTAGGTGCCTGCAAGACAACCTCATGAACTGTCCAGTAGGCAAGTGGCAATATGATCTGAAGCTTTGGAAAGGTCTCCTCTGGAGACAGTGAATTGGAAGTCAAAAACTTTTTGGGAGTGTGAAGAGCTCCCTTACGGAAGGTGTATAGAGTGAGAAGAGAGTCTAGACGAGAATCTCGAGGACCCAGCTTTTTTTTTTTTTTTTTTTTTTTTTTTGAGACGAAGTCTCACTCTGTCACCAGGCTGGAGTGCAGTGGTGCAATCTTGGCTCACTGTAACCTCCATCTCCCAGGTTCAAGTGATTCTCCTGCCTCAGCTTCCTGAGTAGCTGGGACTACAGGCACGCACCACCACACCCAGCTAATTTTTTTGTATTTTCAGTAGAGATGGGGTTTACCCTGTTGGCCAGGATGGTCTCGATCTCTTGACCTCGTGATCCACCCCCCTCAGCCTCCCAAAGTGCTGGGATTACAGCCATGAGCCACCGTGCCTGGCCCTGAGGACTTAACTTTTAAGGGGCCAGAGAAAGAAGATGAACACCTGAAGCCAACTGAGAAGCAGCAGCCAGAGAGGCAGGAAGGGAATCAGTAGAGAAAGGAGACATGAGGCCACACAGGACAGGGGACCCGGAAGTAAGACAAGCTCAGCAGGGTCAGGTCCCCCAAGGTCGCTGCCTTGGATAGGGGAAGAAAAGTGTCTGCTGGTCTTAGCAAGGATAATGTCCTGCACAGTGAGGGTTATTCCAGCAATGCAGTGCCAGCAGGCGCGGGTTACAAGGTTTGAGGAGTGAGTGGGAAGTGAGGAAGTGGAAGGAGTCAGTGTAGAAAACTCTTGAGAAACTTGACTCAGCTGGGGAGATTATTGTGGGCAGCAAGATGACAGAAATGTCCTCAGACATGGCTTTCCCAGTGTGAACCCGACACTGTCCAGCCACAGAAGGAGATATGTCACCCTGTCATTCTGAAATGGCCTTTCCTTGGCTATTCAGATATGATTCTCTATAACTCCTTTATTTGGGGACTTTGTCATGAAAAGTTTGCCTCTGATCCCACCTGACTGCCACTCATCCCAACCTTTGTGTTTAGAAAATTTCCCTAAGCCCCCAATATCAATAATAATAGGTAATACTTATCAAACGCCTACTAAGCCCTGTGCTGAACATGATACATGAACTGTTTTATTTAGTCCTCAAGACAGCTACCAGGAAGGTATTTACAGAACGAGAAACTTAGGCTTGGGAAGATTAAATGAGTCACATGGTTAATGGAAAAGCTGGCATTGGTGCCCTATCATTCCAACTCTACTGCCTAAGTGTTAGGCAGTGCTTCCATTTCTCTCTGTAGACTCTCTCTACTGTCTCTATTATCTGTTCGAAGCCCAAACATGCCCACTGTCACCCCGGCACTGCTTCCCTGGTGTCAGGATCCATTGCTTCTGAGAATCTAGCTTGCAGACTGAATCCTCGTTCTCTCCTGAGCTGCATGCCAGTCTCAGTCCTGCGCTATTAGAGAGAGTAGACTGCAGACTAAATAAAAACAGTTACCATTTCTTACCATTCTTCCAACTCCTGCTCCCTCACCCCCACACCCCAGGCACTGTGCTTGGTGCTTTTTGCTCCTTATCTCATTCCATCCTCAAAGCAACCCTAGGCAGTCACTAGTACTTTGCCTATTTTATAGACAAAGGATCTCAAGTTCAGAGAGGGCAAGTAACTTGCCTGAGATCACACAGCTAGCAAATGACAAAGCTGGGGCCCAAATCCAAGTTGGCCTGTTGCAATAATCTCCCAAATGCCCCCACTTCCCCTCCATGGCCACAGGGCAGCAGGTCCCAACCCTCTGGCTTCAGGATTTGGAGACATCTTACCCCATCTGGGAACCCAATTACTCAGTCAATCATTTAGTCAGCTCATTTAGTATTTCCTGAGTGCATCTGTCAGGCTCCAGTTGGTTACACGAGACAGAGACCCCACCAAACGAACTGGAGCAATATGAGGAATTTATCAGCTCTTAGAGATGAGTAGGATGTTGTTGCAGCTCTCCAGACTGAAAGAAGAACTGCAGGAGTGAAGGCCATGAGAACAAAAACTGGGACTCAATGCTGCTAGCATGCTCTCTAAATTCCTCTCCTCTCTGCTGCCTTGCTCAGCTTCCTAGATTGAGTGGGAAAAATGGCTTGTCAGCAGGTTTGGACCATAACATCCAGTTTTGCACCCCACTAGGAAGAGGGGTTCTTCCTCCCAGCATCCACATATCAATCCCAGGGAAAGAATCTGATTGGTCCTGCTTAGGTTATGTGCCCACCCCTTGGACCAATCACTGTTGCTGGAGGATGGGGTTCCACGGTTGGTGCAGTCTGAGTCACATGCCTAGTTAGTGGCAGTGGGATAGGGATGGGTGGGAGTAGTGGGCACTTTAACTGACAACCCACTAGGATTATGTGATGACAGCAGGGAGTTTCCCCAAGAAAAGGAATGCTAGAACTGGATGGTGGAAAACAGGCAGACAGGTAAAAATCGCTGTCTACTGTCTACTGCAGTGGTCCATGTGAGAGATGGGCAGACACACACAAGCCCATCATGAGGAGTTCACAGACTCACATGGAAATAAGGCTTACAGACATGAAGCCATGAATAAGAGCTGATAGCAGCTACCATTTACAGAGCACCTACCAGGTGCCAGGCACTGGGCCAAGTACTTCCATGTGCATTATCTTATTCCATGTTCACAGTGACCCTGGAAAGTAGTCATTATTGTCCTGATTTTTCTGAATCAGAGAGACAGTGAAATACATCCCCCCCCCTTTTTTTTTTTACAAGAGACCCAATTCAAGAAAGAATTAAAATGTTTATAGGCTGCTATCCTTGCTCAGAGAGGTTAAGTGACTTGCTCAAGGTCACACAGCTAGCACATTAAATGAATGCCCTGGGAAGCATTTGGTTAAGGGCAAAAAAAAGTGCTTCCATTTCTCTCCGTAGACTAAAGCACTAGGGAAGGCTGCCTAGAGGGTGGAGGTTGGCGGTGAATAAGCAGAGATCTAAAGGATGGGACATCTAGGCAGGTGGCCAGGGAGGTTGGGTGGAAGAAAGGATGGATCAATCCCCAAACACTAAGGAAGGCAGGTCTGAGCACCACCCAGATACTATCTATTCCCTCTCGCCTGTGGCAGCTCTTTGGAGATTTACAATCAGAGACCCCTTCTCCTGAGTCTCCTCTTCTCTAGCCTGCTCTGACCAGCCCTACCATCCTTCATAGAACATATACACCAGTCACCTCCCCTATTCTACTTGGCTGTCCTCCTATGGACACACCCAATGAATTGAGGTGCTAGGCACAGTTTGATCCACACAAATGACAGAAGAAATGTTACCTCCCTTTTTCAAAACACTGTGCTTCTATTAATGAGACCCGAGATCAATTATGTATTAAGCAGTCACAGTCCACCCTGTCCAATCAAGCTCACTGTCTCCTAACCTTGCCAGTTCAAACACATCTCCCTCATCCTGGATGAGGGCGGATGATTCCCTGGACCTAAGACTAGAAACTCTTTTTTTTCAGGCTTAGCCCATTTTTGGTCTCGGCTGTTCCTTAGCATCACTGCTTCCACAAAAGTGATTGGTGAGACTGTGTGATTCCACTTATATGAGGCACCTAGAGTAGTCAGAGTCACAGAGACAGAAGATAGAATGGTGGTTGCCAGGGGCTGGCGGGGGGAGGGGTGATGGAAAGTCACTGTGAGATGGAATAAGATAATGCATGTGGAAGTACTTGGCCCAGTGCCTGGTGCCTGGTAGGTGCTCCACAGAGAGTGGCTGCTATCAGCTCTTAATCACAGAGTTTCAGTTTGGGATGATGAAAAGGTTCTGGAGATGGGTGGTGGTGATGGTTACACAACAATGTGAATGTACTTAGTGCCACTGAACTATGCACTTACGAATGGTTAAGATGGTAGATTTTAGGCCGGGCGCAGTGGCTCACGCCTGTAATCCCAGCACTTTGGGAGGCCGAGACAGGCGGGTCACGAGGTCAGGAGATGGAGACCATCCTGGCTAACACGGTGAAACCCCGTCTCTACTAAAAACACAAAAAAATTAGCCGGGCGTGGTGGTGGGTGCCTGTAGTCCCAGCTACTTGGGAGGCTGAGGCAGGAAAATGGCATGAACCTGGGAGGCGGAGCTTGCAGTAAGCCGAGATCGCGCCACTGCACTCCAGCCTGGGTGACAGAGCGAGACTCTGTCTCAAAAAAAAAAAAAAAAAAAAGGTAGATTTTATGTTACGCATATTTTGCTACAATTTTTTAAGTGATTGGTGGGCCCTCTGGATCCACCCCATCAGAAGAACATCTCCCCAACCCAGGGCAGCTGGATTCCCACCCTCACAGCTTCTGGTTCTCCAAAGGCAACCCCTGAGCTGAATCTCAAGGAAGTAGGAGTCAGTTCCCCCAGCAGCCCCCTGTGAATACATCTCTGAGATAACTCAGAGACCAAGGAACATCATTAGCACCCACAGTACCATCACTGTCTCTGGAATTCAAGTCCCCCATGGGCCAGCCTAAAACCACCACCTAGCCCCACCTCCCTTGACCCCTCCTCTGCCTCTAGTTCAAGATCTCTGCTTCCCCGCCACTTAAACTTTTGAAAATGTCATCTGTACTCACTCCTGTTCCTCACTGTTGGGCACATAGTCCTCGATGCCCAACAGTTTGGTTCCTGTCACCTTCTACCCTCCAAAACCAATTGCCCCTGCCATGTCACCCGTGGCCTCCTGAGTACCAAGACAAATAGACACTTTCTGTTCCTTCTCTCACAGCCACTCCCTGCCGCGTTCGACACTGATGAGCACTTGCTTCTCCCAAACTCCTCCTACTGGGCCTACATAACTCTCCACTTTCTGGTTCTTCTCCTATCTTTCTAATCACTCCTCCCTCTCACTCATGGACTCTTTTCTGAGGTTCCAGCCCAGAACTACTGCTTTTGTTACTTCTACGCAGCGTCCCTGTTCATCTCACCCCTCTAATGATGGTTCAAAAAAAAAAACAAACAAAATGTTACTCTCAAGCCCCAGCCTCTCTCATGAGCATAGATTCATAGACTCCACTGTCTTCTGGCCAACGGTGAAATAGCCTCCTAACTGCTCTATCTCGGTGGCACCTCCTCACACCCACTCACAATGCCCCAGAGGGGTTTCCTGAGAAGGCAAGCAGGCCCAGGTTCCTCCCAATATCAAAGCTCCCTCCGCCCCGGGATAAAATCTAAGCTCCTAACCATGGTCTCTGAGTCTCTCTGTGGTCTGCAGTCAAAATGGTATCTAAAAGGCCCCAGTTAACTTAAACTCCCCTCCTCCCATTTCTGCTTCTGAGCCTGTGCTCCCACCCTCCTCCCTGCCTGGAATGCTGATCCCCAACCCCCCACACTGACAGTCACTCCTACTCCTCCTTTGAGATTCAGCTCAGGGGTGGCCTACCTGGCAGAACCCGCCAGGCCCTGGCCTGAACTGCACCACCCAACCCACACTTCCCTACTCCCCTGTTAACATTGCTTCCAGAATTTGCCTCTGTTGTGACTCAGGAGTGTCCCCGAGCCGTGAGCTTCCTGAAATGCTCTGGTGGCCCCGGAGCCTAGCATGGAACCTGATGCACAGAAGGCCTCTAATACATGAGTCAATTGTTGAATAGCTGAAGGAAACGATGGGTGTCCAAGACAGCCTCCAACCCCCAGCCCTGCCGACCCAGAGCTTGGCACACAGTAGGTTCTCAGGAAAGGTTGGCAGTATTCTATTTTCTGAATGAATGTGATTTCAGGCAAGGTCAGGGGCTGGGTTATGTGGGTGGTAGAAGGGAGGGTCTGGATGCGGGAAACGTGGCCAAAAGGGAAGCTTGGGGGCAGTGCAGTAGGGGAAGGGGGCAATGGGGGTGTCTGGAGAGGTGGGAAAGGAACGAAGTCCCCAGAACGCTGTCCCTCCGCGCCCCAGGTCAGCCGGCGTGGGGTCCGGTCAGTCCGCCTCCAGCCCCGCCAGCGAGACCCTTCCCCCTCGCCCGGGTGGCGAGACCCCCCTGGCTCGCACGCTTGGCCCTCGGGGTTGGGAGGCGTGTGTGTCGCTTTAAAAGCTCCCTCCCGGCGCGGCGGGCCGGCCCCTTCCCTGACAGCGCCGAGGCAAGCGGAGCCAAGCGAGCCGGGCGGCCTTTAAGGGAGCCAGCGCCCGCCCGGGCGGCCAGTCCGGCGGGGGGCGGCGGGGCGGGCCGGGGGCGGCCGGGGCGCGGGCGGCGCGGCGCCGCGGCGCTTGGGGAGCGGGCCCAGGCCCCGGGAGCCCGGCGGGGCAGGGCAGGGCGAGGCGGTGAAGGGAGGCCCAGCCCCGACCCGGCGCCTGTTTGCCCCACCGGCGGCGACCCGGCGCCCGGGGGCTGCTGAGGCGGGGAGCCGAGAGCGAACGGACGGGAGGTAGCGGAGCCGAGCGGAGGCTGCGAGCCTAGTGCGCCCCGGCCCGGCCCGGCCCGCCGCTCGCCCCCTCCCCTCCCTTCCCCTCGCCGCGCCTCCTCCCCTCGCCTCTTCTCGCCTCCTCTCCTCTCCTCCGCCCGGCGCTGCTCCCGCCTGCGCCCGGGCCGCCGAACCCAGCCCGGCCGGGGCCCCCGGCTTCGCGCGCTCTCGGCTGGGCCCGGCGGGGACCGGGTCCCCGCGGCTGACATCGCCCCTCCTCGGGGACCCGGTGGATTCCGGACCTTTCGGAACGTGAACTGAGCCGTGGGAGCGGTCTCGCCCAGGGCCGACCGCGGGGCTGGGCTGAGCAGACCCTCGCGGCCGCTCCGGACGCCGCGGGTGCCGGGGCACGGACGTTCTGGGTCCGGGCTGAGCGCGTCCCGGGCGCCCGGCGGTGCCAGCTCACTCCGGGCGGGGTAGGGCAGGGCAGACCCCAGCGGAACACGGACCCGGCCGATCTGGACTGGACAGAGCGAATCCCGGACGGTGCAGAGCCCGGGGAATGCCGGGCGTGGGCTGAGGGGATCCCGGCGCCCTCCCAGCCCTCCGACTTTGGCTCACGCGCTGGGACCTGCCCGGCGTCTCCTCGGCCTCCCCGCGCCCCGGTCACCTGTGGCCTCGGAGCCCCAAATCTGCCGGACCCTCGCTCATTCCCGACCCCGAGCCTGGAGAGGCTTGAGAAAGATTTTTCCTGCCCCCTTCCCTGGAGCGCGGAGGCCCCGCCCCCTCCCACCGCCCAGATGTCTCCGGTCACGGCTCGGAGGACCTCCCTGAGGCCCGGGGCCGAAGGGTCCAGAGAGAGAAGCCCGCCCTAGGGAGCCTTGGGGGCCCCCCAACTCCGTCTTGGGGCTTGGCCCCCGACGCTGCTTGGAGGGAAGGCCGGTGCCCCCACCCTCGGTGAGTCCAGGAGTGGGGGTTCTGAGGGAAGGCGGGGCTGGGGGAGGGAGGGTCCGCTGGGAACGAGGGCACCCTGGGGGCGCTAGGAGGGAGGATGGGTGACTGGAGAGGCCCTCTGGTGAACCAGCCTGGGCAGGCCTGGCTGGGGGGAAGGTGGGGGGGGAGGGCGGGAGCTACGGCCAGGGTGCCCCGTAGCAGGCTGAGGACTTCTGCTTCTAAAGCAGGGGCTCCCTCCCTTTCCCTCTAGAGGAGGGGCTGTGCTGTAAACCGTCTGCCTCCACCACCCCTCCCCACAAAGAAAAAAAAATCCCCAGCGAGGAAGGGTGCAGGCTGGCGAGAGGAGGGAGGCAGCGGCATTGCCGGCTGGTGCTGCAGCCTGGGAGGGCTGACGCCAGGCTCGCTCTCTCCGCAGGGGGCTGCCCTCTTCCAATCCAGCTCCCTCCCCAGAGCTGCCCATATCCGGAGCCCCTTCCACATCTGGAAGACCCTGGCCACCATCCCTCTGCAGGTGTCAGTTGCATCCAGAGACCTCTGCCTTTGCAACTGCCTAGGAGTTGTGAGGGGATCCCTGCTGCCTTCCCCCATCCCAAGGGCATCTCTTACCCTTAGTCCCTGCAGAGTCATCCCCCTGCCTCTGTGTTCAAGCTCAGGCAGAGATCAGCTCTGCACACCCACAGGCACTTCAAGACCTGGAGGCCACTCCTGGGACCCAAGGTCCCTCCCCCTCCTCTCCTGTGTCCTCACCTTGACCCCCTCTGCTAGACTCTGTCTCCCTCTGGGTGTCCCACTCTCCACCCAGAGGCAGAGGAGGCTGGGTGGCAGGGGGCAGGGGCTGGTTGAGGGCCGCCCAGGGCCAGGGTGGGCTGGGGGGCCGTTAAAATGTGGAGCTCTGCCCAGCCGAGGGGGGCTCCGTGGAGGCAGACGCAGTGTGTGCCCAGCTGGGGGGAGTATGGGCAGGCCTGCGGCCACGTGGTAAACGATGAACATTCGGGGCGCCCCGGACCTCGGGCAGCCCAGTGACGACCCCAGCAGTGGTGGTGAGCGGGAGCGGATTCGACAGCGCATGAAGATGGTCATCGGGCAGCTTGAGGGCATCCTTCGCGAGCTCAAGGAGGTGGCCAAGGAGCTGAGGGAGGTAAGTGAGGGGTGAGGAGGGACCAGACAGACCCTAAGCCAACCTTCTTGGGTTTGGCACAAAAACGTACTCATAAATACGTTGGAGTGTGCAAAGCTGCGTGCACATGTGTCACTCTACTGGGGACCTTCTTTCTCCTTGCTCTCCTTTCCGCAAATCTGCTTTGCTAAAAATCTCATCAGACCCCAAGGCTGGAGGGGCCTCGGTGTTGTAGAGGTTACTTGAGCAGCATGTCAGTGGGCCTGGAGCTCTGGGTTAGCACAAAGGGCTGCCAAGATGGCCAGTAAGGACTGAATCCCGCCACAGCTTCTTAGTGGAAGACAACCTTCTGGGACCCAAGCTGACCCTTGAACCCACCATCTGTCTCCCAGACTCTGATCTGGTCACAAGGGACCCTGGGAGAGTGCAGATAGTTGTGCTGAGGTGGTTTCCACTGCTTGAGGCCCAGCTCAAAGCATATCCCTAGAAATCACACAGATACTGAGAACCCTTGATCTTGGAAAAATTTAAGCCAGCTATGTCCTCTTTGTCCGGGGGTAAGAATGGGTCTGGGGGTGCTGTAGTGGATAACAGAGTTCCTTGCATATTTTGGCAGGGGCAGGAGTCTTCCCTAAGGGGATGCGAGTCTCCATCCCACTGTTCTAAATATTTTTGCCAAGGCTGAAAAGCCACTGAGAAATGCTGGGATGTGTGTGTCCCTCTCTGTCTTTCTAAGTGGAGCCTGGTTTAATTACTGCTTCTCACATCGCTAGGGTAATGAGGTACACATGTCTTCAGCCCTGCCCCCTGTGCTGCGTTCGAGTCCAAAATGCATGACCAGCGTTCTGAGCTGCTAGCCTGAATTTGCCCACTGGGTGCCATTATACCAGCCAGGTGGGCTTTAGGCAAATTTCAACTCCTTGTAATCAGGGCCCCTGCAGAGATGGCAGGGAGAGTGATTGAATTGGAGTTATGGGCTCAAGCTCTCCCTGGCCAGCTGTGCAGGGAGGATAGGGGCTCTAGGAAGGCTGAAGAGGTGGGGTGATGGTAGGTACCAACTCCAGGCTGGCAAAGTGGCATTGCAGCCTGGCCTGAGAGCCAAGGAGGAGGGGTTGTTTGAAGGGCACTGTGTTCAGAATGGGATAGGGAGTGGGCATAGAGATGCCAGGACAAGAGCTGTCCAGGGTCAGCCTCGTGGAGCCTACCAGGAAATCCCATCTCAGAAGATGAGAATGACTGTTGCTTCAGGCAGACTGAGGTGGTGGTGCTTCTGCCCATGGACTGGGCCGGCCATAGTCTGGGTTGCACATCTTTGGACAGTACAATTTGGAGATCAAGCGCCAGATGCCCCTGCGGAACGCTTCCTCCTCCAAACTCTTGGGTCCAAGGCACTACAGTTTTCCCCCTGCCTCCATCTTATTTTAGATCAGGGCCATGGGAACTGTCCAAAGTCTCAGTCTTGGCCAGGGACATGAGACCTATGCCCCGGCAGGTACCCACAAAGAGCCAGGATTGACTCTAGGCCTGGGAGTCAACTCTGATACAACTCCCAGCCTTTTCCCAGTTGGGCATCTTCCAGGCATCTGTGTTCCCTCTCCCCACCGCATAGCCACCCAGAGCTTCAAAGGATCTCATAGGTAATCCAGACCAGCTCTGTCCATTTACTATTGAAGAAACTGAGGCCCAGAGAGCAATAGGGGCTTGTCCAAGGTTACACAGCCTACCAGTGGCAGAAGTATGCCTAGAACTCGGGTTCCTGATGCCTTTTCTGGGGTTTCAGCAGGTGAGCTACTGGGCGATCTCTTTGCATTTTGACAGGGGCCTTCCAGAGATGATCTCTTATGCTCATCTGTGATGCAATAGCTCTAGGATTTATTTGCAGATCGTTTAGATGCCCTCTCCTTCCCTTTCACACTCACCCACTCCCATGTCTCCAATAGCAGAGCTCCAGGTTCACAGGCTATGCAGCCCAGAGGCCTCAGCCAGGACAGAGAAAATGAGTCCCCTCCCCCCACACACCCTGTAGGCCATGTGCCTCCACCCAAGACTTTGGCAGGTTGCTACGGCAACCAGAGCCTACCCCGTATGCCACTGCCTGCCCGCTGCCAATGGCACCCAGCTGGGGGAGTGGGTAAGCCTCAGAACTCTCTCGTCCCCCAGGCAGGGTCTAGACACAGGGTGACAGGCAGAGGGGAGTGTGGAGGAAGGCAGGTGAAGCTCTGGGAGGCCCAAGCAAAAGAAGAGATGCCATCACCGTCTTCCTGTGAGATGGGATTTGCCAGGGATGGGGTTACCAAGGGGGGGTGCCAGACCCCGGTTTGGAGAAAAGGGTTGGAATCTCCCTGCTCTCTGGAACCTGTGGTCTTGGCTCTTGGCTCTCCAAGGGAGCTGTAAAGCTGAATCTGCCTGGCTCTCCTCAGTCCCTTTGTGTAGCATTTTTTTATCGGGGGCATGGGTAGGCTCAAGGTTGAGAGGCACTCACTTGTTCCCTCACCTCACCCCATGACCTGGGCAGCACCAGCTTAGAGCCCACCAGCTGTGTTCTTGTCTCAGGCCAAGCACTTAGAAGTGGAGATGAGAGTCACATACAAGACTGTTGGGGGTGGGGGGCTGCACATATGCTTGGTGAAAGAACAAGGCCAGCGGAGTGGAAGGGCTTAGCTTTATTCCCCTCAGCCATCTTCCTCCTCTGCCTGCTGCTCCCCTTCCCCAGCCCCCTGATGCCACTGATCATGGCAGACTCTCCTCATCCTCTCGAGCATATGGCCTGAAATTCACTGAAAGATGAGCCACACCAAAGCACTTCCTCCCCAGGTCCCTCAGCCTCAGTTTGCTCATCTCTGAAATTGGGATGTGGTGATTTGCACTGCACGGTGATCTTATAAGGATTTATTAGGGGCTTGGCATGCAGTGGGCTGGGGGCGCGGGGATCAACACCTACTCACACTCCTAGAAGAGTTGAAGTTCCCTCTCCCACACCTCCCTCGCCCTCGCAAACCCCTACTATAGCTCTGCCACTGGCTCCCTGGGCGATGAGCAAGTTCTATCCCATTGGTGGGGAAAGTCTTTTAAAGGATTAAGTGAGGTGAGGATGTAAAAGTGCTTTGAAAGCTAAAATTGTGCTGCAGAGGGATATGACGGTCAATCGTTAATTAGCCCTTATCTCTCCCAGGCTCCCCAGTACTCCAGGATACCGGGCCAGTCCCAGCAGGTTCTCTAAGCTCCTCAAAGTTCTGTAGATCTTAAGTAAGAGATGCAGAACAGCTCAGGGGCTATGAGCATGGGCTCTGCAGCTAGATGCCTGTAGTTCAAATCTGAGCTCCACCCTCTCCTTAGCTGTGTGAACTTGCGAAAGTTACTTTACCTCTCTGTGCTTCTGTTTTCCCATTGGTAAAAATGGGGAGACTACATTTTAGGCATCCTCCCCTACCCCTGCCCCAGGGTTGTTGCGAGAATTAAATGAGACATATATAAAGCACTTAGCACAATGAGAGGCACAAAGCTCACTCCGTATCTGTTTGATGTTTTTAATGAATTATTCTAAAACTGGCCTGCTCCTCAGCTCCACGTACGGCCTTGTTTTCTGGAATCACATCAGTTTCTTAGCCATGACCAGGGAGGTCAGGACCACATCCTGGCCTCCTGGCTGGGGCCCTTTAGTTTCTCCTGCAGTCAGCAGTCTCACTCCCTGCCAGTGGGAAAAGCAGATAGAGAGTGACAGGGATGGGGGCAGGAAGGGGGTCTCCAATAAGGTGGCCTTTGAACAGAGACCCCACAGAAGTGAGGATACAAGTCACATGGCTATCTAGGGGAAGAGCATTCCCGGCTGAGGGTGCAGCCGGTGCCAAGGTCTCGAAGAGGAAGTGTGCTTGGCATATGCAGGTTCAGCTAAGGAAGCCAGAGCAGCTGGAGGGCAGTGAACAAGGAGAAGAGTAGAGGAAAGGTCAAAGAGGGAGCAGGGAGTCAGATTCCGTCGAGCCATGCACAGCATGCACGGAATTTGGATTCGTTCTCAGTGAGAATCCCACACACTCTCCAGGAATCTGCTGGTCATGTTTCTGGGTGGGAATCTGCCTCCCCACTGCTCCCCTGTTACCCACCCACCAGAAGCTCCCAAAGGCAGGGTTAAGGGCCCCTGTCCTTGGCCCCCAGGTATTGAGCTTACCTTGAGCAGGTACTTGGCCTCCTCATCCTTGGTTTCCCCCTCCCCCAGGCGTCACTCAACATGGGGGCTCAATAGTGATCCTTGCATTAACACCAGTGTCTCCCACATCATCGGTGACTCTTGGGTGGGATATAACTTAAGGGCACAGTTGCTCACTTTGGCCCAAACACCTCAGGAAGATGGAGGGGTTGGCACAACGTTTCCCCAGCCTTGGGTGGCAGTGGAGGATCCCCCACCGGATTTGCCTAGGAAGCAGTCATCCTGGCATTCTGTTTCCTGGCCATTCCATTGTGCAGTCCCATCGGCAAGGGGCTTTGTCTGAAGGTGGCAGGGAAAGCCATAGGCCATGCAAGTGTGAGATAAATGGGGCCCAGCCAGGAAGCAGCTGGAGCAGGAGAGGCTGGGGACCACGGAGCTGCGCCAAAGTGGGTCAGCTCCATCACCTGCAGCTCAGCAAGAATTGCGTGGATTTTTTTCTTATTATTTTTGTTCACGCCTTCCTTTCCTCCCTTTTCCCTTTGCCTTCTCCTCCTCCGGACAGATTTACCAAAGCTCCCTGGCCAATTAGGCCAAATTGCAGGATGAGAGCCATGAATCACGATCAGCTCGCTGCCCCTCCAACTCCACAGCCCCCCAAGAAGATAATAACGTAATCACAGAATTAAAAAATAATCAGTGGTCATAAATAATGCAGAATCCCCAGTTATGTAACCAGCTGCCTTGGGGAGCTGGGAGAGAGGGAAGGAGGTGGCAGCTTGTCAGGGGAGGTGAGGTGGGGCAGGGTGGGGGGTGTGGTGGGGGGTCCGGGGGTACAGGATGCTGGTTCTGGGACTACAGGTCCTCAGTCCTAGCTCTAAGGCCTTAAGGAACACAGCAAAGCTTCCACTGGAGAGGGGGCTCAGCCAGGGCTGGAGAGAGGGTTGGCGTCTGGCAATATAGGATTGTCCAGGTCTATGGAACTCTTCCTCAGAAAAGAAGCCCCCAGCAGTTTTTTTGTTTTGTTTTGTTTTGTTTTGTTTTTTGAGACGGAGTCTCGCTCTGTCGCCCAGGCTGGAGTGCAGTGGTGTGATCTCGGCTCACTGCAAGCTCTGCCTCCTGGGTTCACACCATTCTCCTGCCTCAGCCTCCCGAGTAGTTTTTATTAAGCCATCTGTCTCAACTCATCACTCATCCAACAGCTGTGTTTGCAGAATGTGCCGATCCCTGTGCCGAGCTGGGGATGTAGCGGTGAGCAAGAGACCTAGTCCTGCTCCTCATGGGGTTTACTGTGTAGTGGGGAGACAGACATCAACCACGTTATAACATATAGGTGCAAAATTGTAGCAGTGTTAAATATTGTGTAACATTTTCAGGAGAGGTGCAGGGTGCTTTGAGAGCCTTTCATAGGGAACCTGACCTCAGCTGGGGATCAGGGAAGGCTTCCTTCTCGAAGTGAAGACGGAGTGAGTAGGAAAGGAGGGAGGGCGTGTCAGGTGAGGCCCAGAGGCAGAAGTGAGCTCGATGGAGTGTGAGTGTGTAGGGGTGGTGAGGAGGCAGGCCTGGCAGGGTGGAGGCTGCTTGCTGGAGAGGAAAGGGGGTGGGTAGGGAGTTATGTTTGGGAGGCTTAGGAGTTTGGGGAGTATGGAAGGGCTGGAAGCACAGGGGCAACGTGGACCTGTTGGCTGATAAGAAAGTTCCCTAGGTGCAGCATGAAGCAAGAGCTGGGAGGAAGTTGCTATCGGTGGAAAGACTAGATGGGTGCAGTTTTTCAGCGAGGGGCGCTAAGGCTGTGACCAGGACAGAGGTTGGGGACACCTCTGGCACGAGGTTTGCAGGTTCTGCCACAGCCCTCAGTCCTGCCCTTGCTCTCTAGGGCTCCCTCTTGGTCTCTTCAGAGCAAGTCATTCTTGGTCTTAAGGTGCAATGCCCAGGAGTCAAGACTCACCCTCTGGTCCCAGCTCAGCTCCTCCCAGTCTCTGAGCCTCATTGCCCCCCTCGGCAAACACATTGAGACAGGTGGACTCAACAGTGCCTGCAGTCCCTTCTGGCTTGGGGGTTGTCTGATTCTGTAATTTTATGGTTCAATTTCTCTCTCCACTCTCTCTCTCCCCCTCTCTTTCCTTCTGTGTATATAATTATTTCCATGCACTCCAAGACAATCCCAAATTACATGTAGGCAAAATGATTATTAAACCTCAGGGAAAAATCACAGATTTCAAGACATCCAAAGCAGAGAGCAAGACAAGACTGGGGTCTGCTCCACACCTGCCCTCACCATTGGCCCAGGAAACGAGGCACCAGGGAAGAGCAGTGGGGATTGTGAACTGACCCAGGCCCCCCACAGAGAAGCTGCATACCCTTGGGCACATGGCTTCCCTTTCACATCCTCACTATGTCATTCATCAAGTGGTGTGACCTGTCTCACCTAATAGGTTGGGCCAGATTTGCCTGTGGGCCTCATAGCCAGTTGGTTTTTAGAACTTCTTCTGGTTCTGTTCTTTCTGGAGACAGCCCTAACTTTGGGCAAAATAGGTACTGTCCATGTGCTAGGTTTTGAAAGGCCTGGCATGTCCCATTATTCTGCCACAGGCACTGGAAATTCTGCCACAGTCACTGGACCCACATCAGAGGGTCATTCCTTTGGTGCAGAACTAATTCCCACTGCTCTTAGGCCTGGTGCGGGGGCATGATCACATGTTAGCCCCCAACGGTGCATTGTAGATGTTGGTAGTCTGCCTTGTTCCATATGCTGTCCAAAGCGCATTAAGCCATTAAATCCTCACAACAGCCCTATCAAGTAGGTATTACTAGAATTCTCCTTTGATGATGAACTTAGGCACAGAGACGTTGAGTAACTTGGCCAAGGTCACACAGCTGGTAAGCAGTGAAGCCAGGGTAGGACTCCATGTCTGGCTCCAGAGCCCAGGTTCTTAAGTATTTAGCTATCTTGACTCTGTGACACATTCATATCTGTTAAATTTTCTTTTTCTTTCTTTTTTTTTTTTTTTTTTTTTTTTTTTTTTGAGACAGAGTCTCTCTCTGTTGCCAGGCTGGAGTGCAGTGGCGCGATCTCGGCTCACTGCAATCTCCGCCTCCTGGGTTCAAGAGATTCCTCTGCCTCAGCCTCCCGAGTAGCTGGGACTCTATGCACGCACCACCACGCCCAGCTAATTTTTTTAATTTATTTTTATTTTTTAGTAGAGACGGGATTTCACCATGTTGGCCAGGATGGTCTCAATCTCCTGACCTCATGATCTGCCCGCCTCGGCCTCCCAAAGTGCTGGGATTACAGGCATGAGCCACCACACCCGGCCCATATCTGTTAAATTTTCATCACCCTGGGTGAGGAGGGGAGTGTTACTTCCTTTTATAGGACAGGAAATCAAGCCCCAGAGGGGGATAATCATCTGCCTAAGGTCTCTCAGCCAAGAGGTGGCAGACGTGGGACTCGGGAATGCAGGCCTCCCTCTTTCTCTTTCCTCCATCCCCCCAGGTTGGAACCAGAGAGGAGTGTACTAATAAAGAAGAGGAAGGGCTTCTTGGGTTGGGGGAGTGTTCCAGCCTGAAGGCTTGGGCTCCTGCCATGTGTACCCTGGATCTTCCCTGCCTGAGGCCCAATGGTGCTTGTCCTCACTAAGCATCAGGAGACCCAGCTTCTGGGCCCAGCCTGGCCTCAGCTGACCCTGTGAGGTCACAGCCAAGTCATGCAACTCCAATTCCTACTGGCATTCTGCCCCGCCCTCAGGCAGCAGCAAACTCCACAGCTCTGGCTTGATCAGGGGAGTCTCATTTGAGGGCATAGCTGCCCCAGAGGTGGTGGGCCTCTCCTGAGGCCATCAATGCCTTGAATTGCTGGTCTTCACCCAGCTTAAATCTCCCAGTGCCCTAGGCTAGTGGTTTTCAAAGCAGGTCTCTGGACCAGCAGCAACAGCACCTGGAGGCACACTAGGTAGGCACCTTCTCCAGCACCACCCCAGACCAGCAGAACCAGAAACTCTGGGGAGTGAGCTGAGGGACACTCAAGTCTGAGTGTCCCTACGCTAGGCCAGTGCTCCCACCAGCCCTTGGGTGGAGCTTGGGTTGAGCAAGGGCTTCTGGGAGATAGGAGTTTCTCTGAGGTTCCTTTGGGGCAGGAAGGCATCATCCTGGGAGAAGCACAAGAAGAAGTAGCCAGATTGGAGGGTAGGGCCCTATCCCTGCCGCCTGCCCAAGCCCAGCAGTCACAGCAGCACTTCATGATGGTGTGCAGTTTTGCAGGGGGCCGCAGGGGGAGATTCTCAGCTTTCCAGGGACTAGTGCCCAAGACTCCTCATCTGTAGACACAGGAGATAATGATCTCATGGGTGGAGGTGAGCACTCGAAAGCATGGTGCATGGTAGGTGCTCAGAGATGGGAGGTGGTGTCATTTTCATCCCCAGTGCTTTGCAGAGTCCTTTTGCTGCCCTTCTCACTGTCCTTCATGAAGCTCTCATAAGGTTGGCTGGGATTGTCATACTCACTTGGTGGTCTGGGATTGTCATACCCACTTGGAGGTGAATGAGGTTGAGGTCCAGAGAGGTTCTGTGATCTTCCAAAAGACACACAGAACAATGTCAAAGCTAAGTCTGGAATCCAGATGTCCTGATTCCTCCAGCTCTTCTGGAGGCCTCAGCCAAGTGGTTTCCCCACTCCTGGCCTGGGCAATGGTTGAGGGGCCATCCCTAGGCATCAGCACCCAAGCAGCCTCTCAGAGTCATTCCTATAAACAGAGTCCTAGAATCTCAGACATGGAAGGAACCTTGGAAATAAACTAGTTCACCCACCCTCTTCGCTTACAGACTGGGCAACTGAGACCTACAGAGGAAAAATGGTTGACCAGGTCTCCTGCATCCAGCCCCTGACTCCTGATCAAGTAGTCTTCCCACTGGCCCAAGCCACTCTGGCCATCACTTTTGTCCTTGCTTTCCTCTCACTTTGGGGCACTCACTACCCCCACTCCTTGCCAAATACTAGCACATCCCTGGACAGCAGCAGCCCTTAGCAACTGTTTGTTGAATTAAGGACTTAATGAGTTAATTAATTAATTGCCTGCTCTGACCCCAGGTTGAAGGGCGCCAGAGAGGTGCTGGGGGCTGGATTCTGATCTGGATGACTCACTGTGGATCTCTTGGTCTCTGTTACTCTGACTCTTGGCCTCGCTGCTTTGTTTTCATTGTTTTTCTGTTTTGTTTTTGGTTGGAATCTTCTCTCTCCCTTCTCTTGCCCTGTCCCATCCCTGTGTCTCTGACTGGATCTCCCTCTTTCCCTCACTGTCTTCCTCCCTGATTTATGTGCTGACAGTGGCCACCCAGGCAAGGGAGTGTCCCAAGCCAGGGCCTTCTGTATAGAAGCCAAGGGCTTCACTTTATGCGAGGCAGGCCAGGGTGGAGTGACCTCCACAGCTGAGCTGCCCCCTGAGTGCATTGAACAAGCAGCTCTGGGCCCAGAATAGATGGCTTCTTTATTGCTTATCAAATAATGCTTGCTTTATTCCTTCTCTCAACAAGCCAGGATTGATCTCCACTTGTCAGTGGGCAGGGAAGGGGAAGGAATGAGGAGGCTCCGGGAGATGGAGATGGGGGTGGGGTGACCCAGCCAGTGCTGTACACCTGGTGTTCTTGCCGTGAGGGATGGTGGAGACCCAGGGGCGACAGTCACCAGTCAGCTGCAAGGACTGGTCCAGGATGCTTTAGAAAGCCCACACAGGGTCTTCCTTGTGATCACCCACATCATTTCCTCTCTGAGGGTGCATGGGCTGCTCAGCTCTTTGTGGAATGGGCTTGCTGGAGGCCCTCAGCCCCTCTGAAGTGGCCCCCTCTCAAACTAAGGAAGATTCATCCCTGATCACCAGGGCTGCCCCCAGAGCAGCTGCTGTGTTTGAGAGACAGGGGTGAGTGAATGGATGGTGTGCAGGGCTGGAAAGCAGTTCCCTCTCCCCCAGGGCACTGAACAGTGGTAAACAGACCTTTGGGAAGGGCCGGAACAAGCTCTGTCCAGCCTGATCTGATTTGGGCCCTCCACAGGGCAAACCAACCTGTGACCTCCAGGCCAGTCACCATCCTACAGGCTCTCCCCTGTCCAGTACGCTCATCAGCCAGGGGTCTACAGGGATGGGGTGGAGACACACTCACACCTGGCTGATGCAGGGACCCACCTGGCCCCTCTCATCTCCTCTCCCCTTCCCTGGTCAGGTGGTGAGCCAGATCGATAAGCTAACCTCGGACTTCGACTTTGAACTGGAGCCGGACGACTGGACCACGGCCACTGTGAGCAGCACCTCTAGCAGTGACAAGGCGGGCATGGGTGGCCCCTTTGACCTGGGCCACCTGGACTTCATGACAGCCGATATCCTCTCAGACAGCTGGGAGTTCTGCTCCTTCCTGGACGTCTCTACCCCCTCGGACTCCGTGGATGGTCCCGAGTCGACTCGGCCAGGGGCTGGCCCTGACTACCGCCTCATGAATGGTGGCACGCCCATCCCCAATGGGCCACGAGTGGAGACCCCAGACTCCTCCAGTGAGGAGGCCTTTGGTGCTGGCCCCACGGTGAAGAGCCAGCTGCCCCAGCGGACCCCAGGGACACGGGAGAGGGTGCGGTTCAGTGACAAAGTGCTCTACCATGCTCTGTGCTGTGACGATGAGGAGGGGGACGGTGAGCAGGAGGTGGAGGAGGAAGAAGTGGGCTTGCCCCCTGAGCCTGCCCATACAGAGGCCCATGCAGGCCCCCACAAGCCCTCCCCAGCCCCCTACAAGTCACGGCGCTCTCCACTGACCAGCCGCCACTCAGGCTCTACCTTGGCCCCTGAACAGACTCGAAGGGTCACGAGGAACAGCAGCACCCAGACAGTGTCAGACAAGAGCACGCAGACGGTTCTGCCCTACACAGCCACTAGACAGAAAGCCAGGGGGAAAAACTAGGGGCCGGGGAGGGGGCCGGGGGCGGTGGGCACATAGAGCTATAAATAAATATATATATATATATATATATATATATATTTAAACAAATGAAGTCATAATAAAATTTAAAAATGCTAAGGATCTGGCCCCACAGGCCCCAAAGCTTTCACAGAGCTCCTCTTAGACATGAAGATGCCCATTGGCCTCCTAGGTCCCAGGAGGTGTGGGCAGGACTGCCCTTCCTCCGTTCTCATTGCGGGGCTCCTGAAGGGGGTATCTGAAAGTATGTAAAACTGATGGGAGGTCTGATCCTCCTTTTGCTAGCCCCTGAACTCTGTGGTGGAGTCTGGCTGATGGCCAGGGCCATGTCCTAGAGGGGACTCCCCTGCAGGAGGCGGGCTCTAAAGGGAGTGGTGTCCCTTTAGGCCAGGGTTCACAGTCGGGGTGGTCTGGAGACTGCAGGACTCAGGGCCTGGGGGTGGCATCAGTCTGGCCAGGCCCTGCGTCACTTGCACCCACCATCCTTCTACTCCAAGGCAGACTTACTCGGCTATACACAGTCCTGCCTCACCCCCTTCCATCTTAGGGTTGCCTGGGACATAGGGGAATGGCAAGCTGCTCCCATGGCGCAGGCCTCCGTGCTGGGATGCTGGGCATCCACAGAGCCTGAAGGATCGCCTGGGCTGGGCAGGGGTTTGATTGGAGGGTCTGGACCACCCCCAATCCTTTCAGCTCCCATTCTCAGCCTGATTCTGAGACCAAGACCAAAACCTCAGGGCAAAGCCTCAGCCAGTCCTGGCGTGGCCCTAAGCAGACCTGAGATCTGTGCGAGGAAGTAGGCAGCCACTTCCATGGGGCTAAAAATTAGGGCCGTAGACAGGCTCCTGGCCACCTTCACCAGGTGGGCAGCCTTGGAAAGGAGCCCAGTGGTCCCCACTCCGTCCCGATGTCTCCACACCCAGCCCCTGAGCCCATCTCAGCAGGTCCTGAACAAAGATGAGGTTACAGCCTAGAGGTACCAGGGCTTCATCTGGGGCATGGCCAGCACAGGGACAGCAGCTGAATATCCTTGGGATAATAATGACAATTATATTGCTCACATTTATTGAGCAGGTCTCTATGCTACTTCTATGCCGAATACTTTTTATAGCAGCATCTCATTTAATCACCACAATAACCTGATGAGACAGGAAGTATTATTACCCCATTTTTCTTTTTCTTTCTTTCTTTTTTTATTTTTATTTTTTTTATTTTTGAGATGGAGTCTCGCTCTGTCACCCAGGCTGGAGTGCAGTGGGGCGATCTTGGCTCACTGCAACCTCCACCTGCCAGGTTCAAGCAATTCTCCCACTTCAGCCTCCAGAGCAACTGGGACTACAGGCATGCGTCACCACGCCTAGCTAATTTTTGTATTTTTAGTAGAGACGGGGTTTCACCATGTTGGGCAGGCTGGTCTGAACTCCTGACCTCAAGTGATTCGTCAGCCTCAGCCTCCCAAAGTCCCGGGATTACAGGCGTGAGCCACTGTGCCCCCACCTATCCCCATTTTTCAAATGAGATGACTGAGGTTCAAAGTAGTTCAGTACCTGCCCCAAAGCCACAAAGCCTGTGCTACTCTGCCCCCAAGAATTAGTGATTTCCAGGCTGTGCCTGGCTCTGCTAGCTAGCAGCTGTGTGACCTTGGCAAGTCCGTTTGCCTCTCTGAGCCTATCTACCTCCTCTGTATAATGGGTCTGGTAGTCTTCACCTACCTCACCAGCTGCTGTGGAGCTCCGACGAGATGGTGACTGTGAAAGCACTTGACAAACTGAAGGCACTGGACATGCCTTGTGGTCAGTGTGGCCTCAACCCAGATGTCCAGTGATTTCCAGGGCACAGGGGCTTTGAGTGGGATGGCCAAAGAAGACACCTCCATCCAACTGGGAGCCACCCCTGGGTCACAAACACTCCATTGCTTGGTCCCTCGCAGTAGCTCGAGGTCAGAAGTTGACTGCAGCTTGATTCACAGCCCCTCGCTCAGAGCAGGGAGGTGGGACTGGCAGCACAGCAAAGACATCGCTCCTTGGGGGCCTCCCTGTTGCATATTTCAATTAAGGCAGGTTTACAGCCCCCCAGCGTCTGTCCGGAGGGGGCCTGAGCAGCAGGCCTGGCAGCACCCACTGCTCCTGCCTGAAGAGGTGCTATCCAGCCCCGGCTGTGGACATACAGTGAGATTGTACAGGCCGGTCTGGAGCAGCTGCAGGGGATATGATCTGGATAAGACTGAGCAGACCTAGGAGGCTCTGCAATGTAGAGCTTATTCCTCAAGCTCATGGTGAGATTGGAGCCCTAAAGAGTTAGCCAGGGTGCAGCCACCAGTGTGGAAATCCAGGGATGGCGCAGGCCATGGCCAGCTCTTCCCAGCTCACGTCTGAGAACCAAGGGTCTGAGCCCCTCTATCAGCCCCAGGAAATCCTCAGCCATTTGGTGCTGATCAGCGATAGGGCTCTGGTTCACAGGATGAGTGCCAGGGGCTCCTCTGGGGAGAGGGGCCAGCTGCATTCCGCCCCACCCTGAGAGTGAGAAGGGGGCAGTCCCCGACCAGGAATGGGCCTACCTGGTGCTAAGAATGGACATAACAGTTCTCCCTCTGAGGCTTGCATTTCATCTGTCATGGCAAGAGCACTTTCAGGCTCACAGTTTCTCATCTTTTCAACAGTCAGGGAAAAGAAACCTATGGAATAGTTCGCATTTCACAGAGGAAGAAACTGAGGGCCAGAGCTAGGGGTCTCTGACACAGCCATGGGATCCTGCACCCCACACTGGCTCTATGTGACTCTGTAGTAGTGGCTAATGTCCATCAGTCGCCCCCTGCTCCCCTGCCTGGCCATTTGCCCCCAAATAGGGCAGTGGTGGGAGTATATCCTGGAGGAGGGGGAAGTGGGATATAGGTAGTACTTGGCTGACTTCACAATTTTGCTACACCCAGTCTGGACCTCCTGACAGTGGAGTGGGATCCCTGTGGCTTCCTTTTTCTTGTTTTTGTTTTGTTTTGTTTTTTTTTAGATGGAGTCTCCCTCTATCATCCAGGCTGGAGTGCAATGGTGCGATTTCAGCTCACTGCAACTTCCACCTCCCAGGTTCAAACAATTCTCCTGTCTCAGCCACCTGAGTAGCTTGGACTACAGGCACCCGCCACCACCCCAGCTACTAAGTTTTGTATTTTTAGTAGAGATGGGGTTTCACCACATGGCCAGGATGGTCTTGATCTCTTGACTTTGTGATCTGCCCACCTTGGCCTCGCAAAGCACTGGGATTACAGGCGTGGGCCACTACGCCTGGCCAATTTTTTTTTGTTTTGTTTTTTTGAGATGGAGTCTTGCTCCATCTCCCAGGCTGGAGAGCAATGGCGTGATCTCAGCTCACTGCAACCTCTGCCTCCTGGGTTCAAGCGATTCTCCTGCCTCAGCCTCCCAAGTAGCTGGGATTACAGGCACCCACCATCATGCCCGGGTTAATTTTTGTATTTTCTTAGAGATGGAGTTTCACTATGTTGGCCAGCCTCATCTTTGAACTCCTGACCTCCGATGATCCACCTGCCTTGGCCTCCCAAAGTGATGGGATTACAGGCGTGAGCCACCGCACCTGGCCCCAGTGGCTTCTTCAGACTTGAAACACAAAATGTGGCCAGCTAGGGATAGAGAGAATTCTGACTTTCAACACTGCTGAGTCATGGCATGGGCTGCTTCTGGGTAGTGAGCTCCCTGTCCTTGGGGTAGACACAGCCATCCCTTGGGTCCTTCCTCCAGACCTTCCAGGTACAGCCCTTTGCTGCTCTTCCCTGCCTCCAAACCTTTGCCAGTTTTTGAGTTTCTTTACCCAGGATGTTCCATCAGATCTCTCTGCTTCCGGGAAGTCCTATTCCACTGACCACCTACTGTGTGCACAGGCTTGTGCTGAGTGGTGCTGTGGAGGGGCAGAAGGGAGCTGGAACCTGGTGATGGAGAGAAGTCATAGCATGATGAATAACTCATGTCCACTGGGCACGTGCTAGGCACTGGGCATTGTTCTAAGTGTATGTCTTATCTCATTTACTCCTCACAGCACGTATGAGATAAGCAATCTTACTTATGTCTAAGTAGCTTCCAGATGAGGAAACTGAGGCTCTGGGAAGTGAAGTAACTTGCCTAAGGAAACACAGGATGGGCTATGGAACCAGGATTCAACCACAAACACAGTGACTTAGCATCATCTACTGCAAACATCCACTGCAGTTAAAATGCCTGGAGTGGGTGGCCTGGTCACTGGAGGTGAGGGTCGGGGCTGGGTCGTCTGAGAGCCAGGCGGGTCTTCGGGGTGAGGGGAGTGTTGGGGTGAGGAAACATGTGAACATGCCTCAGTCTTTGGAGAACTTAGTTACTGTTAACCTGAATGTCACCACCCCTGACTCGGAGACTGGCACCAAATGGATTATGGGTTCAATAAATGTTTGTTGAATGAATAAACGAGCCCCATTTGCAGAAGGGTATCCACTATGCATTCATTCAATCAGCTTTTATTGCAGACCTCCTGTGTACCAGGTGTCATGGTGCTTGCACACATAGGTATACACAACTCCTCTGTGAGGGTCTGGTCTGGTGTGCCTTGGGGCTGGGGAAAGTCAAAACTGAAGGGTGTGGGGTTTCAGCACTAAGGGAGCCATAGCTGCTGCTGGGTCTAGCCTGGGATGCCAGGGTAAGGAACCAGAAGTGGGAGGCAAGTCAGCTTGGTGAGGAGACCACTCTGGGAGATGTCCTGGGAAGGGTGGGGGTCCCCAACCTGACACTCCATTAATAGGGTGGGCACATTGCCATGTCTTTGGTGTCTAAGAATGAGGAGGCATCACTGTCTGTATTTTATAGATGAGGGACAGATGATGTCATCCACAGAAGTGGTCTAATGGGATCAAGGGACAGAAAGGAGGGTAAACTATTCAGAGACCCCAGCACCATCCCCTGTCCTTAATGAGGACTTGTCAACAAGAAGGGAAAGTGGGTGTAGTGGGGCTGGGAATTCCAGAGGCAACAAGACCAGCCCTCCACCCTGTCCACTCCTGACTTTCTGTTTCTCTGTTCCGGCGCTTCCCACACCCACCCATCTCCCATTCCACAGCTGAGACTTGTGTAAGAAAACTGATGTTTATTGACAACCTAGTATATATATGTCAGGTACCGTGCTACATCTTTTAACAAATACTAAATGACAGATTTAGTTGTACCTAGAACAGAATATGTTGCTCAATAATTATTTGTTGAGTAAATGAATTAACCACAATTTTTATTTTACAGGTCAGGGGAGGCAACTGATGAACAAATAAGGAATTCATTCTAAGTTACACAGCCAGAAATTGGCTGCTCTGGGGACTGACATTGCCATTATTATTTACACTATATATAAGTGCTACAATGTATAGCATACTATGTGATTGTTAGGCACTTTACATAGTGCTCACCAGGGTTTGGGCCCTGACTTCAACTCCGCTTTAGGCCAGACTTTCAGAACCACCCCCTAGTTTCTGGTGGGTCTGGGGCACTGACTGGGTGACTAGCAGAAAAACAGCTCCAAGTCCAAAGCATCCTTCCCCCTTTCCATTTCTCTGGCAGAGCCAAGACTAGCCTGCCCTAAGCCCAGTAAATATCACTGCCCTTTCTGGTCTAGGCTTACCTGACAATGGGTGGGGCTGGAGTATCTAGAAAAGGCTTCTGGGGGCCGGGTACAGTGGCTCACGCCTGTAATCCCACCACTTTGGGAGGCTGAGGCGGGTGGATCATGAGGTCAAGAGATGGAGACCATCCTGGCCAACATGGTGAAACCCTGTCTCTACTAAAAATACAAAAAATTAGCCGGGTATTGTGGCGGGAGCCTGTAGTCCCAGCTACTCAGGAGGCAGAGGCAGGAAAATCACTTGAACCCAGGAGGTGGAGGTTGCAGTGAGCTGAGATTGCACCACTGCACTCCAGCCTGGCGACAGAGCAAAACTCCATTTAAAAAAAAAAAAAAAAAAAAGGAAAAGGCTTCTGGAAGGAGGGAGGATTTCACATGGAATTTCACTTGAAATGGAATAGAGCTGGGTCACCTAGAAGTGGGAATGAAGGACATGAGATACTGGTGGAACTTCACAAAGGTGGCTGGGGGAACCATATAGGAGATGGTGGAGAGAGCCCTTGTTAAAGTAGAGGTGCACATTGGTGCAAAATGGAAAAGATAAGAGCACCTTCTGCAAGGGACTTTTGAGTCCCCAGAGCCCCACTCAGAGCCACTCCATCCTCTTTAACTGTGGGGGAGGAAGCCAGGGTATCCTGTCTAGTCTGATACTGGGAGAATAGCTTTATGATAGCTCAGCAACAGTTATCCAGTAGACCATCATGATAGGGACCCACTCTTATGAATAGATAAGAACAGCACACAATTAGCACATTGGTAAGTAACATAGATATGCTAAGCCCTTGAAGATAATTGGATCTTGCAAGCGGGTTAAACGTCCCTCCTGCAATGCATTTGCAGTGCCCTTTTCTTTCTCCCACAGGGCAGAGGGGTGGGATGCTGGAGCTGCACCTTCCTGTAACATGTTACACGGGAGCTAGCTGGAATTCTGATGCAACCTGACTCCTCCATTGGCCTGCCCCGAACCCCTACCAGAGGGGCGAGCACAGCTGCCATCACCACCTGCCCACCCCCACCTTACCTGTACCAGCCATGCCAGACTAGGGGACCAAGGGGTCTTGGAGGGTGACCTCAGGCTGACGCTATCCAGGGCTCAGACACTGTGCTGATCAGACATGACTCCCTGCCAGGAACACTCAAGCTTACACACCTGCCTGAGGCTTTTGGCTCTCAGTTCCTGTTCAGGCTGCTCCATTCCTATTATGCTGGGATGTGTAAAGTCAGGCACTTCCCACTGTGGACAACAAATCTGATGGTGCAGACCCACCCTGGTGTCCTCTCCTCCCCCACTATCTTAGAAGAGCCACAGAAACCCAGTCTCCAGGCATCACCCGACCTGTCCTCCACCCCCAAGAAAGCAGGATGGGGTGGGGGTTGCAGGTGTCACTGCAAGGCACTGCCTGTGGAGCAGCTGTGGAAAGATCCCGAGGGGCCCTGATCTTTGTGGGGTTCCTTGACACACGATGGCCAGTGGTGGGGCCTTCCCAGGAGACCCCTGTAAAATGGAGAATTTTTCCTTAGCTAAATGGCTGAGTGTGAGCAGCTTCCCAAAGGAGGTAGTGCTGGCAGCCCTCACAGCCCGCGCTCGCTCTCAGTGCCTCCTCGGCCTCGGCGCCCATTCTGGCCGCGCTTGAGGAGCCCTTCAGCCCACCGCTGCACTGTGGGAGCCCCTTTCTGGGCTGGCCAAGGCCGGAGCCAGCTCCCTCAGCTTGCGGGGAGGTGTGGAGGGAGAGGCGCGGGTGGGAACAGGACTCCGCGCGGCGCTTGTGGGCCAGCGCGAGTTCCGGGCGGGCGTGGGCTCCGCGGGCCCCGCACTCGCACTGGGAACCGCCGGCCGGCCGGCCCCGGGCAGTGAGGGGCTTAGCACCTGGGCCAGCAGCGGCTGTGCTGGATTTCTCGCCTGGCCTTAGCTGCCTCCCCGCGGGGCAGGGCTTGGGACCTGCAGCCCGCCATGCCTGAGCCACGCCCCCAACCCGCCGTCGGCTCCTGCGCGGCCCGAGCCTCCCCGACGACCGCTGCCCCCTGCTCCACAGCGCCCAGTCCCATCGACCGCCCAAGGGCTAAGGAGTGCGGGCTCAGGGCGCGGGACTGGCAGGCAGCTCCACCTGTAGTCCCGGTGGGGGATCCACTGGGTGAAGCCAGCTGGGCTCCTGAGTCTGGTGGTGACTTGGAGAATCTTTATGTCTAGCTAAGGGATTGTGAATGCACCAATCGGCACTCTGTATCTAGCTCAAGGTTTGCAAATGAACCAATCAGCACTCTGTGTCTAGCTCAGGGTTTGTAAATACACCAATCAACACTCTGTATCTAGCTAACCTAGTGGGGACATGGAGAACTTTTGTGTCTAGCTCAGGGATTGTAAACGCACCAATCAGCACCCTGTCAAAACGGACCAATCAGCTCTCTGTAAAACAGACCAATCGGCTCTCTGTAAAATGGACCAATCAGCAGGATGTGGGTGGGGCCAGATGAGAGAATAAAAGCGGGCTGCCCGAGCCCGTAGTGGTAACCTGGTGGGTTTGTTTTCCATCCTGTGGAGGCGGTTTTTTTTTTTATGTTTTGGGTTTACACTGTTTTTGTGAGTTGTAACGCTTATCACGAAAGTCTGCAGTTTCAGTCTTGAGGTTAGCGAGACTACAAAACCACCAGGAAGAACGAACGATTCCAGACGCGCTACCTTGAGAACTGTAACACTCACGGAGAAAGTCTGTAGCTTCGTTTCTGAACGAGCGAGACCACCGAATCCACCGGACGGAAAAAACTCTCAACACATCCGAATATGGGAAGGAGCAAACTCCAGAAACGCGCCTTTAAGAACTAAGTAACACTCAACTGCGAGGGTCTGCGGCTTCATTTTTGAAGTCAGACCGAGAACCTACGGATTCCGGACACAAGTCCAGCTCGTGAGGTGGGGAAGGGGAAGGGGGAGGGGAGGGAGGAGGTTCATATAGTAAGAGTAACCTGGGAGTGTGGGGAGGGGATAGAACCCTGCTCACTGCCCCCTGCCCATAGTGAACAATCGGCACTATCTATTTTGCCCTCCAGACACTACCGTTTCCGTAGAGACAGTACTAAGAGGAGGCTTATTTCCTCCTGTAGACCTAGCGGGAGGGCGGAGGCTTAAATCTAGAAAACCAACCATTGAGAGCAGGTGAATTCTAGGTATGATGAGCTCATTTTCTGACCTGCAGGGGGTGAGGGTGGTTAGGGGTAAACCTGTGATCCCAAAGGCACCAAGGGGAGCGTCAGCAGGTCTCTGGGATATGGGCTGGGAGCAGGAGCCAGGAGCCCCACTTGGCAAGGGGGTAGGTCTAGGACATGTTCCCAGGTGTGCTCAGTCTTGACACCACTTCAATGAGTGGCACATGCTGCAGTGTCCTGGTACTTAAGAGCTGCCAGCCCCTCTCAAGACAGACTTTTCACTCCAATGCCTGGTGTAAACGAGAAAAAGTTTTTCAGGATGGTGCCCCAGACATGGAGTTCAGTCTTCCCAGTCAACATATGGGCCTCCCAGAGGGTTCCAGTCTTTCCTCTGGCTTCCTAAAAAAAAAATGCGGTCCCTTGTGCTTGGGCTGGAGGCTGGCGGTGGTGTCAGGGAAACTGCAGATGGTCCTTCTACCCGGGGTGGGTGGGGACGTCCTGAGAACTCTAGCCCAGAGAACACCCTTTTTCAGGTCGGGCTAACCCTGCTCACCTTTCGGTTCCTTGGATATTTATTTCTCTTATCCACAGGTTGCAGACTGGTGGCCTGCATACCTGTTTTGCTTCCTACAGTAGTTTAAAAACAGCATTTTACGTAAAATTTCAGATTTCTTAGAAAAAATCAGTAGCTGTGACAACACTGGGCTGGCATTTCCGCACAGAACCAGTCAGCAGGAACTGAGCAGCAGGGCCCTTCTGGGTGGGACAGGCACTCACCAGTGTCCCCACACTGGCCCAGGGACTCATTTATTCGCACTGGCACCTGCAGGCATATGAGGCTGATTCCTGCCAATTCAGCCTACCCCAAACTCTTGTTTCGCCGTGTCTTTTCCTTTCTGCCTTGCTGCGTCTTAAGTGTGCCTCTGACCCACCCTCATCACTGCACTGAGGTTTATCTTCCCCCATACAGCTGTCTCCTCCAGTTGACTGCAAGCCCGAGGGCAGAAACAATGCTTCCATAAGGTTCTCAGTGAATGTACATTGAATAAACACACGTCTTGCCTTTGCTTGGCCCACCCTTGTCCATGGGACCTAACTCCCTCTCCAGATTCAGAGTTGGAGGGTCAAGACTCCCAAAGGCTTCCTGAAAGGGAGGAAGTTTCATTCTGGGTCGTGGGGCAGTGAAGGCAGGCACAGGCCACTTTGACCCTCTGGTGCTTTGAGGCAGCAGGCCTCTGCTGGACTTTGCGAAGCACTCACCCAGTTTTGTTTTGGTGGTTTTTTTTTTTTTTCTGGTTTTGGTTTCTTGTTGCTTTGTTTGCTTTTAAATTTAGAGCATCATTGCAGGGCTGAGGGATGATTTCATGCTTTTTAATAAGGGAATCTTCAAATCAAATAGCCCTTGTTGCTATTTCATCAATCCACTGTAGTGCCAGCCACATGGATAACTCATTCACTGAGTAATTGCCATTTTTCAAGTACTGAATGGGACATAGCAAGATGTCAGTAAGTGAATTTTTCTTGTATCTTTGCCCCATAGGCTTGCATATTCTGAAGGCCCAGTGGTGTGCCCTAAAAGCAAGGTTTAGCTAAATGCATCAGTATCAGATTCCCTCGTTTCCCCATTACTGCTGGCCTTGGGAGGCTGTCCCAGAAGCCCTGCAATGTACCCCTCAGACAAGCTCTCTTCCCTTTGGCCCTGTGCCCCTGCCCCATCACTATCAGAACTTCTTTCCCTAGGGAGTGTTGAGGGCACCTGTCAGAGCCACTGCACAACTCCAGGGACACCACTCACACTGTCACCTATGTAAATGGCCCCCCTCAGCACAGCTCTGCTGGAGACACCACAGCAGTGTGCCCTGGAGGTAGGCAGTATGGTGATTATGACACCTGCACAGGGCCACAAGGACGTATGGCCCTGACACCAAGCTGAGGCTGCCAGGGCTTCTGGACCAGGTTGAGAGCCTCAGACCTCATGCTTTTGAGCTCTAGCTGCCCACGGTACCCTCACCGCACACACTGGGGCCCAGAGAGATTTCCACATGGAACAGAGCAGGGGACAGAGTGTGGCTAGTGAAAGGGTCCCTTCCTGGCCCCAGGCTTGTCCCAAGAGGATCCATAATCCCCACCTCACCACCTTCTGTCCCTGGCAGAGACCTCATCCCAAAACTTCAGATGCAGAGGGCAGGATCCATGGCAGGCCAAGGCTGGCAGACACCATCCCAGAGTCTTGAGGCTCAAGATAGCTGACCAACCCCTGCCCCAACCGTGGCCAGATTCAGAAGCTGCTTTGTATTCTGGACCAAATGGTGGGCAGGGCCAGCCAGGAGAAGGCTGGCCTACAAGTGAGGTCCCTAATCCTAACTCTGGCTTCAGAGCCAGAAAGCCCTGGTTCCAGACTGGGGGTCCATCTCCTCCTACCTTTGTGACCTTGCACCAGCTATTTCACCTCTTGGAGCTTCATTTTCTTAAGGATATAAAACCCACCAATGGCCCTGCTGTGAAGGCTCAATGAAAAAATATGTGTGAAGCCCCTTCCCCAGGGCCTGCCAGAATATGCACCACCACCGTCTTGTTTCCTTCTCTCTCAAGGGCTCTCTGCCTCCCTGTCATATTGGGCATAGGAAATGTCCTGAGCTCAGGAACAAGGGTTCAGGGCGGCATTCTTGTGGCTGCTCCCAGGGTCAGTTCGCAAGGTCCAGAGAGGGATAGTACCTGCCCCATATGTCATCGCAGAGGCAGGACAGGAGGGTGGGGCTGGAGCAGAGCCTCACAGGCAGCTGCACTTTGCTGGAAGTGGGTCTATCCGAACCAGTCATGTCCTGGGGATGTTAACAAGCTGCCCATTAAGAATGGTTTCTCTCCTCCACGCTGGAGACGACCACATCTGGTAGTGGGTAGACCCCATTGTTGAGCCCTGGAGACTGTATGGACAGGACAGAAGGCTGCTAGAGTGGTTAAATTCCAGTTTTAATTAGTGGAAATTTGCTTGGCGGTGTGGAGAGGAATGGCCCAAGTGACCTCTAGAGCTGTAAGGGGAAAGGAGGGGTGGGGTGTGGAGGGCAATGCACGGGTTCCAGCACAAGGAAGAGATTTACCCCATCTACAACCACTTTGGGGTGACTCAAGTATACTGTGAGTACCTTGGACCCACCTGCCGGCAGACAAATGGGTTGTTTCCTCAGGGCCCAGCCACAAGGGCCCACTCTGCCTGCTACCCCGTGTGACATGCAGGATCTCACTAAGTAAGATCCTACTGGCCTCTGGCCGTGGGAGAGGCTGAGGTCTGATTTCTCTCCCGGAAGCCCAGCAGGCCCCAGGCCAGAGCACAGCTAGTCCCAGGTTGTCGCTATGCCCTCTGCATTCCTATCTGGTTGGCAGGGAGCTCTAGGCTTGTAGTGAGAGCTCCCTTCATTATAGAAAAGGGAGCTTAATGTTCTAGGAACTCATCTCCTTCTCCTCTTCCACCTTCTCCTACTCCTTGACTCATCAAGCACTAAGTAAGCATGTCTAGTCATCTTTCACGTCACACAAACAGACTTCTCTGCTTTTTAAAGATGTGCATCCTGGGCTGTGGACACAGCAATAGAGAAGGGCTGCACTGAATGAATCACACTTTTGCCTGACTGCCCCAGTGATAAGTGGCCTTCCTAGTGGTTGGATGGGAATAAGAGCTCAACTGTAAGACAGGCCGGTCTACAACCAGAGATAGGGCCCAGGGAGAGACCAAAAATAGGACTCAGTTCAGATCAAGGAAGGGGCTGAGTCTATAACTAGAATCAGGGTTCTATCTGTGACCAGGATCAGGGCTCAGTATATGACCAGGATTAGGGTTCAGTGTGTGATCAGGATCAGGACTCAGTGCACCACTGGGGTCAGGGTTCAGTGTGTGACCAGATCAGGGCTCTGTGACCAGAATTGTAGCTCAGTCTATGACCAGAGATTGAGCTTAGTGTGTGACCACAGTCAGCTCAGTGTGTTCCCATGGTTGGGGCTCAGTCTGTGACCCTGAGCCCATCACAGCGTCAGGGTTCAGTGTGTGACCAGGATCAAGGCTCAGTGCGTGACTGGGGTAAGGGCTCAGTGTATGATTAGAATCAGGGTTCAGTGTGTGACCAGAATTGGAGCTCAGTCTATGACCAGGGTTGGAGCTAAGTGTGTCTCCAGGGTTGGGGCTCAGTCTATGACCCTGAGCCCATCACAGGGTCAGGGTTTAGTGTGTGACCAGGGTCAGGGTTTTGTCTTTCCTATATGACTCAGTTCTCTGATCTAGTATAAACCTTTCTTCACATACAAAATGTGAAACAAATTGTTGCTCTCCTGTCTTAAGACCTTTTATGGGAAAAGCCTGCAAAAAAGATTTCCATGGTGCCTGGTGGTCTTTAGGAATGCAGTGCAGCCATTTGGCAGAGCGCCGGAGACCCTCGTGGCCTGGCCTCTGCTGCTCTCTACTCACCTTGCTTCTCCTCTCCATGCAGCTTTTGTTCAAGGCATAGGAGCTGCTTGCAGTTCCCTGAAGTGCCTGGTTACTTCATGCATCTGTGTTCTTCAAGGCCATTTCCCCTCGTGGCACTGACCCTGCCCCTCTTCAGTACTGTGTAGCAGTTAGAAGCTCAAGCGCTAAAGTAGACGAAAGCTGGATTCAAACCTGCCTCCGTCACTTCCTTGCTGTGGGATTTTTGGGCAAATAGCTTAGCTTCATCTTTACACAGAGGCATACTCAATATTCATGCATGGGCTGGTGGGAGATTTTCCTGGTGAGCCCGTGGTCAGGTTTTAATGCATATTACTCATTTTCATCATTAATGGTTCCCCATTGTGTCTGAGATGTTTGGTGAACACTCAGCATCCCTTTCCTGCCATCTTCTCATGGCCTTGCTAGACTGCAGTGCCTGGGAAGCTAAACATGCAGGGCTCCCTTGCAGCTGAAGTTGTGTGTGAATTAAGTTCCAGCAATTAGAGGCCCTTTGGCAAAACCTGGAAGGCAGATTTGGAGGCTTATCTGTGGCTGCTTTCAGCCAGTAAGCCTGTGGAACTGCAGCAGCATTTCAGTGCTGAGGCCTCAGATTCAGGGGTGTGGAAGGGTAGCAGCGATGGGTTTCTTTTTGTACCCTGGATCAGGTTGAAGCATGGTCTTGAACCCAATGGTTCCAATGATTCTTCCCCCATTCCCCATATTTTTGCTGCTATAACTAAATACCACAAATTCAGAGGCTTGTAACAACACACATTTATTCTCTCATAGCTGTGGAGGTCAGAAGTCCAAAATCGGTTTCACTGGGCTAAAGTCAAGGTGTCAGCAGCTCTGAGTTCCTTCTGGAGGCTCCAAGGACAGTCCATTTCCTTGCCTTGTCCAGTTTCTAGAGGCCTCCTGCCTTCCTTGGCTCACAGCCCCTTCCTCCGTCTTCAAGCCAGCTCCTGGTCTGTCATCCATCTCCTTTGTTTTTTCCTGATTCTGCTTTATTGCCTCCTTATAAGGACCCTTGTTGTTATATTGGGCCCACCTAGATAATCCAGGATCATCTTCCCATCTCAAGATTCTTAACCTAATTACATTTGTGAAGTCCTTTTTGCCAGGTAAGGTAATATTCACAGGCTCCAGGAATTAGAACATGGACATCTTTGGGGACCATTATTCAACCTACTGCATGACAAAGTAGCAGCCCCCTGGTTGTTCAGTTCTGTGATATTCTGTATTCTGGAAGTATTTCCTGGCCAGGCACTGTGGCTCACGCCTATAATCCCAGCACTTTGGGAGGCTGAGGCAGGTGGATCACTTGAGGTCAGAAGTTCAAGACCAGCCTGGCCAACATGGTGAAACCCCATCTTTACTAAAAATACAAAAATTAGCAGGGCATGGTGGCGTGTGCCTGTAGTCCCAGCTACATGGGAGGCTTAGACATGAGAATCGCTTGAACCCAGGTGGCAGAGGCTGCAGTGAGCCAAGGTCGTGCCATTGCACTCCAGTCTGGGCAACAGAGTGAGACTCTGTCTCAAAAAGAAAAGAAAAAAAGGAAACAAACAAAAAAAGAAAAATCAGCCAGGCGTGGTGGTGCACACCTGTAATCCCAGCTACTTGGGAGGCTGAGGCAGGAGGATAGCTTGAACCCAGGAGGCGGAGGTTTCAGTGAGCTGCGATCACACCACTGCACTCCAGCCTGGACCACAGAGCAAGACTCCATTTCAAAAAAAATCATTTCCTGAGACCCAGCCCCAAGCAGGCTCCTTCAGTCTTTGTAAGCACCCAATACCCTGTACTAAATTCCTTTCTGTTTAAAATACAGTTGCTTCTGTTCAATGTACCCAACTATGAATAACATACCAAATGTCCTGCAAGACTCAGCTCTCACATCACCGTGTCTGGAAAATCTGCCCCAATTCTTCCAGGATTCCTTGATCCCTCCTCTGGACCCCACAGTTCTGCCTAGATCAAATTCACATAAATGCTTATCTCCCCTAGTGGATCATGACTTTCCAATCCAACTACAGCACAGAATCTAACACTAAGGAAGGTTGCATCAAGAAATGAAGTAGGGGCGGGTGGCTGAGCACAGGCCCCTGAGCACCAAGCCTGGGATGCAGGCAGAGGCAGGGATGCCCTGGAGAGGAAGGGGATTGGCCAGCAACAGAAGGAAGGAAGCCTGGGACAGAAATGCAATCTCAGTGTCACATACCACAGCAGCAGCTAGACCCATGTGACACAGCACAATCTTCAGCCCCAGGGCTGCGTCCCAGCCTGCAGCTTTGTGGTCCTGAATCCAGAAGGCAGAAACAATGACGTGTGACAGAAGAGACAGGCCCCAACACACAGGACAGTGCCAGGGTTTAAACTCAGAAAACAACCAATGAGCAGGGGATGAATCTTTCTTAATTGAGGGCAGGAGAGAAAATGGGCAAAATGATGTCCTTAGCCTACGACAGGCTCTGACTCTTTCACCTAGGACTGAACAAGTGGTCTGGCCCCTGAGCCCAAAGGGCACACCCATACCTGGGTGTAAATGAAGCAAAGAAACTGATCTTTAAAAGGATCAGATGCAGGCCAGGTGCAGTGGCTCACACCTGTAATCCCAGCACTTTGGGAGGCAGAGGCGGGCAGATCACTGGAGGCCAGGAGTTCCAGACCAGCCTGGCAAACATGGTGAAAACCCATCTCTACTAAAAGTACAAAATTAACCAGGCATGGTGGCAGGCGCCTAGAATCCCAGCTATTCAGGAGACTGAGGCAGGAGAATCACTTGAACCCGGGAGGCAGAGGTTGCAGTGAGCTGAGATCGCACCACTGCACTTCAGCCTGGGTAACAGAGCAAGACTCTGCATTTAAAAAAAAAAAAAAAAAGGATCAGATGGGATCAGATGCAGGCAACAAATTGAAAAAACTTTGCATGCCACCCTAGATGATATGGATATAAAGGCACACAGCAGGTGAGAGACAGCCCTGCAGAAGGCCACCTCTGCTGTCAGGCAACAACTAAAGAACCCCAAAAAGCCCTGCCCTGCCCGTGGCTAATGCATGTTGTGACATCCGCTGGACTCCCTGCCCTCCCTCCACCTCAGTCTGCTCCATCCCATGTAATGGGAACAGTAGACTCTGTGCCAAACGGCTTAGGAAAATAAGGAAAACAAGAAAGCATGGTGCAAAATGAGAGGTTAGAAGGTCAGAAGAGTGGGAGGTGCAGATCCTGGGCCGTGGCAGGGAAGAGGCTCCATCTGGAGAAGAAAGGCTGGGAGGTCTGAGGTATTATTAATGAGGTCCCAACAGACAGGGCTGGGCCTGAGCTTGGAGAGCCGGCCCTCCTCCACCCCATGCTCAGCACACTTCAAATTAATAATTAAAATGCTTCCTGTCAAATTCAAGCCTGACACGTAATTAGAGCAGCTCCAGGCTTTAGGCAATGGTGATGAAAACAGCTCTTGTTAGACTTTTCTGGGGATGAGTGGGGTGAGAATTGAGAATAGAACCTTCCTCCCAAAATTTCTCCATCAGGGCCTTCTGTCTGCGTGCCAGATAGATATGGATGGGATTTTCCTTCTAGCCTGCGGAGAGGCTGGTAGATGGGGAGGAACCTCAGTTTCCCCCTCTGTGCCGGGAAGAGATTGGACAAAGTACAATCCTGTCAAGAGAGGGCAGCTCAGGGATTTGTGTAAGGAGGGTAGGTGGTGGCTTCTTGGAGTTTCAAAGGCCAGACAGACAAATCTGAGGGCCAACTGCAGATCCCGACTTGCTCCCGACCCACCCCCACACGTGCACAGAAGGCATTGCCATTGTGTCCTTTCCAGCCAGGGCTGCTGGGGAGCAGCTAAACTCAGCTACCAACTGTTCAGTGGCCACAGCATCCCAGTCCAGGTTCCTCCCTAGAAACCCATGGCGCTCATCACCTCCTTCTGGAGTACAGCCTTTCTCCATTCCTATCAATAAAGTGGGACAGAGACCGAGGAGTCCTAGCTCCCAGCTTCTGGGCTTCTCAGTGCCCCAGGGGCACAGGTTGGAGGTGCTATCCATGGTTCTAGGGAGACTTCCAGTTTTCAGCTTCTTCCCATGTCAGGCGTTCTTCCAGAGCCCTAATTGGCCTGCCTGATCCCCTAGACCCCTTCTACCAGAGTCCAGTTCCTGAGCCCTATGACACTGTCACACCACACTTGTCACCAGACCTGGCCCCCCAGTGGAGGCCCTGAGAGAGGGAAGGGATCCCCACTGCTCAGCTCATTGATGGAGAGCCTTGAATGCCCATCCTGGGGGTTCACCCTGATGGGCCTGCCCTTAGGAGCTTGGGAAATGGAGCCCATGCTCAAGCTACCTATTAGAAGAAAATCATTTTAAATCAATGTCGTGTTACTTCATTGAAGCTGCCTTCATAAATATTTTAAAGGTGTTTATTAGGAAAACCACAGGAGGAGAGAGGAGGTTGCTGAGGTTGGGAGGAGTGGTGCCCTATAAGGGCTTAGCTGCCACTGCCAGCACTGCTGCCAATGAAACGTGCTCCCTTGGAGGGGCTGGCTCTGTGGGGGCTGCAAAACGGAAAAGCCCACTGTGTTGGGCTGCCTCACCACATGCAGGAAGTGGCTGCTCAGATGCCCATCCTCTTGTCCTCATATTGAACCCCACAGAGGTGTATCACAGAGTCTTGTGGACATGGCGCTGAGCCGGGGGCAGAGCCTCCTGGGTCCTATTCTGAGCTTTGCTCCCAGCTGCTCCCAATTCCTCCCCTTCTAGAGCTCAGCAATACTGTGGACAAGGGGCTTGAGCGTCCCTTCCACAGCAGGCTGATGTTTCCAAGTTTGTGGATGCTGCCCTTTGCTTTCCTGTTTTCACTCTTACCTACTCTCTCACCCCACCAAATGCACACATCCATCCAGGGCCACACACATTGGACCAGGAGCAGCCGCGGTGAGCAGGTGCACAGGGCCAGACAACTGCCCGCAGGAGCCCCTCAACCCAGGCATCTTGGCCTGCCTCGCCCCACACCACCAGGCAGGCAGAGGCCTGGCTAGGGCCAGGGGAGAGGCTAAGAATGGTGTCCTGCCCGCTGACCCAGCATCTCTCACAGGGCTGGGTGGGGATGGGGTGTGCGGCAGGGATGGAGGCACCACAGCCACCTCTGACACGGCTCCTCTCCTTGGGAAAGAGCTTGTTTTTCCTCCCCAAGCTGAAGCCAACAAGCCCATCAAACAGAAAGCAGAATCGATTTGCAGGCCAGGGATCTGCGGTGCTGGTGCTCAGGGGGCCATGGCTGCTGCTCCTTGTGCCTGGGGCTCCTTCAGCTACCATCTTGGGCTGAGCAATGAGAAATCGCCTCTGCTTCCACCCCCATCCTCCCCACACAAATCCTGTCTGACCATCCAGCCCCTCCCTATTGGTCTCAGGTCAAAGCTCTCTTTTGTCCTGGCTGAGTCCAGTGCCATCTGCCCAGATCTGTCCATTCATACTGTGTAAGTGCAGGTGAGGTGGCCCTGTGAAGGCTCTGTCCTTTGGGCATTCTCTGTCCATTTTGGTCAACTAGGGAGGGGAAGGTACTACTCTTGACCCCATTTTACAGATGGGGCCTACAAGGACAGCGAGCATTTAGTACCCAGCTCCCTAAGGGTTAGCAGAGCATGGGAGTGGGTGAACAGAGCTTAGGGAGTCTTCTCTAATAAGTAAATTTAAAAAATGGCTTGCAATTACCGTATCAATTGTTTCTGGGTAACTAAAAGCTTCTAAAAGATTTTTAAAATAGATTATTCCTTTAAATAGGTGAAGCACCATTTGGCTGCCTCATTTACATTGTTCATTTGCTGGGAAATCATTTTTTCATGGATAGTGTAGAAGTAAACTTCAGCCTTAGTTACTTCCATTCAGAGACCTGAATTAATGTGGTTTGGGTACCTCCTGCTTGCAGCAGACCAGAGGACAGGAGCTGCTCTGTGCCCGGCTCTGGGCTTGGGGGCCAGCCAGAGCTGCTCTGGGGAGATGAGTTCCCAGAGTGCAATGAATGAGCAAGTGCTTCATCGTAGCTATGAAACACGGAGTTGCAGAGATCTGGGGGGATACATAGGAGGGGGGTGTCTAGGATCTGCACAGGCGGAGGAGAGAGAGGGCATATCCAAGGATGGGGGGAGCTGGAGCAAATGCTTATAAACACGACTGAATATGAAACATGCAACTTCTGCCACTCGCCAGTCATCTCTGTCCCCTTCTCCCTTATACTTCCCCCTGACTCCCTCATCACCCATCCTGCAGACAGAACAGAATGCACTCTCTTCTAGCACTGCAAAGCCCATTCCAAAAATGTCCTAGGTCCAGAACCCCTGGCTGCCAGCACATTCTCCTGTTGGGCTGACCCAGATCCTCCTGGCTGCAGTGGACGGGAGGACGCTGAGAAAAGCAGCACAGATAGAGACACCAAGAAAATCAGCATCCTGGCCATGCCTCACAGGTCATCAAGGCCCTCAGCATGGTCACCCAAGGAGGCTGAGCCCTCTGTAACCTGGCCAGCTTCAGTTCCCGGAACGTTTGCTGAAACTGTCAGCAAGCACATGGATTTCAATGCAATTACAAAAGCTATAAGAACAAGAAGTGCATTCATTCATTAGCAAATTACACTAAATTATCTTAGCAAATAAGGCAAAATGTCAGTCAGTGGCTGGCAGGCTCTGCAGACACATCAGTCCCTCTTCCCCACCTCCAACAATGGTGCCACACTCTGCAGGGACTTTTTAGGAGAGGATATTGCAACATGAGGAGCAGGAAGGAAACAGAATAGAGTGTAGACCAGCACCCAGGGAGCATGCTGGCCTGTAAATTAGGGTGGGTAGGTAGGTAGGCAGGTGGACTTCAGATAGGTGAGTTTTGAGACTGAGGAAGAACTAGAGGCCAGAGAGCTGCAAGGAGGAGGGTGGGGGTGGTAGAGGAGAGCTCCTGTGCTTCAGTCACTCTGGATACTACAGGGCTGCAGTGTGGTAGAGACCCCAGGATACCCTGATTCTGAAGCATGTGTGAGATGGGAGGTGGGGGGGCGGGGAGCAGGAAAAGCACGAAGGCTATTATTTCCCTGAGCCTGGCACATGCACGTAGACTGACGGCTACAGGGAGCAGGACAGATGTTCCTTCCCTCCGTGGAGGACATGGTGCTGGAGGGAAGAGGGAGTCAGAAACAGCCACGTGGCTGCGCACATCTGGAGTCCTGGGGGTGACGGGAGAGACACAGAGGCAAAAGGGAGGCCGTGAAAGGAGAAGGGGGAGGGGATGATCAGGAGTAGGCAGGGCCCCCCATTTCCTAGAGCTAAAAAGGATTGAGCCATCACCAGCGGCACCCCATCCTTCATCATTCTCCCATAGCCTATGTGTCTGGTCTGAATGCAGGAACTCAGGATGCCTGCTCTCTTCCCCAGCCCCACAACACAGGGAACAGGGCCCCCTCCTTTCTGAACTAAAGATTATCACTTCCCTCAACCTTCCTTGCTCCTGTATTTTGTGTGCTTCCCTTAATTAAAAACAAAAAACCCACAGTCCAATATGGTGATCACTGAGAATAGCTAGCTTATCTAAGAGGTGGGGTCTCAAAGGTCTCAGCTCAGGGCTGTCTTCTGAATCCTATTTTACATTAATTTATAAGCCAGACTAGAGCCACTGGCATATGCACATCAAATACTTAGCAATAAACTCAACCAATTGCATCAGAACTTCTGGGGATGGAGCCCAGGCACCATTTACAACTCCCAAAGTGATTCTAATGGGCAGCCAGGGTTGAGAACCGCTGGACTAATGGGATCTGGAGCTGTATCACTAGGAACATAGTGCCCTGGATGCAGGAGGTGAGAGGTGATCTATCATGAGCTGAAGCATCGTGATCCATGCCAGAGCCTCAATCTGCAAGGGACACGGATGAAACACATCCAGAGGAGAGCGCTGGGGTGGAGAAATCATATTAGCTAAGGAAGCTGAGGTGCAGGGGATATTTTGCTGCTCAGATGCTGGAGAAAGGCTGGAGGCAAAGGTCACAGTCCCTCTGTCTGAGGGCTGGGTTATGCCTCCTCTATGAGACCCAGGTGTTTCTCTGTGCTAACAAAGAGCTGCCTCATTAGTAATGAAGTAGTGTCACCATAATTACCTGGAGCTGGCAGTGCCAAAGGTTATGAATACTCTCTGACACAAGTGCAAGAGATTTAACCTAACCTGAGCCACCTGCATCCAACAGGATGCTGACCAGGCACAGTGGCTCTTGCCTGTAATCCCAGCACTTTGGGAGGCCAAGGCAGGAGGATTGATTGAACCCAGGAGTTTGAGACCAGCCCAGGAAACATAGCAAGATCCCGTCTCTGCAAAAAAAAAAAAAAAAAAAAAAAAAAAAAAAAAAATATATATATATATATATATATATATATATATATATATATATATATAAAATTAGGTGTAGTGGCAGGCACCTGCAGTCCCAGCTACTCAGGAGACTGAGGCAGGCAGATCACGAGCTCTGGAGGTCGAGGCTGCAGTGAGCTATGACCGTACCACTGCACTCCAGCCTGGGCAACAGAGTGAGACCTTCTTTTAAAGAAAAACCCCAAAGATGCTGAGAACCTCCCCCCATCAATTATGGTGCTGCGGGTGCAGGGCTCAACCCTGGCACACACACACTCAGAACACGGTGCTCGGCCCACATAATCCACTAGGAGGCAGACGCACTCCCCCAGGACTGGGGTCCCGGGGACGCAGATAGCTCCTGGAAACTGAGGCAGCGGCAGTGACATATGCTGAAGGGCAAGGTGGTCCAGAGCGGGTGGAAGGGATGACTGCAGGCCCTGTACACTACCAAATCAGGCTCCACTCTGAAGTCTCTGAGAGACCAACTGGATGTGAATTCCAAGCACCATCTCTGCCCTGTCTAGAATCAGTTTTTCCAGCCACCCTAAGTTTTCTTCACTTGCATTCTTACTGCCACAGGGACTGGCTAAAAAGGCAGCTGAAACAATTGGTAACACTTAAAATGTATCCAGAGATCCCACTTCTAGGGCTCCATACTGTAGAAACTCGAACACAAGCCTGCATTATTTGTGTCTAAACTGTAGGAACTAGCAAAATATAGGCTAGAACAGCAGTACTTTGAGATACTATGTAGCCATTTAAAAAGAACGAGGGAGGTCTTTGCAAGAAGCTAGATACAAAATAGCATGTACTGCAGGATTCCATTTATATGAAGTTCAAGAATAAGTAAAACTAATTGGTGAAAGCAGCCAAGTGGGCGGGGCTGTTGCTTGGGTAGGGACACTAGGGAACTTTCTGGAATCCAGGAACTGTTCTATATCTTGATCTGGGTAGTGGTTACATGGGTAGAGATTTGTGTAAAAATTCATGGAGTCATACACTGAGGATTAGCATCTTGTAAATACTAGAGGTATGTTACACATCGATATAGAAGGTAAAGAGGACAAGGACACTTCTATCTAGAAGAAGTGACTTGGGAAAAGAGTAAAGAAAAACAGAAAAAAGGGTTGCATGATGTTTATGATATTTTTGTAAATGTGTAAGACTGATACAACAGTCTAGAAGGTGGCCAGTCTAATAGCAGAGCCAGGATTCAAAGTCAAGTGTCCTGACCCCCAGCCCAGGCTCCTGCTGCCCAGGGTCTGCGAGTGTAAGCAGAATGCTCCAAACACACAAGTAGAAGAGGCAGGATGATCCAGGTGCCCTGGCCACACCATTTTAACCCCTCCTCCCAGTCTCCTCCTTCTGGGTGGTGAGTAGTCAGATCCACTGGTCTTCAAGCCCTGGTTACAAATGGTCCTGGAGGCGAATTCTGGTCACACCTTGAGCCAGGCAAATGAACCTCGCTCTGTCCCCTCTTTAATATGGATGTGACACCTGCAAGCTATAGCTTGTCGCACTGTGAGAATTATTTCTCCATTAAAATGTAGGAGTTGGAGCTTTGCCCAGGAAGGGCAGCTAAAAATACTGCTGTCCAGGGCACTTGTCACCAGAGGACTTAGTTGCCACTCTCTTTACACCTAAGCCTCCAGGCAAGTCCCACACCTGCTGGGTCCGTGCCCAGAACACTTGATACAGTGTCCTGTCTGAGCCTTATCCAGCCCTGTCGCAAAGAAAAAGCATGGGTTCCTGTGCCTGTTTTACAGATGAACAAACTGGGCTTCAGAGAGCTTGTTCCAAGTCACTGTGCTCAATCTACAAAATCACCTAAGGAGCAACAGCGCGTGGGCCTGACTGCAGGGAGGGAAAGAATAGCCCCCCACATGTGCCCAGCACCTAATGGTTTGCAGTGTCTTTTTATTTTTATTTTTGAGATAGAGTCTCACTCTGTCACCCAAGCTGGAATGCAGTGGCGTGATCTCAGCTCACTGCAACTTCCACCTCCTGGGCTCAAATGATTCTCCTGTGTCAGCCCCCTGATTAGCTGGGACTACAGGCACGTGCCACCACACCCGGCTAATTTTTTTGTATTCTTAATGGAGACAGGGTTTTACCATGTTGGCCAGGCTGGTCTTGAACTCCTGACCTCAGGTGATCTGCCTGCCTCAGCCTCCCAAAATGCTGGGTTTACAGGCGTGAGCCACTGCATCTGGCCTAATTGCAGTGTCTTCTCACCCACTGCTTTATCCAGCCCTCTCAACAGTGCTTTGAAACAGGAACTATTACTGTCTCTACAGGTAGGGACTGAAGCCCAGTGTGGTGAAGCAGCAAGCTCAAGGGCACACAGTGGGTTGAAGGGGCAAAGGCATAAGTCTTTCAATCCTAATACCCACCCAGAGCACCGATGACAGGACCTCAAGCAACATGACTGATCTCACCCCTAGAGCCATCAACTTTATAACAAAGCCTCCAGTTTGTAAAGAATGCCACATACTTTTTGGGAGATGACTTGTCACCCCTATCTAATGGATAAGGAAAGTAAGGCTCAGAGGTATGAAGGACATGGACACAGGTTAGCAGCAGAGCCAGGATTGAAAGTCAAGTGTCCTCACCCCCAGCACAGGCTCCTCCTGCTGCCCAGGGTCTGCAAAGCTCCAGGCTGTCCCAGTGCCAGGACACTGTCATCCAGGGGCAAGCGAACGCAGTATCCTAGGCAGGTTCCCATAGCCCTGAATCTGGCTCTCTGGAAGCCTGTGCGCCTCCTCTCAGTCTTTCAAAATGGAAGGTAGTTAAAACCTCAGTCCTATTTTTCTTTTCTTTTTTTTTTTTCTTTAGAGACAGAGTCTTGCTCTGTTGCCCAGGCTGGAATGCAGTGGTACAATTACAGCTCATGGCAACTTCGACCTCCTGGGCTGAAGATCAAGTGATTCTCCCACCTCAGCCTCCTGAGTAATAGGACTACAGGTGTGTGCCTGTAGTTAATTTTTTATTTGTGCAGAGACAGGGTCTTGTTATGTTGCCCGGGCTAGTCTTGAAATCCTGGCCTTAAGCGATCCTCCCACCTCAGCCTCCTGAGTAACTAGGACTACAGGTGGGTGCCACCGCACCTCGCTAATTTTTTATTTCTGTGCAGAGACAGGGTCTTGCTATGTTGCCCAGGCTAGTCTTGAAATCCTGGCCTTAAGCGATCCTCCCACCTCAGCCTCCCAAAGTGTTGGGATTACAGGCATGAGCCACTATGCATAGGTGGCTATTTTTTGTACAAGAAAGCCAAGGCTCAGAGAAGGTAAATGTCCTGCTCAGGGTCATAGGGCAGAACTATGTCCTGGGAATGGACCTCTGATCCCTGGCCTGGTGCCCATCCAATTGAGTCAGCCAGAAACAGCATTCAGAACTCTTTTCCTGGTGCCAGCTTCTTACTGGGTCTCAGCTTCACAGTCTCTAAAATGGGTTCATTAGTAGAGGCCCTAAACAAGCCTAGGTTTGAGTTTTCTGAGGCAAAGAAATTGAGTGATGCTTCCAGTGGGAGGAGCCCCATACAGTGACCAAAGGGCCTGGCTTTCTGGACAACCAACTTCACTTTACCCAGAGGGAAACTGAAGCCAAGGAGGGAGCCAAATGGCCTTGGGGATCCAGTGATTTAAGGACGGTGAGATAAGGAGGGCCAGGCTTCCCTACCCCAGCCTGCAACATCCAGGAGAGAATCCTGCTGGTTGAGTCCTGGGGCCCACCCTGCTTCCAAACACTTCACAGAGAAAAAGCTTTTTACAAAGACATTTATTTTCCCCAAAATATACCCCCAGTTTACAAAATCCCTCCGAGTCCCACATTTAAATTAGAAGTCCTCACATCTTCCATTCCTGGGGCAGGGAGAGATGACATCCGGAAGGCATCAGAACGTCTGAAGTCTCACTCTACCAGAGGCCAGGAGCTGGCCAGAGGCAAGCCAGGAAAAGACTGCCCCAGCCCCAGAATAGCACCATGGTGGGGGTGGGGGGCAGTCCCCTCGGTGTCCCCAAAGCATTCCTGGCCCTGCCCTGCCCCAGGCTCTGCCTTTTCTGCTGCTATGAAAGGTCCAGAGGGCCTTGGTGCCTGCCCACCTGCCCACACCTGGACAGACATTTTGGACACCACCAGATTCTCTAGCCGTGGCGAGGGGCTATGTCCCTCTCTCCAGGTTTCCGCCCCAACCCCATGCTCTGGGTAAGAATTATGGGTGGGATGGGGGTGAGGTATCCAGGAAGCCTTGAGCCACAGAGGAGGTGTGGAGCAGGGAGCCAGGCAGGAGCCCCCTGCAAACCGCAGGGTGCAGTGTAGTTAGTTGTCTGTCTCCCAGCTGGATGGGGAGTCCTTGAGGGAGGAACTTTATCTTCCCACGCAGGGCCCCCAGCACCTAACACAGTGCTGACATCTGTAGTTGCTCAATAAACATCAACTGAATGGATACATGAAAAGAAAGGAACAAAGAGGTGAGAAGGCAGAGGGACAGAAGCTGACCCCCAGGGGCCCCATCACAGACCCCTGGAGAACCAGTGTGACCAGCACATGCTTCCGTGGGGAGGATGGGCAGGGGAGAGGGGCACTGCAGAGGAGGCTGGGCCAGGGGGGAACCACACGTGTTCCAGCACGTGCACCTGCAGGTCTCCATGCACAGCTGTGCATGTGGTGGGCGCAGAGTGCCCTGTCTTCACTTGGGGCAGGGAGGGAAAAGGCCAGTATTAAGGCTAGAGCAAGAGGAGGAAGGAGGGGAAAGGAAACAGCTTCTAGACTCCAGGAGATGTTGAGGCCGCACTGTCCCTGTCTGAGAAGAAAAGATTCTATGCAGGTGGAAGCAGGGCTGAACATGATCACTAGTGTATCACGGCCATTGGAGAAACAAGGCCGGGGTGACTATGCATCGTGTCTTTGGTGAAATAAGGCAGGGGGTCAGTCAGTCTGAATATTGCATCTTTTGGAGAAAAAAGGCAGCCAGATGGTCCACGCAGCACTGGAAGAAGAGGGTGGTGATGTGGTCAGTGTACTGTGTCCCTAAGAAATGTATGTACTGTGAAATAAGGCAGCAGGCAGGATGACTTAGAGAACTAAGGTTGTGGGTGGTCTGTTCATTGTGTCTATAAGAAAAAAGGCAGCAGGATGACTTGGGAATCATGTCCATTGGAGAAATAAGGCTGCACAGTGGTCTGTGTATCGCATCCTTTGGAGAAGGAGCCCACCTGTCAGAGCAGGATGCATCTGTTGGGGGCAGGGCTCACAGTGCAGCCCCATTGCAGCCAGAGGGTAGGAGCTGTAGGGAGGGGTAGCAGCTCCCTGGTCCTCATGGTCAGGCTATTTCTTGTCCATCATCTTCATTTCATGATGGGAAGAAAAAAAAGGGAAGGGAAAAGCATTAGATGCCAGAAGATCTATTTTTGGGATTATGCCAGAAGCCCAAGCACCTGGTCAGACTTCAAGTGGGGAGTGTGTGTGAGACAGCAGCCCAACGGACAGCCCCCGTGCTGACCACGGCCCTGGAGGCCCAGACACAGATGCAGGTGCCAGGCACGCCGGGGCACCTGAGGGGGACCACCTCACGCAGCCCCCTCTCAGTACCCACAGGCCCACAGCCCGATACACTTCCCTCCACTCTCCCTCTACGTGCAACACTTTTCCCTTCTCATCTCCTGTTTGTCCATCCCATCCACCCTCCAAGGCCTGGCCCAACTCCCTCGTCCAGCAGGCAGCCTTCCCAGTGTCCCCTCCACACTGGTTTCCCTGAGAGTGACACGGCAGGGGCCCTCCTCCTTCCCTTGGGCTTCCTGTCTCCATGTGGAGGGCCATCCCAAAGACTCATCTTTCAGACCCCACTCTGCATCTGAAGCTGAATGGAGACTTGGGAAGAAGGGCTTGGGCCCTTCCCCTGCCCTCTCCCTCACCCATTCTTGGGGCTCTGTATGTCCCTGGGGAGAGGAGAAGAGCTCCCCCATCTGGGCACTGCCTCTGTGGTTGTCCAGCATGGCCAGAGACTGAGGGGGCAGGCTGCCTCACCAAGGAGCAGGGTTAGGAAGCAAACTGGTTTGCCCATCCAGGCCACATTCTCCAGCAACTCTTCAAAACCAAGCTGACTTTTTTTTTTTTTTTTTTTTGAGATGGAATCTTGCTCTGTTGCCCAGGCTGGAGTGCACAGGTGCAATCTCAGTTCACTGCAACCTCTGCCTCCCAGGTTCAAGTGATTCTCCCGCCTCAGCTTCCCAAGTAGCTGGGATTACAGGCATGCACCACCACGCCCGGCTAAGTTTTGTATTTTTAGTAGAGACAGGGTTTCACCATGTTGGCCAGGCTGGTCTCAAACTCCTGACCTCAAGTGATCCACCCACCTCGGCCTCCCAAAGTGCTGAGATTACAGGTGTGAAGTACCATGCCTGGCCTAAGCTGACACTTTTTATCTCCATCTGCCCAGCTCTTCTATGGTTATTTGATTCTGAAAAACAGGAAGGAAATGACCTATCTCCTGTATTTCCAAATGTCATCACTGACATTATAACAATAGGCCCAATAATGACTATGGACATTTACTAACCACCCACTGTGCGCCAGGGACATGGCTACCCAGCTGAACACTTTTCTAGCCTCCCCTGAGTTAGGGCTCATATGCCTGGGTTCTGACCAATGGAATGTAAGCGGAAGTGATGCAGGCTACTTCCACTCAAGCTCTAGAAGGAAACATATCCTTCCTTTCTCTCCCTCTTGGCTCTGGAGGGGGCGTGGGAGCACAAACAGCCTCTTAGACCTAGGAGTGAAAGCTTGAAGTTGAAGAGGGCAGAATCCAGGTAAGTGGAACCTGGCTCCAGGTCATCAGTGGTTTTACGATTACCTATGCTCACACTATCACAGGAAGGAGGAATAAACTCCTGTCCTGCTTAAGCCTCTGTCGTATTTGGGTCCCATCAGAGCAGCTGGGACCTTGGTTACTCAGCCCTCTGCCATCTCACCAGGGGGAAGTTGAGGCTGCTCTTCTGCAGAGGGGGCCTCAGGTCACTAGTGAAAGGATGATGCCTACCCACCCTCTCAGCCTCTCACACACAGATGTGTGCATACACAGACACAACCTCAAGCCCAGGTGTCTTTACCTTCTTTGCTGTCAGAGTGTTTCAGAGGCTGCAGGGCTGTAAAAAAAGGAAGGCGCACACGGTGAGGGAGGAACCATGGGAAGTGGTGGGGTAGGGAGTCAGGCAGAGGGAGGAGTGAGGGCTGGAAGGGGCGGGACAAGTCAGCAGAGTGGGACCACTTCATAGCACAAGGGAAGGGGCCCTAGGTTGCTGTCCCAAGCCCCAGTCCCAGGTCCCAGTTCCACTCTGTGGCTTGTCATTCTCCTCTCTGGGCCTTAGTTTTCTGCATCTATAGAATGGGACAACCCTCGAGCCCTCCACCTCCAGCTGGAGATGCGGAAGTGCCCTGAGCCCAATGTACACACAGGGTGATGTGAGAAGCTAAAGGAGGCTGGCAGATTTGCAGGTGGGCCTGGGACCATGTGGAATGAGACTGACCAACTCCATCACCCACACTCTTCTCCTCACTCCCTCCCTTCTGCCAACTACATCTGCCTCTGAGCATGAAGAATGAGGTCTGATCCCAGAGCTGTCTCTACGCCTGCCACGCTGGGCACCAACAGGCAAAGAATTAATTGGCATAATTTATAGCAGTCCCCAAGTGTCAATCTCCTGCCCTTCCTTCTGCGGGGGTGGGGAGGGAACTGGCATTAACTGGAACCATCCCAAATGGCTCAGCGGAAACCTGCCTCTCCCAGCCCAGGATCCCCTGGGAGTCGGCCATGGGCACCAGTGCCTTGGCACCCACCCAAGCTGGGCCCCCAGCTTACTGTGCCATGCTCCTATGTCCTTTGCAAGTACCTCCCTCTCCAGTCACCTGAAAGAGCTTCAAAACAGCCCTCTGGTGCCATCAGGGCAGGGTCAGGATGACATTTTACAGATGGGAAACTGATGCCCAGAGGAGCAAGGCACCTTGCCCAAAGCTACACAGTCTGTAACTAGAACAGTATTGTCTTAAGCTGTTTGCCTAATAGTAATAGGACTCCAGAGTATTAAGCACTTGGCACTAGATATGATACTAGGTCCTTTATATACATTATCTCAATTAATAATTCAAACAACCTATGAATCTGTGATTATCCTCATTTTACATAAGAGGAAACCGAAGCCAGAGAGGCAAAGCATCTTGCTCAAGGCCACTCTGTTTACCTGAGATGGAGCAGGAACTTAAACCCAGACTCCCTATCTCCGGAGCCCCTGCTCCCACCCCTAGGAAGCCACCAGACTCCACGGTGTGGGGCCAATCAGGTGGAATCGGCCCTGGCAGATGGGTAAAGGTTGGCAGGAGAAATGAAGCCACACCTGGGAGGGAACTGGGTGATCCACTTCCTGCCTAACTCTGGGCAAAGAGCAGACTCACCGGGGTGGGGAGGTCTGAGTCCACAGAACACATTTCATTCAAACCTTACAGCAAATCTGGCCCCTCCAGATCCTAGAGTCCTCTCTCCTTTCCCATATGTCCCTCTCCCAGCCAAGAGGGCCAGCTCCAAGTTCAGACTCACCTGTCTTGGAGCCTTCTCCCTCCCCATCCTGGTCCTCAGCTCCTGCAAAGGCAAGAACTCAGAATAAACAAAAATCTTTTGCAAGCCCATTTTCATGCCAGCACTTTCCCACCTGAGAGTGCAGGAAGCTGGTGAACAGGGCCTGAGTGGGCCTGACCTGCGGACCAAATGCTAGACACGGGTTAGAGCCCGAGAGCAGAGCACAGCAGAGCCGAGCCTGTGACAACATGAAGGGGCTCCCAGCCTGGAGCCCACCACTCACCCAGCCAAAAACTACCCAGCCTGGCGCCCCCACCACTCACCCAGCCAAAGACCATCCACCCAGCCTGGAGTGCACCACTTACCCAGTCAAGGACCATCCACCCAGCCTGGAGCCCACCACTCACCCAGCCAAAGACCATCCACTCAACCTGGAGCCCCCGCCACACACCCAGCCAAAGACCATCCACCTACCCTCCACCAGCCCACCCACCCATCACCTCACCCATCCGCTCGCTCAGTAGCCCTGCCAACCATCAACCTCCAACAGATGTAACCAACCAGCCGTCTACCTGCTCATCCTTCCACCTGTCTACCTCACAAGTACTCACCTATCTGCCAACTGACCACTCTTCTTCCCTCTCCTTCCCAACCTCCAGCCATCCCCAGCCTCTGACTACCCATCTACTCTCATGCATCTGTTTACCCACCAGGGTCAACTCACCACCCACCAATGTCCTCTCACCCACTTACCAGTCACCAATGCCAGCTCGGGCTGACCCTCAGCCCCGCAAATGGCAGCTGCTTCAAACTCACTCCAAGGCAGGCACGATCACCCCCAGTGCCATGCACGCCCCTGGCATGCCTACATTTGTGCCGCACAGCTTCCATGCTCTGGCCTGCTCTCTCACACACACGTGACTGACTTACACTTTCACAGGCACACTTGTTGGCACACACTCATCCCTTTGTAGCACTTGGCCTTACACTCCCACCACCTTCCAGTCACACTCATCCACATTCATCCTGTGGTATCTGCACATGGACAGACAGGCTCACGCTTGTTCACACACACAAGACGTAGACTCAAGGTCACACACAGACAAATCCAGCCCCATCTGCACACACACACTCGTTCTGTCACTAGAAAGTGACACTCTATTGACATCAAAGACAGCAACATACCCCAAGACACATAAGTGTGCATGCGCACGCACACACATACACACACACTCACCTGCATTCTCCTCCTCACAGCTCTGTTTGATCTTTCTCCAGCACACGAAAGCCAGGGCCACCAGCAGTGCAATGAGACAGACAGACAGCCCCACGGTCACCCACAGGGCCTCTGGGGGGAATGTCATAGGCTGCCCTGAGAGGAAAAGTAGCAACAGTGAGACTGTCATGCCTGGCCCCATGTCCCGGAGGACAGCACCATTGGCTCCAAGTGTGAACAGGGGCTCCCACCCTCACTGGGCCCTAACACTATGAATAAAGCTCACTTAAGTTCCTACAGTCCCTTCGCCATACACTCCCCAAACCCTGATACAACCCTGGCTGATGTGGACACGCCTCAACCAGGAAGGGCTGAAGAGCCTGTGGTTGAATTGATGCTCAAGTACCTTCTATGGCTCCCTAGTGACTTTAGAATAATGCTTCAAGCTTCAAGCGTGATTCAAGGACCTCTAGAAGTTGGCTGCTGCTTACCCTCCCCTAAGTTTTCTAATTCTACTGTAGGAGCCTCAGCTTCAGCCAAACTGGTGTCCTAACCATTCTCTCCAGAAGCAACTGGCTCCTTCCAGCCTCTGCACTAATGCTATCAGTTTCCCAAATTCTCTGCTTAGCTCAATATTCACCTCCTCCAGAGGCCCTCTTTTGACTGCTTCAGCCCTACCTGGTGACATCTCCCATTCTATGGATCAGAAGGCAGCAAACTACAGCCCATGGGCCAAAGCTGGCTTGTGGCCTGTTTTTGTACAGTCCACAAACTAGTGATGGTTTTTACATTTGTAAAGGGTTACCAAAAAAAGATGGGGGAAGGCGGAGGAGGAACAGAAGGAGAAGCAGCAGCAACAGAGATGGTGTGTGGCCCACGATGCCTAAAAACATTTACTCCCTGGCCATTTACAGAAAATGTTCGCTGAGTCCTACATACAGATGAGGTCACTGACGGGGCTGGAGTGAGGGCTTGGAGTTTCCCCAAGGAGTCAGGTAGGTCTGCAGGGGCCTTGCCAGGGGGATATTAACATGAAACACTGAGGCCCCTCCTCTTAGAGCTGTCACGTCAAGAGGGATGAAGTTGAGGACCCAAAGCTGGGTAGGGCCAGGAGCTGTTCTGAGCACAGCCTGTGTGACTCCATCTTACATACCATCCTCTAGCCCAGCCCCTGCACCCAGCTGGGTCCTAGGGAGAAGTCTTGAGAGGAAAAGCCTGACAAAAGACAGTGCTGCTTTCCTTTGCTGTCTGGAGACGATGCACACCCAGGGCCTCAGCAGCTTCTGCAGGAGGCCCTGTCAGTGCAGTGCGCGGTGCTATGGACCCTTTGGCGGCAGAGACCCCAGCATAGATGCACCTCGTGCATGGATCTGCAGATGTCACCTTCAATAGGCACTGCTGGCAAAACTGCTGCTCTGGCCATTGGAAGCACAGGGATCCATCACCCCAGTGATGAAGAGAGGTGTGCAGAAAAGGAGGGCAGCAGCTGATGTGGCCAAGAGGGCCCATCCACAGAGCACACATTAAAAAACAATAACCACCCTGGAAATCCCATCATGGGGCTCTGACAGCAGAGGAGGGGGCAGAGCCATGGAAATACTCAAGCAGAGGGTCTCTATGTTCCCCCTTAACTGGTGGTGTCCCTGGAACACAAATTACATTTGCCCTGTTCACCCAAGAAAGGACAGGCTCAGGCCACGTCTCTAGGGCTTGCTCCATAAATCCCCCTCCAAGAGGCTCTGCACAGCACACAACTTCACTAACTTCATCAGGTACGGGAGAGACCAGCTGGAGGACTGAAAGTCTGAATCCCAGAATGTTTGACATGATACAAAGCTGCCCGAAGCAAAATACAGGCCAAGGGCTCCAAAGTAGGCCAGACCTGCTCTAACAGAAACAGGAGGCTGGCTGGTGGGAAGGAGAGGAAATTAGGCTGAGAGGCCAAAGTTGGATTCTGATCATGGCTCATCTCCTCACTGCAGGGCACTGGAGCCCAGGTCTACAGACCCACGGAGGAGTTTAGAGAGGCAGCGAACCCTCCAGAGTTATGTGCAAACTGCTGCATTGATCATTTATCCAATTTTCAAAGAAGGGTCTGACCCCCAAAGATTGAGAGCCGCTGTGCCAGTCTGTGACCTTGGGAAAGTTCCCCCTTCTCTGTGGACCTCAGTTTCTTCGTCTGTGAAATGTGCTTGGCAACAATGGCCTCAATGAAATCACTTTATTTTTATTTTATTTATTTTTTGAGACAGTGTCTTGCTCTGTCACCCAGGCTGGAGTGCAGTGACACTGTCTCGGCTCACTGCAACCTCCGCCTCCCAGGTTCAAGCAATTCTCTTGCCCCAGCCTCCCAAGTAGCTGGGACCACAGGTGCATGCCACCACGCCCAGCTAATTTTTGTGTTTTCAGTAGAGACAGGGTTTCACCATGCTGATCAGGCTGGTCTCGAACTCCTGACCTCAAGTGATCCACCCGCCTTGGCCTCCCAAAGTGCTGGGATTACAGGTGTGAGCCACCATGCCCAGCCCTAAATTTTTTTGAAATCACTTTAAATGTTAGCTACTCAAGTTTAAAATAGAGAATTTTCTCTTAGGTGAGATAAACATTCTCTTTGCAATCACATTTATACTCATAAGTCCTTTCTGCACAGCATCGCAAATATCCAGCTCAGCCCAGGGTGCAAATGACCACAAAGACCCCTTATCCTTCAAGGCCTTCTCAGCTCCCATTTGCCCCTGGAGGTGTCCTCACTACCACCCTCCCTCCTCTGAAAGCTTCATATCCTCTGCCAAGATCACTCTATCTTCTATTTCTTCTTTTCGCCTGTGAACAGCATTTTCACCACCAAACCATATGCTGTTCTCTAAAAGGTCAAGGACATGTCTCAGAACATTCAAGAGCTCAGGGCAGCTACTCTCTCCTGGAGAGCACAGGAAGGGAGTGTTTTCCATCTTGGGGAAGGGGTGGGCAGAAGGAGCACAACCTTGCCAGAAGGAAACACGTAAGAGAGAAGGAGGAGTGAGCCTGAACTCCAAGCAGACGATGTGACGGGCCCTGGCTCCGAGCTTGTCAGAAGTGGGGACCACATAGGTCTCAAGAGGGAGAGGACAGGAATAAGTGAGTCCTGAGGTGCATGCAGACCTGGAAACTTGGGGTGAGATCAGAACTTGGATGGGCTGAGGGGCAGATGGAAGTCATCAGAAGACAAGAGGAGAACCAGACAGACAAAACCTGCTGTCCTGACCTCACTGTGCACCAGGGCGAGGTCCCTGGGAAAGCTCAGTTGGCCAGGGAGAGATACTGAAGAGCCAGACTGAGCACGTCGGCCCAGGAAGTGACTGACCAGAGGCCTCTCAGGGCCAAACACAGATGGAGACTGCGGCTCTTGACCTCAACCCTCTTCACACCCTCAGGCACAAGAGGTGCCCACGAGGCTAGAACCTGGAAACCAGAGACTAACAATCACTAAAGGGGTGGCCTCTATCTGGTGTTTGACCACACGGGGGCAGCAGAGACAGCCCCTGCCCATCCAACGGCTGCCTGGGTGGAGCGCAAGTCTGCAGGAAGAAGAGCTGACGTTGACTCAGGTGTTGGGGACTAACTAGGGAGGGCCAGCTGTCACTCAGGCTTCAGAATCAGATGGCGCCCACTGACCCAGAATACCTTCCTACCACTCAGAGGAGTTCCTGCTGGAAAGCACACCCACACCAAGTCCCCTGGGCCACACCTTGTGGCTGCCCCAGAATTCCTGCCCATGCCTCCAAATTTCGGGCAGGTACCTTGTCCTCTGCATAAGAAGCATAAGTGCCACGAAAAGCACTCTTAGGAAGGCAAACATTATAAATGGTTCTTATCAGCTCGAGTCCCTTAAGGACTTGTGGGGAAGAGTGTGAGCACCTGAAGTCTATGAAAGGGATTTTGAAAGTCTTCTGGCCACCCAAACCTATGGAAATTCCACGTTAGGGTCCAGTAAAGAGGGAGTTACTCGCTCCGTCCTTCCCCAGCTGTTCATCTGCCCTTACCTGTGATGGTGACAGAGCCGTGCGCATCCTGCTGCAGCACGGGGTTGCGCACCAGGCAGCTGTAGGTGCCATTCGCACCCAGCACCACCCGCAGGACGCTGTGCACATCAAACAAGCCCTGCTCGTTGGCCATCTGCGACGTGGTCACGTTGCCAGTCAGGGGCACACCCTGCCCATCCTGCCAGAACACCTCAGCCTCAGGGTAGCCCCGGTAGCTGGAGCACGTGATGGTCACCGTGTCCCCTGGCCGCAGGTCCTTGTTGGGCTCCAGGGTCATGCTGGGCTTCGAGTAGGGAGCTGGAGGTGACAGAGGGCAGGGGTCAAGGGCAGGGCAATGGCAGGGGAGGAAAAGGATGCATGGGGCTGAGTACAGGAATCAGCACTGGGGTTCTGGGAGCAGTGGTGCAGCAGAGGGTGGGCTGCAGAGGGAATGGAGGGTGAACCAAGGGGAAGGCGTCGCCCTCCTGGTGCTCACCGGCCACCTGCAGGCTGACGGCAGCGCTGCCGAAATCCCGGATGCTCACGAAGCAGGTGAAGCTGCCCTCGTCCGCCACACGCACGCGCTGCAGCCTCAGGGATGCATTGCCTTGTGCCAGCAGGTCCGGGAAGAGGGCCGTGCGGTTGGCATAGGCGCTGCCCTGGTCCCGGCCTTCGGTGAAACTGTGCACCAGCTGTTTGGTGTCTGTCAGCTGCCAGATGAGGTTGAGCTGTGCCAGGCTGAAGCCAGGCTCGGGGGAGAAGGAGCAGCGCAGGGTGGCATCGGTGCCCACTAGGGCCACCACCGGGTCCTCAGGGACCTGGACCTCCACGGCTCCTGGGGGCGGGGTCAGAGGGGCAGGGTGGTGAGGAGAAATGGGACTCTCTAGGCTACCACCCGAGTCCCCCAAACTCTTCCCCCATCAATTCCCAGACCCTGTTCCATCTTCCTATTTTCTTCTTAGATGCAAAAGCAGATTAAGTCTGAGGACTCTCAGATATGGAGTCTCCCCAATCTTCTGAGAACAATCACAGCAGGTGGGTCTTGGCCTGACCAGACCAATCCCAGGGCCAGGCCTGGGGCAGGTGACTCTCACCAGCTCCAGCCCTGGTGAATCCTGCCATCAGGACTCCTTTCCTTCGCCCACCCCTCTGCTGACCCAGATGTGGCTCCATTCTTCCCAGAGGCTTCCAGAGCCTTGAAGTCAGGAGAGCCTTAAGAAGGCCTGTGATTTCTCCGCCCCCAACCCCTCCAGTGAACATCCCCACCTCCCCGTTATCTTTCTCCCTATCATTAGGAGGCAACTTGCTGTTCTGGGAGATTGAAGGTGGGGCCAGATTCGGAGCTCCCAACCCCTGCCGACAGAAGCAGAACCCCCCTCCCCCAAGGGGACATTTAAGCAAAGCAACCTGTGGGGCTTCTCTGGGGTGTGATGGTGACAGAGCTGTGCGCATCCTGCTGCAGCACGGGGTTGCGCACCAGGCAGCTGTAGGTGCCATTTGCACCCAGCACCACCCGCAGGATGCTGTGCACATCAAACAAGCCCTGCTCGTTGGCCATCTGCGACGTGGTCACGTTGCCAGTCAGGGGCACACCCTGCCCATCCTGCCAGAACACCTCAGCCTCAGGGTAGCCCTGGTAGCTGGAGCACGTGATGGTCACCGTGTCCCCTGGCCGCAGGTCCTTGTTGGGCTCCAGGGTCATGCTGGGCTTCGAGTAGGGAGCTGGAGGTGACAGAGGGCAGGGGTCAAGGGCAGGGCAATGGCAGAGGACGAAAAGGATGCATGGGGCTGAGTACAGGAATCAGCACTGGGGTTCTGGGAGCAGTGGTGCAGCAGGGGGTGGGCTGCAGGGGGAATGGAGGGTGAACTAAGGGGAAGGCGTCCCCCTCCTGGTGCTCACCGGCCACCTGCAGGCTGACGGCAGCGCTGCCGAAATCCCGGATGCTCACGAAGCAGGTGAAGCTGCCCTCGTCCGCCACACGCACGCGCTGCAGCCTCAGGGATGCGTTGCCCTGTGCCAGCAGGTCCGGGAAGAGGGCCGTGCGGTTGGCATAGGCGCTGCCCTGGTCCTGGCCCTCAGCAAAGCTGTGCACCAGCTGTTTGGTATCTGTCAGCTGCCAGATGAGGTTGAGCTGTGCCAGGCTGAAGCCAGGCTCAGGGGAGAAGGAGCAGCACAGGGTGGCATCGGTGCCCACCAGTGCCACCACTGGGTCTTCAGGGACCTGGACCTCCAGGGCTCCTGGGGGTAGGGGGAGTGGAGAACATATAAGGGGGACTGAGGAGGGGTGGGCCTCCCTAGTCCCGCTCCCTGCCCCTGCTAACCCCAGGCCCTGTCCACCCCTCCTTTTAGGCCTGAGACCCAAAGTAATTTATTGTCTTAGGACCTCATTCAGTCAAGAATATAGTCAGCACCTACAGGTGCCAAGCATAAAAGTCAGAAATGCAACAGAGAGCAATACTACGGTCACATCCCCACAGAACTTACATTTTAATGGGAGAGAGAGACAAATGGGCACACAGATTCTCGTCAGCATGTGACTAAGGTATGTGAGGAAAAGGAGCCAGCAGGTTAGTAAGTAAAGCAACAGCTTTTCAAAAATCTGGCAGGTACTTTACACCTGCCTGCACCATGTGCATTTCCCCATGAGCGTAAGTAATGTTATAAATTGGGGAGTCCAAAAAAGTATCCACCAAAAATGTCAATAGTGGTTTCTCTGGAGGAGAGAGAATCACAAGTGCTTTTTCTTTTTTTCTTTTTTTTTCTTTTCCTAACGAAACACGATTTGTTTTTATACAAGAAAGAATACCCGTACCTTTAAATATGGTGGTGAGGCACATGCTCTTTAAAGCAATTAAGCTGAAATTTATAGGGAATGAAAAAGAGCTGACATACAGAGAACCCCGTAGAGGAAACAGCAGGTGGAAGGCCCTGAGGCAAGACTGGCCTTGCTGTGTGAAAATATCGGGGAGCGTCCAGTGTGGCAGACACATCTGATGGGAGGGCATGTCCCACCCAGACCAAAGATGACTTGAAGAGACCAGTGAGGAATCTAACTTTTTCTATGAGTAATGGGAATCACTGGGGAGTGTTTTAATCACGCATAATCTGAGTAGCAATGCTTAAAACTCACTCTAGCTCCTCTGTGGAGACTGGACTGTGGCAGGGCAAGGGGGAGGCCAGTTAGGGGCGGTTTCAGCTGTCCCTGTAAGAGGTGAGGGTGGTGTGGCTTCAAAGGGTGGTAGTAGAGAAGAAGAGAGGGATCAGATTCAAGGTTTATTTAGGAGGGAATCAACAGGACTTGCTGATGAGTCAGAAGTGAGGGGAAAAGGCCCGGCATGGGAGGCCGAGGCAGGTGGATCACCTGAGGTCAGGCGTTCGAGACCAGCCTAGCAGATATGGTGAAACCCCACCTCTACTAAAAAATAGCCAGGGGTGGTGGAACACACCTGTAATCCCAGCTACTCAGGAGGCTGAGGCAGGAGAATTGCTTGAACCTGGGAGGTGGAGGTTGCAGTGAGCCGAGATCGCGCCACTGCACTCCATCCTTGGCAACAGAGCAAGACCCCATCTCAAAAAAAAAAAAAGAGGAGGAGGAGGAGGGGAGGAGGGGAAGCGAACCCCCCCACCCTGGCACTACCATTCTCCGGTAATGGTTAGATTGTGTGCTTCGAGCACTAGCAAAGCAGGCACACTCAAAATGTGGGAAGATCAACCTTGAAACAATGCTAATTGAATACAGCACTCATTAAAGGTTTCCTGCATTTAGAAAAATAACATTGACTTTATGGTTATTATTTTTATTGTGAATCATACTCAGTATCATAATCTTTGCAGTACCTAGAGATCTCTAAAGTTCTTAAGCTAGCCTTGGATCTCTTGCTGAAACCCCTGGTGCCCCAGGCCAGTTCTCATGCCCTGTCAGTCGAACCAGGGTGCCCCTTGGAGGGGACATTTGGGGGAATGAAACCTGGTAAGTCACCCAGACAAAACCCTTTCTTGCTCTAGAGAAATCAGAGCAGCCGTGGGTAGAGACAGGCACTTCTTTATGGCCACAAGATGGCGCCAGACCCTCAGCTTTGTCTTCCCCACGGAGGAAGCCGTCTCAGAGCAGAGATGCTGATGAGAATTTGAAATGTGATGAGGATATTGTTATTAAAGTAGCTATTATTATTGAGTGCTTCCTGTGTGCCAAGCACCGTGTGGGGAGAGTCACATCGTTTATTCTACACAGTTATTGGGCACCTACTATGCAACAGCCGCTCTGGCCCTGAGATGGACCCTGCTCTTTGAACAGGGAGGAAGCAAGCAAACGCCAGGTGGGGGCGAATCTAGGCAGAATAACGCAGGGAGGCCAGGGATAGGGAGGGAGGAGCGGAGGTGTGCTATTTTATACAAGGGAGCTAGGAGAGCCTTGAGAGGAGGTGACATTGAGCAAAGACCTCCACAAAATATGGGATCCAGTCATGCAGACGTTTAGGGGCAGAAAGTTCCAGGCAGAGGAAAGAGCAAGTGGAAAGGTCCTGGGAGGGGGCGCACACAGTGTATTCAAGAAATAGCACGATCTCATTTAGCACTCATGTTCCCATTTTACAGACAAGGAAATGGAGGCTAAGAACAGTAACGTGAGTTGCCTACTGGATCCCACAGGTGGAAGTAAGGTATGGCCCTGCTAGCCAGAGCTGGCTTGGCAGGACCCCTAACAGGCGTGGGCACCCCCTCCCCAACTGCCACAATCACTGTCCCTCCCCTCCCGTCCCCATGCTGCTACCCTCACCTGTGAGGCAGAACCACAGTGCTCCCAGGGCTGCACCCACATGCACACCCATGCCAGGGCTGCCCCGCCGACGCAGCATCTTCCTGTGAGGCGGCTGACAGCTGGGCTCCCCGTGGTGGAAGGCTGCCCCTGCCTGGGAGAAAGAGGACGCAAGGCCTTTGTCTCCAAAGGTTCTCCCCAGACCATCTCTTGCCTCATCTCTCCTGGACCAGAGTGGGGAAGGCTGCAACTGCCCACTGGGAGGTCCTCATTCCCATATCCCACCGGGCCCCCTGCTGAGGAATCTTGGTGACAGATGCTTGGCAGGGAGTCCCTGGGGAGGCCTGACAGGGAAGATGGGGTAGGGGGCAGCTGGGATCCACCCTTTCAGCTAAGATGTTAGTATCCAAATATAAGGAAGAGGAGGCAAGGCGGCAAGTGAAGGCAAGGTTGGCTTGCTCTGGGGCTAGGATGTGTGCAGATCAATTTGGCAGACAGTAGCTGGTAGGGCAGAGCAGGAGCTCCTGTGGGGGCCAGACTTAGAGATGGGCTGACAGGTGTGAAATGTATCCTAAAGGCAGTTGAGAGCCACTGAAGCTTCCTGAATAAGGGAAATACACGGTCAGAGCTGAGCTTCATGAAGATTAATCTGACAGCACCTCCACCCGCTATCTGATGGGAGGGTATGTTTCAGCCAGATCAAGCAGGGCTTTGAGAGACCAGTGAGGAATTTGGGTTTTTCTATGAGTAATGGGAATCACTGGGGAGCATTTTAATCACACATAATCTAGGTAACAATGTTTAAAACCCACTCTAGCTCCTCAGCATAGACTGGATTGTATCAGGGCAAGGGAGAGGCCAGTTAAGAGGCTATTTCAGGCTGAGTGCAGTGGCTCATGCCTGTAATCCCAGCACTTTGGGAGGCTGAGGCAGGCGAATCACTTGAAGTCAGGAGTTTGTGACCGGTTTGAACAACATGGTGAAACCCCATCTCTACTAAAAATACAAATAATTAGCTGGGCATGGTGGTGGGCACCTGTAATCCCAGCTACTTGGGAGGGTGAGGCAGGAGAATTGCTAGAACCCAGGAGGCAGAGGTTGCAGTAAGCCAAGATTGCACCACTGCACTCCAGACTGGGTGACAGAGCCAGACTCGATCTCAAAAAATAAAAATAAAAAAAGAGGCTAATATAGCCATCCCTGTAGGAAGGTATAGTGGTGGAATAAATGAAGGGCCAGACAGGAGACAAAGCATGTCTGGGTAAAAGTGACAGTATCTGAGGACTTGGGTAGAGAGAAAGAGCAGTCAGGTTGGCCGTGGTTTTGAGCCTCAGTGACAGGGTGGAGCATTCACTGAGGCAGAGAAAATGGAAGGGTTCAGTATAGCTTGTGTGAAATCAGCAGTATTTGCAAAGAAGCTTCTAGGACAGAGTTTTAGGAGGCGACTAGGTGTATGAGTGTGGGAATGCAGAGAGAGAACATTTGCTAGCTTAACACATCTGTATTGAGTGACCAAGACAGATCAGAAGTGGAAGAGGCAAGGACTTGGGGATGACCTCAAGGCTGGAGTCAGGACTGAGTAAGAGGCAAGTCTGTGGCTGCAGGTCAGGCCTGAGCTGGGGATGAGAAGGGCAGACATCCCTAAATCCAGCCCTGCTCCCAATCCCAGCCACCCTCCAGGCTGCACACACCTTGTCCCTGAGTCCCACAGCTGCTGCCTAAACATTTGTGCCATGTCCTGATCAAGCCACATCTATGCCAACCAACACTGATCAACAAGAATAGAAATGATTTCACGTCCTCCTAATACCCTGGGAGATAGGCTGTAACACTTGGTCCTATTTTTGCAGGACTTTAAAAAATTAAAGCCCATGGCTGGGTGTGGTGGCTCATGCCTGTAATCCCAGCACTTTGGGAGGCCGAGGTGGGTGGATCACGAGGTCAGGAGTTTGAGACCAGCCTGACCAACATGGTGAAACCCTGTGTCTACTAAAAATATAAACATTAGCTGGGCGTGGTGGCTCAGGCCTGTAATACCAGCTACTCAGGAGGCTGAGGCAGGAGAATTGCTTGAACCCAGGAGGCGGAGGTTGTAGTGAGTGGAAATCGCGCCACTGTACTCCAGTCTGGGCGATACTGCAAGACTCTGTCTCAAAAAAAAAAAAAAAAAAATTAAAGCCCAGATAAGTGACTTTGTTAATGTCAAGTAATTTGCCAGTCAGCACAGCCAAAAAGAGTCCAATTCTGCTACACCTTTCCACCCTTCCACGGAGCAAACCTCATCAACAGCTGCTAGCCTCAATTCCATTCCAGGCGCCCAGCCTCAATCCTTCCAATCCCAGCCAGGCACACCCGCCCCCCGCCACCCTCCACTCCTACACACACACACCCCCAGCAGCTGGGCCAAGGGAGTCCCTCAGCCAAACCATGTGCATCCTGGCCAGCCCCCCTTCTCTCCCAGCTGTCTACAGTGGGGAAGCCCTGAGCAGCCACTTCCTTTCCAGACGCTTCCGGCCTCAAAGCCTTACTGCCTGCTGAGTCAGCAGCCTTCCCCGGCTCCATTCATAAAGCACCTTTGGCAGGCACCACATCCTGCCCCACAAGGGCCACCCTGAGGCCCACAGGAAGATCCAGCAGGCAGCTGCCTGCAGGACCTGCCCAACCCCTGCGGGAAGCACCAGGGCTAAGGATGAACGAACGCCCAGATTCCACATCTCCCTGCCTCTCTTTAACCCCAGACAGAACCAAGGCCTGTGGGTTCTTCCTGGGCCGCCTCCCTCACTCTCCACACTGCTTCTCAAGCTTCCATCTCCCACCCTGACCCATCACCCCCCTCACTGGCCCTGCTTGCTCCTCTCTTTCCCTGCCAGCCCCATTCTCTAAGGTGCCTTCTCTTAGGACCTAAGACAGGAATCTGCTCATGTCCCTCCCCTGCTCAAGAACTTCCCATGGCTCCCCATTCACTATAGAAGTCAGACCCCATTCCTCTGCCTGGTACTCAAGACTCTTCATATAATTGTCTCCTTCATATATCAGGCTAATTCCTGCCACTCTGGGCAGGTACAGGGAGCAGAGGGCACCTCCCCTGATCAGACCTACCCAGGCTCTCCCAGGGCCGAGCTGCGCTTCCCTCCAGAGGGAAGATGAGGGACTTCCAGGGCTGCGCCCTGGACTTGCTCCCTTTCATTCCTTTCCTAGACTCTGGATCCTGGAAACCTGCCCTGGAGAGAAGCAGTTTGACAGCCCAGAAGCAAAGAGACCAGAAGAGTCCACGGCACCCAGAGACCCCTACGCTGACAGCTGGGCCTGGAGGAGCTGAGGACAGGAGAAAGAGACAGAGCTCAGAAAGGAAGTGCTCCCTGGAGAATGGGAGAGTGTCCTGTGAACACAGAGCTGGTCGGCCCGGGACCCAGAGCCACGTGGAGCCACGCAGGCCTCATGCTGCCTGCGTACCACCCCCTCCACCCATGTTTTCCACAAAGGGGAATCTCATCCCCAGCCGGGACCTGCCCTGGAGTCAGCATGTGCCACCCGTCCCGGTGAGTCACCTGCCAGTGCCCACTCCTCGTCCTTCTCCTTCCTGCTCTATCCCAAAACCACAGAGCACCTTCGGCTTTCACAGAGCAGCAGGAGAGAGGGGTCAGGCTGTCCTCAGCCTAAGGTACAGCAAGGGCATCCAACCCTGCAGAAGCAGGGCCACAGGGAGGCTCCCAAGAGATGACCCAAGATGTGCCCTCAGAAAGCTACAACAAATCCAGACTGCACCTGGGCTCAGGGCCAAAATGCCCTGGGCCTGGGGATGCCCAAGAGGGTCTCCTTGCCCCCCACCATAATCACCCACATCACTCCACTTCCTCCTAACCCCCTACTTCCTCCCAATCCCCGCAGGGGCTCCTTGGGCAACACTTCCCACAAAGGGACAAAAAGGGTCAGAAAGACACAAAGTTCTGAAAATGTCAGACAAGTCCCTGGATCCAGCTATGCCTGAAGCAAGCTGCAGACCTAGACCGCCCAGATATTTGAGCCAATCATTTTTTTTCCCTTAAACCAGTTTGAACTAAGTTTCTATTGTCTGCAACCGAAGGAGTCCTTGAATCCACATGCATTCATGTCTTTAGTAATTCATTTCACTACTTACGGAGTTCCTGGTAGGGACGTACTAGGGGCAGAGAGATAACTAAGGTACACGTCTGTCCTCAAGGAGCAGATTCTAATAGGGAAGGGGGACATGCAGTTAGATCACTGCAGTTTGGTATAGTATACTATTTATGATATGGTCAGGGCGAATTGGAGGCACCTCAGAGGCATGATAACCCCAGAGATGATCCCTGAAAAGTCATGAGCAGCTCCCCAGGTAGCCGCGCTGGGAAAGGTAACCCTTTCCTGAACTCCAGAGACCCGTCCTCCTGACACTGCCTGTCTGCCCCTCAGCCAGATCACCCTGGAATTCTAGAAAATGAGCCCAAAGTGTGGGGTTCTGGTCCCAGCTCTGACACTTTGTTATGCAATCTTAACTAGGCAACTTCTCTGAGCTCAGTGTTCCTACCTATAAAAGAAAAGCTTTGTGGATGCTAGTGGAACTTTATCAGTACTTGAAGCTTTCAGGGACTATATCCTTAAGGCTTAACCAGTTCACAGCCACACAGTTCCCACTGAAATGCACAAAGTGACTGTGGCAGAAACTGCTAGTTGTTGTCCACTTACACCCATTTTCTCCCTTTTTAAGAGACAGGGTCCCGCTCTGTCACCCAGGCTGGAGTGGTACCATCATAGTTCAGTGGTGCAATCAGAACCCACTGCACCCTTGTAACTCCTGGGCTCAAGTGATCCTCCTGCCTCAGCCTCCCGAGTAACAGGGACTACAGGTGCTGCCAGCACACCCAGCTCTCCCCTTCTTCCATAGCATTTTTAGTTAGGCACACGGCCACTCAGCTAACGACTGCAGATCCCAGCCTTACTTGCAGCTGAGTGTGGCCATGCAATGTGTACACTGATGTGTACAGCTTCTGGGTCATGCCCTGAAAGAGAGAAGCATGCCCTCCCCTCCCTTTCCCCTCCCCCTTCCCACTGGCTGGAACATAGATGTGGTGTGTGTGGCGATCATACTGCCAAAGGCAACACCCTGAGGACGGCAGAGCAGCAGACAGAAGAACCCTGAGGGACTGTAGTATCAGCCCTGGATATACCCAGATGGTCACATGGGTGAGAAATAAACATCTCTTCCAGCATAAGTCATTGCTATTTTGGGCCTTTCTTACAGCATCTGAACTAACTAAGGAGCCATCCCACCCTTACTTTCCCTCCTTCTCTTCCCCGTCTCCGTACCCGATGAGCATTGCCACTGCTCAGAGCCACAAAAGGAAACCACATCTAAAATAGGTATCTCAAAATACGAACAGGAGACTATCTCATCAGAGTCACCGAGTGATGCCTGAGCCCAGCTTTGGACAAATGTCAAGGGTAGAAGTGACCAGGCTTGGGGACTGTTTGTATTGAGGGAGGGGCTGAAGGTGTCAAGAGGGCACTGAAGGCTTGAGCAATGGGCAAACATGGACACACATAACAAGGAGACCTGGAGATGAAGCACGTGGAGGGGGAAGATCAGTTCCTACTGAGCTCGACTATGGATCATCCACACCAAAATGTCCTATGGACTCCCAGACACACTGAGCTGCAGCTCAGAACAGAGGGACATGGCAGTCATTCGTGCAGTGGTGGTGACAGAACCAAAGGTGGGGTCACTGAGGGAGATGATGCCATGAGAACAAATTCTGGGGAAACTGCAGAAATTAATGATCAAGTATCAGAACAGGGAACCTTTCCCTGCCCCTCCCCCCACCCACCGCATACACACAATCTCTGTTTGCCCTCCCGTGATGGGCACCCATGGCCTGCATGGGCTATCCACTTGCTTTTGGACAGCGTTCATCGGTGAGAAGCTCTACCTTATACTTAGCCCAAATTTGTCTCCCAATACAGCCCACAACAGTCCTCATGTGACCCCTTGGACCACACAGAATGAGTCTGCCCCCTTCCTTATCAAAGCCCTGCAAGTATTTGATCTTCCTTGACGAAGTCACCATTGAGCAGCCATGTCACACCATTCACCAAAATAACCCAAAATAACAGACTATCAAATCTGTAGCCAACCATCAGAAGTCACTCACACTCATTGCTGCTAATCCACACCTCTGCCATCCTCTTCTGATGGAGTTCAGAATGGGGAGGAGTTTTACAGGATATTTCATTTGTTACTATTCCATTTCACCCAGTTAAACTGAGTCCATTCCTCCAACTGCCACAACATTTTTTTCATTGTTGTAAAATATATATAACATGAAGTTGGCCATTTTATCCAGGTTTAAGTGTATAAGTCGGCAGCATTAACTATATTTACAATGCTGTGTAACCCTGTCGTGATCTTTTGAAGTACTCTTTTGACTGTTCTGGTGCATAGACAATGCTCAATAATTTGTTGGTGGATTAAAAAAAGAATGAATGAATATCATCTGAAAAGGTTACTCTCCTCTCTCTGCTGGTGTCTGGGTGTCATCAAGGTCCTCAGGGAGAGGACAGGAATAGGAAAGCCCACAGCACCATCTGTCCCTGGATGATCAATGTCCATCCACCATTCAGTACACCGGGGTTAGGAGTGTTCCTACCTGTGCTGCTACCCAGCTCCCATCTACCCATCTCATCCCCAGGGCTGTCATGAGAAGCTTCACTGCTTCTGGCTGGGGACCAATCAACTGGAGAAGAACAAGAAAAGAAGTGCATTTTCAAAACCCCAGTGAAGCCATGCAAGTGCCTACTAGTGGGCTCTTCTTCAAGTGCTCATTGGTTCCAGGACTTTGTCAAGGATTAAGAACAAGATTATCGATCTGTTGTTCCCATAATCTACCATCTTCCCCATAAAACTGGTTATTTCCCTGTCTCAAGTCTTCTGGCATTTGTTCATTTATTCATTCAACAAATGCTTATTCATGATCCACATGCCAGGCATTGGCCATGCATGCAATATGAATGGAGATGAAGAATCGTACATATAAATATTCAACTACAGGGGTTCTCATTCTCAAGTTGGGAGGTATGTTTATTATTATGCTTCAAAAGTTACCCATGTTATATATATTATTTTGCTTTTATCAAATAATAATAACATAGGCCAGTTTTGTTGAAAGCCATGCACCAGGCTCTGTTCTAAATGCTTTTACACATATTAACTCATTTAAGCTTCCCAACAATTCTGTGAAGTAGGTACTATTATTATCCTATTTCACCGAGGAGTAAATTCAGGGATGGAGAGATTTAATAACTTGCTCAAGATTACAGAGCTGCTAAATGGCATATTTAAAATCCCACATTTTCATATTAAAAATAGAAAAAAGGTTTAGGAAACAAATATATCATTAAAATAGAATATGACCAGTTTTTTGGTACACATTTATACAAGGTATTGTGGGAATGGACGAGGCAGTAGGCTTAAACCTGGATGAAAGGGTCAAGCCATTCACTGGGGGCTGGGGAGGCTCAGTAAGGACTGCACAGAGGAGGAGACATCTCGGCTATCTGGCGGAGGGGACAGCATGAAAAGTCACAGAAGAGGAGATGTCCACAGCATATTCTGGGAAGATGGGACTCCAGGAGAGGCTGAGACTCAGGAGAGGAGGCAAGGGAGGTAGTGAGGGACGTAGATGGGGACTCGGATTGAATCTGTGCACAGCAGGAAACTGTGGAATACTGTGACCCACGTGTCCAACCCTCTTCTACCCTAGACTGGCCTGAAATATCCCTGACAGCTTCTCAGAGATTCTGTCTCCAAGTTCACCCCACACCAGGACAGGCAATCCCAGGGGCCAGAAGACAAATACAGTTAAAACAGATGAGCACCTCCCCGTATGGCCTAAACTTCAATTCCTTCTTAACATCTTCTGCTCCTTCTTTCCTTGACAAAGAGGCAAATTCAATGCCGAGCAGATCGTCTCCGTCTTTGGTAGCTAGTCTTAACACAGTTATTTTGCTCCATGTCCTTTATTCTACAGTGCCCTTCTCTTGGTCTATGCTGGCCCCTTCTGGTAGCAAGGCTCCGCACTCCTGCAGGGAGCCCAGTCCATGCTGTACTGGTGGAGCTGTCCTCCCAGCCTAGGGCCTGGGCATGTTACAAGACCTGGCTCATGGAGAAACCTGCCCTGCCCCCACTCAGTGATTAGTTCGAGAATGAGCTGTAAGCCAAGCCACACCCAATCAGAGACTTCCCCAGAGCCTTGCTGCTGCAGCCATCAAAAAAGACTCTTTCTTGTTGAGATTACTAAGAAGGATACGGTCTGGGACTGTTAGCAATAAATGTGTCTGCTACCAACAATCTAAAGAATTGATCCAAACAAATGAACAGAGGCAGAGATGGAAGCTAGAAGGATATAGAGCCCTAAAACCATCATTTAAGCCCCTATTCCTGAAGCAAGCTGCACACATAGACTGCCTAGGTACTTAAACAAGTCTTTTTTTTTTTTCTTAAATGTGCTTGAGCTAGTTTTCTATTATCTGTAACTGAAGGACTCCTCAAATATGTCTGCTATATCTTCACTATCTCCATTTCTCTCTACCCCTGCTTCTCTTCCTGGTCTTCCAAGTCACCATCATCTCTTGCCTGGATAACTATAAAAGCCTCTTCACCAGTCTGTTCACCTTCTCTAGTTCCCCCACCCAATTCTGTTCTCCAATCTATACTCTATACAACAGCCAGAATAATTGCTATTAATATAAAAGCATAAATTATATCACTGCCTTCAATAGTTAATCATAGGGCTGTTCACTTTCCTTGTGATAAGATCGCAGCTCCTCCATAGCCTACAGAGCCCCATCTGCCCTGGCCCTGCCCACCTGCCCAGCCTCACCTCTTCCTACTTGCCCCTCACCACAGTGGGCTGCTTCCAGTTCCTACAACATAGGACTCCCTTTCCTACCTCACAGTGTTGCTGCAAATACAGTTTCTTCTTCCTAGATGACATGGGTGCTTTAAGACTCATGTTGAAATTTAATTGCCACTGTAACAGTATTAAGAGGTGGGGCCTGTAAGAAGTGAAGAGATTAATGCTGTTATCACAGGAAAAGTGGGCTCCTGATAAAAGCGTAAGTGCTGCCCCCATACTGTCTGTACTGCACGCTCACATGCCCTTCCACAATAGGATAATGCAGCAAGAAGGCCCTCGCCAGATGCCAGCACCATGCCCTTGGACTTCCCAGTCTCCAGAACTACAAGCCAAATAACCTTTTTTTCTTTATATATTACCCAGGCTGTGGTATTCTGTTATAGCAGTAAAACATGGACTAAGATAAAAGGTAACACCTCCATATTCTGAGGGTCACCTTGACAGAAAAGCCAGGTAAGAGATCTGCCACTCTAAGAAGGACCCTGTCATTCATTGCACCCAGTCTGTTTTCTTCATGATATATGAGAACCTCCCTGAGAAGGAACCACATCTGCTTTATTTAACTATTGCATCCTTAATTCTAGCAATGGCTTGGCACATAATGGGTTCTCAATGCACGATTCAATGAGTGAACGAATGAATGCATGTGTGTTTAGATAGAGAGATGGATAGATATATGGATGGATGGATGTTTGTATATGGGGAAAGGATCTGGATGCCTGAGAGTGAATGCAACTCTGGAGTGTCAGAATAAGGGTGAGAGTTTGCTACTGTTTTCTACTTGATACACTTCTCTGTTTTTAACTATGAACATGTAAATTCTTTTGCAATTAACGAAAAAAGGAAAACAGCAACAACAGAGATATCCTGGACTTTAGACCAGGCTCTGTCACTCACTTGCCAGGCTCCCTAGGCCAAACCCCTTGCCTTTCTGGGTCTTCATCTCCTCAACCATCAAAGGGTCCTGACCACCATCCCATGCTGTGACCATATCGCATGTTGGGCTGGTGTAATCACAAGAAGCTTCATGGAAGAAGTTAGCACTAGTGTTTAAGAAGATGACTTTGGAGTTGGAGAGACAGGTTCAAATCCAGACTCTGTCACTTCCTAGTAATGAAACTTTATGAAAATATCCTCTCTGAGCCTCAGTTTGCTCATTTGTAAAATGGGGATTATAAACCTTACCCTCATAGGATGATTATAGGACTCAATGAGCAAAATTATCAAAACTGACCTAGTTAATACTAGGTGCTCTATAAATGGGCAGCAGCCTCAGAAAAGAGATGGGAGGGTCCCTAGAGTTCCCTGGGAACAGCCTCCCTGTTTGCCTTCCTTTTTCCTGATAATCTGAGTCAGTTTGGGCCTTTTATGTTCAAGGCTGTCCACTGGGCACCACTCCCCAGTCCCGTGATCCCACCCAAGAGCAGGAATCAGTTCTTCCTCTCCAAGCGATTTCTGTGTGAGTCAGGACAGTAGTATGTCATCAGGGCTGGCCAGCAAAGCAGGGCTAAGGTCTCCCTGGAACTAGAGGCATGTGCAGGGGCTGCAAAACTGACCTATACATGCATGTGGAAATGTGTACACACACACACACACACACACACACACACACACACACACAGGAGGCACAGAGCCCTGAAAAAAGTGAAAGCTACATTGGGCCCAGAGGAGGTCCAGCCAAAAGAAGGGATGGCAACAAGGAGAATAGGGAGAGGAAGGAAAGGGATGAGAGCACATGAGACCACATCAGAGCGCAGATTTCGGGTCAGACACTGGCAGGCCCAGGGCACACACATCTGCATTCACTCAATATCTGCTGAGTCCTGCTAGGTGCCCACCTAAACATATCTGGAAATCCTATCCTTTCCAGAAGCCTTTCCAGACTGCACTCAAGGAAGGGTGCATTTTCTCCAGATGTGATCTGCCTAAATGCCTCCTTGCCTCCAAATTCCTTTGGTTTCTACCCTGAAAGAGGCTCAGCTTAGCAGAACAACTCTGCCGACCCCTCTCCATCTAAGCACCAGACCCCTCTCGGAGTGTAGCAATCTCCACCAGTCCTCAGAGCTAGAAGGCCTCTTACGGTACACCTGGTCCAGCGCCTAGCTCCAGGCCCATTGTACAGATGGAAATCTGGACCCAGAGTGGTGGCCGGCTGGCCAAGGGCCCACACTCAATTATCAGCCACCAGCAGAAGTGACTAAGAGCCAGCTGATGCTCCTATCTCTCTTCCTCACTTATTGAATGGAATCACCAGGCTGCCTTGCCTGCCCAGGGTACAGCATGAGCTCAGAAGCCAGCAGCCTTGGGTTTCAATCCTGACACCGATGCCTTGCTGAACACATGACCAAGTTTAAATGACTTAACCTATTTGAGACCCAATTCCAAATCTCTAAAATGGGGGTAACAATCCCTACCCCACAGGGCTGCTGTGAGAATAAAATAAGACAATAGAGAGAGAGGACTTAGGAAAGTGCCCAGTACCAAAACTGCAGTAATAATTATTATTATTGCTGTTATTATTGCCGCAAGCATGGGGACAAGGCCTCCTAGATGGGGCCTCTGCACTGAGCGAACACTTTGCCCCTACCCCACTCTCCCTGGCCAAGACCTCCTCTGTCAGGCCACACATCTGGGCCTCTGGGACCATTACTCCTTCTGTATCCCTACTTTTCACCTAGAGCCCTATCAGTGCCCCAGCTCCAAAGTAGCAAATGCACAACTCGACTCCATCTCTGGCTCTGACTCATTCTAGTGGTCCTGGGCCCCTTCCTCTTCGCAGATGCTTGGTCACAGTTCCAAGTACCATGAGCTCCTACCGTCCTGCTGCCATAGCCCCTAGCACAGAGCATTCCCACAGGGACACATTCCAATGTCTCCCACAAGGCAGCCCCAGTTCCTAGGAGCCTGCATTGCCTCTAGGGTAACTTGGGACCCCTGCCTCCCAGAGACAGTATCTCTCCCTGCTCCAAGGCTCCCAGCAAGAAATGCTTCTCACTCCACTTCCCGCAGATTAAGCTCCCTATGCCTAGAGAAGGTCAGATTCCCAATGGCATAAGGTGTGTGGAGCAGGCATTCATTCTCTGGACCACAAAGAGAAAGAAAGGGAGAAAGGGGGCAGCTGGCTGGGAGCACTGGTCAGAACTGGAGGGTGGAGGGGGAACTCCTGGAAGCCCCAGCATGATAAAGTCCAGGGCTCTGGAAGAGAAGAACTCTCAGCAAAGGCCCTGACTATGCTGTGAAGGCCACTAGTCACTGGGTCACCCAGGTCAGGCCTGCCCCTTCTCTGGTTCCCCAGATGAGTCTTCCCTGACTTACTAAGGAGACCCTTGGCACATCTTACCGGGCTCCAGAAAGAGGGGTAAAACCTGTGCCTACCTCCAGAGCAGCAGAAAAAGCCAGTTCTGGAAGCAGACAACAGCCCAGCTCCACCATTTGCCGGCTGTGTGTCTTTGGGCATGTGACTTACCCTTTCTGGGCCTCAGTTTCCCCAACTGTACAATGGTGTTAATGATACCCTACCTCATAGGATTACTATGAGGATTACATGAGATAATGTCTATTTAGCCTCCAGCACAACCCTACCCACTCCCAAACCTGAAAACCCAATGCTCCTATCTGGCACACTGCAAGGGCGGTAGAACTGGGGGTGGCAGGCAAGGGTTGCATAACTGTACACGTGGCCCCCTTCCAGGTGTGGGGTCCATTCTGAGCCAACAAGACCAAAGGCAATTTCTCAAAAATCATGTGGACCAGTCCTCACCCCTCTCCCCCTCCCCTAGGCCCTGGGTGTGCCCTCCCCCTTTTGCTGGTGGACTTCCCTAACACTCCTGCCCTGGGGATGTGGGAAAAGGACAATGAGAAGTCGCCACCCACTCAGAGGATAAGCTCATGGGCAGTAACGTCATCCTCCTTGCCATTTTTCCTCTTTCCCTGACCCTATGACTCAGATCCACAGCTTAACAGCCCCCATGTGGTCATAATCTCAGAGGCTGCTTGGATTTGGTCATTTTTCTGCACAGACCCCAAACCCCGTATGTGCAACCAAGTACCATCCAGCCACTTGTTCTACAACATTTTCTAGGAGTCTCTTTAGGTGCTGTGGAATTCCAACTCACAGCTCTCTTATCACACTGCATCTCTGACTCCAAACAGCATTGTCCAGCTCCTTGTCAAACTCAAATCCTACTCCAAAGAACAAAGATTTACCCCTCCAGAGAAAGCCAAAGTTTAATGATGGAATTCTCACAGGAAGTTTCAGAAGTCAACCTAATAAGGACACAGACACCCCAGAGGACTACTTTGAAGGGACCACACTTCTATAACTGTCCTTTCCATAAATATTAAAGCACCGAAGCCAGCTGTCAGGTATATGAACATGAGACATTCAGCCAACCCTCCATCGGGTGGTGCCTGGACAGAGCTGAAGAGGGGACAGGAAGGAAAACAGGGTCCTCAGATTCCAACACCCCTTCTCACCTGAGACTTGCATTAACACAGGCTCCTTACCTCTGACAAGCTCATGTCTCACAGCACAGGAGTCTAGAGTAAGCTGGAAAGCTTACTGCAGGCAGGAGAAACCACCAGTAATGCCATAAGGACATGGAAGAACTCCAAAGGTCAGTCATGGGACCCTGACTGCATCACTGAGGCCACTTAATGCAGGAACGAAGCTCTCTCCCGCCAGCGTCCCCTTGCCATACAACCCCTCAGAACAAAAACTGAGGTCCACAGGGCTGACCCAAAGTCATGAAGGAAAATTTCATTCACATCAGGATACTCCAGTAAGCTGACGGTGACGTATGTAAATTTCCACGGTCAACAGTTACCCTAAGTGTTAGTGCTTAATCTCAAGAACTCCAGATATCAGGAAAATGTACTCACCCAAAATACTCCCTTGAAATGAGCCACTTCATACCCTACAGCCCCATAGCCCTCCATCCTGCCCTGCACTCAGATCAGCTCAACCCATCGGACAGGTTTAGACTTCAAGTTTAGACTTCAGTTCCCCTCAGCCTCAAACTGTCCCACCTATTTGCAGTCCCCCACACTACAAGGAAGGCTGCACAGCATCAGATTTCCTAGGGACTTCTGGGAGGCCAGAGGGAACTAGAGGAGGCCGCACTAAATAAAGAACTCTCTTAAAGACAAAGCAGCTTCATTACTTTCTAATATAGAAACTAACTGCTGAAGACATGCTTATAAGAAAAGGACCCCGGGCTTTAATGAAGAGATCAGACTCATTTACAATTATCCACATCCAATTTGAAGGTAAATCGTTTTTCTAAATTAAGACAACTAACACCCCCCCACCCGCCACACACACACACACACACACACACACACACACACACACACAAATCTTTTTTGCTTTACTATTTGCTTAATGTTTTCCCTCAGTGATAGATCCCATATCTGAGTCATCTATCACGCTTTTCTCATTAGAGCAGGTTTGGCTTAGAAATAAATCCCCTGCCTTAGGCTGCCAAACCTGCCAATTCGCTAGCTAAACGGTCGCAGGGAGGGCCCTGGGCGCTGGAATTCAATCCCCTCCCTTCTAGTGTGCCCCCACTCGGGGTCCCCACCTCCCTCCACCGTCGCCCGCATCTCCTCTCCATCCCACCTCACCCCCCACCTCCCTGAGGCTTCCCAAGCCCAAACTGCCCATCCCAATTCCCTCCCCACCCCCAACACCTATTCACCCCGTGGCCCCTGCCAGCCGTCTCTACCTGTCCTTCCCGGAATCTGACCCCTCATGCTGCCCACGGCTGCCTGTGGAAGTGCACCAGTCGCCCACACCTTCGCCCTGCTGGGCCCTGCAGAGTGGACACGCCTAACCACTCGCCTTCCCTCCCCGCCGCTCCCCTCCCGGAGCTGGGCGTTTTCCTCTGCAGGACCCGAGACCCCGCTAACCTCCCAGCGCCGGCCGGTGGCTTCGTTAAGCTTCAACACGGGACAGATCTGCCCCCATGCCCGCTCCAGACCCGGGGCCTGCAAAAGCGCATTCACCCACCCGGCCCGGTCCGCAGCTTCCGGGGTCTGCAGGTCCGACGGCGCCCGGGCCCCTCTCAACCCGAGGAAAGGGGGGCGGGGTAGGATCCGGGAGCCCCCAGCTCTCCGCGGGCCCCACAGCCCAGGGCAGGAGGGGCGCCCGCGGTTCCCGGGACTCCTGTGCGAGGGGGGCCGCCCGGACCTGGGGGAGGGCAGGGGAGCAGGAGCCCGGAGGGAAGGCGCCCTGCTCAGCTCCTGCAGCCCTGAGCGGGAACGTGCGGACCTCCGCGGGATCCAGGCCCGGCCCGCAGCAGACAAAGGCCGCCCCACCCCGCGCCGCCCGCGCCACGCCAGCACTCACCGCGCCGCGCCGACTCTGGGACTCAGGGACGCGGCCCAGCCTGGCTCAGTCGCCGCCGCAGCGAGGCCCGGCCCGAATGGGGGCCGGGGGCGGCCCGGGGAGTCCGAGGGGCGGGGCGGGCCGCGCCGGAGAATCCGCCTGAGGCCCGGAAAGGCGGCTCCGGTGCGTCCCTGAGGCCGGATTGGCCCCGCGGTGGCGGCTGCTGACCGAGGCCTGAGCCAGCCCGCTGGGCAGAGCACACGGCCTGGCCCCCGCCCCCGCCCCGCCCCGCCCCCAGGCCTGACCCTGGCGGGGAAAACCCTCGGCTCCCGGAGCAGGGCGCTGCCCATCCCCCACCCCGTTCCCACACTTCCAAGAGCCGAATCTTCCTTTCTGCGAGAGGGGATAGGTGACTGACTGGTCATCGACTGGCGGCAGAACAGGGCTGGAATCCTGCTGTCCAACCCCAGTCTTGGGTTCTTCCTCCACACCATGCTGGCACCACAGCCCAGAAAGGGTTAACTCGACTGCGAGGAATTAAGAGCTGCAAGGAGCTCTCTATAAATACAGTGTCGTGGGCGCCTGAGCCAACCGCAGGACAATTTCCACTGAGCTGGTTTTCCTCTTTTCCTTCCACCCACGGCCATCCGACCAGCCCTGCCCCCAGCCCCACCCCAGACTGCTGGCCGGACTTGGCTCCAACAGGCCTGACACCTAGTGGCCTTGGGCTCTGTCCTTACAGGGCCCCGCTCCAGCCTGGGAGGAGATGGGGGTCGGGCCTGTCCAGATTTTGCTGTGGTGCAGCCCATCCCTGCACCTGTTCTTGGATCTGTTCTTCCTCACAGGGACAGTGACAGCTAAAACGTAGGGAGACTTTTGTGGGCCAGAGTTAGGTTAGGAGCTTTCCATGCTGGGCCTCTTTAGTTCCTCCAAACAGCCCCGCCGGCTAGATATTATTATTCCCATTTCACAGATGAGAAAACCAAGGCTCAAAGGGATGAAGGGACTCCAACCTTGTACTGCTGCCAGGCTCACCACCAGTGCCAGTGGCAGTACTGGGCAGGGCTTGGGAAATGAGTATGAAAACATGTGCGTCTCTCTGCATGTGTTGCCACTGTTGTAAGCTCTTTACCATTTTATCTCATTTAATCTTCACAACAACTCATTGAGGTGAATACCATTATTCTCATTTTTACAGATCGGAAATAAGGAAATTAAGATACAAAGAGATTAAGTAACTTGGGGACACATAGCTATGAAGGGAGGAACCGGGATTTGCCCTCTGAATTTAAGTGTGCGTGTGGTGTATGGGTAGGGGTGGTGGTGCATGGGTGTGTATATTTGTGGGGGGTTTTTGTCTTTTTTTTTTTTTTGAGACAGAGTCTGGCTCTGGAGTGCAGTGGCTCAATCTCGGCTCACTGCAACCTCCGCCTCCTGAGTTCAAGCGATTCTCCTGCCTCAGCCTCCAGAGTAGCTGGGATTACAGGTGCGCACCACTATTTTGGCCAGGATGGTCTCGATCTCTTGACCTTGTGATCCACCCGCCTTGGCCTCCAAAAGGGCTGGGATTACAAACGTGAGCCACCGCGCCCGGCCGGGTGTGTATATTTGTGAACACATTCAAGCAACTCTGTATTTGAGTCTACGTGCATATGTGTCTTTGAATCACACAGCAGCTGTGTCTGTGTAATTGCTGACTGCTCCTAGGGATGACAGCAGAGAGGCCCAGCTGTCTTGTCCCTGACCACCTCCAGGAACTCTGGACCATTCCACGCTGCTCCCCACTGCCCTGCCAGGCCCTGACCAGCCTCGTCCAGCCTGGGTCTGGCCTTACAGGTCTCAGGATGAGTAGCCTCCAGTTGGCCCAGCAACCTGGGGAAGTAGCATCACATGGAGAGGTGTCCTTGGGCTGAGGGAGCTAGGAGCCCTGCTGCAGGACCCTGGAGGTGGCATTGAACAGATCTAGAGAAACTTACTTTCCTTCCCTTCACAAAGAGTCAGTCCTGTGCCTTGTGCCTTGCGGTGGTGACGCTGGTCCTGTCCTAAGGGATTTATAATCTGGCATGACTCAGCCATGGTGGACAGTGAAGGAACATCACAGAGCAGTTTATAGTGTGTCTATGGGGGGAGATTTTAAAATAATCATTCAAGAGCAGAGGTCAGGAGGGAAGGAAATGTGTATTGGCTCTCATTCCTGGAAGCAGCAGATTGAGAGGGCTCTGATCCCCTAGGAGGGGGAAACAGCTTGGGCAGGGCACAGATAGCACATGTGTAGGACCAGCTCATCTGAGACTCAGACACTTGGATCTGGACACAGATAGCTAGAATGACCATCCCATCATGCAGGGGTCTCCTTGGTTCAGAGAATGTTTGCCTGATTGTCCCTGGGAACTCAGGAATGGAGGTGCTACACAGAGATTCCCGTCAGAACCAGAAAAACTCAGGATGGAAGGTTGTCTTCATGCATTCTTTCTGGACAGCAGCCCTACCCCTCTCACCTCTATCCCTCCCACCCCCCACCTCCCCACAACCTGCTTCCTAGGTCAGCACAGTAGTAGATGACTCAGAATGTGCTATCTCCAGTTTTGCTTCAAGTTCCCCAAGGAGGTCACAAACCAATCCCAAAAGACCCAGATTGGGACAAGCCTTATCCCACTTTTTATCTACCTACCATCCTGCAGGTTCCTCAAATTCAACATGTGCAAAATTGAATTATCACATGTCCCCAAAACCTGTTTCCCCTTCTAGATATACAGGAAGGACTATGCTCAAAACCTGGACTCATCCCTCGTTCCCTCCCACTTCCCCCCACTTCCCACTGCCAATATCCAGGCAGGCTTGAAGGGGTGCCCTAGAATATGTTAGGAATCCCTCCCTTTCCTGAATACCCTACTGCCACACCATCCTCATCTGAACCCCCATCACTCCTCACTGGATTGTTGTTGAAGCCTCTTAACTAATTCTGCTGACTGTGACTCCTCAGTCCATAGCTGCCAGAGAGAGCCTTCTAAAGCGCAAATCCTCCCACAATGTCTCTTGCTTACCTGAAGCCCTTCAGTGTTCTCATTTGCCCTTAGGCTGCTAGTTGTCCACTAAAATTAATTCTCTACTTCTTCCTTACCAACAGAGTGTAGCATTTGTTCTAAGAAGTTCTATGCCTAGTTGAAAATACGTGGGTTCTCAGACCCCCTTGCAGCTAGAGGCAGTCACGTGACCCAGTGTGGCAAATGAGATGGAAATGAAACTCACTGATTGAGGCTTTGGGGAAAGCTTGTTAAAGGAGCAGCCTTGAGCTATGGAAACCAGTCTGGTAGTTCCTCAAAAAATTAAAAATAGGCCAGGCAAGGTGGCTCACACCTCTAATCCCAACACTCTGGGAGGCCAAGGCGGGAGGATCACCTGAAGTCAGGAGTTCAAGACCAGCCTGGCCAATATGGTGAAACCCCATCTTTACTAAAAAAATAATAATAATACAAAAATTAGCCAGGCATGGTGGCGCTCACCTGTAGTCCCAGCTACTTGGGAGGCTGAGGTAGAAGAATCACTTGAACCCAGGAGGCGGAGGTTGCAGTGAACTGAGATCATGCCACTGCACTTCAGCATGGGTGACAAAGTGAGACTCTGTCTCAAAAAATAGAAATAAAAATAGAACTACTATATGATTCAGCAATTCCACTTATGGGCATACCTCCAAAGAATTGAAAGCAGGGTCTCAGAGAGATATTTGTACACTCATATTCTTAGTGGCATTACTCACAATAGGCAAAATGTGGAAGCAACGCAAGTGTCTACATCTCCAGATGAATGGATAGGCAAAATGTGGTGTATCCATACAGTAGAACATTATAACTTTCCTCAGGGCAGAAATTATGACTGAAATTAGGAGAAAACTTCCTTTTGCCTCCTTTGACATGCAAAAGGGAAAGTGTCTCTCTCATCTATTTAAATACACTTAGATAATGCAAACTGTACAGTGTAAGCTATGGAGATATTTCTGTCTTTTTAGAGCAGCTAAGCAGTCCATCTCATAGAAAGCGGCTCAGAAACATTGAGATGCCTCTCCTAAGAATGATACTGAAAATGTATTCATTTTGACTGCTTCCATAAGAAACAAAAATCAATTCTTGGCAGTGTCAGGGATTTAAGGCCCAAGTGGCGATTGGGGATTTTATCGAGGATCCCTGCGACACTAAGCCAATACCTTGGCACTGGCCTCCCTTCCCTCAGGCTGGTTGGTGCATATTACTTCCCAAGTTGTTTGCATTTTTAGGCCTCAAATCCTTGATGTCTTGGCAAAAGCCACCCACCCGCACTCCACTCTGCCCACTCACTTAGGACTCATAGGGTGCCATCAGGAACCATTCCATCCAGCCTAGACTTAAGGCAACCACATTTCTCTCAAATGACTGAATCCGGTGTAAAACTGAATATGGTGCATAGCAACCACTGCAGGTTCCGGCTTCCTAGTTTCTTAGTCCTGGGAATTGAGTCTTGGAATAGGCTTCAAATGTCTAGAACCAACTACTGCCAGCTGGAAGCATCTGGCAAGCAAAATAACAGGAGCAGCCTAATGAAAGAGGAGCAGGTCCTCCAGGGAGGATCGCCTGGGAACACTCCGTAACCCTAAGGCCCTAATACACACACAACAACATAACGAAAGAGCTTCTAAGCAGTCTTTTCTAACTAGCTGCTTCTATCTGACTCACCAGCCTCTGCTCTTCTTCCCTGTTCACCCTTTCCATTATCTGTCTTCCTCCCCATCCCCGGTGAAACTGAACCATTCAATCCCCTTTCCCTTTCCAATTTCTTTACTATAATCTTGGCTGACAACACTCCCAATACCGGGAAGCCATTTCAGAGTTTGTGTCCTGCTGCTGGTGAGTCGGAAGGAAGGTGGCAGGTCCTCCAAATAGGAGGGTTGTACAGAGTTTAAAAAACAAAACAACAAAACAACAGAACAAACTAAAAACAGCACCATGCTACCAGGGGAACTCTTCTATCTCATTGGGAGTTGTTTTTTTCTAATAGCTCTCACATGCAAATAATTGAACAGGCTCCACCCTTGCGCTGACCTGAAAGTGAGCACCTCCTTCAGTTTTGCATCATAGGTGCAGGTACCTCATGCTCGTCCTGGCCCTGCTCCTAGGCTTGCCCCAAGACAGGCTCAGAGAAGCAGGCACTGACCAGAACAACTAAGGGTTCCTGCTAGATGAATAAGATCGAGTGCCCCTGGCTTGGAGAACAAGGGGCCCTGCCTCACAAGCCAGTGGTGATGGCCCTCTTAAGGAAGATAGTGGATAAACCATATGGAATCCAGAAATCTGAATTTCAATCCAGGAGTTTAATCCTTTTTTATTTTATTTTTATTTTTTAAGAGACGGGATCTTGTTCTGTCACTCAGGCTAGAGTGCCGTAGTGCAATTGTAGCTCACTGTAGCCTTGAATTCACCCCTGGGCACAAGAAATCCTCCTTCCTCAGCCTCCCTAGTAGCTAGGACTACAGGAGTAAGCCAGGTGCTGAATCTTAAGTGCAAATATTGCTGTTTTCAGAGTCACAGGGTCTCTTTGTGGTATTCGTTTTCAGCTGGGTTTGTGACATTATGCCTAGGCATCTTCAGGGCACCTTACCAAAGGGACTCAAGGGAAGGTTTAACTGCCCCAGTGGTGAGAACAGTTTATCTAATCTTCCTTAATGGAGCACTCTTAACCTGCAGTTCTTCATGTCAACCCTAATCCCTGAGGCAGGACAACTGACTGCAAATCCCTGCCCTTTCTCTCTCCCTGGCTTCTCTCAGTCCACTCCCCCTCTTCTCCTGGAGATAGGCATTTTGCAGTGAAAGTGACCCTTCTTGGGAACATGTCTTGGCTGCTGCTAGGTCTCCACTTGGGTTACTGGTGCTAGGGAAGAACCCAGTTCGAGACAATCCAGGCCACGAAGCAGGATGTGTGAATCGCAACATCCTCAGTCAGTGACCAAGGCTCAGTTCTCTTGCAGTTTCCTTCCCACCCTGCTTCTGCCACCAGACATGGGGCTTCCTGCCCACTGGCCTACCTCTCCCAAGGTTACTACATGAAGTATGGGGTATTATATCTTATTAGCTTAACTGCTTCTTCCATTATTGTGGTTAGCAGTTGCTCATGAATACAACCTTGCGTTTGTTTTCTTAAAACAGGACTTTCAGCTAAATGACATGTGTGGCTCCTGTTCCTTCCTCAGTTTTCTTGATGAGACCATCACAAACATAACTTCAAAAGAAATCCTTTATAAGCAGACTTTCTGCAGGAACCTGGCACCTTCACAGGCAAACAGGGATGGGCTCTGGGTTTCCAAACAGGAACTTGAGCAGCAGCACTGATGCCGTCCACTCAGGGAGATGTGCAGCCAGATGTGTGGCTTCTGAGGAGTGACTCCAGCTGGAGTTTCTCCCCTCACCCTAGTAGTTCCTTGACCAGCCCTTCATTATTCTTTAGGGTCAGCATTGCTGTCAAAATGTGGCCCGTCTCCATCACCCTCCACCCCTCCATAAATATTCATGTAGTCCAGTTCCTCCCAGCTTAAGAGGAGGGAGTCTATCAGAGGTTGTCCTCTCAAACTGGACCAATCCACTTACTTCCCTAAGCCTCCTCCAAGGAGCAGGTGCCAGCTTCAGCCTTGGTCTGTTCTGATGTGTGCTGCCCACAGTGTTCTCCACTTGGCCCAAGCCACATGTCATATCTCCCCAGGCACTTTGAGGGCTCCCTTAGGGCAGGAACTCTGGCTCATTCTCCTCCAGGCTCCTCACTCATGCTCCCTCACTCCCACCTGGGATGCTATAGCTGAATGAAGGCTTGAACTCTGGAGTGAATGCTTGACCCTGGCTGGCGGGAAGGGGCATTGACAGTACAGCAGGCTGAAAACCAGGACACCAGGACTCACCTCTCATCCCTGCCACAAACTAACCATGTGGCGGGAGGAGGTAGCTTAACCGTTCTGGGCCTTTTCCTCTCAGAGTCCTCCTAAAGCTCCTCTGCAGCCCTGAGCCACCATTTCTCACTGAGAGCATCAGAATTTCCTCCTCGGCCCTGCAGCAGACAGGACTAATGAAGCAGGCTAGCGCCATGGACAAGCGGCCTGCAGAGCCAGAAAGGAACTAACAGTCTCCAACTTCCCTACTCCTTTTCCAAGTTCTTTCCATCATGGTTGACATAGGCACTTGCTACTCTGAGCCACCTCCTGGTGATAAGTGGAAATGCAGCTGAAATGGGCTCCTGTCCTCACCTGTCCTAGGTCTCCAAGGATGCTCCTCAATGCCCAGCTTGAAGAAGGAAATGGGATGGAAGGAGAGGGGAAAGCTGTGTGGACTGAGGCTGTGGAGGTCAGGGAAGGGTTCGCAGAGGAGCTGGGTTATAGCTGACCTTGAAGGATGGGAAGAACTCAATAAGTGAAAGGCATCAGGGACCTGCCCAGGTCTGACCTTCTCTAAGACAACACACACTTGGGAAGACATCGATCTAATTACCCTGGTAGTGCTGCTTGCAGAGTCTGGCACCAGGAAATGGGTCAAGTGCAGGGGGCAGAAGGGGAAGGCCACCTCAAGAAGAGCAGGTCTGGGAGCAGAGAAAAGAGCACCTGGGCCACACCCTCTGCCTTCCCTCCTTGTGCTACCATTCAGGTCAGCCCTCCTTTTGCGCAACTTGCCTACTCAAGGACATCACGCCAGAAATTCTCCTCTCCTGCATCATCAATCTTTTCACTGTCTCCAAATCATTCACTACCTTTCTTGAAACACTTTCTGCCTCTAGAACAGAAAGTTCTTGCTTTTCTTCTCACCTTGCTGGTTGTTCCTTCTAGTCTCCTATGCTGGATCCTTCTCCTCTCCCCAACCCCTTAATGTACAGGAACTCCAGGACTTAGTACTCACACTCTTTTCTTCTGGGTCTAGACCCATTCCCTCGGTCATCTCATCCAGTCTGACGGCTTTAATACTATCTATGTGCTGAGAACGCTCTAATTCAAGTTTCCAGCTTGGACTGTATCTTTTAATTCTGTATACCCGACTGCCTACTCAACATCTTCACTAACTTGTCTTGAATCAAACTCATGATTTTCATCCTCCTGCCTACCCACTGCCACTAAAACAAACAACAAACCATTTATCCTGCAGTCTTCCCCATCTCAGGCGATGGCAACTTCATTCTTCTTTTGGCTCAGGCCAAAAACCTTGCGGTCATCCTTGATTTTTCTGTTTCTTTTTTTCTTTTCCTTTTTTTTTTTTTTTTTTTTTTTTTTGAGATGGGGTCTCACTCTGTAGCCCAAACTGGAGTGCAGTGGAGCAATCTCGGCTCACTGCAACCTCCGCCTCCAGGGCTCAAGGGATTCTCATGCCTCAGCCTCCTGAGTACCTGGGGCTACAGGCACCTGCCACCAGGCCCAGCTAATTTTTTGTATTTTAGTAGAGATGGGGTTTCACCAGGTTGGCCAGGCTGCTCTCGAACTCCTGACCTCAGGTGATCCACCCGCCTTGGCCTCCCAAAGTGCTGGCATTACAGGCATGAGCCACCATACCCAGCTGATTTTTCTGTTTCTTGCAAAACCCACACCAACAATCCTACTGGCTCCTACCTTCGAAATATATCCAGAACCAGAACCACCTTTCTGGTCTCCACTGCTACCACCCTAATCCAAGCCATCCTCATTTACCTGTATTGCAGTGGCTTTCTGATTAGTCTCTTTCCTTCCACTTCTCTCTATAGTTTACTTTCTACACAGCAGCTACAGTGACCTCTTTAAATGCAAGCAAATCAAGTCATTCCTCTGCTCAGAATTCTCTAGGGTAAAAATTAAATCCTTCAATTGTTCTATATGATCCTACATGATCTGGCTCTGTGCTTTCCTTCTGATCTCATCTCTCCCCCACTTGCTTCCTCTACTCTGCGTTCGCTTCCTTTACTGCTCCTTAAATACACCAGTCATGCTTGCCTTTGGGCCTTTGCTCTTGCCCTTCCCTCTCACTGGGACACTGTTTCCCCAGATGTCCACAGAGTTCATTCCCTACTTTCTCCAGGTCTCTGTTCAAGTGTTACCTTTCCAGGAAGGCCTTCCCTGACCACCCTATATAAAGTGGTGCCCACTATCCCCAGCCTTGGTCATCCCCAACTTCTTTACTCTGCTTGATTTTTTTTCCTTAGCACTTATTTACCCTCTGATAATATTATATATTACTTGGTTATGCATTTATTGTCTATCTCCCTCCATAGAATTTGAATCATGACTTTGTTGTCCACTGCTGTATTTCTGCACCTAGAATATTGCTTAATAACTGCTTGTGGCATGAGTGTGGCTAAATGAAAAGACCAGAAGTTGACAAGTACATGGATAGAAAATGTTGTGGTGTTGTTTTAAAAAATAGATTTTATTTTTTAGAGCAGTTTTAGTTCACAGCAAAATTGAGCAGAAGATACAGAGATTTCCCATATACCCCCTGGTCCCACACAGGTACAGCCTCCCCCATAATCAATTTATGGGGTACATTTGTTACCATCAATGAACCTACCTTGACACATCATCATCACCCAAAATCTGTAGTTTACATGAAGGTTCATTCTCAGTGTTATACAAATTATGGGTTTTGACAAATACATAATGACATGTTCCCACCATTACAGTATCATATAGGGTAGTTTCACTGCCCTAAACATCCTGTGTTCTACTTATTCATTCATCTCTTCCCCTCAACTCCTGAAAACCACTGACCTTTTTACTGTTTTCATAGTTTCGCCTTTTCCAGAATGGCACATAGCTAGAATCATACAGTATCTAGGCTTTTCTGATTAACTTCTTTCACTTAGTGATAGGCATTTAAAGTCTCCTCAAGTCCTTCCATGGTTTGCTAGCTCATTCCTTTTTAGCACTGAATAATATTCTGTGGTCTGGATGTACCACAGTTTATTTATCTGTTCACCTACTGAAGGACAAGAGGATGTCCTTGGCAATTGTGAATGAAGTTGCTATAAATATTCACGTGCAGAGTTTTTTGTTGGGGTGTAACTTTTCAACTTCCTTTGTTAAATACCAAGAAGCATGATTGCTCCTCGGTATTTAACAAAGGAAGTTGGATTCTATGGTAAAGGTATGTTTAGTTTTGTAAGAAACTGCCAAAAACAGTCTTTTAAAGAGGCTGTACCATTTTGCATTCCCACCATCAATGAATGAGAGTTCCTGTGCCTCTGCATCCTTACCAGCTTTTAGTGTTGTTAGTGTTCTGGATTTTGGCCATTTCGATAGGTGTGTAGTCATGTCTTATTGTTTTAATTTGTATTCTCCAGTGACACTTGATGTGGAACATATTTTCATACGCTTACTTGCCACCTAAATGTCTTCCTTGGTGAGGTATTTGTTAAGGTCTTTGGCCCATTTTTTAATAAGGTTGTTTGTTTTCTTGTTGAGTTTTAAGACTTCTTTGTATATTTTTGGATACAAGTCCTTTGTTAAACATATAATTTGCAAATATTTTCTTCTATCTGTGGTTGGTGCTTTTTTCCAGATGAGAGACCTAAACATATTTATGTACCCATGGGAAGGTAGCAGGAGAGAGGAAACAGGTAAGTCCCATGAGGGAGAAGGGGTATGATAATTGACATGCAGAGATCTCTAAGGAAGCAGAAAGGGGCAGGGCCCAGAGCCTGGGGAGACCACCCTTTCTTGGGCTGGATGGGAGGAGGTGAGGATAGGGTAACAAGGATATGAGATGTGAAACTGATGAAAGCTTCCCAATGGCTTCATTTTCGTTTTTTCTGTAAAGGACAGTACGAGGCAAGATCATCTGCTGAGAGTGAGGGAGGTGAGAGTGAGCAGAGCCCGAGAAGAGGGGTGAAGATTTAGGGGAATGGCTCTAAGAAATGGGGGAGATTGATCTTCTGGGACACATAACATTGATTTTAAGCAGTGATTGGAACAGCAATAATCACACAGCCTCTCCCAGCTCTGCTTGGAGGGTTGCAGGCAAAATCATAATTGGGCAGGTGAGCTGCTGTGGAGAGGCGGGAATCCAGGCCTCCAGGTCCAGGGTCTATGCCCCACCTCATGACCCATCTCTCTTCAGCTGCTCCCCCACCACGACTGAAGCCACCAGACCCTGGCTCCTTCCCAAGTTCAGGCTTTCTCATGACTGTAATTCAATCCAAGTGTGGCAGGATGGGTTCTTCAGGAAGCAGACTCTGAGATTAGAATAGGGAGTGCTCTGTGGCTCAACACCTGGGGAAGAAAAGGGAGAAAAATAGAATTGGGCAGGGGAGAAGTTAGGCCACAGTATAGACTCAGCAAAGACCTTGGCCAACCGCATGGGGCACTCTGAAGCTGGAACAACCTCTTTCGAGTTGTCCTGTGTCAGGGACAGATCTGGCCTTTAATACTCAAGCACAGATCAGTCATTGGATGTGGATCTTCTAGAAAGGGGGAAGTTATTTTGATCCAGGTTGCTTTCTTCAGCAGATGCAATTCCCAAAGAGGATTTACAGCCGTGAGCTGTCTTCCTGCAGTCTTTCTAGCACCTGGAGGGCTAGGTCCTTCAACCACAATGGGGATCCACAGCATCTGCCACAGTACTGAACATTTAATTAGCCCTTATTCTATGCCTGACCTAGCGTTTCCTTCAAAAGCAGTGGGGGGCTTAGAAGCTTCAGGAACTTACTTGAGGCATCCAGGTACAGGTATCAGACTCCTACACAGCAGTAAGAGGCCTTGGGTTCTACTCCTAGTTCAGCTACTGACTCACTATGGTGATATCAGGGAAGTCTCTGAGCTCTTTCAGGCTATTTCCCTGTCTGTATATGAGGGTCGAGCTGAAGTCCTTGCCCAATAGTCTATGGCTTTATAGTACCTAAAATCATGGATGGCATATTGGGCTGTTCTCAAATTGCTATAAAGAAATACCTGAGACTGGGTAATTTATCAAGAAAAGAGGTTTAATTGGTTCACGGTTCAGCAGGCTGTACAGGAAGCATGAAGCTGGCATCTGCTCAGCTTCTGAGGAGACCTCAAGAAACTTACAATCATGGTGGAAGGTGAAGAGGAAGCCAGCATCCCAGTGTTCCTTTCAACTCCTCCAACCTTTCTCAAAATGGTTTTTAGCTCTTCCCAGAAGCATGAATGGTTTCTGCCTCTACAAAGAGACATGACTGGATGCTGTATTTGATAGGCAAGGTTCTTGGAGGTCATTCTGTCTATTGCCTTGTTTTCTGGCATCAGAGGCAGAGATATCCCTATTTCCTAGAGAGTTATAGTCTCACATTAGTCATTGGCAACTTTGGGGGGCTTCATGGGATTTGAAAGAGGCCAGAGTGCAAGATAAAAATGATTAGAAGTCTGCTTTTGCTTTGGGAAGGAATAAAAAACCCTCGCACCATCCCCCACTCTAGATACCCCATTCCGTGGAGGCAAGTTCATTCACATTTCTCAGGACAATCTTCTGTCCACCTGCCTCAGCTGCTCATTATAGGAACAGGTTTCTGTAGATGGTTTGTGCTTTTTGTTTTTCTAAGAAGAAACAATCTTCATTTTTCAGCTCTACATTTTGCTCTCTGAATACCAATGACCAGAATGAAATTAGAAAGAAAGCGGTGCCACCACTCACGTTTCTGAACTAATGCAGAATGTACAGCAGAAAATGAGCCAAACAACAGTTGGGCCTGATCCTTGGAGCCACAGCACGGGGAGGGTGAAAGGCCCTCAAACATCACCTACTCCTCTATTCCCATTTTACAGACAAGAAAACAGGAAAGAGTGAATGGGATGAATGAAAGTTACAAAGTTGCACAAGAATCACTGCCTCTACTAAGTAGGAGATTCTTTCTTCTTCTTTGTCTTCTTTTTTTTTTTTTTTTTTTTTTTTTGAGACGGAGTTTTTCTCTTGTTGCCCAGGCTGGAGTGCAATGGCGTGATCTCGGCTCACTGCAACCTCCGCCTCCCAGGTTCATGAGATTCTCCTGCCTCAGCCTCCCGAGTAGCTGGGATTACAGTTGCCTGCCACCACGCCCAGCTAATTTTTTGTATTTTTAGTAGAGACGGGGTTTCACCATGTTGGCCAGGCTGGTCTCAAACTCCTGACCTCAGGTGATCCACGCATCTTGGCCTCCCAAAGTGCTGGGATTACAGGCGTGAGCAACCACACCTGGCCAAGGGGATTCTTCTTAAGAAGAAAAGGGAGGGTCTCAGAACATGCTCTCATATTTGAAAATGGCAGAAAAGAAACAAATAGTTTTAAAAACAATCAAAACATAACAGGGCTAGAAAACAAAATGAAGAACCATTAGCAAACCAGAAATATTGGAGAATTTTTAGAAGACAGAAAGTAGATGGGGCTTCAGATTTTTATCTTGGTGCTGGATGGAGTGGACTGCAGATTCCCTCCCCAAGACTTGGCCCTAGAGATATTGTATAAGGGAGAGAGGGATGATGTACCCAGAATCTGACCCTGAGAAACAAAAGGTAGATGGGTCCCAGTCGGCTGAGCACTGCAGCCTAGAGTGGTGACAGCCAGAGGTCATGGGTCGATATAAATCTGGGAGAGGGCTTTCTTATTGCTTTTCTGTCCCCCATACTTCTCTGGGTGGAGGGTAGCCTGCCCTTTCACCTCTGTGGGCAGAAAATATCAACACAGCACCAGCCGAAAATAGCAAGGTAACCTCAAGGCAATTCTGGGGCCAGCTGAACTGGCTGGTGGAAAACAGATTCAATAGATGAAGGCTGGCCAGGAGCCATGGAGCAGCCTCTCCTTCCTCTTCTACCCTTGGTTGGGATAAAAGACAAAGCAGAGTGAGGCAGCTCTTGGAAAAGAGCAGCGACTAGGGCAGAGGGTCTCTGGAAGGTGAGGCACTTCACTCTGGCTTGTCTGTGGACAGGTGGCAAATGGCGAATAGCTGCCAGAGGCTCTGCACCCTGAGGCACTCCCCTCATACCTTTGCCTAGAGGAGCCAAAGCTGGAGCCCCGTCTTTAACCTCACTCCTTCCCACGGAGTATACATTATTCACCAAGATAGCTGACACTTTTAAGGGAAGATGAACTCAGAGCCAAAACAACCACCAAATGAATGACTAGCAAAAGGGGTAGTATGGGCCGGGTGTGGTGGCTCACGCCTGTAATTCCAGCACTTTGGGAGGCCGAGGCAGGCGGATCACGAGGTCAGGAGATTCAGACCATCCTGGCTAATACGGTGAAACCCCGTCTCTACTAAAAGAATACAAAAAATTAGTGGGGCGTGGTGGCAGGCGCCTGTAGTCCCAGTTACTTGGGAGGCTGAGGCAGGAGAATGGCATGAACCTGGGAGGTGGAGCTTGCAGTGAGCCGAGGTAGCACCACTGCACTCCAGCCTGGGTGACAAAGCAAGACTCTGTCTCAAAAAAATAAAAAATTTTAAAAAGTCGTATGAACAGACTAGGCAGAAGAGGGATTTACCATAAGGACAATATACATCCTCCAAGACATAAGGGAGGACACTGTAAATATCAAGCAAGATAAGCAATGATTTAAAAATAACTAGAAATGTTGGCAATGACAACATTTAATAACCGTTACAACAAATAACTCAGTAGATGGAGTAAATAGCAGAATGTATTCAGCCAAAAAATAAATTAGAGAGTTGGAAGATCAGGCAGAAGACAATCACCAAAATCAAAAATATTGGGGCCAGGTGACTCATGCCTGTAATCCCAGCACTTTGGGAGGCTGAGGCGGGTGGATCACGCGATCAGGAGATCGAGACCATCCTGGCCAACATGGTGAAAACCCATCTACTAAAAATACAAAAATTAGCCAGGCGTGGTGGCACGTGCCTGTAGCCCCAGCTACTTGGGAGCCTGCAGAGGCAGGGGAATCACTTGAACCCGGGAAACGGAGTTTGAAGTGAGCCGAGATTGTGCCACTACACTCCAGCCTGGCAACAGAGCAAGACTCCATCTCAAAAACAAAACAAAACAAAACAAAACAAAACAAAAAACAGAAAAGGTCTAAAAATAGAAAATATAAAGAAAAGTGGGCCAGGCGTTGTGGTGGCTCACACCTGTAATCCCAGCACTTTGGGAGGCTGAGGCGGGTGGATCACCTGAGGTCAGGAGTTCAAGACCAGCCTGGACAACATGGTAAAACCCCATCTCTACTAAGAATATAAAAATTAGCTGGGCATGGTGGCGTACACCTGTAGTCCCAGCTACTCAGGGGGACTTGAACCCGGGAGGCAGAGGCTGCAGTGAGCTGAGACTGTGCCACTGCAGTCCAGCCTGGGTGACAGAGCAAGACTCTGTCTCAAAAAAAAAAAAGAAAAGTTATATGGATGATAAAAGTATAAGGGCCTACATCCATTTAACAGGAGTCTCAGAAAAAGAAATAACCAGAAAAATATTTTAAGACACAATGTCCAATTATTTCTCATAATTAAAGATGTAGGGTCTCAGATTGAACAGAGCCCTTGAAGCATGGCCAGCTTTTCCCATGGAACATTTGCCGAGTGCCTGAGGGGCATGGAAGGCTGTGGGAGGGACACAGAATAACAAAGTGAAAATTTCCACCCTCACAGTAATTAGGAGACAACAATCTGTAGAGGAAGGGGGACTTGTGTCAAACGCACAGCTGGTCCCGCTCTCCTATTTGCCAAAATTGAAGTCGTGTTAAGTGGGAAGCTAAAGAGCCAAGCTCAAACCTCTAAGAGGCATAAATGAATGTTCCGTCGTGTGATATGTCTGAGGAGGTAGACTTGACAAGCTCTCCATCAAACCAGAGACTGAGTCTAGCAGAACTACAATTCAACCTCAATCTAGTTTATTCTCTGATCATATTGTTGTGATTGGCCTCTTACCTTACCTGCCTAATAAGAAAAGGGTAAAACGTGCCGGGCACAGTGGCTTATGCCTGTAATCCCAGCACTTTGGGAGGCCGAGGTGGGTAGATCACCAGGTCAGGAGATCGAGACCATCCTGGCTAACACAGTGAAACCCCGTCTCTACCAAAAACACAAAAAATTAGCCAGGCGTGGTGGCATGTGCCTGTAACCCCAGCTACTTGGGAGGCTGAGGCAGGAGAATCGCTTGAACCCAGGAGGCAGAGGTTGCAGTGAGCTGAGATCGTGTCACTGCACTCCAGCCTGGGCGACAGAGCGAGACTCCATCTCAAAAAAAAAAAAAAAATGTATAAGTTGTGTGAAAAGGCAGAAAAATATAACCTCACTTTCTCAGGAGATGAAAAGATAATAAAGACCCACAGATGACTCAGATATTGTAGGGCAGAAAAAACATTTTAAATAACTATTACAAATATGTTTAAATATGATAATTGAAAATGCAACAAAATAGTTAAAAAGAAAACTTTGTCAGAGAATTGTAATCTATAAATATAGCAAATGGACTTTCTGGAACTGCAAAATACAGTATCTGAAAATAAAAATTCTTTGGATGGATTTAACATTAGACAGGATTAGTGAACTCAAAAGTTCATGCTTGAATATAAATTATGCAAACTGAAGCCCACAGAGAAAAAAAGGATGGAAATAACAGAGCACATCAGACATACAAGAAACAATCAAAAGTTTGAATATATGTGTAAATGGAGTCCCAAACAGAGGAGAGAAAGAATAAGACAGCAGCAAAAGTGGAAGAGCTAATGATCAAGAACCCTCCCAAACTGATCGAAGACATCAATGTACAGATTCAAGATGCTGGGTCAAACCCAAGCAAGATAATTACAAAGAAAACCACACCTAAGCACTTCCTTGTCAATAAGCCAAACACCAAAGCTAAAAGGCAAATCTTAAAAGCAACTAGAGAATAAAGACACATGACTTTCAAAGAAGAAAAAGTAAGATTTGATGATTTTGCATCAAAAACTTTAGAAGCTGGAAGGATATTGAATGACATCTTTAAGATGCTCAAAGAAAAAAACTGCAAATATTCTATATCTAGCAAAAATACCCTTCAAAATATGAGGGCAAAATGAAGATACTTTCAGACAAACAAAACTGCAATAAAGATAATGGGCTATTAGTGAAAGGATAGTCAAATAAACTACTGGAATCAAATAGAGAGTCACAGAAACAGACTTATACACATAAAATCAAATGATTTTTAATAAAAGTATCAAAACAATTCGATGGGGAAAGGAAAATATCCTTAACCAATGGTGCTTAGAGAATTGAATATCCGTATAGGAAATAAAGGACATCAACCGTTGTCTCACACTATACACAAAATCCAACTTGATGGATCACAGACCTAAACATAAGAGCTAAAATAATAATGAAGCTACTAGAACTGCTAGAAGAATATCTTTGTGATCTCAGAGTAAGCAGTTAATTCTTAAGGAGGATCCAGAAAGCATAAATCATAAAAGAAAAGATTAATAAGTTAGACTTCATCAAAATTTAAAACTTCTCTTCATCAGAAACCACCATCAAGAAAATAAACAAGAAAGCTGCCAAGAGAAAATATTCACAACACATATATCTAATGAAGATTCTTGCATCCATAAAATATAAAGAATTCTTGCAACCCAGTAATTTAAAAAAAAAAACCACAATTTTTAAATGGGCAAAAACTCAGACATTTTATAAAAGAAGATATACAAATGGCCAATAGGTAGATGGAAAAAGTGCTTAAAATCATTATTCATCAAGGAAATGCAAATAAAACAACAATTAGGCACCACTACATACTTGATAGAATGGTTAAAATGAAAAAGATTTATAACACTAAATGCTGGAGAAGATGTAGAGCAATTAGAACTCTCATACATTGCTGGTAGGAGTGTGAGATGAAATAATTGCTTTGGAAAACTGAGGTAGGAGGTGGGACTCAACTCCGAAGGCAGAGCTCAGACACCAGCCCAAATTGAGGAGTAGCTAAAAGAGAATGGAAGCAGCTTTCCATAAGACATGCGCACCAGTGTGCCATGTCAGCTTACCATTGCCATGACAACTACCCAACGACCCAGAAGTTACCACCCTTTTTCTAGAAATTTCTGCATACTCTGCCCCTTAATTTGCATGTAATTAAAAGTGGGTCTAAATATGACCACAGAACGGCCTCTGAGCTGCTACTCTGGGCACACTGCCTGTGGGGTAGCCCTGATCTGCAAGAAGCAGTACCTCTGCCGCTGCTGTGCACTGCTGCTTCAATAAAAGTTGCGAATACCACCAGCTCAACCTTGAATTCTTTCCTGGGCGAAGCCTCAAACCCTCCTGGGCTAAGCCCCAATTTGAGGCTTTGCCCACACTACATCAAAACTAATGGTTTCTTAAAAAGTTGGCCAGGCCGTGGTGGCCATGCCTGTAATCCCAGCACATTGGGAGGCTGAGGCAGGCGGATCACCTGGGGTCAGGAGTCCGAGACCAACCTGGCCAATGTGGTGAAACCCCTTCTGTACTAAAAACATGAAAATTAGCTGGGCATGGTGGCATGTGCCTGTAATTCCAGCTACTTGGGAACCCGAGGCAGGAGAATTGTTTGAACCCTGGAGGCAGAGGTTGCAGCAAGCCAAGACTGCACCACTGCTCTCCAGCCTGGTAACATGGCAAGAGTCCATCTCAAAAAAAAAAAAAAAAAAAACAAAAAGAAAGAAAGAAAAAAAGTTAAATATACATCTACACTATGACCCAACATTTCCATTCCTAGAGAGATAAGAGCATATGTCCACAAAAAAGCTTTGTATAATAATGTTCATAGCAGCTTTATTCATAATAGTACTGAAGTAGAAACAATCCAGATGCTCATCCAAAGGAGAAGGAACAAACAGTGGTGTATTCATACAATGAAATACTACTAAGCGATGAAAAGGAACAAACTGCTGATGCAAGTAACAACAGGGATGGTTCTCAAAAATACTATGCTGATGGAAAACAACCAGGCACATCAAAGTACATTCTGCTGTAATTCCATTTACATGAAACTCTAGAAAGGCAAAACTAACGTAATAATGATAGAAATGAGGGTGGTGGTTGCTTCTGGAGGGCAGAAAGATTAACTGTAAAGGAGCACTGGGGACTTTCTGAGGTAAAGAAGATGCTCTGTGTCCACCAAACTGAGTACAGAGTTTACTGAAGATCTATGAATTTCACTGCATGGAACTTATACCTCAATAAAAAATGCCATGCTTGATGAAGGCACAAAGCCTTGAAAGTTACAGATGAGGCAAGGATGGACAATATCCCCACCCCTAGTCAATGTGGACACTGAAGTAAGACAATAAGAAATGAAGATTTAAGATTTGAAAAGAAGAGACAAAGCTGTCATTATATTCAGGTGACAGATGTGATCATATGCATAGAAAACTCAACAGAACATCATTTAAAAAAAATAAGCACAGTTGCAATCTTTTAAAATATTTGAAAATAAGTAGCATTCCTCTACATCAGATATTACCAAGTAGAAAATATAATATAAACTGAGATACCATTCGCAGCAGCAAAAAAAAAAATCCCATCTATACTATATAGCATTGAAAGATAAACATAGGCACGACCACCAGGTGCAGTGGCTCATGCCTGTAATCCCAGCACATTGGGAGGCTGAGGTGGGGGGATCACTTGAGGTCAGGAGTTCAAGACCAGCCTGGCCAACATGGTAAAACCCCATCTCTACTAAAAGTACAAAAATTAGCCAGGTGTGGTGGCACAAGCCTGCAGGTCCCAGCTACTCGGGAGACTGAGGCATGAGAATCACATGAGCCTGGGAGGCAGAGTTTGCAGTGAGCCAAGATCATGCCATTGCACTCCAGCCAGGGTAACAGAGCAAGACTCTGTCTCAAAAAATAAATAAATAAATAAATAAAAGAAAAGAAAAGATAAACTTAGACACCTTAAAATCTTAATGAGTTTATTTGAGCATTCTGCGATTCATCAGTCAACACCAGACTATAAGCAGGTCAGTGCTCTACTGAGAAGATACAAAGGAGAAATTTTATAAGGTGCTCATGAAAGCAAGACAAAGAAAATATTTAATTGGTTAAAGTTGGAAAGTCCGTTAGAAGTTTAGCTAACAGTTTCTGATTGGTTTAGCCTAAGTTTCATTTTACAGTTTACAGTGAGTTGGGGTTTGGTTTCTCTGGTAAGAACCTCATGCATTAGAGGGTCTCATCCTAATGACATCCCAATTATCTATTTTAACAATATAAATAAGCCTATCAAAGAATATACAAGAAAAGTTTTAAAACTCTAATAAAATACATAAAGACTAGAAAAAATGGAAAGACATGTCATGTTAGAGAATGGAACATTTGGGGTGGGCACGGTGGCTCACGCCTGTAATCCCAGCACTTTGGGAAGCTGAACGGGGGCAGATCACTTGAGGTCAGGAGTGACCAGCCTGGCCAATATAGTGAAACACTATCTCTACTAAAAATACAAAAATTAGCTGGGTGTGGTAGCAGGCACCTGTAGTCCTACTTGGGAGGCCAAAGCATGAGAATTGCTTGAACCCAGGAGGCGGAGGTTGCAATGAGCCGAGATCGCGCCATTGCACTCCAGCCTGGGTGACAGAGCAAGACTCCATCTCAAAAAAAACTAAGAATGGGCCAGGCATGGTGGTTTATGCCTGTAATCCCAGCACTTTGGGAGGCTGAGGTGGGCAGATCACAAGGTCAGGAGATCAAGACCATCCTGGCCAACTTGGTGAAACCCTGTCTCTACTAAAAATACAAAAATTAGCCAGGTGTGGTGGCACACACCTGTAGTCCCAGCTACTTGGGAGGCTGAGGCAGGAGAATCACTTGAACCTGGGAGGCGGAGGTTGCAGTGAGCCGAGATCACGCCACTGCACTCCAGCCTGGGCAACAGAACAAGACTCCATCTCAAAAAAAAAAAAAAGAATGGAAAATTTTAACATCACAAAGACGTTAATTGTCTTTCAAAATCATCTATACATTTAGTACAATTTATATCAAAAGGTTTTAGCAACTTAAAATATTCTGAAATACATAGGGAAGAATAGAAATTCACAGATAATTAAGACAACTGTGAAGAAGAGCAGAGATTCTCTACAAAGCAAAGATATTGATAGCGACAGGAGGCAGAGAAATTCTGCCTGAACCTGCAGCCCAAAATGAAAACTTACATCCCTGTTTTCCTGCTTGAATATTGCCTTTTCAAAAACCACCCATGGCCCACACTGTCCCCCATCCTGTGCACATAAAAACTCCAGGCTCAGCCAGTAGAGAGAGGAGAAGCAGTTGAATGTCAGAGACTACAGCTGGAAGTCAGAGAGAAGCAGCTTGACTTCAGAGGGACAGCTTGACAGTGTAGCTTCAGAGAGGAGTCCAGCCAAGGACAGCTGGACTTCAATGGAAGATTACCTTCCCACTTTGTCTCCTTTTCAGCTCCCCTACCCACTGAGAGCCACTTTCATTGGCAATAAAATTCCCCGCATTTACCACCTTCAATTCAATTCATTTGTGCAACGTCATTCCTCCTGTATGCCAGACGAGAACTCGGGTGCCTCAAGTGTGGGTGCAAAAGGCTGCCACACTGACCCTCCACTGAGCTGTTAACTCTTAAGCAGTCCACAGATGGCAAAGCTAAAAGGGCACTGTAACTCTCCTTCTGGGGCTTCAGAGGTTGCAGGGACGACCCCCAGTCACTGCTACAGGGCCCACATGGAGTTTTGCTCCTATCAGCACCCAAAAGCACTCACCCTGGCTCCTGCACCTGCTCACATGTGCTCCCCTTCCTACGAGCGGTGGAGCACTGCGGGCTGAGTAAGTGAAACACCCCTTTCGCAAGGCCTGGGAAGGGGTCATGAAAATATCCTGTTTCAATATTCTACAAAAATATAGTACTATACTAGAAAGAATTGGAACAAACATATAGACTAGTGGGACAAAAACAGATTTCATAAATTTGAAATATAAAAATGGAACCATAAATCAGTGGAGAAATTATTAATTTTATAGTTGATGGTATTAAGAATATTCGCTCCTTTTATGGATTAAAAGAAAAGATCCCTACTTCACACCTTAAGAAAAAGGTGAACTCTAGCTGTATTAAAATTTAGATATGGAAAGTAAAATACATAGTTAATAGGAGAAAGTATATAATTACATATTGTGGCTTTGGGATGGGGAAAGGATTTTTAAAATAAGACCCCAAAAGCAAAAACTTTCATCTGGAAAAATTGGTGAATGGATCTACACCAACATAAAGGATTTCTACACAGTGAAGGAAGGATGCTATGGACAAAATTAACAGATGAAGGATGGAGAGAAGATATTTTCAATGTTTAAAACTGATGAGGGGCTGGGCGCAGTGGCTCACATCTGTAATCTCAACACTTTGGGAGGCCAAGGTGGACGGATCACAAGGTCAAGAGTTCGAGACCAGCATGGCCAACATAGTGAAACCCCGTCTCTACTAAAAATACAAAAAATGCAGCTGGGCATGGTGGCACATGCCTGTAATCGCAGTTACTTGGGAGGCTGAGGCAGGAGAATCACTTGAACCTTGGAGGCGGAGGTTGCAGTGAGCCAAGATCGCACCATTGCACTCCAGCCTGGGCGACAGGAGTAAAACTCTGTCTCAAAATAAAACAAAACAAAACAAAACAAAACAAATGTACTCCCTGATGAGGGAGTACATAACATTTTCTAGATCCTACAAGGAACTCTAACAATCAACAACAAAAGACAGAAACAACAATAAAAAATAGGCAAATTATGTGAGATAGTACCATTCCACAAATATTTCTTCTTCTCCTCCTGGATACATGGCTATGATTAGCGGCCATATTTCCACTTGCCTGCCTCCTTGAAGTTAGGTGTGGCCATAGGACTTGCTTTGTCCATAAAATTTAAGTGACAAGTATCACTTCTAAGTAGAAGCTTTAAAAGCCAATGTGCTGTTTACCACATTTTCTTTCCCTTTGGTGTGATGACAAGCAATGTTAGAGATGGTGGCCACTCCATTGGCCTGGGCCCCTGAGTGGCTATGAAAGGAGACCACTGCTGACTTGCAATGACCAAGAAATACTCTTTGGGGTGTTAGGCCATTATGATTTTATGGTTGTTTAAGGTTGTTTGTCACCACAGCATAATCCATCTATCCTGGTTGATACAGAAGTGGAGTCCTACCTGCCGTAATATAATCAAAAATATGGCTTTGAAGGCTTAGGAGCTGGCCATCAGGTTGCAAGGAAACTGTTAGCAACTGTTGAAAGGATGGCGATTCATGTTTTTGTCATTCTTTCTTTCTTCCTTTCTTTCTTTTTCTTTCTTTCCTTCCTTCCTTCTTTTCTTTCTTTCTTTCTTTCTTTCTTTCTTTCTTTCTTTCTTTCTTTCTTTCTTTCTTTCTTTCTTTCTTTCTTTCTTTCTTTCTTTCTTTCTTTCTTTCTTTCTTTCTTTCTTTCTTTCTTTCTTTTTTATGGCATCTTGCTCTGTCTCCCAGGCTGGAGTGCAGTGGCACGATCTCAGCTCACTGCAACCTCCGCCTCCCAGGTTCAAGTGCAATTCTCCTGCCTCAGCCTCCCGAGTAGCTGGGATTACAGGCGTGTGCCACCACACCTGGCTAATTTTTGTGTATATATATTTTTAAGTAGAGACAGGCTTTCACCATGTTGGCCAGGCTGGTCTCAAACTCCTGACCTCAGGTGATCTGCCTGCCTCAGCCTCCCAAATTGCTGGGATTACAGGCATGAGCCACTGTGCCTGGCCAGTGATTCATGTTATGCAGTGGCAAAATATTGGAAGGTAGATCTGCAAAAACTTGGAAGGTAGCTCTGAAAAGGAAGACAGGAGAGAGCATAAGTTTTTATTGACTGTATTTGAGATAAGCTCAGAAAATAATTGGCAAGTTTCCAAGTAGCAATGAAAGGAAATTGAGAAGAACTAGAAAACTGGAGTCTTGCAAAGTTGGAAGTTGTGAATAACTGCTTCTCAACCCTAACAAGTAAAAGGAAAAATGAGCAGGACTTTGAAGGACAAAGACCAATTAAAATTTCAGGCTTTCAACAAGGATCAAATTTATGGCTGTTTCATCCAGTGATAAAAACCTTTGAATGGATGAAGATGTCTCAAAGTGAATGTCAACTAAGGGTGAGATATTCAATAATTCCTTTTAATTTGACAAAATGGTTCTGGGAAAAGAGACTAAATGTGTGGCTTTTCCCCCAAAGCCTGATAAGCTTAACACCTTACCTGCAATTAAGTGAAGGGGAAGGGTTGGGGAAAGGAAGAAACAAGAAATGTAGCAAATTCAGGAAATATATCTAGAAAATAACTATAGATGAGCTCTGCCATATGGAACTGACTGGAATCAAATAAATAAGAAGGCTACTAAATTTTAGGAGTGTTGCCAAAGAAATTATGAGTGAAAAAAAGTTTAAATTTGAGTCTTAAAGGGGCTAGGGCACCCAACCACCAGTGGGCAGGAAATGGGCTGATGGTTTCTTCAGATAATGGAGAAGAAAGAATCTTCCAGAAGGTAGAGCCAGAGGAACAAGAAGAAGAACAAAGGACAAAGTAGCTACTCCCAGGGCAGGAAATCAGGGCCAAAGCAAGAACCATGTGCATCCCGAGGAGAGGAGGTGGGGAGGACTCCATGTGATGTTTCAGACAACTCCCTTAGATACAGAAGGAGTGTATTTTTTCTGAGGGGAAATAAAGCAAACTGAATATTTGTTGACCAGGAGGACAAACAATGGTTGTTATTAGTGCTGTTCCCCAAATATCTCCAGGCCTTTTTCCTTCTGCACACACAGTAGGATTGTACATTTTAAAGCATTAATTAGAAATTTATAAGATGTCACGGATGTATATTTAAAACACAATGTTGACTAAAAAAGAAAACAAGGCTTTTAGTACCATTTATACTAGTTAAAAATACAAACATACATGAGGCAAAAATACATTCATCCTAAGAAGAGGAGCAGGAGTTGCGATGGTGCATGTTAAAGAAGAGATGATCCATGACACTTGTCAAGGATGCCATGGTGATAGGTATAGGGACCACCGCAATGAGGTCTTGCAGTAGGGGAGAGAGACTGGACCCAACCCCAACTCCAACAAGGACACGCAGGAATTTATAACCAAGGAGCAGGGTGGAGGATCAGGGAATTGAAAATTACTAAGCAGAAACATCAGGGCTACTCAACAGAATTCTTGCTGAAGATAGGCCAGGGTGGTCAGATATCAGGGATGGTGAATTTTCATTAAACTGACTTGAGGATTCTAGCTCAAACTGGATTCTTCAATGACAGAGAGAAAAGCCCAAGGACGGGCCAGGTAAGCAGAAGACTCAGGGGAGTCTGACTAACATTTTGGTGAAAAGAGACTGCCTTTGTCATGCATGAAGACCAAAATAAATAAAGTAATAGTATTAGTAATAATAATCAGAGAGGAACATTATAGATTGATGATAATTGATTGCTATGAAGATTAATTCAATCTAATGCACTAGAGGTCCATAAAAGCAAAGATTAATTAATGAAGGTGGTATTTAATTGGTGGAGAAATCACAGCAGAGAAATTCACATCCGAAATAGATGTAGCAGAGATTTGAAATATAAGTTAGAGATGTTTTTTCCTCAAAGAGTTTCCAGGAGTCAGCAAAGGCAAGGAGCAGAAGTGGAACTTGGAGTCACAAATTAAAGGTCTGCCCTGGAGCAACTGAGCCAGTCATCATTCTATATAAAGCAGTTGGCTGCAATGTTTCACTGCAGGATAAAGCCATGATTACCACTCTCTGATTACTTGGAGAATCTGCCTGGGGGACTCTTAGGTCTTGAGATGAGAGAATCAGATCAGGACCCAGATAATTCTGTAAATTCAAAATGTAAGTGGAAGAAAGGGAAAAATAGAAAGGCAGCTTCACCCATGATTGAAATAAAGCACTCACCTCTAAAATAAAACCTTCCTTTTATAGCAATTGTGGGAGCTGATCTGACTGTTACTGACCTTGGCACACTGAGAGCCTCCCATCAATCTTATAATTAAGGAGAAATGTCAGCTGTGGAAATGGAGTTTCAATTGTTAAGAGAATGAATGTAAGTTATGAATCAGCCTAGATTTGTATTTATAAAATATAAATGGACAATTAAGAATCAATAGACATTTTAGGAAACCAACAGTATGGAAGAGAAAATCCAAGATGAACAAACAGGATGTTTAATTATGGAGGAAACAGAGTTAATTCAGAAAACAGAAGACCTTAAAAATAGTTTTTAAAGTGAATTAGTGTCCTTGGGGATAATCAAGAGCAAACTTCACCTACAAAATAAGAATATGCTGGCCAGGAGTGATGGTTCATGCCTGTAATCCCACCACTTTGGGAGGCCAAGGCGGGCGGATCACCTGAGGTCAGGAGTTTGAGACCAGCTTGGCCAACATGGCAAAACCCCGTCTCTACTAAAAATACAAAAATTAACCGGGTGTGGTGGCGTGCGCCTGTAATCCCAGCTACTTAGGAGGCTGAGACAGGAGAATCGCTTGAACCCAGGAGGCAGAGGTTGCAGTTAGCTGAGATCACGTCACTGCACTCCAGCCTGGGTGACAGAGCAAGACTCTGTCTCAAAAAAACAAATAAACAAAAAAAAAATGAAAAAATAAAAATAAAAAATAAAATAAGAATATGCTGCTGTGAAAAGGTAGCAATAGAAAAACAAAAGAAACGTTGGCATTTATAAAGCTAATTGCCAAATAAAATTCAAAATTAAATATTAGAAGCCAATAATGCAATGGCCATGATTAAATGCCAATTAAAGGTCTGAATAAAGTCAAGGACATCTCTCAGAATGAAGACCATAAAAATAGAGATGCAGAATACTGGAGAAAAAATAAGAGCTGTGGAAGGTAGAGCTAGAACAGTGCTGTCCAATAGAACTTTCTGTGATGACAGGACTGTTCATTCTGTGCTGTCCAATATGGCAGCCACTTGTCACGTGTGTCTACTGATGATCTGAAATGTGGCTAATGTCACCAAGGAACTAAAATTTTAATTTACTTAATTTTAATTAACTAAAGTTTAAATCTTAATAGTCACCTGTGGCTTGTGGCTACTGTACTGAACAGCACAAGTGTAGAAGAGCCAATGGATGCTTCATAGAAATCCAGGAGACACAGAATAATAAACAGGTCATTCAAAAATAGTCCGGGGATGGTGGCTCATGCCTGTAATCCTAGCACTTTGGAGGCCGAGGTGAGCAGATCACCTGAGGTCAGGAGTTCAAGACCAGTCTGGCCAACATGGTGAAACCCATCTCTACAAAAATACAAAGATTAGCCAGGTGTGGTGGCGCAAGCCTGTAATCCCAGCTACTCAGGAGGCGGAGGCAGGAGAATCGCTTGAACCCGGAGGCAGAGGTTGCAATGAGGCGAGATTGCACCATTGCACTGCAGCCTGGATGACAACAGTGAGACTCCATCTCAAAATAAATAAATAAATAAATAATAAAAAATAGAGAAACTCGGCCAGGTGCAATGGCTCACACCTGTAATACCAGCACTTTGGGAGGCCGAGGCAGGCAGATCACTGGAGGTTGGGAGTTTGAGACCAGCCTGGCCAACATGACGAAACCCCGAAGCTACTGAAAATACAAAAATTAGCCGGGCATGGGGCACGTGCCTGCAGTCCCAGCTACTGGGGAGGCTGAGGCAGGAGAATCGCTCCAACTTGGGTGACAGAGCGAGACTCTGTCTCCAAAGGAAAAAAAAATAGAGAAGCTCTTACAACTCAATAACAAAAAAACAAACAACTCAATTTTAAAAAAATGGGCAGGCCGGGCGTGTTGGCTCAAGCCTGTAATCCCAGCACTTTGGGAGGCCCAGGCGGGCGGATCACGAGGTCAGGATATCGAGACCATCCTGGCTAACACGGTGAAACCCCGTCTCTACTAAAAATACAAAAAATTACCCGGGCGTGCCAGTGTGCGCCTGTAGTCTCAGTTACTCGGGAGGCTGAGGTAGGAGAATGGCGTGAACCTGGGAGGCGGAGCTTGCAGTGAGCCGAGATCGCGCCACTGCACTCCAGCCTGGGCGACAGAGCGAGACTCCGTCTTAAAAAAAAAAAAAAAAAAAGGGGAGTGGGGGCAAAGGACGGCCGGGCACGGTGGCTCACGTCTGTAATCCCAGCCCTTTGGGAGGCTGAGGTGAGTGGATCACTTGAGGTCAGGAGTTTGAGACCAGTCTGGCAAACATCGTGAAACCCCATCCCTACTAATAATACAAAAATTAGCCGGGCGTGGTGGTGGTGGTGGTGCCTATGGTTCCAGCTAGTCGGGAGGCTGGAACAGGAGAGTTGCTTGGACCCGGGAAGCAGAGGTTGCAGTGAGCTGAGATTGCGCACTGCACTCCAACCTGGGCCACAGAGGGAGACTCTGTCTCAGAAAAATAAATAAATAAATAAATAGGCAAAGGACTTGAATAGAAATTTCTCCAAAGAAGATAAACAAATGGCCAATATGCACATGACAGATGTTCAACATCACTGGCTATTAGGGAAATGCAAATCAAAAACACAATGAGATATCACTTCATACCGGTTAGGATAGCCATTATTTAAAAAAAAAATAAGAAAATAAGTGTTGGTGGGGATGTGAAGAAATTGGAACCCTTGTATCTTGTGGGCGGTAATATAAGATGATGTCACTTCTGTGGAAAACAATTGGCAGTTGCTCAAAAATTTTAATGTAAAATTACCATATCCAGCAATTCCATTGCTAGGTATGTACCCAAAATAATTGAATGTAAGGACTCAAATAGATCCTTGTGCACCAATGTCCATAGCAGCATGATTCACAATAGCCAAAAGGTGGAAACAACTCAAACGGACATCAACAGATGCATGGATAAACAAAATGTGATATATACACACTTTATGGGATATTACTCAACCTTTAACAAGAATGAAAGTCAGATACAACATGGATAAATCTTGAAAATATTATGTTGAGTGAAATAAGTCAGACACAAAAGGATAATTATTTTAAGATTCCACTTATAGGAAGTGCCAAGAATAGGCAAATTTATAGGAATAGAAAGTAGAACAGAGGTTAGCAGTGGCTAGGGAAGGAAGGAATGGACAGTTACTATTCAATGGGTTCAGAATTTCTGTTCAGGACGATGAAAAAGTTCTAAGATGGATAGTGGTGATGGTTGTACAACATTATGAGTGAACAAATGGCACTAAACTGCACACCTAAAAATGGATAAAATGGTAAATTTTGTTATATATATATACTTTACCACAATAAAACTTTTTTTTTGAAAAACAGAGTAATCACAAATACTAAGAATAAGAAAGGAGTTCAAAATAAAGATAAAAAGGGTAAGTGTACAGCTAATAAAAAATTAGTAGATCTAATTTTTCACTAATAAATTTAATAGAATGGATGATTTCCCAGGAGATGCATAAAATACCAAAATTGACGGTAAGAGGGTGGGAGCTTTTTCCTCTACCCACATAGGTTCTCTGGCTGGGGCTCTGAAAATTAACTGAGAAAAAACAGATTAACAAGGGAAAAACAAATAGTTTATTAGCATGTACAGTGGGCGTGTACCCAGGAGAAACTCAGTGATATGATGAAAAACTCAAAGAGGTGGTTAGAATGTGGGTTTATGCATCTTAACAAAGAACAATAAATTCGTAGAGAAGTGACAAGTCAAAGGAAAAAAAAAAAATCTTAGGCTCCCAAAGGCAGTAAACCATGGGAAAGTAAATATATGAGGGAAATTAATGGAGTAAGGTTTGTTTGTGCAGATCCATCTTGGCGCCAACTTCATCTTCTCTGTGGCCATAAAACTTCCCTAGAAGAGGAGATTTACAGCAGTCCTCATTTCTCAGAAGTTTCTGCTTCTCATGAGATAAGGGAAGCTCTGAGATGGCTTCTTTCTGCATCTGTTGAATCTGAAATAATTGTATGCCAAAGTGGCATGTTTTGGAGTGGCATATTTTGATCTCTACAAGACAAATTGTAAAAAGGAGTCAAAGAACGACATTCCGTCCACCTGCCCTGCCCTCCCCCACCAAGCCTCAGGGCTGTGGGGTTCTATAGGTAAGTACTTCACAATTTCAAGAAAAAACTAATTCCTATAATATCTATACTAGGGGTTTCTAAACTTGATTGCATATCACAATTACCTAGGTACATTTTTAAAAACATATATAGATTTCCTGGCTTCCCAGACTCAACAAACTTAAGTCTCCAAAATTTGGCCTGGGAATCTATATTTTTCATAAAGATTTTTTTTTTTCATTTCAGAAGTTACATTTAGTGGTTGTAAAAAACATCCAACAATATACAAAAGAAAAATTGTCTCCCCATTTTCTCCCTGATCTTACTCCTGCTGAAACAAATTTTATTAGTTTGTGTATAAATGTAACAACTTATATACATCCTTCCATATTTTTCCTGTGATTATACGAAGACAAGTGAAATATGTACTTTAAAATATATTCCCAGGTGACTGTAATGCAGTAAGTTACTGGATCAATATGTGGATGAATTTAAACTATCCCAGGGCATAGAAATACATGGAATGTGAACCAACCATTCTTTAAAGTTCCTGTAACCCTGAACCCAAAACCAAAGAAACATGACATAAAGGAAAAGAAAAGCTATATAACAATCTCATTTATGAAGATGGATGAAAAATTAAAAATAAAATTTTAGCAAAGATGATGGACCAAGCACAAACATTTGCCTTCTCTCCCTCCTGAAACTCAATTAGAATGCCAGTAAAAGAAAATGAGAACAGGCGTGGTGTCTCACGCCTGTAATCCCAGCACTTTGGGAGGCCAAGGTGGGCGGATCACTTGAGGTCAGGAGTTCAAGACCAGCTTGGCCAACATGGTGAAACCCCGTCTCTACTAAAAATATAAAAAATTAGCCAGGCGTGGCGGTGCACGCCTGTAGTTGGGAGGCCGAGGTGGGAGAATGGCTTGAACCCGGGAGGTGGAGGTTGCAGTGAGCCAAGATCATGCCATTGCACTCCAGCCTGGGCGACACAGCAAGACTTCTTCTCAAAAAAAAAAAAAAAAAAAAAAAAGCAGAAGAAAATGATCTGATTAGAGCAGAGAATGAGAGTAGACCATCACCAAAAAGAGACGTTCTGAGATTTGCAGAAAATAGTAAGTGGAGAGAAGCCGCTGATGGATGAGAAGTAGAAGTGGGCCCACTGTGCAGAGTAAGTGAAGGAAGCTGAGGGGCAGGTACACCCAGCAGAGCCCAAGAGCTGGCTGGTGAGGAAAGAAAAGTTATGAGAGCAGAGATTAAGTGGAAGTCTTTCCATAACAACTTCCCAAGGTGCCCTCCTTAGACCACGCCCTTTGCTATCTCTAGTCATGTAGAGCTCAGCTAGATGGGACTAACCATAGAGAATACCCTTCCCCCAGTGCTAAAAGTCAACTCCTAGCCCAGTCTCACTATAGTAACAAACTTCATCTTATGCCCGGAACAAACTTCATGAACAAACTTCATTATTATGCCTGGCCAACTTTTTCCTTCCAGGAGATACTAAATGGGAAAACAGACCTAGCTTCATGCAGTACCCAGGAAACTCAAAACTGGTACCCAGAAAAATCAACACGGTTTCTCTTTTTTTTTTTTTTTTTTGAGATGGAGTCTCGCTGTCGCCCAGGCTGGAGTGCAGGGGCGCGATCTCGGCTCACTGCAGGCTCCGCCCCCCGGGGTTCACGCCATTCTCCTGCCTCAGCCTCCCGAGTAGCTGGGACTACAGGCACCCGCCACCTCACCAGGCTAATTTTTTGTATTTTTAGTAGAGACGGGGTTTCACTGTGTTAGCCAGGATGGTCTTGATCTCCTGACCTCGTGATCTGCCCGCCTCGGCCTCCCAAAGTGCTGGGATTACAGGCGTGAGCCACCGCGCCCGGCCTCTCTTTCTTAAATATAAAAAAGCAAATGTATATCATTGCACATACAAATAAAAGAAACAGATCATGATAAAAATATATTTTTTAAAAAACTGGCTCAAAAGGAATAAAGAATGCAGACAACAGAAAACCGTTACAAACTATATTTCCAGAGAGACTTTTAAAATATAACATATCCATAAACAAGTATAGATTGCTATGGTAAAGGAACAATCATAGAATAAGAAACTGTTCCTTGTTATTATTAATTTTGTCGTTGTTGTTATTTACTAAGAAGACAAGGTCTCACTTTGTTGCATGGGCTGGTCTCAAACTCCTGGACTCAGGCAATCCTTCTGCCTTGGCCTTCCAAAGTGCTGGGATTATAGGCATGAGCCACCACACCCAACCAAGAAACTGTTCTTAAAATTTTAATTGTAATGGCTGAAATTAGAAATGTAATGGAAGAATTGGCAGATAAAGGAGATCTCTTAGAACATAGAGGAAAAAGCAAAAGAGATGGGAAATATGATAGAAAATATAAGAGACAATCAATACAGAAAGTCAAACATTCAGAAAGAGAATAAAAGAGCACAGAAGGTCATAATTTATCTCAAGTAATAAAGACATAATAGTTTTCAGATTGAAAGAGCCCAGCAAGTATTGCACATAATGAGTGAAAAAGACCCATACCTTGACATATCATTGTGAAATTTCAGAACACCAAAAATAAAATTTTTTAAAAGCTCCCCCCCAAAATTTTTTAAACTACTTGCATTGGTGCAAAATCAAATTAATAGTGGACTTCTCATCGGTAACATTAAATGCCAGAAGAAAATGGAGCAATGTCTTAAGACTTGTGAGAGAAAATTGTTTTTAAGCTAGCACTGTATAATACATCCAAACTATCAATCAAGTATGAGAACAAAATAAGGAATTTTCAGACAGACAAAGGCTAAGAAAGCATCTATCTCACATACTTTTTAAGAGAGAGAATCTTGAGGATATCATCAAGCAAAATGAAGGTGAAAACCAAGGAAGAGGAAGCGGTTGGATTCTTGATGTATTATCTATATTGCAATTAATGGCAGCTTAAAGAAATAAGGTTTTATTTTTCCCACATCACAGAATGTCTGGTCACAGGCATTTTATGACTGGCTTAGCAGCTCAGGGATGTCCTAAGTTTTCCTGACATCTTCTTTTTCCATTTCTGCCATCCCTAGCATTTGGTCTTCACCCTCCCTATCACAAGATGGCTGCAGTAATTCCAAGCATCAAATCTCCATTCTCAGTGAGAAGGAAGGAGGAAGTATGAAGACCAAATTTATTCCCATTAAAAAGGTTTTCCTGAGGCCCTACTCAGAAATTTGTATCTGTATCTCATTCGCTAGAATTAGATGGGTCTTAGAGTCATCTCTAGCTGAAAAAAGGAATCTGAAGGGCAAAGCCTCTTTCTCTCCCTCCCTTCCTTCTTTCCTTCTTGCCTTCCTTCTTGCCTTCTTGCCTTCTTTCTTTCTTTTCTTTTGTATAATGCCTCTCTGTGGGAAAAAATGAGGTTCTCCTAGTAATAAAGAAGAGGAGAAAAAGTATTGTGCAAGAAACTAACAGAATTTTTTACATACAAAATATTTGGTTCTAAGAGACAGGAAACTGGCTTAAGCAATAAGGAAACAGAAAGTCCAGATGCAGGGCTTCCAGAATTAGTTGAGTCATTAGCTCCATGATATCATCTGAAGCTCAGGTTGTTTCCATATCTCTGTTCTGCCACCTTAGTGTTGGCTTCAGCTTCAAGCTGACAGCAAGATGGCTGCCACAATTCCAGGTGTCATATCTAATTAGATATGACAATGTCCAGACAAAGAAAAAGGACTGTGTTTTCTGTTTTTTCCCGTCTTAGGGACGAAAATCTTTCCCAGAAGTCCCCTTGCTAATTTATTCTTGTGTCTCATTAGCCAGAATTGAGTCACAATTCTGAACCAATCGCTAGCAAAATGAATGGGATTATTATTGTTAATCTAGACTAATCCTCTGAGTGGGATGTGAGTTGGGGAATCTACCAGTGTTCATTACAATACTTCCTGTAGTGCTCATCTGGGGAAAAGAGTTTCACTAAGACCATACTGTAACAGATCTAGAAGCCAATCATTTCATATCAGAAAAACAGATCAGTTGGCCAGGTGCAGTGGCTCATGCCAGTAATCCCAGCACTTTGGGAGGCCAAGGCAGGTAGATCACCAGAGGTCAGGAGTTTGAGACCAGCCTGACCAACATGGTGAAACAAAAATTAGCCGAGTGTGGTGGCAGGCATGTTTGTAGTCCCAGCTACTGTGGAGGCTGAGGCACGAGAATCACATGAACCTGGGAGGCAGAGGTTGCAGTGAGCCGAGATTGTGCCACTGAACTCCAGCCTGGGAGAAAGAACAAGACTTCATCTCAAAAAAAAGGAAAAAGAAAAAGAAAAAGAAAAACAGATCAGTAGAATCCAACAAGAATGTCTTCAGGAAGAAGAGTAGAATTGATTCTCAGCAAAAATGGTAGATAAGAAGCTGGAAGAGCTTAGTGGCTTAGTCTTACATTAGTTTTCTCGACAAGAGGAAGGTAATTAGAAATTTTAGGAAAGAATGTGTACAACAAAGTCATGGTCCAAATATGAAGCAAAATAGAATCCATTGGACCTCGACTCATTCAAGTATTACGGGTTTGTATTATTGACCTCATAAAGAAGGAATTGTAAGTTGATCACACAGCTTGGCTCTGCAGTAAATATTTTTTTCTTTTCTTTTCTTTTTTTTTTTTTTTGAGGTGGAGTCTCGCTCTGTTGTCCAGGCTGGAGTGCAGTGGCGTGGTCTCGGCTCACTGCAACCTCCGCCTCCCAAGTTCAAGCCATTCTCCTGCCTCAGCCTCCCAAGTAGCTGGGATTACAGGCACATGCCACCATGCCTGGCTAATTTTTTGTATTTTTGGTAGAGACGGGGTTTCACTGTGTTAGCCAGGATGGTCTCAATCTCCTGACCTGGTGATCTACCCACCTCAGCCTCCCAAAGTGCTGGGATTACAGGCATGAGCCACCGCACCTGGCCAGTAAATATTTTCTTAATGACAATAATATACATTATTTTCTATTAGTTTTCAACTTTTGGAAGTAATCCCTAGGCAAAGCACAGAAGATTTAAATATGTTTACACAGCAAAATATAAATGGTAGGAACTACAGCAATGTGGGAATAAAGGGTATAGGTTATTAAATAAGCAGGGAGTTGGAAGTCAGGAAATAGAAATGAAGGGAAGGGTAGGGTGTTAGCCTCATTTTTTTTTTTTTTTTTTTTGAGACGGAGTCTCGCTCTGTTGCCCAGGCTGGAATGCAGTGGTGCGATCTCGGCTCACTGCAACCTCTGCCACCCGGGTTCAAGATCTTTTTTTTCAAAAAACCTTTTTTTTGTGACAGTCTTGCTTTGTCACCCAGGCTGGAGAGCAGTGGCGTGATCTTGGCTCACTGCCATCTGGGCTTACTGCAATCTCTGCCTCCCGGGTTCAAGTGATTCTCGTGCCTCAGCCTCCCAAGTAGCTGGGATAACAGGCGTGCGCCCCCAAGCCCAGCTAATTTTTGTATTTTTTGTAGAGACGGAGTTTCACCATGTTGGCCAGGCTGGTCTCAAACTCCTGACCTCAGGTGATCCACCTGCCTGGGCCTCCGAAACTGCTGGGATTACAGGCGTGACACCTTGCCCAGCCAATAACCTCATCTTACACAGTAATTGAAGATCCAAAGATATTATCAAAAGATGATGGAGTGACTGGGTGCAGTGGCTCATGCCTGTAATCCCAGCACTTTGGGAGGTGGAGGTGGGCGAATCACGAGGTCAGGAGATCAAGACCATCCTGGCTAACATGATGAAACCCCATCTCTACTAAAAAACACAAAAAAATTAGCTGGGCCTGGTGGCAGGCACCTGTATTCCCAGCTACTTGGGAGGCTGAGGTGGGAGAATGGCATGAACCCGGGAGGCGGAGCTTGCAGTGAGCCGAGATAGCACCACTGCACTCCAGCCTGGGCGACAGAGTGAGACTCCATCTCAAAAAAAAAAAAAAAAGATGACGGCGTGAGAAATACATTGTCAAGTATACTACTGAATACTTGAACACAGTAAATGAAGAACAACAACAAAAACATCACGTAACTATTCAAACTGGGAAGAGGGATGGAGAAAGTGGAGGGTAGGCTGAATCTTCATCATTCATAGCAGGAAGTTGAAAGATTAAAAAAATGTTGGCTTCAGAATATTATTTAACCTTATGAAAGCAACTAGTAGAAGAACTAAAAGAGAAACAGTTAAAAGTAGTTAACTCTAACTTGTACTTCTTCCTATGAAGGATTAAGTGCTACAAAAATTGCAATCCCATTATAAACAACTAGTAAACCAAGCAAAATATATAAAACAACGTGGGCAGCACAGGACTGCAATCCCTGAGTGAAGGGGCACAGGTATTGGGAGTTCTGCAATTGCTGCCTTCAGGCAGTTTTCTGGCTCTAGCGCAGGGAGAGGGACCCATCCAGAACCACCAGCCTTGTTGAGTTTAGAAGACAGAGACTGGAATTTGGGGAGGCTGAGGTGGAACCTGTGGGGCAGCCTACAGGGAAGGAGGAAGCTGCACACCAGAAAGCTCTAGAGATCTGCAAAAGGATCCTCTAAACTAGTCTTTGGCTGAGTGATGATCTGTACATGCCTGGGGTGAAACTCCAGGAGGGTGGGGTAAAAACCACTGGAAAACAGTTGTTCAAATAATTCCTGGAGCTCACACACAGCTAGAACTCGTTTTTGTTCCCATGAGCCAGAGTAAAGAGACTTTGTAAAATAGAGGGCATTCTCAGAAGCAGAAGGCCTTGACAGAAGACATAAATACACCTAGAAAAATGGCTGTTCTGATTCCGTAACTGCAGAAAAACAAGCCTCAAAAAGATCAAACTGATATGCAATAGTTTAACTGCATGCCAAACAAAGCCCAATACTCCTTAAAGAAAAGCAACAAAGGGTAGCAATCAGCAAGGTAAAATTTACCATGTAGAGCATCCAGTGAAAAACTACCAGGCATACAAATCAGCAGGAAGATGACCTATAGTGAAGAGAAAAATGCATCATTAGAAAATACTAGAAATGGGCTGGGCACGGTGACTCATGCCTGTAATCTCAGCGCTTTGGGAGGCTGAGGCGGGATTATTGCTTGAGGCCAGGAATTCAAAACCAGTTTGGGCAACATCATGAGACCCCACCTGTCCAAAAAAAAATTTTTTTTTATTTAGCAGGGTGTGGTAGAGCATGCTTGTAGTCCCAGCTACTTAGGAAGCAGAAGCAGTAGGATCTCTTGAGCCCATGAATTGGATACTGCAGTGAGCTATGATTGTGTCACCCTGTACGCCAGCCTGGGTGACAGAGTGAGACAGAGATTTTGTCTCTTAAAAAAAAAAAAAAAAAAGCCAAAAACCTGCAATGACAAAGATGATAGAATTAGCAGACAAGGATTTTAAAGCTATTTTTAAATCTTACAAATATGCTTAAGATGAAAAGGAAAACATAAAAATAACGAGGAGACAAAGAAAATATATTAAAAGACCCAAATGGAATTTCTAGAATGAAAAACACAATTATCTGAAATGAAATCTATACAAGTTTGGATTGAGAGCAGGTTAAACACTAGAAAAAAGAGGTCAGTGAATGTGAAGACATAGCAATATTTACCCAAAATGAAGAAAACAGAGAAAAACGAGAATGAAAAAAAGTGAACGCCTGTAATCCCAGCACTTTGGGAGGCTGAAGTGGGCAGATCCTTCTCCTCCCTTTCCCCCCTCCCCCTCCCCCTCCTCCATGATAAATGTGGCCGGGCACAGTGGCTCATGCCTGTAATCCCAGCACTTCGGGAGGCCGAGGCAGGTGGATCACCTGAGCTCAGGAGTTTGAGACCAGCCTGGCAACATGGCCAAACTCCATCTCTATAAAAAATACAAAAATTAGGTGGGTGTGGTGGCGTAAGCGTATGGTCCCAGCTACTTGGGAGGCTGAGATGGAAGGATCCTTTGAGCCCAGAAAGTTAAGGCTGCAGTGAACTGTGATCCACTGCACTCTAGCCTGGGCAAGAGTGAGACTCTGTCTCAAAAACAAAACAAAAACAAAACACAAGCCTAGTGATTCTATGGGATGATAACAAGTGATCTAAAATACACGTGACAGGCTGTGCGCGGTGGCTCGCGCCTGTAATCCCAGCACTTTGGGAGGCCAAGGAAGGTGGATCACCTGAGGTCAGGAGTTCAAGACCAGCCTGGCTAACATGGTGAAACTCTGTCTCTACTAAAAATACAAAAATTTTCTGGGCATGGTGGCGGGAGCCTGTAATCCCAGCTACTAGGTAGGCTGAGACAGGAGAATCACTTGAACCCGGGAGGTGGAGAGTAAGCCAAGATCACACCATTGCACTCCAGCCTGGGCGACAGAGCGAGACTCCATCTCAAAAATAAAATAAAATAAAATAAAATAAAATAAAATAAAATAAAATAAAATAAGTGTAACTAGAGTTGCAGAAGGGTAGAAGAATAGAAACTTATGAGAAGAAATAATGGCATAAGATTTTCCAAATTCGAGGAAAGCTATAAACCTATAGATCCAAGAAGCTCAATGAACTCCAAATGGAACAAATATAAAGAAAACAATAAACATCAAGGCACATTATAATCAAATTGCTGAAAAACCAGTGATAAATAAAATAATTGAATAGCGGCCAGAAAAAAAACGACGTATTATGTTCAATGGAACAAAGGCAAGGATTATAGTAGAATTTTCACCGAAATTATGCCAAGCAAAAAATAATGGAATGACATCTTTAAAGAATTGAAAAAAGAATCTGTTAACTTGGAATTCTATACCTGACAAAAAAAAAATACCCTTCCTTCCTTCCTTCCTTTCTTTCTCTCCTTTTTCTATTTTTTTAAGATGAGATGTCACCATGTTGCCCAGGCTGGTCTTAAGCTCCTGGGCCTCCTGTCTTGGCCTCCCAAAATGCTGGGTTTACAGGAGTGAGCCGCTGTGCCTAGCCAAAATATGTTTCAAAAGAGAAGGTGAAATAAAGACTTTCTCAGGCAAAAGTTTAGAGAGTTCATCAGGCAGAAGGAAAATGATACCAGATGGAAATTTGCATCCACACATAAGAATGAAGAGTATAGAAATGATAAATGTGGCTGGGCACAGTGGCTCATGCCTGTAATCCCAGCACTTTGGGAGGCCGAGGCAGGTGGATCACCTGAGTTCAGGAGTTCGAGACCAGCCTGGCCAACATGGCAAAACAACATCTCTACTAAAAATACAAAAAATAGCTGGGCATGGTGGCATGTGCCTATAATCCCAGCTACTTGGGAGGCTGAGGCAGGAGAATTGCTTGAAATCGGGAGGTGGAGGTTGTAGTGAGCCGAGCTGGGCCACTGCACTCCAGCCTGGGCCACAGACTGAGACTCCATCTCAAAAAAAAAAAAAAAAAAGAAAGAAAAGAGAAAAGATAAATGTGAATATAAGTATACTAAATATGTTTCCTCCTCCTCCTTCTTCTTTTTTTTTTTTTTTTTTTGAGACAGGGTCTCACTCTGTGACCCAGGCTGGAGTGCAGTGACGCCATCTCCATTCACTGGAACCTCTGCCTTCTGGGCTCAAGGGAATCTTCTGCCTCAGCTCCCTAAAGTAGCTGGGAGTACAGGCACAAGCCACCACGCCCAGCTAATTTTTGTATTTTTTGTAGAAACGGGGTTTCACCATGTTGCCCAGGCTGGTCTCAAACTCCTGAGAGCAAGTGATCTACCTGCCTTGGCCTCCCAAAGTGCTAGGATTACAGGCATAAGCCACTGCGCCTGGCCCTAAATATGTTTTCTTATTTTCACATCTCTTTAATGTAATGGACTATTAAAATATTTTTAAATTTCCATTATTATTTATTCTTTGGTTTCTTTTTAGAAGTGTGTTGTTCAATTTCCAATTCTTTGAGGATTTTCAAGATATCTTTTTCTTTTTGACTTTTAGTAGTATATTCCTTTGTGGTTAGACAACATAGTTTGCATGATTTCACTACTTTTTATTTATTTTTTTTTAGATGGGGGTCTCACTATGTTGCCTAAGCTGGTCTCAAATCCTGAGCTCAAGGGATCCTCCTGCATAGCTGGGACTACAGGCATGCCCCACCGTGCCTGGCAATAAATTTAAATTTGTTGAGACTTATTTTATAGTCTGGAACACAGCCTATCTTAGTGAATGCTCTGTGCGCACCTGGAAAGAATGCATATTCTGCTATTATTAGGTAGACGATGCTATTAGATCCAGTTGATGGATTGTGTTGTATGTCTCCCATATCCTTACAGATTTTCTGTCTACTTTTTCTATCAATCACTGAAAGAAAGGTGTTAAAATAGCCAGCTATAATTGAGGACTTGTCTATTTTGCATTTCAGTTTCTGCTTCATGCATAATAAAGCACTGTTGTACACACCATTTCGGATTGTTATGTGCTCCTGGTGAATTGACCCCATTATCATTATGTAATATCACTATGATTCCCTGATAATATTTCTTCTTCTGAAATCCACTTTGATATGAATACAGTCATTCTGGCTTCTCTTTAATTAATGTCTGCATGGGATACTTTTTCAATTCTCCTACTTTAAATCTATTTGTGGCTTCATATTTGAAATGGCTATCTCAGAGACAGCATATAGTCGGGTATTATTTTTTTAATTCAATCTGAAAATCTGTTTATTAGAGTGTATAAATATGTCAAAACATATCAAATTGAATACTTTAAATATGCACCGTTCATTGTATGTCACTTATACCTCATCAAAACTGTGTATAATATTTATTTGATGCCCTGCTTTGTGCCACTAACTATGCTAAACACTGAGAAATATGGCAGTAAATAACACTCTGTCCTTGAGGAGCTCACAGTAGAGAGGAAACCTAGTTTCACCCCAAGTCTCACATCTCATAGCTTATAACACGGAGAAGAGAGAAACTGACTCTCTTTCCTCAGTTTTAACCCAAAAATTTTCCAGGGCTTCTGGATGGCCTGGCTTGAGTCTGGTGACCACCCCTGAACGAAACAGGGAAACAGGGACTTGTAAGAATGGAGTGGTCCAATTAGAGCTACGTAGATGGGAGCACTTCTCAAGAGAAAATGTCAATACTCAGAAGGCATCTCTGTTTCAACTATAACCAACCATTAACCTGGTAAAAACCAGAAATGAGTTTCCCAACTGTGAGAAGGAGAGCACCAAAATAAAGAGCATCTTGGGCATTCTGACACTAGCCACGATGAGGCAGCTCTTTTTTAAAGTCAGAATCTATGAACCCTCTTTAAAACATCATGTAGGCCAATGCTACTGACTTTGGCATATTTTTCTGTGGACCTGCAGGGATGAAAGTTATCACATCAGGTCTTACCATGGCTTTCTCAGCTGATGAAGGAAACGCTTCTCTGCACACCCTGTGAAGGAGCAGGTCTCAAAGTGTGGTCTCCAAACCAGTAGTATCCACACCACCTGGGAGCTTGTTAGAAATGGAGATTCTCAGGCCCCCAACCCAAACCTACTGAGTCAGAAACTCTGGGGGTGAGGCCCAGAAGTCCATCTTTTAACAAACATTTCTTGTGATTCTGCTGAACACTCAAATTTGAAACGATAACAACAACAACACAACCACATTTGAGCACCTGTTCTCAATTTTGGCTGCATATTGGAATCACCTGGGGAGTCTTAAAAATATACTGATGCCTGGGTCTCCCCTCCAGGGATTCTGATTTAATTGGTGTGGTCTAGGGTTGGGATTTTTTAAGGTTCCCCAGGTAATCCAATGTGCATCAACATTCGAGAAGCAGTGCATTACAGCACATTAAAGTGCATTACTCTGCTATGCAAGCTGGGCCCCATCCCCAGATCAATTGCATTTAAATCGCTGGGGCTGGAACCTGGACATTGTTGTGTATATCTATTTTGGCACTGGTGTTTTTTTCAAGCTCCCTAGTTGATTCTAATGTGTAGCTGGGGCAGAGAATCACTTCATTATTGTGACATGTGTGGCCTCCTTTTACTTGCTTCCCCTCCTGGCTTCAGGAATGAGTTTTCTGGTGGACAACTGAGGCGGAAGGACTTGAGCAAGCCTGGGACCGGCGTCCTACAGAGAGCAGATGAGTGGTTCTGCTTCTCCATGCTGCCCTAAGTTTTCCAGTGGCCATGGGAGACTTGTGGTTTTCCTGCACTACCAACATCTCTGAATAAGTCTGCCAAATTCAGGGGCAAAGTGTTAGCAAGCTCACTTGGCCAGCAGACTAAGCCATGTTCTCCACCATTTTGACCTCCATATGCCTGACTCCTGTGTCCGTCTCTCAGTTGTTTCCAAGTTTGAGAAGGGATTAAAAGAATGCCTTGTATTAGCCACTAAAACCCCAACCCCAACAGTGGAGAGAGCCTACCTCAGCTGTTTAGTTGCCCTGCCCCATTTGAGCATTGGCCATCATAGTAGAGCTGGTACCCAAGATGCTCCCTGAAGAAATTATGAGCACCTCAAACTTCTGGGGCCAGGAGGTGAAACAACATTATACCAGCCTTAGCAGATCTTGAATGGAGAACTTGCCCAAAGAGAGTGCTTTATCTTCAGATAAGACTCATGGTGTCTGAGGAGGGTCATTGCAAGAGATCATCTTCCCCAAGAAAGTGACTCAGCCACCCTCAGCATATTTCCTTTGAGGTCCAAAGGACTTGGGTTCAAATTCTGGCTCTATTACCTGCCAGCTGGGGACCTTGAACAAGGCATTCTCCATTCTGAAGCCTAGTTATCTTGTTTATGAAATGAACATGATTGGTCGTTGTGATAACCAAGTGAAATAATGGGATAATGAATGCTTTATTTTTCCTATTGTGGGAAATGCTTTGTAAACTGTGAAAAGCTGTAGCATGTAAGACGTTGTTATAATGAACTCGTGTTCTAGATGGGGAGACTGGATGTGGAGAGGTGCAAAATTAGCCCGTCATGCAAGGCTTGGTAACATTTTTCAATGGTATAGGGAGGAGCTTTATAGGTATTGGGAGGCAGAAGGAAGCATTGAGGGCTGGACATGCAGCCTTGGCAATTGCTAGAGAGTCTCCTTGTGTGGAGGGAGAACTGGTCCTCCCTCACAATTCATTGCATTGTTCTCTGTGCTGCATTCACTTTCTACTTGGAGACAACAGCCACCACACCATGACCTTAGGGGAGGCTTCCTGGCCATTTATGTTCTGACCCAAAGGACAAATGGCCCTTCCCTTAATTCTGTGCAGCACAGCTGAGCCTGGAGGAACAGCTAAGTAAAACGTTACTAATAGAAGGAAATGATGATGGAGAGTAACATGTGATCAGGCTTATAGGTAGCACAGCTTAACGACTCATTCTGCTTTAATATATTACGGTATTTACAGATAGATTTCTTTTATTGACAAATAAAGAGGTTCTGGACTAGATTTTGTTAAAGAAAGCTACAGGTTACCTCATAGATGATCAACATCTTAAACCCTTAATATGGTCCTCAAGGCATTGCCTGATATGGCCCCAATGCCCCTCCTTCAGCCTCAGCTCCTTTTGCCCCGCTTCTCCTTGCTGTTTGAGCTCTAGGCACACTGGGATCCTCCGCAGACCTTGACAATCTCCTTCCTGCTTCCAACCCTTTAAACCTGCCTGGAACAGACCTCCCCTACCTAGGCCTACCTTATCTGTGCCAGGCTAATTCTTTTTTGTTCATTTGTTTTTTATTTTTTAGTTTATTTTTGCCTCTAGATATAATTTTTTGTTGTTTATTATTTTTTAGCCTGACTAACTTTTTTTTTTGAGATGGAGTCATGCTCTGTCACTTAAGCTGGAGTGCAGTAGTGTGATCTCAGCTCACTGCAACCTCCACCTCCTGGGTTCAAGTGATTCTCATGCCTCGATCTCCCAAGTAGCTGGGATTACAGGTGTGTGCCACCATGTGCAGCTAATTTTTGTATTTTTAGTAGAGAAGGGGTTTCACCAAGTTGGCTAGACTGGTCTCAAACTCCTGACCTCAGGTGATCTGCCCACCTTGGCCTCTCAAAGTACTGGGATTACAGGCGTGAGCTACTGCGCCTGACAGCCTGGCTAACTCTTAAGCATCCTTCAGAGCACAGCTTTGCTGTCCCTTCCTCCAGGAGCCTTTCTTGACCACTCCTCCCACCTCAGACATAGTTAGGTTTCCCTGTAACATATTCCCTTAGCATCCAATATGTCTACTCTTATCATGGACCAAAATTATCATTAAGTAAGCAATGGTATCATTGTTGTTCAATGTCTATGTTCCCTGTCATCATTGTATACCATACCCTTGCACAGACTATGCACCCAACATTTGTGAAATTAATGAGGACTGAATGAATGGTGAACAGAGATGGTTTTCCAGAATAAGTGGAATTAGAGTCGGGCCTTGAGGCAGAACTGGACTCCAACATCATAGTGACAGACTGAAAGGAGCACTGGATTGAGAGGCAAGAGTCTGAGATTCTGAGTCTAGCTGTATGCTTTGTCTATTCATTCAGGAGATATTCACTAAATGCCCACTGCCAGGCACTGTAGTAGGTACTGGAGATATGCTGCAGTTTGCCATGGTTACTATGGTTACCACAGGACTGAACGAAGGAGGATGAATACAGAAATGAAAACTTAAAACAAAAGAAACCGTTTTAAAGAAGGGGTCCGGGGAAGAAGAAGGCTCCCTGCTTCTAGTGAGCAAAGGCAGCCCTGAGCTTCTACAGCCCTTCGTATTTATTGGGTAGAAAGAGCAGGGAGGAGGAGGTAACGATTGGTCAGCTGCTTAATTGATCACAGGTTCACATTACTGCTAACAGGCTTCAGATGTGCCTAACCACAAGAAACACTGCTTGGGGCGTGACTGCCCTCAGCATTCCTTCTGGGCGGCAGACGCAGTTTGTCAGTTTGCCAACATCCTGCTTTCATGAAAACAGTTTGCTGTTTACTCACAGAGCCTCCAGTGGTATACTGAGTTGATCATGACCCTCATTCTTTCAGCCTGCAACAGAGATACAGTGGTAAATAATACTGATACCATTGGTCATGGTTCCCTCCTCCTGGAGGTCTAGAGAAGGATTCAGATGCAAGTTGAATAACCACACAAATAAATGTAAAATCCCAGCTGTGATAAGAGCCATGAAGATATGCATGGAACAATCAGTGTGTTTAAGAATGAGATTTAGGCCAGGCATGGTGGCTCGTGCCTGTAATTCCAGCACTTTGGGAGACTGAGGTGGGTGGATCACCTGAGGTCAGGAGTTCAAGACCAGCCTGGCCAACATGGTGAAGCCCCGTCTCTACTAAAAATACAAAAATTAACCAGGTGTGGTGGTGCATGCCTGTAATCCCAGCTATTCGGAAGGCTGAGGCAAGAGAATCACTTGAACCCGGAGGCAGAGGTTGCAATGAGCTGAGATCATGCCACTGAACTCCAGCCTGGGCAACAGAGCGAGACTCTGTCTGGAAAAAAAAAAAAAGAAAGAAAGAATGAGGTTTAACTGAGTTGTGGAGCCCAGGAAAGGCTTTGATAAGGAGATGTTTTTGTTTTCATTTTTAAATTGAGGTGTAGCTTCGATAAGTTTTGACAAATGTATACACTAACGTAACTATCACCCAGATCAAGATACAGAAAATTTTTATCACCCAGAACATCCCCTGTGTCCCTTTCAGTCAATACCCTCCCTGTCCCAGGAAACCACTGAAACTGATCTGATTTGTGTCAATGTAAATTAGTTTTGCCTATTCTATAACTTTGTAGAACTATGCTATATATATACATACATTTTTTTTGTCTCACTTTCACTCAGTATCATTCTTCTGAGATTCATCCGTGTTGTTGTGTGTCAATAATTTATTTACTTATTTATTTTTCCTGAGTAGTATTCTATCATATGACTAGTCCACAGTTTGTTTATCCATTCATCTGTTGATGAGTATTTGGGTTGTTTCCTGTTTTGGCTATTATGAATAAAGCTGCTATGAACATTCTTGTACAATTCATTTTGTAGACATATATTTCACTTCTCTTGGGCACTGAGATTCGGGAGTAGAATTGGTGGTCATAGATTAGATATGTATTTAACTTGATGGAAAACTGTCAGCAGTTCTTCAAAGTAATTTTGCCATTTTTATCTGCATACTAGCAATGTATGAGAGTTCCTGTTGCTCCACATCCCTATCAATATTTGGTATTTTCAGGTTTAAAAAAATTATTATTGCTATTATTATTTTGAGACAGAATGTCATCCTGCCGCCCAAGCTAGAGTGCAGTGGTGTGATCTTGGCTCACTGCAACCTCCGCCTCCTGGGTTCAAGTAAGTCTCCTGTCTCAGCCTTCTGAGTAGCTGGGATTACAGATGTGCGCCACCATGCCCTGCTAATTTTTGTATTTTAAGTAGAGACGGGGTTTCGCCATGTTGGCCAGGCTGGTCTTGAACTCCTGACCTCAATTGATCCACCCACCTTGGTCTCCCAAAGTGCCGAGATTACAGCCATGAGCCACTGTGCCCAGCATTTAAAAATTATTGAATTAAATATGTGCATGTGAAATGGCACTTCACTGTGGTTTAAAATTTCATATTAGGAGAGATGAGTTGAAGCTGAGATCTAAAGGATGAGAAGTAGACCAGGTAAAAAAGATGGGTTGTTCAGTATTTGGGGCAAAGAGAACAAAATATGCAAAGGCCCCCAAGGTGAGATGAAGCAGAACCATCACAAAGAACTGAAAGGGAATGTGGTGTGGGGTGAGGCTGCTGGGGGAAGTGGTGGGAAGCACTGAGCCATTCACCTTCAAGGAATCACGTGGATCTGCTCAATGTTCCTACCAGCAGTCACCATGGTGAACTAAAAAGCAAATAAAAAGGAATGTCCTAGGCTGTGTAAAACACCAGGAATTTCATATTATCCTGGGAAGTAGTCACGGAGGCTCATAAAAGCCAACATTGAATTTCTTGTCATCTCAGCAGAAAGGTACTCAGACTAGATTAAATCTGATTTATAGAAAGAAAAAAATGAGGCATTTCTGGCAAGTGACCATTGTAGTTGCAAATTCATGCTTATCGCATATGAAAGAGTAGGATTGCTGAGTAGTGTTGAATATCCTTTTGAAGTTTGAGATCATGAATTTAAAATGAAGTCATTTAGAAGGTTTGTATGATTTTTCTCTGGCAACACTCAGCTGCTCAGGTACAGGCATGGTACCTTACTTCAGACTATAGTGCTCAGTCAGGTCGTGGTTTTTCCAGGAAAGTATGTTGAAAGTTGAGGTGGGCAAGGGAATGATTATAATGATGAATCATGGGCTCTAAATTGGACCAAGAAAGAAATGAAGAATGGATAAAGACAAATTGGTGGTATTAGCAGATTAGTGGTCTCAGTGAGGTTGAAGAATTACAGCAAATAGGGTATTAGCACAAGGAACTGAAAGGCTAGGTGTTGGTGAATGGACAGTGGGGTATTACATTTTCATATTTCAAAGATGAAGTACTTTTTGGGTGATTAAAGTGTTGACAGTGTGAGCTCAGAAGTGTTGGTTTAATTGAGGAGAAAGTTGTTGGACGTGAGAAGGTAAAAGGATTAAGAGATCAGGATACTGAATAGGTCACGAACATGGATGTTGAACTCACCCAAGGATGAAGTTCAAGGATGGTGCCAGCAGGCATCGGAAGGGGCAGGGAAAAGATTACATTGACTGGGAGGTCGGAGGATGACAACAATCAAGATGAGTGGGGTGGTCATCTGAATAGCAAGAGCTTTAAAGGGGCAGAGATATTTACAAGAGGGAGGAAACCATTAGGAAGTTCAAGGTCAACTCTAGGAACAGTACAAGCCTTTTGACTAACATCCTTGAGTGAATCACGTTCAAACCAAACCACGCGAAGCCTTTCAGTTGGGAATGCTGTATTCCAGACCTTTCCACCAGGGGGCGCGATCAGCAACGGAGAGCCTAACTACAAGCAGTCCCTCGAGGCCAGGTAAGTGTGTCTCAGCTTGAGCTCTGAGGACCCCTAGGGCTCTTCTAAGGTATTGCAAAGAGCTCAGCCATCCTCTGGCACAGCCACACACACTTGCAGAGATTTTTTTTTTTTACAGTGTATGTAAATCTTGAACAACAAAAAAATACAAATTCCTAAATTCTTTTAAAGAAGTTACTGACTTAGGCCGGGCGCGGTGGCTCACGCCTGTAATCCCAGCACTTTGGGAGGCCGAGGCAGGTGGATCACAAGGTCAGGAAATCGAGACCATCCTGGCTAACACAGTGAAACCCCGTCTTTACTAAAAACATAAAAAATTAGCCGGGCGTGGTGGCAAGAGCCCGTAGTCTCAGCTACTCGGGAGGGTGAAGTAGGAGAATGGCATGAACCCGAGAGGCAGAGCTTGCAGTGAGCCGAGATCGCGCCACTGCACTCCAGCCTGGGAGACAGAGCGAGACTCCGTCTCAAAAAAAAAAAAAAAAAAAAAAAAAAAGGAAGTTACTGACTTAGACCAGGCATGGTGGCTCACTCACGCCTGTAATCCCAGCACTTTGGGAGGCTGAGGCAGGCAGATCACCTGAGGTCAGGAGTTTGAGACCAGCCTGGCCAACATGGCAAAACTCTTGTCTCTACTAAAAATACAAAAATTAGCTGGGCATGCTGGCGGATGCCTGTAATCCCAGCTACTTTGGAGGCCGAGGCACAAGAATCTCTTGACCCCGGGAGACGGAGGTTGCAGTAAGCCGAGATCCCGCCACTTCACTCCAGCCTGGGCAACAGAGCAAGACTCCATCTCAAAAAAAAAATTACAGAATTATTAAAAGGTCTTAGTTATTATGTATTTTCTCGATGAAAAGTGACAAAGTACAGCTACTATCATGTGGAATTTGGTGACATTTCTCCCTGGGTAAAAGGGTTTTTTCATAACTGCAGGTTTTGAGAGTTGACTGGTAACACCCATACTTAAAAATGTTCTTCCCAGATCACTTTTTGCAAGCATGAGATAAGAAGAAGAATACAAAGCTGGAGTCAGAATTGTAGTAGCAGCATCAACATCAACATGAGTGTTTACTATGCACCAGAAACTGTTCTAAACATTGCACATAAATTTACTCATTTATTCCTTCTATAATCTTGGAAGGTAGGTGCTATCATTAGCACCATTTGACAGAAAATAAGGTCCAGAGAGATTAGGTCATTTGCCTAAGATGACAGAGCTCCTGGATGGTAATGTTGGTGTTGTGGACTTGAATTTCATCTTTCCATTAGCCGGAACAGTCTATGTTATGTCACAGGAACAAATACCCCTTGAATCTCACAGTTTAATTCAACAGAGGGTACCTGTTCTGTATGGGTTAGCAGGGGGGTTAAGCTTATTATGCTAACTCAGGGACTAATGCTGACACAAGGTTCGTTTTGATATATGCTTTCATCGTCATGATCAGTAATCACTACCAAGACGAAAGAGTATGGGAAAGAGTCTAAACTGGAAATGAAATGCTTCTGCTTGAAGCAATGCATGTTACTTTACACATTTCACTGACCCAAGCACATCCAATGCCACTCCCGACTTCAAGGGGACAAGAAAATGCACTTCTACCATGAGTCTATTAACAAGCAAACCAGATTGTTGGCATTAATGATTAATACAAACATTCTGAGAGCTGGAGCCGTTCGTGTCCTCCTTTGGCTTCAGCTTCCCTATCCACAAAAAGACCATGATCATTTTGTAAGAATCTCTTGTTGTAAGGATCAAAGAGCCACATTTGTTACAGCTATAATGAGGCAGAATGGTTGCATCCAACCAAAGCTTCCATCAGCTGAAAATCTTGATCCCACCACAGGCAGCCCTGTAGCCCTCCTTACTGGGCTGTCTGCAGAATGGCCTTTGTCCAGATGAAGGTACATGCCAATCTTTTTGTCACTCACACACCTGAGGTTTTGAAGGACATAGTTTTCACTTCAATCAACAACATGCCATAGTGGTCCTGGCCTTTGCTAGAAATTTTGGTCTGGAACCACCAGCTGTTCAGTTCCTGTTGAAAGTTCCAGACCACTTTAGCTTGATAGAGATTGCGAGGGTCTCCTTCTTCCAGGTCCTCCAAACCCTCTCTTTAAATCAAGTCAGGCCACCAGGACTGTTTACTTGGCCCCTCAGAGTTTCCACAGACACTCCCAGGACGTCTGCTGTGAGTCAGGGATGAGCTAAGCCATAGAAATTCCTTTGCCAACCACAAGCCCTGAGGGTAGTACAAAAAATACCCCTAAAAAGAGCATTTCCCAAACTTCTATGCAAACAGTAGTAACCACACTGCCAATCACCCTCCAGAGTGCTTTGCTAGATCCTTTCCTATGGGGCCATTTGACCCTTCCTCACTCCTCTGCTAGCCTAGGCAGTGCACTCCATGAGGACGGGGACTACCTTTTCATGTGGGTTTCACTATGTGCCTGGCACACAGCACGTTCTCAATAAATGTTTTCCGCATTAAGACGCTTCTTAGGAGTCTTCATGTAAGTTCATACACGACTTCCTTGTAGAATTGTGTCAATGAACATGCAATTAGGCTAGCTGAACTTCAGGCCCTGAGAGTCTATGAAGCTAAAATAAGGCCCAGATGTGGGGTGGGAGGGGGAGTAGGCAGAGGCGGCAAAGGAGGACATTTCAGGCAAAGGGAGCAGATGTCCAGGCAGGAAAGCACAAGGTAACGGGGGCACAGGGGGCGCACCACTTTTCCTGGAAGGAAAAAACAGCAGATGAGAGAAGGAGGTTGGAGCCAGTTACCAGTAGAGGTCTATGTTCAAAGTCCAGAAGGAAGAAACAGCAGGACGGGGACAAAGAGAGGAAGGAGGAAAGGAGGCACGGTGTATGAAACTCTGTAGCCAAGAGCGCTAACAAATGAAAGGCAGGATGGGTGGAGGAAATGTACTGTGTTCCAAAGCTTCCTCTTATTTATGGGTGCTCCCGGGCCACAGAGGAGTAAACTGAAGGACTTCCCAGCTCCCCACTGCCCAGAGAGCTAGCGGAGTCCCGCCTCGCCCCGTCACATGGCCAGAGGCGCCCTCGGCACGTGACCTACCTCGCGCTAGGCCAATCAGCCTCTGCAGGGGCGGGGCCACCGAGTCCGCGGGGCGGGAGTCTCCGTCGGAGCCGCCTCTTCTCGCGATCCTTGCGGCGGTCGCTCCTCAGCCGCCCACGACCCGGAGCGAAGGTCTCGCGAGGCCTGGGCGCTGCGGCGGCAGGAGGAGGACGGGGAAGGACGGAGCCGAGCCGCGGCTGCCTCCCTCGCTCACTCCCTCGCGCACTCGCCCGCCCCCTCCCTCCCTCCCCTCCCTTCCCCGGCCCCGGCTCTGGCCCCGGCCCATTCGCTGTTGGGTCTTCTGCTAGGGAGGATGTCGGGTTCGTCGCTGCCCAGCGCCCTGGCCCTCTCGCTGTTGCTGGTCTCTGGCTCCCTCCTCCCAGGGCCAGGCGCCGCTCAGAACGGTAAGCGGGGCGCCGGGGGCGGGCCGGGCGGGGGTTGAGGGGCGCCGGGGCCGGAGGGGGCCCGGCTCTGGCCTGAGGAGACGCTGGAGCTCGGGGAAGGGGGCCGAGTGGGCGTCTGAGGGGCTGCGGGTCCGAGAGGAGGTACCGGCTGCGGGTTTGAGGAGGCGCGGGTGTGAGGACCGGAGGCTCCTATCCGAGCGGCGGGGGCGTCCGGGGTGAGCCCGAGGTGTTGCCCACTCGGAGGCTCCACGTCGTGGGGCTCGTCGTGCCGGGTCGGCGAGGGGACACGGAGGAAGCCGACGTGGGGAGCTGGAGTAGCGGGGGCGGATGAGGAGGGGGCGCAGCTCTTAGGGAGGGTGGCACAAGACCGGCGTTTGTGTTCCGGGCGACGGGGATGGTGGTGTCCGTCAGGCCCCCCGGGAGCTGGGGTCGTCCAGGATTCTACTGAGGCCCCGTAGGACTGGTGACATCCTTAAAAATAAGGGGGAAATTGGGGGGAAGAGAGTCCTGAGGAACACTAATGGTGAGCTGAGTACTAGAGACCAAAGGAGGGGGTAAAGAATCAGGGAACCTTGGATCTAGGGATAGAGGGAAGGTGGGTGGGAAGATGAGGGAGTGGGTTGACTGCAGTAGGGGACCTGGAGAGAGAAGCAGCAGTGTCTCCAAATGAGCTGGGGGAAGAGGGCTGGGTTTGCTAAAGAGGGTGGAGTGCTGGGCATTCTAGGGTAGTGGTTGGGAGAGCAAAAAGGAGTTTCTAAATAAGGAGAGGAAAATGAGCAGAGGATGGAGGGAAAGGGTTGGAACTGAGGTGGGGGAATATTTATTAGAGAAGTAAGGAGGCCTGGGTATAGAGATGGGGGTGGGGGAAGACGAAAAATAAGGGAAGGGAGTAAAATGCAGGAAGTCGGGGGTGTAATGTTGGTTTGCAGTGTGGAGGATAAATTAGGGAAGGGAGGAGTTGGGATGTGGCAAATGCTGTATGATATTGGTCGGGCCTTTGGGAAAACAGGGACACATAGCTGCAACTAATTGCAGTGGTGGGATTGAGGGCAGTGACTGGCGACAGGGAGATGGGGAAGTGGATTTTTGAGATTTAAAAGTTTCAAGACAGAAGAGACGTTATTTCCGAGGAACATGAAAGTGGCCCCTGGGAGGTGGTACAGTAGAAAGCAGAGAATTACTGGGTTTTGAATTGAAGCTCCTTTGAGAAGATGGAGAAGTGGTGGGGAATCATGGGCATAGGGACCTAAACAGAGCAGATTCTGATTGAAGACATGTGTTAGCATTCAGCTGCTGAATTGATCTTTCACAAGTGAGTCTAGGATTGTGAACCTGTTTCTGCCCTTGTGGAAACAGCCATTAAGAGGTTAAAGAATATTTTTTCTGTGAAGGAATTTATGAGAAGTCAGTACTGGAGAGTGAACTATAAATTATTTTTGCTAATCTTTCATTGTTTATTGTTAGGCCAGAACAATTTATGATTACTCTTATTAGAGAGGCTGCAATTTAAATTTTAAAAAATCAGTGATAGAGCCAGTGGAGTTTTTTGAGAAACTGGGTTTAAAATGCTGAATGTTAGAGTTTGTTTCATTATTCCTAAAACGAATAAAGGATTGACAATATCCATCAGTTAAATATGTGTTCGTAGTACCAAATTTTATGTGTGCTTCATGGCCTTGGATATCACTGCAGGGGTCAGGAAGGAAACATTTTTTCTGTCTCTAGCATTGAATATGCTAAGTGTATTGGGTATTTTTCCTGTTTTCCTCTAAGCATGAGTCCACTGTGGAAGGCAGGGTAGAGTTAGTCTTATTTGTCTTATCAGTTTTTCGACTGTGTCAACATGACTTAAAGAAGCCTAATGCTAATTTTAGCTATTCAGTTTATGGTAATAGCATAGTTTCATTTTGCACAATAGGTGAGAGATTCTTGATCTTAACATGTTTAATCTCTGCTGGCTTAGCTTTTTTCCAATGATTTATAATACGGTAAAATTGTAGTTTCTTAGCAACTAAAGCAAGGTTTCTGGATAGGCCTATAAAGACTCATCTGTCTGCTCAGTGATATGTGTTCTAAATACAGCATAGAACGGCCTTTCCCTTGAAATGAGCTTGAATTCAGTCACATGACATGACCGATGAAATGAAGCTGAGCTGCTGGTTGACCCAAATGAATGTAAATTTAATTCAAGGAAGAGATGGCTATTTTTGAGTTTGAGTTCCTATAGTTATGGATGCCATTTTATAGCTTTCTATATAACATGTCTTATTATAATATTCAAGCTTTCAGCTGGTAATAAATAGCCCTGCAGTGATCTGACTTCATGTCATGGAGTTTGTGTTTTCTTACAGTGCTTTCAAAAAGGGATACCTTGCTTGTGCATGATGTTGAAATGTTAGAAATGTTAGATTTTCTATTTAAATGACTGGAGAAAAAAACTCACAAGTATCTCTGAATTGGGAATGTAGTAGTTTAGATTGAATATAGATGTTTTTCAAAAGGCATTTGTTTCATTATTCCTAAAATGAAGAATTTGGCCTGTATGACTCTCAAGGTCTCTTGAAGCTCCAGTGAGTTTCTGACCCATTGTTGTGGACATTCAGGGCTTTCATTCAGATGGATTTTGTTTCTCATCCAAGAATTTAAACTTGTAAGACCAATTCCAAGTAAAATCCTTATTTGTTGACTTCTATATGTATCATCAAAATGGTAGTTTAAAGAGGAACTTGTTCTAAAAAGTAACCTTATAAGACATTCAAAAGCATTAGACTGCAATTGAGTGAGTGTAAACAAAGCAGTATAATGTGATGATCAAGAGTGCAGGCTTTGGACGGTGACAGACTCAGGTTTGAGTTCCAGCTGTCAGTAGCTGAGTGATCTTGAGTAATGCAAACTTCAGTTTCATCAGTTCATCATCTGTAAAGTGGAGATTACAATCATGTCCATTCCCTAGGGATGATGTGAGGATTAAATGAGATAATGACCGCTTAGATTTCAGCCTGAGTCTCAGTACATGTTAGCTATTACTACTATCCTTTAAAAAGGAGCATTATTTTTTATTTATTTTTCTTCATGTGTATATTGAAAACTTGATTGTTAATGCTGCTGTCATGGTAAATAGGCCATTTGAAGGCCCCACATAGAGATTTGTGCTTTTGCTTATGTAACTTTCTCAGAAAAGTGACCAGCTGCACTGTGTCTGCAATTGCCAATTCTGGTGAGGAAGTTAATATTTTTATTTGAGTTTCTGGGAGAGACTTTATGGCTTTTTTTTTTCTTTTTTTTCTGTGAACCAAATCTTTCAAGTGGGCCAGGTATCACTTTCTCATAGAGTATTATTGTTGTGAATAAGAGAAATAGAGTGTGGTACCCGGCACACAGTGGGAGTGTTATAGATGTTAGCTGAATTAATGAATGTGGAGTGGTGTGTAAAAACGTAATATATTCATATGGAAAATATGACATCACAAAATTAACACTGTTCAATGGAGGAAAATAAGGAATCTAATGAATCTTATTTTTAACGACCTAAATTTTAGAAACCATTTTGTTTGGGTGATACTAGATAGTTGTGAACATTGTGCTTTGTAATAATGCCAGTATTTGCATTAGATGATTCATGGATCTTTTTCTTTTCTGTCAAGGGCTGTTTGCTTCAGTGGTTTAGCAATTTTCTCTCACTGAGTACATTTTTAGAGGTGTATTTGCTAATTGATTGCGTGTTTCCTCTTTGAACTGAAATGAGCAACAGAAGACACATCTTATCTATGGCAGCTGTGGCACAAATGACATGCCGAATGTCAAGCAAAAAATTTTGAAATAATCCAAATAAGATTTGACCAGAAGAAATAGTTTGCCTTGACATAAAGCCCTTCCTAAGGAGATCACAGGCTTTCAGTCTCTCAGGCTACTGGCTAAAATGTCACTACTGATATAATGCAGCACCCAGGCATGAGAAATTGGTTCGGTCTGGGAGGATAGGCCATGTTACTACATCAGGACCCATTCCCTGGGTTTGTTTTACAAGGTTACTGGATCCAAATTAGAAAGAGATACAGATGGGTTTTTGTGTTGCCAGACGCAGTAGAGCTTAACTTGTGAATATACCAAGATTTAAAACCACAAAAGGAAATAAAACCCCTTAGATGTGAGGTTGGAATTCATTACAGGTCTGACTTCGCTTGATTAATACAGATCCTTATGAGAAATTAGACTGTTTTAAGGGAATCCCATTGTTTTTTCTCATTAATACAGATTTGATGTGAAACAGTTTCTTTTGTGGAATATGCCTTTAGACATTAATAAAAAGCAACATTATATTATCTTTATTTTAACTTTAAAATAAAGTTTAAATAAAAATAATTATTTAAATTAAAAAAAGATTTAATTGGGCCTTGAAAGATGACCAAATGTAATTAGAAAAGTGCTCTGTCAGTTTGAACATTGTTTTTCATTAGTCTGAGGTACTTTTTAAAAGTAAGATGTTTTGTGTGTAAACTCTGAAACTTGCTGGGTCTGTGTAAAGGTTTTTTACAACGATTCGGGAAGGAGATAAAGTGCTAATATCTATTAAAATGAAGTATGTAGAGAAACAGTGAGTGACCATGTTGGATACCATACAAGAGATGTTCAACAAAAGTTTGAATAAAATTATGCAGAGTAGTTTTGGAAAAGTGAATTTTATGAAAATCGTTCTGATGTATTCTATTCAATTTACTGTTTGCAGTGAGAGTACAATCTGGACAGGATCAGAAGTAGAGAATGAAGTTGTAAGAGAAAGGGAAAGACAGAAGAAAGGCTGCAGTAGTACAAGGAGAAAAGCAGGATGCAAGAATGAGGAATGAATCTTTGTTTGAGGAGCATCCGGAAAAATATAAGCTGTCAGAAAGAGTAAATAGACCAGGGACCTCTAAAGTAAATTCACACATCAAAGTTAAAATAATGTTGGAGAATCACCTCCTGTGAAAAATTGGCTTAGCTTTCAGTATGCCTCTTTAAACAAAACATTATCATTTTATACAAATTTTTAAAATGTTGTTCATAATATGGAGTTTAATTTTAAGCACCTTAGATAATGCATTTGTAAGCTTGTTTGTGAAATTTTTATGGATTTTTTTTTTCAAAATTCCTAATTTTAGTTGGTAAGGATTAACTTCGGGAAGACAGGAAACCCCTCCAGTAAAATTAATTGGTTATAAATGGTTACATATTTTAGGCTTATATACATAACAAAACTTCTTACTGAATTTAAAAGTGATCTTGTGTAAAAACATTATTCTAGTGATATTGATGTCTAAATTTAAAAGAGTGAATACACAAGTAAAATATATCTGCTTTTTAAGGATCTATTCAGTTTAGGAAGGAGAGTCAAAATTTGTATTTAATTTCAATTTATTATATTGTCTGAAACTGAAAGTAGGCCTAACTTTTGTTTGCTTTTGTGTATGTACAAAGGCAAACATTTATCAATCAACTCTTATTAATTTGAGATTATTTTGACCTGATTGCTCAGAACTTTTGTCTATCTGTATAGAAATGGGGTTTTCTAAATATTTAAAGAATTTCCTACGTATGTAAATTTACTTGCACACAGTAAGTTAGGGGAGACATTTAATATTCCTCAGATACCTGCTGTTTTCTTGTTGTGTTTCTTGTTTTTCAAATAAATAAACTGAGTGTTATCTGTTCATTAAAATAGAATGTAGTCAGCTCGAGGGAAACATTTTGTATTGAGTTTCTTGTACTAAAAAGCACTAAATGGTATTCTCTTGCATTTCTGAAACAATTATGGAATGTTTTAAGACTAGCCTTCCTACCAAATAATCTTAACTACTGGAGCTTTATGATATACTTTATGGTATTTTCCAGAAATATGTCAATTTTTTTTTAAAGATGGAGTCTTGCTCTGTTGCCCAGGCTGGAGTGCAGTGGCATGATCTCAGCTCACTGCAACCTCCACCTTCTGGGTTCAAGCAATTCTCCCTGCCTCAGCTTCCTGAGTAGCTGGGATTACAGGCGCCAGCCACCATACTCAGCTAATTTTTGGATTTTTAGTAGAAATGGAGTTTCGCCATGTTGGCCAGGCTGATCTCGAACTCCTGACCTTAGGTGATCTGCCCACCTCGGCCTCCCAAAGTGCTGTGATTACAGGTGTGAGCCACTGTGCCCGGCTGAAATATGCCAATTTGGATATCCTTCTCTTGCCTTATTAAAAATCATCGGTCACCCAGGTATTACTTCAAATTTACTAGACAGTGAAATATAAATGAGATGGTATGAAATCACTCTGAAAGTATTAGGGTTGGATATATTATGTAAGTTTCTATAATTAGAAAGCATTAAGTCCCAAATCGTACCAATAGTTTTAATCATATCTAAATGGATACTCACATACTAAATGTGATTAAATATAAAATGCATAACGAAATGTCACATCCTTTCCTGATAGAATACTAATAAGGCATAGTATTTCATGTGCAGGAAGATACAGGAAAACACACAAGTAAGAGTTTGTTTTGCATATATAAATTGTTATGCCTTTGAGATTCTTTTCTTCCTGATGGTAGGATTTGGAAACCATTGGACTAGATGATGTCTAAATTTCCTTTCAGTTCTAAAAATTACTAAATATCTTGCCCTTATAGCTTAGATACTGTCTCCAATAGGTTAAAGGCTCAGAGATGATAACACTTTCTGTTTAAAAGTTTTTAGAAACTTACTTTTGAATATAATGAAAATTAACTTTGAGGCATGCACTGTTTTGAAATCTAAATGCCTCTAAATCTACTTCAGACAACCCTTGCAGTTCTTGTTTCAAGGGAGGCAGAACCGTGTCTGTTATGCAGAGATCTTATATTAAACTTGCTGGGAAAATTGCCAGTGTGAATAAAGAAGTGAATATTCCTGCCAGGTAGGTAGGTATTTTATGATCTTTCTGTTGGCTGAAAGTGGTTGACTAATAAAGAGACAATGAAACACACTTAACTATTTGTATTTTTATGTTATCTTTCGAGAAAGTTTGTTTTCTATATATGAGTTAGTTTCTGCAGTCCCTTATGCATTTTTTAAGACCTGGAAATCCGTCCATTATAGTCGAAGAAGGCAACCCCAAGTGTTAACTGAATTAAATCCTAGCAAGTTCCTTGATTGTTATTCCTTAGAAACATTGTGTTTAAAGGTCTCAAGTTGTAAACATTCATGGTACTACTTTGTTATCTGTTAGGTCCATTTCTTTTCCTTTTTTTCTTTTAGATCTTTAGAATTTCAAACATGTACAAAAATAGATTAAGTAATGAATAAACCCCTGTGTATTCATCATCTAGTTTCAGCTACACCCTTGCTACTTATTAATTTAAAAATAACCTAAAAATTACATTGCAAACTAGAATTTTCTAGGACCTGAAATGTAGTCAGTAGGGGTTAGTTTATATGAGTAAAAGATAATATTTGGTTCACATGTAATCATGTTGAAATTACTTGAAAAATAAAGCTCTTGGCCGGACGCGGTGGCTCACTCCTGTAATCCCAGCACTTTGGGAGGCTGCGGTGGGCGGATCACGAGGTCAGGAGATCGAGACCATCCTGGCTAACACGGTGAAACCCCATCTCTACCAAAAATACAAAAAATCAGCCAGGGGTGGTCGCCGGCACCTGTAGTCCCAGCTACTCGGGGCTGAGGCAGGAGAATGGCGTGAACCCGGGAGCCGAGAACATGCCACTGCACTCCAGCCTGGGTGACAGGGCCAGACTCCGTCTCAAAAAAAAAAAGCTCTTTAGAAAAAGGCTTTCAAACTTTTTTGTCTGTGACCCAGATAGAGAAGTAGTTTTTGACTAATAGAAATTTATAACAAAATTACACAAATATGTAATATCTTGTGAAACATTACCTATTATTAATCTGTGTGAGGTAGTTAAGAGAACCATAGTGACCTTCTAAATTGAATTCACAATTCATGGGCCGTGAAACTCAGTTTGAAAAACAGCATTTTCAGGTATGGAGTAGTTTGGGGCTTTTGTTTATTTTTTACATGCCATGTTAGTCTGGAATAATTATGATTTTTGTTAACACAAGGATTTTCACTAGACATTTATCAGTAATATCAGCATATACTGTTATTAGTCATTATGAGTAAAGAAAATAAAACATTTTGGATTTATACATTAGCCATTATATATAGCGATTTTTTTTCCTTTTAGAACTTTAGAAAAAGGGGAAGCCACAGTAATTTGAATATAATCAAGACATAACTTTTCCAGTATATTCAGTTGACCTTCCTTTTAAATTAGACCTTGTGTTCCTTATTCCTGAGCCTTTGAGTTTGCAGGGCTGGGAGTACTAATGTTTATTCTAAGCCAAATGCTTTACTTGGTTGCTGTAGTCTGAGGCACATTTCTGTTGAGTACAGATTGACTTGAATACTGGCCAAGGGAAGAGAGAGAGAGGGTAAGCAGAACCATCACTAAAGAATCATCTGCCGTTCATGTTTAAGATCCTAGAGTAGTGGGATTATTTCCTAGTTTTTAGACACTGCTTCCTGGAGGAAAAAAAGGCAACAAGATGTCCTCCTTTGTTGGCAACTATCTGTGAAAAACTTCTAAATTCATAGATTGAAGGAATGTGTTAAATTTAACTTGGGATTTTTTTGATTATACGAGTTTAGCAGGTTTGGGAATCATTGCCGAACAACTGGAAAAAAATAGCACAAGGAGCTCCAGCATTGAAATTATATTCATTAATGCTGAATCTCAAATCGTGCATCAAGGGAGATGAAATAAATGGCCTTAATGCAAACCAGGAAACTGCTACCTGGAAAAAAGCAAGTATAAAGAGGTTTCAAATAGCTTGCAGTGAACTGTCATTGAATTACCCTTACACAAATAACATAGTGATCACGTATCAAAAGTATGGTGCTAACCTAACAGCATTACTGTTTTCTACTAGGATTGAACTCCAAATAAGAATACTTTCTAACCACATTTTGGAAGAGACATAGAATCTATGTTGATGGTAGCTTAAGATTTAGGAGAAAAGCCTGAAGGAGCTAAACTTAGGAACAGGGAGCACTAGGGGGATGTGATTATCTATTAATACTTTCAAGGTAGCAGTGTAAATGAAGTAAGGGAATTAGGCAGTCTCCAAAGATGGATGGGCTGTATCAAAGAGCAATGGCCTAGAGCACAGGGAAGAAAGCATAGGTTTAGTATTAAGATGATTTTAATGAAACTAGCGGAAGAATAGAGTTATTTGCACTCATCGTCAGAACCATTATAAGTAGGACAAAGAGCTGGTTGAGAGGGTACTCAAAAACAGAAATGATCTCTTTCTTACATAGTACTGTGCTTGTTTAGAAGCTCAATGAGAGAAAAATATGGAAATGAATATGAAATGAAATGGACTTTTCAAAAGTTAGTGTGTTTTTCTGTTGTTTGTTTTGTTTTGAAACAGGGTCTCACTCTGTTGCCTAGGCTGGAATGCAGTGGCGTGATCATTACTCACTGCAGCATCAACCTTCCAGGCTCAGGTGATCCTCCTGCCTCAGCTTTCCAAGTAGCTGGGACCACAGGCGCATACCTCCATGCCTGGCTAATTTTTGAATTTTTTGTGGAGATGAGGTCTCCCTATGTTGCCCAGGCTGGTCTCAAACTCCTGGACTAAAGTGATCCTCCTGCCTGTGCCTCCCAAAGTGCTGGGATTACAGGCATGAGCCACAGCCCCCCTGCCAGCCAGAAGTTTTTAAAGATCAGAAATTAGTGTTTCTAGCTCTAAACTTCTATGATTATGAATCCAAGTAAAATGGTAGATTAACTTTGGAATCCATTAAGGTAGCTTTTAGGACTTGCCTGTGATATTAGAACAGAATTTTGCTTACTATAACCTTCAGAAGCAACTTCTTTTTGTTATCAAAAAGCTAAACTATGAAATCCTTCCAATACGTGTTGAATACAAAGAAGCCTAGATAATAAAGAGCCCGTTAGACTTTATATGAAACCTAGTAAAAGTATAACCTTTGGCCATTAGAAATTAAGCTTTTTCTTTTATATGGTAAATGTATGCTATTAAAAACCTGGAAAAGGACACTTTCATCCTAACTCCTAAGACTTCATTAGTTAAAATCCTGCTGTGATAGAAGCCACAGCCTGTCTTTAGAAGTGGGAGCTGGTGCTGTAATACCTTGGTAGAGGTGGGAGCTCACTTTAGTTTGAAGAGTGTAGGGTTGTCAGATAAAATATAGGATGCCCAGTTATATTTGAATTTCAGATCAAAAATGAAGAATTTTTATTTACGTAATATGGCAACCCTGGAAGAATGTATCTTTGCTATTTTGGCCTTCCAGTTAGAACTTAAAAGACAGCCTTGTAATTTGGTGAGGTTTTTGTGTATTAAAAGAAACCTTCCTAAAGTAGATTTAATATGGACAAAATCATGTTGCATTGCAAATTTTGTATGAGAAAATATAGGTTAGAGTAGCATTGTTTTATTTTGATAACCTCACATTTCTATATGTGTTTTCTTCAGTTCAGCTACCTTATATCTGACAGTAATTTTTTTCATTTATTCTCTGAAATTAAAGCTGTTTTCGAGAAGAAGGTGGGCTGAGGGCGTCAGGCTTTTTTTTTTTTTTTTTAAAACAATTCTCCCTCTTCTTACCTAAAATATTTAAAAATTTAGGGCATTATTGCCTAAAGGGTATATGATAAGGATGTTTCTGGGACTTCTCGTTTAAGGATTGCCCTTTTCCATATTTGTGCCTGGGGGCTTGGAATATATTTGTATTCTTGGTTTGGAAGAAGAAAAAGGTATAAATGAAGATGTGATTGACCACACCCTTTTCTTTCTAATGGGTTCAAAATAATTTTCACTTGCTGAATTGTAACCACCTGATTTAGAGAGTCAGAAAGTGGATGTTAACAATGCAGACAGACTAGGGATGTGATTACTTTGTTTTTTTGTTTGGTTTTTTTTGTTTGTTTTCAGAGATGGAGTCTCACTCTGTCACCCAGGCTGGAGTGTAGTGGCGCGATCTCAGCTCACTGCAACCTCCATCTCCCGGGTTCGAGTGATTCTCCTGCCTCAGTCTCCTATGGGATGTGATTACTTTATACCTAAATTTCAGTACTAAGAAAATCATGGTTTGATGAGTTTTTAGTAGTGGTTTGTCCCTGTTTATCAGTAATTCATTGTAAGAGCTCTCCCTTTTGTCCTTTTGTTATGGGCTAAGGCAAGGAGTGGTGCCTATAAGAATAAGAGGACTCGAACAGTGGAATAGGTTCCAGGGAGAATGATATTAAGGAACATGAAACATAACCCTAGTTATACTTACCCATATTTATTTGAAATATATTTAAGGTAATTTTAAAAAGTACTAAAAGTAACTTGTAGTTTTTATGAAAGTAGGAAATTACCATTGTAAATATAAAATGTGAATAAGAACTATACTGAAAAGGTCATCTTGTTGGGTAATGAAGTTAAGTAGAAAGAACACTGGATTTGGCAGTAGCCCTGTAATACTGTCTGTTTGCATTTTAGTACTCTGGTTTCTGTTTTAAAAATTAGTGTAATACTTAACCCATAGAGTTTTATGGGATTAAATTACAATGTATGCTGAAGTGCTTAATAAACTGCTATATTTTTAAATGGCATGCTTGTTTAGCTTTGAGTTATAGGGCATGGTATTTATAGTGTTTACCCTTAATAGGTTAACTGCAACTCTGGTAGTTCATAAGAAAGTTAAGAGGAAAAATAAAGTACTAATGAGAAAGGCCAGATTATTTCAAGGTTGGCTCTTTTGACAAATGATGAGCATATCATTAAAATGTGCATTTTAGATGGTTGTTAATAGGCCAGTCTTTTCATTGAATTAATTATTCCTCTCTACTAGGGAAGGTTAATATCGAATTTCTGTAATCTTTGTAGTGTGCTCACTGCTCTCACTTCAAGTTAAATTTAGTCACAGGGACCCTTGTTATTTTTCATCCCCATTCTCTCCTCCCCGAGATAGGTGACTGAAAGTGAAATCAGATGTCTATCTGTGTTAACTTTTTATAGCAAATTTTTGTAGCTCCCTTTTACTATCCTGAAATAAAATTCATAGATGTTTTGACCTACCTACATGTTATTGAAGAAAAAACAATCTGATGTCCTAAATGTAATATAAAGGAGAAAATAAGGGTAAGTAACTCTAATAATACAATGTTTAGATCAGTCTGTAAGTGCTAAGAGATGGCTGGACAGAAAGACATTGAAGTAGCCCATTGTTTATATTAGAAAAACCAAGCTACAAATTCAGACCGATACAGTTGTGCTGTAATGGTGAATTGAATACTATAGACAGTGTTGCTGTTGATAATGTGATTTTCTGAAAAGGTGAACAGCTCTTGGTAGAGTTCCAAATGAACGAAAGAACAGTCTATTCTCACTTTACACAGTAATTACATTCCTGGAAAATTAAGTGATGATTAAAATCATGCAAGAATACTTTGTGTTATATTTAAAACAGAGTTGGGTTCTGGGCTCAGAACAAGTTTTTCATCTTGAATGTCATTTGAAAGTGGTATAGGAAGCGGGACAATTCTTTACTGTGCAAGACTTTTCCTTACTTTGTGGGATGTTGCAAATCCTTGGTGCCTGCCCACTAAAGACTAGTAGTTTCACCTCAGTCATTGTGTCAACCAAAAATAGAGAAATTTCCAAAATGCCCTATAAAAGGCAGGGCAACCCCCATTGAGAATATCTTCATTTTGTTCCTGTACTTGTAAGTGTCCTCTGAGGTAGGATTATAGTACTTAGTCCCTAGGACTATCAGTAGTCAAAGCCACATGCCTTCTAGGAATGGAAAGGCAAGGAGAACAGCTGTTGACTTGCCTTTACTCTTTTTGTTGACATGCATTAAAGCAGGGTTTGCAAACTCATTTACCACAAGAGCTAAACAAGTACCATTTGCTAAACTAGAGAATACATGCTTTGAAAACACTGAAAGTTGGATTTAAAAACACTGTGCTGATGAAATAAAATTATCAGTGGGCCTCTAAGTTGTGTCCCTTTCACCAAAGGATTATATTATGAATTTTGGAGCCTGAGAGATTAGGTTGAAACCCTGATTTTTGGCAAATCTCTTAATCTCTCTTAGCCTCTGTTTTCTCAGTCGCTTATTAGACATAACGCATACCTCACAGGATGGTGGTTAGAATGAGACTGCATATATACAATGCCCAGTACAGTACATGACACAAGATACATGTGCTTAGTGAACTTTTCTCTTTGCCCTAATACCCATTCAGTTATCTTGGTTACTTTTTAATCTGTTGTTTTAAAGCTAGCTATGTGTTCTATAGTAAAATGATTATAAAATTTGAAATCTTTAATATAGAGGATATTAGTCCCTTCTTATTTTTAACAAGCTAGAAAGTAATTACAATGAACTTTTTTGGTTAACACACAACTTATTTACCATTTAGGATGTGTGAAGCCTGATGCTTATAACGCTAAATATGCTTATTCCAAACTATTTCAGTAGATCACCCTCCTTGGTCTTTCAGGTTAGCTTTTAACATTAATGTATCCAGGTAGCAGTGGTCTTTATTTTTGAAGCCGTCTTGCAGCAGGTAATTTTGCTAATACTACAGTAATGTATTGCACCATCAAAATTAAGTTGTTCCATAGAAGTGACATGTTTTGGTAGTTGTTGCTTGACTTAGAAATTTAGCAGCATGAGTTTTACTAGGAAACTATGATATATTATTTTCTTCCAGTTTTCCAGTGAATGTTTTGAAAGTTTTACATTTTCTTGCTTCTTGTAAAATTTTGTAGAGACGTACATAGCTTGCTGTACATCTTGTTTTCAGCTTTTAGCAGCAGAAAGTTTTCTTTTTAAACATTAGTAATTAAGACAATGATCTAAATAGTTAAAGCAATAGAAGCTTTATTCCCATCACCATAATTCTGTTGTCCCTCTTTGTTTTCCTCTACAATATGATTTGGAATCCTTTTAAAGACCTCTATGCCTTAGTTTAAATTTTTTAATTTAAGTTAATTTATTGTTACTATTTTTTTTTTTTTTTTTTTGAGACAGGGTCTTGCTGCTGTGTTTGCCCAGGCTGGAGTGCAGTGGTATGATCATAGCTCACTGCAGCCTCGACTTCCCAGGCTCAAGCAATCGTCCTGTCTCAGTGTCCTGAGCAGCTGGGATTACAGGTGTGCACCACCACACCCGGCTAATTTTTTAAAAAACTTTTTTGTAGAGATGGTGTCTCACTCTGTTGCCCAGGGAGGTGTTTTTGTTTTGTTTTGTTTGAGACAGGATCTTGCTCTTTCATCCAGGCTGGAGTCAGTGGTGAGACCACAGCCCACTGCAGCCTCCATTGTCTGGGCTCAAGTGATCCTTCTACCCCAGCCTCCCGAGTAGTGGGACCACAGGTGCGTGCCACCATGCCCAGCTAATTTTTAAAAATATTTCATAGAGACAGAGTCTCACTGTTGCTCAGGCTGGTCTCCAAAGTGTTGGGATTACAGGCTTGAGCCACTGCACCCAGCCTGTAATTTCTTATAAAGTTATTTTATTTTTCCTATCTTAATTTTATTCTCTTCTTACACATACTTTCTTGATCCTGTTTCTTCTGGTATCTTCAGTTGTTTCTAGATAAACATTTGCCACTTAAAATTTTTAAATTCTATTTTAATCCTTTTTAGACAGAGAGGTAGTGGTTCCATATTCTAAGTGTAATATAAAAGTTTAGATGACTGGTGTTTATTGAGCAGGAGTGTTTCCATATTGTGAGTGGGTATTTTTGCATTTCCTAATAGCTGTTTAATGACTTTCTTTGTATGGTAGAGATCTTTCTAACATATATTTTTTTTAACTCTTTTAATCCCCAAAGGGTCATAATGCCCATGTTTCTCAGAAACAGCTCAGCTGGTCTTCAAGGCCTAGTCACAAAGGAAATTAATTCCTGATGGAAGTGAGGACATCGAGGCAGAAAGAATTCCAGGCAGGCGGCTAGTAATGAATATTGATTGTGAGCTATGTGGTACTTGCTTCCCTGCAGAGCTACCACTTACTGTGGAGTAGCATACGTGAAACGTTGTGAAACGAAATGTCTGCCCATGGAGCATAGAATTTGCTACTCAGTGGCAAGTAGACATTAAAAATTCAATTATGAGGTGGAGTGGTGCTAGGGGTAGTCAGACTTTACAGCTGGAGGATGAAAGGGCAAATTTTGATATGCATTAAAGGGAGAAAAAAACACCAGTAGAGTATATAAAGTAGTAGTTCTTGCTGTAGGAACATTAGGTTATAGTGAAAATTGCTCAGAAGTTATCAGAAGAATGAGCTTTCCTGGCATTTGTATTTTAGTAACACGTGTGTGTATTTCAGCAGCTTTGTAAAGCCGAATGGGAGTTTGAGTGGAATGTGTTTTTAGTAGTGTCTTAGTAGAGTGTCACCTTACCATTCTGCAACACTATCTGTTTGTCACAGAAAGAACTAAAGAATTGTGTCAAGTCTTGAACTCTCAAAATATACCACTGGAAAAACTTGACAGGCCCAGTAGTAGGTGAGCCTGAGGTAACCAGATACATAAGCTTGTCAGCCATCTGTGCCTAGAATTTAGTGAAGTTTTCATCAGGTCAAATTTCCAAAGAATAGCTGTAACTAACCACAGGAGGGAATACCAGTGGTTAGTTAGGAAGGATGAATCCTCCTGCATTGGATAGTGGTTAGCCAACATTTTGATACTGAATTATTTCATTCAGCTTTTTGAAAGAAGGAAAAAGTTATTGGATTTTTAAAAATTATGAAAGGATTTGCTTACATGATAACTTCAAATAATACTTTGGTGTTTAAAATGTTGAAGTTCTTCCTTTTACTCCTTGATATTCCTGCTTTTTAGTTAGCAGTGTTAGTAGTTTGTTGTGTATCCTTTCAAAGCTTGGTTTATGTAGGCATGTCATTTACATACTGTGATGCTTTGCATTTAGTAGTATGTTACAATTCATCTTGGTATTTATAGTCTTTTTTTGAATATAGTAATTGGAGTGACAGATATTTTCATTTATGTAAACGTATGGAACTGCTGGAATACATCTGTTGTTACTAATTGTCACCAAAGGGAATTATGTTGATAGTGACTGCATTCTTGATATTGAAATTGGCCTACTGAGAGGGAAGCAGGGAAAAGCTTCATTAAATGGAATAGAAAAATATACTACTTCAATTTTATCCAGTTTTTGGCTGAAGTCTTCAGTGTTCACACATTTAATATCTTAGCCATGTGGGTAACTCCTGGGACAGCTCTGCTAATTTTTAGCGAAAGCATTCTGGAAACAATTTTGCTGTCCCTTTTCAAGACAAGCAGCAATATTTTTTACTGGTGTTTGGGACACTAGGTAAGTAGTATAACCTGACTCTCTACCTCACTGCAGAGGTGAAAATTCTACTTAATCATGTAGTTACGAGGTAATACAGACCTGAAACAAGTTGAGGAGAGTAGAAATAAGAAGTAATTGTGAAGGGAGAATAGAATAGATTTGGACAATTGGCTGAATTTTGGGATTTCCTGAGGGACTGAGGAGGCAGCAGGTTTTAGTGGATAGAGCATTAGTGAACAGGAGTCAGAATATTTGAATTCTAGCTAAGGGTTCTGCAACTAAAGTATAGCCTCTTTGGCCCGTGGTATATCTGAGTGTTAATTTGGGGCAAGAATTAGATTTAGGAGTTTTCAACCTTTAGCTGCAGAAAGTTTGTTGTTGTTAATTAGATACAAGTAGAGCTGTTTGAGGGGTAGAGGGAGTCCCATAAGTGTTCCAAAGAATCTTTAGGGTCTGTGGAGCCGGGTTTTTAAATTGAAAAATGGATGACCCCTTTGTAGACCTACTTTTAAAGTTTTTGCATAAGAGTGTTTTGTACCTTTGGTTCATAATGTACTTGGTCAGTCTTGATACCTGCACGGAAGAGGTCCTGTGCATACTTTGTAAAACTGAGAATTAAGATACTTATATATATGTCCATTGTTGAAATAAGACCAACAGAAAAGATGACCCATTTAAGATAGAATGTATAAAATAGCACAAATATAATTACCCTATGCAAAATGGATTCAGTAAAATAATTTTTATTACAAGGCTTGCCAACCTCTGGGGAAGAAAGAGCTACCTGTCACTTACCCGAGTTTTGAAATCCAGGTATATGTACATGATAGAGTGCAGAAATGTGCTGTTAAGTCTCTGGTTGGAAAGAGGATGAACCTGCTATTTTCATCTCTTCTTGGTGGGAAGAAAATCTTAGGGGCGTATCATTTTAGTAACCATCTTGGAGATCTGTCAGTAAGAACTGGAAACCTACTGCCAAGTTCCAGTTTACTAGTTAGGAACATCAGCTTTTAAAAATCGGTCTTTGTTAGTAATGCCAAATGCCTTTTAAACTCATAGGCCCACATAGACTTTTTGTATAGGTAATTCAGATCGGGGATGAAAGTGTAGTGATAAAGGCCTGAACTGTTAACCTTGATGACAGAGAAGTGGAACTCACTGTGTACAGTCTTTCTAAGATAAAATGTGTTTGGATTAAATAATGTATATAGGATATTGTTTAGTTCTGATTGTTTATAGTAAAAGCATTGCTGTCAGTGAGGCAGTATAGTGTAGTGATTGCAAGCTCTGGAAGTATACTGCCAAGGTGTGCATCATTCCTCTGTACTGTGTAGAATGGCAAAAGCAACCTTAAGAGGTAGACTGTATCTTTATGTAGCAAATTAAATTATGATATACTTTGCGTTATGTCTAACACAAATGATCAATAAAGGCTAGCTGCTGTTATAATGAATTTCCTTTCAGAGACATTAGTTATGTGCTCAGTAATCTTTTTGAAATGTTCTTTTTTATTTTTTAAGAATAGTTAAAAAGTGTCCTATTCCCTGTCCATCCCTGGCCCACCATGGTTTTCTTCAAGATTATCTTTAAAAAAAAAAAAAAAAAGATTGTTAAGCTGTTTGTTTTTGATGCTAGGAGTTTCACAGAAACTGTGAACATCCATCTCTTTTAGACCTAGTGATGAGCAGCATCACTACCTAACTTGGAAAACAGTGGTTAAGTTGAAACCTAACTGTAAAGTAAAAACTCAAATAAGAAATCTATTTTAAACTCAAATTTATTCCCTTGCTTGTTAGAAAACAAACTGACATTAGGGATTTGATTTTTTTAAACAAAAGGTAACTTCTAAGGTATCTGTGGTAAATTCAAATATAACAAAGTCTAGTCTTTTAGAATGTATTAATATGATTCTGTTGATATTAAGAAAGATGGCTCTGATGGCTACCTTTCTATGAAAAACTCCACTAATCAAAGAAAGATGGTTTCATTTATTATACATTTATTAACATGACTAGTACATTTTAAGTTTTTAATAGGTTGCAATTTAATGAAAGGATTTTTTTCTTAATCCTTCATTAATAAGAATCTTATTCCTCACCTTTCTTTTAACAAATATTGAGTATAATGTGTGCAGCAAGGCACTGTGGGGAAACAAAATTAGAGACATATCCTGGTTTCCAAATAATTTATAATCTGTTAACATATATTCTTTCTTCTTACCTTGTGCATCTTCATGGATTCATAGAATATGGCATTTGAATTAATTCATCAATTACATCTACAAATACATAGATTTGCTGAATATTAAAGCTGAAAGGACCTTAGAAATTGTCCATTCCAGTCTTCTGGTTATATACACAAGGGAACTGAGGTTTCAGGTTTTAATATATGTGTATGTATTTATTAAATGGAATGATTTCTATAAATATGCATTTTTTTTTTAAGACAGGGTCTACTTCTGTTGCCTAGGCTGAAGTGCAGTGGCACAGTCTCAGCTCACTGCAGCCTCCACCTCCGAGGCTCAAATGATCCTCCCACCTTAGCCTCCCAAGTAGCTAGTACTACAGGTGTGGACCACCATGCCCAGCTTTTTTTTTTTTTTTTGTATTTTTTGTAGAGATGAGGTTTTGTCTGGTTACCTTGGCTGATCTTGAGTTCCTAAGCTCAAGTGATCTACCTGCGCCAGCCTCCCAAAGTTCTGGGATTATAGGCGTGAGCCACCACACCTGGCTTAAATATACTTTTCAAAAAGTTACAATTTAAATTGGTATGTCCAGGCCAGGCACGGTGGCTCACACCTGTAATCCCCGCACTTTGGGAGGCTGAGGCAGGCAGATCACTCAAGGTCAAGAGTTCGAGACCAGCCTGGCCAACATGGTGAAACCCTGTCTCTACTAAAAACACAAAAATTAGCCAGGCATGGTGGTGGGCGCCTGTAATCCCAGTTACTTGGGAGGCTGAGGCAGGAGAATCGCTTGAATCCAGGAGGCAGAGGTTGCAGTGAGCTGAGATTGTGCCACTGCACCCCATCCTGGGCGACAGAGCGAGACTCTGTCTCAAAAAAAAAAGATATGTCCAGCATTTTGTTACCGCGTAGCTTCGTATTCATTTCTGAGACACTATTAGAGAGTATATGGTAATAAATTCTAGAGCATCATTGCTAGCTGACACAATCTTGGCCTGTTTTTTTTTAACCAGAGTTTATGATTTTACTAAATATGATAATCTGAAATTACTAAGTGGAGAACTACCTTTTGTAAATATTACTGTTCATTGATCTTTGTATACTACCATTTAAAATCAAGAGAGGCATTTTCTTTTGGAGCAGTAGGGCCTTGAATTGTGTACTTTATTCTAAGACAATAGGTTCTAGTTAATGGAAAAATTAGCTAAGGGTGGTATAGTTACCAATTAATATTGAATGTAGAAGAATAAGGTGGAAGATTTATAATTTTAATAGATAAAAATAAAATAGGAATTTTGGAGGTGCTTTGGAGGACTTGATACATTTGAATCTGAGACTCAGATATTTAACAATCAAAGGGATTCTTGGAAAATTATTGCTCCAGGTTTTGGGGAAGGTTTTTAAATCACAAATATACTGTATTTAGAATTGGAAGTTTATTGACCTAGAATTTTATTCTGGGATATCTCCACTCTAATTGCTTAATCTTACATAATACATCCTCCAGGTTCCCTGTAAGTTGAGTAATCATAATTCTCAGTTTGTGCCTGTTGCCCTGTCAGAATTATTAACAGCACCCCTTTCACTCTCAGAAGGATTCAGGTTTAGATGACAAATTATATGGTTACCTTACCCATAAGTGTAATTTATTCTCCTGGGCATTTAACGTGATAAAGGCTTAGGAGATTTCCTCCTATGACATTCTTTTCCTTATGATGGGAGATTTCTGTTTAATGGAGTTAGGAGAGCATTAATTAAGATAGCCTAGTTGAAGTCTGATAGATTTGTTTATTTATTTATTTATTTTTGAGACAGAGTCTGGCTCTGTCGCCCAGGCTGGAGTGCAGTGGCGCATCTCTGCTCACTGCAAGCTCCGCCTCCCGGGTTCACGCCATTGTCCTGCCTCAGCCTCCCACGTAGCTGAGACTACAGGCACTGGCCACCACGCCCGGCTAATTTTTTGTATTTTTTTTAGTAGAGGCGGGGTTTCACCATGTTAGCCAGGATGGTCTCAATCTCCTGACCTCGTGATCCGCCCACCTCGGCCTCCCAAAGTGCTGGGATTATAGGCATGAGCCACTGCGCCTGGCCAGTCTGATAGATCTTAAGGTTTAAGAGTCCCATGTTTTCTTTTCTTCCTTTTTTTTTTTTTTTTTGGAGACAGGATCTCGCTCTGTGGGCCTAGGTTAGAGTGCAGTGGTGTGATCACGGTTTATTGCAGCTTCGACCTCCTGGGTCCAGGTGTTCCTCCACCTTAGCCTCTTGAGTAGCTGGGACTATAGGTACATACCACCATGCCTGGCTAATTCTTCACATTTTTGTAAGACACAGGGTCTCCCTATGTTACCCAGGCTGGTCTTGAACTCCTGGGCTCAAGCGATCCTCCTGCCTTGGCCTTCCCGTGTTGGGATTACAAGCATGAGCCACTAGGCCCAACCTGTCCCATGTTTTCTGTGCTTGCATCAGAAACACAAGATAGGTGACCATTACTAGCTTGTCCGAGCAGAAGTTATTTTTGCTTGCTCAAAAGTAGCTTTGCATTTATGTATCATTTAAAAAATTCCAATCAGATATGCTCAGTGTCAAGTGCAAATAAACCTCAGTACATGATTATAAGTATTTTTCAGTTGATACTTTTAATTTAAAAAAATCGACTGCATTTTTAGAGCAATTTTAGGTTCACAGCAAAATTGAGCAGGAAGTACAGAGAGTTCCCATGTACCCCCTGTCCCCACACACATACAGCCCCCACTATCACATTCCCACCAGAGTGGTACATTTGTTACAGTTGATGAACCTACACTGACACATCATCACTCAAAGATCACAGTTTAGGACTTTGAGTTTAGGGTTCATTCTTGATGTTGTGCATACTATGAGTTTTGAGAAATATATAATTACATACGCTAATCATTAGAGTATTATACAGATAGTTTCACTGTCCTAAAAATCCCCTGTGTACTACCTCTTCATCCCTCCTTCCTTCTTATCTCCTGGGACCACTGATCTTTTTATTGTCTCTATAGTTTTGCCTTTTTCAGAATGTCATATATGTAGTTGGAATCATACTGTGTACCCTTTTCAGATTGGCTTATTTCACTTAGTAATATGCATTTAAGGTCTCTCCTTGGCTTTTCATGGCTTGAGAGTTTGTTTTGTTTTTGTTTTGTTTTGTTTTGTTTTTGCATTGAATAGTATTTTACTGTTTGGGAGCATATTTAATTTTAAGAAAATGTTCTTGATAGTCTGTTTCGAGATTGGCATACTAAATTCCACAAGTGGGAACTTTTAATTATTTAACAGTGAGTTGAATACGTGATAAATTCCCATTTAATGGGAGTGAAATTGCGTATTACTTTAAGAATGATTGTCTTCCTGAATGAACAATAATTATATGAGTTGTTGAGAATTCAGGGACAAATACAGGATCTTCATAAACTGTGTCATACCAAATATCAAATATTCTTTGGACTCTGGCTCAGTGTAACTGTATAAATAATTTTTGCTACTATCACAACTTAAGTAGTGGGAATGTTTGCAGTTTCAGCACATTGTCCATATGGTCCATATGTAACGGAGTCAAATTTGTCTCATTTTTCAAGATTCAAAATAAGACTCAGTAAAGTTCTGCTGAGCATCCTCAATTTTTTTTAAATTGAGAAACCACTGGGGCCTAGAGGGGGGAAAATGTTCCCATTTCATGCCATTGTGGAAGTGAAGAGTCTCTTGTTCAGTTGCCTGTGTATCACTATCATATCCTTATTTTCCAAAATCATATTTGTTTAATCTTTACAGAAATACTGGAGGGGACCAGAAGGGTAGGAAAAGGGGCATAAACATTGTAATATTTCATGAACTTTTATCACAGTCTAAAATAGGGGTTACTATTTCTGTTAATATTTTCTCTAGAATCACTGGTCCGTGGCATATTGGCTTTGTTTCTTTTCAGTACTCTTTACTGCAGAGTGGGAGTTGGTTTAGCTTTGGGCTTTAGGCTGAGATTCCGCTTGTTTTCCTTTTTAAAAGTTGAGAAAATTTGGTTGGGATTATGCGTTAGCTTTTTCTCCACAGAAAGCATTCCATGTTAAGTGAAATAACCCAGGAATGGTAATTTAAACACTGCATGTTCTCACTCATATGCAGAAGCTTAAAAAAAAGTTGATCTCATAGAAGTAAAAAGTAGGCCAGTACAGTGGCTCATGCCTGTAATCCCAGTACTTTGGGAGGTCAAGGCAGGAAGACCACTTGAGGCCAGTAGTTTGAGACTAGCATACTGTACAAAAAACGTAGCAAGACCCTCATCTCTACAAAAAACTAAAAAACTTAGCTGGGTGGGGTGGCACACACCTGTAGTCCTAGCTACTCTAGAGGCTGAGGTGGGAGGATTGCTTGAACCAAGGAGTTCGAGGTTACAGTGAGCTATGATCATGCCACTGCACTCCAGCCTGGGTGACAAGAGCGAGACCCTGTCTCTAAAAAAAGAAAAAAAAAAGTAAAAAGTAGAACAGGAAGGTGAGGGAAGAAAGGAATAGGGAGGGATTTGTTTAAGGACACAAAATTAAAGCTAGATAGGAGGAATAAGTTGTAGTGTTTTATAGCTAGAAAATACTAGAAGTAGGATTACTATAACAGTAATACATACTTTCATGTTGCTAAAATAGAAAATACTGAGTGTTCACGACACAGATGATAAATGTCTGAGATGATGGATATGCTAATTACCCCAATCTGATCATTACACATTGTATATATATTGAAACTTCACTATGTATCCCATAAATATATATACTTATTATGTGTCATATAAATATAATTTTTATGTGTCATATAAAAAAGTAAGGGGAAAAAAGCATTTCCAAAGGTAATCTTTGGAACCATATGGATACTGTTTTTCTCAGAAGGTAAGGATTCTTTGTGTGTGTTTTTTGTTTGTTTGTTTGTTTTCAGGGACGGAGTTTCGCTCTGTCACCCAGGCTGGAGTACAATGGCGCCGTCTCGGCTCACTGCAACCTCCATCTCCTGGGTTCAAGCGATTCTCCTGCCTCAGCCACCCGAGTAGCTGGGATTACAGGCCCCCACCACCACGCCCAGCTAAGTTTTTGTATTTTTTAGTAGAGACGGGGTTTCACCATGTTGGCCAGGCTGCTCTTGAACTCCACCTCAGGTGATCCACCTGCCTTGGCCTCCCAAAGCGCTGGGATTACAGGCGTGAGCCACTGCGCCCGGCCAGGATTCTTTGTAAAGGCTAATAGCATTACACACTCTACTCAAGCGAAGTCTAATGCTGCTTTGAGACCTTCTGGTATGGATACTGTGCCTTATATCTGAGTCATTGACATGGAGTTTTAAGTCTTCTGAAGCAAAGTAATAAAATATTTACTTGACATTATTAAAAGTGTTGTCTAGATATGGGAAGGGAATTAGTTCCTAACTTGGGGTATTTTATCCTAGTGAAAGTGCATTGCATTCAGTGGTGAATCATTTGGAAAGAAGTATAATTATGTAGAAAGTTCCATTCTCAGTTTCTTTTTCATCCTCCCTGAGTCAGCTCATCTCCTCCCATGGCTTCAACGTCCATAAGCTGATGATTCCCAAGTGCATATTTCCAGCCTCCACCTCTCTCCTGCATATCAGATCCTTATTTTTAACTACATTTGGATATCTCCAGATGTCTGTAAAGCCAGCTCAGCCTGCTTTCCCTTATTACAGTTATAGTATCACTGCCCACCCCACGTCAATAAGTTCATTTGATTCTATCTTGTAAACATTTCTCATGTCTGTTACCTTCTCACCATTCCCACAGCCACTCTTAATTAGTTCAGACTATTTTTCATTTGGATTATTGAAGGAGCTTCTTAACTCCTTGTTGACTTCCTTATTTCTGACAGCCATTGTACTGCCACCAGTCAGAGCAGTCATACCCCTTGTTCTATGGAAAGAAGCCCAATATGCTCTTCATAGCTTACAGGATACCTGTCATTCTCCCTATATTGTGAGGTCTTGAGGATATTTTTCTGAATAGCATGAGCACTTAATAGGTGCTTGACATATAATAGCACTCAAAAAATGTTGAATTTTTTCACCTTTATCTAGAACTCATTCCTACTAATTGTAATACTGTGCTCATGGTGTTTCCTCTTGCCTAGAACAAGACCATCTCTCCCCGCAACTGACAAGGCTAGATTTAGATTTCAATGCATGAGCTTTCTAGGTATACGTTAGTCCAACAAAATTATTTTTTATATATGTTCCTGTTGTACATACCTGTCATAGAAGTGCTGTTGTCAGTGGTATTGTATTTTGATTATTCTGTCTTGTGTCTTGCAAGGTTGAAATCTGTTTAGGAACAAAGTTTATCCCTGTGCACAGTCCTTGGTAAACAGGACCTCAATAAATGGTAAATTGAAGCATCCTGTCAGTGTATACACTGGAAAACTGAACAAATCCAAGATAAAAGTCATTGTTTTGAAATCATAGTGACACAGTTTTTTTAGCAACTGTTTTTGCTACTCTACTTCTTTTGGCCATGGATCACAGACCCAGCTGTTGGGAGAATCTTTATATGATTTCAGAAACATCTGTGTGGCTCTTATGCCTTTGTTTTCCTTCCATTTAAACAAGCTCAAAATTTGCACAATATTTGCACAGTTTCAGATTCTCCAAGATATTGTCAGAGTATGGTCCCTGGAGCAGCAGCACGGGCATCACCTGAGAACTTGTAAGTGCAGTCTCAGGCCTCAGTCTGTGTTCTAACAGGCCCTCCAAATGATTCTGCTGCATGGTAAAATTTAAGAATTACTGCTTTAGAATTTTGTCATCTAAGGAAAGCTTTGCCTTTTGTATGTAATGACAAAGTTCTCAGTGTGATTTCTGCTATAAGCTATTTATGCTTTGGAAATATTAATAGTTCATCAGCTGGGAAGACTAGGACTACGGTTACCTAACATCCTGAGATGTGATTCAAAACTTGAATTTCCCTCTGGTCAGAGTTTTTGACTCTGTGGTTTCTGAGAATGGCTGTTTAAAAAAAGGTGGGGAGAAGTAGCTTACTACCTCTTTCAGTTAAAATGTCTTCTAGATTATACTTAGACTATCAGCTTGGACTGCTTGTGTTCATTGTCATATTCATGCGATATATGATGATGGAAGAATGAGATGAATTTTGGTATCTTAACATTTAAGTCCTGATTGTTACTGTGTTGTCAGAGACAGAAAGTAAGCTTGTTATCAGAAGTTACGCTGAATTTATAGACAGGTGCATTTCACAGAAAAAGTTTGGCAAAGATTAGCTTTTGAGCAGTAATTACCTATGGCTTTTGAGAATGGTTTATTCAACTTGCTAAAGAAAAAAAAATGATAACGTGTTAAAGCATGGTAAGAAAGGCTTTATTTAGAACATGGTGATAGATGTAGGGACCAGACCACTGCAGTGAGATTCTGCACTGGGGAGAGAGATGGGCTCAGCTCTGAATACAGCATAGGCAGGTGGGGGTCAGTGGATGGAAAATTACTAAGAGGAAACATTAGGGGTAAGGAGGATTTGGCTAAGCCAACCTAAACATTCTCACTGAGGATAGGCCAGGTTGATCAGACCTCAGCTAGGGAATGGTGGAGGCTGAAGAACCTGATCTGATACTGAGGATGATCAAAGATGGGGGTTCTTGCTAAACTGACTTAGCAAGGTTCTTTGCTAAAACTGAATTTTACAAGGAAGTTCACAGATGGGCCTAGGAGAAGGTTCAGAAGCCTACATATTGGTCAAGCAAAGAATCTTTGTCGAATTGAAGTATTAAAGCTTTCTAGTATATTGTTTTCATTTTGGCTTTAATGCTAACTGGAGAGTCAGTTGAAGTACACTCTTTAAATGTTTTGTAACTGGTATTATTTTTCTTTTAATTAATTAAAATTGTTTTTGGCCTCAAAGCTCCATTTTGGATGTAGTTCTAGATCTGCCCATAGCTACTTTTGACAATCTCTTGGGATAAGAGAGCTTTTATGAGCATTTGCTTAAATATGTAAGGGTTTCACTTACATATTTGAACCAGACCTTTCATTAATAACTCTCTTTAAGATATAGCTTATTTGTGTGCATTTTTCTGTTTCCCCTGCATGAGACATTCCTGGTTTTTAATGGCTAGCAAAACCAGCTTTTTCTCTTAGGGACCAGCAGCTTAAGTACTATTTGTGAAGTTGGGAAGTGAATTACCTAAAATTCCCCTGAAAATACTAGCTTGACAATAGTTTGTGGCTGCTGCATTTTTCTCCTTGGACAGACACATCCTTAGTTTTAAAAAAGTCATGGTCATTTTGATGTCAAAGTCAAAATGGGCCCTGATTTATTGTATTTGGCCACACTTTCTTGGATCTGACTGCTCAAGAGTAAATTAAATGCCTTTTTCCTCCCTGGGGTGAAGGAGAAACATTGTTAGTCTCCAGCAGTGTCTTTGATAATGAAGCTGTTTACCTGAGTACTGTAAAAGCCTGCAAGTGGCTAGCATTTTCTTTTTATTTTTTTTGAGAAGTAGTTTGCTTTGTCACCCAGGTTGGAGTGCAGTGGTGTGATCCTGGCTCACTGCAACCTCCACCTCCTGCATTCAAGCGATTCTTGTGCGTCAGCCTCCCAAGTAGGTGGTATTACAGGCGTGAGCCACCGCATGATGGCCATAGTATTTTCTGATAAGTAACATACAGGCAGAGCTTTCAATCTGTTAAGAGTCCATGTGAGGATATTCAGGATCATAGGAAGGAACCCTGGAAGACAGACGTACAAAAGGAATGCAAGAGGGGTTCAATTGTGAGCTGATTCTTCTCTTTGCTTTTAACATTTTCCAATTCTTTTTTTTTTTTTTTGAGGTGAGTTTCGCTCTTGTTGCCCAGGCTGGAGTGCAGTGGTGCGATCTCAGCTCACCGCAACCTCCCCTCCTGGGTTCACCTCATTCTCCTGCCTCAGCCTCCCGAGTAGCTGGGATTACAGGCATGCGCCACCATGCCCACCTAGTTTTGTATTTTTAGTAGAGACGAGTTTTCTTCATGTCGTTCAGGTTGGTCTCAAACTCCTGACCTCAGGTGATCTGCCCGCCTCGGCCTCCCAAAGTGCTGGGATTACAGGCATGAGCCACCGCACCCGACCTACATTTTCCAATTCTTTCTGTTTCTCAGGTCTGATGTCAGGTTCTATTTTTGTAAGATTTTTTTTTTTTAACCAGAATTTATTCTAAATCATTTTTATTAATTTCTGGCAGCCTTACCTCATTTAATGTCACTTTCTATTTGAAACATGTTAATTTTCTGGATCAGTGGTTTGCAGTGCTTTTTTCTTTTGGAAAATGGAAAGATTTGGAAACAGTCAGTCCAGTAGACATCCCCCTCCTTCATGGATGTGTGTGAGCCCTGCCCCCAGTTTCTTCCACACTGCTTTTGAGGTATGTTAATAGAACACTCAGGACTAGTTTAGATCATTCTTTTCCCCCCCCCCCCTTGAGACAGGGTCTCTACTCTGTCACCAGGCTGGAGTGCAGTGGAATGATCATAGCTCACTGCAGCCTCAACCTCTCAGGCTCAATTGATCCTCTTACCTCAGCCTTCCAAGTAGCTGGGACTAGAGGTGCATACCACCATGCTCAGCTATTTTTGGTAGAGACAGGATTTCACCATGTTGTCCAGACTGGTGCAGTCCTCCCACCTCAGCCTCCCAAAGTGTTGGGATTACAGGCATGAGCCACTGCGCCTGGCCTTAGATCATTCTTTACCTAATAGAGTAGAATGCTTGCATAAAACTGACATGTTATTACATTTATAGCTTTACAGGTTACAAAGTAATTTTATGTACATTGTTCATGTGAATCTTGCCATGACCTTATGAAGAAGATAGGAATCATTGTCCCCATTTTTCAGATGAGGAAACTGAGGTTGAAGAAATGGAAAAATCCATCCCAAGTTTTTTAAACCATGGCTCATTTCCCTATAAGGTGAGCTCTCATCTTAATAGACCCTTAACTGTTCACTCATCTAACAGTAGTACAATCTAGACTCAGGGTCTGGAAGACCCCTGAAATATGCAAAACTTTGGTTATATTTTTCTGAGTTGAGAGATTCCCATAATTTTTGTTTTCTTTCTTTGTTGAGACAGGGTCTCCTCTGTCGTTCAGGCTGGAGTGCAATGTTGTGACCCCAGCATGCTGCAGCCTCAACTTCCTGGACTCAGGTGATTCTCCTGCCTCAGCCTCCTGAGTAGCTGGAATCATAGACTTGCACCACCACACCTGGCTAATTTTTTGAAGAGACAGTTTTTTGCCGTGTTACCCAGGCCGGTCTCGAGCTCTTGGACTCGAGCGATCAGACCACCTTGGCCTCCCAAAGTGCTGAGATTATGAGTGTGAGCGGCCCATGTTTTTTTTTAAATCATACTTTTAAATTTTTTTCTTTTTTGTCATTGACTTTTTTTTAAACCTGTAGATCTAGGTAGATCATGCTTGTTTAGCTTGTCAGTAGGAATTGGCAACAGGACTGAATGAAAGTTTTTGTTGAGGGAGATCCGTCATACCAAATGCTTATTTCTTGTCTGTCCTAAAGTAACTTAACATTTGCATAGAGTAGTTTACAGAACTCTTACACATAATGTAACATGATTTTCACAACTACCCTATAAAGAAAGTGGCATCATTCCCATTTGAAGAAACTGCTTAAAGTTAAGAGAATTTGTGTTGTGGAGGTGCTGACTCAAAACCTGACACCTTTTCTTAGGCTGAAATTAAGCTAATGTGACATGATCTCAGATTCCATAACTACATCTTATATTTTGTAAATTAACAGTTTGGCCTGTTCAATATCCAGTATCTTCCCAAATATTGTTAAGCAGCCTGATTTATAATTGATAGGATTATTTTCTACTTTAAAAGAATTTTTTTTGAAAAGGAGAATTTGTACTGCCTCTCTTTATTCTTATTATTCTTGGACTTTCCAGATTATTCATAATATCTTAGATTTAATGGTTTATAACTCTGAAAACACTTGCTAATTCCTTGAGTCCACATACATGTGTCTGCTATTATCACTTTGTTCATTCCAGTTTGCTCTAAAGATAGGAAGGAATGAAGAATTCCCTTCTTTTTCATTCCCTTCTGCAGTTAACATTTCCGTTCTGGTTCTCATTTTATTTGGAAGGTTAAGGTTAGTTTTTTGTTGTTTCTTGAAGAACTTGGATTTTAAGTTAAGCTCATTTTGGATGTGAAGTTCTGCTTCCCAGCCTGTTGTGGAGCAGTGCTGCAGGCTGCTGCCCGTGGCCTGTTTAGCACTTATTTCTATGGAGACATATAATAATAGCTAACATTATTGAGTGCTTACTATGTGTCAGGTACTGTTTTAAGCTATGTTATCTCATATAATCCTCACAATAACCCTGTGAGGTAGCTGCTATTATTAGTCCCGTTTTACAGATTAGGGAGATGAAGCTCAGAGAGGTTAGGTCACTTGCTTACAGTCATACAGTTAGTGACAGAGCCTTATGTGAATCCAGACAACTGATTTTAGAGTTTGCTGCATTTGGTCACTAAACTATGTAGTTTCTCTTGGCATGAACTAGATTCCCCTATTTTTCCAAAGCAGAAGGCTGGCTGGTATAGATGCCTTTGGTCATTTTGAATGGTATAATTTCAGAATAAAGGGTGGACCCTGGTTTAGAAGCTAGTGATAGGGATGATCTTAATTTCCAAACTTTTGTCATATCTGCCTGATCAAGGTACCTGTGGAAGGAGCAGGTTTGAATTTGGAAAATGTTTTGTAATTGCTGCCATCTCTACCTAGAGATGAGACTAATCTGTGGTACCTCTTCCTGCTGCAGAGAATGAGGTTACCCCATTTCCTCTGCTCCCAGGACTTCAAGCCTGCCTTACCCTTGGTCAGTACACACAGAATGAGTGCATATAGACTTCTGACCTGCCTTTGGTGTTAAGGAATAGTGATGAATGATCTGTTTCCTGATTAACAGGAAGGATAGGCAGGCTCTACAGTAGTTTGTGTAGGCTCAAGTCTGTGACAGCCTCACAGCAGTTAAGGGTCCTTTAGACATTTGAAATACTCATAGTTCCTGTATTCACGTTTAGATGTCAGTGGGTCTTGCTCAGTCTTTATTTTGAGGTAGACGATTTGAATTTGTGTGTGTGTGAGAGAGACAGAGGAGAGAAACGCTCTTATGATCTTGGCTGTCATTTTCTCTTTATTGCGAGGAACGAAGGAGAGAACAGCATGAGCCAGCCACAGGGAATTAGAGGTAGAGGGGGTTTGAAGGGAACAGCTGTTTTTAAAAGAGGTGACAAAAGCAGGCAAGACTTAAAGGCCTGGCCTTGGCAGTAGTCAGTTGAGGGAGAGAGAAAGTTAGTCTGATTTCTTGTTCTGTGGGTTGCCCTGGAGGTAAATGTGAAAAATCATGATAGTCTCTCCTATATAGGGCTAGGCTAGCTTTTTTTACTTCCTTAGGGCATATATGAAAGCAGTTTTCCTGGGATTGGGCTCAACTTGCTCTTCTGTGTTTCCTTTTTCTTCTCACCCTCTGCTACATATCCACACATCCAGTTTTTCCTGCCAGCAAGCTCCTCCTTTTCTCCGGCTGCTAGTCCCAGCTGTCATCTTTGCCTCCCATCCCCCATCCCCAGTTATGCAATTTTACATTACGCTTCTCTTGGGTTTGCTGCCTCCATTTTTAATGCTCTGCCTGCTACCCCCTCCAGCATCAGCTTCTAGTCTCTTCCTCCCTCAAAGCCAGTAACCACTGTTCAGTTTCCCTCTTTATCACTGTTGCTCTGAATGCACTGATATTAATACTTTCCCAAAACTCTTGCAGATCTGGGCCCAGTCACTTAAGATAGTGGGTGGAGACGATGGTGGGGAAGAGGGTGGGGTAGGAGGTTGTCTTACAAAATTTAGGGTTTTTCCAAAATATTGGATGACCCTTGACCTAGAGAGCAAACAGATGCTTCTGTTGGCCTCCCAACTTTAGGCAGTGTGTGCTTTCTTGTTGAAGGTACATATTTGTTTGAAAGCCCTTAGTAATGAAAGGCAGGGCAGTGAGTCAGGCTCTGAACCTCCTGCTGCTGCTGCTGAGAGCCAGTTCTTTTCCTGAATTGAAGCTAATTTTGGATGGATAATAAGGTGGATGGTTGCTAATAACTTTCCCTTGCTAATTGTGATTTCACAGTACTTTGTAAAGAGGGTTCTTTTCTCTTTTCTCTTTTTCTTTTTCTTTTCTTTCTTTTCCATGCTGTTTGGAGGGGGAATAGATCTCTTTTCATGGTTTTTGATGAGTGTTCAGCTATCAAGGAATTCCTTAGTTTGTTTAGAGGCAGCACAGTTTATTGGAAAGAACCCTAGACTAAGCTAAGACCTGCATTCTAGTCCCAGCCCCACTCAGGATTAACTGCCTAAGTGATTTTGGGCAAGTCATAAACCTGTCTCCGCACCTGCCCTATGTATGAACCTTGTGGAACTGTGCGAATGAAATGAGATGTGATGTATGTGGAAGCTCTTTGCAAACTGCGGAGTTTTATAAAACTTTCAGGTGCTGCCCTTTATTAATTTGGCTCCTGACTACAGCATCAGAGAAATTTTTCCAGTGTCTTGTAAATTCCTTCCTTCTCTGAAGCCAGCCTTCTCCAGAGCAGGGCATTGGAATCATCAGAACTAGAGGCAGTCTTGCCTCAGAATCATCTTATCTTTTCACACTGTTCACCCTCCCCCCAGTTGCTTTAAGAACTCTTTGACCCAGTGCTTCTCTATCTCCATTCTCTAGTAAGATTATAATTTTATGGAGTTAGTGATCATAGTATGTTGCACAATTGGTCAAAGGTTCCTGGCTTTTTGTGGCCAGGAATTATTATTAATTAATTTATTAATTAAACTAAGTGGTGACAAAGCATATCTTTAACTTAAGTAACTACAAAAACCTTTTCAGGCCAGTGAGACACATTGACCACAGTTGTGGTAAGTGTTAAGAGACCATGCTTTCACTTTGGATTCCAGGCCAGACTCTTTGTTATTAGCTTGTGACCGTGGGCAAAATATTTAACTTTTTTGGACGTTAGTTTCCACATCTTTAAGAAAAATTATAATGGCACTTATCATAATGAATAAATGAATTTTGAATATGATAATGAATAAAGTGCTTAGCACATTGCCTAAACATATAATGCATACTTAGAAAATGTCACTGTTACTCTATATGTCTAATAATGGTAATAACAATAATGGCCTTCAAAGACCATTGTTGGCATTTTAAAGGGTTTTTTATCTTGTGTTTTAAAAGTTCATTTAAATATACATCCTATAATTTACTAATGCAAAGAACATTTTTGTCTTGGTCCCATTTTCCTTGATACAGGTAGAAAATTGAACTGACTCAGATCAGCATTCCTTACTCTTAGCAGGAAGTCTTGCCCAGGGTGGCATGATCTGGCTGAGTGACTCGCCCAGTTGTGTGCAGTGGGAATCATAGTCAGACTGTTTCTCAGCTACCTGTGACTTGTGTGTTATTAGGACTTGGGGTTACAGTGGAATTGGATGGATTCTTGGTGAAAGGATACTTTCAGGCATCTTTTTTACATTAGCATTGTCAACAGATTGATAAACAGGCTTAAGTCTAAGGCTGCTTTGAAGTACAATACAGAAGAAGGGAAAAAGTACAAAAGAAATCCACTAACAGTTCTAGGGCATAATCGAGTACATAATTACCGCATTTGAGAGGCTGTAACTCCCCAAGTTCACAGATAATGTGATAAGACCATTTGTGATTACCACTTATGGTCAAGAATATGATTAAAACAGAATAATACTTTTACTGCATTTCAGGGATTTACTGATATCCAGTTTTCTCTGGTGATTGAGCCAGTAGTAAAATAAATAAAACCAACTTCCTTTACTTCCCCTCCCTCCCTCCCTTCCTTTTCTTTCTTTCTTTCTTTCTTTTTTTTTTTTTGACGGAGTCTCGCTCTGTCGCCCAGGGCAGAGTACAGTGGCACGATCTTGGCTCACTGCAACCTCCGCCTCCTGGGTTCAAGTGATTCTTCTGTCTCAGCCTCCCGAGTACCTGGGACTACAGGTGAGCACCACCATGCCCAACTAATTTTTGTGTTTATAGTAGAGACGGGGTTTCACCATACTGGCCAGGCTGGTCTTGAACTCCTGACCTCATGATCCTCCCGCCTCAGCCTCCCAAAGTGCTGGAATTACAGGTGTGAACCATCACGCCCGGCCCTCCTTTACTTCTTTGTTTATATTAGCTGGCATTGACTTTGACAGGTGGGCAGGTGGTAGTTTGTGAGACCGAGACATGGCTCCTTGGATACCACTTTATTGGGCAGTGAGCTCAGCTCTTCATGCAGGGGCTTGGGGGCTCCTTTCTGTAATTCTAAAGCTTCTCCTGCATCTGAGAATGACATCTGTTGGGCTTCTTGGGGCCTCTGGTAGATATTTCCTTACAAGGAATGCATGCTGGATCTGAAGAGGTAGTTTAAAATGGCATATTAAAGGCAGAACGTTTAGTCTAAGCCTGTTAATCACTGCATTCCTGTGCTCCCCAGAGTCTGAAAATGTCAGGAATTGAAAGACTAGTATGAATTTGGAGGTCTTGGCCTCTACTTGAGTAAGTATAGTACCTCCATTAATGTTCTTAGTCCATGGTGTGGGGTTATCACCAAAGGCAAATACTGCTATGGATGTAAACAGGAATTTTTCCACTTAGTAACCTCCATTTTCAGCTAGCCCTGTTAACATCCTTGGCTTCTGGACTGTAGGAAAACAGTTCCATTTATTTCATCCTTTCCTCTGGAATGTTCTTAATTTGATGTTGGCAGATCCTGACCTCACTCCCTGCTTACTGCACAGGGGCTGGCTTGGCTTATGCAGCAGGCCTCCCAGGGGACGTTTCCAAGCCAATCAGAATGCCCTCTTTTAGTGTCTCTCTTTATACCTTCGGATACTGTCTGAATCAGTAGAAATGCTGAATGAACCCTAGGTGGGGTGGAAGGGTAAGAGAGAGTATGCTTGCACTCTGATTTTGTTTCCTATGGACCTAACTCCAAGTTTTTAAACTAAGCCTGGATTTTTTTTTTTTTTAACTCTTTCTGCCATTTCCACCTTGTCTTATGGAAGTGTAACCTCAAGCAAATTATGGGCAATTAGAGGTAGGCATCAACTTTAGTTCCTGGGCAGTTCCTAAGAGTGTTGGTTGAGGCCTGGCTTTCACCCTAGTGTTTAGTTTAATTCATCAGGGTACATTTCTCATTCTTCTGAGCTGGCTTCTAGAAGCCAGGCAATTCAACTGTATGGAGCCTGTCAAATACCATAGCTTTTCAGATTTTTCTAGGTAATGGATCTATGGGGTTATGGAGGGCACAGTCCCTCCATTAGCTGGCAGTGAGTTGGGTTGCTGGTATTGTTGGTCCCACTTCTGAGCTGACCCACAAAGTATTAATATCTCACTGTGGTGTGAAGTACAGACTGTCTTGTTCTCCTGAGGGTCTGCATTCAGGAAGAGGCTGCCTAACGCTAAACAACTGGGTTGTTTGTTTGCCATAGGCCCAGGGAAGAATAGGAGGTGGAGAAAGTCTAATCGAACCCAGGATAGAATCCTGTGTGAGAGAGAAATTTGCTACTCTTTCAGTTGAAATTTGAACTCTGAATCCCAAGAGAAGGCACCAGTAGGTCATTTAATACTTCTTGTTGAGGCTTGCAAAAGACACTGCATTTCTAACAAAGCGTTTGCCCATCCAAAAGAGAGATCCTGATTTGGCATATAAAACTACTGCCTCTTCTGGTTATCTTTCATCACTTGCCTGAGTTTAAAAAGGTAATAAATGGTTTGTGTTCTAAGGAAAGAGGCTCTTCCCAAGACCTGAGGCTTTCTCATTCCTACCAGCTGGGCCCATTGCTAAAATGCTTTCCAGTGGGCTTGCTTCTGCCTGGCCAGCACCTGGGCTGCCCCAGCTTGTAATTAGCCTGCCTTTGCTTCATAAGCTTCCCAGGGTGTGGTTCTTCTTCTAAAAGCTTGTATGAATTGCTGTACTGTCTCTTTATAGTTTAAAAATGAATCCTTTTTTGTTCTTTGCAACTCATTTGCTTTTTTCTTTTCTTTTCTTTAAATTACTATTAACACCTGTTGATTCTTTTTTTTTTTTCTGATTGGCCTGTCACTGCATTCCTGCTCCCCCTCCCTCTAGCTGGGTTTGTCAAGTCGCCCATGTCAGAAACTAAGCTCACGGGGGACGCCTTTGAGCTGTACTGTGACGTGGTCGGGAGCCCCACGCCAGAGATCCAGTGGTGGTACGCAGAAGTCAACCGGGCAGAGTCTTTCAGACAGCTGTGGGACGGTGCTCGGAAGCGCCGTGTCACCGTAAACACCGCCTACGGGTCAAACGGCGTGAGTGTGCTGAGAATAACCCGGCTCACCTTGGAGGACTCTGGGACTTACGAGTGCAGGGCCAGCAACGACCCCAAGAGGAATGACTTGAGGCAAAACCCCTCCATAACATGGATTCGAGCCCAGGCCACCATAAGCGTCCTTCAGAGTGAGTCCAGCACCCTACAGTAGTAGTACTGTAGTCATTAGAGGTGGCCCAATGACCCTTCCCTTCTGCATCCTTTCCCTCTTCCCCAGTATGATCACTCACCCCACCCCTTGTCTTCGTTTTTTTTTCAATCCCATGACCCTTCTGGTTGTAGTGTATGAAAACATCTGTGGCAACTTTTTTTCTTCTTTTCTTTGCCGTTCTCTCTGCCTCCCTTATCCCCCAACCCTTCTCTGTGTCTTTCTTCTCAGGAACAAAGAACTTGAGGAAATCCGTGACTGTCCAAAATCATCTGTGTTGGGAAGAGTTGGGGAGGGAGAACTGGGAAGCTTAAATTAAAACTCATAAAACCAGGCAGTCCAAGGAGGGTAGTGTTGAAATGGTTTTCCCTCCCCTTTGATTTTGTAGTAGGTTTCCTGCTATACTTTTGCTGATTTCTTCTCTGGTGCCTTTCTATTTTTGTTTCTCTCCCCAGTCTAACTACTTTTTATTTCTTCTGTTCTTCTGTTTGAAGCTCTCTAAGTAGCTGCCTTCACCTCTATGGTTTTAAGTTTGTGTCTGCCCAGCCTCTTCCTTTAACTGTGACTTGGTGTCATCTTGTTGTGATGGGAATGTTGCCATGGGTGCAGTGTGGTGGTGTGTTTTGGTTGTTGGGTGGCATGTAAGCTTGGATATTTTCATAGTTCCAGCTCTTTTTCTTTTCTAAAACCGTGGCATGTGCTTCTCTGATAACAGCCCTCTACTGCAGCAGTGTACTCCTCACTGGGCCTGCTAATTAGTCTCCTCTTTAAAAGCAGCAGCCTGGGACTTCCTTCTTATGTTTTGCTGTTAGGAGCCAGGTGACACTAAGCTGCAAATTATTATTTTTTTAGCCCATCACACTGTTTGGAAGTCAGAGTTGCAGTTGATTCCTGTTCACGGTTTGACTCTGATGAGTAGCTGTTGGCACAGTGTACCTTATCCCAGAGCATGGGAACTCCAGACATAGTGTGGGGACCACTCACACTGGCCTTTTCTTTGTGTCTTGAAAAAAGAGGAAACTAACTTCCAACCTGGTTTCTCATAGTGATGGGGTGAGCTGACCAGCTGGCTCAGAATCCTCTCCTTGTAGCAGGTATGCGTGAGACATATGACACCGGGACTTTTGTGGCCACTTCTCTCTCTTTCTTGAAAGTGACTTGCTACCTTATGTTGAGAAGCAGAGAGAGGGAGAAGCCACCACAGAACCAACGTTCCTGGCCAAGAAGAGTTCTGGCCCCACATCAAACCTGGTTATAATTGAGGGGACATTCACTTTTGGAAAGATCCTCTGGGTTTTTCACCTTCTCTTTGAGGACACAATGAGAGATCTATAGCCAGTTCCAGCTTAAAGAGCTGATTGATCTAGAGAAAGTAAGAATAGTAAAATCTTACTTTGATGAGGAATTTGGTAATAACATAAAGTAGTAAGACATGGGCCTTGAGTCTATATACTTAGATGGAAAATAGCAAATTAGTGTCTGTTCTTTGTAGCCACTTGAAGATCCTATGGGTAAAAAAAGAGTCCTTTGTAGGGCAGTGGTAGGAGAGGCTGCTGCAGTTGGCACTGTTGAATCAAAGAACCTGCTTCTGGAAAGAGGAAAAGAAAACCTTGTCTATGTGAAAATGGGGAACATTAACCCAGTGATTTTTTTTTTAACAATATTTTTACCCTGCACGCCTCCTTCTCCTGCCCCCTTGCTCCTTTCCTTATAAAAGCAGAATTACCTACATGGCCACAAAGGTCTGTGGAAGTTTATAGGTATGGACTGGGCTGGGCATTTGCACTTATACTTCCAAGAGCCTGACTCATAGCTAGAATGGCCATGCCAAGGGGCTAGAAAAAGATGAGGCATTGGGGTACCTACCTACCAATCCCGAGAATACATAGCATTCCCCAGTTTACTTAGAATTGTCTGCATGTGGTTGAATCAAATCCAAATCCTGGCTAGACTCTCTTCAGACTTCCCCATCAGTCAGTTAACCCAAGTTAGCTGTTTTGGAGAGCCAGGAGGTTGTTGCTGCTGCTGCTGCTTTTTTTTTTTTTTTTTTAAAACACCCTGGATCCAACTCTAATTGGACTGTTTTATGATCTCAGCGTCCCAAAAGACATTGCTCTATGGGGACATCAGGTGTTCTATCTAAGAATGACCTCCTGGTAGTACTTTCCCCAAAGCTCATTGAGTATGTAAGGCAAGAAGAGAAGTGTGCCCAGTTTTTAGGTATCTCTCTGGCCATAGCATGTTCTTTATATATGCATGATGGCTGGGGTAAGGGTCTCCTATCCACTGCTTTTAAATAGACATCAGTGGCAGGTAAACACATTTGAACTTCTCCTAAATGTTCATCTCTCTTGGACTTTGGGCAGCGCTTGGCCACAAAAATAAAAGCCCCACCTTCATCCTGGTGCAGAATGCAGTTGAGGCACCATGGCCAAGGAACTTGGTGTAGCACTGTTTTTCATATACAGCAATCACAGGAGGCAGGTTACCCTACCCCACAACCCTCCTATGGTGCAGAATCATATTTAAACCTATTTAAATTATCCACTTGCTCCCAGTGACTCTCTCCTGGATCTTTAACACTTAAGGGAAAAAGTGCTTTCCTTTGCCTTCAAAGAATACTTGGCAGAAAGTCTACCAGGTTGCTTTCATCAACTTCTTAATCTCCCTGAGCTGCAGTGGTCATTTGCATCGCCACAGGTAAGAGTAGCATTTACTTTGGCCTCCTTGTATTTAAACATCTGGAAGCTCTTGGCCTCATTCTCAGAGTTTACCCTTTCTCAGTGCAGTCTGAGAGGAATACCCAGAACGAGAGTCCCAAGTGGGACAGAAAATGAAATTGGATAATAAAAATTAAGTAAAAACCTAAAAGTGTGTTTGGGTTTTAATGTTGCCTTTATATTTTTTTAATTTCTCTTCTGTGGAGTACTGGTTCTATCTTTTTCTCTTTTGTTTTTGCTTGGTTTTGATTTTTCTTGGAATTGTGATGCTTTCTGCTGATGGTGTGTGTGCGCCTTCCATTGCAGGGTTTGCAGCCGTTCTGCTCGACTTCTTAAGGCCCAGGGATTTGGCTTCTGTCCAGTGTGTCTTGGAAACCATGGGACACCACTGCGCTAACGTGTTTACATGCATCTGCTTCTGTCTTAGTGGCTGCTATGCCTCCATTATCTGTACATAGAGACCCTGTTTGATGTTACTGATAAGGACCAGTGCTGAATGGAAGATAACCGTTATCCTTTTGCCAGAGTTGGAAAATAGAACTAATTTGTTAATTGAGCAAACTTAAGGTTTTGCATTATTACAAGTTTCTTCAAAGACATTAACTCTACAAGTCAGAAATGTTACATCGGTTAGGAGGTCCTTAAGACATTACATTTCCCAAGTATCCCACGACTTCCCCATGCTTTCCCCCTCCCTGAACAGCAAGCAACTTAGTTCCCATGGAGGGAGAGAGTTCTTTCCTCACGTTAAGGCTCAGCACAATACTGTATAAAATGGTGAGGGGAGCTGCTGCAAAGCTGTAGATAGGAAGTGACTAGACACAGGGAAATGGGAAGTCAGTCAAGGGTTTCTGAGAGAGAATTGGAAAACAAACAAACAGCAAATACCTCTTATTGTGGTTGGGAAAAGATGGTTAGTGTAGACTTCACCTGGAAATGTTTGATCAAAAGTAGAGAAAACTAAGCCTGGGGAAATAATAAAGACAAAGCACATTAACAAAAGACAACAAACATAGAAATGTCTTGACTTTAATACAGTGATAGATTTCAAAGTGCTTTAAAGATGAAGCTTCCAGGAATAATATAGAGTGATTTTAAACATTTTTGTTCAATGTATTATAATATTTGACTCAAGTAGGTTATTTTTGTAGATAAGCTAGTGATCCCAGGTTATCTAAGCGCAGAATAGAATCAGAAGGTGAAGTATATATACCTTGCCCAGGACACAAGGTGGTGGGGGTGGTCTTGGGGATGGGGGGCAAGGATAGAGAATTCAGTCAGATATGTCTTCTAGGCCCAGCTTTGCCATTAGTAATACTTACGGCCTTGCACAAATCATTTCACTTTTCCAGCTCTTAAAAAAAGAGTGGGATTCAATGAACTCTAAGGGCCTTTCTAAAATTCTGGGAGCCCATAATACCAACACAATATTGCACTCTAGTTATATTTTCTCAGAATGGAATGTGTTTTAAAGTGCAATTCTGAAAACAACAACTTGTTTTGGGAATAGGTATGGCTGGAGAGGAGGAACTGATGATGCTTTCTCAAGAATTTTGCCTCCACAAAATTTGGAAAATGCAAGTGACTTCCAATAGGAAGTTTGCTTTTTAGAATCCACAATGTCTTTTTCTGCATAAATAATGGCCTATGGTTTGCCATAGGTTTAACATTTAAATGTGGGGAAAGCTATACATGTATTATGTAATTATTACTGTTCCAAGGCCCAGTGGTACAATAGGGAGTTTATTATAATAGGTATATAAATGATATGGCCTTTGTCTTCAGAATGGCAAGGTGGAGCCTGGTTGTCTAATTGAAGCCGAATTGTTTGGTGGTTCTTATAAAAAGGTGGTATTCAAAAACGTAAGTGGATTATTACCAGTACAAGCACCCGTAATACTCCCATTCTTTCACGTCTAGGCCAACTGGTCTTCAGGCTGTTGTCTGCGCTAGTGGTCATTTGCTTATAATCATTGTTTTTCCTTTCTTGACTTCCTCCAAAGTGGTAAAGTGAAATTCCTCATGTGGTCCTGTCTGCCCTCCCTCTTTTTCTAGTTTCCCCCTCCTACCCCGTCCAACTCTCAGGCCAGGGCTACAGAGGATGGAAGGCTATTGCCCCCTATCATTGTGCACTCTTATTACAGAGCCAAGGATTGTCACCAGTGAAGAGGTCATTATTCGAGACAGCCCTGTTCTCCCTGTCACCCTGCAGTGTAACCTCACCTCCAGCTCTCACACCCTTACATACAGCTACTGGACAAAGAATGGGGTGGAACTGAGTGCCACTCGTAAGAATGCCAGCAACATGGAGTACAGGTGAGAGTGGTGGGCAGCTCCTGGGAAGGTGGGAGGGAGTGTGGCTGAGCTTACTTGACATTCATAATCCATAGTTGCGCCATGCAGAAGGGACATGAGATATATTTGGTTCTCCCTTTGAGAGTCCAATCCAGTATCTCAGGTAAGGCCCAGTAGTCTAGAAAAGATTCCCAAAGGATTCTAATGAGCAGCCAGATTGGAGAATCATAGATGATCCCCTCACTATAATCATAGAGAAACTGAGGCTGTGAAGTAGTGATTTGTTCAGGGTAACAATGTTAGTCAATAGGAGAGTCACACTTAGAATGTAGTCTCTTGACCTAATCCAGTCAGATTGAAGTTAGGTTTGAAGAAACAGATTGAAGTCTGCTTTGTGACTGTAGAGCAAGACATCTCCCTAAGCCATCTTTCCACTGGGTAGATTTCCTGTGAATTCCCTTTTAGGAGTGTGTAACATCACTGTAACCTGATAAGGACCAGCAGATGCAGGGCTCTTGAATGATCTGGATTGAGGATGGTAGCCTGGAAATATCCTTTGAAAAAAGAAGGATATTTGCTGGCTAGAGTTACCCAGCACCCAAATATTTGGTGCTTTTTGGAATATCTAGAACACATGGCACCCCACCTTGCAGAATAGTTTGTTCCTGGTTGAAGGCTGTCTGGAAAAGAATCAGCTAATCCTGCTTAGAAGGTTAATGCAGTGCAAAGAAAGAGAGCACTGAGGTGAGACCAGGAAAGCCTGTGTATCCAGTGATAGCAAGGGCATTCTGCAGGATATTGCAGCATTGAGATCTTTTCACACCCCTTATTTAGTTGATCCAAATGAATTTGTGGATCCTTTTTTTCCCAAGCAAGGAAACTAGGACTTGAAGAGTGACTCTTGGCTGCTTTAAGGCCAAATACTGTATTTTAATAAGTTCTAGAACCAAGGCTAGGTTCCAGGTCTTCTGATTTTCTAGAATTTTTTCTAGAATTGTTTTTCTTTTCCCTGCTATGCCATCCACTTAGTGGCAAGGTAGTTAACCTATCTCCACTGTAGTTTCTTCTGATAAAAAAAAAAATTAGAAATTTAGCCTCAGCAATTTTCCTCATAGTTTGGAAAGGATTAATCAAATAAAGTTGTTAGGTGGAATGAAAAGCATTTTTTTCTTGTTCTGTCCATTAGTTTTACAGACTTGATTTTTTGTTGTTATTTTATTTTATTGAGACAGGGTCTCGTTCTGCCTCCCGGGCTGGAGTGCAGTAGTACAGTCTCAGCTCACTGCAGCCTCTGCCTCCCGGGCTCAAGCCATCCTCCCCAGTAGCTGGGACCACAGGTGCACACCACCACACCCGGGTAATTTTTTTTTTTTTTTTTTGTATTTTTTGTAGAGACTGGGTTTCGCCATGTTGCCCAGGCTGGTCTTGAACTCCTGAGTGCAAGCAGTCTCCCCACCTTGGCCTCTCGAAGTGCTGGAATTACAGGCGTGAGCCACTGTGTCCAGCCTTAGACTTGTTTTTTATGATACCTCCTTTAAGATAGCAGACATCCAATCATGTTTCTCTTGGGTCTTGTACTATTGCCTGCAAAGTGCTGAGCTTTAACTTCATGAAGTTTCAGCCTGACTTTATAAAATGCTGCTTCTTTTTTCCCCTCAGCTTATTTGAAGCTCTCCAAGGGTGTTGTGTATCTCTAGAGTTTTTCAGGGATTCTACATTTCGTGAAATAACAACTGATGAGTTCCTTGGGCTACCAAATAAGTTAGCCTGAAGAGGCGATTTCAGAACCCTGCTTCTGCCCAGCCTGTAGGGAACGTTTTCCCTTTGCTTTAATTTCTTCCTAATAGCTAGTCCAAGGGAATGGTGTGGGGAGATTTTCAGCCTATAGGCATGGACTCAAGTGTGGGAGTTATCTTCCCAAGTATTTCTCAAAGAACTTAGAAGTCTAAGAACTTCAGTCTTAAGTTCAGGGCTGAGTTTGAGGAAGGAACAGCAGGTCTTTCTTCAGAGCTTGGACTCAAAGAACTTCAGTTTAAGCCCTGAAGAAAGAGCTGCTGCTCCTTCCTCAAACTCTGGAACACTTGTTGATAAGAGCAGCTGACTTGTCTGTTTTCCAATTGGGAGCATAATGATTTAAGAAGAGGCATGGTGTCACATTGAGAAGACACTGACTGCTTCTCACAGAATATTGTGCCGCCATGTGGATATCTTGAGACAGCTCTGGGGATAGGCTATGTCTCTCCTCGTCCATAGTCTCTTAACCTGTGTTTCCTTTTTGGAATGAGCAATATAAGATGGATAAATGCATTAGGCCAGAGTGGTCGAGTTTAGGAGTTTTTCTTAGACATTAAATAGTGCAGTAGAGATTTGACCATCACAAGTATCATATTTTAACCCCTAAGCAAAAGAGCTAGAACTCAGCCCTATATAACTATTTATCCTCTCATCTGGAGGCTGATGTTTTTCTTCTTTCTGTAATTACTCACTAACCTTTCTGCATGTGTTTGGTGTATGTGCTTGTAGGCCAGAGTGTACTGAGTTGATGTGTAGTTGACCCTCGGGGGCAAGAAAGCTTGTTTGGGATCACCCTGTGTGATTGAAATGAAGTGCTGTTCTGGCCATATATACTACTTTTTCTTTTTTTCTTTTTTTTTCGCAACAGGGTCTTACTCTGTCACCCAGGCTGGAGTGCAGTGGCATGATCATGGCTCACTGCAGCCTTGACCTCCCAGGTTCAAGTGATCCTCCCACCTCGTAGCCTCCCGAGTAGCTAGGACTATACGTGCACCACCATGCCCAGCTAATTTTTTTATTTCTTGTAGAGATAGCGTTTCGCCATGTTTCCCAGGCTGATCTCAAACTCCTGGGCTCAAGCAGTCCACACACCTCAGCCTCCCAAAGTGCTGGGATTACAGGTGTGAGCCACCACGCCTGACCCATACACTCTTCTTACAGTCCTTCCTGTCACTCTGCTTAACTTGATCTGAATCTGTACATAGATATTCACTCTGTGTTTGTGTTCACTCAGTAATTCATTCATTTATTCATTCCCCTGCCGTATTCCAGGCACCAGGCTAGGTACTCGGTATGGGATAGTATGCTGAATAAACAGTGCCTATCCACATAGAACTTGGTCTGTTGGGAAGCCGGACATTAATCAAGTAATCACATAAATATATAATCACACACATGATAAGTATTGTGAAGAAGCACAGAGTAGTGTGAGAGAGAATGTTGTGGAAGGGGATGACATTTAGATTGGGGCTGGAATAAACTGACACGTAAGCCAAGACCTGATGGAAAAGGAGTTAGGTAGACTAAGAGTGATGAGAAGAGCATTCTCTGTAAAGGAACATCTTGTGTGGAGGTTTTGAGGTGCGAACAAGCTTGGTGCATTGAAAAACTGAAGAGAGACCAGAAGATCTGGACAGTGGCATGGGATGGAGCTAGGGATATAGACAGGGGCCAGATCATGTAGGGCCCTGGGATTTATCACCAGACTTTTTGCTGCATGTCTGTGGCTGATGCTCTGATGGCAGATTTTTTTCTTTTTCTTTAAACTGTGCCTGGGTCCTGTTAGCAAGTAGACTTGTGGAAACGCATGCTCCTAAAAGACAAGGTAGGAAGAACAGAACTACCAAAACAAGGTCTTTGGAGAAGCTCAGAAAGCTTGTGCTTTTTGTTTGTTTTTGTTTGTTTGTTTGTTTCTCTTGTTTATCTAACTGGAACCACCAGGTGAACAAGAGGTTTTTAGTGATTTTTGTTTTTGTTTTTGCTGGAGTGCGTTGGCATGATCTTGGCTCACTGCAACCTCTGCTGCCTGGGTTCAAGTGATTCTCCTGCCTCAGCCTCCCGAGTAGCTGGGATTACAGGCATGTGCCACCACACCCGGCTAATTTTTGTAGTTTTAGTAGAGACGGGGTTTCAGCATCTTGGCCAGGCTGGTCTTGAACTCCTGACCTCGTGATCCACCTGTCTCAGCCTCCTAAAGTGCTAGGATTACAGGGGTGAGCCACTGTGCCCAGCCGTGATGGTTTTATATTGTATATCTGAATATAAACTATAGTACTTTGGACATCCTTCTATTTTGATTACTTCTTTTGCATTTTGTTTCTCCCAGTAGACCAGAGCATTCTAAGGTTAGGGACCATGTTGCCATTCCATCTTTGTATTCTTGGCACCTGGAAAAGAGCAAGACATTAATGTTTTAGGATGCACAGAGAGGAATTTTTGCTTTTAGTTAGAAGGAGGTGAGTTGCATTAAGGGTTCGGAGAGCAGGATCCCTGATTGCCCCTTTGATTCTCCTTCTGTTTTATATTTTGACCGTTCCCAGTTTCCTCACTTGGTTTTTCTTCTCATCTCTGCAGGATCAATAAGCCGAGAGCTGAGGATTCAGGCGAATACCACTGCGTATATCACTTTGTCAGCGCTCCTAAAGCAAACGCCACCATTGAAGTGAAAGGTACAACCCAGCAGAGGCTGTGGTGTGAGCCTCTCACTCTCCTTCCAAGACAGTACCTTGGTCTGGAGTCCCAGTCTTCAAGCTCCTCTTCTTTCCATGTCGAGACACAATATAATGTTGTGGTTAGGCCACAGGCTCAGGATCGTGGCTGCCTGGGTTTAAATTCAAACCCCATCATCTACTAGCTGTGTGGCCTTGGTGGTTTACTAACTTCTCTTTGCTTCCTTTTCCTCATTTTTAAAATGAGGATATCAGCAGTACTTACATCATGGGTTATTTAGGAGGATTAAATAAGTTAATAGATTGAACTGCATAAAATTGCTGTTTTTATATGTCAAAAATGTTTGAATGCTGGCAGCTCCTATGGCCCAAGGCTTTGTAAAGCTCTTAGATCAGTGCCTTACAAGTATGATTACATAGGTCTTCTGTGGGCCAGCAGGATTGAGGGGAAAGTACAGTGTGCAGAGTGGACATCAGCTGTTTGTGGATAATTCATTAGAATTTTAATAGAAACCTTTGAAAGATGAGGCAGTAGCAGAAAGTTCCAAGATGGGCAAACAGAACTATAAAAGTTGGAGCTACCCAACATCATAAATTTCAGCTTTCCTAAGTTATTTCAAAGAAGCATCTGAGACCCAGAAAAGTGAAACCTCTAGCTGTCTGTCACACAGTGAGTTTGTGGCAGAGCTAGTCTAGAACACAGGTCTTGACCCCCAATCCAATGTTTTTTCTACTCTCACAAAATTATCATGAGAAGGCAGGGCTACTGTTTGAGGTCAGATTTTTTATTTTCAGTCTTTCTCATTTTGCTTAGTAAGGACACAGACTTGTTCTTTAAATCCATAGAGTTATCCCTGGAAGCTAGAAGGACAAATTTAGGAGAAGGAAGGGCCCGTATAATAGGTATTCAGGTCTTCCTAAAATATTTGGAAGGTTAAAAATGCAGATTCAAGAAAGGCTTAGACACATTCAAAGTTTCCATTATATGGTGTTATCAAAAGAAAGTAATGTCTTGGTGACACAGCCCTGAACTTGTGAGTTGATGTAGGGATGGCCACTGCCTCCTCCAGCTGCCAGTTTAATTCTGAATGCCTAAAGGAGTTACAGTTACAGGTCACACTGGGCCAGAGAACTTAGCATTTGATTTTTTTAGTGGCTTTTCTTGGAGAAACCTTGGTTTCTACCCATTTTAGAAGAATGCCACATGTATTCAACATGAAAATGAAGGATGTGGGAAAACATTTTCTCTAAGCCAGTGAGGGCTTTCCCCAGCCTAGGTGAGCCAAATTTGTGGTGAGACCTCTCTGTGAGACTTGAGGCCGTGCAGCATTCCTGGCTGAGCCTTCAGCACAAAGTCCAAGTGCAGAGAGGCAGGGTGGGTGAGGGAAGGAAAGAGTGGGGTGTCTAGTTCATTGTGCTCCCCAAGCCTAAGAGATAATTAGTCCTAACTAACTGTAATCGTTAGTGACTTTGAGTTAATGATTTCTAAAAAGCACTTTCAAGAGTGGAAATCAAAATGGTTTTTCCATTTGTTTGGCTGCTTACGAAGGTGGGGTTTAGTGGCCCTAGAGGCATCTTTCTTCATAGTCTCTTCAGCAGGTAGGAAGCAGCAGTTGCCAGGGTCAGAGAATAGGACGCTGTAGGCCAGGAGTATTTTCAGAGCAAGTTACAACTTACGTGTTATATTCAAGGTGCTTACTGTGCACTGTTGGATTCTCACTGTACAAATAGCCCTGTGTGGAAGGTGAGGCAGGTGGTAGTATCTTGGTTTTACAGAAGTAGACCTTGAGGGAATTCTGTTTTATAAATATCTTAAACCATATTCTGGACCACCTTGGATAGATATACTGTGTGTTTATCTCTCAAGAAAATTTGTAAAAGAATTCTAGTCTGTCTTTCCTTCTCCCCCCAACACCTGGATAGAAAAGAGTTCAATGTTTAATGTCTTGTCTTCCCAGTTATGGATAGTTGAGTATGGTAAAGACTATGAACACTTCGCTTTTTCTGTATAAGTTTTAAAAGGTTTGCCATAGGCCCAGGATCATATTCTAAGCTAACCTCCAATTGTGGTTGGGGTAGAAAAACTGCCTTGCATTTAGAGTAGTACATGTGTGTATGTTCCCAAAACATTTTAATAGAAACTCTCATTTTATTCCCTTAGTGTCTCCGGGGTGGGGATAAGAGACAGTTATCTTTTTATAGCTGTAGTGATCTGAAAAATCTGCTGAGTAATAGAGAGTTAAGAGGTGGTTGTACTTGAGAACAGAGAGGTTCCGAGAACATCAGTGGCCTCTTGGCTGAAAGGAGTCTCTGAGAATCTTCCTGTGTGGCTTTAACTGAATCAGCACAACAGGGCATGTAATTCAGACCATGCATATATATTTCTTCATCATCTATTCTGCTCTCAGCCGTTTCTTTCCCATCTGCCTTTTCCTGTCTTTCAGAACATTTCTGGGGTGTTGTTTGGGCTCAGCACTGTGGGAAGTGAAGCATTTAGCCTAGCCAGGGACTGGGCATTATCTGTCAGATTACCAAATCTTGAGTTATCTGTGGTCTACAAAAGAAAAGAAGGCTGAAGGAACCAGACAGAGGGACAGTGGCCTGGGAACAGAGCCAAGATGATCATGTTTTTTAACCAAAGCCTGTAGATCACCGTCAAGAAAGGAATTTGGAGGATAGGAGTATCTACATGTAGTGGGGGAGGCCTTGTATCTGGAGCAGGTTTTTAAATTCTCTCCCTTTTTTTTTTTTTTTTTTTTAAAGGACACAATGTGGCATAGTATAAACAGGAAGATACTGTTGAGGGTTACGTTTCTCAGGTATTCGGCAGGTGATCTGCACAGATGGAGAGAAGGAAGATGGAGCAGGGCCGGTCAGGAGAGGGAAGACAGCAGTGATGAGGCCTTATGGAGCCCAAAGCCCCACCTCCCTGGGATCCACTCAGCTAATACTGAGGAGGGCATCTCTGTCCTCAGCTTGTGACTCTTCAGAGGCTGTGGTACCAGAGTGCACACCTTACAGAGAATACATGAATGAATAGATGTTGAAATTTTCTACCCCTATAATTTTTCAACCTTTTGCCCCTTACTCCTTCCCTCTTCTCCTTCCTTCCTTTTCTAAAATTTTTTTTTAAAAAGTGCTCACAAAAAAGCAAATTAAAAATCCCGGTATCATTTACAAAGTAAAAAGAAAAAAATTGCTCTCATGACTCCCAAGCAGTATCCTTATCCCTTAACCATTTTGATTAGTACAAGAAAGAAGGAGTTTGAATTTTATTGCTGTTTTTGGAAGAGGATTTTGTTGGTCATCCAATCCTTTGCAACAAATATGTCACTGCCTCTTGTGAGAGGCACTTCCCAGCCCAGAAGGGGGTTGAGCCTGTTGTCTTACTAGGTTCATCTCACCCTCCTTATTGGACATTTCAAATGAGTTTCAGTCTTTTGGCTGCTGAGAGAGCCAGGATTGATCTTGTTTTTCTCCTCCCTACTCCTTAGCTTTCTCTATATTTGACTATTAAGAATAAAGGTTAGGATTTCTATAAGTGGCCTTGCCCTGCCTTCCTATTTCCTATTCTGTCATGGTGCATTACAAGTGACATATTAATCCAGACTGGCTAAGGCAGTGTGGTGGGGATGAAGATCACTGTGAAGAACAGTGATACCCAGACCACATTCACACGGCACTTTCAGCATGCACAGCATCTCCACCGTCCTTTCTTCACTGACAGTCAGGAAAGGCAGCTAGTGTGATAGGTGAGGATGCGTAGAGGTTGTGACATCCTTTAGGTGAGAACTGATGTCAAAGCAACCTGCTTCTGACTCAGAATTGCTGTGACTTGAGAAGTCTTTGAAGGCATAATAATATCATGAAGCTGCTAGGGCATTTTGAACATTAACTTCAGCCCAAAAACCACACCTGCACTTTCTTTTCCTCTCTTCAGGGTGCCACCCTGACCTTCCTTAATAAGAATAAGAATAGCTAACATTATTGCACACTTACTGTGGGTCAGGCACTGTGCTAGGTGCATTATTTGTTCCTTTTCTCTCCTTTAGTCTCCACAACTCTATGGGATAAGTGCAATTATTATCTCTACTTTCCAGTTGAGAAAATTGAGGCTTGAGGGAATAACTGGCCCAGTGTCACAGAGTTAACTGGTGAAGCTAGGGTTCTCACTCAGGCACCCTAGCACTAGATCCTGTGCTCCTAAGCACCAAGCCATGGTGCCCTGTTGAGCATGTAACATTTAAAAGGCCTTGACTAAGAGTTAGGAGAAATGTGTTCTAATCGTGGTCCTGCCATTAAACACAGTGACTCTGACCAGTCACTTCCCTTCTCTGGGTCTCAGCTTCCTCAAGTGCATGATGAAGTAGAATGAGATAGCTCATCTTTAAGGTTCCTTTGCTCTGTGTGGCTCTTGACGGTCTAGGTTCCCTTATGTGGACAGAGATGAGAGGTTGTGTATTAGTGTTTCCTAGAGGGACAGAACTTACAGGAGATACATATATGGGGGTTTGTTAAGTATTAACTTACATGGTCACAAGGTCCCACAATAGGCTGCCTGCACGCTTGAGGAGCAAGGAGAGCCAGTCCGAGTCTCAAAACTGAAGAACTTGGAGTCCGATGTTTGAGGGCAGGAAGCATCCAGCACGGGAGAAGGATGTAGGCTGGGAGAGGTTGGTTATTGCAGGAAGTGATTTCCAAGCCCATTTTCCTAGTGTTATTGGAAAATTTCAATTTGTCAGTTTCTCAGCTTGGAAAAGTCACCTGAATGACTCCCACACCTCTACCCACTCATCTCCCTGTCTTGTGGGGGGTATCTGACCTCTAGTACTGGTGCCAGGAAAGGTGATAGAACAGTGGTTCTCAATTTTGATTTAATTCATATGAACTGTGGCTCGGGCATCAGATTAAGGCACATCAGGTGATTATGGTGTACAGCCAGGGTTGAGGGTCACTGTCTTCAAGGAAACTTCTACACCTCTTACACAGTGGTTTCACCTGCAGAAGGAGGCACCTGTCCTAGACTGCTCTAGTGTTCACAACCAATGATAAATCTGCTGTGGGTGGAGAATGCTTGTTGAGCCAAAAGCCTGCATCCTTCTTGCTTCTGTCTTGACTGATCTCATATTCCTTCTTGGGCATAGCTCTTGGCAAGCAGTAAATCTTCACTCTCCCACTGCCGTCAGCCAAGTGTTCATTTTGTCCACCACAAAGATAGGTGTTTTTGGGATTTGATAGGTTGCATGAAGGAAGCAAATAGACCGTAAATGCAGAATCTCTGTGTTTACTTGGAAACAGGCTAGTCATTGACAACACCTTTAAGGATAGATTTTCTTTGAAGATAAGTTGCTGGGTTATGAACATGCTTTAAAAAGTGAGCACCAAGGCCAGGCGCAGTGTCTTGAGCCTGTAATCCCAGCACTTTGGGAGGCCAAGACGGGCAGATCACAAGGTCGGGAGTTCAAGACCAGACCAGCCTGACCAAGGTGGTGAAACCCCGTCTCTACTAAAAAATACAAAAATTAGCCGAGTGTGGCGGTGCACGCCTGTGGTCCCAGCTACTCAGGAGGCCGAGGCAGAAGAATCGCTTGAACCCGGGAGGCGGAGGTTGCAGTGAGCTGAGATCGCGCTGCTGCACTCCAGCCTGGGCGACAGAGCGAAACTCTGTCTAAAAAGAAAAAAAAAAAGAGCACCATATAAGCAGTGTCTGTAAAGAGGCCTTATATCTTGATCACTTTCTTAAGTCTGTTCTGTTAACTTTATTTAATATCATCTGAAACGTGCCTCCATGGCCTGAGTTGACAGTTTCTACAGCATCCAGCCTGGCCTAGAAGCTGACCCTTTGCTCTAAGTGCATCAGGTTGGGTAGCAGAGGGTACTAAGGAACATGCATTCGTCCTCAGCCAGAGTCCCAGACTGCCCAGATAATGAAATTGGTTCAGGTGCTGTTGGGTAACAGAGACTCTTTTGGGACCCCTGTGTTGCTATTTATTAGGATACTGGAGGGATAGCCATTAACCAGTGTGACTAGAATATGTGACTAACAAGGCCAGAGAATGAATGAATTCCTGAGTGGATCAGAACTCTCTTCTAAGGGTCTTTTTGTTACTTTGTTGCTCCTACCCCTTGCTCTTGCCACTTAGTCTGTGCCCCCCTAAGAGGGTAAAGAGAAGCACAGAGTATTGTCTCTGTCTCCTTCAGGATATGAAGGCTTAGTTAGACGCTCAGACCTGCTTTTAGACCAACAAAATCTGGTTAAGCAGTCCCTTATTAAAAGGCAAGACCATAGAAGGTGAGGCACTAAAATAGGCCATTAATCAGATAATTTATCAGTATCTGACATGATTAAACCTTATTTTTAGAGCTACAAACAAAAGTCCTGTTTGTATCAGCAAATGGGGAGAGCACATAGTAATCAGTATCTTTGATTTCTTAGAACTAATGACAGAGTCGAAGCCTTAGCCTTTCCTTTCCCTGACTGATGTTTAAATGCTTGGCCCTGAGTTCCAACCATGTTCTAGATTAGTATGGAGATGTAATTTAATCCTCACAAGACCTCTGAAACATGTGAGTATTACTCTTATTTTACAATACTAAAACTCAGAGTATTTGACGTGATCTGCCCTGGGTTACTCAGTTGGTGAGTAATAGAGTCGAGATCAAGTCCAGATTTCCATGTTTTCAGGTCTGAAGCTCTGCTCTTTACGCTACACTAATACAGAGTAAAGTCTGACAGGTAAATAGGTTCTGCTTTGGGTCTAAGGTAAATTGGTTCTGCTTTGGGTCTAAGGTGTTTTAGCACATCTACAAGGAAAGATAACTTTTGGGCTCTTTGCTCTGCAGTTACCAGTAATACATGGTAACAAATATATACATATATAACATGTATATACATATATACATATATAACATGTATATACATATATACATATATAACATGTATATACATATATAACATGTATATACATATATACATATATAACAAATATATACATATATAACTATATTATATATAATATATATATTTATGTATATATATATTTATGTATATATAAATATATTTTGTATATATACATATATATTATATATATTATATATATATTATATATATATTATATATATAATATATATATTTTAAAGTTTTACTTTAAGTTCTGAGATATATGTACAGAACGTGCAGGTTTGTTACATAGGTATACTTGTGCCATGGTGATTTGCTGCACCTATCAACCCATCATCTAGGTTTTAAGCCCCACATGCATTAGGTGTTTGTCCTAATGGTCTCCCTCCTCGCATGTTGTATATTTTTATTTTTGTGGACTCTATTCTAGTTTATTTTCCCCTCAGTATGTTAAAGTACAAAAAGCATAGTCTCTGGATTCACACAACCCTGAACTTGGATTCTGGCTTTACCATTTAAACATTAAATTACTTTTCCAAACTTGAGTTTTCCAATTTTAAAAAGTGGGGTAATGTCTGCTTCATCAATTGGTATATTTGTATCTATACATACAAAAATGCATAATAAATTACCCCAAAACTTAGTGGCATAAAATGCTAAGCACTTACCACCTCACAGTTTTCCTGAGTCAGTAATTAGGGAGCAGCTTAGTGGGGTGTTCTGGCTTGGGGTCTTTCCTGAGATTTTGGTCAAGCTGTTGGCTGGAGCTGCAGTCATCTGAAAGCTTGACCAGAGCTGGAGGATCCACTCCATGTGTACAGCTCACTCACATGGCTCTTGGCAGTGGCCCTCAGTTCCTCAGTGTGCCCCTCTCCATTGGTTGGTTGAGTGTCCCCCAGTATGGCGGCCACCCTTTCCCAGAGTGTCAAATAAAGAGGGGAAGTGGTGTTCTCCTCCTCCCACACACCAAGGCAGGAGTGAAGACTGTTCCTAGCCCCCTTCCCAATCTTGACCTTTAAGTCTGGGTCCTTTCAGAATAGTGACTTTTCAGAGGCAGTGCAGCTGCCGACTCAACTTTTAGCATTCTAGATGGTTCTAATGTACAGTCTTGGAAATGAGTCCCCAAAGCAAAAGCTGATAGTACTGAATTCATAGTACTATTGCCAATAACTGGCCCAAAGTGGGTGTCTTCTTTGGGTCAAAGGAGAATGAAAATGGGAAAATGTACCACATATAAGCTGATACCTGAAATTTATATCCCTAACATAGAACATTTCCCTGAACTCCAGACTTGCTCTTTTACTGCCTACTTGATATTTTTACTTGGATTTTTTTTTTTTTTTTTGAGACGGAGTCCCCTCTGTCGCCCAGGCTGGAGTGCAGTGGCGCGATCTCAGCTTACTGCAAGCTCCACCTCTTGGGTTCGTGCCATTCTCCTGCCTCAGCCTCCCGAGTAGCTGGGACAACAGGCTCCCGCCACCGTGCCTGGCTAATTTTTGTATTTTTAGTAGAGACGGGGTTTCACCGTGTTAGCCAGGATGGTCTTGATCTCCTGACCTCGTGATCCGCCTGCCTCAGCCTTCCCAATACTTGGATGTTAAATAAGTATCTTTTTTTTTTTTTTTTTTTTGAGACAGAATCTTACTCTGTCGCCCAGGCTGGAGTGCAATGGCATGATCTTGGCTTACTGCAGCCTCCACCTCCCAGGTTCAAGCGATTCTCTCGCCTCAGCCTCCCAAGTAGCTGGGATTACAGGCACCTGCCATTATGCCTGGCTAATTTTTGTATTTTTGTAGAGACAAGGTTTCACCAGGTTGGCCAGGCTGGTCTCAAACTCCTGACCTTAGGTGATCCGCCCACCTCGGCCTCCCAAAGTGCTGGGATTACAGGTGTGAGCCACTGCACCTAGCCAGCCACCACACCTAGCCATATGTTAAATAAGTATCTTAAACTTACCATGTTCTAGACCTTGACCTTCTGGTTTTTACCACCACTGTTTCTCAGTCTTTTAACAAAACAAACTAAGATTAAGCAAACAAAAAACACTCTTATTCTTTTGCAATTTTCCTCATCTTAGTAACTGTCAACTCCATTCTCACAGTTACACAGGCCAAAACCTTGGTGTCATCCTTGACTCCTTTTCTTCTCACAGTCCACATTCAATCTATTAGCAAATATGTTAACTCAACCTCCAAAATATACCTGGAATCTCACCATTTCTCCTTATTTCCACTGTTACTGCCCCCATGGAAACCAGCCTCTCCCTTGCCTGGGTTACTGTAATAGCCTCCTGCTTGGTCTTGCTTCCACTGCTGTCTCTGCAGTTCTTGTTCACATAGTAGCCACGGGGAGCCTGTTAAAACACACCCATCATTTTATACCTGCACATAGTATTCACCAGTGGCTTCCCGGCTGACTCACTGTAACTGCCAAAGTCATTATGGTGGCCTACAAAGTCCTGTCTAATCTGGGTCCCCAGTCTCTCTGATTTCTTTTATTTCCTGCTCTCTTCTCCTTGCTTACTATGTTCCAATCAAATCCTCTTTGCTGTTCCTTGTACATAACAAGCACAATCCTACCTCAAGACCTTTGCATTTCCCTCGACCTAGAGTGTTCTTCCTACAGATATGTGTGACCTACTCCCTTCTTTTCTTTTTTGCTGGGAGACCAGAGTTTTATTACTATTCAAATCAGTCTCCCCTAGCATTCAGGGAGCAGAGTTTCTAAGGATAACTTGGTGGTTGGGGGAAGCCAGTGAGCCAGGAGTGCTGATTGGTTAGAGCTGAAATCACAGGGAGTCAGAGCTGACTTCTTGTGCTCAGTCAGTTCCTGGGTGGGGGTCACAGGATCAGATGAGCCAGTTTATTGATCTGGGTGGGGCCAGCTGATCCATCAAGTGCAAGGTCTGCAAAATATCTCAAGCACTGATCTTAGGAGCAGTTTAGGGAGGGTCAGAATCTTGTAGCTTCCAGCTGCATGACTCCTAAACCATAATTTCTAATCTTGTGTCTAATGTTAGTTCTACAAAGGCAATCTAGTCCCCAGGCAAGAAGGGAGTCTGTTTTGGGAAAGGGTTGTTACCATCTTTGTTTAAACTATAAGTTTCTCCCAAAGTTAGTTCAGCCTGCGCCCAGGAGTGAACAAGGACAGCTTGGAGGTTAGAAGTAAGATGAAGCAGTTAAGTTCGATCTCTTTCCCTGTCTCAGTCATAATTTTGCAAAGACGGTTTCAGTCTCTCCCTTTGGGTTTTATAACACCTTAATCTTAAGGTGTAGGCTCTGAAGATGGCAAAAGGCCGTAGATCACTCTGGCTTCTTCCTGCTGATAGGGGACATTGTGGGAATGGGAGTGAACCCCAAGGTGAGAAGAGTGGAACCACCTTGTAACTGTCTGAGTGTACTCATGCAGGCCTGGCTAGGATTCCAAGGCTTGTGTGGGAAAAACATTACTACTCTCATCTATAGTTTTACTACAGTGTTTAAGTGAACAGCCTACTGTAAGGTAAATAACGAGTCCTAGGATGAGGAGTACAATTCCCAATTTTAAAAGCAAAGATTTGAAAGCATTAGTTTGGGGACTTCCAACCCACAAAGAATTTAGAATTTCATCTAAACTGCAGAAAAAAACCTCAAGAACAGCTAACAACAGTATACTATAGTTTTTCTTTTGAAGCGTAATTTTTCTCTCTCCAGTCCCCATTTTTATTAAAAACAAATCATGATAGAACTGATTTATTTATAAAATAAACTTATTCTTACTGTACTTGGCCTGATTATTTGCATAAAGTGCAGCAAGAGTAGTTATTTTTCACTTAGGCTTTTTAAATTGGCTTTGACAGAACTCTGTTCCATGAAGAATCTCAGATAAGACTGTTAAAAAGTCGAGCCCAGCCATGGGTTTGTACCCTCAAATACTTACGAGTTGGGCAAATTCCTCTCCTCTTGAGGTCCCAAGATAACTTGGGGTTCCTGGCCTGTTAGAAAGTGACATTCTTAGCCAGGCGCAGTGGCTCACACCTGTAAACCCAGCACTTTGGGAGGCTGAGGCGGGTGGATCACTTCAGGTCAGTAGTTTGAGACCAGCCTGGCCAACATGGTGAAACCCCATCTCTACTAAAAATACAAAAATTAGCCAGGTATGGTGGCAGATGCCTATAATCCTAGCTACTTGGGAGGCCAAGGCAGAAGAATCACTTGAACCCGGAAGGTGGAGGTTGCAGTGAACCAAGATCACACCACTGCATTCCAGCCTGGCCAACAGAGAGAGACTGCATCTCAAAAAAGAAAAAATACATTCTTTACTTACCACAGGTCAGGAACCTTGTATATACTCCCTTATTTTCTTCACGACCATGCTAAAGTTCATCTCATCACAAAAGCCTTACCCAACCAGTCTGACATATCTGGTGTGTAGTGGGTGCTCAGCAGGTGTTTGCCAGATGAATGAAGCATGGCTGGCTGGAGCAGCACATGGTAACCCTTCGGGCATGCTGGGTCCTGTGTGGCTATGGAGCCTGCTCCTTGGAGTGCTTGGAATTTATGGACTGAAGTAAGCTCTGAGAAAGGGTGACCAGGTTGAACAGTCAGCCTAAGAAGTGACTGAGTAGCTGTGGGAAAAGTTCGGCTTTGTGGGAATGAGATAGAGCCAGGTTGACCACTTCCTTCTGTAGTAAGAAACTTTGCCTGGAAAAAAAAAGATATTTCCTTTGAAACGTACTATCTAGAAAACACTTCACACTGAGTGTTACTCAGCAGGCCTCAGTTTGGCAGGGACTGGTTACAGAGACAGCTTGGGGCCTTGCCCAGTGCATGCCCATCCAGGTGCCTCTGGAGGGTGAGTCTAAAACCAGTTTGTGCCTGGGAAGCACATTCTGTGACTAGTAGGACTTTGCATTGTTTTTAAGCCAAGAAAAACCAAGCCAGTCAAAGGTGGAACATGAGATTAGCCCCAATGCAATAGTACAGGCTTCTACAGTCTCAAGATGAATGTTTTGACATCCTGTTCATCTACCCAAGAACACTGGGAGGTAGACAAGGACACGAGGTGTCTCCATTTGATAATGGCTGTAGCAGCAAAGCCCAGAATAACGAAAGAACCAACAAAACTGGAATTGGGACCAAGGCATATCGATTCTCTTTCCTATCTTGGATAACAGAGTGACATCCAGCCTGCTTTGACTTTTATTGCTCTCAGATTACTGTAACCCGGCTGGGCGTGGTGGCTCACGCCTGTAATCCCAACACTTTGGGAGGCTGAGGCGGGCAGATCATCTGAGGTTAGCAGTTCGAGACCGGCCTGACCAACATGGTGAAACCCCATCTCTCCTAAAAATACAAAATTAGCCGGGCGTGATGGCTCACGCCTGTAATCCCAACACTTTGGGAGGCCAACGCGGGCAGAACACCTGAGGTCAGGAGTTCAAGACCAGCCTGACCAACATGATGAAACCCCATCTCTCCTAAAAATACAAAATTAGCTGGGCATGGTGGCACATGCCTGTAATCCCAGCTACTCAGGAGGCTGAGGCAGGAGAATCGCTTGAAACCAGGAGTTGGAGGTTGCAGTGAGCCAAGATCACACCATTGCACTCCAGCCTAGGCGACAAGAGCGAAACTCTGTCTCCAAAAAAATTACTGTAACTGGTGAAGCATTGGCGGGTAATATAGTTATGATAAAATAAAGCTAAATCCAAAGAATTCGCTTTTATCTCAGGCTTCTTTGATCCTTGAAACTTACTTAATTTTTAGACTACAGTTGTTGTTTATTTCTTCCTAAGTGATCCCTATAAATAGAGAAGACCAACGGCCTCTAGCATGTCTTGAAATTCCTTCTATATTGGGTTCAGTCTAGGAAACTGTTGCAAATCAGGTGTCCAAGGCAGATTCTTAAGTTGTTAATAAAAGGTCTTAGGGCCAGGTGCAGATGCAAACACCTGTAATCCCAGCACTTTGGGAGGCCAAGGTGAGAGGATCACTTGAGGTCAGGAGTTCAGGACCAGCCTGGGCAATATAGTAAGACCCCGTCTATACAAGAAATTTAAAAATTAACCAGGTGTAGTGGCATGTGCCTGTAGTTCTAGTTACTCGGGAGCTGAGGATCACTTAAGCCCAGGAGCTTGAGGCTACAGTGAGCAGCGATCATGCCACTATGCTCCAGCCTGGACGATAGAATAAGACCCCATCTCAATCAGTCATTCAATTAAAAAAAAAATCTCTTGGGACACTGGTTGAATTTCCTGTTCATTCCTTTCTTCCTCCTTGTGAAGACCAGTTTCTGGATTCCCTCTTTCCTGGGAGAGCCTTGGTCATTGTTACTTATTGAGTAGCTTCTCCAAGCATTCATTGTTTTTACATACCTTGTAATAGGACTTGATTGTAGTTGTTTTATCTCAGAATCTCATTTCCTTAAGGGAATGTGTGATATTTGACAGGATGCATAACTGTTGTTCATGCAGGTGTTTTAAGAAAAAACTTGGGCCGATAGAAGAGATAATAGTGTTTGTTTGCATTTTCTTTAAAGGTAGGCTTAATTGAGGGCAGTTGGACCTGCATCCTTTTCCAGTAGGTTGGAGAATCACCTACATTAGTAGAGCCTCATATATTAGTAACCCTGGTATCTGCCTGGGCATCTTTAGCGGGTGGGGGGTAGAGGATGGGTTTGGTCCCTTTACCCTATTCTGACCTGAAATGCTCTTCATCAAAGCTGAGTATGACAGTAAGCATAAAGACTGACTACATTACAAGCAGGGCTCTGAGCCAGAAGGTGGGGCCTTTGTATCCTGTTTGGAGTAGACTTCCGTGGTAACTGCGTCTAACGCTTTCTCACAGCCGCTCCTGACATCACTGGCCATAAACGGAGTGAGAACAAGAATGAAGGGCAGGATGCCACTATGTATTGCAAGTCAGTTGGCTACCCCCACCCAGACTGGATATGGCGCAAGAAGGAGAACGGGATGCCCATGGTGAGTAGGAGGCAGGCCCGGGTCTCTGGTTGCTGGAGTTTTCCCTGCAGAGGTCCAGACACGTGGGTCAGTTACTGTAGTAGCTGTATCCTCGGATGTGTGCATGGCGAGGGTCACCCTTTCTAGAGTCACGGTTTACAGCATGAATCAAGAGGTCATTGACAGTCTCTTCCAGCACAAAAATCCCTGTACGTGATTTGTTAAAGCTGTCCCTCTGGTAAGAGATTAGATTGCTCACTGTATTAGTCCATTCTCACTTTGCTCTAAAGAACTTCCAGAGACTGGGTAATTTATAAAGAAAAAAGGTTTAATTGGCTCATGATTCCACAGGCTTTACAGGAAGCATTGCCGGGGAGGCCTCAGGAAACACAGGAAAGATGATCTTTCCTATCTTAGACAACAGAGTGACATCTGGCCTGCTTTGAGTTTTATTGCTTTCAGATTACTGTAACTGAAGGTGAGGCATTGACAGGTAATATAGTTAAGATAAAGCTAAATCCAAAGAATTAGCCTCCCCCTCAGGCTTCTTTGATCCTTGAAACTTACCTATTTTTTAGACTGCAGTTGCTGTTTATTTCTTCTTAAGTGATCCCTGTAAGTAGAGAAACTTAGAATCATGGTGGAAGGTGAAGGGGAAGCAGGCAGGTCCTAGGTGGCTGGAGAGGAGGAAGAGAGTGAAGGAGGGAGATGCTACACACTTTTAAACAACCGGGTCTCATGAGAATTCACTGTCAGGAGAACAGCAAAGGGGATATCCGCCCCCATGATCCTGTCACCTCCCACAAGGCCCCTCCTCCAACACTGGGGATTATAATTCACCATGAAATTGGGGTGAAGACAAAATCCAAACCATATCACTTGCCTTCAGGATAGGACACTGAAAGAACCGAGCCTAATTCTCGTCCATTTATCCTGAAGAAAATACTGTTTTTGAAGTGGTCTTAGAGAACCTGCCTTGTTTTTTTAGTAGGAAACAAGGTACTGAGGGCAATTATTAGTACATTCCTGCAACACAGAACATACTGATAAGGAATTGGGGCAACCTGAGGAGGCCCAAGGTACTGAGGGCAATTACTAGTACATTCCTGCAACACAGAACATACTGATAAGGAATCGGGGCAACCTGAGGAGGCCCAAGGGCAGCCTTGGCAGCCTTAGACATTGGGAACCTGACGGTATTTGCCCCAGAAAATGTCAAAGAGAACATCTTTTCCGATCAGTGGGATGATTCATGATGTTGTTTGGAGAGTCAGAGCTTTAGAACCTCACTTTCTCTCTCATTATGATTGTTGACCCATTACCTTTTCTGTCAGAGAGCGTGTCAAGCGTTCCTCTGATCCCATGGATCCTCTTTGATTATCAGTCTTCAGAATCCAAAAGGACCTTAAAGATCATTAATCCATCTTCTTTGGAAGGGTTCCATAGTAGCCAAGATAAATTAGTGGCAAAACCAAGAGTTGTATCTAGTTTTTTTAAATTTCAAGTCCATTATTCTTCCTACTTCATGACATCTTGATAATAAAATGTTGAGTTGTGATAATGACTCCAACATCAGCGATGATTTCAGAGACCCGTTAACGAGGAGCAGGATGAGGATTGCCGAGGTGAAGATGCTGAGTCTTTTTTACAAGACACTGAACTTTCTAAGGCACTGGAGAGGAAATGTCCACTTCTCTCTGCTGGTCACTGGGAAGGAGTGCCCTTGAGCTTTTGCCAAAGCAGGTTGGAATTAACGCAGTATGTGTTTTAATCTGAAAGATGAAGCTTGAGGCATCACAGACTAGCTGTTTTAAAAGCTTACGAGTTCCCCATTTCAGATGTACCTGCACTCAAATGCTGACAAGATTGTATGCCATATCTAGAATCATTTCCAGGATAATATTCCCCTTTTTCTCTCCTATTTCTGATTGTGCTTTAGTTGTTGCAGGGTAAAGACACATGAGTCTGTTTTTTCCCTGCCGGGATCTCATGAGCTGAGTGCAGTGAGCCATCCCGCTGAGTCCCGACCTCTGCCTGTGCACTCTTGCACCTCTGCCTTCACACCCATGCGAATCCCTGCCTGCACTGCTCCTCCCTGTTTGATCAGCTGTCCTCCTCCACAGTCTAGTGCAAATGTTAGCTCATGTGTGAAGCTTTCCCTGACTCTTTCCAGCAGTGGCCACTCACTGTGCCCTACAGCACTCTATACACACGCTCTGTTGGGGCTTCTTAACACATTCCTGAAATCAGTCATCCCTTTTTGGATGTCTGGTTCCCTTTTGAGGCCAAGCTCCTTATTCATTTCTAGGTCTGTCTTCTCCCTATCTCACCTTCTCACTCCCACCTGCCCTTAGTAGGATATAAAGCATGCAGCATATTTTAGTAAATATTTGTTCTCTTTTATTTGTTTGTTTTGTTTTGTGTTAAGACAGGGTCTTGATCTGTCTACCAGGCTGGAGTGCAGCAACCTCCTGGGCTCATGTGATCCTCCTGCCTCAGCCTTCTGTGTAGCTGGGACCACAGGTGTACACCACTATGCTCAGCTAATTTTATTTTTGATTTTTTGTAGAGATGGGGTCTCAGTTTGTTGCCAAGGCCAGTCTTGAACTCCTGGGCTCAAGCGATCCTCCCACCTTAGCTTCCTAAAGTGCTGAGATTACAGGCATGAGCCTCTGTGCCCAGCCACAAATATTTGTTGATTGATTGAATAACCTTTCCTCTAACCTCTAGTCCTTAAATGAAAGGAAAGTTATGAATTTCCCCCAGTCTGACTAGGAGTGAGTTCTTAGCATTGTTTGTGGAGGAAGTTTAAGGAGACTTCCTCAGAACTCACCAAGTGTGAAGTCAGTGTGCTGACTCTGAGGTCATCAGAGAGGCCTGAGGTCCCCGAGGCATGCCTGACTGTAGGGGTTGTACCCCTCCTTCTGCCGTCCTCTTTCTGCTGTGGTTTCTTACCTGGTGTTGGAGGCAGCATTTACTAGGTTGTTGGACTTTTCTGAGTCTCCAGGCAGTAGGACCTGCACTCACTTCGTGGAAGTCGGGGAAGTCTGGAGGACCGATGGTAAGGGAGGCTTGCCTGGCTCTGTCAGAAGTTGATTTGTTGTTGTTGATACTGAAGGGAAATCATTAATGAAATGTTCCTAGACACTGCTTCCTCATTCTGGCTGGTGCCTAAAAAGAACGGAGAGCAGTGTCACCCTCTCTTGAACATTAGCTCAGTTACTCACTCTCACCTTTGTGTATTCTCACTTTTTTGCAGGACATTGTCAATACCTCTGGCCGCTTCTTCATCATCAACAAGGAAAATTACACTGAGTTGAACATTGTGAACCTGCAGATCACGGAAGACCCTGGCGAGTATGAATGTAATGCCACCAACGCCATTGGCTCCGCCTCTGTTGTCACTGTCCTCAGGGTGCGGAGCCACCTGGCCCCACTCTGGCCTTTCTTGGGAATTCTGGCTGAAATTATCATCCTTGTGGTGATCATTGTTGTGTATGAGAAGAGGAAGAGGCCAGATGAGGTTCCTGACGGTAAGAGCATCCCTACAAAATAGCTGTACTGCTGGGGTTGGTTCCTTCGGGTGGTTTCCAAGTACCCAAAGAGGACTATAGGGATGTTGGGATTCAATCCCTAAAGGAAAGAAGGAAAATTCTTATACCAGTTCCTAACCCCCTACCCGTAAGAGTTTTTTATTTTTATTTTTTATTTTTATTTTATTTTTATTTTTTTTGCATTAGCCATCTAGAGCTGTCCTTAGCTCTCTCCCTCTGTTTGGGTGTTTTCCAAACCCTAGTCCCATCTGCCTTTCAGGCCCCATGTGGTGAATGGGCAGCTGTCAGTCTCTTTGTTCAGCTCTGTCCTCCTTCAATACAGATCATCAGGCAGATTGAGCTTGAGGAGAATCCAAGTCAAGCCTAGAAGCCACCCCAAGATGGCAGGCCACCTGGCCTTTCAGGCAGATTTAAGGTATCTAACTGGTTGTCACATGGTTGCCTGGTGTAGCCCCTGTAGGTAACTGCCCCAGCCCAGTCAGACTGTTCTCAGAAAAGCCATTGGAACAAGCCAGCTTTTGGTTCCTTGGTTGGTCCCTTTGATAGGTTTCCAGCGCTCTCTGCTGGGTGGCTTTCCATCTGTGTCTCACAGACAAAGGAGAGTCTGATGTATCCACCCATCTAGTGTAAGACAGAGATAGCAAAGGCGGAACAAATGGAGTCCATGCCCCGAGGCTGTGCCCTCAAGCTGGCCTAGGGTCAGAGAAGGGAGGAGATGGTAGCAGCAGAACCACAGCACACCACTGAGCACTGGAAAGAGCAAGAGCTGAAATCTTAGGTTATTGGATATGCCTAGAGTCAGAAAAGCCTTGGGAAATTTTTGGTGATCGATTTTTCCTGTGAAGGGGGAAGCTGCTGATGGAGACTTGTATCTGCAGTACTTCAGGTTCCCAGCTGGCTCCCCATCCCCACCCTATAACATGACCGGCGTACAGAAATTAATTGGCCGACTGTTACCACCACTAGTCTGTCCCTGGCTAGACTAGACAGATGGGTGTGCCCCTGGGCTCAGTGGTAGCCTACCCGGGGTGATGGTGGGGTTGCCAGCTGTAGTCCAGCTGTTCTGGGGCCTGTGTTTGTGCACCTGTGGTGCTGTATCCTGCCCCACAGAGCTGGCTGTCCAGTGGAGAATACAAAGTGACATCTGGTGCTCCCTCAGAAAGAATGTGGCCCCAGAGGCATGCCAGTGGCTTTAGACTCTCTGGGAGGACATGTTTGAGAGCAACAGCCCCTTCCCCATCTTTTCCTTTCTTCTCAGCAGTTATAAATCTCTCTGCCTGCAGTAAGTAGAGTGAGTGGCTGGTGAGGAGGTTTGTTGATGACACTGACAATATCTGGTGACTCCCTCCAGATGTGCACTCAGCAGTGAGCTGGGCAGAGGCGTGGGAAGGACGTTGGCTGGGAGCAGACGGCCTCTGCAAATGAATCTCTAGTTTCCTGCAACCTGGGAGTGTCCCCATGAGTTTTACTTTCCTACTTTATGAAGTGAACCTGCTTTCTTTGGGATTTCATGTACTCCTAATGCTTTTTCTCTCCAGGTATTTCTTTCCTGCTACATATTAGGACTCCCAAGGCAAGAGTGCACCTTTATTTAGACCTGGGAGTAAAGGGAAAGAGTTGCCTGTCTTTCGTGTGTTTTCAGCTTTGGCTCTGTGGGATCAGTTATGCCTCATTCCTGAAAAGGGCCTTTTTATCCCCCCAGAATGCTTTTGCTTTGCCAATACCACCTTCCTCAGCCTGCCTTTTGGAAAGGTTGAGAAGCTAAAAAGTCAGGTAAGAGAAGGCAGAGATGGACTTCAGAACCTGATTTTTAAATTTTAAGGCAAGGCTGGCTGCCACTGGTGAGAGTGATGCAGCAGCCTAGCGTGTTCCCAGCAGAGGTCTAGTCTTTGCCCTAAGAAGTCACCGCGCTTATGAGGTTGCTATCACAGTGCATGTGGTAGGTTAGATTTGAGAAATGGTTAGGATTGTTCTGTTGGATAAGTGCAGACACCTGCCCAGGGAAGCAGCTCTTTTTTTGTAAGAGTTTTCTTGGTTACTGAAATCAAATGGGGGACCAGTTTGTTATAGGAGACATCTGTGGCCAGCAAATCTGAACAGCTTCCTAGAGGGAAAGTACCTCTTTTAAACTAAGTTATTATAGACAGTGAATGAATCCTACCCTTAAAAGAGATGACGGCAGGGTAAGTGCAAAGTAAAACCTCCTTGCTCTAGTCTCTTGGGAGAGTATTGTAATGAAAGCAGCGTTTACTTCGTTGTTGTTGCATTGGGGTGAAAAATCTGAGATGCTGGAATGATGGCAATGTTTGCCTTCTCTCCTTCCCTTCCTGACAGCCAGTGTGGGCCAGGCTCCACTCTCCATCTTCACACCCTGCCCTTGCTCCAGTATTTCCATTCTGTTTTTCTCCTCTGTCTCTTTCTGTCTTTCTCTCAAACTCCATCCTGCTTCCACCCCTGCCCGCTTTTCTTCTCCTTTCCTGGAAGTAATCATTAAACAAAAGAAAAAGTTGAATGTTCTTTGGTGAGTTTCCTTCTTCTCTGCCTTTTCCTTCTTTAGCCAGTTCCCCTCAACCCCTGTGCACTCCATAGGAAGGACAAACTTACCTGTCTGCTTCCTTCCCATGTGCTTCTCCCCAAATTTTCATATAGATATATACGTACACTCCTTTTGGAATAAACGAAGAGGTACATTATATTTGACACAAACTTGGGAGTGTTAAGAGGTCATAAGTGTTTACCTATCAGATAACCATCTGTGGCTCTGTGTTGGATTTTTTTTATACCATTAGGAAAATGGGAATTTTTTTATAGGCCTGCCATACTTCTACTTTGCCAAATAGCACTTTATTATCAAGATACACCCATGGCTCATTTCAGACTCACTGAACTTTTTTTATATGAATGCACAGTCGTCATATTTTGGGCAGTCTGTGAGTTCTTGGTAACTCATCCCCTTACTACAAAAGCACTAAGTGAACAATACAAAAGTATAAAAGCACAAATTTGAACTTACATAGTTTAGTTTAAGTATGTTTCACTAGAAAATCAAATATTTAGATTTCTCACATTGAAAATGCTTAGGATTGAGGTTTAGCTGCTTCCTTTAAAAAAAAAAAAAAAAAAAAAGCCCCATGTCTTTTTTCTTTACCTACTGGAGTATTCTCAGACCATTTCCTACATGAAAACACCCACCTGCATTCCTTTAGTCCCCTGTATGGTCTCTTTGAGGATCAGTGCCCACTAGGTTGTCTTGTAGGTGGACTAATCTACAGATCACCTTTACCTTCAGTATTTTCAGGAACAAGTGAATCATGGAGTCAAATAAGAGCTTTGTTTTGTTCACTTGACTCACCACTTGACTGTATTCCCTGAAAATGTTAAATGATAGTTCTCTAAAAAGACCAGGTCAAGCTAGCAGCCTCTAGGCTTCCATCCATGTCACAGCTGGGCACCTGCTTGGGTGCACCTTCTGTGTTGGTGTCCTGCGGACTGCACTCCAGGAGCAGTCAGCCTGTGCTCCTGAGTCTCCCCTCCCCAGGCCCTGGAGGAATGGGGAGTGAACCCACTTAGTTGCTGAGGCCTGCAGTTCTTCTGGATATTTTAGTGACCTCACAGACAGCAAATTAAAACAGGAGCTGATTTAAGAAAAGAAGTGCTGGTACCAAAAAAGAACTTTCTGTTTTTACCTTGGGATAATTTTTTATAAGCAAGTCAAAGGGACTCTCTTTAAGTTACTGATGGAGAAGATATTTGAGGTTTTTTGGGGGGCCATTTTTAGTGGCTCTGATATATCCAAGCTCTTTTAGACACTTTAGAATGAAGAGCTGTTCTAATGTTCCAAAATCTATTCGTTGGTCAAAACATTTGGTAGCATATGAAGCTTTATACAGACTAGGGATATTGGAAAAGAAATGTGACTTTTAAAATGACACCTAAAACATGCATTCGGTGTCTGGTCTGTTAACTAGGGGCCATCTGGGTCAATAACAAGTTACCTCATGGAGAAAATGCAATAGGACCAAACAAGGAAGGAAATAGGAAGTAACTCAGTCTCTCTTGGGTTTAATGCTAACCTGCTAAGGTCAGGCAAAATTTAAGTGGATTTAGAAACCATAAAACCTTCTAGTGAGATGAATGCAGTGACAAAGGACCTTTGACCAGAGAGTCAACTCTTCATTATTCGGACTTTAAAGCCATCTTTTTGGAGGTGATATTGTATTAGGCAATCCGTTATTTACTAGACATTGCAGAGCACCCCTTCTAGATGATGAGGCGGATATAGGGGGAGTGAGGGCTGTGGTCCATTCGGTTGGGAAGATGGAACACGCAGATAAATCAGTGTGTGCTACAGTTCCACCGGTAACTTCACTCTCATAAGGTGGATTCCAGAAGCATCTTGTTTCCATTATCCCCCCAGTCCTCTTCCTCTCATCTAGCCAGTGGCTGTAATACTGAGGTGGAGAGAACAGTCATTGTTTAAGCTGGCTATCTTTTGGCCTGAGGGTTTGGGGTATGTTGATATTTGTCGGTTACTATGACTTCTTTTTTTTCCCCCCTCAATTGCATCAAACCCTTAAAACATGGTGGTAAGTGAGCGATATGCATGCTTTTGGAGTTTGTTTAATCTCCGCTTCAGTCTATACGATGCACAGTTCATAATGTTAACACTTTTCTTCAAGTTTACTTCATTCACTTTCACAACTAATTTGGATTTCAGTTTGCTGTTTAATCCTCATTTACTTTGGTTTCTGTATCTTTTTTCTGTAATTCTGTTCTTTCCCTCTCCCCTGACTTCCCTGTTAGGGGTCAAGTCGTTTTTTTGTCTGACCTGTAGGGGAGAGTGGTGCTGCAGATAGTGATTCAGTCCAGGAGAGTGGGGAGACATGAGGCTCTTTTGTTTGTCAGTGTGAAAGTGGATTTGGGGAGACAGATGAAGAGGGCTCCTGGGATTTTGCCCCCTTGTGAATCTCAACTGCTCCCACTTGCAGGCATGGCAGCTATGCCGGAGGCACTGTCGCTAAAACACCTCCATGCAACCCTTTGCATGTTACCAGCTTGTTGGGCTGGAAAGTGACATTACTAATCAGACACCAGGGAATACCCACACTCCAAAAGGAAAAACAGCCCGTGGTGTGAGGTGCTTGGGTTGGTGCCTACAGTGTCATGCTTTGAAAAGATTAGCCTGGCTATTGCGATTCTCCCTCCCCTGCTTTTTATTTTAAATTTGGGAGTAGATTGGTGTATTCTTGATTCGGCTCTCTTGCATTAGAATTTTGTATTTTCGAGTGCACAGCCAGAGCACTAAAAGTATTCCAAGTTTGCTCCTATGTCTTTTCATTTAAATCCCCAAAGTGCTTAGTTCCTAGCATGTAGCTGAGCTGGCTTGGCCGGGATGCTGAGCATTAGGATGTTGTGAGGGGAGAATTTAGGCTGGGCTTTTGTGTCTTAGTACCTGGTATGTCTTTGTATCTCTCCACTGCATACACAGCACACAGATGTCTTGGGTGTCCTTAAGTCTTAGTTTGTTCTCTGTACCCGTTTGATAGTGTATACTGTTGTTAGTAGTGGACTCCTGTGGACACTAGTGTGTCGCTAGCCTATTGTTTTGGCTGATGAGTCATTGGTTTGTGGTTAGTTCTTTTTTTTGAAATCCTTTTTTGCTCCAGTCACTGTGTGTGCTGGCGGTGGCTTTGCCTCTCCGTTGCCTCGAAGGAACAGGTGGAGCAATGTCTCCCTCTGACAGACATTACTCCCGACATGTGCTCCTGCAGATGCCTACACTGAGACTGTAATCTCCATAACTGCTTCATGTGCACCAAGCCCCCTTGTGGAATCCTGCTGAGAATTTTTCTAGAAGCCTTCAGTGAAATCAAACTGTTCTGAATCATTTAGTTTACCTGACTTTTGTATAATAAAAACAAACTAAGAGCACTTACTTGTTCCCTTCCCCTTGTGGGTCTTTTTAAAACATTCTCTCTCTGTGAATGTGTATCTCTGCTTAAAGGGGATCAAGTTGCACTTAGTTGAAACACGAAAGACTTATAAATCAGAATCATAAAGTATCAATTTAAGAAGGCTTAAACTCATATAATGTCAGCTTTTTGATTTTAAAAAAGTTATCTCATGGCTCCCCTGGGTTTGGCTTCTGGTTTTGGCCAGGGCACAGGAGTGAGCCTGTCTTTCTGAAGTCTTTTCTAGAGGGATGTCACCACTGTTCAGCTTTCCTCGGTGTGTCACAGAACATCCTCTGGTATACATACACTTGTTGCTGGCATAGCCCAGCATGGCTGACCCAATTTAGGTTGAACTATTGTGATTGCCTCTTCTCAATCTCATTCTCCAGACTAAAGACTCTTCTAAAGATTACAAAACAGCAAGAAAAACAGAGTGCCCTTTGGGGAAGTGAGGATGTGTGGCTAAATGTACAGATGGTACACATCCATTCACATTGCAGGATTGAGCCAAAACTGCATGCATTCACCACAAGAAAACAAACAGCAGGATTTTACAACTGAAATGTTGGTTTGTCTTCTCATCTATTTAAGAGTGAACCACTGGAACTTGGGGACAAGATGAGTATAACAATGTTGCAGCCTATCTGTCCGCTACAGTTGCAGTTTTTCATGACAAGCATTCAAAGTGTTAACTAAAACCATTGAAACAACATACCTGCCATTTAAACTTGAATCTAGAAATAATAACTCCATGAGTGTTTTGCACCTCCAGATGGAATGGCCTTTAATAAATGCTGTGAGTAGCCATGATTGCCACTTGCAGTTTGCTATTCTGTTAATCCTTATGCAGAATCTAACAGTTTTCTCCTTTCTTCTCTTATCTCTCATGGATTTTTAAAAAACTGAACACCATGTAGATGATGAACCAGCTGGACCAATGTAAGTACTTTATTGGACATTGATTCAACAGTATCTGATTGAATGATGTTGTGTTTGCAGTTTAATCAAATGGAGTAGCTAAGATTGGAGGGGAAGACAGTGAGTGGAAATGAAGGTTGCAGTGTAGATTTCTTAGCTTGACACAGATCTGACTAAAAACCACTTGATTCTCAGGATAGGTTATGCAGTCTTGTTTTCCAGTGGCCATACAAAGTGGAATACCATGCAAAAAACTTTTTTTTTTTTCAAATTTTGTGTATTTGATATACTTAAAATGTGGGGGAAATGGCCAGTATATCTGAGGCTCCCGGTTTTGTCAATGTTAAAACGTTTCTGATCCCAAGCATTTCAGATGAGGAATACTCAACCTGTAGCTACTTAAGGAATGTTTTTTTATGCACTCATATTGTGCCACAAAATTTCTCACTACACCAGGGATGGTAGTAAAAGGGTCCCTGTATTTCCATGTGTTATACTTTCAAAAGTTGTTACTGACCGAGTTTAACTCATGTAATGCAATTTGAGGCTGAACTATAGCCTGGATAAACTGTCTAGCCCCATTAACAATTGCTCGTATCCAAGAGAGAGGGTACTGCAGGTATGGAATCAATCTAAGATCGGCAGAATCTCCTAGAGTTGGACTAAAGAGTGAGAAGCAGACAAACAGCACCCAAATTTGTTAAGTACCAGAGGGCCCAGCACTGCCAGCTTATGATTACCTTTTATCAAGAAGGGACAGTGGTGTTGTGTTCAGTGGAGAAAAGTTTTACATATTCTCACCTGTATCGTAATTATAGTTCCGGATTCGAAGGGAAAGTACTCGTCTGCCTTGGGGGTCAAAAGGAGGATAAAATGAGGTATATACAGGTTGAGTCTACCTACTACCAAAATCCATAATCTGAAATGCTCCAAAATCTGAAGTTTTTTTTGTGTGCTCACATGAGGCTCAAAGGAAATGCTCATTGGAGCATTTTGAATTTTGGATTTTCAGATTAGGGATGCTGAACTGGTAAGTATAATGCAGATATTCCAAAATCTAAAAAAATTCAAAATCTGAAACATTTCTGATCCCAAGCATTTCAGATGAGGGATACTTAACCTGTAGCTACTTAAGGAATGTTTTTTTATGCACTCATATTGTGCCACAAAATTTCTCACTACACCAGGGATGGCAGTAAGTGAAAGAGTCCCTGTATTTCCATGTGTTATACTTTGAAAAGTTATTGACTGAGTTTAACTCATGTAATGCAATTTTTCCTCCAAAGGAAAACCAACTCTACCAACAATCACAAAGATAAAAACTTGCGCCAGAGAAACACAAATTAAGTACTGCTTACAATGTAAGTATGGCCTTCTGTAGCAGTCTTAAAAATTATATTCAAATGAATGTGCCTCTATTGACCTTGTTACAAATTCTTCAGTAATTGGTGTTATAAGATATTTTAGTTCATTTCAGAGCAGCTGATACTGATGAAGCCAGTTCTGTCTGCCCAGTTTAGGGACTGGAAAGGAACATTTTTCAGCTGCGTTGTTTTTTGTTGTTGTTTGGATTTTTTAAGATGGAGTCTCACTCTATTGCCCAAGCTGGAGTGCAGTGGTGTGATCTCGGCTCACTGCAACCTCCGCCTCCCGGGTTCAAGCAATTCTCCTGCCCCAGCCTCCTAAGTAGCTGGGATTACAGCTGCCCACCACCATGCCCAGCTAAATTTTGTATTTTTAGTAGAGACGGGGTTTCATCATGTTGGCCAGGGTGGTCTTGAACTCCTGACCTCAAGTGATCCGCCTGCCTCAGCCTCCCAGAAGTGCTGGGATTACAGGCATGAGCCAGTGTGCCCCGCCATCAGGTGCATTGTGTCACATGTTTATATAAATGCCATTTCAGAAGACATATTTTAAAATCAACACTTTTCACTACTATTATATCTTTACAAAGAGGTGAAAATTGTCACCTTCTTAGGTGGCTTATTCCCAGAGGCCTACTAGTCTTACCTCACGTCTGGGGGCAAGACAAGAATGGCCAGGTAGCAGCAGGGCCAGAATGTCATCTTGTTAGGCATATGGAGATCAGAATTTCACACCACATCCCTGAGCGTGCTGTTTGAACCAAAGTTTTGTGTGGCACACGGTGTAGTTGTGAGTGACAGTGCATAATCCCTTTATAATTTCCAAATACATATTTCTTTACAGATCTTTAGGTTCCTGAAACTGGTGGCAACATGACCTGCTAAAATTTTCTGCTTGGACCTCTTTGGTTCTCTCCCCTTTCAAGTGAGCAACACCACAATGACTGTCTAAAGCATGCCTTATTTAGCCTCTCCTGTAAGGGTGATCTAGCCAGGTACATTTTAAACAATGCTTCAGTGTAGAAGGTGTAAACTATTTTGGGCTTGATGTGCTGTGAATGTTGCTTTTTTTTTTCCTTTGTTAAAATATTTAAATAGAAGTGAAAAGGTCCTCTGAGGATCAGATCATGCATGCGCCATTTTTTACTTAATGCAGCTGTTAAATTGGCAAAGCTCTAAAATGCACTGCTGCCATCTAGTGATACACTTTTGTAAAGTACAGCAAAACCTACAGATATATACAGTATATAAATATATATATATATATATTTATATTTTTGGGGGTGGGAGAAATCCAAAATAAAGTAAATGCTTGTTTCATTTTTAAGCTGCTGATATTCATTCCTTATTGTATGTTGTCAGATGAGGAAATTGTGCAGTTCTGGTACATAAAGATGAGTAATATAAACTGAAATCTATAATTTTAAGGGCTTAACCTGTGACTTTAATAAGCTGGAACAGTCCACTGAATGGGTATAATGAATTGCAGTATATACGTATGATTGCTTTTTAAGTGATTATCTTTTCTTCTGTTAAGTCATGTAAATTCATAAATCCTTTTGCACTGATGTGTTGAACCTTATTCTTGTACATTCATTCAATCAAGGCAAACTTTTATAATTTTTCTTTTGTTTCCAATGACCTTGAAATGTTATAGCATGGTAATATTCTATGCAACTATAGTTATACTTTTTGGTTTGACACTGTATTTTTTCACATTGATTTACTGGTTGATGATAGATTTTATAACCTAACGGTTCTCATGCGGTGCGTAATTGTAGATGCATGTACTTGTGTGTTTTGTGTAATTATTGAAGTGCAATGATGTATAAAAAAGTGGATTCACCTGTTTTTAAAAATAAAACATTGATAAAAGGTGTTTGGATAATACTCTTTATTCTAATATCTTCTTTAATTTTAGGAGGAAGCATTTTTCAATACTTTGAAGTTCCTTAGTTATATATGTATATAGAGCATTAATTTCTCAAACCCGCCAGCTTTTTCAGTTCCTTTTCTACCTCTTCCACAAATGCTGGGAAATTCTGATCCATAAGGCACAAACGTAGGAAGGGGCCTAACTCTTCTGCACCCCATGCAGATTGTTCATAGACATGGGGCAGCTCCTCCGATGCCAGAAGAGTCTGCAGGGATACCAGAAAAGTCGTTACAGATTACAGGTAAAAGCAATACCTGGCTAATAGAACACAGGCAAATAGTGCTTTAAGGAAAGATTAGCGAAATACACACCAAAAAAATTAGTGTTAATTAGCTTTACAGGCTTCCTTTACATAGTTTTACTGTTACATTTACAATTTTGTATATTAATATGTATTCTGAATACACATAGCATGTGAGATAATCTTGTTGCCCTAAGGAAAGAATTTCAAATGTACTGATGAAATGTTTGCAAAGTTGAGATTCTACTTTAATGAAGAATACTGTGCTGATAACCTGTGGATTGAAAACAAACCTATCAATGCTATCAATGAATGAGCTCCACTAGCTCAGTTCATCTTCGCCACAGCATAGGTGGCAGAGTGGATGTGAGCAGCCTACTATGTGCTAGCTGCATTCTGAATGTAAGAAAGAGGCCACAGACTCCCAAAGGACATTAGTTCACACGCATCTTTTTCTGGCCATCTGTGAGTTTTGACAAATAGTCGTGTAACTGTCACCACAATCAAAATACAGAACATTTCTTTCACTTCCCAAAAAAATTCCTTTATGTGACCCTTGTGCTAACCATTACCGTCAAACCCTTAACCCTTAATAACTACTGATCTCTTCTCCATATAGTTTTGCCTTTTCCAGAATGTCATATAAATGAAATCATAATACGTTGTTGAATCTGGCTTCTTACACTTAGCATAATGAATACATTTGGGATTAATCCATGATGTTGAGTATAGCAGTAATTCATTTTTATTGCTGAATAAGTATTACATTGCATGGATGTGCCACAGTTTGGTTATCTGTGCTCCAGTTGAAGGACATTTGGGTTTTATTTTTTTGCAATTATGAATAAAGATGCTATAAACATTCCCTTACAGGTTTTTGTGTGAACACAGGTTTTCATTTCACTTCAGTAAATACCTAGGATTGAGTCATGTGGTGAGTGTATATTTAACTTTGTAAGAAACTGCCAAACTGTCATCTATAGTGGCTGTCCCATTTACATTCCACTAGCAGTGTAGATGAGAGTTGTAGTTGCTCACCCATCCAGGGTTTGGTATTGTCAGTTTTTCTTTTTGTTTTTAATTTAGGCATTCTAATAAGTTTGCAGGATGTCTCATCGTGGTCTTAATTTGCATTTGCCTAATGACTAATAATGTTGAGCATCTTTTCACATGCTTATTTGTCATCTGTATGTTTTCTTTGGTAACCTGCAGTGTTTTAAAACCAGTTGAATAAGTTGTCAACGTTTAAATATTAGGAGAGTTCAAATAAAAATCTTGACAATTTGGAAGATCTGGCAACACCGGATCCACAGTCCCACATGACGATGATGGGCTCCAGTTCTGTGTGGTCCACTTACTTTGGTGCATTGACTTGGTCATCTTATTGACTCCTCACATTAATTCTGTGAGGTAGGTGGTTTTATTCTTTACGTGGATAGCATGTTTTAGTGTGTAAGTACATAACTGGTATTTCTCCAGGAACTCTCTGTAACAGAAACTTACTTGGGATATACAGCACTTGTTTTGTTTATTTTTAGAGATGGGGGTCTCAATATGATGTTAGGCCAGGCTAGTCTTGAACTCCTGGCCTTAAATGATCCTCCTGCCTCAGCCCCCCAAAGTGCTTGGGACTACAGGTGTGAGCCACCATGTGCAGCCTACATCCCTTGTATTAATTGCATTTCTATCCCATCTGTGGTTATACCTCACTTAATATCCTATTAAATGAACATTTATGTTGTTTCCAATTTCTTAAGCATTGTGATGAACATATGTATATTTGTGTAGTTGAAATGAAATTATAGCTAACATAATATTAAATTTGATATGTACTGCTAAATTGCCTTCCAAAAGGTTTTACCAACTTACATAGAATGACATGTCCAAAAGATAAGAGCAAGTAAGTAATGTATCTGAGCTCCAAGCTTCATGCTTTTTCTCATTTGTATATGGTTCTTCCATACTACGTAAATAAACTGGGCAAAGGTATGCCTTTTCTAGCAATTGATATTTCCTAAATAAGGACATCACACCCTGCCTTGCTTATTGTTTTATTGCAGCTCTGTTTTCCTCAGCTTCTCTGATTCAGTTAGCCCCTAACCCCAATGCAAATATGGGCATTAGTCCTGCTGCTGGACAAATAATTTTTTTCATAGTTAGGGGTTTATTAAAAGAAATAAACATGAATTCTTAGTCTTCCTACCTCTTGAGTTTTTTATTCTATATGATTGTCCATTTATTTTGAGTTAGTGGCAAGCCAGATGGAGAAAACCCTTTTTTTCTTTTTTTTTTTTTTTTTTTAAACTACTGATAGTACAGTTTAGTGGAGGGATTAAAAGAAAATGTGGCCGGGCATAGTGGCTAACACCTGTAATCCTAGCAATTTGGGAGCCCAAGGTGGGGGAATCACTTGAGGTCTGGGGTTCAAGACCAGCCTGGCCAACACAGTGAAATCCTGACTCTACTAAAAATACAAAAATTAGCTGGGCGTGGTGGCACACGCCTGTAATCCCAGCTACTCAGGAGGCTAAGGCAGGAAAATCACTTGAACCCAGGAGACAGAGGTTGCAGTGAGCCAAGATCGCACCACTGCACTCCAGCCTGCTGGGTGCTGAGGCATGGTGAGACCCTGCCTCAAAAAAAAAAAAAAAAATCATACTTGAAGATTGATGAACTTCACACAGAATTCTGTGGCAAGCAGAAGCTGCTGGCTTGAACACCTGCAATGAGGAATGCAGTGAGGGGGAGACAAAGTCCTTGCAGAGCTCCCAGGAGAGTGGACGTCACACAACCATAGTTTTGAATGAAGAGGTTTTGCAGCAGGGGGCAAGGGGCTGTCTGAAAGCAAGTCTGAGTTAACAGCTGAATCCTCCTGGGTTTCACATCCTTAGCTGAGTACTAACAATCTACCCATATAGAAATTGTTGTAGATCTGAATCCACATTCATTTTGATATTTGTCTTAAAATAGTTCCCAAATTTCATTTCCATAATTACAATGGAGTCCTCCATTTATTCTTTTTTGGGAAAGTGGTGATTAAATTTTCTATATTGGACATTCAACCACTTTTCCCCGTTTTATTTCCTTAGGAGGGTAGATCTTGACTATGTGCCTGCAGCCATCATGTCTCACCTCACAACTTACTGTAATAAAACTTAACTCTGCAAGGGGTAGATGAAAATGGCCCGTCTCTGTCTCTATCACCTTTTAGAGTAATGCTTTAGAAGTTTCTCTCCTAAAACAAAGAATTGAACAAAGGGATACAAATTCTTAGGGGTCACTGCTTCTCATGACAAGAAAATTGAACACAGAAATAAGCTCTACCTGAGCTAACTGCGTCAGTGAGGTCCTTCCGTCTGGAGCGCCTGTGCCCGCTGTTACACACACTTGCTGTTGTTCTGAGTGCTGGTGGGACTGGAATAAAACAACATGCAATAAGGAGACTAGCTGAATGTAATCTTAAATACCAAAGGCCATTAAAGAGCAGAAATATGCATTCATGTTCAAAGAAAGAAAATACCACTAAGAGTGATAAAAATGGTTGTCAGCATAGGTCTGTCCTGGTTTAAACGGAGGGTTACTTGAGTTACCACAGCAGAAGTACTGAGTTTAAATTTGCGGCTCCTGACCTCTATTTGATGTTCCTCAGCAGTTGGCAGGCTGTTAGTGCTTCTTCCTGTCAGACACTGGGGCATTCCTCTGTTGTTAGAGGCCCAGCCTAGGATTCAGGACCAGGTGCTGGAGGGTGGGCCCGGTGCTGTTACCATGGCAGCCTACATGCAGTGGACGGACCCCAGCTTCTGATGATTTGTCACACTCTAAAAATTATTGCTCAAGTAATACATGTTCATTGAAGAAATGCAAAATGGGGGGAAACTCCTATAATTTTAAGACAACTGATGTTTTCAATAAAATGATTTTTTTAAATCTCATTTTAGATATTCTGAAAGAATCAGTTCTTCTGTAAGTAAAACTTACAGATATCTTCTTTCAACAACTGTTTATACCTCCTACGTACTAGACACTGGGGTGGTACGGGGATAGGAGCGACAAAGAACAAGATAGTCCTGCCCTCTGGAAGCCCACAACCCAGTGAGAACCTAACAAGTAAAACCATGAATTATCTTGCAACTCAGGAAGTGCTAGAGGTTCACAGAGAAGTGGGTAAACTGGAGGGCTGTATGCTAAGCAGGAAGTACAGGGATGCTCTAAGGTCCATGCTATCTGGAGAGAATCTATGGTAATAAGTTGTTCTCGGGTAGGACATGGGATGCTTTCCAGGCAAATGGAATGAACAAGGTGCAGGAGGTCTGGAGGCATGAAGGGCCCTACCTCCGTTCCTTCCTAGCCACATGTCTGCAGGCCCCAATATGCCTTGGGTACCTGAGGTTGCTGCAGTGCTAATCTCCAGACGAGCAGTGGTGATCCTACACTAGGTATGAGCTCATGGTGCAATACAGGGAGGAAACAGGGCACTCTTTGGAGGGCGCTTCTGTCCTTCAGCAACAAGTCTGACTACCAGAAGGCAGGAGATGCCAAATTCTGTCTTCTGTCCTACAGAGAATCTGATGGTTGCTAGTCAGTAGGTAGCAGGAAACCAGACCTGGAAGCATCAAACAACAACAAAAAAGAGGGGTGGAGGTACAGTGAGGAAGGAAAGAACAAAGACAAGAAAACAAAAAACGAGCAAAATGGCCAAAGGGCCAAAGGACTCTATAATCAATAGTCCTTAGACAAGCCCCATTTCTCTGTTCAGTTTCTTCAGTTTTCTCCTCTGTAAAAACAAGGCAGCCTCTAGTGCCTAGTGTTTCTTCAGCTATGACATATGATGCTTTCCTAGAATACCTATCATTTCAGCTCACACAAAGAACTAATGTCAACCAAAATTGTCTGCCATAAACACTAAAAAATAGCTAAGTGGAACTGAAGCACCTGAGGCTAGCGGGCTCTAGGATTAGATGGTCCACCTCTGCAACAGCATAGAGATGGAAGAGTCTGTGCACACAGTAGCTGGAGTCCCCTAGCTACTTTCTTCTGGACTTTTTGTGCTAACAGGAAAGAGTCCACATAGGAACTGCGATCCTCTTAACTGTCTTTCCCATCCCCCTCCCTGGGGTGGGCTGGTTGCCTTTGAAGTGCTAAGGTTGAGAAATGCCTGGTTAAGCCACAATTAACAAAATTACAAGGCTGAGGAAAAGCAAAAACTAAAATATGAGCCAGTAAATGACTCAAGAACTTGAAATAGAATTATCTCTATTTGCAAAGAAGGAAATAACTATTTTATACTAAAAAATATATAGGTACTACAAAAATGACACACCTGAATGTAAGAGAGCAGCAAAATGACCAGAACCTTGGCCATGGCTTGTGCCGCTTAAGACGGATTCTGAGAAAGAGCACATGCTACCAAAATTTGTACAACAGAGTTAAGGGCAAACCTTATGTTTTGCCATTAGGAAAACTAGAATGTTCTAGGTGGTGCCTCACAAGGTCTGTACCCTGGTGGAATTTAATCCAATGGCTTTAACTTATCATCTGCTCTGCAGCTTCAGACACTGTCTTATCATGCCCTCTCTTGGCTCTGGAGGTTCTGATCCTTGCTAATTGACTAGGATGCTGATTTGTTCATTTGCAAGGGAAGGCACATCTGAAAGGGTAACATTGGTGGCAATAATAGTAATGATGGATTTTGTGATTATATTTGCCAGGCATTGTATTGGGTACTTTCTATACAGCATTTTAATCTCACCATTTTACAGATGGGGCTAATTGGCTTCCGTGAGATCACACAGCTACTAAGAAATAGGGCCAGGATTCTAACCTAGATCCATTTTGATACCAAAGCCTGTAGTCTTTGCACAACATCATGCTATCTTAGTCAAATCACCCAATTACAGTTCAGAAGAGTCCCTGAAAATAGAATCAAGAAAGGCATGAAAGTTTCCTAACCACTTCTCAGGTATTCCTACCTAGACATTTGGGACCAGTCTTTAACATCAGAGAGCTGGAGCCTTCATCTGGGGCTGTAGCTCACAACTCAGCCTGCATTTGTTACTGCATGTTACAACTTCAATTTATTTGCATTTGTAATACTTAGATAATTGTGTAGCCTGATGAGGTTCTAGCGTGATGTGACTTCATTACCTTTATAAGGAACTCCAGACTGAGTTCCCAAAATCTGGAACCCTTTTGGGTTTTTTTGTTACACTCCATACACTGGGTATACTATACTATCATCTGAATCTAACAGGCAGTGAAACATGAAAAACTAAAGGGCAAAGGATCATAAGCAATAAAATACCTTATAACAACCAACCCATTTGTAGGGAGGGGATTCTTAAGGAATATAGCAGGAGCTGAATATAGACGAAGCATTATTGTTTGAAACTAGATCCAGGGTTTGTGAGGCAAGCAGCTTCAGCATTAAGACATCTTCACAAAAATCAAACGAAGGGAAGGAAAACACCAAAATCTGTTTGGTAAACTAAATACATTCAAGAGGAAATCATGCAGCACCTGCTTAAAGAAAAAGATTGTATAATAAATAATGAAAATTTATGTTCACCTTAGACAAATTATGAGTAACAAGAAACTTAGTGACAGCTGGGTGCGGTGGCTCATGCTTGTAATCCCAGCACTTTGGGAGGCCGAGGAGGGTGGATCTCCTGAGGTCAGGAGTTCGAGACCAGCTTGGCCAACATAATGAAACCCCATCTCTATTAAAAATACAAAAATTAGCTGGGCATGGTGGTGGATGTCTGTAATCCCAGCTACTCGGGAGGCTGAGGCAGGAGAATGGCTTGAACCTGGGAGGCCAGGTTGCAGTGAGCCGAGATCGTGCCATTGCACACTTCAGCCTGGGCAACAAGAGCGAAACTCTGTCTCAAAAAAAAGAAACATAGTGACAAAACAGCAAAAATGAGGTGTTTTGGTTAAGGAAAACTAACATGATGAAGTAATGGAAAACCAGGTTTGGAAAAATCACTTCTCAAAGCAAATGCAAAACCCAGCTTGAAAGTAGTATCTCATCTCAAGAACAGAGGTAGGTGCTTATTCCAATAATATTTGAAACTGCCAAAGAAATGCAGAACACATATTTCTGGGAGAAATTCTATAGTCATGAGTCTCAAACTTTTTTATCACAAGACCCCTTATGAGGCCTTCAAAGAACTTTCATCTGAGTTACATTTATCTGGTATTTATCATATTAGAAACTAACACGGAATTTAAAAATGTTCATTAAAAATAATAAACCCACTTTACGTTAATGTTGAAAACATTTTATGGAAAATAACTTTTCTAAAACAAAATAATGATTTTTGCAAATCTCTTTACTACCTAGTTTAGTAGAAGGTGACTAGATTCTTATATTTGCTGCTGCATTCAGTTTGCTGTAATGTGCTGCTTTGGTTGAAGACATGAAGAAAATCTGGCCTCACACAAATTATAGATGGAGAAGGGAGGGGTATTTTAGAATAGCCTGTTCAGATAACTGTGGATATTCCTTGATACAACACCAAAACTCAACGAGTGAGTTGCTTAAAGTTAAGTTGCAATATAGAATCTGAAACCATGGCAATAAACTTGTTATACTGTTATATTACAATCTTTTAGCCTATCTTACACTTTTGAATAGCTCTTTATCCACGTATAATTTTGTGGCATTCAGGCATCGGTCATCTGGACAATACTGATTCACTGAATATACTGTCTTTCAAATATTGACACATTTCATCAGGTAATTACTTATAAACAAGTAAATCACATTTATTAATAGCACCTTTAGAAAAGTCTTCCGGGTTGGGAAGTTGTGAAGCTCATGTGGCAGATACAAGTTTTTCAAGATTCTAATTTTCACTTGGAAGCTTAAATTTTATCATTTTCAATAAATACTATCAGTTGTTTTCCTGAAGTGATAGTTCATTTCACTGATTTTTGAGAAAATGTCTGCCAAATACCCAAATCTGAATTACCATAGTCTGTTGTTCTCTCACATAATGATGGTATTTTATGAAAAAAGAGGCTAGTTCAAAATACAAATGTCACACAGGTGCGTTCCCTTGAGACAGCCATGGTACTGCAGACTGCAGGGTTATTTCGTTAGTTTGTTCTTACTGCGAATGATTGGAACATGATGACTATTAGTACAGTTTGGTGCCACTGCCTGATCTGTATGAGATGACAGCAGCCTTACGATGCCTTTGTGTCATCAATTCAAATGTTGACACAGTGAAAAAGGCAAGTGATACTCTTTCTTTAAATATTAAGAAAAATAATTTTGACCTTGTGGGCCCCCTGGAAGAGTCCTAGGGAGGGGTTCGTGGACCACACTTTGAGAACCACTGTTCTGTAGTGACACCCAGAATGCAGCTGGAACTCCTCCCTGCCTAATTTCTGAATAGGGAGCTACAATGAGTATCGACCTCAATTTTAAAAAGTCACCGAACATAGATGTTTTTTAAACTACAAACCTAACAGACTTGACAAACTCCACTGTCATTTTGGCCACTCATTGTGCACTGCATTGTCATGTTTCCTGTATAACCAACACATCAGCCTACTTACTCCAGGCTGCCGTGGGACACTCTTTGCAGAATCCTTCCCTTGACTTTCAGTTGCCCTGGGTGGGCCAGGAATCAGCTGAAGCTCCTGGATGTTTCCATCAGGCACCTGCACGGTTATGTATTGTGCCAGCTTCTGAACACAACTGCAGCAGTGTTCCAGCGCCTGCTCCTTTGACTCTCCACTGAACTGTACTCGAAACAGGCGACTCTTGTCCTGTTTGACAAATCAAAAGTTATCATGAGAGACCCTCATCATATAACTATTTACTTTGGGGTCTTCCACTGAGTGTTTCCTTTGCTTGGCGGAGGAAGAGGTATAGATAAGGGAACAGTCATCTTCACTTATTGATGCAGGCATAGAAAAGCCAATAATTCATTTTCTTCCCCCTTTTGGGAGTTGTTCATCATACTAAAATTCACTTCCCTCTGGGAAGTGACATCAGCAACAGTGGAAAAGCTCATATCATAAAGACAGGAAGATCACTATACTGATTGCAGATCAGTGTTTTATCGTGCTTTGGAATAAAGATTTCATAGCTTCTAATTCCCTAAGTGAAAAATCTGTGAGGATAATAATACAGCAAGCATAGTCCTGCTCAAAACTTTTCTAAACTGAGTAATACCAAACCAGGTAGATAACTATGTTAAACAAGGCAGTGAGCTTAAACAATACTGGGGAAGAGTGACAGGCAGATGCTCAAAGCTAATAGATCTCATGCTAATGATCTGTAGTACCCTTTATCCTTAAAGAGGCCAGACTACCATACAAGTTGCATAGTGAAAGGCTGTCTTTAATTTGCTGTATGAGTCACATCCCTTGGCAAATTAGCAAATGTGGGACAGATGCAATTAAAAAATTTTAAAAATCTGTCAACTACATCAAACTTATTTGATTACAAGTATAAAAACATCTAAGTGTAAAAACATCTAGATTATAACAATAACATAAAACCATTTTAGAATAGTTTCCCTTTTTTCTAGTCTACTACTCTGCCTAGTTTAGAGGAGTCAACCTACATAAAAGCCTCCCGAAACAGGACTGTATATATTGTATACCTTTCATCAGTTTCTTCTGTAAAGAAATGTAGATGCTAAGCTTAGCACAGTGACAGTCCTTTTCCCTCATGAAATATATATACCATGTTGCTTCCTTGAAAACACTCCTAACTACAGTTAACAAAATCCTGTAAGTTCCTATAAGCAAATAAATAGTCCTTGATTTTCCTGTTCATAATTTACACTATTTAAATAAACCCATCAAGTAAAGCCATATATTTAGATTACAGAAAACTCTTGGCATGGCTGAGATAATGGTAAGCTATCATGTTTAGAAGAATAGGCACCACTGCCCCTTTTCACTGCCAGTATTTGGTACTCTTTATATTTTAATTCATTTAATTTTTCCCCCTGAATATAAAAGTCATCCATTATCATTATCTTATCCAACATTGGAAAAAATATGAAGAGTCATATATATCTGTGGGTGTATAAAAGAATATATACAAACACTCATGTATATTTAATTTCTAAAATTTTAGGTACATAGGTGTGTATATATTTATGAGGTACATGAGATGTTTTGATACAGGCATTCAATGAGTAATAATCACATCATGGAAAATGGGGTATCCATCCCCTCAAGCACTTATCCTTTGTGTTACAAACAATCCAACCATACTCGTGTATTTAAAAATTTCCATTATCGTCATCCTGTTGTGCTATCAAATACTAGGTCCTGTTCATTCTTTCTTTTTTTGGACCCATTAACCATCCCCACTACCCTTCCCAGCCTCTGGCAACCATCCTTCTACTCTTTATCTCCACGAGTTCAATTGTTTTGATTTTTAGATCCCACAAATAAGTGAGAATATGTGATGTTTGTCTTTCTGTGCCTGGTTTATTTCACTTAACGTAATGACCCCCAGTTCCATCCATGTTGTTGTAAGTAACAAGATCTCATAATTTTTTTTTTTAACTTTTATTCTAAGTTCAAGGGTCCAAGTGCAGGTTTTTTACATAGGTAAACTTGTGTCATGGGAGTTTGTTGTACAGATTATTGCGTCACCCAGGTATTAAGCCTAGTACCCATTCGTTATTTTTCCTGATCCTCTCCTTCCTCTACCTCCAAAAGGCCCCAGTGTGTGTTGTTCCCCTCTATGTATTCATGTGTTCTCATCATTTAGCTCCCACTTATAAGTGAGAACTTGTGGTATTTGGTTTTCTGTTCCTGTGTTAGTTTGCTAGGGATAATGGCCTCCAGCTCCATCCATCTCTACAAAAAATATTTCATGTTTTTATGGCTGCATAGTACTCCATGGTGTGCATGTACCATATTTTCTTTTTCTAGTCTATCATTGATGGGCACTTAGGTTGATTCCATGTCTTTGCTATTGTGAATAGTGCCACAAAGAACATGCATGTGTGAATATTACAGAAGGATTTATATTCCTTTGATTATATACCAAGTAACGGGATTGCTGGGTCAGATGGTGTTTTAGGTCTTTGAGGAATTGCCACACTGTCTTCCACAATGGCTGACCTAATTTACACTCCCACCAACAGTATATAAGTACAACTCGCCAGCATCTGTTATTTTTTTACTTTTTAGTAATAGTCATTCTGACTGGTATGAGATGGTATCTCACTGGTTTTGATTTTCATGTCTCTAATGATCAGTAATACTGAGCTTTTTTTCATATAGTTGTTGGCTGCATGTATGTCTTACTTTTAAAAAGTGTCTATTCAGGCCGGGCACAGTGACTCATGCCTATAATCCCAGCTCTTTGGGTGGCCAAGGCAGGAGGATCACAAGGTCAAGAGATCGAGGCCATCCTGGCCAACATGGTGAAACTCTGTCTCTAGTAAAAATACAATAATTAGCTGGGCATGGTGGCGCATGCCTGTAGTCCCAGCTATTCGGGAGGCGGAGGCAGAACAATCACTTGAACCCGGGAGGTGGAGGTTGCAGTGAGCCTAGAGCACACCACTGCACTCCAGCCTGGCAACAGCAAGACTCCATCTCAAAAAAGAAAAAAAAAGTGTCTATTCATGTCCTTTTCCCACTTTCTTATGGAGTTGTTTTTTTCTTGTAAATTTAAGTTCCTTGTAGGTGCTGGATATTAGACCTTTGTCATATGCATAGTTTGCAAAAATGTTCTCCTATTCTATAGGTTTTGTGTTTACTTTGTTGATAGTTTCTTTTGCTGTGCATGGCTCTTTGGTTTAATTAGATCCTATTTTGCTTTTGTTGCAATTGCTTTTGGCATCTTTGTCACGAAATCTTTGCCTGTGCCTGTGTCCTGGATGGTACTGCCTAGGTTGTCTTCCAGCATTTTTATAGCGTTTGGTTTTACATTTAAGTCTCTAATCCATCTTGAATTAATTTTTGTATTTCTGTGTATGGCTAGCCAGTTATACCCATTCTGTGTATGGCTATTTTATGGCTGAATAGTACTCCATTGTGTATAAGTACCACATTTTCTTTGTCCATTTATCTGCTGATGAACACTTAGGTTGCTTCCATATCTTGGCTATAGTGAATAGTGCTGCAACAAACATGGGGGTGCAGATATCCTGATACATTGATTTCCTTTCTTTTGGGTACATATCCAGCAGTAGTATTGCTGGATCATATGGTAGCTCTATTTTTAGTTTTTTGAGGAACGTCCAAACTGTTCTCCATAATGGTTGTACTAGTTTACATTCCCACCAACCATTTAACAGGGTCCCCTTTTCACCACATCCTCTCCTGCATTTGTTATTGCCTGGCTTTTGGATAAAAGCCATTTTAACTGGAGTGAGATGGTATCTCATTGTAGTTGTGATTTGCATTTCTCTGATGATCAGTGATGTTGATCACCTTTTCATATACCTGTTTACCATTTGCTTTTTGAGAAATGTCTATTCAAATCTTTTGCCCATTTTTTAATCAGATTATTAGATTTTTTTTCCCTATTGAGTTGTCTGAGCTCCTTATACATTCTGGTTACTAATCCCTTGTTATATGGGTAGTTTGCAAATATTTTCTCCCCTTCTGTGGGTTGTCTCTTCACTTTGCTGTGCAGAAGCTTTTTAACTTAAAGTGATCCCCTTTGTCCATTTTTGCTTTGGTTGTCTACACTTGTGGGGTATTACTGAAGAAATTTTTGCCCAGATCAACATCCTGGAGAGTTTCCTCAGTGTTTTCTTGTAGTAGTTTTCATAGTTTGAGGTCTTCGATTTAAGTATTTAATCCATTTTTATTTGATTTTTGTATATGGTGAAAGATAGGAGTCTTGTTTCATCCTTCTGCACATAGATATCAGTTTCCCAGAACTCTTTTTTTTTTTTTTTTTCCTGAGACAGAGTTTTGCTCTTGTTGCCCAGGCTGGAGTGCAATGACACAATCTCGGCTCACCGCAACCTCCACTTCCCGGGTTCAAGCGATTCTCCTGCCTCAGCAATTTCCCAGAACTCTTTATTGAAGAGACTGTCTCTTCCCTCAGGGTATGTTCTTGTAACCTTTATCAAAAATGAGTTCACTGATAAATATATTTTTATAGGTTATATATATTGTGTGTGTATATGTAAAATACATTGCTGTTCTATAACATAATTTTTAATTTAACATCAAATATATAAAAATAGAAGTATACCTCATTACTTTCAATGGCTGAAGAGTATTCCTTTATTTAACTGGCCCCCTATGGATGAACATTTAGGTTATTTCCAGCCTTTGTTCCTATTATAAACCACAAAGCTTTAACAAGCACTCTTATACATACATCTTTGTGTATACATGCCTAAAAGCAGATTTGCTGGGTCAAAGGATGTGTGTAATTCATATTTTGGTACATAATGCCTAACTCCCCTGTGGCAAGACAGGGCTTATTTACTCCCACCAAGAATCTATGTGCCCATTTCCCTCCGACACTGAAGATTCTTTTTTTAAATTTTTGTCAACATACTAGGTTAACATAGTTTTTTAAAAATTTCATTTCTTTGATTACAAGTGAGGTTGACTATCTTTCTTATGCTTATTGGTCATTTGTATTTTTTCTTTTAGTGTATTACCTATTCATGCCCTTAGCCATTTTCCTCTTGGATGGATAATCCCCAGATTATCAGGAGTCATTGAAAGCCTACCTTCCCTGAGGAAGGGAAAAGAACTGATAAGAGACCTATACATTCAATCTATAATACTACTATGAATCTTCTTTTGTGAAATTAAACTGATTTCTTGTTTACAGTTATTTAGCTGTTTCCAACAGACTCTATATGAAGACATCTATATGAAGTACCCTTATATTAGCTATTAGGATTCTGCAATTAACTTTCTGACAGTGACATCAGCAACTGTATTTCATAGCTAGCTTTAAAAAGCTGTATGCACAAGCAGACACTAAGCATACAAGCAGGGCAAAAACCTGAGACCAGTTATATAAGTCTACAGGTATCTATATGTGAATGTATATAATAATCAGTTTGGATAGCTAGGGTTTTTTTTGGAGTATAATTCCAAAAAAGCAACAGAGTAGTTTACATGTCTAATAGCCTAACTGAAGTCTTGTTCCATGTTTGCTTCTGTAAAAATTTTAGAATTTGAGCTTATCATCTAAAGCCAGAAATACCACTTCAATGCATGTGGATCCAAGATAAAACCCAGGTACATCAGGAAAAATCTGAAAATTAGTTGTATCTCCATCCTATATCCTCAATGCCATAGGTTACCATAATGGAAAACTTTCCACTGGGTTAACCAGAGGGACTGCTAAAGATTGAAAGTCTTGATGAGATTTATTTTTATGCCATAATTAAAAGTCAGAAAGAGCTTCTTGCTGTGAAGTGAAAAGTTCTCAAGTATACCAACAATCACGAACTTCGCCAAATATACAGTCTCTAGTTTCTATCACCTAAGAAGATGGGCTCATAATTACTGTATCTGAAGTGGTGGCTTACATGTAAAGTTGCACCTGCCCTCCTTCAGAACACTTAATTTCAAGTTATAACAACTAATACAGACTCAAGGAAGCAAATTTAAGGATAAGTGCTCATCTCTTTTCACTTATCTACGTGTACTCACAAAGGGATTAGGCCTACTAAGTGCTGGCTCACAGGTATGAATAGCATCTCCATACAGAGATGCTTAGGCCACAGGCTCCACAGTAGGTGTTCCAAGGCATCGTCATGCCCTGGAAAATGTGGAGCCCAGTTAACATGACATAGAGAGCCAAGGAGACACTAGAGGCCTCATAAAAACCCAGTGGGTTTTCCCGCTGGTTTTAGATTCATCACCCAGGTTGGTAAGAAATTTTCCATTACCACTAAGACCCCAACTGAAGCAGTTTTCCCCACCGCTAATTGTGAATTCCTCTACTATAGAAAATGTGGAAGTACAGAAAAAGGTCTTAAACAGAGAAGGTACTTCAGCATTTTATTTGATTCTTTGCTTTGAAACTAAAAGGCAATACTCAAAGCCTTGGCTAGACGAAATCATTTTAAAAACTCCTCCGTGAGTTACTGGGAGTGAGAAGTAAAGAGGACAGTGGTTGTTTGGGTTTCCTTCTTTGAGCCAAAGTGCCCTTAAGATAAGGAATTATATGTCTATTGTTAGCCCCCTATTTGATCAGAATTGCTGGAAAAAGGGAAGCCTACCTTATAAGTAGGCAGAATTTATTCAACCTACTTATTTCAGTTCAGAGAGAAAAGAAATATAATGTTTACTACTCATAGAATTTATATTAAATTGCTATAAAAGGAATGAAAATTTTACTTCTTCCATTTGTCAATTAAATAATAGTGTTTTGGCATAATACTTGAAAACTAAAAGTTATCCAAGCCAAGATGCATCAGATACTCTTTGCCAGGTAGGGCAAAAGAAGAATCTGTTGGTTCAATGTCAACATATTACATCAAGTCAATAGATCAAAGGAGGAAGAAACCCATGATCTTAATACTTGTCAAAAAGCATTTGATAAAATGATATGTAATCCTGATAAAGGTATTAAATAAACTATAATTGAAAGAGAATCTGCCTTACATGATAAAGAATATCGAACCATTGGCTAGGCATGGTGGCACACTCCTGTGGTCCTAACTACTCAGAAGGATGGGGCGGAAGGATTGTTTGAGCCCTGAAGGTTGAGGCTGCAGTGAGCAGAGATCACAACACTGCTCCAGCCTGGGGGACAGAGTTAGACTCTTCTCAAAAAAAAAAAAAAAAAAAAAAAAGCCAGTTAACAGACAGAGATGGAGTTAATGTCTAAACACTACTTCCCATGCAAGTCAGGAAGACGTCAAAGATACTATAACCCTATGATTACAGCATTCTGGGAGATCTAGACAATTCGGTAAGGTGGGGAAAGTAATAAAAAATATAAATCATTGGAAAGAAATACAATTGTCTGTAAATTATAAAAACACTTTCCTAGAAATTAAAAAACAGTTAATAAAAGTTTAGTAAGGAGGTTAAATTTAAACTAATTCAGAAAAAAATCCAATAATAACTGGCTGAAAATATATTTGGGATAAAGAATACCATTTACAGCTAGGTGTGATGGCTCACACCTGTAATCCCAGCACTTTGGGAGGCCGAGGCGGGCAGATCACCTGAGGTCGGGAGTTTGAGACCAGCCTGACCAACATGGAGAAACCCCGTCTCTCCTAAAAATACAAAATTAGCTGGGTGTGGTAGCGCATGCCTGTAATCCCAGCTACTCAGGAGGCTGAGGCAGGAGAATCGCTTGAACACGGGAGGAGGTTGCAGTGAGCTGAGATCACGCCATTGCACTCCAGCCTGGGCAACAAGAGTGAAACTCCGTCTCAAAAACAAACAAACAAAAAAACCATTGACAATAACAGGCAAATGGTTCCTAGTTTTAAATGTTTAAAAAGTCTGTGCATACAGTATATACACAAATATATAAAATTATATAGCTACACAAATTATACGTAGTTTGAAGAAGAGAAAAACTAGGCAAAAGAAGCAGGTGATTAACAGAAGAAATACAAATGTTACATTACCATTCTCATCAGTTTTAACAAGAAATGCAAATTAAAGGAATATGCTTATTTCTGCCTGTCAAATTAGAAACTAGTTTTTGAATTTAAATTGTATCACCACGTTGGAGAGGATTTGGATAAATGAACATTCTTACACATTGCCAGTAGAGTAGAAGCAGGGACAACCTATCGGGAGGGCAAATTTATATAAAAAAAAAAAAAAAAGTGTATACTTCTAGGACTTCTATCTCAAGAACCCTGTAAATAAATCCTTATGAAAATCAGAACATTTTTATAATAGTGAAAAATTAGCGATGAGTTAAACCCTAGTGCATCCAAACAATAACACGCTACCAAGCCATTATGAGTGTTTTCTTTCAGAGACTATCTAATGACTTGGTATAATGTTCCTGATAAAAAGAACAGGATACAAAGTACTACAATCCCCATTTTATAAATTATCTATATGGTGGACACTCAATTAGCACAAGCCAATCCACAAGAGGGGCTGGAAATGTCAAACGCTCATTTTCCTAATCTTTGCAGTTTGGGACAGCCATATTACACTGGTCCATGACACATAAGCAGGCATCTTCTGGGGGTTGTGGGTGGTGGAGAGCTATATAGGAAAGTGGATGCTTTCCTTATAAAAGGGCCAGGTGATGCTGACCTTCCTTCAATGGAAATATAGTAGAGCTGCAGCAACCATTCTGCACCCAAGAGGGAGAGGCCAGGAGAATTACCGAGATGCCAACCTGGACACTGTTGAGTTGCTGGAGGATGCTAGCAAGGGCCTGTCTCTAGATTTCTTTTTTCTTTTTTTTTTTCTTTTTTTTTTTTTGAGACAGAGTCTTGCTCTGTTGCCCATGCTGGAGTGTAGTGGTGCGATCTTGGCTCACTGCAACCTCTGCCTCCTAGGTTCAAGCAATTATCTTGCCTCAGCTTCCCAAGTAGCTGGGATTACAGGCATCTACCACCACCCCTGGCTAATTTTTGTATTTTTAAAAAAGATGGGGTTTCATCACGTTGTCCAGGCTGGTCTTGAACTCCTGATTTCAGGTGATCCACCTGTCTTGGCCTCCTAAAATGCTGGGATTACAGGCATGAGCCACCATGCCCAGCCTAGATTTCCTTTTAAGTGAAAAAAAAAGAAATCTGGTTTTTTAGGCCATTATAGCTGATTTTTCTCTTACATGCATCTGAACACAATCCTAACTGATATAGTATATATGCTTAGTAAAACCTTCAGAATATTAATAATTATTTTTGAGTGGTCAAATTATGGTTGATTTTTATTTTGCTCTTTGTAGTTAGTTTAAAATTTTAGTAATAATGTATATTTAGAAAAATTTAAAACTCAAGTATCAAACATACAGCATGTATAACTTTTTCAGAGATCTATACATTCATTCAGTATGATATGGTCTGGAGCTAAGTCCAAAGATCAAAGGGCAGCCTGGTTCTCTGATAGCTAGTCATAACCTGGGCTATTGGCTTAAGTCAATTTCCTTATATGGGAAACAAAACAGGGGTTCTTGAACATTTTGGAGTGTGTGCTCCAGATCCCTGTGGCAATCTGGTAAGCCAGTGGACCCCTTCTCAGAACAATGTTTTTAATCACACAAAATGCACAAGTTTACAAAGAAACCAATTATACTGAATTAGTTTATTACAATATTAAGGCACTAATTTGTGAACTAATATATATGCTTCTTTATTAATGTATTTGATAATAAAGATCTAGTAGGAGGACTAATAAACACCTTAATTTTGAGGTAGTGATGAGCATAAACATTTGAGATGTCAGAAACAACTGAAATGTGATATGAAAGTATCTGTGATTTCCATTAGTGAGAAGGTCTAAAACTACTGTGGTCTGCTGGCCTTACATTCATAGTGGAAGGAAATGATACATTTCAATTAGAGGTCAGTGAAAATCCATGGAAGTTCATGGACCCCCTGAATTCTATGGAGACTCTGGGGTCTGTGTACCCCAGGTTAATACCCCTCCACTAGATAATCGTCTAACTCTCAGAGTCTGAGTCCCTCAAAAATTAGTATCTTTCACTTAAATTTCAATATTATCTACTCCATGAATGTTAACAGATTGGTTTTCATAGTTATTTTTGAAGGAAAATGATCCAGGTGATTAATATGACTGTTTCTTTGATGAAGATCATTCTTTACACTTAATACAGCTAGAAAGCAAGTAAAAGGGAAATTTTTTAATATTAAAAAGAAAAAATGAAAATACATATTCACTGAATCATTTGAAGGTATACACCTTTTTAAACATCCAAATCGCAAGACAAATGATGTACTCCACTTCCAATTTGTGCTTGGGGGATAGAGAATGGCTGCACAGCTCCATCAGACGCATACTGAGAAATCCATCAGAGCCTGACTCCTTAGCAATGTCCTCCTGCTAATGAGGCTTCTGCCTCTCTACGGTCCTTGTTTCATGTTTTTCTCATAGTACAAACCTTTCTTAAACATTTGTATTCTTCCCAGTACCCGTCACCTACCAAGAGATGCCCCCAAATACCTCCCCAACATACACACATAGAAGATGAGAAGAGTGTGATCATTAGCTTAAATCTTGCCTTTATCGTTGTTCCAAACAACAGACAATCCACGCGTCTTACAATCTTCAACCAGTCCTTGCTACCAATGAGTGAAAACCCTTCCTGAAACAAAATTAGGCAAAAATTAGCAACAGAAACAAAAATATGAAGAATAGCTATGGCTGCAGCTACTTCCTGTTAGAAAGTTGTATATTTGTTTATTGTGTAACTCAAACATAGTAGCAATGACTCAATAAAACCAGTTGCCAAGGATGACCCTTATACTAAGTCCTCAATGTCCTGGTGCTTTTCCTGCATGAGGAACGTAAGACAACTTTTTTTTCTTAATCTTTTTATGTTGAAAATCAATACAATACTAAAGATAGTTAAGTGTCCATAGTCATATTTGATATAAAATGCCTTTCTATGCCTCTAGGATTTGCCAAAATATTTTATATTCCCCCAAATCAAGGGTTCCATTATACTGATTTATTAACTTATCTGGCACGTCTCTAACTCCATAGTAAGAATTCTCTTCATAAGAATCTTATTTTCATATTCCTATGAATGGAAAATTTAAAGCAGTTTTCTTTTGGATACTGAATGTTTACTTCTTCATTTCCATCTGAAAAAACAAAAAAAGGCAAAGAGGGCAGTAGAGGGCACACAAGTCTCAAATGAGGGACAACAGTTGGATCCATAAAGTGAAAAGATAAACTTTCTCTGCCATTTACTAATAAAGTCAGTGGAATGAACTATCTGATGATTATGGCAGCTCTTAAGCGCCAGTTATGTTGTCACTGGTTTCCTCAGTTAAGCAACCCATTGAGTTAGAATATGTTTAGCATACAGTAAAACCAATCCAGGAGATTAACTGACAATATGCAAAAATTGCATGGAAACTGCCAGTCTACCCTTAAATGTTAGTCCACCACAGCCAGGGAAGGCTGCTGGAGTAATCTGAGAAATCCCCAACTCTTAAAAAAACAGAAGAAAATGTAGTCCCTTATCCATTTGAACCCTCACAAAATCCCTCTGCCTAAATCTCAGTATGGTGAAAGTTGCAACTTTCATAGAAATTTACAACCTGGGAAACAGTGAGGGTTAATTCTTTGATGCTTTCCTTAAAAAAAAAAAAAAAAAAAAAAAAGTAGCCGGGCGTGGTGGCAGGTGCCTGTAGTCCTAGCTACTCCAGAGGCTGACGCAGGAGAATGGCATGAACCCAGGAGGCGGAGGTTGCAGTGAGCCGAGATTGCGCCACTGCACTCCAGTCTGGGGGACAGAGTGAGATTCCGTCTCAAAAAAAAAAAAAAAAAAAAAAAAAATCAGTTCTGAAATGCTACCTCTAAGCATTTTATCAATAGGTTTTTTTTCCAAATGGAAAGAGAAGTTAGACAAACCATTTATGATTTCTTCTTAAAACCCTCTCAGAATTAGCAAAAAGAAATGTTGATTATTACATCCAAAAATACAGTTAATTGTAGTTTCAAGTGGCAATGTATGAGGAAACTGGCACTCACACACATTGCTGGTGGGAGTGCAAATTGGTACAATGCTTACGGAGGGCAATTTGGCAATATCAAAATTACAAATGTATTTACATTTGGACCCAGCAATCCCAATGCCGGGAATTCATTTTACAGATCAACCTGCCCATGTATGAAGTGATGCATGGAGAAGGGTAAGCATTTCTGCTTTTTTTTTTTTTTAAACATAAGATTGGAAACAACTCAGGTATGCATCAAAGGTGGATTGGTTAAGTAAATTGTGGTACTCTATACAATGGAATACTATACAGGTGTAAAAAGTAGTAAATGTTATGTATCAGCACTGTCCAGTAGAAATAGAATTTGAGCCAGGTGCGGTGGCTCACGCCTGTAATTCCAGCACTTTGGGAGGCCGAGGCAGGCGGATCACGAGGTCAGAGATCGAGACCATCTTGGCTAACACAGAGAAACCCTGTCTCTAGTAAAAATACAAAAAATTAGCTGGGTGCGGTGGCGGGTGCCTGTAGTCCCAGCTACTCAGGAGGCTGAGGTAGGAGAAAGGCGTGAACCCGGGAGGCAAAGCTTGCAGTGAGCCAAGATAGCGCCACTGCAGTCTGGCCTGGGCGAAAGAGCAAGCCTCTGTCTCAAAAAAAAAAAAAAAAAAAGAAATAGAATTTGAGCCACATATGTAATTTAAAGTTCTCTAGTATCACTTTTAAAAAAAGATAAATTGGCAGAATTGGTTTTAATATTTTATTTAGCCAACTATATCAAAAAACACTGAACAAATTGATGACTAGATTGTAAATGATGTAAAACATTAATGAGACAGTTTGCATTTTTTTTATACTGTCTTTGAAATCCAGTGTGTGTTTTACACTTATACCACATCTCAATTTGGATGTTGGATTTTCAATAGTTAAAGTGAAATGTAGTCCTACTAAAACAATAAAGTTGAGATTAATAGGAAAATATTGTTCACTGCTTTCATTTTTTAAATCTAAATTTAAATTAAATTAAATTTAAAATTCCATTTTTAGTTGCACCTGCCACATTTCAAGTGCTCCACAGCCACATATGACTCCTACTGATCTTGGACAGTGCAGCTCTATATAAACTGAACTCTAACACGTATTGTTAGGCAAAAAAGCAAGCTACATAACAATGTCCATCATATGCTACTTTTTTAATAAGAGAGAACATAACAATGTATATTCTTTACATAAAGAACTAGAGGACTAATACACAAGAGGCTAATAAAAATATTATCTGCAGGGAGTGAAGGCGAACAGTGCAGATGTGGCAGGGGTGGGAATAAAAGCTTTCTCTATGCCTTTTTACATTGCTCTGATTTTTGAGCTGTGTAAGCTTCTTATGCATGTATGAGAAAATTTGTGCAAACATTTGTGCTGGACAACATTATTGTTTAATGTTATGCTTAATGCTTATGCATAATGCTTAAATTTGTGGACAACACTGTGCTTATAGTTAACAATACTGTACTGATCACTTAAAATGAGGGTAAATTTCATGTCGCATGTTTTTTACCACAATTTTAAAAAGGCATGAAACAGCATAGCCTGTCTGGGAACCTGCAAGGAGACCACTGTCGCTGGAGTTGATTCAGGGGGGGATACCCACTACAATATGGCATGAACTCAAGGAAGAGGCAGAAGCAGGACCTGAGAAGGGGTGTGCCCTTCCTCCTCAACAGCAACTCTTAGTTGAGCTGCTTTATGGCTCTTCATCGATTTGTTCAAACCATTTTGCCATGGAGTTTCCTATATCTCTTCTGCCTCTTCCCCCTAATTTTTTTGCCTAATTAACCTCTGATCATTGTTCACTTCTTGCCTAGTCTCTCAACTAGGTGACTCTGTTGTACTTTCCCTCAACATTCCACTTTCTCTCATAGCATTTATCATTGTGTCTGTGTGTTTGTAGTGATTTCCTTAATGTCTATTTTTTCACTAGACTATAAGCCCCAAGAGGGAAGGGGCTAAGTTCGTTTTGCTCGCTAATGAATATATAGCACCTATTATAGTGCTTAACACTAGAAGGTGCTTCAATAAGTTTATTGAGTGAATAAATGAAACACTTTATTACAATTAATTAAAAGACTATCTATTGGGTACTATGCTCACTACCTGGGTGATGGGATCATTTGTATCCCAAACCTCAGCATCACACAATATATTCAGGTAACAAACCTGCACATGTACCCCTGAATCTAAAATGAAAATTGAAATTATTTTTAAAAATTAATTAGACTATTTCATGCCAGGACCAGTATCATTTCTTGGGAGCAGTGATGACCACAAATCTATTACCTATCCAATGATATAGAACATCTTACTTTTATTTGACTTATGCTAATGTTCAAAATTCAGAAAGAGTTCTTTCCTCCTAATGCTGAGATTTAGTAAAGAAGCCTGTGTGTCTAACCACTTGCCATACATAAATTTCAATAACTGATCTGCCTTGCTGTGAAAATCCACCTGTTTGAATCTCTTTTAAGGCTTATCCATCTAGAGAATTCAGTTTGGCTCAACTGATAGCTTCTCTGTAGCTTTTCCTGACTTTCTCACAATTAAGTGACCTGCTCTGTGTTCTCATAGCATGCTGTGCTTACTGCCATTAAACATGCGGTTAACATCACTGAGCTCCTACCACAGCTGGCCACTGTGCTAGGGGTTAAAATATAAGACACAGAATCTGTCCAAGAGGAGGGGGAAATGTGTCAAAATCACCAAGGGAGCTTCTGCTACTGGAGCTTTGGATACTGTTCCCCCACCAGGTCAAGAATCACTGCCAAAGGAAGTTACTGTTAATTGATGAGAGTCTGTCATAACCCAGGAAAGTGCTGAGGCAGAAAAATTGAGGTTCAGAATTGATAGTACTGGGTGGGACAGGAAAGAGTGGAGAACTCTTTAGTTTAATTAGATCCCATTTGTCAATTTTGTCTTTTGTTGCCATTGCTTTTGGTGTTTTAGACATGAAGTCCTTGCCCATGCCTATGTCCTGAATGGTAATGCCTAGGTTTTCTTCCAGGGTTTTTATGGTTTTAGGTCTAACGTTTAAGTCTTTAATCCATCTTGAATTGATTTTTGTATAAGGTGTAAGGAAGGGATCCAGTTTCAGCTTTCTACATATGGCTAGCCAGTTTTCCCAGCACCATTTATTAAATAGGGAATCCTTTCCCCATTGCTTGTTTTTCTCAGGTTTGTCAAAGATCAGATAGTTGTAGATATGCGGTGTTATCTCTGAGGGCTCTGTTCTGTTCCATTGATCTATATCTCTGTTTTGGTACCAGTCCCATGCTGTTTTGGTTACTGTAGCCTTGTAGTATAGTTTGAAGTCAGGTAGTGTGATGCCTCCAGCTTTGTTCTTTTGGCTTAGGATTGACTTGGCGATGCAGGCTCTTTTTTGGTTCCATATGAACTTTAAAGTAGTTTTTTCCAATTCTGTGAAGAAAGTCATTGGTAGCTTGATGGGGATGGCATTGAATCTGTAAATTACCTTGGGCAGTATGGCCATTTTCACGATATTGATTCTTCCTACCCATGAGCATGGAATGTTCTTCCATTTGTTTGTATCCTCTTTTATTTCCTTGAGCAGTGGTTTGTACTTCTCCTTGAAGAGGTCCTTCACATCCCTTGTAAGTTGGATTCCTAGGTATTTTATTCTCTTTGAAGCAATTGTGAATGGAGTTCACTCATGATTTGGCTGTTTGTCTGTTGCTGGTGTATAAGAATGCATGTGATTTTTGCACACTGATTTTGTATCCTGAGACTTTGCTGAAGTTGCTTATCAGCTTAAAGAGATTTTGGGCTGAGACAATGGGGTTTTCTAGATATACAATCACGTCGTCTGCAAACAGGGACAATTTGGCTTCCTCTTTTCCTAATTGAATACCCTTTATTTCCTTCTCCTGACTAATTGCCCTGGCCAGAACTTCCAACACTATGTTGAATAGGAGTGGTGAGAGAGGGCATCCCTGTCTTGTGCCAGTTTTCAAAGGGAATGCTTCCAGTTTTTGCCCATTCAGTATGATATTGGCTGTGGGTTTGTCATAGATAGCTCTTATCATTTTGAAATACGTCCCATCAATACCTAATTTATTGAGAGTTTTTAGCATGAAGGGTTGGTGAATTTTGTCAAAGGCTTTTTCTGCATCTATTGAGATAATCATGTGGTTTTTGTCTTTGGCTCTGTTTATGTGCTGGATTACATTTATTGATTTGCGTATATTGAACCAGCCTTGCATCCCAGGGATGAAGCCCACTTGATCATGGTGGATAAGCTTTTTGATGTGCTGCTGGATTCGTTTTGCCAGTATTTTATTGAGGATTTCTGCATCAATGTTCATCAAAGATATTGGTCTAAAATTCTCTTTTTTGTTGTGTCTCTGCCTGGCTTTGGTATCAGAATGATGCTGGCTTCATAAAATGAGTTAGGGAGGATTCCCTCTTTTTGTATTGATTGGAATAGTTTCAGAAGGAATGGTACCAGTTCCTCCTTGTACCTCTGGTAGAATTCGGCTGTGAATCCATCTGGTCCTGGACTCTTTTTGGTTGGTAAGCTATTGATTATTGCCACAATTTCAGCTCCTGTTACTGGTCTATTCAGAGATTCAACTTCTTCCTGGTTTAGTCTTGGGAGAGTGTATGTGTCGAGGAATTTATCCATTTCTTGTAGATTTTCTAGTTTATTTGCGTAGAGGTGATTGTAGTATTCCCTGATGGTAGTTTGTATTTCTGTGGGATCAGTGGTGATATCCCCTTTATCATTTTTTATTGTGTCTATTTGATTCTTCTCTCTTTTTTTATTAGTCTTGCTAGCGGTCTATCAATTTTGTTGATCCTTTCAAAAAACCAGCTCCTGGATTAATTTTTTGAAGGGTTTTTTGTATCTCTATTTCCTTCAGTTCTGCTCTGATTTTAGTTATTTCTTGCCTTCTGCTAGCTTTTGAATGTGTTTGCTCTTGCTTCTCTAGTTCTTTTAATTGTGATGTTAGGGTGTCAATTTTGGATCTTTCCTGCTTTCTCTTGTGGGCATTTAGTGCTATAAATTTCCCTCTACACACTGCTTTGAATGCGTCCCAGAGATTCTGGTATGTTGTGTCTTTGTTCTCGTTGGTTTCAAAGAACATCTTTATTTCTGCCTTCATTTCGTTATGTACCCAGTAGTCATTCAGGAGCAGGTTGTTCAGTTTCCATGTAGTTGAGCGGTTTTGAGTGAGATTCTTAATCCTGAGTTCTAGTTTGATTGCACTGTGGTCTGAGAGATAGTTTGTTATAATTTCTGTTCTTTTACATTTGCTGAGGAGAGCTTTACTTCCCAGTATGTGGTCAATTTTGTAATAGGTGTGGTGTGGTGCTGAAAAAAATGTATATTCTGTTGATTTGGGGTGGAGAGTTCTGTAGATGTCTATTAGGTCCGCTTGGTGCAGAGCTGAGTTCAATTCCTGGGTATCCTTGTTGACTTTCTGTCTCATTGATCTGTCTAATGTTGACATTGGGGTGTTAAAGTCTCCCATTATTAATGTGTGGGAGTCTAAGTCTCTTTGTAGGTCACTCAGGACTTGCTTTATCAATCTGGGTGCTCCTGTATTGGGTGCATATATATTTAGGATAGTTAGCTCTTCTTGTTGAATTGATCTCTTTACCATTATGTAATGGCCTTCTTTGTCTCTTTTGATCTTTGTTGGTTTAAAGTCTGTTTTATCAGAGACTAGGATTGCAACCCCTGCCTTTTTTTGTTTTCCATTTGCTTGGTAGATCTTCCTCCATCCTTTTATTTTGAGCCTGTGTGTGTCTCTGCACGTGAGATGGGTTTCCTGAATACAGCACACTGATGGGTCTTGACTCTTTATCCAATTTGCCAGTCTGTGTCTTTTAATTGGAGCATTTAGTCCATTTACATTTAAAGTTAATATTGTTATGTGTGAATTTGATCCTGTCATTATGATGTTAGCTGGTTATTTTGCTCGTTAGTTGATGCAGTTTCTTCCTAGTCTCAATGGTCTTTACATTTTGGCATGATTTTGCAGCAGCTGGTACCGGTTGTTCCTTTCCATGTTTAGTGCTTCCTTCAGGAGCTCTTGTAAGGCAGGCCTGGTGGTGACAAAATCTCTCAGCATTTGCTTGTCTGTAAAGTATTTAATTTCTCCTTCACTTATGAAGCTTAGTTTGGCTGGATATGAAATTCTGGGTTGAAAATTCTTTTCTTTAAGAATGTTGAATATTGGCCCCCACTCTCTTCTGGCTTGTAGGGTTTCTGCCGAGAGATCCGCTGTTAGTCTGATGGGCTTCCCTTTGAGGGTAACCCGACCTTTCTCTCTGGCTGCCCTTAACATTTTTTCCTTTATTTCAACTTTGGTGAATCTGACAATTATGTGCCTTGGAGTTGCTCTTCTCGAGGAGTATCTTTGTGGCATTCTCTGTATTTCCTGAATCTGAACGTTGGCCTGCCTTGCTAGTGCTGGAGAGGATGTGGAGAAATAGGAACACTTTTACACTGTTGGTGGGACTGTAAACTAGTTCAACCATTGTGGAAGTCAGTGTGGCGATTCCTCAGGGATCTAGAACTGGAAATACCATTTGACCCAGCCATCCCATTACTGGGTATATACCCAAAGGACTATAAATCATGCTGCTATAAAGACACATGCACACGTATGTTTACTGTGGCACTATTCACAATAGCAAAGACTTGGAACCAACCCAAATGTCCAACAATGATAGATTGGATTAAGAAAATGTGGCACATATACACCATGGAATACTATGCAGCCATAAAAAATGATGAGTTCATGTCCTTTGTAGGGACATGGATGAAATTGGAAATCATCATTCTCAGTAAACTATCGCAAGAACAAAAAACCAAACACCGCATATTCTCACTCATAGGTGGGAACTGAACAATAAGATCACATGGACACAGGAAGGGGAATATCACACTCTGGGGACTGTTGTGGGGTGGGGCGAGGGGGGAGGGATAGCATCGGGAGATATACCTAATGCTAGATGACGAGTTAGTGGGTGCAGCTCACCAGCATGGCACATGTATACATATGTAACTAACCTGCACAATGTGCACATGTACCCTAAAACTTAAAGTATTAAAAAAAAAAAAAAAAGAGTGGAGAACTCTAGGAAATGCTAATTTACCATCAGACAAAAGAACAAGAGCCAATACCAAGAATTAATGTCCAGGACAGAGTAATGTGGAAGCTAAGAGGGGTGAGAGTTTCCAGCAGAGAAACTTGTCAATGGTGTCAGGTGATGCACAGGGATGGAGTAGAAATAAGGGCTGTCAAATCTGCATGGAGTCTAGCAGCAGGAGGTGCTGTGCCCTGCAATGGCTGGCTGTTGCTTCTACCCTGTCTTCTTTTTGTAGCCCCTACACCTCACTGCAAACTTCATGAGATCAAGAACTGGGGTACATTCATCTTTGTGCCCAGCATGTCTGTTGAATGAAAGAGGGCCAATTTCTGGCACATGGTTGACACCCCCATTTCCTCCTAACACACTTTGACCCATCCCTTAATTTGCCCAGTTCTGGCACAGCCTGAGGGGCAGTGGCCAGAATGCCACCAAGATGGGGCGCCACACTACACTTCATATAAAGAGAATCTCAAGCTTTGCTTTTCATGCATTATAAATTATGAAGTGCGTTTCTAAATTGTGGTCATCCATGCACTCCGTGGCCCCTGCTATCATACATAATGAAGACTTGCCATAGAGATAAAAAGGAAGCCATCAACGAAAGGGAGAAAAGTACCTAAGAAAATGGATGCACAGATAAGATGTACACAATCTGAAGTCCAAAGATGGTGGGAAAAACTACCTGTGCCCTTAACCCTACTGAGTCTGTTTCCCTTGCTGTTGACTCTGCCATTGAGCTAGTTCCATTAGTACCTCAGACACCCCTCAGTTCTGACTTCACCTACCAGTTTGGGCAAGGAAGCCAGGAGAATATCATGGGGTGTCACTGGCATTTAGCTAGGTAAATTAGCTTTAAAATCTTCCCATTATGATTTTGTAAATGCTTTGAAGAAAACAGCATTTTATTTTTATGAAAATGACAATTCTAAATGTTCACACCTGCTGTTAAAACCCTGATTCAGAGGAAAACAGCATAGGAGAATCAGGTTACAAAAGTAACTGGATGACTGATCATTTCACAGTGCACCTCGTCCCCAGGCCCAGAACACCAAAAGCGCTTCTTGATGAATGTGAGAAGGTGTTTTGGTGCCAGGTGATTTATTTAAAAATTAGACCCTGGCTTAAGCTTCAGGGTTGTGTTTCTGACTCACTATCCTGGAGCTCAGTTTGTGAGGATCAAATTTCACTGAAAACAGAAAAAAAAAAATCCATGATAAGAGAATTGCTACAAATATGAAGACAACGATGTGAAGAGGGAAAACAAAGCAAAAGATTGGGATTTCTAAAATTACATTTTCTTTTTTCTGGAGACAGAGTTTTGCTCTGTTGCCAAGGATGGAGTGCAGTGGTACGATGATAACTCACTGCAGCCTTGATCTCCTGGGCTCAAGCAGTCCTCCCACCTCAGCCTCCTGAATAGCTGGGACCATAGGCATGCACCACCATGCCCAGCTAATTTTAAATTTTTTTGTAGAGATGGGGTCTCGCTATGTTGTACGGGCTGGTCGCAAGCAATCTTCCAGCCTGGGCCTCCCAAAGTGATGGGATTATAGGCATAAGCCACCACACCCAGGCAAAAATTAAATTTTCAATAATCATAACCAGTTGTTAGGTTAAGCTAATAATTAAGGTATTAAGCTAACAAAAGGGAATAATAAGATAGATAGAAATAATTTGTAGCTGGTTTGATTAGATTTTGGTCTTAGATTTGAATATGGATATTTCTGCAATATTCAGAAACATACAATATTGTGCTTGGAGAAGCAATACCTGCCTTACTTCAAAGTACCTATTCCACACTTAATATCATATCTCAGACTGAGATAGCTCAAACTAAGATGCCCATTCTATAACTTACTTTATTTTGGAGTTATATTTTTCCTGATTTATAAAAGCTATATAACCAGTTTGGTTTCATGCTGAACTATAGGCTATTTGGAAGGAGTAAAGTAAATAAAAATAAATAATGTCAACAAAAAAGGACGACTGTGTTTTACAATTTTTATCATCTAGAAATCATGATATGCCATGAAAAGTTATTATATTTGTTCCAGAAGTATGTACCAGATTACGTGCTATGTCCTATAACTGACACTACAGATCAAAGTCAAATGGTCCCTGCCCTCAAGGAGCTGGGAGTCTAGGGGAAGTTAAACAAATAACCACCCAACAATAATCAATGTGGTAAGTTCCATGATTCTACAGAAGCACAGAAAAGAGGCATTCAATTACTAGGTCCAGAGGAAATGGCCTTTGAACTGATTTTTTAAACTTATTTTGAAATAACTGATTTATTTTAAACTCTAAGTTTTCAAACATTCAAAGCTAGAGAAAATAGTAAAACAGTGTGATGAGCCATCACACTACGCACCCATCTTCCAGTCACAATTTTCATAACATGGCCAATCTTATTTTACTTACATCCACACTCAACAACTCCCATCTCCCTGGATTATTCTGAAGCAAATCCAAGTATCTGTATATATTTCAGAATCTATCTCTAAAAAGCCAAGGACCAGCCAGGCGCAGTGGCTCACACCTGTAATCCCAGCACTTTGGGAGGCCGAGGCAGGTGGACCACGAGGTCAGGAGATCAAGACCATCCTGGCTTTCATGGTGAAACCCCGTCTTTACTAAAAAATACAAAAAATTAGTTGGGCATGGTGGCGGGCGCCTGTAGTCCCAGCTACTCAGGAGGCTGAGGCAGGAGGATGGCGTGAACCTGGCAGGCAGAGCTTGCAGTGAGCTGAGAACACGCCACTGCACTCTAGCCTGGGCGACAGAGCGAGACTCTGTCTCCAAAAAAAAAAATAAAATAAATAAATAAATAATAAAAATAAAAAGCTAAGGACCTCTTAAAATATAATCACAAAATCATTATCACACCTTTAAAAATTAACAATTCCGTAATATCATCAAGTATCTTTGTTGCTGTTCACATTTTCCTGATGATCTTGGTTTTTTAAACATGGTGTTTTGAATAGGGATCCAAATAAGGTCCACATATTGTGATACTTGTCATGTCTCTTAAGTCTTACTGATTTTTCCTTTCATCCTTTTTCTTGGAATTTTTTTGTTAAAGAAACCAGGCCATTAGTCCTCTAGATTAGGGATTGACAATTTTTTTTGTTGTTAAGGGCCAGTGAGTAAATATTTTGGCATTTTGATTGTACAGACTCCTGCACCTACTCAACTCTGCCCTTGTAGCACGAAAGCAGCCACAAACAATACATAAACAAATAAGCATGGCTGTGTTCCAACAAAACCTTTTTATGAACGCTGCAATTTTCATAATTCACAAAATATTCTGAATTTTTTCAACCATTTAATAATGTAAAAACTATTCTTGGCTCAAAAGCCATACAAAAACAGGCAATGGGCCAGATGTGTCCCACGCATTGTGTGCTAACCCCTGCCCTAAAGTCCCCTCACTAAATTTTGTTTTTGTATCTCCATGGTGTGTTTTAATATGTAACTCTGTCTTATAATTCTCAAAAAGCGGTAGATCAAGAAGCTTGCAGATTCAGGTTGGATTTTTTTTTCTCAGATTTTATAAGATTACTTCCTAAGTGACAGGTATTCGATTCCATAGTAGGTACATAATGGTTTTTTATTCTTTTTGTGATATTAGCAGCCATTGATAATCACTGCCTACACTCATTAATTCATCTGGGGTTGCAAAATGGTAATTTTTAAATTTTTTCATTCATTCTTTATGAGACAGAATACATCTCGAAAGAGGAATTTTGCCTCATCAACTATTTTGTTATACTAGGTAAAAATAGGAAAGGTGGGATAAATGCTCACCCTCATTTCTTGTATTTGTCAGCTTTCAAAATAATGAGGTGGTTCTCTAGTATCCTCCAAAGATTACAATGAGGGTTTTTTTTTAAAAAAGTGTCATTTGAAACTTACAAATTTAAATATATTTGCTGTTTCGATCCTTTGCAGTTACTGATCTTTACATTGCCTCTCTTTAGCTATGAGGACCTTTTCAAGTTGGCCCTGTCCTTTTGATATAGCCTTAGCAATCTCAAGGTATCAGAAGCTGAAATGCCTTTTTTTCCCCCCCGTATAGATAACGACATCACACAGGTCTTCAAGCTGTCAGTGATGTAGCTCCATCCACTCATATTTGGAAGGTCACAGGAATGCCTAGTCATCTAGTTTTAGTTGTAGATGTTATCCATGGGTCTTTGGTTTTGCAGCCCTGTTTGAACTGTCTATTTTTATGGGGAGATAGGAGAAAATACAAAAGCTGTGATGTCATTTCTGACCAACAGGGAATAAGAGGGTCAAAATTTATACTCCTATTATAAACAACTAGAAAACTGGACAAAACTATTGGAAGCAACTATTTTCAGACAGTAGAAAATAGACAGTACAGGACTGTGATATCTGATAAAAGGGAGACAAAGTGAGCCCTACCATCACCCAGGCTTTCTTCCTAAAATTAATTTCCAGACTTTGGCACAGAGAATGGAAATCCAAACAGAGCCTGCAATCCCAGTGAGTTGAGAAGAAAGAGATGGGAGGTCAGGTAGGCCAAGATGCTGCAGTTTTCAGGGCAGGGCACTTAAGAGAGGAAGACAACACAGAGGAAGAGCTTTAGAAACCTGCATATGCGTTCCTTGAATCTCTGGCTGAATAGCTATCTGTACATATGCAGAACGAAATACCATAAGACTGAGCAAGAACAACTTCTGGAAAAATAAGAATCACCAGGAATTGTAAGTCAAACAGTCCTAGAATTCCACAGGTCTGGGAATGTTTAAGTTACAACTAGCTAGAGTAGAGAGACTTCATTGAATACACAGGACATTCAGTAGAAAACATACATGAGGGCCAGATGTGGTAGCTTACACCTATGGTCCCAGTACTTTGGAAGCCCAAGATGGGAGGATTGCTTGAGGCCAAGGGTTCATGACTAGCCTGGGCAACATAATGAGACCCTATCTCTATTTAAAAAAAAAATACATCAGGAGTATTGCTAAATCAGCCTTAGAGTAAAAGCTACTCTAGATCTACCTTAAAAGAGATTAAAAATAAGCTTCAAAAGGGTCAAACTGATTATTAGTAACTTAACTACTTGCTTGAAAGAAATTCTGTACTCTTTAAAGGAATACAACAAAAGTGAGCATGCAGCAATGTAAAAGTCACAATATCTGACATCTGATCAAAAAGTACTAGATATATGAAAAACCAGCAACAATGACTAGTAGCCTTGAGAAAAATGAGTCAACAGAAACAAACTCAGAAATTTAAGAGATGATAAAATTAGCAGAAAAGGGTATTGAAGAAGCTATTTCATGAATATGCTCTATATGACAACAGCAGCACATTTGTCCAGGGGACAAATGGAAGTACACTATTGTTAAGTTTCATACATTACACAGGAAGCAGCATATATTTGAAGACAGACTGTGATAAGTTAGAGATGTATATTGTAAACCCTACAACAGCCATGGTGGGTGGTGATAAAGGAGGAGTAGCTAATAAACCAATTGTGAAAATGAAATGGAATCCTAAAAAAACACTGAATTAACCCAAAAGTAACGAAAAGAGGGAAAAAGAAACAAACAAAAATAGATGTGATAAACAGAAAATAACAAGATGGCAGATTTAAACTTACACAGAAAATCACATTAAATGCAAAGGGTCTAAACCCTGAAAAGAGGTTGTCAGAATAGATTTTAAAAGCAAGATCAGACGATATTCTATCTAGAAAAAATTCATTTTGAATGTAAAGAAACAGATAAAAAGAGATAAAAAGATATAGCATTTAAACTCTAATAATAAGAAAACTGGAATGGCTATGTCAATCTCAGACAAACATGTGTCAGGTCAAGGATCATTACCAGAGATAAAAAGGAACATCTCATTATGATAAAGGGTTAAATTAATCAAGAAAACGTAACAATCCTGAATGTGCTTGTACCCAATAACAGCTATTCAAAATACATGAAGCAAAAACTGACACAACTGAAAGGAGAAATAAATCTACAATTAGAATTGGAAACCTCAAAACTCCTTTTTCAGTAATGGACAGAACTTGTAGACTGAATAACATTAGGAATATGGAACACTTAACACAATCAACCTACTTGATCTGACATTCATAGAATACCTATCATCAGCAGCAGAATATACATTATTTTCAAATGCACACAAAACATTCAAAAAGATATACCATATGCATACCTTCCATAAAGACTGAAATAATATAGAGTAGGTTTTTAAAAGAAGAATGAAATACTATAGAGTAGGCTTTCTGGTCATAAAAGAATTAAATTAGAAAAAAATTACATAAAGATAACTGGAAAATCTCCAAATATTTACAAATTAAATAACACAATGTGAAATTACCCATGGGTAAAAAAAAATCACAGAATAAAACATTTTAAACTGAATGAAAATGAAAATACAACATAGAAAAAAATTGGGATATATAGTGAAAATAGTACTCAAAGGAAAGCTTATGATTTTAAATACTTAGAAAAAAAGCAATAATAATATAAGCTTCCACTGTATGAAGTCAGAAAATAACAAACTAAACCAGAAATAAGTAGAAGGAAATAAATATAGAGCTTAGGTAAATGAAATAGAAAACAGAAAATTTAATGAAACAAAAATATAGATCTTTGAAAAAATAATAATCTCTATCTAGATTGATCAAGAATAAAAAGTGAGAAGACACAAATTCACAACAAGAATAAAAGAGAAGATGGCACAACAGATCCCACAGGCACTAAAAAGATAGTAAGAATAGTACAACTTGGCTCATGTCTGTAATCCCTGCACTTTGGCCCTCCAGCAAGTCAACAAGCAAAATGCCTTGAGCATCCCAAAAAACTATTGCCATGACCTTTGCACTTGACTGATCCACATCTCCTCTGACTGGACCACTTCCACCTCTTTCTAGCCACTGCTTTGATTGTGCTTTGTCTTTAGGATCATACTGGTAAAGCCATGTTTCATCTGTTGCAGTTCTTCGAAGAAATGCTTTGGGATCTAGATCCCACTTGTTAAAAATTTCCATTGAAAGCTCTGCTTTTGGGCCAGGCACAGTGGCTCATGCCTGTAATCCCAGAACTTTGGGAGGCTGAGGCAGGCAGATCAATTGAAGCCAGGAGTTCAAGACCAGTCTGGCCAGCATGGCAAAACCCCATTTCTATTCAAAAATACAAAAATTAGCCTAGCATGGTGGTGGGTGCCTGTAGTCCCAGCTACTCAGGAGGCTGAGGCACAAGAATTACTCCAAACCAGGAGGCGAAAGTTGCAGTGAGCCAAGATCACACTACTGCACTCCAGCCTGGGCAACAGAGTGAGACTCTGTCTCCAAAAAAAAAGAAAAATAAAAAGAAACCTCCGTTCTTGTCTGCAGTTCATCTGGGCACAAGAGTTTTGGTATTCATCAACATAAAGTTTGTTCAACTTTAATTTTTCAGTCAGAATTGTGTAAGCTGAACCAATTGAGATATCTATGATGCTGACTATTGTTTGTACTGTTAATCATTGATCCTCTTCAATTAGGGCATGAACAAGATTCATTTTCTCCTTGCAAACTGATGTGGATTGTCTGCCACTATGGGCTTTATCTTCAACATTGTCTCATCCTTTCTTAAAATGATTTATCCATTTATAAACTGCCAATTTCTTTGGGAACACTGTCCTCATAAACTTTTCATAAAGCATCATTGATTTCACTCTTCTTCCATCCAAGCTTCACCATAAATGTGATGTTTGTTCTTTCTTCAATTTTAGCAAAATCCATGTTGCTCTAATAGGGGTTGTTTTCAAACTGATGTCTCCTCTTTCTTAGTGCCTCAAATTAGATCCTGTTCAGACATGTTATAACAAGTTAGTAGATGTTTATTTTGGTGCAAAAAAAATGAAATCCTTGTATAGATTTTTCACAATATACTTTCTATGAACTTTTTGAAGACCCCTTGTACAAGGTCAATTGATTTCAATAAAAGTGCCACAATAATTCAATGAAGGAAGTACAATCTCTTCAAAAAATGGTGCTGGGACAATCAAATTATCCATAGTTGGGAAGAAGGGGACCTTGACCCTTACCTCACATCATACACAAAGATTAACTAAAAATAAATCATAGACCTAAATGTACTAGCTGAAACTATAAAATTTCTAAAATAAAACATAGGAGAGAATCTTTGCCACCCTGGGGTAGAAACAGAGGACACAAAAAGTATGAACCATAAAAGAAACATTTCATAAATCAGACTTCATAAAATTTAAAGTATCAGCTCTTCCAAAGGCAACGTTAAGAAAATGAAAAAGCAAGCCACAGATTAAGAAAAAGTATTCACAACATATATACGTTAAAGCAAACTAAATATGGCCTGAGAAGGACTCCATACTTCTACATTTGTGTCCTTGTGGATGAACTGTAACCTAGCTTCATAGGCAGACAAAACTGAAAACCTAACTTAGTAGTATGCACCTGTAACAATAGCTAAGTCTTGGCCAGTCCCAGCGGCCAGACTTCAACCATTCATTCACTGCTGTGTGTTCAAACTGTGTTCCAATAAGGCACAGGCTGAACTGTAACCATTCCAGCTGTTCTGTACCTCACTTCCAATTTCTGTACCTCATTTCCCCCTTTTTTTTTTTGGTCTATAAATCTTCTTCCATCATGTGGCTGTGCTGGAGTCTCTGAATCTGCTGTGATTCTAGGGGCTGCCTGATTCATGAATCATTCATTGCTCAATTAAACTCCTTTAAATTTAATTCGGCTGAAGTTTTTCTTTTATCACATATCTGATGAAGGACTTGAATTCAGAATATATACATAAATATATATATAACCTCTTATAGACAACTCAATAGGCAAAATATTTCAACAGACACTTCACAAAGGAAGATAATACTAATGGCCAATAAACACATTAAAAGATACTCAACATAATTCATCAGAGAAACATCAATTAAAATCATGACATACCACCAATACCCAGCAGAATGGCTAAAATTAAAGAGACTGACAATAGCAAGTCTTGCTGAGGATATGAAGCAAACAGAACACTCATGCATTGCTGATTGGTGTGTACAATGGTACAACCACTTTGGAAAACAGTCTGGTGGTTTCTTACATAGTTAAGAATATACCAACAATATTACTGAGCAATTTAACTCTTATGTACTTACTTAGGGGAAATGAAAATATGTCCACACAAAACTTGAATACTAATGTTTATAACCGTTTTATTCTTAATAAAAACTAGAAGAAACTCTAATGTCCATGAATATGTATTGGATAAACAATTTGTGGTATATCCATATAGTGATATACAACTCAACAGTTAGAGAAAATGAACTACAGATACAAACAACAATATGGGTGAATCTCAAAAACATACTGAGTGAAAAAAGCCAGACACAAAAGAGTTAATACAGATTATATGAAACCTCACAAAATATGAATTTAATCTACACTAACGGAAAGCAGATAGATCAATGTGGGGAATATTTATAGAGAAGGAGCACCCTTTTAAGGGTAATACAAATATTCTACATATTGATTGTGGTGGTGGTAGTTACCCAGATGCCTTTCGTTGCATGTAAATTATATCTCAATAAAGATGGAAAAAGGGGGAGGAAAGACTATGCTGGCAACATCTTCCAAGAATCCTAAACTGACTTGAAGGACAAGTGTAAGTTACTGAGTAAAGAAGCAGGTAGTATGATACATGTGAAAGCAGAGAGGCAAGAAATAACATGCCATGCCTCAGAAGTGCAAACCATTCCATATATGGCTGAAGGAGTGTGTGTATACATGACAGGGAAGGAGAGGAGGCTGGAGGACAGGCAGATTCTTTGAAAAGGGCCTTTTCTGCTAAGCTAAAAATTCATATCAAAATGATCATCTACTTTTTCTACTTCCTGTCAATGTGGTGAAACACATTGATTTTTAAACATTAAGCTACCCTAGCATACTTTAAAGAAACCCAATTCATTGTAATGTACTGTTCATTTTATGTGTTCAATTTGAGTTAGGAACTATTCCCTTTTTCTATTATCTAGAAAAATCTGAGTTCTTCCTTAAACATCTGAAGGAATTCACCAGACAAGTTACATGGGCCTACAGTTTTCTTTGTGGAAAGGTTTTAAATAACAGAAACAAGTTTCCTTAATATACATTTTACTACTTAGATTTTCTATTCTTTCTTCTGTTAGCTTTGGTAAGTTGTATTTTTCAAGAAATTTGTGCATTTCATCCAATCAAATACATGATATAAAGATGATAAAAATACCTTCTTTTAATGTTTGTAGGCTCTACAGTGATATCCCCCTTTTCATTCCTAATATTATATCTTCTCTATTTCAAGAAATTAGTCTTTGTAAGGGTTCATCAATTTTACTAATCTTTCCATAGTACCAATTTTGGGCTTTCTTGATTTTTTTTGTTATACATTTGCTTTCTAATTCACTTATTTCTCTTCTTTATTTCTTCTATTTTCCTTAGGTTTGATTTACTGTTCTTTTTCAATCTGAGATAGAAGTTTAAATCCTTGATTTTCACTCTTACATCTTTTCTAATATGCTTGTACAACTACAGAATTTCCTCAAGCATAGCTTAGGCCAACAATTATTCAATTTTGGTATGTATACTATGTGTACTTGAAAATAATGTGAATTCTGTCATTCTAGGTACAGTGTTCAGTATGTCAGTTGTTGTTTTGTTTCATCTTCTACATCTTTACTGATTTTTCTCTGCTCTTCTATTTGCTATTGAGAGGGGTGTGTTGAAGTCTCTCACCAGGATTGTGGATTTGTCCGTTTCTTAAGTATTTTTAATGCTAAAATAAAGTTTAACCCAGTCATTACCTCTGCTAAGACTTTCTTTATACTCTGGCCCATCCTGAAAGAGATACTCATCCTCTATGTCCCTGTAACATCTTGTGCACACCTTTGTCACAGCACTTCCTACCCTGTCTTGTGAATCATATCTGCCTTGTCTGTGAGATTCCTGAGAGCAAAGTCTATGTCACAAACCTCTGTATCTCAAGAATGACATTCAATAGGCATGTCTGTTTGATGAATTAATGAAAAAATGAAGAACAGCAATCCCATCTATGGCAAAAGAAAGTGTGGGTTAATTTCTAATAAACAAATATAATGAGTTGCAAACTCCTAGAAAGATTTAGAAATACTCTTTTAAAAGATAGTTACTGATAACACAAATGGACTATTTAAAAGAGAACCAGGAAAAATAAGGTTAATCATACAAATCTATTAATACCACTGCAAAGTACAACAACCACATAGTTCAGAGGCATATCCAGGGCAAAATGGGGCAGGGAGGTTCGTGATGGGGTGCTAGGTACATCTTCTAACAAATTCAACCCCTGAAAACCCCTTGCCTTTGGATACGTGCACCAATCCTTATTAAGAAATACAATAGGCCAGGCACAGTGGCTCACACCTGTAATCCCAACACTTTGGGGGCCAAGGTGGGTGGATCACAAGGTCAGGAGTTCAAGACCAGCCTGGCCAACATGGTGAAACCCCGTCTCTGCTAAAAATGCAAAAATTAGCCGGGTGTGGTGGCACACGCCTGTAATCCCAGCTACTTAGGAGGCTGAGGCAGAGAATTGCTTAAACCCGGGAGGCAGAGGTTGCAGTGAGCCAAGACTGTGCCACTGCACTCCAGCCTGGGCTACAGGGATCATCTCAAAACAAACAAACAAACAAAAAACCCAAAACGAAAAAAAAAAGAGATACAATTAGTCCATAAGGACCATCTATTTATGTAATTTGTTGAATCAGTCAATGTGTCATGAATTTTTTTAAATTGTGGTAAGATACACATATAAAACTATCTTTACCATATTTAACTGTACAGTTCAGTGATATTATATATGCATTCACAGTGTTATACGACAGATCTCCAGAACTTTTTCATCTTGCAAAAAAAACTAATATTCTATACCCATCAAATAACAACTGTCCATTTTTCCTTTCCCCCAGCCCCTAGTATGACTGTTCTACTCTGTTTCTATGAGTTTCGCTACTTTAGACATCTCATATAAGAGGAATCATACAGTATTTGTCATTTTGAGACTGGCTTATTTCACTTAGCGTAATGTCCTCAAGGCTCATCTATGTAGCATGACAGGACAGCCTTGCTTTGTAAGGATAAATAATATTCCATTATACGTAAATACCACATTTTGTTTACTCATTCACCCACTGATGGACACTTGAGTTGCTTCTACCTTTTGCCTACTGTGAATAATCTGCGATGAATATGAGTGTACGAATATCTCTTTGAGACCCTGCTTTCCTTCTTTTGGATATAGATGCAGAAGTGGGATTGCTGAATCAGATAGTAGTTCTATTTTTAATTATTTGAGGAAATGCCATAGTGTTTTTCAGAGAGGTTGCACCATTTCACAATCCCATCAACAGTGTATAAGGGTTCCAGTTTCTTTACATCCTTGCCAACTGTCTTAGTCCATTCTAGCTGCTATAATAAAAGTGTCATACACTGGTGGTTTATGAACAGTGGAAATTTATTGCTCACAGTTCTGAAGGCTGGGAAGTCCAAGATCAAGGTGCTGGCAGATTCAGTGTCTGATGAGGGCTTGCTCTCTGGTTGAAAGATGACATTTTCTCATCGTGTCCTTACATGGTGGAAGGGGCTAGCTAGCTCTCTGGGGTCTCTTTTATAAGGGCATTAATCCCATTCATGAAGACAGAGGCCTCAAGACCTAATCACCTCTTAAGGGTGCTTAATACTATGTAATGCTTATAATACTATTCCATTGAGGATTAGGTTTCAACATATGAATTTTAGGGGGACACAAACATTCAGACCATAGCACCAACACTTGTTACTTTCTGTTTCGCTTGTTTGTTGTTTTATAGCAGCCATCCTAATGGGTGTGAGGTGATAATTCATTGTGGTTTTGATCTGCATTTCTCTAATGATTACTGATGCTGAACATTTTTCATGGGCTTGTTTTGGCCTCAATGTGTCTTTAAGATTAGTTAGTATTCAGCCCCACGGTAGCAGCACATGCAGCAAAAATAATTACAACCTTTCTTTAGTCTTAAAAATCAGACCCTGTAGCTCTTTTAAAGTTATAACAACAAATACATCCATTCATCCTTTAGGTCAAAAGATTACCTATAAAGTATATTGCAGAAGCAGTTATTCAAATGTATTGGGCCAAAGGCTTCTTTTTACCGCTAAAATAGCTGTCTGTTGTTTTTGTATCCCCAGCATGCATTCTTCGGTTTTCCTTTGGGAGATCACCCCTCCCCCTATTCAGAGCCCATGTGATTCAGACAAGGCTACTTTTCACCTGGCCCACCTCCAGGGGTGAGCAGGTGATTCAGGCCTGGCCTGTCAGCATATCTAATTACTTCTGACCAAAGTAATTAGGTTATGAAAAAGGATGTGATTTAAATTAGTAAAATTTAAGTAAATCCTGGGACTCCTGCTAGAACTAGGAAGGAGGAGCTCTCTTTCCATTAGGGTTATTTATTGTAAGGATCAGAAAAGCCTGATGTGGCCAGGAACCACCAGAGAGATCCTTCCAGAGGAAAACGGAGCTGAGAGGCAGAGGCAGAGACAGGGAGAGACACAGCTAACAATATTGGTTAAGCCCCTGACTCAGTTGTGCTGGAGGCCACTCCTATCCTGGATATTTCAAATCCATGAAGGAATAAGTTATTTACTTTGTTTAAAAGAACCTGAGTTGGGTTTCTGTTATTTGCAACACAAAGAGTTTAATACTCAGCTTAAGAAGTATAATAGCAAACGTAATTCATTTCTTTAACTGCTCATTATCCAAATTTCCCTATCTAATTGCTATGCCATTTTAAAAACTCCACATCTCCTCATTTAACATAGCAATTAACAAATTGGTTTTTTATCTAAATGTTTTATCAGCATCGGCAATATTCAACATAGTTAACCACTGCTTCCTTTGTGAAACATTTGTCTTGGCTTTTATGATCACACCCTTTCCTAGTTTTCCTCCTACATGTGGCAGTTCCTTCTTTGCCTACTCTGATCTTATTCTCTTCAACCTCCTCTTTCCCTTGTTCATTCTTTTACCCTCCCCCAGGCTATGGTCACCAGATCCACAGTTTCAATTGCTATTTAAATATCTGTGAGTCCCAAATCATATCTCTAGCACAGCCTTCTCTGACCTTCAAAGAACCAGAAGGGCTAATTGTTAAATAGTAAATGAGGACAAGTGGAACTGACATCCCTGCTTGAGTGTCTCAAAAACACCTCCAATTCAAACTGTCTGACACCAGGGCGGTGGTCATCACACATGCCTGCTGCCAGGCCTGGCTCGTCTCTAAAGTCCCTAACTTCAGTAAATGAGGCTACCTTCAGTTGAGTTGCATAAACCAGAAACTTCAAAGTTTTCCTTCACTTCTCTTTCCCCCCCTCACTTCTAAAACACCACTAAGTCCGATTGGTTTTTGCTCTTAAATATCTTTTAAATAAATCTATTCCATTGTAGTCCAAGCTGTCATCTTCTTTATTTACTAAAACAGCCTCCTAAGTAGGCTTCATGTATCTTCTTGCCCACTCTTCCTCTTCTCCACAACACTGTGAGAGATACCTTTTAAAAAAATTTTTTTTCTTTGTTTGAGAGATACCTTTTTTATGTAAAAACGTAACTGACTCTGTCACTCCCTTGCTTAGAATTCTTCAATAGCTTCCTATTTCTCTCAAGCTAAAGACTAAATCTTTTATATGACCTACAAAGAAGTGGGAAGGGTGAAGTATATAAACACTTGCATACCTAATTGCTAAATAAAAGACTTGAAGATCATAAACAGCCAAGAAATCATAAAGACATTCTAGGACCTGAAACCTCTTAAGACAGGGGTCTGTGGACACAGAACAAGCCTGTGTCCTAGTGAGGTTCTCTCAACTCCCTCCTCACCTTCCCCAGTACACATTTTGGGATGAATGAAATCGATGGAGTGTTTTACAAAATACTCCAACTTTGGAGCATATAAAAATCCTTTACATGGCTGGACACAGTGGCTCATGCCTGTAATCCCAGCACTTTGGGAGGCCAAGGCCAGCAGATCACCTCCGATCAGGAGTTCAAGACCAGCCTGGCCAACATGGTAAAACCCCATCTCTACTAAAAATAAAAAATAGGCCTGGCATGGTGGCAGGAGCCTGTAATCTCAGCTACTCGGGAGGCTGAGGCGGGAGAATTGCTTGAACCCAGGAGGCAGAGGTTGCAGGGAGCCGAGACTGCTTCATTGCACTTCAGCCTGGGTAACAAGAGTATAAAAATTATTTATAGCTTTATAGCACCTCTCTTTGAGTAAGACTTGGCCCAGAATGCTGTCTTACTTCATAGCATGGAGTACCGCATTCATCAATACAACCTCCAAGGTTCTGCAGACTTATCTCAATTTACTTCTCAGGACTCAGCCTGGGAGCAATCTTATCTCCTTGGGAGATCTTTCCATACCTTGGCTTTGATTTTTACCATTTAACTCTGTGTGAAATTTGTTTCTCTTGTTCTAGACTTTTGAAGATCATAAAAGTTCTTGGTGGGTTATTTTCAGGCTGGTGGCGAGTATCTTTCTAAAACCCCCAGATGCTTAGAACACTAACAATCAGAACCTTAATTTTATTAATAGTTAAAAGCTAGAGGCCAGGCAAGGTGGCTCACACTTATAATTCCAGCACTTTGGGAGGCCGAGGCGGGCAGATCACCTGAGGTCAGGAGTTCGAGACTAGCCTGGCTAACATGGTGAAACCCTGTCTCTACTAAAAATACAAAAATTAGCTGGGCCTGGTGGCAGGTGCTTGTAATCCTAGCTATTGGGGGGCTGTGGCAGGAGAATCACTTGAACCTGGGAGGCGGAGGTTGCAGTGAGCCGAGATTGTGCCATTGCACTCCAGCCTGGGTGACAAGAGCAAAACTCTGTCTCCAAAAAAAAAAAAAGAAAAAGCTAGAGACTGGCCTTCATGTTCAGTTCCTTGTTAGTAAAATGGATTATGCGCAAAATATAAAAGTAGCTATCATGTGCCTTCAACACATCCTATATTCATAAAAGTTAGCCCATATCTTAGTCAGTTGAAGCTGCCATAACAAATACCAGAGACAGGGTGGCTTAAACAACAGATATTTCATTTCTCACATTTCTGGAAGCTGGGAGTTCTGAGATCAGGATACTGGCAGGTTCAGTGTCTGGTGACGGCTTGCTTCCTGGCTTGTAGACAGCTGCCTTCTTGCTGTGTGCTCACACATGGCCTTTCTTCAGTGCATGCACCAAGAGAAGGGAGAGAGATTTCTCTCTCTTCCTGTTCTTATAAAAGCACTAATCTCATCACAGGCTCCACTCTCATGACTTCACCTAAACCTAATTACCTCCCAAAGGCCCCCACTTCCAAACACCATCACTTTGTGGGCTAGGGCTTCAACATATGAATATGGGCAGAGACACAATTCAGGCCCTAAAAGCCCACAAGAGTTGTCTGCCAAAATACCTTGAAAATTTGTAAGCAACATCACCAATACAATAACTGCAGCAACCCGTAAGAATATGGATATTATGTTTGCTGGAATATGTAAACATTTTTATTTTAAAAATAATCATATGATTGTTCTGTTGGAGAAATCTCCCAGACTCCTACCAAAAGATAAAAGATAATACAATAAGTTATTTGGATGTATTAAATATATCTAAAGAAAAAGAAATCTGGCTAGGCATGGTGGCTCATGCCTGTAATCCCAGCACTTTGGGAGGCCAAGGTGGGAGGGTTGCTTGATGCAGGAGTTTGAGACTAGCCTGGGCAACAGAGAGACACCCAATCTCTACAAAACATTAGCCAGGCATTGTGGTGCATGCCTATAGTCTCAGCTACTCTGTAAGGTGAGGCAGGAGGATCACTTGAGTACAGGAGGTTGAGGCTGCAGTAAGCCATGATGGCATCACTGCACTCCAGCCTGGGCAACAGGGCAACAGAGTGAGACCTTGTCTCAAAAAAAAAAAAAAAAAAAATCAGAGTGTTAAAGGCAGTAGTGCCCATTAGAGCACTTTTGAGAAAGGAGTCTTAGCCACTGTACTTAAACTTATGCCAATTACAGCAGATAAATATACCTTCCTGTTTTCTCCTTTTAAAGTATTTTCTTCTAGTCTTTCTTTATATTTTATCATTGTTATTAAAGTATACTTATATTCTGAATTTTGCTGTCTTAACATTATTTTAGCACAAGCGTTTTTTTCAAACTGCTACCTTTTTGTTAGGATTATAATTTTTAATGCCTATCATATAGAACCAACGATTTGTAAAAACCATTACTTTAATGTTGCCCATTATGAATACTTCCACTTTATCCCTATTAGGAATAACATTGTGACAGACATTTTTAAATGTATACTTTTTTTTGTATCTTAAATTATCTTAAGACAGATTTGGAGAAATAGAATTGGGTCAAAGGTTAGAAACTGTGCTGTGGCGGGGGAGGAGCCAAGATGGCCGAATAGGAACAGCTCCGGTCTACAGCTCCCAGCGTGAGCGACGCAGAAGACGGGTGATTTCTGCATTTCCATCTGAGGTACCGGGTTCATCTCACTAGGGAGTGCCAGACAGTGGGCGCAGGCCAGTGGGTGCGCGCACCGTGCGCGAGCCGAAGCAGGGCGCGGCATTGCCTCACCTGGGAAGCGCAAGGGGTCAGGGAGTTCCCTTTCCGAGTCAAAGAAAGGGGTGACGGACGCACCTGGAAAATCGGGTCACTCCCACCCGAATATTGCGCTTTTCAGACCGGCTTAAAAAACGGCGCACCACGAGACTATATCCCACACCTGGCTCGGAGGGTCCTACCCCACGGAGTCTCGCTGATTGCTAGCACAGCAGTCTGAGATCAAACTGCAAGGCAGCAGCGAGGCTGGGGGAGGGGCGCCCGCCATTGCCCAGGCTTGCTTAGGTAAACAAAGCAGCCAGGAAGCTCGAACTGGGTGGAGCCCACCACAGTTCAAGGAGGCCTGCCTGCCACTGTAGGCTTCACCTCTGGGGGCAGGGCACAGACAAACAAAAAGACAGCAGTAACCTCTGCAGACTTAAATGTCCCTGTCTGACAGCTTTGAAGAGAGCAGTGGTTCTCCCAGCACGCAGCTGGAGATCTGAGAACCGGCAGACTGCCTCCTCAAGTGGGTCCCTGACCCCTGACCCCCGAGCAGCCTAACTGGGAGGCACCCCCCAGCAGGGGCACACTGACACCTCACAAGGCAGGGTATTCCAACAGACCTGCAGCTGAGGGTCCTGTTTGTTAGAAGGAAAACTAACAAACAGAAAGGACATCCACACCGAAAACCCATCTGTACATCACCATCATCAAAGACAAAAAGTAGATAAAACCACAAAGATGGGGAAAAAACAGAACAGAAAAACTGGAAACTCTAAAACGCAGAGCGCCTCTCCTCCTCCAAAGGAACGCAGTTCCTCACCAGCAACGGAACAAAGCTGGATGGAGAATGACTTTGACGAGCTGAGAGAAGAAGGCTTCAGACGATCAAATTACTCTGAGCTACGGGAGGACATTCAAACCAAAGGCAAAGAAGTTGAAAACTTTGAAAAAAATTTAGAAGAGTGTATAACTAGAATAACCAATACAGAGAAGTGCTTAAAGGAGCTGATGGAGCTGAAAACCAAGGCTCAAGAACTATGTGAAGAATGCAGAAGCCTCAGGAGCCGATGCGATCAACTGGAAGAAAGGGTATCAGCAATGGAAGATGAAATGAATGAAATGAAGCGAGAAGGGAAGTTTAGAGAAAAAAGAATAAAAAGAAATGAGCAAAGCCTCCAAGAAATATGGGACTATGTGAAAAGACCAAATCTACGTCTGATTGGTGTACCTGAAAGTGATGGGGAGAATGGAACCAAGTTGGAAAACACTCTGTAGGATATTATCCAGGAGAACTTCCCCAATCTAGCAAGGCAGGCCAACGTTCAGATTCAGGAAATACAGAGAACGCCACAAAGATACTCCTCGAGAAGAGCAACTCCAAGGCACATAATTGTCAGATTCACCAAAGTTGAAATAAAGGAAAAAATGTTAAGGGCAGCCAGAGAGAAAGGTCGGGTTACCCTCAAAGGGAAGCCCATCAGACTAACAGCAGATCTCTCGGCAGAAACCCTACAAGCCAGAAGAGAGTGGGGGCCAATATTCAACATTCTTAAAGAAAAGAATTTTCAACCCAGAATTTCATATCCAGCCAAACTAAGCTTCATAAGTGAAGGAGAAATTAAATACTTTACAGACAAGCAAATGCTGAGAGATTTTGTCACCACCAGGCCTGCCTTACAAGAGCTCCTGAAGGAAGCACTAAACATGGAAAGGAACAACCGGTACCAGCTGCTGCAAAATCATGCCAAAATGTAAAGACCATTGAGACTAGGAAGAAACTGCATCAACTAACGAGCAAAATAACCAGCTAACATCATAATGACAGGATCAAATTCACACATAACAATATTAACTTTAAATGTAAATGGACTAAATGCTCCAATTAAAAGACACAGACTGGCAAATTGGATAAAGAGTCAAGACCCATCAGTGTGCTGTATTCAGGAAACCCATCTCACGTGCAGAGACACACACAGGCTCAAAATAAAAGGATGGAGGAAGATCTACCAAGCAAATGGAAAACAAAAAAAGGCAGGGGTTGCAATCCTAGTCTCTGATAAAACAGACTTTAAACCAACAAAGATCAAAAGAGACAAAGAAGGCCATTACATAATGGTAAAGAGATCAATTCAACAAGAAGAGCTAACTATCCTAAATATATATGCACCCAATATAGGAGCACCCAGATTCATAAAGCAAGTCCTGAGTGACCTACAAAGAGACTTAGACTCCCACACATTAATAATGGGAGACTTTAACACCCCACTGTCAACATTAGACAGATCAATGAGACAGAAAGTCAACAAGGATACCCAGGAATTGAACTCAGCTCTGCACCAAGCGGACCTAATAGACATCTACAGAACTCTCCACCCCAAATCAACAGAATATACATTTTTTTCAGCACCACACCACACCTATTCCAAAGTTGACCACATACTTGGAAGTAAAGCTCTCCTCAGCAAATGTAAAAGAACAGAAATTATAACAAACTATCTCTCAGACCACAGTGCAATCAAACTAGAACTCAGGATTAAGAATCTCACTCAAAGCCGCTCAACTACATGGAAACTGAACAACCTGCTCCTGAATGACTACTGGATACATAACGAAATGAAGGCAGAAATAAAGATGTTCTTTGAAACCAACGAGAACAAAGACACAACATACCAGAATCTCTGGGACGCATTCAAAGCAGTGTGTAGAGGGAAATTTATAGCACTAAATGCCCACAAGAGAAAGCAGGAAAGATCCAAAATTGACACCCTAACATCACAATTAAAAGAACTAGAGAAGCAAGAGCAAACACATTCAAAAGCTAGCAGAAAGCAAGAAATAACTAAAATCAGAGCAGAACTGAAGGAAATAGAGACACAAAAAACCATTCAAAAAATCAATGAATCCAGGAGCTGGTTTTTTGAAAGGATCAACAAAATTGATAGACCACTAGCAAGACTAATAAAGAAAAAAAGAGAGAAGAATCAAATAGACACAATAAAAAATGATAAAGGGAATATCACCACCGATCCCACAGAAATACAAACTACCATCAGAGAATACTACAAACACCTCTACGCAAATAAACTAGAAAATCTACAAGAAATGGATAAATTCCTCGACACATACACTCTCCCAAGACTAAACCAGGAAGAAGTTGAATCTCTGAATAGACCAATAACAGGAGCTGAAATTGTGGCAATTATCAATAGTTTACCAACCAAAAAGAGTCCAGGACCAGATGGATTCACAGCCGAATTCTACCAGAGGTACAAGGAGGAACTGGTACCATTCCTTCTGAAACTATTCCAATCAATACAAAAAGAGGGAATCCTCCCTAACTCATTTTATGAAGCCAGCATCATCCTGATACCAAAGCCGGGCAGAGACACAACCAAAAAAGAGAATTTTAGACCAATATCTTTGATGAACATTGATGCAAAAATCCTCAATAAAATACTGGCAAAACGAATCCAGCAGCACATCAAAAAGCTTATCCACCATGATCAAGTGGGCTTCATCCCTGGGATGCAAGGCTGGTTCAATATACGCAAATCAATAAATGTAATCCAGCACATAAACAGAGCCAAAGACAAAAACCACATGATTATCTCAATAGATGCAGAAAAAGCCTTTGACAAAATTCACCAACCCTTCATGCTAAAAACTCTCAATAAATTAGGTATTGATGGGACGTATTTCAAAATGATAAGAGCTATCTATGACAAACCCACAGCCAATATCATACTGAATGGGCAAAAACTGGAAGCATTCCCTTTGAAAACTGGCACAAGACAGGGATGCCCTCTCTCACCACTCCTATTCAACATAGTGTTGGAAGTTCTGGCCAGGGCAATTAGTCAGGAGAAGGAAATAAAGGGTATTCAATTAGGAAAAGAGGAAGCCAAATTGTCCCTGTTTGCAGACGACATGATTGTATATCTAGAAAACCCCATTGTCTCAGCCCAAAATCTCTTTAAGCTGATAAGCAACTTCAGCAAAGTCTCAGGATACAAAATCAGTGTGCAAAAATCACAAGCATTCTTATACACCAACAACAGACAAACAGAGAGCTAAATCATAAGTGAACTCCCATTCACAATTGCTTCAAAGAGAATAAAATACCTAGGAATCCAACTTACAAGGGATGTGAAGGACCTCTTCAAGGAGAACTACAAACCACTGCTCAAAGAAATAAAAGAGGATACAAACAAATGGAAGAACATTCCATGCTCATGGGTAGGAAGAATCAATATTGTGAAAATGGCCATACTGCCCAAGGTAATTTACAGATTCAATGCCATCCCCATCAAGATACCAATGACTTTCTTCACAGAATTGGAAAAAACTACTTTAAAGTTCATATGGAACCAAAAAAGAGCCTGCATCGCCAAGTCAATCCTAAGCCAAAAGAACAAAGCTGGAGGCATCACACTACCTGACTTCAAACTATACTACAGGGCTACAGTAACCAAAACAGCATGGGACTGGTACCAAAACAGAGATATAGATCAATGGAACAGAACAGAGCCCTCAGAAATAACGCCGCATACCTACAACTATCTGATCTTTGACAAACCTGAGAAAAACAAGCAATGGGGAAAGGATTCCCTATTTAATAAATGGTGCTGGGAAAACTGGCTAGCCATATGTAGAAAGCTGAAACTGGATCCCTTCCTTACACCTTATACAAAAATCAATTCAAGATGGATTAAAGATTTAAACGTTAGACCTAAAACCATAAAAACCCTAGAAGAAAACCTAGGCATTTCCATTCAGGACATAGGCATGGGCAAGGACTTCATGTCCAAAACACCAAAAGCAATGGCAACAAAAGACAAAATTGACAAATGGGATCTAATTAAAATAAAGAGCTTCTGCACAGCAAAAGAAACTACCATCAGAGTGAACAGGCAACCTACAAAATGGGAGAAAATTTTGGCAACCTACTCATCTGACAAAGGGCTAATATCCAGAATCTACAATGAACTCAAACAAATTTACAAGAAAAAAACAACCCCATCAAAAAGTGGGTGAAGGACATGAACAGACACTTCTCAAAAGAAGACATTTATGCAGCCAAAAAACACATGAAAAAATGCTCATCATCACTGGCCATCAGAGAAACGCAAATCAAAACCACTCTGAGATACCATCTCACACCAGTTAGAATGGCAATCATTAAAAAGTCAGGAAACAACAGGTGCTGGAGAGGATGTGGAGAAACGGGAACACTTTTACACTGTTGGTGGGACTGTAAACTAGTTCAACCATTGTGGAAGTCAGTGTGGCGATTCCTCAGGGATCTAGAACTAGAAATACCATTTGACCCAGCCATCCCATTACTGGGTATATACCCAAATGACTATAAATCATGCTGCTATAAAGACACATGCACACGTATGTTTATTGCGGCATTATTCACAATAGCAAAGACTTGGAACCAACCCAAATGTCCAACAATGATAGATTGGATTAAGGAAATGTGGCACATATACACCATGGAATACTATGCAGCCATAAAAAATGATGAGTTCACGTCCTTTGTAGGGACATGGATGAAATTGGAAATCATCATTCTCAGTAAACTATCGCAAGAACAAAAAACCAAACACCGCATATTCTCACTCATAGGTGGGAATTGAACAATGAGATCACCTGGACACAGGAAGGGGAATATCACACTCTGGGGACTGTTGTGGGGTGGGGGGAGGGGGGAGGGATAGCATTGGGAGATATACCTAATGCTAGATGACGAGTTAGTGGGTGCAGCTCACCAGCATGGCACATGTATACATATGTAACTAACCTGCACAATGTGCACATATACCCTAAAACTTAAAGTATAATTAAAAAAAAAATTAAAAAAGAAAAAAAAAAAAAGAAACTGTGCTGCGGTAGAGGGTAGTCTTGATATATATACTGGCAGATGAAGAAAACATTTTAGAAAAACAGTGTGCTATGTCACCAGCAGTAAATGAACATACTAACTTCATTACATTTTTATCAACACACAATATATTAAAATTTAATTTCCCTTATTAAATAAACCAAAATATTTTACTTTAATTTCTATGCCTTTGATTACTATCTATTTACTCTATTCATTTATTCATTCAACAAACAGACGCCAGATGTGATGGCAGACTTGGAAAAAATAACAGAAGACATAATCTCTGACCTCAGAGAGCTTGTAGTTTAGAGCTGAAGACAGAAAACAAGAAGAACAACCAACCAACAAAAGCCACTGATTATGATTAAGTGCCACAACACAGCAAATACAAGATGCTGTAGGGATGCACCAAAAATGGCGCTAACCTTGACCTTAGCATCCACCTCGTTTATACAGACAGGATTCATAAAAGCCATTCATGACCCTAGGTACTTGGAAATGGCTTTCTGAGAAGGTTATGTCCAAGCTTCATTCTGATTGCTACTGAGATTGAACATACTTCTGTATGTCTGTTTATTCATTCTTTTTGTGAACTGTTTGTTCATTTGCTTACTTATTTATAAGTTGCTGCTTTTAATTTGTGTGAGCTCTTTGTTAAAACAAAAATTTGTCATTCTGTGCTCTAAAGATTGTTTCTAGGTTTTTAACATTAAAAATACATATATACACATAAAACACTATATATGTGTACGTACATGTACACATACATGTGTACCCATATATAGTGTCTATTTAATATTTAATACATATGTACAGAATCAAAAGGTAAAAAATATTTTAGAAAGTAAATCCTCTTCTCATTTCTGTCCTCCAGCCACCTAGGTCCCCTCCCTAGGGATAACCACTGAAATTTTACCAAATTCTTATAAAGCCTCCAGATCAGGGGTATCCAATCTTTTGGCTTCCCTGGGCCACCTTGGAAGAAGAATTGTCTTGGGCCACACATAAAATACACTAACATTAACGATAGCTGATGAGCTTTAAAAAAAAAATCTCATAATTTGAGAAAGTTTGCAAATTTGTGTTAGGCTGCTTTCAAAGCCATCCTGGCCCACATGTTGGACAATCTTGTTCTAGATGTACCCTATGCATGTGCAAGCAAAAATGTATATGTGATATATTTTTATTTAAGTTATATATACATAGTTTCCACTTCTGTGGACAGTCTGTTTATATCCTTTGCCCATTTTTAATTGGGTTATAATTTATCTTATTAATTGTAGATATCCTTTATATACACAGGAAATGAACACTTAGTCTTGAGTTGATTTGTCTTTTTTTAAAACTTTATGGTATTTTTTCCATGCAGAAAGTTTTGAATTTTTTTATGTAGCAAGCTTTATCAATCTTTTCTTTTACAGATTCTGAGCATTTCTATCTTATTTAACAAGGCCTTTTCACTCCAAGACTTTAATTTTTTTTAGTTGGCTATGGATTTTATTTGATATACCAAAGTTTTCTACTTTTACGTAGTTAATATATGTTGATCTTTTCTTTGGTGATTTAAAAATCCTTTCTAAGGCCAGAATGTCAGCACACAAATTTATACAAGTACCTTCTCTCAGACTTGTATTGCTCTTAATCTTCAAAGGGTCCTGTAAGTTTGATAGAGTTATTTGCCTCTTGAGTATAGAGATGAGACTTATAAAACTCATTCATTTACACTTATCCCCCCAAAAGATTTACAGTTGTAATAATGGTTCTACAAATGATTGCACTTAGTGTTGATGAACATATATATGGCTGCATTAAACTATAATCCTCAGCAAACCAAGCATATTTACATTGTTTATAGTTAACAATTTCTGACCTAATTCCTGAATTATTATATATAGCACTTCTACTTGCATTCATTTCTAGTGGCACTTCAGCCACGTTTTATCAGCACTGCAGGCATCTCTTTAAACTTTCAATTTTTAGATTTCATAAGTATTAGTAATTATAACAGCACAGTGAACCAGCTGAGTTAGGTATAATGCCACCTCTTGCTATTTCAGTACAGTTTAGACAATACTAAGTGACATTAAAAGCAGAACCAAGACAACATAACAGAGCTTTTAAAAAATTGAAGGGTCACAACTCAGAACCTATTTCTCAGTTCTCACTATCTTCCATTATTAGAAAATATATGTGATAAAAGATCAGATACAAAAAAAGTAAAGCTTTTATCTTCTAAGAAATAACAAAGCTTTTTTTAACCTTTCATTTATGGAGCCTATTCCATAAATAAGTAATAATAACATTTTATAGAAGCTTTCTGTATAAAATGGCTAAATCAATATGAAAACATTTGTTTACAAAAAGGAAAAAAAAGCAGGGGGCATCTCCATTCCTGTCAGTTCAGAAAGGATGTGCTCTGCAGACCACACGTGCAGGCGTGCCCTCTTCAACCGCTCCATTAGTAGGAATAAAAAGAAGAGAGCCTTTCAAACTAAGAGCATGACATCACAATAGCTACAATAATCAGGGTGTAATCAGGAAATGTTCTACCAACTATAACCAGGGTAAGAAGGAGAAGTGCAGGCCGGGCGCGGTGGCTCACGCCTGTAATCCCAGCACTTTGGGAGGCCGAGGCAGGCGGATCACGAGGTCAGGAAATCGAGACCATCCTGGCTAACACGGTGAAATCCTGTCTCTACTAAAACATACAAAAAATTAGCCGGGCATGGTGGCGGGCGCCTGTAGTCCCAGCTACTCAGGAGGCTGAGGCAGGAGAATGGCGTGAACCCAGGAGGCAGAGCTTGCAGTGAGCGGAGATCGCGCCACTGCTCTCCAGCCTGGGCGACAGAGCAAGACTCCATCTCAAAAACAAAAAAAAAAGGAAGGAGAAGTGCAGTTGAATGTTGGATAAGAAAAGGCCCTACACAGGGGAAAGGGCATTGGTAGAACAGAAAAGCATCCTAACTAGCTTGTGCCAAAGGGATGCGTAGAAAAATCTACATACGGGCCAATTGGACAAAAAACTGTTTTCATAAGAATCTTGGTGGATTTAGCAAATTAGGGGCCAACAGGTTGAGTACACATGGTAGAGCCTGACCAATAACAATCCACATGTGTGAAACTGGTAAATTTACACTGACCAAATGTCAAACTAAATTATAGAAAAGGTTTAAAACTTTTATACATGAAGAACATCACAAACATAGTGAATCTAAGGTTGCACATAAACATTTACAGGGCACTGACTACATTTTAGGTGCTGTGCACAGTTAATGGGATTAAAAGATAAATAAGACATAGTAAGAGCTCACAGACTAGTGAAGAAGATAAACAGAAACATGTACATGTTTCCCAAGCAGATAAGGAAAAAAAAAGGTCACTTGTGAGGACAGCAAATGCAAAGGTACAGAGGACTAGAGGAACATGGCATGAACAAGGAATAGAATGTAATTTAGTTTGGCTAGAGAAGAGGATGCAAGTTTATTATTGCAGAAATTTAAGCAACCCAAGGTTCAGGGTTTCTTAACCCAAATTAAAATAGAATCCAATAAAACATCTATATTTTTAAACAAAACCCATTAAAACAAAACCCACAAAATTTTTTATACAACTTATAATTCATGAATAGTCAATTTTTTTTAATAAGTAACAAAAATAATTTAAAAGACTCATTCCAAACCAGTTCAACATATAAAATCTGTAGCTTGAGCCTGCCTGCTCCTCTCTACCCCAACCTCCACCAAGTATATTCCTGAGAAAAAGTTTAAAATGACCCATTTCCAAACCTGGAAGAGAAGCAAAGCCAAAGCAGCATAAATCTATAACTACTCCTAAAGAAACCCAGAGGAGAAAAAGCAACTTCTGATCATATGGGCAGGAAGGAGGGGCTAGGATTCCTCTTGCCAAACAAGAACATGGTCCAGGAAGGGATCCAACATCAGTAGGGAGCCCAGTGGTAAAGAACTGTAGGTTGCATTCCAAATCAGTAGGAAAGGTTAGTATAAGGACAACTGGTAATCAATATGAAAAAAATATTGAATTCCTATACAAAAAGATAAATTCCAGAAGGGTTAGAGAAATGTGAAAAACAAAGAAATATAAAAATATTTCAGGCCGGGCGCAGTGGCTCACGCCTGTAATCCCAGCACTTTGGGAGGCTGAGGAGGGCGATCACGAGGTTAAGAGATCGAGACCATCTGGCCAACATGGTGAAACCCCGTCTCTACTAAAAATACAAAAATTAGCTGGGCATGGTGGTGCGTGCCTGTAGTACCAGCTACTCAGGAGACTGAGGCAGGAGAATCGCTTGAACCTGAGAGGCAGAGGTTGCAGTGAGCCAAGATTGCACCACTGCGCTCCAGCCTGGGTGACAGAGCAAGACTCCCATCTCAAAAAAAAAAAAAAAAAAAAAAAAAATTCCTATGGGAGAATTTCTAAGATATAAAAGCATAAATAAATAGGTTCATAATTCATCTACATAAAAATTTAAAACTTATATACAACAAAAGCTAACATAAACTAATTGAAAAGCCAATAACAGACTGGGAAAAAAGATTTACAACCTGTGTAATTGGCAAAGGACTGGTATTCAGAATATATAAAGGTCTAAAATCAATAAGTAAAAGCCAAACAAGCTAGTAGGAAGATGGGCACAGGACAAAAACAAAAATTCATAAATGAGGAAACCCAAATTGCCAATAAGAAAAGATGCTAAAACTCATTATAAACAGGAAAATAAAATTTTAAAACATGAGATCCCATTTCACATCTGCCAGATAACCTGTAATTTGTTTTAATGTTGCTTATTTCAAGCATGTATGAAAGTAGAGAGAAAAATAAAATGAACATCCATGTACCCACCCCATAATGTAACTATAATTTATTCATGATCAATCTTATTTTATCCCTATCTCTACTGCCAGATAATTTTGAAGCAAATCCCAGGTATTGTATCACTTTTTTTTCCTGTAAATATTTCAGTTACATCCTTAAAAGATACGGAAAAAATTTAAGTCAGATTTATTGAAGTATAAGTTATACCTCAATAAAAGTTGAGGTATAAACATACAGTAAAACTCACCCTTTTTAGTATACAGTTCTATGAGTTGTGTGCCACAACTCAGTTGAAACACTGGGGAACGTATGAACTGGATTGTTTCCCAGTTTGGCGTGATAATGAATAAAACTGCTGTAAGCATTTGTGAACCAATTTTTGTGTGAAAGTAACTTATTTCTCTTGAATAAATACCTAAGAGCCTTTATTGCTGGGTCATATGGTAAGTGACTGTTTAACTTTACAAAATATTGCTAAATTTTTTGCCAAGTGGCTGTATCCTTTTGCATTTCCAACAGCAAAGCATGACAGCTCCATTTATTCTGCATCCTTGCAAACAGTTGTATTATAGTTCATTTAATCTTGGCCATTCTAATAGATATATAGTGGTATCTCATTGGGGTTTTAATCTGTATTTCGCTAATCAATGCAATCAATTCAGTAAGAATTGAAGCATGCATAGAAAAATATTGTCCTTTATGCAAATAATAGCCTACAAATAAGTTTTGGAGGTAACAGGATTCTAAAGAATGTGCCAGGTTCCATAAAATCAACATAAAATTTTCAAATATTTATGCTCTGAACAATTTTAGCACTAAAACTTACTTAAATGGAATCTAAAACTAATTACATGTGACCCTTCAACAACACAGGTTTGAACTGTGCAGGTCCATGTATAGGCAGATTTTCTTCTGCCTCTGCCACCCATAAGACAGCAAAACCAATCCCTCCTCTTACTCCTCCTCCTCAGCCTATTCAATATGAAGATGATGACAATGAAGACCTTTATGATGATCCACTTCCACTTAATAAAAAGTAAATGTATTTTCTCTTCCTTATGATTATTTTCTCTATCTTAATTTATCATAAGAATACAGTATGTAATACATGTAACATAGAAAATATGTGTTAAAAATTATTTTACTGGTAAGGCAGTCAACGGTAGGCTATTAGTTACGTTTCAGTGAGTCAAAATTTATACCTGAATTTTCAGCTGCGCAAGGGGTTGGTGCCCCTAACCCCTGCATCCTGAAGGATCAACTGTAGTGTAATAAGGTGATGTTACCATGGAAATTTAATCCTCAGCTTTTATATTTTTTTTTCTATAAGATGTGTTATTTAACAATGATATGAAGAATACAAAGTAAACAAATGTTACATTCTGTATCTAAAATTCCTGGCATTCTGTCATTTTTTTTTTTTTAAGAGACAAGGTCTTGCTCTGTTGCCCAGGCTGGAGTGCAGTGGCGTGGTCATAGCTCACTGCAGCCTCCAACTCCTGGGCTCAAGCTATCTCCAGCCTCAGCCTCCTAAAGTGCTGGGATTACAGGCGAGAGCCACTGTGCCCAGCTCATAACTCTTTGAGTTGCATTTTCCACAATGCAACTCTCTTAAATACTGAGTTTATTTTCAGAAGAATATGATCTTAAATGTCATTACATAAGAAAATAAACTCTACTCCGGAACTGCACACATTTAAGTATTCACTGTTCTGATCGTTGCATCCTTGTATCTGTTCTGATTATTTGATGAGACATTTATTCTCAAGAACCAAACATAAAATCAGCTTGCTTAAAAGTGAGTCAATTCTGTCCTTCTTTAATAATAAAACTGGTGGCCAGGCATGGTGGCTCACACCTGTAATCCTAGCACTTTGGGAGACTGAGGTGAGTGGATCAATTGAGGTCAGGAGACGGAGACCAGCCTGGCCAACATGACGAAACCCCAGCTCTACTAAAAATACAAAAATTAGCTGGGTGTGGTGGCACATACCTGTTATTCCAGCTACTTTGGAGGCTGAGACATGAGACTCTCTTGAACCTGGGAGGCGGAGGCTGCAGTGAGCTGAGATGGTGCCACTGCACTCCAGCCTGGGAGACAGAGCGAGACTCTGCCTAAAATAATAATGCTGCTGCTGCTGCTGATAAAACTGGAAAAGGCTCACAGGATAAACTCTTATCACCATTTGGAACCTTCCTATGGCTTTTTATTTTTACCACGTTTCCTTCAATAGAAGAAGAATGACAAGGGATACTTAGGTAAAATGCACCTTGCCTTAAATTGTGCTACACGTTTCCACACTACATGTAATAAAAACTTGTTTCTTTTAAACTTTAGTTAACATTTATCCAATGAGATTGAATGGCACACCTTCATAGATGTGCTGCAATAAAATATACAGTTAGCAAAAATTGTGTTATTTTACTTCAAATACCATAACCTCATTTACACGGATACACTTATCTAGGTACTAAAAATGGCTTAATGGATATGCCTTAAATTCTCACATACTGTATATAAGTGATGTGAATCACTGCCTTCCCAAACAAGGCCTTTGAGCCATGTCCCACTCACAACTCCTGTTAAGTGGGTAGTAAGCCAGATGACTCCTCCCTAAATACATAAGACCATGGGGACACCTGACACAAAGTGGGCCCATCACAGGCTGGTCCATATCCTGGGGGCAGAGGTTCTAAGGATGAATAAGAAGGGAAAGATCAAATGCTATTTATAAAATGGATTCATCAGAGTTCAGAGGAGGGAGTGGGAGAAGTCTGGAGAAACTCCCAGTTTTGCAATTTGGGTAATCAAGAAAATGATGTTACCAGCAGTGAAAAAAAAAAAAAAAAAACAATAATTGAAGAGAACAGGCTTTAAAAAACAAACAGACATTTAAAAAATGAGCTGTAACTTATATACAGCAAAGTATTATACACATATCTTAACTTTACCACTTGATACAATTTTATACACACATATATTTAACCACCATCCAGATCAACATAGAACATTTCTAGAACCTAGAAGGCTCCTCCATGCGTGATCTCTCCCCAGTGAACAATGCCTCCATCTCACCTGCTGCCAAAGGTACTGCTATCCTGACTTCTATCACCATAGACTAGTTTTGCCTTTCTTGAAAAAGTAAAAATAAATGCACATGTGCATACATAACACACTCTTTTGTCGTATCTGGTTTCTTTGGGGAAACAAGTTTTTTTTTTTTTTTTGCTATTTCTGTGAAGGAAAGAAAGGGTGACAGCAAGTGGGGATGAAGAAGATAAGAGGTTATTACTTTCATTCACATATATTTAACACCTATGATGTGTTGGCATCTATGCTAGGCATAGAGAACAGGTGAAAAGAGCTTGGTACCTACCCTAAAGGATTCACATTGTAGAGGGAGAGACAGGTAAATGAGGAATTATATTTGCAGGCATTCTAATAGCAGGATGGTCAAGGTGCTAAAGAGAACACAGGAAAAGAGTGGCTCACTTTGCTTAGAGAGGTCATGGAGGACTCCAGTGAAGACTGAGTTGGAAAAAAAAATCATGGTTGAAAAATTTGCAAAATGATACTCTAAAGTTGGGTGATGGATGCATGGGGTTTATTATATTATTCTCTCTACTTCTGTGTATGTTTGGACAATATCCATAATTAAAAGTTTCTAAAATTTAAATTGTGTCTTAAAGCATGGATAGGAGCTAGTCAGTAATACAATAACACGCCAAGCAGAGAAACATTAAAAGCAAGGGTGAAAAGCAAAACTGCAGAGTTTTCAGGGACCCACAAGTCATTTGGGGGAAGTTGTAAGGAAACAGGACTGAAAAGTCAGGCCATGACTAGATCACTAAGATCCTTGCATTCCATGCTAAGAAAGCCTGGTTTTATTCTAAGGCGATTGGGAGCTTTGAAGAAACTGGAAGCAAGAAAATTATCTGACCAGACTTGTATTTTTAAATGATTATTCAGATATTAGTACAGACTTAATAAGAGACTAAAGAAAGTGATCAGTGGGAGATTACAGTAGTAACCCTGACAAGAGATAATGAGGACTAAACTGAGGTAACGGTAATAAAGATGTAGGGAACTCAAATGTTAAAACTACTTGGTTTTAATATGATTTGTCGAAAACTACCCTGTTGTCCCTCAACCAAACTGAAAGATTTAACACAAAAGACTAATTAGACAGCAAGTGATCAAACTGGATTCTGGTGAATAAGTACTTGACTTTGCTATTTAAAACACTCTCCACATGACCTTGCAGGAATGAAAAATATTTTTCCATAATACTTGCCTCCTCATAACTGGTTTCAGGTCAATTATGAGATTGGTGCAAAAGTAATTGCACTTTCTGCTGGCAAAATCGCAATTACTTTTGCACCAACCTAAAGGAATCGGAGTAATTCATTCAGAAGTGTTAACGCCTTAAGAGGTGTTTCTTTACAGTGTCCAATGCGCTTGCCATTGTTATCTGGAGAGTTTTAAGATACTTGGTAGACCAATGACATGGGGAAGAGTTTAGCTGAGCACCATTCTGCAAACAAGTCAGTAGCCAAAGACCAACAACAACAACAAAAAATGAAATTCCAGCCTATGACCAAAAGCTAAGCTAAAGCCAAAGGTCTGAAGTTCATTCAAAGCATTTGTTGATTTTAATGTCTAAGAGGATTTTACAAAACATCCATCTCCAAAATAACTGACACAAAATAGTATCCCTTAATAGCTTCAACGCCTAACGTTCACTTTTATACACATATGCAACAAGGAGGCAAGGCTATTTCTAATCTTTTACTGTATTAGAGAATACAGAAGGTGCCTACTACACAGCCTAAATCCATTAATATAATAATTTACTGTGATCTTATTCTTTAATTCTGGTTTCATGCCTTTATTTGGTAATATTCATTAAAATGAAATAGAAAAAGGTGTAAAATCTTTCTTTAGTTACAAATGTTGAACAAAGCAGAAACTCATTTATTCTTCCCTGGATATTTGAAGTTCAAATACTGCTATTTCTACTCCCTGTTCCCATCACTGATAACTGCTGAAGTCAGGAAATCTTATTAGAATTTGCCACCTCATGGTGCTCAGGCAGGTCGACCTACTTAGCAGTTTAGTCTACTATTTTTTGCCCAATTGTTGTGACAGGAAGAAATAAAACTCTCATCCCCAAAGACAAAATAAAACATAAAAAAGGAAACACACACACACACACCCCTACCTTAAATCACAAACTTAGCATTCAACAGATCCTCCAAATACCTACAGCAAAGAGGATGGAGAAACAAATGATCTCGGGCAGTGGATGTATGTATTGATTCAGAAATTTAATGAGGAAAAAGTCACATCAAGGACTTCTGTACACAGTATTGTCATAGGTATCTAAAAAGACTCACAAAGCAAACTCGGAAAAAAAAAAACAAGAGTAATAACATTCATAACACCTTATGGTTTTGTGTGCTTCACACATCCTTAAAGTACACCAGAGATAACATTTCCAAATCAAACAATAGCTTGAGGTTCAGGAAAAATTAAGTTAATGTTGTTTTCATATGCCACATTTAATTTAAAAATATTTTGTTACATGAAACAAGGGAATTTTCAAAACTAATAGTCAAAGAAATAGATTACTATTGCATGATATTCTAGGGAATTCAGTAATTATTTACTGTACACAGCAGAATGTGAAAATAAATGCTGCTCTGTGTTTCTGTGACTTACTTTTGGCTTCCTTCTGCCTTTCATCTCCATACAACTGTTCCTCTCCACTTTCATTCTTGGGCCTCCCTATAGAAATAAGTGGACACTCTAAAAGAATTAATTCTTAAGTCAGCCCCTGAAAAGAGCCCCTGTTCTCTGAATACCTATTGTGGCATTTAGCAATAAAATAATGACAATATTACTATATGTATCACATTCTATAGTTTACAAATCTATTTATATACCACAAGCAGGTATTATTCCCATTTTATGAGAGAGGGCACTCAGGGTAACAATAGTTGAATATTTTGCCTAAAGGTGAATTTCATGGCACATAGGAAGTTAGAGTAAGAACCCTGATATTCTAACTGATAGCATGCTGCTAGAGACTAAAAGACTAAAGAAAAGTGATCAGTGGGAGATTAGTGATAGTGATAGATAATGATAGTGATGGATAACCTACAGAATGAAGTGAGCATCTATGAGTCCATACTGATAGAATCAAATAAATACATAAATAAATAAGGGAAAAGGGACAGCCCTTTATTACAGTAGAATTCCAATTAGTACATGCAGAAGGAATCACAGAAATAGGAAATTGCCATCTGGCAAACACCAGAGCAGTAACTGTTGCAGGCAAGAATCACCAATTGATGCTAAAATTAGTGGACAAGAGTATTGTGAGAAAGAAGGTATTTTCATACTTCAAAATATCTTCTGGCAACATAGTTGTTAATTACAAAGGGAAAAGGAGTAACTACAATGGAGCAAACTGGCAGATATCACCTTAACCAAGTGATCAAGGTTAACATTACTAGTAACAAGATATATCAATATCATATACCTCCTGAGATAATGAACTGAACATCTCTTCTGTCTTTCAGAGACACTTCACAAGGTAACTGGCTAGTACTCTTCAAAAGTGTCAAAGTTATTAAAAAAAAAAAAAAATAAAGACTGAGGAGCTATCCCAGATGGAAGGAACCCAAGAAGACATAAAAACTAAATGCAACGTGGAATCCTAGGTTAGATCCTGAACCAGCAAAAAACACAGTATGACAACTTCAAATTTTGAATAAGGTCTGTAGATCAGTTAGTAGTATTGTGTTAGTGTTAACTTCCTGGTTTGGATTACCATTCTATGCTAAATGTTAACATTTGGGAAAGCTGGGTGAATGGTATAAACACATTCCTTATACTACGTTTGCAATTTTTTTTTTTTTTTTTTGGATGGAGTCTCACCGTGTCATCCAGCCTGGAGTGCAGTTGCGTGATCTCAGCTCACTGCAACCTCCACCTCCCGGATTCAAACAATTCTCCTGCCTCAGCCTCCCAAGTAGCTGGGATTACAGGTGTCCGCCACCACGTCTGGCTAATTTTTGTGTTTTTTGTAGAAATGAGGTTTTGCCATGTTGGCCAGGGTGGTCTCCAGATCTCAAGTGATATGCCCGCCTTGGCCTCCCAAAGTGCTGGGATTACGCGCTCGGCCTACTTTTGCAACTTTTTTTTTTTTTTTTTTTTTTTTTTTGAGAAGGAGTCTTGCTCTGTCACCAGGCTGAATTTGCAGTGGCACGATCTCAGCTCACTGCAACCTCTGCCTCCCGGGTTCAAGCATTTCTCCTGCTTCAGCCTCCCGAGTAGCTGGGACCACAGACGTTCACCACCACACTCAACTAATTTTTGTATTTTTAGTCGAGATGGAGTTTCACCATGTTTGCCAGGATGGTCTCAATCTCTTGACCTCGTGATCTGCCTGCCTCAGCCTCCCAAAATGCTGGGATTACAGCCGTGAGCCACCGCACCCAGCCAACTTTTTTATAAGTCTGAAACTATTTCTAAATAAAAAGTTTAAATAAAAAAATATTATGCTGCTAGAGCATCTTTCCCATCTTTTGGAACTGCACTTTCTTTGTTTCAAGTGTATAAATTTTATCTGCTCAATAAGGTCCACTGAAGGATTAAATATTCCCAAATATTAAAGATTTAAGAAGAGTTTAATTAGTAATAGTCAAAGTAAAATGTGCTCATTTCCCTTTCATTAATGATTAGTGATATAAAAAATAACAATTTTTCTCCAACAATAAGAAGATTTACTATTTTAAAGGAATCCAAGTAAAGCTAATCCAATTGAACCTAGTACAGACTTAATTGAATACTGTGAGAAAAAAATCTTATACCAAAGATGTGTTTTTGAAAAGACCCTAAATTCTATAGCCTCTTAATAAAAGAAGGAATCTAGAGGTCTGGCTAAGTACTATAACTAAGCTTCTTATGCCTGTAATTTGATAAGATGATAAATAGGGATATAAATTAAATCAAGACTTATTTTGTCACAGCAAAAAAAAAGTTCTCTTGCTTTTTTTTTTTTTTTAAGACTGGCAGTGCAAAATATTTTAAGACTGTGGTATTTATGTTTTGTTTTGGGTTACGACACTGAGGATAGAACATATCAGAGATAACTAGTAAGCTACATATTGATGCAAACTTTCAACATACCCAAAAGGAACCAACCAGAACTTAGCCCCGAAGAGGTACTTTTTTTTCGAAACTACAAATCTAGTAAAGTAAACAAGAGCTCTAAAAATAAAGACAGTCTACACAATCTGGCAAATGTCTTTGACTCCAATATGCTAGGAAATGAAAAAAGAAGGGTGGGAAAGGCAGTTAGGTTTAAAGTGTCAAAATTACTCTTTGTGAGTAGTTAGTACCCTTTCAAAAGATTATTCCAAAGTCTTGACTCACTTTAGAGAGAAGAGAAAAGATGAGGAGAAGAAATAAAATGGTATTACTGGCTTCACATGGTTAAGATTTTCATACTAAATACAAAGCAGAATCTCTTTTAAAAATTGTCGGGAATTAGTCCCTAATGAAAGAGAGACAAGAAATTCATATAAAAGTCACAATGTAAGTGCAACAAAACAAAAGTGTAATTGCAGTTTTAAAAGCAAACCAGGCTAGATAAGCCCTTCGGGTCCCTATCAGAGCTATTACCATATTAGTGAAGCTAGATATATACGCTAACTTTCCATTAAACACTTAGTATAACAAGGCTTAGGTCAAAGATCTCCATTTTAGCTACCCAATTAGAGTGTCTCATCTGTCTGATCCACTATAGAAAGTGAATTATTTACATCTACATAAATGTTCTTGATGTATATTTGGATATTCTGGCCCACTTATAGAATATCAACCAATTGCAAAAATGTAACATCATCTGAGATACCACGAACAACCAAACGTCACAGAAAGCTGCATAACTGTTATCCTATGGTGAGAAAAGGTACATTTCTTTTTAATACTTAAAGCATTTTAGAAAAAAAGAAAAATAATTTAAAGGGTTTTAGACTTTGAGGTAAGAAAATATCTTCAATTTTTTTTTTTTTTTTTTGAGACAGGGTCTTGTTCTGTCACCCAGGCTGGAGGGAAGTGGCATGATCTAGGCTCACTGCAACCTCCACCTCCCAGGTTCAAATGATTCTCCTGCCTCAGCCTCCCAAGTAGCTGGGACTACAGGTGCGTGCTACCACACCTAGTTAATTTTTGTATTATTAGTAGAGACAGGTCACCAGGCTGGAGTGCAGTAGCGAGATCTCGGCTCACTGCAATCTCTGCCTCCAGGGTGTATCTTGAACTTTTAACTCATACCTTCATCTTATCAAAATGAAAATGCCAAAACAAATATAAAATAGTAGAGAACTATATCAATACTAGAAACTAGGACTAGATGCCATTCATATGACAAAACTGTTGAAGAATTTATGCAAGACATGGTATTGTGATGGAAGAAAGATGCCAAGAGCCAACTAGTGATGCACCTTCCTGAGAAAGGAGTTCTGTGACTCAGAGAGAAAGAGAAGACACTGGCAGAAACACCATTACCAAGAGGAGCAAGAGCTACTGAATAGGGGAGCCATAGAAAAAATAAGAAAGCCCTCATCTGGAATCTGTTTCACCACTACTAATCAAGATCATCTGAAATAACTGTGCCCTAGAATGTGTAATGCAGCGTACCAGATAATAATCGGAGAAATAAAAAATTTGTGTGAGAAATAATAGGCAGATATACCAGAAGGGTGGATGAATAACTACAGTATTCAACTGGCATTGTGGCTAGCAAAAAACTGATTCCTTACAGAAGAAATTAGAGATAACTCCTTTGCTAGGACAGGCTCTAAGTTCACTCCTCTCAGGCTTCTAGATCAATGAACAGAAATGTAAACTTATATTAGCCAGGTCTCTTATGTAATATTTGAAAGGAAACTATTAGTTTCTAAGGACAGTGAGGTTATTGCAGATGAATCCACCCTCAGGCCTCTACATATGAGACATCTCCATGCATGAGGATAAATAAAATAAAAAGAAGAAAAAAAGAAAAAATAATAGATCTATGAAAACATTCTGCAACAAAATGAAAGGGGAAAACTTAACCCTCAAGATACAGAAAAGGGCATAGTTTTGAAAACAAACAAAACTGGAAATAGAAGTAAATTTTAATTAAAATTGCACCACAAAAAAACTAAATTCAGAAAAATGCAGATTCTTTGAAACAAGAGAGTAAAGATCAGATAATAAGCAACAGTCAGAGATTTCACTAAGAGTAAAGAATAAATAAACAAGGAGCTTGAAGAAATAAAAGAATAAGCAGCTGCCTGGGCAATACGGTGAGATCTCATCTCTACTAAAAATTAGAAATATTAGCTGGGTGTGTTGGCATATGTGCCTATAGTCCCAGCTACTTGGGAGGCTGAGGCTGGAAGATTTCTTGAGCCCAGGAATTCAAGGCTGCAGTCAGCAGTGATCACACCACTGCACTCCAGCCAGAGTGTCAGAGTGAGACTCTGTCTCAAAAAAAATAAATAAATAAAAATAAAAAAAAATAAAGAAGAGTAAAAAAAATGGCAGAAATAAAAACTACATAAAGATAACCCAAGAGAAAATTGTGCAGAAGATTGCAACAGATACTTCACAAAAGAGGATATCCAGCTGGCCAATAAACATAAGGAAAAGTGTTCAAACTCACTATTAATTATGAAAATATAAATGAAAACCTACCAAAACGGCTAAAAAGAAAATATCAGGAATGTATAGCCAAGAATGTGGAGAACTCTCATGCATTATTTGTAAGAGTATAAATTGAGCAGAATAACTCTGGAAAACTCCAGCAATACCTACCAAAGCATACTCTATGACTTTGTCCCTCAAAGTGTGTTCATAGATGAGTATAATCGGCATCATCAAGAGTTTGCTAGAAATGCAAAATTTCAGACTACATCCCAGACCTGGTGATTCACAATCAACATTTTAATAAGAGCCCAGATAATTCATATGCATGTTAATGTTTGAGAAGCGCTGCCCTATAACTCATTAATTCCACTCCTAGTTGTATGCCCAACAAAAACACATACAAGTGTCCACCAAAAGATATACAAGAGTGTTCACAGAAGCACTATTTGTGGTAGCTAAAAATTTGAGATTGCTCAAACACCCATCAATGGATAGATTGTTATATATTCACAAAATGAGAATGAACAATCTCATTTTGCACAAGTCCCATAAATATAATATGGACAAGTCCCATAAATATAATGATGAGCAAAAGAAGGCAGACAGGAGAGTCCTGTATTATTCATTTCATATAAAGTACATAAACAGGGAAACTATGCTATTAGAAGTCAGATGGTGGTTAGTCTTTGCGGAGTGGGGTGTGTAGTAGTCACTGGAAGGGAATATGAGAAAGGTTTCTGGGATACTGAAAATGTTCTGTTTCTTAACGAGGCCAATAAGCATATAAAAAATGTGCTTCACTAGTCATTCAGAAAATGAGAACTAAATGACAATGACATGCCACTGCACACACACAAGAATAACTTAAATTATAAAGACTGACAGTACCACTGTTAGCAAGATTATAGAGCAACTTGAACTGCCAAACAAAGCTGGTGGAAAAGCAAAATGGTACAATCACTTTTTTTTTTTTCTTGAGACAGAGTTTCACTCTGTCACCCAGGCTGGAGTGTAGCGGCATGATCTCAGCTCACTGCAACCTCCGCCTCCCAGGTTCAAGCGATTCTCCTGCCTCAGCCTCCCAAGTAGCTGGGCTTACAGGCATGTGCCACCGGGCCTGGCTAATTTTTAAATTTTTTTTGTAGAGACAAGGTTTCACTATGTTGGTCAGGCTGGTCTCAAACTCCTGACTTCATGTGATCCACCTGCCTCAGCCTCCCAAAGTGCTGGGATTACAGGCGTGAGCCATTGCATCTGGCTGATACAATCACTTTGAAAAACTGTACAGAAGTTTCTTTTGAAGTTACTTCTTTCTTATAAAGACACTTACTGGGCAACCCAATAATTCTACTCTAAGGTGTTACCCAAAAGAAATTAAGATAATACACAAAGACTTATATATAAATGTTCATAAAAGCTCTACTCATAATTTCCCCAAACTGGAAATAGCCCAAATATCCAACAGGTTAATAGATGAGCAAATTGAGAAATTAAGATAATACACAAAGAAATTAAGATAGTACACAAAGAAATTAAGATAATACACAAATACTTATATATACAAAAAGAAATTAAGAAAATACACAAAATTAAGATAATACACAAAGATAATACAAAAAATTAAGATAATACACAAAGATAGTACACAAAGATAATACACAAAATTAAGATAATACACAAATACACAAAATTAAGATAATACACAAAGACTTATATATAAATGTTCATAACAGCTCTACTCATAATTTCCCCAAACTGGAAATAGCCCAAATATCCAACAGGTTAATAGATGAGCAAATTGTGGTACATCCATAAAATGAAATACAAATCAACAAAAAAAGAACATGTACGATGTTCTTCTTTAATTCAGCATGATGCGGATAAGGCTCAAAAACATCATGCTGAATTAAAGAAGCTAGACACAAAAAGAGCACATATTACAATAATTGCATTTAATCAATTTCCAGCAAAAGCAAAACTAATCTGTAGTGCCAGAAAGCAGACAGAAAGTAGTTCTCTGGGGATGAAGGTGGGCAAGTAAGAGGGAATTTTTTTTTGGTGGGGGCGAAGGAATGAAAGAAATGTTCATATCATGATTGTGATGGTTTATATAGTTGAATACATTTATCAAAATTCAATGAACTCAGTGAGTATATTATATATATACATTCTTTATTTTTTGAGACAAGGTCTTGCTCTGTTGCTCAGACTGGAATACAGTGGTGCGACCAGGGCTCACTGCAGCCTCCATCTCCCAAGCAATCCTCTGAACTCAGCCTCCTGAATAGCTGGGACTACAGGTGTATGCCACCATGCCTGGCTAATTTTTTGTACAGATAGGGTCTCATTATGTTGCCAGGTCTGGTCTTGAACCCCTGGGCTCAAGAGACCCTCCTGTCTCACCCTCCCAAAGCACTGGTATTACAGGCATGGGCCACTGCGCCCAGATACTTTATTATTATATATAAATTGTACTCTAATAAAACTCATTTTAAGAATAGTCAATGACAAACCACGCAAAACTATTTCAACATATATTCAAAGACGTAATATTCTTATTCTATAGAGATAATTCCAATAATACATAACAAAACCTTAGTATCCCAACAGAAAATGTGAAGAGCACTGTGGATTTCCAGAATGCTGAAAAGCTTGGCAAAAGAATAATTTCATGGACATCTGAGCACTGACAACTTTCTGTCTTTGAAAAAAATGCAGATGTAAATCCAATGCTTATAAACATTCTCTTAATCAGAAGCTATTAGTGAAATTCTTTTGGAATGGTGACCTAGGTCCCAAGTATATAAGGGCTACAGCCTAGCAAAGTGTCATCAGAAAATGGGGTTAGCAAAAGCTATCCTGAGATTCACTGTACCTATTCCAGTCATGGGTGGTCACCTCACTCTCAAAAGATTCCACATTTACAATTAAGCAAGGAACTCTACTGTGTTTGAGTGTACTCACTCCTTCCACTACCTGAAATGCTACAGTTGGCATCAGACATGAGATTGGCACAGATAAACCACCACTGTTGTTAGAGTTTGGAAGGACTGCTAGGAAGCAAATAAGGGAACTGCTGCCTGAGGAAGGCTGGGTGATTAGAGAGTTGAGTTTTGTTTTTTTTTTTTCTGGAGTAGCCATGTAAGAGTGCACAGACTCTCCCCTCACTATGGACTGAACGTGTTCCCCTAAATTCAAATGTTGAAACTTACATAAGTTAATAATAATATAATAGAATTAAGAGGTGGGCCTTTACATAATAAGTTAATAATAATATAATAGAATTAAGAGGTGGGCCTTTAAGAAATAATAAGTCATGAGGGCAGAACCCTCATGAATGGGAGTAGGGCCCTTAGGAAAGGGCTCCAGGTGCCAGGCGTGGTGGCTCACGCCTGTAATCCCAACAGTTTGGGAAGCTGAGGTCAGTGGATCACTTGAGGTCAGGAGTTCAAGACCAGCCTGACCATGTTGATGAAACCCCATCTCTACTAAAAAAATACAAAAATTATCTGGGCGTGGTTGCACCTGCCTATAATCCCAGCCACTCAGGAGGCCGAGGCAGGAGAATTGCTTGAACCTGGGAGGCAGAGGTTGCAGTGAGCTGAGATCACACCACTGTACTCCAGCCTGGGCAACAGAGTGAGACTCTGTCTCAAAAAAAAAAAAAAAAAAAAAGGTGGGGGAGGGGCATTCAGAAAATGGGTTCACTGTCTTCTGCTCTTCCACCATGTGAAGACTTAGTTTTCCTTCCCTATGGAGGATGTAGCAAAAAGATGCCATCTCAAAAGCAGAGAGCAGCACTCACCAGACACCAATCCTGCTGGTGCCTTGATCTGGATTTTCCAGCCTCCAGAACTATAAGAAATACATTTCTATTGTTTATAAATTACCCAGTCTGTGACATTTTGTTATAGCTGCACAAATGGACTAAGACAGAAATTGGTACCAAGAAAGGGGTGTTACTATAACAAATACCTGAAAATGGGGAAGTGGCTCTGAAACTGGGTAATGGGTACAGGCTGGAATAGTTTTGAAGTGAATGCTGGAAAAGGCCCATATTGCTATGAACACAGCATTAAAGATGATTCAGGTGAGGGCTTAGAAGAGGACGGCTATAAAGAAAGCCTCAGTCTTAGAGATAATCTAAGTGGTAGTGAATAGAATGTTGGTAGAAATATGGACAGTAAAGACCATTTGGATAAGGTCTTATACAAAAATAAATAATATCTTATTAGAAACTGGAGGAAAGGCCATTCTTGTTATACAATGGCAAAGAACTTGGTTGAATTGTGTTTGTGTCCCACTGCTTTGAGGAAGGCAGAATTTAAAGGCAATGAAATAGAATATTTAGTAGAAGAAATCTCTGAGCAAAATACTCTAGGTGCTGTATGGACTCTCTTAACTGCTTATAATAAACTGCAAGAAGAGAGATATTAATTAAGCATGGAATTTATAGTCAAATGGAAGCAGAACATAAAGATTTGGAAAATTCTCAGCCTGGCCATGTAAAGAATATAAAAGAGTGTTTGGAAGAAAACCCTAAAGGTATGGCCAAGCAACTATTTGATAAAAAGAATAGTATGGATAGAAGAAAGCCAGATACAATTCATTAAGACAATGGGAAAATAACCCCAAAAGTATTTCAAAGAACTTTGAGGCTACCACACCCATCATAGGTCCACAATGCCAGAGCCTTGAGGGCAGAACAGTTTTAAGGGAGGGCCCCAGAGTGCCCATTGACCTTGGTGCTCACTGCTCCAGGCTGCCTCAAGTCTCTGCTCCCAGAATTCTGGTGCAGTGTTCCTTGACCACCCCAGCTGTGACTAAGGTGGGCCCAAGTTCAGCTCTGGCCACCACTCCAGAGGGCACAAGACATAAATCTTGACAGCATCCACATGGTGCTAATTCTGCAGGTGTGTAGGGTGCACAAGCTGTGGAGGCATGGCTACCTTTACTTAGAATCAAAGGATGGCTCAGAGAGCCTTAGGGCCCAGGCAAAAAAAAATACCACATGGTGGGGCCACTGTAGATAGCCCCCACCAGGGCAATGCCTAGTGAAGCCACGGATGCAGGGCTACTGCAAGGACTCCCTATTAGGGCAATGTCTAGTGAGGCCACGGGAGCAGCACCACTCCTGAGATCTCACAACTGTAGAGCCACCAGAGTGTGATCTTAGCCTGGAAGAGCTGCAGGCACCCAACTCCAACGCATGAGAACTGCTGTGTGGGCCGTGCTCACAAAGTTCTAACGGGCAGGGCCTTCCAGGCCCTTGGAGCCCAACTCCACCCCAGTGTGTACAAAAGTAGGATATGAAGTCAAAGAAGATTACTCTCAAGACTTAATGTTTGCTTTATTAGGTTTTAGATTTACTTGGAACCTGTTATCCCTTTCTTCCTAACCATTTCTTCTCTTTTGAAATGGGAATGTCTATCCTATGCCCATCTCACCATTGTACTTTGGAAGGATATAACCTGTTTGATATCACAGGCTCACAGCTGAAAAGAAATTTACCTCAGGATGAATCTTACCTTGAGTCTCACCCACATCTGATTTAGAGATGAGACTCTGGACTTTGAAGACTTTTGAAATGGTGCTGGAACAAGTTAAGACTTTTGGGGGTACTGGGATGCAATGAATATATTCTGCATGTGAGAACAAGAATTTTGGGAACAGGGGTGGAATTGATGGTCTGAATGTATTCCTCAAAAGTAATATGTTGAAACTTAATTGCCAATATGATAGTATACAGAAGTAGAACCTTTAAGAGGTGATTAAGTCATGAGGGCAGGGCCCTCATAAATGGGATTAGGGTCCTTAGAAAAGGGCTTCAGGGAATAGAGTATTTTTTTTTTTTGAGACAGAGTTTCGCTCTTGTTGTCCAGGCTGGAGTGCAATGGTGCGATCTCGGCTCACCGCAACCTCCACCTCTTGGGTTCAAGCGATTCTCCTGTACCTGGGATTACAGGCATGTGCCACCACACCTGGCTAATTTTGTATTCTTAGCAGAGATGGGGTTTCTCCATGTTGGTCAGGCTGGTTGCGAACTCCCAACCTCAGGTGATCCGCCCACCTCAGTCTCCCAAAGTGCTGGGATTACAGGCATGAGCCACTGCGCCCAGCCAGAATAGAGTACCTCTCTTATGTTCTTCTGTATGTAAGGATACCGCAGTCCTCCCCTATGGAGGATGCAGCAACAAGGCACCATTTGGAAGTAGAGATACCTCAGACACGAATCCTGCTGGCACCTCAGACTTCCCAGCTTCTAAAACTGTAAGATATAAATTTGCATTGCTTATAAAATGCTCAGTCTATGGTATTTTGTTATAGCAGTACAAATGGACTAAGAACTCCCTGCTGACAAATTGAGCCCAATGGGTAAAAGAGGGAAAGGTAAGATAGCTTAAGGCGTTATTCCCTGGTTTTTCACATCGCAGATTCCCAAAGGGAGCTGAAAAGCCAGGAAGATAAGAAAGGTATGGTGGCCGGGTACAGTGGCTCATGCCTGTAATCCAAGCACTTTGGGAGGCCAAGACGGGCAGATCACGCGGTCAGGAGCTCGAGACCAGCCTGACCAACATGGTGAAACCCTGTCTCTACCAAAAATACAAAAATTAGCTGGGCATGGTGGTGCGTGCCTGCAATCCCAGCTACTCAGGAGGCTGAGGCAGGAGAATCGCTTGAACCCAGGAGATGGAGGTTGCAGTGAGCCGAGATTGCGCCATCGCACTTCAGCCTGGTGACAGAGCGAGATTCCATTTCCAAAAAAAAAGGAAAAAAGGTATGGTGGAAGATTGCCTCGCCTCATATTTCTTCCAGTTGAGTAATCAGCAAATTTGCAAGCAAGTATTGCATAAGAGCTGAAGTTTATTTAGATGTAGGACAGTATAAACGTAGAACAGTAAAATGCTTTAACTCTTGCTAACCCAACTGTCTTTATAAGAGAAATAACAAAACACACAAAAGTGGAATTAAATTGATCACAGTGGTTTTAAATGTGGGAGGGGGTGATAAAGTTATGAAGAGCTTTGTTTCCCTCATTCTTTCCTGAAAAAGTGGCTGTAGTAGGCTATTCCTACATTACTATAAAGAATATCTGAGACTGGGTAATTTATAAAGAAAAGAGGTTTAACTAGATCACAGTTCTGCAGGCTGTACAGGAAGCACAGCACCAGCGTCTGCTTCTGGGGAGGCCTCTGGGAGCTTAAAGAAGGTGAAGCAGGAGCTTATCTCATGGCAAGAGCAGGAGCAAGGTGGTGAGCAAGCGCCACACACTTTATGTAACCAGATCTCACGAGAACTCACTCAATATCTCAAGGACAGTACCAAGAGGTTAGTACTAAGCCATTTATGAGATACCACCCCCATGATCTAATCATCTTCCACCACGCCCCACCTACAACACTGGGGATTACAATTTAACATGAGGTTTGGGTAGGACTCAGATCCAAACCATATCAGTGGCCAAAGAATAGACAGGTTCTGATTTAAACAGTTGGCCGGGCACGGTGGCTCACACCTGTAATCCCAGAACTTTGGGAGGCTGAAGCAGGCAGATCACGAGGTCAAGAGATCGAGACCATCCTGGCCAACACGGTGAAACCCTGTCTCTACTAAAAATACAAAACTTAGCTGGGCGTAGTGGCGCACACCTGTAGTCCCAGCTACTCGGGAGGCTGAGGCAGGAGAATCGCTTGAACCTGGGAGGCAGAGGTTGCAGTGAGCAGGGATCGTGCCACTGCAGTGGAGACAGAGTGAGACTCCATCTCAAAATAAATATTAAATAAATAGTTTAATGGTATGAATAACTTGACTTTAAAAGTTTATGCTAAATCTTTCCTTTTAGAAGATTCTGTAGTTAAGACTGCTTTGGACATTTTTAAAAACTAATTGGGTTAAAATTAGTGTTTAAAGGTTTCAGAGTTCACTTAAATAGGAATATAGCATTTTCACTGGTAAACAGAAAGACAATTCCTGTTGGAAGAACATTTGGGCCGGGTGTGAAAAATAAAAAGGAAACTAAAACCAAAATTTGCTGAACTCTATCATTTCTAGAATGACCCATGTTTTCCAGACAAACAGAATTAAAATTGTCTCAAAACCATTCTGTGTTTCAGGCATAATTATATCTAGGTAAAGACACTCATGCTGGACCAAAGCCAACTGAGATAAAAAGGAATGGCTGGAAATAGAGGCTAAAGCCTTGGGAAATAACTTCTCCCATTTGGATATATTTAGAACCTGGCTTGAAACTTTGGCTTCTGCAACTTCTGGATTGAGAAGGAAGATGCTGACAAAAGGTAGATCTTTAGAGGTTTACAATGATATGTAAGAGAATGTGTTTTTAAATTTGGAGAAATATCCCCAAAGGAGTTACGAATTCCACTTTTTTAAAGAATGAATTTGAGATCCAGGAAAAGATGGCAGCCCACTGAAGAGTAAGTGTACCTCCTGCTAATAATCAGAAGCTCCAGCTCCAGGACAGAAGAAGCCGAGGAGGATTGAGCAGGCAACAAAGAAGCAGGTGGCAGAAGCAACTTGATATATAAGGGTGACTGGGGAGAGGGCACAGCATGGCACAGAGCTCTGTGCTCCAAGAAAAGCCACACTTTCTAGTCCCTACCCTAAAAAGGGCTCATAGTGCTTATCCTACACCTCATCCAAGCTGAAAGAAGAAACAGGAGTGGAGAAGATCACATGAGATCTGGCCAAAAATGTTTTAAAAGCTACATTCACTAGGTGGAGGATGTGTATGCATGTGTGTGTGTAAAGGGGAATTATCATTTTAAAAAAACAACACCAATTCCACAACACAACAACAACAAAACCCCAATCAGAAAATTGAAGAGGCCTGTGTAACCCAGTCCCTACAGTGAAGGGGCTGGAGGCTGTGGAGTAGGCCCCAGGGGAGTTGGTGGGGGTCAGAAGTCACCATGCTGAGGGCCACATAGAGAGTGCCGAGTTCTATTGGACCCAGGCAGTGACCCAGACCCCAGTCCTTGGGCTGCTGGGCTGAGGGAATGCCAGGCTTCCTTCCAACTGAAGGGGCCTGCAGTCTCCTCCTCCAGGCTGCAGCAGATACACCATCCAGAAACCAGTCTGGCCTAGACAGGACCATGACCTTCCCCTTTCCATGCTGCTCAAAGACCACCAGACCATCCCTGGAATTGAGAAGGGCAATGATACAGTGAAAAGATCCTTGTCTTTGGAAATGACCAACCAAAAGGAGAAGCTAAATATCAAGTAAGAACATCTGATGAACAAAGTCGTGGCAAACCCTAAGGACACCAGCTTCCTGGAGGCTCGAATTATTCCCTTGACCAAAGCCCACAATTATGAAGAACACAGCAGAAACACTGAAATAACAAAACCCACAAATACTATTGGTGATGGGCACTGTCCAGAGGAAAAAGATGCTCAAAAACCTTCGTTAGACCAATATGATGTCTCTGAGAAGACACACTGGGGACTGAGCACATCTTTTTGATGGAGCAGCCCATTGCCAAGTCCTGACTGAGAAGACTGTGCGTTCTGGATGTTCCAAGAGACTCAAAAGCTGAAGAAGCAAAAACAGCCTTTAAAAGTTGCAGCAGCAGCAGCAGCAGCAGCGGCAGCTCAAAACATGACCAGAGGAATCCAGAGAGCCCTGCCAAAGCCTGACCAGAAGTACTCAAAGAAAATAAACTGTTAAATATTTTTTTGAAAAAGAAAACTGAATAGACATTCTCTAAACAAGATACAAAAATGGGCAACAAATACATAAAAGACGCTCAATCTCACTAATCATTAGAGAAACACAAATCAAAACCATAAGGAGATACCACCTTACACCCGCTAAGATCAATACTATTTTAAAAAACAGAAAATAATAAGCATTGGCAAGGATGTGGAGAAACTGGAACTGTCATGCACTATTGCTAGGAATGTAAAATGGTACAGCCCCTGTGGAAATGAGTATGGCAGTTCCTCAAAAAAAAAAAAAAATCAAAAATAGAATTACCATATAATCCAGCAATTCTACTTATGAGTACATATCCAAATTAATTGAAAGCAGGGTTTCAAAGGGATATTTGTAAACTCATGTTCACAGCAGCATTATTCACAATAGGCAAAAGGTATTAACAACTGAACATCCATTGGTAGATAAATCAGTAAACAAAATGTAGTATATACCTATAGTAGAATATTATTCTGTTTAAAAAGGAAGGAATCTATGATATGCTATAGCATGGAGCAATCTTGATAACATTATGCTAAGTGAAACAGTCCAAAATGACAAATACTGTATGATTCCTCTTGTATTAGAGGCTGTTTTTACATTGCTATAAAGGAATACCTGAGGCTGGGTAATTTATGAAGAAAAGAGGTTTATTTGTTTCACAGTTCTGCAGGCCATATAGAAAGCATGGCACCACCATCTACTCAGCTTCTGGTGAGGCCTCGGAAGCTCCCAATCATGGCAGAAGGCAAAGGGGGAAGAGGCATGTCGCATGGCAAGAACAGGAACAAGAGAAGGGGGAAGTGCCTCACTATTTTAAACAACCAGATCTTGCATGAACTCAGAGCAAGAACTCACTTATTATCGTGAGGACAGCACCAAGCCATTCATGAGGGATACACCTCCTACAGGCCCCACCTTCAACACTGGGGATTACATTTCAACACAAGATTTGGAGGGGACAAACATCCAAACTATATCACCATTATATGAGGTACCTACAATAGTCAAATTCATAGAAACTGAAAGTAGAATGGTGGTTACCAAGGGCTTGGGGGAAAAATAATGGGCAGTTGTTTAATGGGTACAGAGTTTTCGTTTTGCAAGATGAAGAGTTCTGGAGATAGATGGTGCTGCTGGTGGCACAATGATAGGAATGTACTTAATGTCAATGACATGTACACTTAAAAATGGTTAAGATAGGCCAGGCGCAGTGGCTCACGCCTGTAATCCCAGCACTTTGGGAGGCCGAGGTGGGCAGATCACAAGCTCAGGAGTTTGAGACCAGCCTGACCAACATGGTGAAACCCCATCTCTACTAAAAATACAAACATTAGCCCCTGGCGTGGTGGTGTGCAGCTGTAATTCCAGCTACTCAGGAGGCTGAGGTAGGAGAATTGCTTGAACCTGGGAGGCAGAGGTTGCGGTGAGCCGAGACTGTTCCACTGCACTCCAGCCTAGGCGACAGAGTGAGACTCCGCCTCAAAAAAAAAAAAAAAAAAAAAAAAAAGGGAGTTAAGATGGTAAATTTTATGTTACATGTATTTACCACAATTAGGGAAAAAAAAAATGTGAAACCCAAAACGGCCAAGGGAGAATCTGTTCAAACTCTCAAGACTAGCAAGGGAAAGTCAGTTGAGCCCAAGTCCAAGGTAAACTGAGGATGGGGTCAAGATATCTCAGCCTTCTTGCTATATTAACCCTTTGACATAAATGACAATAGAACAGTCTAGTGGTATGTCTCCATGGAGCCCTCTGGCAGTGATGTCCCCAGTTGAATGCAGGTGCTATATGAACAAGCAAGATGGAAATCTGTAGTATTACTAGATACCATGCATGCAGTTTAATCTGAAGCATTAAGTTCCCATGGATCTCACAGGGAGTGGCAATCAAAGACCTATGATGGTTAAAGGAAATTAAATTTAAATAACTTCCCAGGACCAAGCAGAAAGCCCAAAACCATGTTGACGTGTTTTGAGTTTTACATAAACATATCACACACATGAAGCTGTTACTAGGCTGTTACTACTTTTTGGAGGGGTTTTATGGATGCAGCTTCCACACAACTTTGAAAATATAAATATATGATATTTAGATTCACGCCAGTGATTGAATAATTGTACTAAGACAGAAATGGCTAAAACTTTCTATGGCTGTCCTGTCTCTACCTTTTATGAAAAAAGTTCTAAGGCCAGGTGCGGTGGCCTGTAATCCCAGCACTTTGGGAGGCCAAGGTGGGTGAATCACCTGAGGTCAGGAGTTCGAGACCAGCCTGGCCAACATGGTGAAACCCCATCTCCACTAAAAATACAAAAGTTAGCTGGGTGTGGTGGTGGGCACCTGTAATCCCAGCTACTCAGAAGACTGAGGCAGGAGAATCGCTTGAACCCAGGAGGCGGAGGTTGCAGTGAGCTGAGATCATACCACTGCATCCCAGCCTGGGCGAAAGAGTGAGACTCCATCTCAAAAAAAAGTTCTAAAAATGTATCATGACCCAGATTAGTATGAAAGGAGAGGGTGTGTAAATGTAATACCAACATAAAATTACACATGTTATAAATGCGTTATAATCCAAATGTGTTTGCTCTTCTACGTGTTGCTTTCTGTGGAGGCCAAGAAAGATTATGAATAAATGGCATGAACTGATGAAAATTATTCTGTAATTTAGGGGGCAAAATATATTTTAAATATGTATTCTTATTTTTATCACACTTACATATGTACATAATTTAAAAAATCAAATACTTCTACAATAAAGGTTGATTCAGTAATTGAAAATTTTTATTATAAAATTTAAAAATTTTAAATAAATTTGTTTATTTAAATAATTTATTTATTATTAAGCCTGGGTGACAGAACGAAACTCCATTTCAAAAAAATAAAAATAAAAAAAATTAGCAAAAGACCTGAATAAGCATTTTCCACAAATGACATAAATGGCCAACAGGTATAAGAAAAAGTGTTCAACATTACTAATCATCAGGGAAATGCAAATTAATACCACAATGACATTATTCCCTCATACTTCTTAGGATGGCTACTATTAAAGAGACAGAAGACAAGAGGTATTGGTGAGAATATGGAGAAAAAGCAATCCTTGTACAATGTTGGTGGTAATGTAAATTGGTATAGCCATTTTGGGAAATAGTATGGAGTTTCCTCAAAAAATTATAAATAGAATTACCATATGATCCAGCAATCCCACTTCCAGGTATATACCCAAAGGAAATGAAATTAGTATTTTGAAGAGGTATCTGTACTCCACATTCACTGCAGCATTATTAACAATAGTCGAGATACAGAAATAACCTAAGGGTCCATCAGTGGATAAGTGGATAAAAAATTGTTATGTATATAGGTACATATACACACATGAATATTATTCAGCCTTAAAAAAGAAGGCATCCTACCATTTTCAACAACATGGATGAACCTGGAATACATTATGCTAAGTGAAATAAGCCAGACACACACAAAAATTACATGATCTCACTTATATATGAGATCTAAAATAGTAAAATTCATAGAAGCAGAGAATAGAATAGTGGTTACTAGGGGTGGGCCAGGGAAGGTAGAGGAAATGAGATGTTGGTCAAAGGGTATGAAGCTTCAGTTATATAGGATGAATAAATTCTAGAGATCTAATGTACAGCATAAATATAGATAATAGCACTATATTGTATATTTGAAATCTGCTAGAATAGATCTTAAATATTCTCACCATACATATATAAAATGGTAATTGTGAGGTAACGATATGTTAATTCGTTTGACTACAGTCATTGTTTTACAATGTATATCAAAACATTACATTGTATACCTTAATTATATGTATATTAATATATATAATTTTTATTTAAAAATAGATAAATACCAGAAGCTCAAAGGGAAAAAACAAGTCCCTTAGCAAACTAGGAATAGAAGGGAACTTCCCTGGTTTTATGAATTGGATCTACAAAAAAAAAAACCTACAGCTAACATTATATTTAATGGTGAAAAGACTAAATGCTTTCCCCCTAAGATGGGGAAACAAGGCAAGGACATCAACTCTCACCATTGCTATTCAACATTGAAAAGGACATCCTAGCCAGCATAATCTGTGGGAAGCGGGTGAGGCAGGCAGGGAGAGTATACAGATTGAAAGGAAGAATGTAAAACATCTTTATTTACAGAACACAGATCATGTATGTAGAAAACCCTAAAGAATTTACAAAAAAGCTGCAGAACTAATGAGTTCAGCAAGATCATCACAGGATACAAGGTCAATATTTAAAAATCAATTATGTTTCTAAACATCAGCAACAAACTATTAGATATTGAAATTTTAAAATCCTACCTACAAGAACATAAAAAATATGAAATATTTGTGGATAAATTTAGCAAAGTATGTGCAAGACCTGTATTATGAAAACTACAAAACATTGATGAGAGAAATCAATAAATGGAGAGTTTTAAATATGCTCACTACTTAGAAGATGGTAAAAGAAATCAATTCTTCTCAAATTGATTTATAGATTCAAATCAGTCCCATCACAATCCCAGCAAGCTTTTTTGTAGGAAATGTCATTCTAAAATTTATATGGAAATGCAAATGACCTATAATAGTCAAAACAACTTTGAAAAAGAACACAGTTGGAAGAATTAAACTACCTGATTTCAAAAATTACAACAAAGCAGAAGACAGTGTGTTATTGGAGTAAGGATAGACATATAGATCAACAGAACAAAAAAGAGTCCAGAAATAGACTAACACATACTTAGCAAATTAATTTTAAACAATGATACCCAGGTAATTCAATGAGAGAAAGCTAGTCTTTTCAATTAATGGTACTAAAATAATCGATATCCACGTGCAAAAAATAAACCCAAATTCTTTTTTTTTTTTTTTTTTTTTTTTGAGACAGAGTCTCACTCTGTCACTGAGGCTGGAGTGCAGTGGCACCGTGTCGGGTCACTGCAACCTCTGTCTCCTGGGTTCAAGCAATTGTCCCACCTCAGCCTCCCGAGTCACTGGGATTACAGGTGCCCACCACCACACCAGGCTAGTTTTTATATTTTTAGTAGAGATGGGGTTTCACCATGTTGGCCAGGCTGGTCTCGAACTCCTGATCTCAGGTGATCCACCCACCTTGGCCTCACAAAGTGCTGGGATTACAGGCGTGAGCCACCACGCCCGGCCAATAAACCCAAATTCTTAACTGTCACCATATATTAAAATTAATTCAATGGTTCCAGAAGTAAATTGCCTAAGATCCATGATTACATTCCATAATATAGTAATTTTTATCAATACCACATTGCTTTAATTGTGGGAAAGAAGGACCACTACATGAAATAAAAATAAAAATATTAATACTAAAAAAATTCATAATGAACTAGAGGCCTAAATATAAGAGCTGAAAGCATAAAGCTTCTAGAAGAAAACATTTTTAAAAATCTTTGCAGCCAGGCACAGTGACTCATGCCTATAATCCCAACACTTTGGGAAGCTGAGGTGAGAGGATCGCCTGAGTCCAGGAGTTTGAGAGCAGCCTAGGCAACATAGTGAGATCCTGTCTCTACAAAAACTATAACAAATTAGCCAGGCATGGTGGTGTATGCCTACAGTCCCAGCTACTCAGGAGGCTGAGATGGGAGGACTACTTGAGCCTGGGAGGTCAAGGCTGCAGTGAGCTATGATCACACCACTGTACTCCAGCCTAGGTAACAGGGCAAGATCCTGACTCAAAAAAAATGACTTTGCAATCTTGGCATAGGTAAAAATTTCCTAAGTAGTATACAAAAAGGATAAACCATAAGAGAAAAAAATATTGAACTTCAAAATTTTTAACTTCTGCTCTTCAAAAGACACAAAGAAATGAAAAGGTAAGCTATAAACTGGTAGAAATATTTGAAGAACACATTTCTGATAAAAGAGTTGTAACCAGAGTAAGAATTTTTAAATTCGAATATAAGAAGGCAAACAACTCAATGGTTAAAAGACACGAACAGACACTTCACCAATGAGACATACAAATGGCAAATACGTGAAAAGATGCTCAACAGTATTAGTCACTAAAGAAATGCAAATTAAAACCACCATGAGATAATACTACACACTTATTAGGATAGATAAGTTAAAAAGACTGACAATACCAAGTGTTGGTGAGGATGTGGAACATGTGGAACCCTCATACGTTGCTTATGAGAATGCAACTTTGGAAAACAGTTTTGCAGTTTCCTATAAAGTTAAACACAGACACACCATATGACTCAGCGGTTCTTCTCTTGGACATTTAACGATGAAAAATGAAAACATGCCCAAAGGCTCGTATACAAATATTCAGTAGTGTTATTCATAACAGCTGAAAAAATGAAAACCACCCCAATGTCTATCAAAAGTTGAATGGATAAGCAAAATAGGTTTACCTATGCAATGGAATATTCTTCATTAATGAAAAGGAATAAACTACTGATAACATGGAACAACAGAGATGAATCTCAAATTATACTGAATGGAAGAAGCCCAACTGAAAAGACTACATATCATATGATTCCATTACATGAATTCTAGAAAAGGCAAAACTACAGTGAGGTAATGCATATGTTAATTAGCTAGATTTAGTCATTTTACAATGTATATATACTTCAAAATAACGTACACAGTAAATATATACAATTTTATCTGTCAATTAAAGATATATATAAACAAAAATTATTTTAAAAAAGGCAAAACTAGAGTGACAGCAGATCAATGGTTTCTAGGTGCTGAGGGTGGGCAGAGAAGCTCACTGCAAAGAGCCACAAGGAAATTGGGTTAATTGAAATGTTCTGTATCATGATTGTGGCGATGGTTACATGACTATAGATTTATTAAAACACTTCAAATTGAACACTTAAAGTCAGTGAATTTTATGTAAATTATACCTCAATAAAAGTGATTTTTAAAAATAATTTTAAAAAAGATTAAACAAATTACAATATTTAAGTTATATATGTATAGTCATATGTCACTTAACAATGAGGATATGTTCTAAGAAATGTGTCATTAGGTGATCTTGTCATTGTGTGACTATCATAGAGTACACTTATGCAAACCTCGATGGTACAGCCTACTACATATGTGGGTCACGTGGGATAGCCTATTGCTCCTAGGCTACAAACCTGTAAAGCATGTTACCGTACTGAACCCTGTAGGCAACCGTAACACTAACACAATGCTAAATATGTGTATATCTAAGCATAGAGAAGGTACAGTAAACATTACACCTGTATAGGGCACTTACCATGAATGTAGCTTGCAAGGTGAAAATTGCTCTGGGTGAGTGAGTGGTGAATGAATGTGATGGCCTAGGACATTACTGTACACTACTGTAGACTTTATAAACACTGTACACTCAGTTAACTATCCTAATTAAGTGTGTATTGTTATCTCATGGTGGTTTTAATTTGCATTTCCTTAATGACTATTTTTTATAAATAAATTTATTTTAAAAAGTATCTTTCTTCAATCACAAATTAACCTTAGCTTACTGTAACATTTTTACATTATAAACTTCAAAAAAATTTTAAAAAACATTTGGACTGTTTTACAATAACTTAAAACATATACAATATTTTTTCTAGTTTTACATTTTTAAAATCATTGTATTTTAAAAACCTTTTGTTAAAAACTAAGACACAAACATGCACATTAGCCTATGCCTACAAGGGCCAGTATCATCAAGACATCACAGGTGATAGGAATTTTTCAGCCCCCTTATAATCTAATGGGATCACTATCATATCTGTGGTCCTCTCTTGACTAATATGTTGTGATGAGACACATGACTGTATATGCAACATGCACCAAATTGCAGAGTTATCCTTACATTTCTCTGTAGTGGGTATCTTGGAATTTGATAACTTGGTTTTGTGACTACAGTGCAAAAATCATTCTATGTGTGATACAAAGAAATTTCTATCCATTTGTTCATAATAGTCACCACTGGGGCAAAAAGATGGAGCAGAGACACAGTATGGGGTGGTCTAATATGCCCGAGGAAGCCAAACTGCATTAATGTCACCATTCAGCAAAGACCCATGATATTGGCAGGGAGAACTAACTGTGCACTAGGTATTCTTCAAGTCTACCATTTGCAACACTCATTAGCAGCTGAAGAAACCTTTATCTCTTGCAACTGATGCAGACCCTGACAGTAGCAGATAAAGCAAAATAGTACAACGCATGCTGCAGTTTTAAAAGTCACGAGGAATACAAAGATGACTTTGCAGGTCATCTCACGTTCAATGAGAAGGCTATATTTAAGCGGAAATATGAATCATCACAACATACACATGTGAGATCCTACCATATTATGATAGAACATGTAAGTGATCCAAAAAGAATTAATGTCTTTTAAATGTACTTGACCTATTTGCTTATTGCTGTTTTTCCCCCACTAGAATGATGATATCCCATAATGAAAGAGATTTCTGTCTTCACTGTTCACTGCTATATCCCTAGCATCCCCTAAAATGCCTAGCATATACAATTACTCAATAAATATTTGTTAAATTATGCCCATGTAGATAGTAAATATTTGTTGTATGAATTTATGTCAATGTAGACCCCATTCACAGCTAAATGATATAATAACTTTCCCTTATATGTTCCTTTCTTGTACAATTCCTTTGATTGGAAGTTACCAATTGTTTTTTTTCTTTCATTTGGTTTCTATGTACCAAATAAAACCTAAACTTTCAACCAAGTTGATTCTTATTTTCTTTACATATTTCTTCATTCCAAAATTTCCTAAAGTGTACATATATTCAGAATAAAGAACACATGTATCACCATAAAATTAGAGTTTTATAGAGGACGCTATCAATTAACAGTAACACCTTTTTGTTTTCTTTATTTCTGCAAATCTATCCCTCTGCATATGCTGTTTTCCCTATCTGGAAAACCCTCCACACTTGTCTTTGTTAACAAGCCTATCTTAACTCAATCTCCCTTACTACAGAATCCTTTATCATACTGGTTAATTTCAATCTTTTGATCCACTCTGACTCCCAACAAAATCCTAAACCCCTTTAGGGCAGGCAATATTCAGTACGTTTCTGTATTTCCCACTATTATGGCACATTCGATAAATGCTTAATGTGTTGACCTTGATGAATTACAGTGAGACTGAAGAAGCTTGAGGATACAAAAATTCATGTAAAGCTAAGAAGACAAAGATGTATTTCCATATTAAACTGTTATGCATAAAACCTACCAGTAGTGTCTGTCCTTGGAAAATGAAGAAATGACCTGATATAACTATGGTGAGAACAAGATATCCAGATTCTTCATTGGAATCAAAAACCTTGAAAGGGAGAAGGAGAAAAATATGTAAAAGATAATACATTTCTATAACTGATAAACTTACAATACTGATGACCAAGTGTTTTCTCATATTGATCTTTTTACTCCGAGCATTCTCTTTGCTTTTCCATTCATTTAATCTGTAACCCTTCCCTTACAACTTTAAGCTTCTCCATATATATAGGCTAACAGCCAGACTTTTAAAAAATAAAATTAAAAGCCAATATTTTGAAACAGAAAGAATATCAGATTAAGAATCATGAGTTGTGGGTCCTGAGCCAACCACTTTTTAGTTACATTTTAATAAATAATTTATTCTCTCTGAGCCTCAGTATTCTTTCTGTAAAATGGAGATAGCACCTTACAGAGTTGCTGTAAGACTTCACAGTCCCAATTTCTTCAGCCATGTAATCCATTTTTCTTTTCTTTTTTGTTTTTTTTTTGAGACAGAGTTTCACTCTTGTTGCCCAGGCTGGAGTGCAATGGTGTGATCTCGGCTCACAGCAACCTCTGCCTCCTGTGTTCAAGCGATTCTCCTGCCTCAGCCTCGCGAGTAGCTGGGATTACAGGCATGCGCCACCATGCCCGGTTAATTTTTGTATTTTTAGTGGAGATGGGGTTTCACCATGTTCGTCAGGCTGGTCTCGAATTCCTGACCTCAAGTATCTGCCCACCTCAGCCTCCCAAAGTGCTGGGATTACAGGCGTGAGCCATCGCACCCAGCCCTCCATTTTTCATAACCCCTTAACATCTGGTGCTTTCCTTTGGATGAGCTCTAGTTTGTCAGTGTCACTCTTAAAATATGGTGCCATAAACTTACCATAATCTGCTTGGTGTAGTCTAATTATTTCCCATTACTTGCAATACTATTGCCTATAATCACATTAACTTTTTGAGAGGGTAGTACACTGAAGAGTTTGATCTTAAATCAATATAACCTCCTGACACTTCATTACCTATGTTGGTAAATCATACTTCCCTTTATTCATCTTGAACCTAAACATAAAACCTTGGATTAGCCCCATTATATTTTATCTTGTTAGATTGGATCTATAGTTCCAACCTATCGAGATATAGTGAGGAACCGAAGAAATTAAATCAAAATGTCAGGGAAGGACATGACTGATAGATACATTAGAGTGGGATCTGGGTCTTAAGTGACTATACTATATAGGTGGCTTTCATATCCTTAATAAACACCGTAAGGTAAACATCCTTACATAAACAATAAGATGTTATAGACTCATCTTAATGCCCAAAGTTCAAAATAATTAACACATACCTAATTCAACTTAGATATGTTTTTATGAGGTTACTGCATTCTACTAACAATGCTCTTATAGTTTCATACGTGGGGTTTGGAGTTTTAATGCTATATTTAAATCCAAGATTTCTACTGTGTTTTCTCTAATTCATTTTAAATTCCAAACTTAAAAAGTGAATAACATTTTAGATATCAAAGGGGATACAATAAGACCTGCACTAATTCCTTCAGTGGTTGTAATTCTCCCTCTTTCCCAGTATTTGGAACTTGGTCAGTGGCACAACACTCTTCTTGTCACAGTTTAAATGAATTATCCTGTGTGTTTTAATGACTAGTTAGAACCAGAAGCATAGCTAGGAGTCAAGTACAGCTTTCACAACTACAGTCTGGTCAATGAATTATTTGGAAGGCAATGTGTTAACATGATAGTTTAATGTTTTGTTTTAAGAAATGTAACATATATACCAAAAAGCATCCGAAATATAAGTGTACAGCTCAATGAACAATGACAAAGCAAATACATCACCCAGATGAAGAAATAGAACATTACCAGATTTCCAGAAGGTCCTCTAGTGTTTGCTGTCTTAAAATCACTATCTGCTTCTTTTTCCCTTAAAATAATCTCCCATCCTGACTTCTAACACTATACTTTAGTTTTAATTATATGAGTGGAATCATAAAGAATTATTTGACATTTGGCTCCATCAATGTTGTTGCATGTGTATTCATTTTCATGATTCTTGAATACCTTCTATGATGATACCACCCTTTTTTTGTTTGTTTGTTTGTTTGCTGATGGGTATTTTTTCCAGTTTAGGTTCACTACAAATAATACTGTTATGAACATTCTTACATATGTCTCTTGTTGGATAGAAACACTCACTATAAAGATTTCTATTTTTCCCAAATTATTTTTTTTTCAAATCATAGCCAACAACTTCCAGGAGAGCCCCAGTTTAGACTACTCTCTTGCCCTCCAAATTGCTACATTTAATCACCCAATCAACATCTCCATGTAAAGGTTTAATAGTTATCTCAAAATTAACAGCCCCTAACTTGAACTCCTAACCTTCTCATTCACTATTTACAAAGTACCTACCCTGTGCTAGGCTGTTGTAGACATTTGACATCACAACATTTTCACCTCAGAAAATAATTTTCTTCTTTTTCAGGTTTCTATATGCAACACTTAAGAAATTAATTCTTTCCTTCCATTTCTTTGGCTAAACCATGGAATCATTCTTGACTCCTTTTCTCACACCCATATCCAATCCATCAGCAAATCCTTCATGTCTATCTTCAAAATATCCATAATTCAACCACTTCTTATAGGTCTTGTCTAAATTATCATTCTCTCTAGTTGGATTATTATAATAATCTCCTAACTGGCTTTTCAATTTCTGTTCTTGCTTCCCTTCTCCAACACAGAGTTTATTCTCAATACAGTAGCCAGAGTGATCCTTTAAAAATATAAGTCAGATCATGTCATTTCCAGCTTACAGCCCTGCAATAGCTCCCTATCTCATTCAGAAGCTCCTGCAACGCACTCCACGGTCTAGGCCCTCCACTGCCTCTCTGCTCTTGTCCTGTAGCACCCACCTACTGTGCACTCTCATCAGCCACACTAGCCTCCTTCCTGCTCCCTGAACCCACTAGGCACACTGATTATTATAAACCTCAGGGCTTCTACAATTGCTGTTCTATCTGAAATTCTCTTCTTCTAGATACCACGACTCACTCCATCTTCAAACCTTAGCTTAAATATCATGTTTTCAGGTAAAACTTTTCCTAACCATCCATCTGAAAACTCCCCCATGTTATCTAAACCACACTACTCCTATTCCCTTCTCCAGCTTTATTTTTATCCATAGCTCTTACCACTTTGTTATATTTACTTGTTACTAGTCTTCCCTGAGCAGAAATTAAGCTCCATGAAGATAGAGATTTTTTTTTCCCCGTTTTGGACACTGTTATATTCAAATGCCTAGGATAGTACCTGGCACACAATAGACACCCAATATTTTGTTGGATGGTTAAGTAAATAAGAACTTTTAAATGAAGGCACCATATTAAGATGCAAAATTTTCAAAGGAAATAAAGATGTCTTCAGAAAGAATTCATCACCAGCAGATCTGCACTGAAAGAAATGTGAAAGGAAGTCCTTCAGGAAGAAAGAAAATGTTATCAGATAAAAACTAAGATCTCCACAAAAGAATGAAGAGTGCAGGAAATAATAATTACATGGGCAAATGCATAAAAATTTTACCTAAATATCTTTAAAAGATAACTGATAAATGGGATTATATTGATAAACAATATTCAATTTATCCAAACGAAAGGCAAGATCAAAATTAAAAGGGAACAAAGAACAGATGGGAAAATTATAAAACAAATAGCAAGATAACAGACTGAAACCCAACCCTATCAATAATCATATTAAATATAATAGTACATTTAAATGTAAACACCTCAATTAAAGGCAGAGGTTGTCAGATTGGATAAAAAAGACAAAACAAGCTATATGCTGCCTACAAGAAATGCACTTTAAATATAAAAACAAACAGGTTAAAAACAAAAGGATAGAAAAAATATATACCAAGCTAATGCTAGTCAAAAGCTAGAGTAAGGCCAGGCACAGTGGCTCACTCCTACAATCTCAGCACAGGCTTGCCCTGGCTAACACAGTGAAACCCCATCTCTACTAAAAATACAAAAAATTAGCCGGGCATGGTGGCGGGCACCTGTAGTCCCAGCTACTCGGGAGGCTGAGGCAGGAGAATGGCGTGAACCCAGGAGGTGGAGCTTGCAGTGAGCCAAGATCGCGCCACTGCACTCCAGCCTGGGCAAAGGAGGGAGACGGAGTCTTAAAAAAAAAAAAAAAAAAAAAAGAGTCTAAGGCTTGCCTAAGGCCAGGAATTTGAGATCAGCCTGGGCAACATGGCAAGACTTGATCTCTACAGAAAATGTAAAAATTAGCCAGGCACGGTGGTACACGCCTGTAGTCCCAGCTGCTTGGGAGGCTGAAGCAGAAGGATCACTTGAGCTCAGGAGTTCGAGGCTGCTGTAAGCTATGATTGCACCACTGCACTCTGCACACTGCACCCAGAGGCCTGGGTAACAGAGTGAGACTCTTTCACTAAAAAGATAAAAATAAAAAATAAAAACTGGAGTGGTTTTATTAATATTAGACAAGAATATCAAAAGGTTACAAAGAAGGTCATTTCAAATAATAAAAGGGTCAATTAATCAAGAAAGATAATCATCCCAAACATGTATTCCTCCAATACAGAGCTTAAAAATACACGAAGCAGTAAGTGATAGAACTGTAAGGGGAAACAGACAAGTTCACAATTACAGTCAGATTTTAATACCCCTCTCTCAATAACTGATAGAAAAAGCACATAGCAAATCACCAAGTATATAGCAGACTTGAGCAACTGTCAACCAACATGATTGATCGACATTTATTGAACACTCCATCTAACACCAACACAAAACACATTCTTCTCAAGTATACACAGAGCATTCACAAAGACTATATTCTAAGCCACAGAACAAGTTCTGGTTGATTTAAGAGAATGTTACCTGAGCACAGATGAATTAAATTAGAAATCAAAAACAGGTCTCTGAAAAAAAGCCCCAAATATTCTTATTTACTCATGGGTAAATAAGAAATTAAAAGGGAAATCAGAAATATTGTGAACTCAAAGTTATTCACCATGTTAACATATTAAAAAAGAAAAACCATATGATCACCTCAATATGAGAGAATGCAGAAAAAACATTTGACAAAATCCAACATCTATTCCTGATTTTAAAACTCAGCAAACCAGGAATAGAAGTAACTTCCTCAAGCTGATAAAGGGCATCTATTAAAAAAAAAAAAAAAACTACAGCTAACTTCATACTGAAAGCTTTCTCCCTAAGATAAGAAACAAGACAAGATGTCCACTTTCACCACTTCTATTCAACATTGTTACCGCAAGTTCTTACCACTGTAATCAGACAGGAAAAAGAATGAAAAAGCATCCAGATTGGAAAGAAGTAAAACTGTCTTTATTCACAGACAACATGATCATCTATGTAGAAAATCCAGTTGATTTTACTAGAATAAGTGAATTTTAGAAAGGTTACAGAATAGAAGATCAATAAATAAAAACCAATTGCATTTACATACACTAATGAAGAACTAGAACCTGAAATTTTAAAAGCATCAAAATTTACAACATCAAAAATATAAAATACTAAGGGATAAATATGACAAAAGAAGACCAGCACATTGAAAATTGAGAGAAATTTAAGAACACTTAAATATATGGAGAGAAATATTTTGTTCACAGATAGGAAGATTTAATATTATTAAAATGCTGTAATAGGCAGAACAACGGTCCCCCTAAAGATGTCTATGTCCTAATACCCGGAACCTGTAATATGTTATCTTACATAGCAAAGGGATTTTGCATATGTGATTAAGTTAAAATATCTTGAGCTGGAGGGATAGCCCTGAATTATCCAGGTGAACCTATTGTAATCAGAAGCATCCTTACAAGAGAAAGAGGGAGGCAGAAAGAGTCAGAAGGAATGTGATTGCTGGCATTGAGGATGGAAGGTGGGTAACAAACTAAGGAATGCAGGCAACCTCTACGTGTTAGAGAAGGCCAGGAAAAAAAAAAAAAGATTCTTGAGCCTCCAGAAGGAATGCAGTCCTCCTGACACTTTGATTTTAGCTCAATAAACCCATTTCAAATTTCTGACCTCTAGAACTATAAGCTAATGTTTGCGTTGTTTTAAGCCACTAAGTTTATAGCTTGTTACAGCAGCACTAAGAAATTAGTACAGACACTAATTCTCCAAGTTGATCTATCCAATCCCAATCAAAATTCCAAATTTTTCAAGAAATGCAAGAGTCCAAAGAGACTATATGCCAAGCATTTAAGTCAGTGAGTTAACAATAGCAAAGTATCCACTATGTACTGATCCCTCTTATAATATGGAGAAGAAAAAAGACATAGAAAGTCTCTGAACTTGAACTTCATTAATTCTTCATTCAACAAATATATGATTGCAGTATCACTGAACAAAACACAGATCCTAATCCTAATGGAGCAAGTGTGAAATGGTGATGCAGAGCAAGAGTACAGACAATACACAACAAATATAATTAGTGACATACCAAAGGTGGGATGTTGGGAGCAGTACACTGCAGGTGCTGGCAATAAAGCAATGCTTGGTCTGTAGAGAATTTATAAACAATTAAAAAGCTGACTAAAATCAGTTTATTACCACCATGTGCCAGTAATTCTAATCAATGTCAGTGATAAAAATACTCCTTCCTGAAAAAAACATTTTGTTGGTCTAAGTTCCAAATAATTACTGCAGTTACTGCTGAGTTTAAATAATATATATGTAAGCTTCAAAATATCAGATTTGTTATTTATTCTTAAATTGTTGTCTACATATAAGTTCATTGGGGAAACTCCCAGTTACAGCTAACCCCCATCCATGCAAACTTAGGCACATACACTTGTTTCAAAAGCAGTGCACCAGGCTTTCTTAAACCTGAAGACTGCTTAACATGAAGTTCTTAATCCAACCCTTTCTTAGGATGCAGTTGGCTTTTCCCTCCCTGTGGTACTACATTCTTGTGCATTTAAATGATAGATTCAAAATAAAACAAAGATAGCACAGTGATTGTAAAGACCAAGAAACAACTTGAGGCACTCCAATTCTGTCATTTTTATGGGACCTTTTGGTATTTGTCTAAAATTTAAAACACTGTTGCAAGTGTAAATAGCAAGATGTAACTTATTTAATAAGTGCAAATTTTAGTTCACAAAATATTTTACTAAATTTGAACAATATCTTTAACATTGAAATTTATTCTCTTCAAATTAAGTGTTTTGAAACTAAAGAACGTTAAGAGGGGATAAAACATATCAACAATTTTATTAATAGTTGCGTAAATTGTACCTTTTGGAAATGCTTAGGTTTTTGTTGTTGTTGTTTTCCTTCCCCCAGCGGGAGTCTTGCTCTGTCACCCAGGCTAGAGTGCAATGGCACCATCTTGGCTCACTGCAACCTCTGCCTCCCAGGTTCAAGTGATTCTCCTGCCTCAGCCTCCTGAGTAGCTAGGATTACAGGTGCATACCACCACACTTGGCTAATTTTTTGTATTTTTGGTAGAGATGGGGTTTCACCATGTTGGCCAGGCTGGTCTCAAACTCCTGACCTCGTGATCCACCTGCCTCAGACTCCCAAAGTGTTGGGATTACAGGCATGCACCACCGAACCCAGTCGGAAATGCTTAATTTTACTTAAAAAAACTTCACTTATTAGTTAATGAACAATTTCATAAAATATCAGTCTGTAACTGCAGAATCCAAGTTCAAACAGTTAACTAGATATAAAAACAATTGGTGGCCGGGTGCGGTGGCTCATGCCTGTAATCCCAGCACTTTGGGAGGCCGAGGTGGGCAGATCATGAGGTCAGGAGATTGAGACCAGCCTGACCAACTGGTGAAACCCCGTCTCTACTAAAAAAATGAAAAAATTAGCCAGGCGTGGTGGTGTGCACCTGTAGTCCCAGCTACTCAGGAAGCTGAGGCAGAAGAATCGCTTGAACCCGGAAGGCAGAGGTTGCAATGAGCTGAGATCGCGCCACTGCACTCCAGCCTGGGTGACAGAGCGAGACTCCGTCTCAAAATAAAATAAAATAACACAATATAAAATAAAATAAAAACAATGGGCTAAATAGTTGTGGATTTTTTTTCCTGCCTTATACTGTATTTTTCCTATTTATTTGGCATAATTATTATAACAAAACTCAGTAAGAGAGAATGTCCGCTGCATAATATTTTTCATTTAACTTGATTATTTCAGAAAATAATTTTATCATTCAGGGGAAGAAGATGTTAAAAAAATATTCATTCTAGGTGTCAGATGTTCTAGGCACATCACTGAACATAGCAAATAAAAAAATTATCTAGTATATGAGATAATGCTAAGAGCTAGGGAAGAAATAGAGCAGGACAAGTGGAATCAAAGTGCAAAGACAGGACACAGATGTTACAATATAAATAGAGAGGTTAAGGTAGGCATCTGAGAAGGTGAGGCTTGAGCAAAGACCAAAGGTATGAAAGTTAACCAGGTAGCTGGGGGAGGAGAATTCCAGGCTTATGATTTTTCAGATGTCTGTTGCAATCCCTCATCCAAAAGGTCTACATAATGTGCTCATATAGTTAGAAAATATCCATTTTAAGAACTTCCAAGGGGTTCAAGAAAAAATGGTAGCTTCATTGCATCCCTGAAGTCTTCTCTTTCCAAATCCAATCCAAATGCCATTTACCTTTCCTTAAGCAATTATTAAGACCAGCATCTGGCAGGGGACAGTGACTCACACCTGTAAGCCCAGCACTTTGGGAGGCCGAAGCAGGCAGATCACATGAGGTCAGGAGTTTGAAACCAGTCTGGCCAAGATGGCAAAACCCTGTCTCTACTAAAAATACAAAAATTAGCTGGGCGTGGTGGTGGGTACCTGTAATCCCAGCTACTCAGGAGGCTGAGGCAGGTGAATCTCTTGAACCTGGGAGGCAGAGGTTGCAGTGAGCTGAGATTGCAATATTGCACTCCAGACTGGGCAACACAGTGAGACTCCATCTCAAAACAAACAAACAAACAAACAAAAAACACATCATCCAAGACAGCCAGAAGGGTGGATTGAGGTCTCAGGGTCCACAAAAAAAGAGCTAGTAGGACGTTTTCCCCCTACAGGAGAAAGGAGGTACTAAGCAAGGAGCCCTGAGGCAAAGACAATGCTGCAGTTCTTGTGAGAGAGCCTAGTCCCTAGAAATTGGTGGACCTCATGAAGATGGGCAGACCAGACTATGTGCTCTGAAGTTCCTAGCGGTCTCTCAACCTCCAAGGAGTCACAAAGGAGTTGGCCAACTTAACTCAATCCTTCCTACTTCTCTACAGGAGGCCCACAGCACTGTGACTTCTGCATCTCCCAACACTCAGCACCTTAAAGTGTCCACTCTTGGAGATGACACCCAGGAGTGAAAAGACCCATAAGTTAGACAAAGGAAAATAGCTACATACCCAATGGGCTAAAGCAATGAAGAACAACAGAAAACCCAAAACACGAGGCTCCCGGGGGAACAAGCTGCTAGAGGAGACTGACAACAGCTTGAACTAAATAATAACTGTAATAATAATAAATATATATTTCTGTATTTCTTATTAAATAATGATAAATATAATTATTATTCACACTTGAGAATCTTGAAGCTAAAACTATTTTATGAATACAAATTTCAATAGCTAATTGAAGAATTGGATGGACACTATTGAGGCCAAATTAATAGTTTAAAAGAGCAAGCAGGAGAAAAATAGAGCAAAACTAGGAGAAAGAAATCATGTGTAACAAGATACACGGAGCAAAGATTCAGATCCAGGAGAAAAAATGTTAGTGAGAGGGTCTAAAGTAGAGGGAGAAAAAAAGACTGAGGAAAGGAACTGATTGAAAAAATAATAGAATGAAATATTCTACAACTGCAGAAAGAAGTGAGACTGAAGATACAAACGGTTTAAGTTCCAGGCATTAATGGGGATGGGGGTTTTAAAAAATCAATAACTAGACATATCCTGATTAAATTCCTGAATTCCATGGATAGAAGAAGATCTTAAAAGCTTCTAGTTAAAAACAAAAACATCCTCCAACACCGAAGGAGTCTAGGGAACCAACTCTTTTTTTTTTTTCCTTTTCCTGTCACCCAGGCTGGAGTGCAGTGGCACGATCTTGGCTCACTGAAACCTCTGTCTCGTGGGTTCAAGTGATTCTCCTGCCTCAGCATCCCAAGTAGCTGGGACTACAGGCATGCGCCACCATACCCAGCTAAGTTTTGTATTTTTAGTAGAGATGGGGTTTCACTATGTTGGCCAAGCTGGTCTCAAATTCTTGACCTCAAGTGATTCACCCACCTGGGCCTCCCAAAGTGCTAGAATTACAGGTGTGAAGCACAGCGCCCAGCTTAACTCATTTTTTAAGTGGTAAATGAAGAGAAAACATCAAGAATTTATCCTAGCTCTGCTATAAAAACCAACCACCGGGTAACCTCTAATAGATAAGGGGATGTTTTTCTTTACAGAAATATTCTAGATGATATATAAAGAAAATACAAGAAAATCCAACCTGAATTTGACAAAGCCTCTAGATTCAATGACCAGTTCACAAGAAATACAGAGCACAAAGGATCACATTAAACTGCACCACAGAGATGGCGGTCAGCAAAATCCAGACTGAGAAACTCTGTAGAACAACCTGATTTCTTAAACCGCAAGGAAGAGAGAGAGGTGAGGTCAAGGAAATACTGCAGAGAAACCTAAAAATTAAAAGATACACCAATCAATCACAATTTTTGGCCATGTTTAAAAGAATTATGACACTTGTAAGACTACTTGAAATTTGAACACTGATAATATTATGAAATTGTTAATTTTGGGGTATTATGGTTATGCTTTTTTAAAGTCCTTTTTCTTTTAGAGATATGAACCGAAATAATTACTGATGAAATGATATCATGTCTGGGATTTGCTTCAAAATAACATGATGAGAAGGAAGTGGATAGGGTGTAGATGAAATTAGACTAGCTGTAAGTGGTAATTTTTTTTTTTTTTTTTTTTTTTGAGACGGAGTCTCACTCTGTTGCCCAGGCTGGAGTGCAATGGCACGATCTCGGCTCAGGGCAAGCTCCGCCTCCCAGGTCCACGCCATTCTCCTGCCTCAGCCTCTGGAGTAGCTGTGACTACAGGTGCCCGCTACCATGCCCGGCTAATTTTTTGTATTTTTAGTGGAGATGCGGTTTCACCGTGTTAGCCAGGATGGTCTCAATCTCCTGACCTCATGATCCGCCTGCCTCGGCCTCCCAAAGTGCTGGGATTACAGGCGTGAGCCACCGCACCTGGCCCGAGTTGGTAATTCTTAAAGCTAGATGATGCATACGTGTATCACTATATTATTCTGTCTACCTTTGATTATGTTTGAAATGCTTTAGAATACAAGTTGTTAGAGGCTTCCATGTTCTTTGTCGACTAGGTAGAATCAAGGTTAAGAAAAGCATTCAGCTTACCACAAAGGACAACGATACTGTATTTAGGATTTGAATATAATGTCCTAATTCTACCGAGACATTCCAATATCATAACACCTAACATAATCCAGGTATCTGAGAAAAAAAAATTGCTTATTTCTGGCCCTTGGGAAATACCTTTAATGACTGATAACTTTATACTACTGGCATGTTCACATTAACACAATATGGAAAGCTTAAAGAAAAATGTTGGCTGGGCACGATGGCTCACACCTGTAATCCCAGAATTTTGGGAGGCTGAGGTGGGTGGATCACAAGGTCAGGAGTTCCAGACCAGCCTGGCCAAGATGGTGAAACCCCATCTCTACAAAAAATACAAAAATTAGCCGGGCATGGTGGTAGGTGCCTGTAATCCCAGCTACTAAGGAGGCCGAGGCAGGAAAATCGCTTGAACTCGGGCGGCAGAGGTTGCAGTGAGCCGAGATCGCACCACCGCACTCCAGCCTGGGTGACAGAGTAAGACTCTGTCTTTAAAAAAAAAAAAAAAAAAAAAAAAAAGAAAAGAAAAAGAAAAAGAAAAATGTTATCTCTAATGACCAAATCATAACAGAAGACATTAATGTTAAGGGGTCACAGAGAACATACATAAAGTTTACATCTTCTCTTCGTTCCAGTTGCCAATCTAAACGTAGCTTAACATTGACATCAATATGACCTCCGCCTATGGCAGTATGTTGCCATCAACACAGCAGCACACACAGCTTTATTTGGAACCTCCCTATCACAAGCTTATACATCAGTTAAATAACAATAGCACAACCTATATATTGGTTAAACAGAGAATCTTCTCAAAATTTACATGCATGTGTTTGTGCAAGTCAGTACTATAAGAAAAATCTAACATCAGGTAGAAAAAAGTCAAAAGAGTATGAAAATACAGAAAAGTATTCCAAATGTGCTTACCCTAAATTATATCTACATGAAAGGTGAAAATAGTATTATTCAGATTGTGATGAATTAAATTATGTACTAGATCAGGGGTTTTGTTTTCTGCTTTTAAGACCCCTCAAAAAGTGTCACAGCTTTATATATTGGCTCAAGTTGCTATTTTATGCACTATAAAATATGAAAAGTGTGCAAAATTGCTAAGTAGGCTATCAACTGCCTTCCCACTGACTCTTGGTAGCAAGAGTCTCATAAATTATTTCAACAAACTTGTAGAGTGTATTATGCTAATAAAAGTGGTCCTGCCAAATACCAATTACCAGACAATAAAATTCAGCATTTTTTGGTGTTTCACAGAAATACAAAGTTTTAACTGTAACAATAAAAAAAAAACAATAGCAATAACACGCAGACCTTCCCCACCACCAAAAAAGTAATCATATATATAGAGAACTTTTTCTTTTACAATGTACAAAAATTATCTCATGTATCAAAGCATGAGATGTAATTCCCCTTTTACCACATATCCCTAAGATTATTGATCATGAAATTATCCAGTCTTTTTAAACCCAATTACTAGAATTAACTTCATCACCTCTATCAGTAGCCATAAATAGACTACATTTACTCAAAACACTTTCCATGTAACAGAAGAATTATCAGTAGCCATAAATAGACTACATTTACTCAAAACACTTTCCATGTAACAGAAGAATAAGTTCCTTATGTCTTTGAAATTACCAGTCAAGGCCACTCTGGTTATTTCTATAACAAATACTCCCACAACATTTCTCCCACATGTTTAAAGTATCCTTTAAACATTTCCCAGACTACTAAATCTGATAAAATCACTAACTATACCAGAAAGTGGTACTTCCCATTATCAAACCTATCCTAGGTCTCTGCAACTCTCACTCACCTTTGGTATCTTCATAGGCATGCTCTTCTATTCATTCACAAAGCACACTTAAGCTCATAACAGTTCCAGTAATCAAATTATATTTCAAATTTGAGTTAAGGAAACACCTTACTTTATTTCTCAGATACAGTGCTGTCATTTGTGAAGTCAAAAACACCTATATTGAAATAAGCAGGTACTTGAGCTTAATTGGCTAGCTCTTTAAGTAGAGATGCTTTAACCATCTCTAAACAGAGCCTTGCATAGTGTCTGGCACATAGTGGATAAAGAATAAATCCTAAAAATGAATGAATTTTAATACTCTTGGGCCTCATTCTAAACTGTAACTTCTTAGACTCCTTAAACCACTAAGCTGAAAAAAACTTCAGTTATTTGTCCAAATAAATTCTACCTTAAATCATGTTTCATAAACAATCCATAGCCTCTATGAAAACTATGTCTGTTACACAATAAAATTAAGATTTTGTTTACTGAAGAAAGAGAACAAAGACTGGTCCCAAGTTGGAAACATTTATAAACTAATGCTTTAGAACAACTAATAATTTTGTCATAGAAAAAAAATGTTAGAACATCAGTTATAAGGTTCTTCCTCAAAAGCCCATGCACTCTACAATGTACATGACATAATTCAATTAAACATAACCAAAAGAAAAAAAAATTTCCATATCAGTCAGGTGTAGCTTACAGTATGCTGCAGAAATTAACCCCCAAAAGCAAAGGTTTCTCACTTACATTACCTATCCACCCTTATTCTACCTGTCTTCACACTCTACCTCACACTGCCTATGTTTTCACTGTAGGACCTAGGCTAAGAGAGAAGCCAATATCTGCAACACTGGCAAAGAAAAAGAATAAGATGAATCATGCACTGGTTCTTAAAGCTTCTGCCCATGACAGTTGGTTCTGCTCACATTTCATTGGCCAAAACCAGTCATATAAAAAACTTAACTTCAAGAGGCCAGGAATATACAATCTGAGCATATTTGGTGAACAGCACTAATGACTACTACTTTATAAAAGACAATATCTGGAATTACAGCTAGGATCAAATTCCAGTTTTGCCATTTAGAAGCATATTTAATTAGGGCCGGGCGCGGTGGCTCATGCCTGTAATCCCAACACTTTGGGAGGCTAAGGCGGGTGGATCATCTGAGGTCAGGAGCTCAAAAACAGCCTGGCCAGCATGGTGAAACCGTCTCTACTGAAAAAAACACAAAAATTAGCCGGGCGGTAGTGGCAGGCAACTGTAATCTCAGCTACTCAGGAGGCTGGGGCAGGAGAATCGCTTGACCCTGCGAGGTGGAGATTGTGGTAAACCAAGATTGCACCACTGTACTCCAGTCTGAGTGCCAGAGTGAGACTCTGTCTCCAAAAAAAAAAAAAGAAAAAAGAAAAAGTATATTTAATTACCGCATCTGTAAAATGTAAAATAAAAATTGTAATACTACCTTATAGGATCATCTGAAAGATTAAATGGTATGTGAGATCAGATGCTTAGCAGAATGTCTGGCCTTCATTCCTTCAATTAATATTTTGGGGGCATCTGCCAAGCAGTGTTCTAGGTATTAACATACAATAATTACTCATTAAGTAGTTGTTTTTGTTATTCCAACCAGGGGCTCAAAGAATAAGTCTTCATTTCTTAGCAGTCTCTAGATCAGAAGAGAACTGTGTGGCAGACTGCCAGTTACCCTCCAATATCCATTTTTCCTTCTTATGGGGTAATAGAACCCTTAGTTTTTTTAGCTAGACATATGAACTTGTGGAATACAGACCATATATACCAGCTGCCCGTGCAGCTAGGATGGCCACAGGTCTAAGTTCTGGCCACTGTGCTCTAGGAAAGTGTCATGGTGGCTTACAGGAAACTTCCTTAAGAGACAGCAATCATATACCTTTGTCCATTTCTTTATCCCCTCCTCCACAAGCTGTCTAGGATACTGATTCTATCTCAGACTGTGAGACCATGGCCATGCACAGCAGAGAACAAAGAAGGAGCCTCAGTACCTATCACTATAGTGCCACACCAGCTGTGGACTTTTATGCGGAAAATCATAAACTTTCATCTTATTTAATCCACTGTTATATGTCACTCAGAGCCTATCTTAATCCTAATACAAAATGTTACCTGTTAACTCTTCAAAAAAAGCATGCTACATGAAAGGATAATAACTCTTGATGATACTCCTACATCTGCATATGAGAAGATAACTAATGCAGTAAGTGTCGGTGTATGGCAGAAGAAGCAATGGCTTGAGGAAAACCTGAGTTTTAGAATTCGTTCTTCCACTTCCTATGTTACCCTTTGGCAAACTATTTACCCTAATTAGGCCTCAGCTTTTTGTCTATAAGATGGTAATGAGACCCAGGAAGTCTTAATGTGAGAATTAAATGGAAAAAGGTTTATGAAAATACTTTGTAAATTGAAAGTTCCATATAGTATCAGTACCACTTAGTGAATTGTCCCCTCTTCCCTACCACCCTTTCTTCAGAATTGGGCCATGAAGACTGATTACAACTCATAGAATCAATTAGAGAGCCACCCCAGAAGTTGATTCAGTAGGCCTAGCACAGGAACAATGAAGCTGCATTTTCAAGAAGCACCCCAAAAGACTGATGAAAGTTGTCTGCTCACCAGGAGGAATCTTGGCTCCAGTGATCAAGCCCCACCTATCCTTGTAATCCTGTACTCAAGTAACATAACATTTTAAGACTGTGTGAAGCACACAGTTCCATAGAATCTCTAATGCCTAGTTGAATGTCAAGTACTTAGCAGATAATTTAATAATGCTTTGTTTGATGACCTGCAGTAGAAAAACAAAGTGGAACTGAATCAAAAGACTCACTATAGACTTCCTCTTCTGGCCAACGGGAATTAACAAGTACCTCCTTAACAGGTTATTTCATACCTCCTAAATGAAATAAAAAACTGAACAAATCAAAGGAAGCAACAGCTCTCAAGTCAATAGGTATCACGTAATAAAGGATGTTAATTCCTGAGAAATGACAGAAAATGAAGGAAGTGAGCCCTTACCACTGCCCCAGGTTACTTCTTGGCACGAGTTTCCAGGTCAGAGTGCAAGGATGATAAACCCAGGCAGAGCCTGGTGATAATTGAGTTGAGGAGATGAAGCTTCGAGTCCTAGGAGGTCAGTGCAGCTACAGTTTGCAAGACAAAACACCAGAGAAGAGAGACCTGTACGAAGGGAAGAACTCCAGACACTTGCAGAACCTCCTCCTCTGCTTCAGCTGAGTACTGATCAACATATATATATGCGTAAGGAAACTGCCAGAGGGTGGGGAAAGGACCACCTGAAAGAATTTAAGGGAATAATCCCCAGAGCTCACACAGGACAGGGAATAGTGCCTGTTCTTAGTAGAGAAAACAATTTACATTGAGTAGAATATTCAAGAGCTTTGCCTCAGAAGTGGGAAAAATTAGCCCTAGTCCCAGCCACTCTTGTCCCAGCTGACAAAGCTTAAAAGCAAAACTTGAAAGGATCAAACTGTTTCCAAATAACTTATCTGGAAAAAAAAAAAAAAAAAAAAAAGCTCAGAAATACAGAAATACAAAGATACCCTGTACCCAACAAAGTAAAATTCACAACATTAGGCCTGCAATAAAAAATTATCAAGCATACAAAGAACTATTTTACTATTTTAAATTTTCCTTAAAAACAAATTAAAAAACTGTTATTTTTGTTATTTTTATCCTGTGTGTTAATCTCAAAATTCTTCATCCACATAATTGAATTGCTACATTCCATATAAGATATTAACAGTTTTAAGGCAAACAGCATAGAGCTTAGAAGCACAGATTTTACAGACAAGAAAAGGAGTGTCTAAATTCTTTCTTTTCAACTTATCTTTGTGTTCCTGGGAAAGCCACTGAACCTGAGTTTCAGTTCACTTATCTATAAAATGGGTATAATAATATTTGCTTCATAGGGCTCTTGTAAAAAATACACCAAAGCAAATGATAAATAATAGCTATCATTTAATAATTAACACATTATCATAAGGAAAATTACCACACCATACATTCAAACATTTACTGAGCATCTATCATATACTTGGTATTATGTAGGCACTAGGAATATGAAAGAAAAAAGAACACTGTTGAGAAGATCCAAAATATATCTTATGTTGAATCCACATTTAAAAGTTCATTTCAAGTACAAACTTCACATTCTATTTCTTAATTTCTAAGTAGGGCAATTATTTTAAGTTCCTCCTATAAAAAAAGGATTTTTTTCCCTTTGAAAGGAAAAAAAAAAAGTCTAAGAAGTTGTCAGGTTCAACCAATTAGGGCATGTCTGAGAAATCCTTGAAATCTGAAAAACATGGTAAAACTTTAAAAGCAACCTGCAATTAACATCACCTTTCAAATTAGTCTACTTATTAGTAGACTAAATTATATTCAGACATAAAATACATAAAATGGACCAATCTGTTATTATATCTTTTCAGAAAGGCTGAGCCAACAGATCTAAGGAACTAACATTTGCTCATTCCACTTAAATGACGACAGATGGCTTAAATATTAACCCTATTAATAAAACATTTGCACAGTCATTATGAATCTGATTGCCTTACCTCATAACTCTATAAATTCATTTTATCAATTTTACTATATGGCTATCATTTCATTCAAGATATTCTAAACCCCTGCCTCTCAAAGTGTGGTCCTTGAACCAACAGCATCTGTGTCACCTGGGAGCTTGTTAGAACTAGAATCTCATTCCCCATACCAGACCTATTCTGACTGAGTCAGAATTTGCATTTTTAACAAAACCCTCAGATGATTTCTATGCACATTAAGGTCTGGGTAGCACAGCTCTAAACCATTGGGTTTTCAGTGTGCATGCGTGTTTTACAAAGTTTATTTGCTTCCGAATTGTGTTTATCTCTAGACAGTGTCTTTTAACAAGATTAATTCAGTTCAAAGAAGTAAATCAAATCAGTATACATAATGAAGCATATTATTCTATAAAATATATTAGATATTTTATACATAACATTCTTTCTGTCTCAGAATTGATCTTCCCTCTCAACTAGGACTTCGAGTCTTAGGAGTCTTGTTGTACTATTCATTTTTTCTCTTGAGTTGACATTTTTGTCTCAGCATATAGAGCCATTGTGATGAAAGTTTTCTCTGTAATTAAACAGCTATAGAGAACAGTACCAGGAGAACAGATTCTCCTATAATCAGAAAAAATCAAAGAACTCAAAATAGGTTCAACCAAGATTGAATCTGAAAGTTCCCTAAAGAAAAAACAACTAGAATGACTCTATCCTCCACAATAATATATTTTTATGCTTTACCTAACCTCTTTTTTTACTGCAGGTACCACATATTTTTAAAATAAAAAATTCACATGAGACTTAGAGAGTACAGTTCTTTAGATGGCTCATCTTTTATTATTATTACTGCACAATAGTCCCAGTGCCCATAAAATAGAACAAATCTTGTTTTCTCTTTCGTTTTTTCCAAAAAAAAAATGACAGACCTAGGCTGAAACTGATCACAGCGGGTAGGATGGTTCGGCACAGATTCAAAGGAAGGTACAAATGTTCAGTTTTCAAAACCACTGCAAAAGCCAACCTCATCTCTTGTCACTGTAGCTGTGGCTTTATGCCAAACATTTGAAAACTGTTAAAAGCACTGTTCCTTATAAGCAATTATGAAGAGCTTTGCAAAGAGAAGTAAAAAAATTGTAATAACAATCAACTCCTTAGAATGGTCAAATGTCCTGGCCTCTGGGTTGCAGGATAAGAATTTAAGAATTATTCAGCTGCACCCAACACAGATGCTTTAGGAGAAAGGGTTTAAAGTGTTTTATGAGAAGGTATCAAGGAACCTGTGGAGCAGTCTCAAAAATTAAATATGTCACCAAACATTCCCAGCTTTTTATAAGATCCAATTATAGGTCAGTCATCCTTATATTTAACTCTTCTTCACCTCATTTTGTATTTCAGCCTATATCATTTCTCAGGATACAGGGTTTCAGAACAGTACAACTAGGAATTTAATGTCTTTTTTATGGTCCTAGATATACTGATTTCAATCTTGAAGGAGTGCCCCTGGCTCTAATATTCTAGAATGTGGTGAATAATTCATTGTGCCCTTTCTCTAATCATACTCACAGCCAAGCCTCTCAGAAGAACTGTCTGTGCACATTGGCTACACTTCCTCACCCATCAGCCATTCTTTACCCTACTCCTATCTGGCTTCCACTCCCTTCACTCCACTTAAATTTCTCTTGGTAAAGACCATTAAGGACGTTCACACTGCTGAATGGAATAGATATCCCTTAGTCATCATGTTTCTTCATTTTGCAGCATCATTCAACAAAGTTAATCAATCACTCTTTCCCCTGGAAATAACTCTCTTTAGCACTGATAAACCTCCATTCTCTTGGGTGCTTCTCAACTCTCTGTCCCTTGTCAATCTTTTATTTATTTATTTATTTAATTTATTTTTGTTTGTGTTTTCTTTATTATACTTTAAGTTCTGGGGTACATGTGCAGAATGTGCAGGTTTGTTACATAGGTATACACGTGCTATGGTGGTTTGCTGCACCCATTAACCTGTGGTCTACATTAGGTATTTATCCTAATGCTATCCCTCCCCCAGCCCCCCACTCCCCTACAGACCCCGGTGTGTGATGCCCCCCACCCATGTCCATGTGTTCTCATTGTTCAATTCCCACTTATTAGTGAGAACATGCAGTGTTTGGTTTTCTGTTCTTGTGTTAGTTTGCTGAGAATGATGGTTTCCAGCTTCATCCATGTCCCTGCAAAGGACATGAACTCATCCTTTTTTATGGCTGCATAGTATTCCATGATGTATATGTGCCACATTTTCTTTATCCAGTCTATCATTGATGGGCATTTGGGTTGGTTCCAAGTCTTTGCTATTGTGAACAGTGCTGCAATAAACATACATGTGCATGTGTCTTTATAGCAGAATGATTTATAATCCTTTGGGTATATACCCAGCAATGGGATTGCTGGGTCAAATGGTATTTCTAGTTCTAGATCCTTGAGGAATTGCCACACTGTCTTCCACAATGGTTGAACTAATTTACACTCTTACAAACAGTATAAAAGCGTTCCTATTTCTCCACATCCTCTCCAGCACCTGTTGTTTCCTGACTTTTTAATGATCATCATTCTAACAGGCATGAGATGGTATCTCATTGTGGTTTTCATTTGCATTGCTCTAATGACCAGTGATGACGAGCTTTTTTACATATATTTGTTGGCTGCATAAATGTCTTCTTTTGTACATATCCTTCGCCCACTTTTTGATGGGGTTGACTTTTTCTTGTAAATTTGTTTAAATTCTTTGTAGATTCTGGATATTAGCCCTCTGTCAGCTGGATAGATTGCAAAAGTTTTCTCCCATACTGTAGATTGCCTGTTCACTCTGATGATAGTTTCTTTTGCTGTGCAGAAGCTCTTTAGTTTAATTAGATCCCATTTGTCAATTTTGGCTTTTGTTGCCATTGCTTTTGGTGTTTTAGTCATGAAGTCTTTGCCCATGCCTATGTCCTGAATGGTATTGCCTAGGTCTTCTTCTAGGGTTTTCATCGTTTTAGGTCTTATATTTAAGTCTTTAATCCATCTTGAGTTGATTTTTGTATAAGATGTAAGGAAGGGATCCAGTTTCAGCTTTCTGCATATGGCTAGCCAGTTTTCCCAACACCATTTATTAAATAGGGAATCCTTTTCCCATTGCTTGTTTTTGTCAGGTTTGTCAAAGATCAGATGGTTGTAGATGTGTGGTGTTATTTCTGAGGCCTCTGTTCTGTTCCATTGGTCTATATATCTGTTTTGGTACCAGTACCATGCTGTTTTGGTTACTGTAGACTTGTAGTATAGTTTGAAGTCAGGTAGCTGATGCCTCCAGCTTTGTTCTTTTTGCTTAGGATTGTCTTGGCTATGCAGGCTCTTTTTTGGTTCCACATGAAATTTAAAGTAGTTTTTTCCAATTCTGTGAAGAAAGTCATGGTAGCTTGATGGGGATAGCATTGAATCTGTAAATTACTTGGGGCAGAATGGCCATTTTCATGATATTGATTCTGCCTATCCATGAGCATGGAATGTTTTCCCATTTGTTTTTGTCCTCTCTTATTGCCTTGAGCCGTGGTTTGTAGTTCTCCTTGAAGAGGTCCTTCACATCCCTTGTAAGTTGGATTCCTAGGTATTTTATTCTCTTTGTAGCAATTCTGAATGGGAGTTCACTCATGATTTGGCTCTCTGTTTGTCTGTTATTGGTGTATAGGAATGCTTGTGATTTTTGCACACTGATTTTATATCCTGAGACTTTGCTGAAGTTGCTTATCAGCTTAAGGAGATTTTGGGCTGAGACGATTGGGTTTTCTAAATATACAACCATGTCATCTGCAAACAGAGACATTTTGACTTCCTCTTTTCCTATCTGAATACCCTTTATTTCTTTCTCTTGCCCGATTGCCCTGGCCAGAACTTCCAATACTATGGTGAATAGGGGTGGTGAGAGAGGGCATCCTTGTCTTGTACCAGTTATCAAAGGGAACGCTTCCAGTTTTTGCCCATTCAGTATGATATTGGCTGTGGGTTTATCATAAATAGCCCTTATTATTTGGAGATACAGTCTATCAATACCTAGTTTATTAAGAGTTTTTAGCATGAAGTGCTGTTGAATTTTGTCAAAGGCCTTTTCTGCATCTATTGAGATAATCATGTGGTTTTTGTCATTGGTTCTGTTTATGTGATGGATTACATTTATTGATTTGTGTACATTGAACCAGCCTTGCATGCCAGGGATGAAGCTGACTTGATCGTGGTGGATAAGCTTTTTGATGTGCTGCTGAATTTGGTTTGCCAGCATTTTATGGAGGATTTTCGCATCAATGTTCATCAGGGATATTGGCCTGAAATTTTCGTTTTTTTTGTTGTGTCTCTGCCAGGTTTTGATATCAGGATGATGCTGGCCTTGTCAAATGAGTTAGGGAGGATTCCCTCTTTTTATATTGTTTAGAATAGTTTCACAAGGAATGGTACCAGCTCCTCTTTGTACCTCTAGTATAATTCAGCTGTGAATCCATCTGGTTCTGGACTTTTTTTAGTTGGTAGGCTATTCATTACTGCCTCAATTTCAGAACTTATTATTGGTCTATTCAGGGATTCAACTTCTTCCTGGTTTAGTCTTGGGAGGGTGTATGTCTTGAGGAATTTATCCATTTCTTCTAGATTTTCTAGTTTATTTGTGTAGAGGTGTTTATAGTATTCTCTGATGGCAGTTTGCATTTCTGAGGGATCAGTGATGACAGCCCCTTTATCATTTTTTATTGCATCTATTTAATTCTACTCCTTTTGCTTTTTTATTAGTCTGGCTAGCAGCCTATTTTGTTGATCTTTTCAAAAAACCAGCTCCCAGATTCACTGACTTTTGAAGGGTTTTTCAAGTGTCTGTCTCCTTCAGTTCTGCTCTGATCTTAGTTACTTCTTGTCTTCTGCTAGCTTTTGAATTTGTTTGCTCTTGCTTCTCTAGTTCTTTTAATTGTGATGTTAGGGTGCCAACCTTAGGTCTTTCCTGCTTTCTCTTGTGGGCATTTAGTACTATAAATTTCCCTCTACACACTGCTTTAAAGGTGTCCCAGAGATTCTGGTATGTTTTGTCTTTGTTTTCATTGCTTTCAAAGAACATCTTTATTTCTGCCTTCATTTCTTTATTTACCCAGTAGTCATTCAAGAGCAGGTTGTTCAGTTTCCATGTAGTTGTGCGGTTTTGAGTGAGTGTCTTAATCCTGAGTTCTAATTTTATTGCACTGTGGACTGAGAGATTGTTTGTTATGATTTCCGTTCTTTTGCATTCGCTAAGAAGTGTTTTACTTCCAATTATGTGGTCAATTTTAGAATAAGTGTGATGTGGTGCTGAGAAGAATGTATATTCTCTCGATTTGGGGTGGAGAGTTCTGTAGATGTCTATTAGGTTCACTTGGTCCAGAGCTGAGTTCAAGTCCTGGATATCCTTGTTAATTTTCCGTCTCATTGATCTGTCTAATATTGACAGTGGGGTGTTAAAGTCTCCCACTATTATTGTGTGGAAGTCTAAGTCTCTTTGTAGGTCGCTAAGAACTTGCTTTATGAATCTGGGTGCTCCTGTATTGGGTGCATATATATTTAGGATAGTTAGCTCTTCTTGTTGCATTGATCCCTTTACCATTATGTAACGCTCTTGTCTCTTTTTATCTTTGCTGGTTTAAAGTCTGTTTTATCAGAAACTAGGATTGCAACTCCTGCTTTTTTTTTTCTTTCCATTTGCTTGGTAAATATTCCTCCATCCCTTTATTTTGAGCCTATGTGTATCTTTGCACGTGAGATGGGTCTCCTGAATACAGCACACTGATGGGTCTTGACTCTTTATCCAATTTGCCAGTCTGTGTCTTTTAATTGGGGCATTTAGCCCATTTACATTTAAGGTTCATATTGTTGCATGAATTTGATCCTGTCGTTATGATGTTAGCTGGTTATTTTGCCAGTTAGTTGATGCAGTTTCTTCATAGCATCGATGGTCTTTACAATTTGGTATGTTTTTGCAGTGGCTGGTACTGGTTCATGTTTAGTGCTTCCTTCAGGAGCTCTTGTAAGGCAGGCCTGGTGGTGACAAGATCTCTCAGCATTTGCTTGTCTGTAAAGGATTTTATTTCTCCTTTGCTTATGAAGCTTAGTTTGGCTGGATATGAAATTCTGGATTGAAAATTCTTCTCTTTAAGAATATTGAATACTGGCCCTCACTTTCTTCTGGATTGTAGGGGTTCTGCCGAAAGATCTGCTATTAGTCTGATGGGCTTCACTTTGTGGGTTACCCAACCTTTCTCTCTGGCTGCCCTTAACATTTTTTCCTTCATTTCAACCTTGGTGTGTATCTGACGATTATATGTCTTAGGGTTGCCCTTCTCGAGGAGTATCTTTCTGGTGTTCTCTGTATTTCCTGAATTTGAATGTTGGCCGGCCTTGCTAGATTGGGGAAGTTCTCCTGGATAATATCCTGAAGAGTGTTTTCCAACTTGGTTCCATTCTCCCCATCACTTTCAGGTACACCAATCATACATAGATTTGGTCTTTTCACATAGTCCCATATTTCTTGGAGGCTTTGTTCGTTTCTTTTCACTCTTTTCTCTAACCTTGTCTTCTTGCTTTATTTCTTTGAGTTGATCTTCAGTCTCTGACATCCTTTCTTCTGCTTGATCAATTCAGCTACTGATACTTGTGTATGCTTCATGAAGTTCTCGTGCTGTGTTTTTCAGCTCCATCAGGTCATTTCTGTTCTTTTCTAAACAGGTTATTCTAGTTAGCAATTCATCTAACCTTTTTTCAAAGTTCTTAGCTTCCTTGCATTGGGTTAGAACATGCTCCTTTAGCTCAGAGGAGTTTGTTATTACCCACCTTCTGAAGCCTGCTTCTGTCAGTTCATCAAACTCATTGTCCATCCAGTTTTGTTCCCTTGCTGGCGAGGCGTTGTGATCTTTTGGAGGTGAAGAGGTTTTCTGGTTTTTGGAATTTTCAGCCTTTTTGCACTGGTTTCTCCTCATCTTCGTGGATTTATCTATCTTCGGTCTTTGATGTTGGTGACCTTTGGGTGGGGTCTCTGAGTAGACATCCTTTTTGTTGATGTTGATACTATTCCTTTCTGTTTGTTTGTTTTCCTTCTAACAGTCAGGCCCCTCTTCTGCAGGTCTGCTGGAATTTGCTGGAGGTCCACTCCAGACCCTGTTTGCCTGGGTATCACCAGCGGAGGCTGCAGAACAGGCTGCTGCCTGTTCCTTACTCTGGAAGCTTTGTCCCAGAGGGGCACCCCCCAGATGCCAGCCAGAGCTCTCCTATATGAGGTGTCTGTCGGCCCCTACTGGGAGGTGTCTCCCAGTCAGGAGACACAAAGGTCAGGGACCCACTTTAGGAGGCAGTCTGTTCCTTATCAGAGTTCGAACACTATGCTGGGAGATCCACTGCTCTCTTCAGAGCTGTCAGGCAGGGACATTTAAGTCTGCTGAAGCTGTGCCCACAGCCACCCCTTCCTCCAGGTGCTCTGTCCCAGGGAGATGCGGGTTTTATCTATAAGTCCCTGACTGGGCTGCTGCCTTTTTTTCAGAGATGCCCTGCCCAGAGAGGAGGAATCTAGAGAGGCAGTGTGGCTGCAGCAGCCTTGCTGAGCTGTCTTGGGCTCCACCCAGTTCAAACTTCCTGGTGGCTTTGTTTACACTGTAAGGGTAAAACCACCTACTCAAGCCTCAGCAATGGCGGATGCCCTTCCCCCCACCAAGATACAGCATCCCAGGTCAACCTCAGACTGCTGTGCTAGCAGTGAGAATTGCAAGCCAGTGGATCTTAGGTTGCTGGGCTCTGTTGGGGTGGGACCCGCTGAGCCAGACCACTTGGCTCCCTGGCTTCAGCCCCCTTTTCAGGGGAGTGAACAGTTCTGTCTCACTGGCTTTCCAGTAGCCACTGGCGTGTGAAAAAAAAAAAACAAACAAACTCCTGCAGCTAGCTCAGTGTCTGCCCAAATGGCCACCCAGTTTTGTGCTTGAAACCCAGGGCCCTCGGTGGTGTAGGCACCAGAGGGAATCTCCTGGCCTGCTGATTGCAAAGACCATGGGAAAAGCACAGTATCTGTGCACCATTCCTCCCAGTACAGTCTCTCACGGCTTCCCTTGGCTGGGGGAGGGAGATTCCCCAACCCTTGTACTTCCCAGGTGAGGTGATGCCCCACCCTGCTTCGGCTCACCCCCCATGGCCTGCACCCACTGTCCAACCAGTCCCAATGAGATGAACCAGGTACCTCAGTTGGAAATGCAGAAATCACCCGCCTTCTGTGTTGATCTTGCTGGGAGCTGCAGATCGGAGCTGTTCCTATTCGGCTATCTTGTTGTATTTTCCTATTTATTTATTTATTTATTTATTTATTTATTTATTTATTTTGAGACAGAGTCTCACTCTGTTGCCCAGGCTGGAGTGCAGTGGCACAATCTTGGCTCACTGCAACCTCTGTCTCCTAGGCTCAAGGGATTCTCCTGCCTCAGCCTCCCAAGTAGCCTCGGGTTTCACCATGTTGGCCAGTCTGGTCTGAACTTCTGACCTCAAGTGATCCACCCATCTTGGCCTCCCAAAGTGCTGGGATTACAGGGATAAGCCACTGTGCCAGGCCTCTTATCAGTCTTCTTTGGGGCTCTGTCCCCTCTACCCAACTTACAAATGTTGGATTACGTTTAAGCTTGGTCCCGAATCTCACCTAATCCCATGACTATAAATATCACCTTTATGCTGATGACTCACACCTTTACATCTCTAGCCCAGATCTTCCTTCTGAGTCTAGACCAATATACCCAACCACCTATTCAGTATCTCCACTTGGATGCTTCACAATCTTATGAAATTCAATACATCCAAAACTGACATCTTGGATTTTTCCCTCACTGTTCCTCCTCCAGTGTTTCCCATTCTTCAACCATCTACTCAGTTGCTTCTGCTAGAAACCCAGAAGTCCTTTACTCTCACCACCCATATACAATCAATCACCAAGCCTTTTCATTTTGGTCTCCAAAATATATTCCCAATATCCCTATCTCTACTGCCATGCCCTGAGTCTAAGCCATCATCATCTCTTGCCTATAACACTGCAATAGCATTCTAAATGATCTTTCTGAATCCACTCATATTCCCCTCCAATTCCATCTTCACACCACAGCCAGAGTGATCTTTCAAAGATGAAAATGCCTCTGCTTAAAACTGTTCGGTGGCTTCCCACTGGATTTATAATAATGTTCACAAGGCACCTGCCTACATCTTCAGACAGGCTTATCTCAAGCTACCATTTCCCTTATTCTCTAAGCACCAGATTTGCTAGCCTTCTCACTATACATTACATGCTGAGGTTTTTTCAGGTATGTTGTGGCCTCTGTACATGTTGTGGGAATTTTTTTTTTTTTTGAGACAGAGTCTTGCTCTGTCACTCAGGTTGGAGTGCAGTGCCACGATCTCAGCTCACTGCAACCTCAGCCTCCCAGGTTCAAGTGATTCTCCCACCTCAGCCTCCTGAGTAGCTGGGACTGCAGGCAGGCACCACTACACCCGGCTAATTTTTGCATTTTTTGTAGAGACGGGGTTTTGCCATGTTGGCCAGGCTGGTCTCAAACTCCTGACCTCAGGTGATCCGCCTGCCTCAGCCTCCCAAAGTGCTGGGATTACAGGCATGAGCCACCACACCCAGCTACCTGGGACCTTTATTCTCTTTAATTCTTCTCCTATCTACTGCTGCCCAAAATACACAAACATGTATGCATGTGTGCACACATGTGACGTACATGTATGTGTATAATCCAAAATCCCAGGTTCCTCATCCAATAGTCAAACCAGACAAAAGGGAACTGAATGACTGGCAACCCATGGTGTTAAAGCATACCACTAGAACAAAATGATAATAAGAGCAAACCCCTAACTTAATATATACTAGGCACTATTTTAGGTGATTGACATGTATTAGCTTATGCAATGGTCAAAATAATCCTATGAAGTAGGTACAGGCACACTTCCCTTTACTGCACTTTGCTTTATTGCACTTCACAGATATTACATTTTTTACACATTGAAGGTTTGTGGCAACCCCACATCAATCAAGTCTCTCAGTGCCATTTTTCTAATAGCATGTGTTCACTTCATGTCTCTGTATCACATTTTGGTAATTTTCACAATATTTCAAGCTTTTTCATTATTATTATTATTATATATGATGGTGATCTGTGATCAGTGATCTCTGATGTTACTATTGTAATTGTTCTGGAGTGCCACAAACCATGCCCATAGAAGACAGTGAACTTAATAAATGGTATGTATATTCCAACTGCTCCATCCACCAGCCTTTGCTCTGTCTCTCTCCCTCTCCTCAGTCCTCACTATTCTGAGACACAACAATATTGAAATCCAGCCAACTAATAACCCTACAATGGCCTCAAAGTGTTAAGGTGAAAGGAAAAATCACATATCTCTCATTTTAAATGAAAAGCTAGAAATGATTAAGCTTAGTGAGGAAGGCATGTTGAAAGCCAAAATAGGTCAAAAGCTAGACCTCTTATGCCAGTTAGCCAGGTTGTAAATGCAAAGGAAAAGTTCTTAAAGGAAATTAAAAATGCTATTCCAGTGAACACAGGAATGATAAGTGGAATAGCCTTATTGCTGAAATGGAAAAAGTTGTAATGGTCTGCATAGAAGATCAAACCAGTCACAACATTCCCTTAAGCCAAAGTCTGATCTGATTTTTTAACGTATTCAAAACAGCCTTTTCTTAGAAGAAGAGGCCATCTAGGACGTTCATAGCTAAAGAGGAGAAGTCAATGCCTGGCTTCAAAGCTTCAAAGGGCAGGCTGACTCTTGCATTAGGGGCTAATCCCACTGGTGACTCTAAATTGAAGCCAATGCTCATTTACCATTCTGAAAGTCCTAGGGCCCTTAGGAACTGTACTAAATCTACTCTGCCTGTGCTCTATAAATAGAACAACAAAGCCTGGATGATAGCACATTTGTTTATAGCATGGTTTACTGAATATTTTAAGCCCACTGTTGAGACCAACTCCTCAGAAAAAAAGATTCTTGTCAAAATATTATTGTTCATTGACAAGGCACCTGGTCACCCAAGAGCTTGGTTAGAGATGTACAAAGAGATGAATGTTGTTTGCATGCCTGCTAACACAACATTCATTCTGCAGCCCATGATCAAGGAGTAATTGTCTGCTTTCAAGTCTTATTATTTAAGAAATATATTTTATAAGGCTATAGCTTCTGTAGATAGTGATTCCTCTGATGGATCTGGGCAGTTAATAGAAAACATCTGAAAAGGATTCACCATTCTAGATACCATTAAGAACATTTGTGATTCATGGACGGAGGTCAACATATCAACATTAACAGGAATTTGGAAGAAGTTGATTCCAACCCTCACGGATGACTTTTGAGGAGTTCAAGATTTCAATGGAGGAAGGGACTGCAGATGTGTTGAAAGAGCAAGAGAACTAGAATTGGAAGTGAAGCCTGAAGATGGGACTGAATTGCTATAATTTTACGATAAAACTTGAAGAGATGACGAGTTGCTTTTTATGGATGAGCAAAGAAAGTGGTTTCCTAAGATGGCATCTACTCCTGGTGAAGATGCCGTGAACATTGCTGAAATGACAGCAAAGTATTTAGAATATCACATAAACTTAGTTGATAAAGCAGCAGCAAAATGTGAGAGGATTAACTCCAATTTTGAAAGGAGTTCTACTGTGGGTAAAAATGCCATTAAACAGCATTGCATGCTACAGAGCAATCTTTCCTGAAAGTTAGAGGCAATCCATGTGACAAACTGCATTGTTGTCTTATTTTAAGAAATTGCCACAGCAACCCCAATCTTGGGAAACCACCACTCTGATCAGTCAGCAGCCACCAGCATGAAGCAAGACCCTCCAGCAGCAAAAAGACTGACCTGCTGAAGGCTCAGGTGAGTGTTAGCATTTTTTAGCAATAAAGTATTCTCGAATCAAGGTGGGTACGTTGTTCTTTTAGACATAATTGTTTTAGACAAGTTAATAGACTACAGTACAGTGCAAACACAGGTTTTATATGCACTGAGAAGCCAAAAAGGTCGTAACTTGCTTTATTGTGATGGTCTGGAACCGAATCCCAATATTTCTGAGGGCCTGTACTATTATATTATTATCTCTATTTTAAGACAAAGTAAATAAGGTACAGAGAGGTTAAGTAACTAAAGCAAGGTCCCAGAAATTCACTGGCAACGCGAGGATTCAAATTTAGTCCTGTGTGAATGCTTGGTTACGGGATGACTCAGTTGTCCCTTCTGTAATTAGTTATTTGGATAAATAGTATATCCTCCACTAAACTAAAAACATCAATAAGGGTGGGGAGCGTTTATATCTTGCTCACTGCTCCATCCCTAGCACCCTGAATAGAGTCTAGCACATACTTGACGCTCAATAAATACACATTGAATATATGAATGTTTACTACTCCCTTGCATAATTATTTTGAGACTGTAAAGGGTTCCAACCATGTCTCCTACTGCTATGTATGTATTTCCTATCTTAGTTGTCGGCCTGTCCATTCCCCAACAGGCCTGGCAGTCACTCGGTGTCCCCTCGGCATTGCTTTCGGGGCACTGGCCCAGTGTATTCGCGGAGCCTCCCCTCCTGAGGGCTGTGGGCACCTCAGGGATATTCCTGCCTTCGGGCCTCACCTTCCATGTGGGGCAGGGGGCTGTCCCAGCTTCCAGGCATGGCCCAGGTGGGTCTCTGGTGTTTGAGGGTATGCAGCGGGCGTACCGCTGCAGAGGCCACTCTGCCGCTTCTCCTCCGGTAAGCCCGAGGCTCAAGGGCACTTTTCCTGCCTCCGCCATGTCCTGCCTCACCACACGCACTGCCGGCGGGGACCTGCCAATCTGGCATCGAACCAATCAGTAAGCGGAGCGCCCCAGGGCCCACCCTCCCGTTCAGCAGAAGCCAATGGGCAGGCTCCGAAGATTCCCGCTTAGGGCATTTCCGGGCTTCGGTGTCTCTCTTGACCTTGGGCACCGAGATGGTTGCTTCTACGTTGAAGGGCGGTTGTGACCCTTATTAGTGGAAGTTGATGTCGCACTTGCACAGCATTCGGGCCCACACCTTCCCTCAGGCAGCCCATGTCAACTTCTGAAGCTCTGAGTCTGAGAAGTTTCCCAAACTGCCTGACTCCCTGTAGCGTACACCCTGGGACTAGGCTGGTAGTCGAGGCTGCCTGGACACAGGCTTTTCCCTTCCTCATAGCGGCCTTTCAGAAGACAATGTCCCCGCTTCACCTAACACCCACCACAACAAAGCCCCAGTGCCACACGCCATTCAGGAGACATGGTTGCTTCTTCATCATCCATCCTGCCGCCCGCTCGACATTCCCTGCCACCCGACAGTCAATTTTTCACCGAAAGAGGAGCAGATGGGTGGGGGCTGCCAGCAGCAAAAGATGTGCCTGCATTTAACAGCAGATGCAATGAAACGACATTTCTGGGTGATTTATAGGCGGCAAAGCACTTACACATCTGTTATTTCCTTTATCCTCCCAACAAACTTGCAGTGAATTAAAGAAGTAAAGCAGGGATTATTACCCCCATCTAATAGATGGAGGCAAAATAAGGTCCAGTGACCAGGCGCAGTGGCTCATGCCTGTAATCCCAGCACTTTGGGACGCCGAGGTGGGCGGGTCGCCTGAGCTCAGGAGTTCGAGACCACCCTGGGCAATATGGTGAACCCCATCGCTACTAAAATACAAAAAATTAGCCAGGCATGGTGGCAGGCTCCTGTAACCCCAGCTACTTGGGAGGCTGAGGCACAAGAATTGCTTGAGCCCCGGAGGCGGAGGTTGCAGTGAGCCGAGATTGTCGCACTGCACTCCAGCTGGGGCTACAGAGTAAGACTCTGTCTCATAAAATAAAATAAAATAAATAAAATAATCCAGAGAGTAGATGTGGTTTGTCCAAGGTTACACAGCCAGTGAACGGCAGAGCCAGAGTAGAGCTGTGGACTCCACAATCTCCACGTGTCCACCTCATTTGCAAAGAATTTAGATATTCATACAATCTATGTCAAGTTAGAAGCAAAGTATACAGAGGGTAGAGACTATGCTAACCAAATACATAAAATAGAATTAAAACGCAAACAATGTTTAAAGCTATGCATACCAAAGGATATTCAATTCATAGACAATGGTTGGAGAGGTGGTAATGTATTCACTCTACAAAGTATCAATTAAATATCTACAATGGGCAAACAGCTATGCTAGTCACCATAGGGGCTACAGAAACGGATAAGGCATGTATCTAACCTTCTGGGATCACAGGATCTAATAAGGAAAACAAGCAAGATGCAAATATACCCATGACACCTGACAGTTAATGCCACAGGAAAGGTACAAACCATGTACTCTCAGGGTTCAAATGAAGTAAAAATCTTCCCAATAGGGAGTGGCAGTGGTATTTGAGTGAGGACTTGAAGGGTGAGAAAAATTTCCCGAGGGAAGATGGAAGGAACTGTTGTTCCATACGAAGGAGAAGTTGAGGAGTAAAGTTGTGGAAATGAGGATAATGACATGACCAGCTAGAATGCGAAGTTGTTTTTTAAGGAAAATGAGGCTACAGAGGTGAGTTGGGGCAAAAGAGCATTGAACAGCAGCTAAGGAATGTGAATTTTACTTGGTAGGTGATGAGGAATATGAAAAATTTGCATGGGAGAATGACACTATCCTAGTAGTGGTCCAGGCAGGTTAATATCTCGGAAGCATATGGGATAAATTGGATAAAAGGCAAGCGGGGCCTGCTACTTATCTTTCCAGCAGTCCAGTAAAGCTTACTGAAGGGGTCAGGTTTCAGAAATTGCTTCTGAAGATCCATAAATGACACAGCAGTACTGCATTTAATATAGGAATAAATGGTTAAAAACTTGGTTTGAATCCCAGGTTTGTCAGTTGCCAGCTGCGTGAGCTTGTTGAAGTCAGTTAACCTCTCTGTAAAATAAGGTTATTAGACAACTACTTTACAGGGTCATGGAGAAGATAAAATAAGAACATATGTGGGAAAACACTTGGTAAATTACAAAGTGGTACATATGTTGGTGCTTTCTATTTCCAGGGTTAAAGTGACTTTCCGTGGACTCCCTACAGGCAGGGAGGATGGGAATGGGAGCCTGACTTTGGGTCTCAGAGGTACTCACCTTCCAGGTCCAGGGCTGCGGCTACTGTCAGACACCCTTCACAGGAGCAGATGGTGCTCACAGTTGGGACCCTGTCAGTGCCCAAGGACACCCAGGGCCCTGCTGGGTTCCCACCTGCAAGCTCCCTTCCTAGACAGTGCACCTGTGCTCGAGCTTCTGGGGCCACCAGCATCTGCCAAGAACAGATCATGTCTGCAAAGGGAGATAGGATAAAGCCACAGCTCAATGCACAGAGGTTCTTACAAACTTATAATATTAACAAATATGACTTGAGCACTCAAGTGGTCCCAGGTGCTATGATAGGTGCTGAGCATATAGTAGAGAGCAAAACAAATGGGGCTTCTGCTCTCTTGAAGCTCACAGTCTAGTAGAGGGCAGAACACTGAGCAAATCACCCACTATTGTTAATGGCTAATGTGTTTTCTTTTTAAAAGATAAGTCTGTAATCTTTATTAAGGTATAATTTTAGATAATAAAAAGCACAGATCTCACATATCCAATTAGGCGAGTTTTGGCACCTATATATACTCATGTAACCACCATCCAAAACAAAATATAGAACACTTTCAAAACCACCAGGTTCCCTTGTGAGTGCCTCCTTTCCATTACTCAAATCAGACCACCCTGCAAGGACAACCACTGGTCGATTTATCACCTTAGCTTTCCTGTTCGTGGACTTTATATACATGAAATAAAACAGAATATATTCTTTTATATATGCTTATTTCATTCAGTGTAATTTTGTTTTTTTAGCTCCATCCATGTTGTTGCATGTACCAATAATTCATTCCTTTTTAGTGCTAAATAGCATTCTATTATATGACTACTTCACAGCTTGCTTTTTTTCACCTGTTGGTGGACATTTGGGATACTTTCTAGTTTTTTGTTTGTTTGTTTTTGCTGTTATGAACATTTTTGTACAAGCTTTTTATTTTTATTTTTTGTAGATGTGTGTTGTCATTTATCTTCAATAATAAATACCTAGAGGGCCAGGTGCAGTAGCTCACGTCTGTAATTCCAGCGCTTTGGAAGGCCAAGGCGGGTGGATCACCTGAGGTCAGGAGTTCAAGACCAGCCTGGCCAACATGGTGAAACCCTCTCTCTACTAAAAATACAAAAATTAGCTGGGCGTGGTGGTGGGCACCTGTAATCCCAGTTACTCCGGAGGCTGAGGCAGGAGAATCACTTGAACCTGGGAGGCGGAGGTTGCGGTGAGCCAAGATCGCACCACTGCACTCCAGCCTGGGTGACAGAGCGAGACTCCATCTCAAAAAAACAGTAATAAATAAATAAATACCTAGAAATATAATTTCTGGGTCTTAGAGAGATGTATGTTTAACTTTGTAAAAAACTGCCAAAGAGTTCTCCATAGTGATTGTGCTACTTTGCACTCCCATCAGCAAAATATAAGAGTTCCAGTTGCTGACATGACCACATCCTTGCTGACATTCGCCTTACCAAGTATTTAGTTTGAGCCATTCTGGTTGATGTCTAGTGGTTTCTCATTGGGATTTTAATTTACATTTCCCTGATGATGAATGATATTGGCTTATTGGCCATTTGTATACATTATGTGTGAAGTGTCTGTTCAAATCGTTGAACGTTGTTGATTTGTAGGAGTTCTTTATATATTCTGGGCACCAGTCCTTTGTCAGATATATGTAATGAAAATATTTTCCCATTCCATTACTTGCCTTTTCATTTTCTTAACAATGTTTTTGTAAAGAGCAGATGTATTTAATTTTGATTAAGTACTTTTTAATTAATTTTTCGGGTGTTTTTAATAGTGTTTTCTCTGTCCTGCACAAGAAAACTTTGCTTACCCTAAGGTTGCACACATATCCTCCCACATTTTCTTCCAGAAACTTTATGGTTCTAACTTTTACAACTAGGTATATGATCCTTCTTGCATTATATTGTTTGTGTGAAGTGAAGTAGGGATTAAGGATCATTCTTTTCCATGTGGATGTACTGTTATGTTAAATGGGGGCAGCCCTAAACCAATGACTAATGGAAACTGTCATATAAATACCCAAGTTCCCTTACTCCTCAGTTGGGACAGCTCTGAGATGTGTGTAATACCCTGTTCCCTAAGTTTTCCAGTGGAATTAAGTTCCACTTACCCACGATGCTAACTTGTTTAGTAATGATTCATTTTGGGCTAACTTCCCTACCCTGTCTCCCTCTGCTATCAGTGTTTCCTGGGATCGCCTCTCAAATAAATTGCTTGCACTCGAGGGTCTGCTTATCCCAGGGTCTGCTTCTGTGGAAACTCAAACCAAGACAGTAACAAACAAGACAGACCGTCCCTACCCTCATGTATTTAGCTTTAATATAGTTGCATATAGGAAGATGCTACAACCAGCATTCAGAGGAGGGAGAAGTCATTCTCAAATGAAAGTAGACCCTCCAATGCCTCGCTGACTAGAAGCAGCAGAATGACAGCATTTGAAGGCAGAACTAATAAATGACAGGTTACTATGAGTTAAAACATCCCCTTCTTTTTTTTTTTCTGTAGAGATGGGGTCCCGCTTTGTTGCCCAAGTTGGTCTCAAACTCCTGGCTTCAAGCAATTCTCCTGCCTCAGCCTCTGGGGTTACTCGCATGAGCCACTGGATCCCTACATCCCCCTCTTAGAAGACTATTACCAGTTAGAAAAACCTAGCCCCTGAAGTTTTAAAAAAAGAGAAAAAGTCATTTATTTCACTGAACAGTGTTTTCATTCCAAATTCTTTTACTGTGTAACTCTATTTTGCAGGTGGCATAAATAGCACAGAGAGATGCTGTGTGAGTAAGTCAGCATCACTGTTGGAGGCAGGCTGAAGGACTGGTTTTGGAACCCTAGCATGTGTCTTTCAGAGCAGACCAGGGACCCCATACATCCGTTTTGCCCAGGATATTGAGTCAGCAAAGGAAATGATGGCTTCAGTCTCCTTGGGTCCCCTAGATGACAAGACGACAGGAAAAGCTGCACCTCTGCTCTGCCTGCTGTGTCCCTCAGCAACAGCTCTGGGGACACACAAAGTGATTGAGAACTGCAGAACAATGTTGATGGCTGTGAGATTTCCCAGAAAAGCCCTGTTTGCATCAGTCAAGCCAGATGAACTGTCTACATTATGACAGACCTGTGTATACTGTGTGAGAAGGGGATGTTCCCATGGTACTTTACACTCACTGCTAAAAAGCAATTATTTTCAAGTTGCTACTCTGTATCTTCCACAAGCAAAAATCAACTCCTCCATCGCAGGTCATTGAAAGTATTTCAATGTGACCAGGCGCAGACAATCCTAACTTGTCTACAGGCTGCTGGTCATTGGCATAACATGGAGAGAGATTAACACTGATTTTCCCGTGTGTTAAAAGCACAGAGAATAATAAATTACTACAAAACGTTTGCCAGGTGGTAGATTTGGGAGCATATTTTACAAAGCTGGATTAGCGTCAGAAATAAGAATTTAAAGCAAACCCTAAAGGAAGACTATGAACTCAGACCTTAAAGAAAGGGACCATACTTTATGTTGAAATCCAGAATTGCTGGCACATAATAGGTTCTTAATTTTTTTTTAATGAATGGACTGCAAATTTTAATATGGAAGAAAGGGATAATTTAAAAATCACTGTGAGTGTATAAAGGGTTAACATGGGGGGAAATGGTTAATAACCCTTTCCCTTCCTTACCTCCACACTGTTGGAACAAGAAGAAATCACCTTCAACCACGTCATGAAGAATTGGCACTAACATTCAAGAATAAATTTTTGTATCTCAAGATCTTAATCTAATAGGTGATATATTTGGGGACTTTCCAACCCTGACACCTACATATACATAGTCAAATACAGAAGCATAGATCCCTAGAAATCGCTTCCAATTTGATGCATCGCTTATTCCATCATTTGTTCCCTGACCCTGGAGAAGTCATTTAGCTCACCTCTATAGAGTGAGGCTGTGAGACTTGCAATTTACACCTCAGAGGGCAGACATCATAAAGAAAATGCTTTGTGCTGGGAGTGACTCAGCAACAGCATTTTTGTGCTTAGTTGTTGGGAATATTTTGAATAATTCAGCCATTGCAACTGCACCTCCAGCAGATGTTAGGTTAGGACTGGCTGAGGCTGGGAGGTCAAAGTTTTAGGGGGACCCTGGGAATGGTAAGGGCTGCTTGCACTGCTTCCTCACATCAAATGCTTTAACTCTGAGGGCATCACAGTGTCTCTGAATGAAAATCTTTCCCTGGGAAATGATTCTGACAATAAACTGAGGGACCCAGAAAAAGAATGACTTTTTTTGAAGTGGTCATGTCAGTTCAACTAATTTGTTCATTCATTTATTCAGCAGTGTTACTTGGATTTACTCTGTGCCAGGCACTAAGCAAAGTAACAGAGATACAAATCTGAATAGGAAAAAACGCTTCTCTTGAAAATGTTTATAGTCTGGTAGAGGGACAGACCCAAAGACAAGTAATTCACAATATATTGTGAAAGATGTTCAATAAAGACAGGACCTGGCCTTGTGTTGGTGCGAAGGAGTGATACCTTCAAATGAGAGCAGTTAGAAGGCATGTGTTGTGCAACCATCACCACTCTTTAGTTCCAGAACATTCTCATCACCCCAAAAGGAAACCCCATACCCATTAGTTATCAGCTCCACGCTCCCCTCCCCCAAGCCCCTGGAAAGCACCAATCCACTCTTTGTCTCTATGAATTTGTCTATTCTGTATATTTCATATAAATGAAATTATACAATATATGGCCTTTTATGTTTGGCTTCTTTTACTTGGCGTAATGTTTTCAAGATTCGTCCATGTTATAGCATGTATGAATACTTCATTCTTTTTAATGGATGACTAATATTCCATTGTATAGATATACCCATGTTGTTTATCCACTCATCAGTTGACAGATATTTGAATTGTTTCCACCTGAGAGGAAACTCTTGAATACTTTATGTATTTCAAGATAAAAATGGCTTGTTAATTCTCTGATAAAACAAACAATACAGACTCCCAGGCAGCATAGTACAGTTAAATTCACTCCTCGACAACTTCACCCATGTCCAGACACAGTAATGACAGGTCAAATATAAGAAGAGATGACTGAAAATGGATAGCTGGGATCAAAGAGAAGACAAGCATCTCTGGGACCATAAATCTCCAGCAGTGAGCAAGGATAAAGCCAGGGCATGCTGGGCTCCAGGTCTGGACCCAGACAGCGGTAGCAGGGAATCAGGACCAAACATCTCCACACAAGGCACAGAATAGAGTCAGGCTCCCTGCATGAAGCCAGGAGCTGGAGTGGGATGCTACTCCATTGAAAGGGGCTCAAAAAGACTGCCACTCTGCTGCCCGGTGTAACTGTTCCCAGCAACATGGGGCCCAAAGGAGGCAGGTGGACAGACACAGCCTCATGAGCAGGACCTGAGCCAAGGCTCGTGCAGACTCTGGAACTGGGTATCTCCAATGTTGCAGCACATCAACATCCCTGTAAGACCTAGTTTTGGACTGGAGCCTGGGGGACAAAGGGAAGGCAGTAGCACACCACTCAATTACTAGAAAGCAAGAGAAACATGAAGAAAAGCAAGAAGCTTCTTGCTTAAAATGACCCTGAAAATCAAAAGTCTAAAACACATCAGGGAATACAATTCTAGGAAAGACAATCAACAAAATCAACACTAGGAATACAAACTCACTTCTGACAAAACTAATTGTATAGAACAGACTGACAAAAATGCTTTAGAATGATCAATACTATTTATTACAACCTGTGACGTGGATGAATAACATAATATTGAACAAAAGAAGCTAGACACAAAAAAGTACATAACACATGCTTACATGAGGTAATGTGAAAAAGCAGGCAAACCAATCTATGGTGTCAGAAGCCAGAAAAATGGTTACCCTTGGAAAAAGGCCAAAGAGAATGCTGGAAACGCTTTATTTCTTGACTCAGATGCTTGTTACATGGGTGCTTTCACTTTATGAAAAGTCATTGTGTGTCCATACAATCCATCCTCATTTATTCACTGATTCTGTATTTGTTAATTTACCTACTCACTCAAATTTATTTGCAACCCCAAAATCAATACTTGCTGAGCTTTGTGGTCGTTTGCAGATATACGCATTGAGGGGAAAAATTTGAGTCACTGGATGCATATGTTCCAAGCTGAAGTCGGACAAAGCAACTCTCTGCTTACTTGTTTCAGCTCTCATGTTAGAAGCAAGTGTCCTCTTCTTTTTTTTCTTTTCTTTTCTTTTCTTTTCTTTTTTTTTTTTTTTTTGAGACAGAGTCTCCGTCACCCAGGCTGGAGTGCAGTGGCGCGATCTCGGCTCACTGCAAGCTCCGCCTCCCGGGTTCACGCCGTTCTCTTGCCTCAGCCTCCCGAGTAGCTGGGACCACAGGCGCCCGCCACCACGCCCGGGCTTTTTTTTTTTTTTTTTTTTTTTTTTTTTTGGACTTTTAGTAGAGACGGGGTTTCCCCGTGTTAGCCAGGATGATCTCGATCTCCTGACCTTGTGATCCGCCTGCCTCGGCCTCCCAAAGTGCTGGGATTACAGGCGTGAGCCACCGCGCCTGGCCTCAAGTGTCCTTTTCACAGGCTACTTAGTGCACGTTTTTCTGCATTTTTGTGCTTTCTGATGGTGATTTTGCTGTTTAAAATGGCCTGGAAGCATACAGCTGAAGTGTTACCTAGTGTTATCATAAGCCTGTGGTATGCCTTATAGAGAAAATACATGTGTTAGTAAGCTTCATTCAGGCATGAGTTGCAGTGCTGTTGGCAGTAAGTTCAATGTTAATGAATCAACCATACATATTAAATAAGGTGTCTTTCAATAGAAACACACATAAAACAAGATTACACATTGATCGGCTGACGAAAATGTTGTGACCAGAGGCTCACGGGAGCCTAACTCTGTATTTCCCCTGGGAGCAATGGTTCAGTATTTATTAATTCAGTGTTCATGGTGATTTTATGGAACATGATTTTCACAAATAATGAGAATCAATTGTATATAATTTTTGTAGGTTTCTTTATGTATATTACACTTCAATTAAAAAGTTGCCCATTTAAAAATTTAAACAATGAATTTTCAGTGTAATAACTGAGAGTTGATACTTCTAGACACTCACTAAAATAACTATTAGAGGATGTATTTAATGATAGCACAGAAATTGATTTTAAATGTAGAGAAAATTATTGACTATCAAAAAAACTATTGACTATTTTTAAAACTCTAAAGAGTAAAAAGATGGAGGGAGAGAGGTATTCAACAAGTAGTTAAATTGTGACAATGTCCAAAGTTAGGATTGAAATATTTAATAACAGTAGTTTTGTTAGAAAATGAGGAGTTAAGTGTGCATATGTCAAAAAATGAAAGAAACCACTAAAAATATAGAACAATCTATAGCTTCCAAATGAGTAAACTAAAAAAGAGTGTTGGTATAAAGAAAAGTCTATCAACAAAGAGAAGGAATAAAGAAAGAATAATAAGCAGAAATCATGCATAAGGTGGTCCTAAAACTTCAAATATATATATATTTACAAAAATGTAAATAAACTCTACTCACAAATTAAAAACATAAATCATCAGATTGGACTTTTAAATCTAGCTGTATGCTAGAATCAGTTATGTTATTCAAAATCATAGCTAAAAAGTGATCAACTAGAAAAATATCAGACTATAAAAAAAATCCTTATTATCAGACAAAAACAGCATGCACGTCCCAGAAAAGTAATCACAGATTATAAAGTGAAACATTAATATAACAGAACATCAAAAAAGTATTTAAAACCAAGGAATAACTAAGAAGACCAAATGTACCGTCATATTAATAAATGTAGATGACTAGAAAAAAAGACTATGATCAAAAAGCAAGGTGAAGGAGAGATTTCAACAAGTTTCTAAGGAGGAAAAAACTACAGAAGGAAGGGTAACTGTTAGTAGGGCAGGGGAAGTTGCAGCCTGGAGCATACTAGAAGGAGAATGTAAAATAGAAGAAAGCCATCATGTCTGGCAGAGATGGCATGTGTCCCCAGAGGGTACACGTGACTGAGACGTGAGGCTGCAAATGGATGGACTAATTGAAAGTCTATAAGTGGAGCCAGGCACAGTGGCTCACGCCTGTAATCCCATCACTTTGGGAGGCCAAGGCGGGCAGATCACTAGGTCAGGAGTTCAAGACCAGCCTGGCCAACATGGTGAAACCCCGTCTCTACTAAAAATACAAAAATTAGCTGGGCATGGTGGCAGGCACCTATAATCCCAGCTACTCAGGAGGCTGAGGCAGGAGAATCGCTTGAACCCGGGAGGCCGAGGCTGCAGTGAGCCGAGATCGCGCCTCTGCACTCCAGCCTGGGTGACAGAGCGAGACTCGGTCTCAAAAAAAAAAAAAGAAAGAAAGAAAGTCTATAAGTGGAACACATTCTCAAAACTTGAGTGTAAAACACCTACCCACAGGACATCTCCCCCCAGGCAGAGGGTTCTTCCATAGAGAAATGGAATAACTTCCATTTATCTGGCATTTGGGGGCCACTCAGAATAGAAGGAAACTTCTTATTTCCTAACTTACCTAAAGCAAATTTCCCCAATTCTAAAGCCCAATCAGAATATTATAGTTCCAATCAGCTTTTTAGTTACCTCACTCTTAAATAAAAACCAGCAATTAATATTATCAGACTTCTGAGAAAAATCTCCAACATATAAAAGAGAGTAGAAGAAAGGATAAATAACCAGAGAGAACAGAGATGACACAGAGAGAAGAAGAAGATAATTAAAATCCCCAGAGAGACATGAGAAGCTATTATATCTATAAAACAAGAACAGGTCGCTACAGAAAAGACAAATAATTAGAGAAAAAAGAGTGCTCTAAAAATTTTAAAATATGCTGGACAAATATAAAAGAAAGCACAGGAGTTGAAAAATAAAGTTGAGGAGCTCTCCTAGAAAGTAGAACAAAAGGTCGGCCAGGTGCAGTGGTTAACGCCTGTAATCCCAGCACCTTGGCAGGCCGAGGCAGGCCGATCACCTGAGGTCAGGAGTTCGAGACCAGCCTGGCTAACTGGCGAAACCCTGTCTCTACTAAAAATATGAAAATTATCTGGGCATGGTAGTGGGCACCTGTAATCCCAGCTACTCAGGAGGCTGAGGCAGGAGAATCGCTTGTGAACCTGGGAGGCGGAGGTTGCAGTGAGCCGAGATTGCGCCATTGCACTCCAGACTGGGTGACAAGAGCGAAACTCCATCTAAAAAAGAAAGAGAGAGAGAGAGAGACAGGGAGAGAGAGAGAAAGAAAAGAAAGAAAGAGAGAAGAAAGAAAGGAAGGAAGGAAGGAAGGAAGGAAGGAAGGAAGGAAGGAAGGAAGGAAGAAAGGAAAGAGGAAAGGAGGAAAGGAGGAAAGGACGGAGGGAGGGAGGGAGGGGAAAAAAAGGCCAAAGAGACAGAGCCCATGAAAGAAAACATAACAATCTGGCAACTCCAGTGGGGTCCTACTCAGCCATTCTGACCTACATGCAACCTGGAAACGTGAAGGAGTTAACATCCCATAGGGCAATCCTTGATGACTGGAAGCTGGGAGCCTATGGATAAATGAATTAATCTTCTATCCTTGGGGGAAATAATCACAGACAATTGGTGCTCTAGCCAGGTTTCTTCTTTTCTCTGAGAGCTGGCATCATCATCCTTCTGCTGTTACCAGACAGTCCAATTTGTATTCTCTAAATTCTTAGGGGATGCAGCCTGATTGACCAGTTACCAATGCTTCCTAATTGGGTAAAGCCCTTGCATCTGGATACGTCATAGGACACTGTCTGCCTGTGAGGAGGTCCAATCAGCAGCCACCATCCTTCAAAGGATGGCTTTGCTTCTCTTCCTTGAGCAGGGCATTGTGGGTGAGACAGTTGCAGGTGAAAGGGGTGTAGTGACCACGTTGGTACCGTAACATCCTGCAGCCTCCACCTAGAATTGTCTCCTTCCTACTTCTCTGCCTGGCAAACTTTATTTACCTGTCAAATTTCAACTCAAGGACCACTTCCTCTGTCTCTCTTTCCTGACTCTCCCAGGCAGAATTAGGTGCCCTGTTTTCACATCCAGGACCTGGGTACAACCTTCCATTAGCAGATCTGTCTTACTAATGTCTGTATTTCTGTATGTCTTTTCACAAGAATTCCTTAAGTATTGCTAGCACCTGTAGTAGGTGCTGAACAAAAATTGTTAGATAAATAAAAGAAATCTAGATATATATGCAAAAGAAGGTCAATTTCAGCCCATATTTGTTTACTTTGATGAAATGGGCCTTTTCTTCAGAACTAAGACAAGCTCAAACTGAAGAGGAGAAATAGAAAATTGGGAAAATAGATCCTGTTTGTGTGACATTTTTAGACCCTTCCCACCACCTACAGGCACAGTTGCCTCTCACATGTCTGCTTTCTCTACTCCCTCTGATTGGAATGTCCTTTGAAGTCATCTCATACCTACCTCCTTGTCTACCTGGTCAACCATTGTTCACCGCTGAATAGTTCCTCACATGTTAGCTCCAGGAACATCTCCTTGACCACCTCCTCCTCCCCAGTGTAGATAACTAATTCCTCCTGCTCGGTATTATGTTTAAATGGTGTATGGTAGGCATTTCATATATTTATCACCTATAATGAAAATTTATTTTCTTACATAGTTGTCTTTTTGCCTAAAAGAGAAATTGTTGAGAGCAAGGGGAGGGACTTATTTATCTCTACAGCTCCCTACACCCAGGATAGTCCTTGGAATGGAGTAGATGCTCAATACATGCTTGCTGAGTGAACGAATATAAAGTGAGTAACTATTCCAAAATAGCAGAAAATCCCCAAACTTTTTAGCTTAGGCTTTGAAATGTAATTTTCTTCCTGCAGGCCTCCTTTTCTCATTGTGTTTGGTTCAGACTGAAGCTACTTATTTTCCCACTTCATAGCTTTTGCAATTTCTCTGAGCATATTCCAGCTGACTAATGGAAGTGAGGGAATCAAAAAATGTTCAATAATATGACACCTCTAGATAATTAAGAACCAATGTAAACCTTTTCAAAGTGGTTTTTATGTGATTGCCCAAACAAGGTCACAGTACTCACATTGGATAAAATGTGAAATTGAAATTTCTTTACCATCCCTAGTTTCTCAGTGCTTTCGCCTTCTTTTCTACCTTTCTGCCATTTCTAGGTCTGTCAGATATACATTATGCAAAATGCCAAGATGTCTCTGCAAGAAACATTTTTTAATGCAAAGTAAAACTTCTCAATGCCTGTTAGCTCAAAAAGAGTTATTCTTTATACCATGTATAAAAATAAATTCCAGATGTATTAAAGCCCTAAACCAAAATGTAAAATTATGAAAGGAAAGAAGTAAATATTATCATAAAGTAACATAAAAAGAAGATTTTTTAAAACAAGACATAAAAAATAACAAACAATAAAGGGAAAAATATATTTGATTACATTAAAAGTAAAAACTAAGTATCATAGGCAAAATTTGAAGACAAGTGAAACATTCAGAGAAAATATTCACAACCTAGTTAACAGATAAAGGATTTGTATCTAGAATGTATGAAGAAGTTCCATAAATCAATAACAAAAAGACAAAGAAACCCAATAGAAAATGGGCAAAAGATGTGAATAAGCAAAATACATAAAAGGAAAACAAAATGAGCAATGAACTTAAGAAGAGATGCTCAACTTCGTTAGCGGTCAAGGAGATACATATTAAAAACAATAATGAGGCTGTATGTTACTGGCAAAAATTAAAACCAGACAACATTAATATTGAAGAGAATGTGGGAAAATGGGAATTTTCAGCAGTGTGGACAACAATGTAAATTAGTTCCACCATATGGGAAAGTAACTTGGCAATTTCTAATAAAATCGAAAATGCACACATCATGTAACTCAGCAGTTCTACTTTTAGATTTATACCTCAGAGAATAACTCACACATGGTCACAAGGAAACATAAAAACATAAAGCAGGATTTTTTTGTAATAGTGAAAAATTTGGGAACCTTTTTTTGTCTTGGCTTAGATTCCCTACAAAAGCAGAGGTCAAGACAGGATCTTGTGTGCAAATAGTTTATTTGGGGAAGTGGTCTGAGGAAATAGAGGTGGGGGGACTAAAGAGTGAAAGAGAGGGCCGGGCGCAGTGGCTTATGCCTGTAATCCCTCAACTTTGGGAGGCTGAGGCGGGTGGATCACTTGAGGTCAGGAGTTCGAGACCAGCCTGGTCAACGTAGTGAAACCCTGTCTTACTAAATATACAAAAATTAGCTGGGTATTGTGGCATAAGCCTGTAGTCCCAGCTACTTGGGAGGCTAAGGCAGGAGAATTGCTTGAACCCAGGAGGCAGGGATTGCAGTGAGCTGAGATCGCACCACTGCACTCCAGCCTGGGCGACAGAGCCAGACTCGATCTGAAAAAAAAAAAAAAAAAATTGAAATGAAAGAGAGAAAGAGGAAAGCTAATCCAAGGATGTGTATTTAACTGGTCACATTGTAGGCAACTCTAGTGGGCCTCAATCCCACCACAGATTCCTTTGGGAACCACAGGAACTGTTCTAAGTGTTTCACAAATATGAATGAATCTAATCTTCAAAAGAACTCCATTAAGTGCAGTTAGTCCCACTTTATCTACAAGAAACTCAGGCACAGAGAAGTAAAGCAATGTGCCCAAGTTGCACAGTTAGTAAGTGGCAAAGAATTTGAATGCAGGTAGGGAATTCTAGAGCCCTCAAACATGACCACCAAGCCAGAGAAGTTGCTGTAGTAGTTGGCTGGAGGACAGATCATAAAAGACCTTGTATGCCTTGCTGAGGAGTCTGCATAATCCAAAAGAGCATTTCTGCATTTATCTGCTTTACGTATTGCACTTGTGTTTGAAGACTTCATTTAGATACAAGGTTCTGCTTCTAAAATTGCTATAGGCAATGGCAACGACTGAGGAATTTTGAGCTAGAGGGAGATGTGGTCTGATTTGCCTTACAGACAGATAATGCTGGTGGTCAGTGGTGTGGAGAATGAATTGGTAGTACCTGTGATCAGATATAGGGTCAGTGCAGTGGTCCAGATGAGAGATGAAGAAGTTTGATATAGACCAATGTAGCAGTGATGGAGAGCAGAAATGGGTGTGAGATATATTTACGAGGGGGAATCAACAGGACTGAAGAGACTGATTGAATGTGGGAGCTGATTGAGAAGAAAGGGTCCCAGATGACTTAGGGCCTTGCATGCCTGTGCATACACAAGAGCACATCTCATGCACGTGTGCAGTGATAGTGTGGCATGCACACTCTATGCACAGAGATGCATTATTAACTCTAGACAGGAACACACACACTTGGATTCACAAATGCATTTCCAATATCACCCATGGCCACATCTGTGAAGCTTCTTTTCTCTTCTTTTTTACTTATTTTTAAATTTTTTTAATTTATTTTTATTTTTAAATTATTTTTATTTTTCTGAGACATGGTCTCACTCTGTCACCCAGGCTGAAGTGCAGTAGTGCAATCACAGCTCACTGCAGCTCGACCCTCCCAGTTCAAGCAATCCTCCCACCTCAGCCTCCTGAGTAGCTGGGGCCACAGGTGTGTGCCACTATGGCTGGCTAACTTTTGTATTTTTGTAGAGGCAGGGTTTTGTCACATTGCCCAGGCTGGTCTCAAACTCCTGGGCTCAAGGGATCCACCCACCTTGGCCTCCCAAAGTGCTGGGACTACAAGCATGAGCCACCGTGCCCAGCCTCCTTTTCTCTTCTTACTCTGTGCCAGAATCCTGTTCTGAAATAAGATGTTTTTTTATCTATTACAAATAGATTTATTATAGATCTAAAAGATCTATTTATTATAGATATAGAAGGTTTGAAACTGTGTGGAGGCAGTTTAGCTGTTACAATGACCTGGGCATGCTGTTGACCTTTAATGCTCAGGAACCAGAGTTGCTAAACATCATATAATAAAAAAAAACTTCCCTGCCCAAAATGTCAGCAGCATCACCTCTGAGAAATTCTGAAAGAAATTTGCGGTCAAAGAGCCCTAGATGTGAAACTCAGCTCCTCCCCATACCAGCCTGGGCAAGTTAGTTAGCATCTTTAAGCCTTAGTTTGTTCACCTGTAAGGTGGGCATCTAACACCTGCCTCCCGGGGTTCTTGTGGGGATTCAGCAAGATAGCACAGTGGTTGACATATATGGAGTTGTTGGTAAGAATAGCTTCCTTTCCTTGTTTAGCATCACATTCCTTTTCTCAGCTTCCTTTTATGGGTCGTGAACCAGTATGCTGATTTCCAGGAAGCAAATGTTGTTCTCGCCCCTTTCAGAATCCTGGTCACATGGCAGGACTGTGCAGTCCACTTCGGGGGTAAGTGATTGACAGTAAAATGTCCCTTGAAATAACTCATGAACAGCTTGTGGAAGTTGAGCTGTCAGAAATCCCAGCTCAGGAAGAGCTGTTTCCAGCACTAGAGGCTGTCAGCCCATTATATTTATAGAGACAGGGGCAGTGTGGATGAATGGATGGTTCAAGCCCAAAATGAGGGTTAAATTACGGAGAGGCCAGTGGCTGTTTCCTTACTTCAGAAATCAGAGAGCTAATCTCCCTACAAGGGCATTTATAAGCCTCTCAGTTCTCTGAGGTTTTTCAACCAGCCTCTTGAGATGGTAATAAAAGATACTTACCATTGATTAACTCCCTAGTATGTGCTGCACCCGCATTAATGACTTTATTTACACTACCTCTACGTGTTCATAACCAATTTTGGAGGTAATTCTTGTATTACTCATTTTTGTAGATTGAACATTGAAGCTTGGCCAGGTGGAGTAGACACAGCTGTAAATGATTGAGCTCATTTTGACATTGGTTTGTCTTGACTTCAATGTCGTATCTCTTCATTAAATGCAACAGAAGACTAGGGAGGCTTTTGCTGGATTTTATTTTTATTCTCTTTAGCCCATGCTTCCACTGGTGTTTGACAATGATAATCCTAGTCTCCCTTGAGACTGTGTGTCTGGTGATGGGGATCCCTCTGTCCTGGCAGTGTTGGACTGGGTGTGAGTGAGAATCCCTTGGCTAGTGGGTGTCCAGCACTGGTGGCTGAAGGTAAACTGGACAGTTTTATGTCATACTCTGAGCTAATGGTGACTGCTAAGTAATAATGACTGTGATTGTGGCTGAGGTCACCAACGCAGTGGAATGGCCAGTGACATCCTCTCCCCCATTGTTTGGGTGCCCACTCAGATTGATTGATAACTGTGCCATACTGCTCATTAAATATTTTTAATGTCACCCTTAATTGTAATGTCAGGTTAAAGCTGATTTCAGAATGCTAGCCTCGTTCTATAGAGTCTATGTAAAAGGCTGGTAAAGGTGGTTTGTTACTTTTTCTGCATAAAGAACATTATTATTATGGTATTTATATTATATTTGTAATATAATAGTCTATTATAGTACATATATAAATATATTATGTATAGTATACTATAGTATGTATTATAGAAACTTATGATATATATTATGTACAAAATATATAATATATATCATATATTATAATAAATATATATTTATATAACAAACTTATAACTTACATATTGTATGTTTATATTATATAAACTTATGTAATACATGCTATAGTATACTATATATAATATTCTATAAAAGAGCATTTTTACACTTGTGGTTTTTGAACTTCCCAGAGAAATACAAATTTATTCTAAAATTTTGGAATAGGCTTAAATACATGTATTTGTTAGCTGTCCAGCCAGCATTCATTCTCTTCTCTCCCCTTCCTAACAATGCCCAGACATTTTTTCAGGTATCTTCTGCACCTTGTAGCCTATCTGCTTAAGCTAAGATCGATCAGGATAATATGATCGGAGGTGGAAATGTGATGCAATATGGCCAAAGAGACTTAAGCATCAGTTATCTGTGGCTTATGAGAAAGAAATTTCCTCTTCTTTTGAAAGCCGCCAAGAGAGGGGTCCTTTCCCTGGGACAGCATGGTGTGTGGGTGCACAGCCTGGGACTGCTACAGCTATTCTGGTACCATGAAGGGAGTCAGCCTTGGGGTAAAGCTGGAGCCAGAGATGGCAGGGCAGAAAGAGGGAAGGAAATGGGTTCCTGATGACATCACTAGAACATCTGAACCAAATCAGCCCTGAAGCTTACCCCACCTCTGGCCTTTTCAGTTACATAAGCCAATAAATCCCCTTCATTTTTTAAGTCATTTCAAATTGGATTTTCCATTTCTTGCAACTGAAAGCATCCTAAGTGATACATTACTGAAATAGATTTTTTTAGAAAGGAAGATAAAATGAAATTAATCACCCATAATTCTGCCAGGCAGTTTTATTAGTATTTTAAAATATTTTCTTAAACCTTTTCCCTCCACTGTAGTTATATATACATATATATGTATATATATAATATATTATATATAAAATATATAATTACTATTATATGTAATTGTTCACAGATGAGATAAGATGGATAAGATGGTCTATACAATTTTGTGTCCCCCTTCTCTCTAGCATTCTACCATAAGCATTTCTCCTCACCATTAAGAACTCTTTGTTTCTCTTTTTTCCTGTGCGGTAAAAAAACACATAACACTAAATTCACCATCTTAGCCATTATTGAGTATCCACTTCAGTAGTGTTAAGTATATTCACATTCCTGTGGAACAGATCTCCAGAACTTTTCCATCTTGCAGAACGGAATCTCTGCAAGTATTAAACAACTTCTCTTTATCTCTCTCCCCCAAGCTCCCGGTTCTAAGCATCATTTTAATGGCTGCATTATGTAACATCATTTGGCTTTATCAAAAATCATTTCTCCTTTTATTGGGTGTTTAAAGTCATATAATTTTTTTTATTTTTTCATGCACATTTGCTGAGCATTCCATGGGTATCACTTAGCCAGGGATAAATTTTACATTAATTTCTTACCTTGGGTTTCTGGACCATCAAGGAGTATAAATTCAAATAGCAAGCCTATGTCAAGTAAAGATCTATGGTTGCAGATTCTCAAAGGGGACACACACATACACATACAAACACACACACACACACACACACATTTGCCCAAGCAAAAAAAAAAAAGATAAGCTTTCTTGATATCTCCTTTTGTGTGAGGTGGTTAAGGTGGACAATTTTTTTTCTAGCCTACGATAGTATATACAGTTAAGGACACACACATACCCCACCAGCATTCATCATTACCATACACACTAATAGTATCCCATTGTAAACCTGTGATTCTCTACCTGTGGGCTTTTACATGGTCCATGCCATGGGTTGAACCAGAAGTACTGGGGAGTGCAAATCCTGGGGAGTGATTCTTAGTCAGTGATGAATGGGAGGAGGAGGTGTCCATGGTGAAAATCTGCTCATTAGTAGAGCCTCTCTTGACTTCCTTCTTCTACTTTTCTCTCTTCTCTAGCTTCATACCAGTGCGGTCTGGGAACACCTTCCAAATAAGCTCCTTGCATTCAAATCCTTTTCTCATCCTAAGAAGGGTGGTGCCAAAAGTGATCCTATGAAGCAGACCCTCAATATGGGGTTCTGAAATTGTATCATTTGCCAACCAGATATCAGTAAGAAGTGACTGGGGTGGCCCGGGCGCAGTGGCTTACGCCTGTAATCCCAGCACTTTGGGAGGCCAAGGTGGGTGGATCATGAGGTCAGGAAATCAAGGCCATCCTGGCTAACACGGTGAAACCCTATCTCTACTAAAAAATACAAAAAAATTAGCCTGGCATGGTGGCAGGCCCCTGTAGTCCCAGCTACTCCGGAGGCTGAGGCAGAAGAATTGCTCAAACCAGGGAGGCGGAGTTTGCAGTGAGCCGAGATCGCACCACCGCGCTCCAGCCTGGGCGACAGAGCGAGACTCCGTCTCAAAAAAAAAAAAAAAAAAAAAAAAAAAAAAAGCGACTGGGGTGGTAATATTAGCTCTCATGCTAGTTGCAATGAATAAAACTTGCCTATAGATTGGGGCGGAATACAGGTGGAATGGAATGCAATGCTTATTCAATAGCTCTGGCACTTGAAAGATAAGGGCGCAATGGTAATTACAGAGAAGGCAGAATTGGTTGGCTGTTGTTAACTGCCATAAAAACCAAGAGGGGGCCCAGTGCGGTGGCTCATGCCTGTAATCCCCGCACTTTGGGAGACTGAGACAGGTGGGTCACTTGAGCTCAGGAGTTCGAGACCAGCCTGGGCAACGTAGTGACAGCCCGTGTCTACAAAAAATAAAAAAATTACCCAGTCATGGTGGCATGCACCTGTAGTCCCAGCTACTCGGGAGGCTGAGGTGGAAGAATCACCTGAGCCCAGGAGGCGGAGGTTGCAGTGAGCAGAGATTGCAACACTTGCACTCCAGCCTGGGCAACAGAGAGAGACCCTGTCTTGAAATAAAATGAAAGCTCAGCAGGGGAAAAAAATACCAAATTCATGTCAGCGTCCTGTTAAGTCTGGATACAATGTGAAGACCACACGGCCTGGTGGCAATGTTAGTGACCTGCATCTCCTGCAGCTGAAAGACGATTGTACTAAAAATAAGGACAAGATTTGATTGCAAGGGTGGTGGAGTTACAGAGGAAGATGAATTAATAGCCCTAACAAATCTCCTATGCCAAAATCACAGCACTGATAAGGTGAGGTCAGGACACTGATACATGGGATATTTGGGTAGATGCCTTTAAGAATCTAGACCCTTCTGAGCCAGTAGGTGTGCCCTTCTCACCTCCACCACCACTTGTTAGGAGGGCAACCTCCCATTGCCACCCTCCTTGCTTCTCTATTTTTTCTTTCTTTCTTTCTTTCTTTTTTTTTTAGGCAGAGTCTCACTCTGTTGCCTAAGCTGAGTGCAGTGGCATGATCTTGGCTAACCGTAACCTCCACCTCCCGGGTTCAAGTGATTCTCCTGCCTCAGCCTCCCGAGTAGCTGGGATTACAAGGGCATGCCACCACACCCGGTTAATTTTTGTACTTTTAGTAGAGACAGGGTTTCATTGTGTTGGCCAGGCTGGTCTCAAACTCCTGACCTCAAGTGATCACCCGCCTCAGCCTCCCAAAGTACTGTGATTACAGGCGTGAGCCACCACACCTGGCCACTTCTAGATTGATAAGTACGGTCAGGTCTCAGCGTGCTTTCAGTTGAAAAGTATGATTGTTGCCATTAAAGATAAGGGATTATTCACCAAAAGAGCTGTGGGAAAACATATGTGGGAATGGATTCCAAGATTGCTGGACTAATGAGGTTGAAAGATAAGGCTGGACATGGAAGATTTAATGATATGGAGACACACTTGTGGCTTTGGATTTAACATCCCAATGAGGATGCCTGGAGCTGATCCTAATATGGAATGGCTCCTTGAAGCTTGGAATCAGTGATAGTCTGTAGGAAAGAAAGGGGAGATGGCTTAGCAGAGTACTGAGGAGGAGGTCAAAAGCCTCAGAAAAGCCAAACACAGTGGCTCATGCCTGTAATCCCAGCACTTTGGGAGGCTGAGGCGGGAAGATCACTTGAGGCCAGGGGTTCAAGACCAGCCTGGGCAACATAGCAAGACCCCGCCTCTTAAAAAAAATAGCTGGGTGAGGTGGCATGCACCTATAGTCCCAGCTGCTCTAGAGGTTGAGGCAAGAGGGTCGCTTGAGCCCAGGAGTTCGAGGTTGCAGCGAGCTATTATTGTGCCACTGCACTCTTGTCAAAAAAAAAGAAAAAAAAAAGAAGCCTCAGAAAAATGAGTGTGTTAGAACGCATTTATTATGCAATTTTAGAGAACACTCCAGCTGACTATATTCCCTGGAAAGGCCAAGAAGACACTTCCTTCATTAAAATAATAAGGAATAAGCTAGTGAGGGGTTCCGTGGTGGCTGTCCTGTGTGGGCCAGGGTTAAAGGTAAAAGATGTGCTATGGAACTGGAGTCCCTAATATCAATGAGATGATAGGATTCAGGAATAGCACAGCCATGGGGCAGCACTTAACTGCCAGAGAAAATGTGGGTGTAATTACCATGATGAACAGCAAGGCCAGAAGAAAATCAAGAGTCCTAACCCACATGGCTTCAGAGCAACGGCTAATAAACAATGATGTTTCTAGGCACAAGATAAATGGTGGGTCAATGAGGATGTGGCTTAACTTACAAGATCAAAATAGATCAAGAGAGGGTGAGCAGAAAGTTGATTGCAATGGAAAAACATCATGATCTCTCACTGTTTTCCAGACATGAGCCAGTTTTTAGAGCACTTGCTTGAAGGGGGCTATACTCCCTTGAAGAAGGACCCTATAATGTTACATCAAGTGTATGCAAGTAGGTGTTCCCTCAACCCTTATCCCAAAGGGACCTATAGTCGTTTAGCACGGTAATGATGCACAGGGCTGTCCAGATCTTTTAAAGGCTATTGGATATAGAGCCTTTAAATGAGCTGACATTTGATACCACAAAGACCCAAAATGTCATCATGGTCCCCATACTTAGAGTAGGGGTATATGCAGGCTGGGTATTACATGGAGTCCTGGTATAAGTCAATTTTCTCAGTCCCGATTGCATTATTGAGATAGATACACTTAGTAGTTGGTTCCCTGGCCTGTGGGGTAAGAGTCATTGTAGTATGAAAGGCCAGACAGAAGCCCCTTAAACTATTCCTCCTACCAACCAAGATAGTAAATTAGAAGTAGTTGTACTGCATACTGGGTGGAATAGCAGAGATTACCACCATTCTTTCTTAAGGACCTACAAATCAGATTGACCAAGACAAATGATGGTGGATTCCCATAAATTTAAGCAAGTGGTAGTCCCAATCCCAGCTACTATATGAAATTTGCTATCTTTACTGACTAGATCAACACAGTGTATGATACTGAGTCTGCATCTATTAAGCTGGTGAATGTGTTATTTTTAACCTCCATTAGGAAAGGAGGTTAGTAGTAGTTTGCATTTACCTAAGACACAGAGCTGTACACATTCACTTGTCTTGCCTAGAGCTTGATTAACTCTCCTGCTCCCCGTTACAATATAGTCTAAAGGGACCTTGATTATCTTGATATTCTGAAGAACTTCATGCTGGTTTACCATATTGATTAAATCACATTAGTCAGACTTGGTAAGGAGGAAATGATAAGTATTCTGGAAGCCCTGGCAAGACACTTGAGGGCCAGAGGGTAACAGATAAATCCCATAAAAATTTAGGGAGAATACCATACCAGTGAGGTTTTCAGGGGCCCAGTGGTCTGGGGTATGCTGGAATATCTTCAAGTAAAAGACAAACGATTGTACCTTGTACCTCCTAGCACTGAAAAAGTGGCAGAGTACTTGGAAGCTCTCTTTGAATTTTGGAAATAGCACATACCATGGTTGGGAATATTATTCAGTCCCATTTATCAGATGCATTGGAAGGCAGCTGATTTTGAATTGGGCCTAGGGTAAAAGTGAGCTCTTCAGCAGGTCCAGGCTTCAGCAAAAGCAGCCCTGCCATGGGGCAGAGGGTGGGGAGGTCATATAATCCAGCACAATGGGGCTATAGGTACCTGTGATAGATAAGGGTGCTATGTGGCATCTCTGAAAAATTATTTTAGGAGAGTCATAGCACAAATCCCTAAGGTCCTGGAGAAAGGATTTGCTACCTGCAGCAGAGAGATAGCCATTATTTAAACATCAGTCCCTGGTAGACCAGAACCCTGGCTGAAACTGAGTGCATGACCATGGGGTGCTAGGTGACTGTTTGAGTGGAGCTAACCTTATAAGTTGGGTCCTGTCACATCCACCAAGTCACAAATTTGAGAACACAGTAGCAATCCATCATATGGTGGAATCGGTATGTTTGAGATTAGGCCCAAATAAAACTGAAGAGCTCAAATAATTTACACTGTCAGGTATCCCAAATCCCCATGCCGCCCACCTCTGTTGTACCAATACCTTTGTCTCAGCTCAAACCTAAGGCCTCGTGGAGAGTTCCATACAACCAGCTACTGTGAGCAGGAAAAAACTGGGTCTGGTCCATGAATGGAATGCCTTGATTTGTTGCTGTGCGTCAAAAATGGTCTGCCGCCCCCCTATGACTCCACCCATGGCTGTGATCCTCCTGGAAGGCAGAGCTCTATGTAGGATATCTGGCCATCAACTTTTGTGGAGGGAAAAGTGGCCTGGGATAAGTGTATTAATATTCCATTGTATGGCTATATTACCTTTTATTTATCCATGCATCAGTTGATAAACACTTGGGTTGTTTATACCAAGATATGCACTATTACACTTGTCCTTCGATATCCAAGGGGGATTGGTTCCAAGATACCCACCCGTACCAAAATCCACATGCTCAAGTCTCTGACATAAAATGACACACTATTTGCATATAACCTGTGTACATCCTCCTGCATACTTTAAATCATCTGTAGATTACTTATAATACCTAATGCAATGTAAATGCTATGTAAATGGTAGTTCTGTGTTGTTTTTTATTTGTATTATTTTTATTGTTGTATTATTGTTTTTAAAAATATATATTTCTTAAAAATATACATACATATATATTTTTTGAGATGGAGTCTCACTCTGTCACCAGGCTGGAGTGCAGTGGTGCGATCTCGGCTCACTGCAAACTCCGACTCCCTGGTTCAAGGGATTCTCCTGCCTCAGCCTCCTGAGTAGGTGGGATTACAGGCATGCTCCACCATGCCCAGCTAATTTTTGTGTTTTTAGTAGAGATGGGGTTTCACCACGTTGGCCAGGATGGTCTCGATCTCCTGACCTTGTGATCCACCCACCTCGGCTTCCCAAAGTGCTGGGATTACAGGCGTGAGTCACCATGCCCAGCCCCAAAAATACTTTTTTATTCAGCCACAGTTGGCTGAATCCAAGGATGTGGGACCTGTGGATATGGAGAACCAACTGTATAAATAATGCTGTTATAAATGTTTATGTACAAGTTTTTAATTCTCTTGTGTGGAATTGTTGGATCATATGATAATACTATGTTTAACTTTTTGGGCCAGGCATGGTGGCTCACGTCTATAATCCCAGCACTTTGGGAGACCAAGGTGGGTGGATTTCTTGAGCCCAAGAGTTCAAAACCAGCCTGGGCAACATGGTGAAACCCCATCTCTACCAAAAATACAAAACTTAGCAAGGGATGGTGGCTCACGCGTGTAGACCCCGTTGCTTGGGAGACTGATGTGGGAGGATCACTTGAACCTGGTGAGGTTGAGGCTGTAGTGATCCATGACCATACCACTGTGTTCCGGCCTGGGCAATAGTGCAAAGACCCTGTCTCAAAAAAAAAAAAAAAGGAAAAGAAAAAAAAAACTTTTTGGAGTTAAAAAAAATTTTTTTGAGAGAGTCTCTCTCTGTTGCCCAGGCTGAAGTTCAATGGCAAGATCTCGGCTCACCGCAACTTCTGCATTCCAGATTCAAGTGATTATCCTGCCTCAGCCTCCGGAGTAACTGGGATTACAGGTGCCTGCCACCACACTTGGCTAATTTTTGTATATTTAGTTGAGACAGGGTTTCACCATGTTGGCCAGGCTAGTCTCAAAACTCCTGACCTCAAGTGACCTGTCCTCCTCGGCCTCCCAAAGTGCTAGGATTACAGGCATGAGGCACCATACCTGGCCTGGAGTTTTTTTTTTAAAAAACAATTTTACATTATTACCAGTCATGTAGAAAGGTTTCAATTTCTTCACACCCTCACCAAGGTTGGTTATTTTATGGTTTTTTTTTTAAATTATTACACCTATCCTAATGGGTGTAACATGGTATCTCATAGTGGTTTAGGTTTTAATTTTCCTGGTGGCCAATGAAAGATTCACTTTTCTTTCTTATAAGCTTAACCATGCACTTTATTTTTTAATTTTTATTTATTTGTTTATTTAAGACAGGGTCTCAATCTTTTGCTCAGGCTGGAGTACAGTGGTGCAAACAGGGCTTACTGCAGCCTCTACCTCCTGAGCTCAAGCAATCCTTCCACCTCAGCCTCTTGAGTAGCTGGAACTACAGGTGTGAGACACCATGCCTGGCTAGTTTTCTTTAATATTTTTTGTACAGATGGGGTTTCACCATGTTGCCCAGGCTGGTCTTGAACTCCTGGGCTCAAGTGATCTGCCTGCCCAGCCTCTCAAAGTGCTGGGATTACAGGTGTGAGCCACCACACCCAGCCAACCACGCATTTAAAAAAAAAAAAAAAAAAAAGCTGGTTATATTACTGTTTGTAATAGGCAGACCCAGAATACTTTCCCCACTACTTTCTCTGCAATCAAGGATTAATATTGAGTTTTTAAAAGATTAGAATTGGCCAGGTGTGGTGGCTCACACCTGTAATCCCAGCACTTTGGGAGGCCAAGGTGGGCAGATCACTTGAGGTCAGGAGTTCGAGACCAGCCTGTTCAACACGGTGAAACCCTGTCTGTACTAAAAACACAAAAATTAGCTGGGCCTGGTGGTGCGTGCCTGTAATCCCAGCTACTCAGGAGGCTGAGACATGAAAATCGCTTGAACTTGGGAGATGGAGGTTGCAGTGAGCTGAGATTGTGCCACTGCACTCTAGTCTGGGCGACAGAGCAAGACTCTGTCTCAAAAAAAAAAAAAAAAAAAAAAAAAAGATTAGAATTAAGCATAGAAATCCATGGCTAGAGGAAGCAGTATGTTTTAGATTAGCTAGGATTGGTATTAGAAGAACATTTCATATTAAAGTTTTTATCATATGGCATAACTGTCATAGAAATTTGAAATTAGATGGCTATTAGCAAGTCATAGAGTTTGTTAAAGAAATGGGCCACCCAGTCCCTGCAGAAGGCTCATTATGGGGGCATATATTGGGGAGATATGGGAATTGCTCAAGCCTAGCTTCTCCTGTATTCAGAATCTTCTCATGCTCTGGGTTCAATATATCCTAGTCCCATAATTTAAAACATGGGATTAAAACTACATCCAAGTGGCCATTCAGCCCGCCCCACTGGGTTGTCAGTATGACAACACAGCTGCAAATCATTCATTCATTCATGTGTTCAAGCAATAGTTATCCAGTATCAAGAGCCTAGCATTGAGAACAGTGGCCATAATTGCTCTAGGCACAGCATACATGATGGTCAACAAGGCAAAGTGGGTCCCTGTTCTCCCAAATCTTATATTACAGCACTGTGTGGAACTGGATAGCCTCTGAGTGTTCCTGGACCTGCTACTCTCCTGTGTGCAGTTTCTACCCTCAGACAGGACAGTAGCTTCTTCAAGACAGCCCCCATGGCAACTTTAGAATGCAATTAGAATGATCCAGATAGACTGTCAAGTGTGCAATTTCACAAAGAGACAATCTGGATTTAATTAGAAAGAGGATTCCATTAACCCATTATTCAATCAACTGAAAGGCCCTCTAACCTGAAAATTTGGAAATGCAAATGAAGGCAGACACAGTCAGAGAGATTTTTAATATCTAAGTGTCCAAGGTCAGATTACAGCTCACTCCACATGCATGGTTAATACTCTCCAAGCTTTTTCTCAGTAATTACTGTAAAAAGGTTTGAGATACCTTGAGCATAATCATAGTTCCAGGAAAACACATTACACAGCATATTAATTACATTGGTTGCTAAAAATATGGGGGACCAGGGGGGACAACTGCATAAGGGTTGGGGCTGTGGGACAGCCAGAATGAAATAATGCACTTACTTCAACCTGTAAAAAATGCAAACCAGAACGTCTGGGAGAAGCATCACCTGGAACCCAGATGGTCACGGGAGGAACACTGCTGATAGCCTGATGGTCAGAAGGGGATTTGGCAAAGCTGCAGAGCATGGCGCTCTGGCTGAGCCCCATAGGGGAGGCATAGGCCTGCCCTGCAGGAGCCTCCACTGTGATGAGGAAGAGCCATGGGCCACAAAATAGCTTCACAAGTTTGATGACAAGCCCTGCAGAATGCTGTAACTGAAAGGGCAGTGAAACAAACTGATCAAACCTTACACTCCCACATGAATGATTTGCTGTGGTCAACTTGATCACCCTTCTCAAAACTGGCCTGAAGTTTCCCATGCTGGAACATCCTCCATTCTTTTTTCATGTATCAATTTCCATTTATCACTGAAGACTCACTACAAATGTGACCTCTTGGACCAGTTAGCCCACATTGATCTCTCCCTTCCCCAACCATCAATGACTTACAAAGTCCATGGATTGGTCACCGACTTCCTTGGATAAGGAACCAGACCTTTATTCAGCTCCACCTCTCTTGGAGTATAGTGCCTGTGCCCATATGGTTCTTGCCCTCACAGAGCTCAAACTGTATATCTTTTAGGTAGTTCTCTTCTTGACTGAGAGGCAATAAAACATACAAATCTCAAAGAGCTGGTCACATCAGCCAGGGCTTGTAGGTCCAGAAGGGCCAGCCAGGAAATGTGGAGCAGAACAGGGAAATAAGAGCAATGCAAAGCCTCAGATGCACCCAGGCAGCTGTTGGAGGCTTCAGGGTTAACCCTCCAGTCCCAGCTCCTCACACTGCCTGGGTCATCAAGGTAGGGCTGGGACCCTGGGGAAAAGGAGGCCAGGATCCAGGATGATCCAGGCCACCTGGGAAATTCTTCCCTCAATGATGTTGCTTAACTCTTTGTGAACTTAACTACTGCTGTTTGGGTTGAGAGAAATGCAAAGTAGACCGGAAAGAGTCTTAACCTGGGAGGCAGGAGGCCTGGGTTCTATTTCTGGTTTCGATTCGTTACCATTGAATGGCTTCGGACAAGTCATTTAAAGCTCTCAAATTCAATTGCCTCACCTGAAAATGGGGATAAAGGACGTCTGATCTGCTTGTTGGAGTGGACCTAAACCAGAGGGACTCTTGAATTTATTTCCAGATCTAATATATATTATATTTCATCTTTTTATTCTGCAATATTATACCCAGGAAAGTACATAAAACTGATGGTTCCAGATGAATGTAGAGTTTAATCCTTCTTACTGACCACCTGGGTAATCAGCACAGTTCAAGAAAGACATTATTATTATTATTATTATTATTATTATTATTATTTTGAGATGGAGGACTCTCACTCTGTCGCCCAGGCTGGAGTGTAGTGGCACGATCTTGGCTCACTGCAACTTCTGCCTCCTGGATTCAAGCTATTCTCCTGCCTCAGCCTCCCGAGTAGCTGGGACTACAGGTGTGTCCCACCATGCCTGGTTAATTTTTTTTTTTTTTTTTGTATTTTTAGTAGAGATGGGGTTTCACTGTGTTAGCCAGAATGGTCTTGAACTAATGACCTCTTGATCCACCCACCTCGGCTTCTCAGCCTCCCGGCCTCCCAAAGTGCTGGGATTACAGGTGTGAGCCACCGTGCCCAGCCAGAAAGAGATTATTTCTAGCACCACTGAAGCACCCCCAGTTGCCTCTTCCTAGTCACAGCCCTCTTCCTCCCCAAGAGGAATACACTATGCTGAAAATAATAGTAGTCACATCCTACCTAAGTATGCAAGTCTAGGCTAGGTAGTTTGGCTGCTGATTTCTTAAATATCATATAGATGGAATCATGTAGTGTTTATTCTTTTGTATATGACTTCTTTGCTCAAAATTGTGTTTGTGAGATTTGTTTATGTTGCTGCACGTAGCTGGGTTCATTTTTGTTGCCATATAATCTATTATATGAATAAATAAACTATGGTTGATGGACATGTGGATTGTTTCTAGTTTGAGGCTATTGTGGACAATACTGCTATGAACATTCTTGCCCATGTACATTCTTGTACAGGAATTTCTGGGTTATGGTATGAGTATGCATATCTTAAACTTTAGTAACAAATGCCATTTTTCCAAGATGGTTATGCCAATTGACACTCCCATCAACAGTATAAGAGAGTTCCCCTTGCACTACACCCTAGCCAATGCCTAGTGCTGCCAGATGTTTAAGGAAAACTTTACCCATCTGATGGGTATGTAATAGAATCTTGTACTTTTCCTTAATTAATAAAATTGAACCACTTTCCTTAAATGTATTCACCATTTGGACTTCCCTTTTTGTGATGTGTCTGTTCAATTACTTAACCATTATTTAAATTATGTTGTCTTTTTCTTATTGATTTCTAGGTGCTCTTTCTTGTCGGTTATATGTGTGGAACACATCTTGCCTCATTCCATGGCTTATCTTTTTACTCTCTTACTGGTATCTTTTGAACAAAGCTCTTAACTAAAAACAAAGGTCTTAATGTAGAACAATCTTCTTTTTTACGGTTGGTACTGTTGTGCATCTTATGAAATCTTTACCTATCCTAAGGTCATGAAAATATTCCCCTATCTTCTCTTATACATTTCTTACTATTCTGTCTTTAATTTTTAGGACTCCAATCTATTGAGAATTTTCCGATCCATCTGAAATTTGATTTTTGTTGATGGTATGGAATAAGAGTCATTTTTTTCCACATTGATAACCTCTTATTAGAAAGACAATCTTTTCCCAGTGTACAGCGTTGTTTTTTTGTCATATATCGACTGTCTGTCTATGCGCAATTTATTTCTAGATCCTCTATTCTATTCCATCAGTTCAATGGTTTAATTTTTTATCTTTGTACCAATACCACACTGACTTAGTTACTCTACTTCATAGTAAATCCTGATATCTGCTAGAACAAGTCCTCTTACCTCTTCTTCTACCTTGGATAAGCTTTACCTTTTACATTTCCATATAAATTTTAGAATCTGCTCATTTGTTTCCTAGAAGAATCTTGTGATTTTAATTGAGACTGTATTGAGTCTATTGATCAATTTAGAGACATTTTACATATTTACAATATTGGCTTCTGATCCATGAACATGGTACCTCATTTTTTTTTTTTTTTTGGCCTTCTTTAAATCTCTCCAATTTTATAGTTACCTTTATTGAGATCTTGAAATTAGACCATCCACAGCAGCCACTGCCCTCAGGACCTTCTCAGTGCTTCTCTCTGGTGCCACCATTCACCCAGATCTCCCTGTCCACAATTCCACTTTCTCTTCAAGCCTACACCAATTCAAGGGGACAGAGACCTCTACCTTTACCTTCCTAAGCCTGTTCACCATTTCTTTTTTAAGCTATCTCAAATGTTACTACTCACCTCTATAACAACCTAACAGTGAACACAGCTCCCTGTTAGCCCTGATGTTCCCTGCTGGTGCCACACAAATTGCTGGCAAGTGGCCTTCATGAGTTGGTGGTTCTTGCTGTGGAAACTTCCCTTGAGTCCTGTCTTCTCACAGTAGCCTGTACATCCCCATGGTAGTGCTTCAGCTCTAGAAATGCTCCTAACATGTTAAGGTAGGTTTCTCAATCTCTAGGTTTAATGGTGTCAAAAACTCTATACTTCCCCAAGTCTACACTCCTCGTCCAAGATCAGGGGACATCTGTAGCAGGCATTGAGGCCAAGGAGACTCTGATGGACACTGAGGAAAAGCACCCCTTCACCTCAGTGCAGTGCATAGATGCTCCACAGGACAGACGACCGTATTATCTGTGGTCCACATTCCCTTAGCTAATTCAGGCACATCGTGTGACTTCTCTCAACCTTAGATTCCTCATCTGTAAAACTGAGATAACACTTGCCTTGGCAGATTCTGTAGATTAGATGATTTAGCCTCTATTTCAACCATATTGTCTACTGTCTTACTTTAAAAAAGGCTGGCAAGTGACATGCTCACATCTCCACTCTCTGTTGTAGAAAAAGGTGGCCATGATACCACACAGCTCTAACTAATCAGATGCAGACAGAAGACCCCAGGGAGGCCTTCCATTCCAGAATAAAAAGTCAATGTCTGACAAGGAAGAGGTTACTGAATGTTGCTATTTGCTTTTTTTTTTTTTTTTTTTTTTTTTTGAGGCAGGGTCTCACTCTGTCACCCAGGCTGGAGTGCAGTGGTGCGATCTTGGCTCATGGCAACCTCTGCCTCCTGGGTTCAAGCAATTTTTGTGCCTCACTCAGCCTCCCACTCTCAAGTAGCTGGAACTACAGACATGTGCCACCATGCAAGGTTAATTTTTGTATTTTTAGTAGAGATGGGGTTTCACCATGTTGGCCAGGCTGGTCTTGAACTTTTGGCCTCAAGCAATCCACCTGCCTCAGCCTCCCAAAGTGCTGAGATTACAGGTATGAGCCACCATGCCCAGCCTGCTATTTGCTTTTTGCCTTCCTCAATCATCTTCCTTTCTGCCTTGAACTTGGATGACATGTCTGGAGGTACAGCATCTATTCTATTCTAGTCTGTTCTATTCTATTCTATTGTAGAAGTAAAAACACACTAACGATGGTAAGGCAGGTAGATAAAAGAAGCCCAGTTCTTCATAATGGCTTCGGCAAGCCATACAGTTCTGAATTTCCTAGCCTGAACATCTGTTTATGTGAGAAAAATAAACCCCTTACTTGTTTAAGTATGTGATAGGATTTTCTAATGCTTATGACCAAAAGCATTCTTGATACACATACGTACAGGGTTATGATGAGAAAGACAGCAAATGTAAAGTCCCAATAGTACCTTGGTGCTTGGTGATTGTTCAATAAATAGTATCTATGATTACAGACCCTTTTGTGTGAGTCCATTTACCCAGACAGACTAGGAACTTCCTGAAGGCAAAAGCCTAGAAAATGAACTAGGCATATAGTGGAGGTCAGTACTAACTGGGTTGACCTGAACCGAAACTGAATTCCCTCCTGGGCAAACTGTTATCTATTTAGGTGACCCAGCAGAGGATAGATGCATCAATCAGTTTACTGAAGTAAGCAGAAATCACTCTAATTATTTTATGCGGAAAGGGATGTAATACAAAAAATTTTTGGAAGAAATTTGTGATGTGGAAGTCAAGGTTCTGCAACCAGGCTATCAAATACATAATTATACCACTGAAACTGTTAGGAACCCACTACTGCTACTACCTCTGTGAACACCACAGCTGACCCTCATCCCACAAAGCAAGACACTAGACATTGGAACTCTGAGTCCAGATGCTGCCACAGCCTTCGTACTCTTTACTTTGTTTATCAGCAACAGCAGGAAGATGGTCTTCTTCTCACTTCTTACTTCCAAATGCCACCTGACTGTTTATTTGGTAAAAGCTGCTTTGAATCCAGAAACCTAGTGTGTAGCTTTTCAATGCCTCTAACTAAGAGAAGGTAGAATGGAGATTGAGAGGCCAATTTTTGCAGTAGGGACATGGAGAGGAGAGGAGATGGATAATAGAAGGGGAGGGAGGAAAAGATGGAACCTGTACCTTTCCTGTGGTTCTGTTGGAGGCAGCAAGGACAGAGAATCAACCATAGTATTTTCTGATCACTGATGGTTTTGCAAATATAAATTCTGACAGGCATGCAGACAGCTCCTGGGGAAGGAGTAAAGCAGACCACATGCTCATATGTGTCCCATTCTCTTAGTGAAGTAGACAGACAACGATGAGCTGAGGAAGACATACCAAGGGGAGCAGCCTCTGTGAGTTGACATGCTTGGGTCATTTTTCTTCTGTCTGGCTCCACTGCACTTTAGAGAGGGGGCCAGTGAAGAGGAGGGAGGCTAGAGGTACTGTCATTCTGCTCTCTCATTCCAGGCTTGGTCAGGGAGACACTGTCTGTCTGAGACTTGGGTTGTAAGTCCATGAAGGCCTCTATTCACCCAGCATCTCTCCAACCAACACTCAGAGCCAGCATTATGGTTTCCACATCACTGTGTGACAGGCCCTGTGCTAATTGTTTTGTGTGTGGGTTCGACAGTCAACAAATACTCATTTAACAAATATTGGAAAGGTACAATACTTTTTGTGTATTAAGCTGGGTTCTAGGTGAAGAAAGGACATAAAAATTTGTGCCCATATAGAGGTATGAATGACAGCCATGATCCCTCAGTTGTAGGAATTTCACATTATCTTTGTAGGCCAAAATAGATCAGCTCTGAGAACCCTGGCCCTTTAACATCTAAAGCAGCCCTGACCTTCCATGCCAGTGCTATGTTCCTTTTCCCCCACTACTGAGTCATACTTAGATCCCTGGGGCCTGGTCCTTAGCCCTATGTGGTTAATACTGTTCTTGCATCTTTTGCTGTCCATTGCCAGTCCTCCCTACCTCTCATGCACTGCTGTTCTTGGTGGGCTACTGATTTACCCATCACAGTCATCCTATCTTTCGACACCACTCTTGTGCCATTCTAGCTTTCCTCCAACTCAAGTTTCCCTAATGTCTCAGAGGTAGATGCTCCCATGACATAGTAGCATCCTCCACTTGCAGGAAGACTCCCAGATGAGAGTCTTCTGCTTGTGTGAATGTTCCTCAAAGAAATTCTCCCATTTTTCTGAGTGAGAGGGAAAATGGCTCACTGGAGAAGCAGCTGCAAAGCCTAAGGACACTGCCTTACTGGGGCCTGATTGCCATCACCAGGGATTCTGACTCAGCAGGACATAGAGCAAATGCACCCGGTTCTACCAGTAGCGGTGGCCACTCTGCGACAGCCTCTCTAGATAAATCCAGCCTGCCCTACAAGCTGATGCCAAAACTCAGAAACATCAACACACTAAAGGAGACCTTCAGAGATGCAGAAAATGCAGTTGATTCAATATCCATTCATAAAAAAAAATAAAAATAAAATACTATTAGCATCTTCCTATTCCCTTTAAAGGCCAGAATAAGACAATGGCGCTTCTTTTCAATAAGCTAAGGGAGAGCCTAGCCATGCTAGGAAAAAAAAAGATACTGGTAAACAAACAAACAAACAAACAAAAACAGGCTGGGTGCAATGGCTCACATCTGTAATCCCAGCACTTTGGGAGGCTGAGGCAGGTGGATCATCTGAGGTCAAGAGATCAAGACCAGCCTGGCCATCACGGTGAAACCCTGTTTCTACTAAAAATACAAAAATCAGCTGGGCGTGGTGAGGGGGCGTCTGTAATCCCAGCTACTCGGGAGGCTGAGGCAAGAGAATGGCTTGAACCTGGGAGGCAGAGGTTGCAGTGAGCCGAGATTGTGCCATTGCACTCCAGCCTGGGCAACAAGAGCAAAATTCCATCTCAAACAAACAAACAAACAAAACCCATACATATCTCTATTAAAGCATAAATCAATTAGTACAAAGATGTCAAAAAATGTATTGGAAATAAAGTAAACCATCATTATTTGTACAACAATGCATAGAAAAATCCAAAATAATCTATAGTAAAATTATTAAAACAAAGAGTAGGAGAAGGTGAAAACATTAATTGCATTCATATATGGCAACAAGAAATACTTGTAAAATATAATTTAAAATACTGTCAAAATAGCAAAACAAAACAAAGCTTAAGTTCACTAAGAATAAACCCAACCAACATATCCCAGGAGAAAATTTAATGGAGAAAATTATACAACACTATTAGAAGATTTTAAAACAGATCTAAGTAAGTGTGGATTTTATATATCTCTTAGTTTCATATGTGATGAAACCCAAAATTGTAACTATGGCAGTTATCTCCAAATTAATATATGAAATCAGTATAGTTTTGGGCAATAGGGTTTTTGTGGAAATGAAAAATTTGATCCTAACGTTCATATGGAACAGTGAAGAATTAAAAACAGCCAACACAATTTTGAAGATGATAGGAGGAGAGACTTCCCAGCCAGATATTAAAATCTCATATAAAGCTATGGTAGCTAAGGGAGTGTGATATTGGAATAAACATTGACAAATAGAAAAACCTAATGGGTAGAGAGGCCACAAACATGTCTAAGTCTATATGGATGTCTGATACATGATAGAGGTAGAATTTTGAGTCAGAAGTAAGAAATGTTGAAAACATTGGTTATTCACACATAAAAAGTTAGATCTGTAGCTCATGCCACACACAAAATAAATTCTGGACAGATTGAAGACCTAATTATGAAAAAGCAAAACTTAAAACCTTTTAGAGGAAAATATAAGAGCATATTCATATGACCTTGGAGTAGGAAAGGATGTCTTAAATTAAGAAAAAAAAACATCAACAACAATGGAAAATAAATTCAACTACATTAAAAATAAAAAGTTTGTATAGGTCAGGCACGGTGGCTCACGCCTGTAATCCCAGCACTTTGGGAGGCCAAGGTGGGCGGATCACTTGAGGTCAGGAGTTCAAGACCAGCCCTGCCAACATGGCGAAAGCCTGTCTCTTCAAAAATACAAAAATTAGCCAGATGGGGTGGTGCGTGCCTGTTATCCCAGCCACTCAGGAGGCTGAGGCAGGAGAATCACTTGAACCCAGGAGGCAGAGGTTGCAGTGAGCTGAGATCGCGCCTCTACACGCCAGCCTGGGCAACAGAGTGAGACTTTGTCTCAAAAAAAAAAAAGTTTGTACAAAAAAATCACAATTGAGAAATCAAGTTATTGATTGGGAGATGATCTATGCACTGCATTAAACCTACAAAGGGTCAGTATGTAGAATATATAAAGAACTATGAAGCATTGAGGAAAAAACTAACAATGCAAAGGAGAAAATATGGTCAAACAAGGAATTCACAGAAAAGGAAAATCTAAGTGGCCAGTAAGGGAGAAAAACTGCACAGCTGCATAAGCAGTCAGATATGCAAAATTAAGAGAATATGATATACCATTTCACACTCAACAGACTGGCAAAAATTAATAACTGTGGTGCCACATGGACTCTCATACAACCAATTTGGGGAGGAGCTACTAAATATAAGATTATATACACTAGAAATCAACAATTAATTACTACCAGCTAAATAGGAACTGTCATACTTATACATGAGAAAACATGTACAAAATTTTCATGTCAGTATAGTTTACAATAGAAAAATATTGTAATCAACCTGAATGTCCATCAATAAGAGAATGAATGAATAAATCAATTGTGATATAATTAGGATCAACACAGATAAATATTCAAAAAATGTGAGTGAAAAAATAAAATTATGGGGCACTTAAGTATGATACAATTTATATAAAGTTTAAAAATAGGCAACACAATGCTATATATTATTGATAGATACCTATACATGTAGTTTGGGTAGGAATGATGAACACCAAATTCAAGCTAGTTGTTATCTCTGAGGGCAAAGAGAAGAGAATTGCAGACTGGTTTACAAGGGCTTCAACTCTATCTGTAATATTTTATTTCAATTTATAAATAAAAGGGTCAGAAGCTGAATGGATAAAGAAAATGTGGTACTTCGCACAATGGAGTACTATTCAGCCATAAAAAAGAATGAGATTCTGTTATTTACAACAAGATGGATGGAACTGGAGGTCATTATGTTAAGTGAAATAAGCCAGACACAGAAAGACACATCACATGTTTTCACTTATTTGTGGGATCTAAAAATCAAAACAATTGAACTGATGGAGATAGAGAGTAGAAGAATGGTGGCCAGAGGCTGGGAAGGATAGGGAAGGTTGGGGGAAAGTGGGGTTGCTTAATGGGTACCAAAAAGCAGAAAAAATGAGCAAGACCTAGTATTTGATAGCACAATAGAGTAACTGTAGTGAATAACAATTTAATTGTACACTTAAAAATAACTGAAAGAGTATGATTGGATTGTGACACAAAGGATAAATGCTTGATATAATAGATATCCCATTCTACATGATGCAATTAATACACATTGCATGCCTATATCAAAACATTTCATGCATCCCATAAATATATACACCTACCATGTACTCACAAAAATTAAAATTAAAAAATTTGTTTTTAAAGGTTGGAAGCAAAGGTGGCAAAATGCTAAGATTTGACAAGGTGAGTGATAGGTACATACATAAACTTTTTTTGTTTTTGAGATAGGGTCTCACTCTGTCACCCAAGCTGGAGTGCAGTGGTGCTATCTCAGCTCACTGCAAGCTCCATCTCCTGGGTTCCAGTGATTCTCCTGCCTCAGCCTCCCGAGTAGCTGGAATTACAGGCATACGCCACCACGCCCAGCTAACAATTGTATTTTTAGTAGAGATGTGGTTTCACCATGTTGGCTGGGCTGGTCACATATACCTTTTTTTGGTGCCTGAACTATCTCCTAACTTTAAAAATGATATGGAAAAGAGCTACCTTGGAGGTCAGCTGTCTGTCTCAAGAACTCTTTCATTATTCCAGGAATGCTTCCTTACAGAAGGGAGGGTTGGAACAGTCCATACCAAAATAGCCATACTGTCAGCTGGAGAAGGTTTCATTAGTCCTTTACTTCCAGCCCAAATGCTATCACTCCATTTTCATGGATCTGGTTGCTAGTAAAGGTTCTTACATGTGGGCTGCAGCCTGCTTCCTGGGCGTCCTTCCTTCTTCCTTCACTGTCAGAGAGAAGAATGTGGCCGCCGTCCCAGGAAGCAGGATTCTCTCCCTCATTCGCTCACTGTACCTCCCCTTCCCCCACAGTCCTCTGTCTTTTTTCATTTCATTATTTTTAACTTTGTAGTATGAAAAATTTTAAACATACAAAAAGTCAAGAAAATGGTAAAATGAACTGGGTGATAGATCATCTCCCAGTTTCACGAGTTATTAATATTAATACTTGCCAATCTTATTTCATAAATCTTCCTGATGTTTTCCTTTTTTGTCTGCAGTATTGTAAAGCCAATCCCAGATGTCATTTTATTTCATTCATAAATACTTCAGTGTTAACAGATGACTTTTTCCAATTACCGGGCCGGGCGCGGTGGCTCACGCCTGTAATCCCAACACTTTGGGAGGTCAAGGCGGACGGATGACCTGAGGTCGGGAGTGCGAGATCAGCTTGACCAACGTGGAGAAACCCCATCTCTACTAAAAATACAAAATTAGCTGGGCATGGTGGTGCATGCCTGTAATCCCAGCTACTCAGGAGGCTGAGGCAGGAGAATCACTTGAACCCGGGAGGCAGAGGTTGTGGTGAACCGAGATCGTGCCATTGCACTCTAGCCTGGGAAACAAGAGCAAAACTCTGTCTCGAAATAAAATAAAATTACCATAACACTATTATCACATCTAACAAAATAAAGAGTAATCCCTCAACATCTTACCAACACAGTAATACAGTATTACTCTTAGACCTGGGCCAGACCCCATTCTTTAGAGGTTCATATATATATATGTATATTTTATATTTTATATATATTATATATATAATATAAAATATATTTATATTATATATTATAAAATATATTTATATAATATATAATATATATATTTATATACATTTATATATATAAATAAATAATATAAATATATTTTAGAGACAGGGTTTTGCTATGTCACCCAGGCTGGTCTCGAACTCCTGAAGCTCAAGCAATTCTCCCACCTTAGCCTGCTGAGTAGCTGGGACTATAGGGGTGCGCCATCACACCTGGCCAAGGTTCTTACATATTTCTAACACCAACAAATAAATAAATAAATACATAAGTATTAAAGAATATGTGGGTACCTCTATCACCCTGGATTAAGCATACAGCCCTAGCACAAATGACCCATAGCCTAACATCTACTCTTGTGACTCACACCATTCAGGCCTCTGGGAAATGCTCTTGTTCCCCCAATGCCCCACCAGCCTCTGAGTAAGAGGTGCCTGCCTCCAAATACTGAGTAAGCATCAGAGCTGGGCAGTTTTTGAGGTTAGAGATGGGTCCACTTCTGGGAGCCTGTGGATTTTAGCAGCAGAAGCACTTAAGCAGAGAAAGACAAATTAATTAACTTGTCAAATCATTCCTCTTAGAGAGTGTGATGTGAATGCAGTACATTCTTGCATGATAAATGTCTGCCTCAGTAGTGCCAAGAGACCATTTCCTTGCTTCTCTTCATATTCTAGTTCAGAGTTCTGGGCACACTAGTGAATTAGCAAAAAATTTGCAATAGCTGTATATGGTAACTGAGGAACATTTTGCAAAAGTAAACAATTCATACTACTTTTAAATTTGTATCTGCTAGATCTAGATGTCCTGTCCCTGAAGTATAATGCTGATTCTTTACATTAGCAATTAGATAGACAATAAATGAGGCCGGGTGCTGTGGCTCATGCCTGTAATCCCAGCACTTTGGGAGGCCAAGGCCGGTGGATCACCTGAGGTCAGAAGTTCAAGACCAGCCTGGCCAACATGGTAAAACCCTGTCTCTACTAAAAATACAAAATTTAGTCAGGTGTGGTGGCACACGCCTGTAATCCCAGCTACTTGGGAGGCTGAGGCAGGGGAATCGCTTGAACCCAGGAGGCGAAGGTTGCAGTGAGCCGAGATCATGCCACTACGCTCCAACTTGGGTGACAGAGTGAGACACTGTTTCAAAAAAAAAAAAGATAGACAATAAATGCTAACATTGTGATTATTTTTAATAAAAATACTTAAGATGTAATTAAATTTTTTAAAAGTAAAAATTTCAGCTTTAGTCAAATAATTTGGATTTAAACTTTTGATAATCATTCCTTATTATTTGTATTTTGCCTTTTAATTCAATGGGTAATTAAGAATATTTCAAACATTTTCTGTAAGGGTCCACGTAGTAAATATTTGAGGTTTTGCAGACCATGTATGGCATACAGTCTCTGTGCTATATTTTTTTGTGTGTTTGTTTGTTTTTACAATCCTTTAAAAATGTTAATACCAACCACAATGAGATACCACTTCATAGCCACTAGGATGGTTAAAGTAAGAAAGACAGACAATAACAAGTGTTAGCAAGGATGTGGAGAAATTGAAAGCATCACACATTGCTGGTGGGAATATAGAAGGTACAGCCTCTTTGAAAAAAAAGCTTGGCGGTTCATCACATGGTGAAACCCACGACCCAGCAATTCCACGCCTAGGTATACACCCAAGAGAATTAAGAACATGTGTTCACACAAAAACCTGTACATGTATATTCATAGCAGCATTATTCGTAATAGCCCTAAAGTAGAAACAACCTAAATGTCCACCAACTGATGAGTGGATAAACAAAATGTGGTACATTGTGGTATAATAAAAAATGTATTTGATCTTTGTCTGCAGTTCCTGGCCCAGAGCTCCTGAAACTCTGGGAGTTTCCTGAGTGATAGGAGCATCTAGTTATTCATTTCAAGCCCCTTTGACTACACCTGAGGTTTTTTTGTGTTTTGTTTTGGGTGGGGGCATTGAGATGGTGTTTTGCTATTTTGGCTGGGGCTGGTTTCAAACTGGACTCAAGCAATCTTCCTGCCTCATGAGGCCTCCCAAGTAGCTGGGACTACAGGTGCACACCACGGGGCCTGGCATACATTTTTATTTATTTATTTATTTTTGAGACAGAGTCTCGCTCTGTCACCCAGGCTGGAGTGCAACAGCTGATCTCAGCTCACTGCAACCTCCACCTTCCAGGTTCGAGCGATTCTCCTGCCTCAGCCTCCCGGGTAGCTGGGATTACAGGCATGTGCCACCACGCCAGGCTAATTTTTGTATTTTTATTAGAGACGGGGCTTCACCACGTTGGCCAGGCTAGTCTCGAATTCCTAACCTCAGGTAATCCACCCACCTTGGCCTCCCAAAGTGCTGGGATTATAGGTGTGAGCCACCGCGCCCAGCGCTGGCATACATTTTAGTTTTGTTAATGGGGTGACTCATGGTGGAGCCCCTTGATAGCTTCAGGATGCTGGTCATCAGAAAGACCCAACATGTGATTAGAGGATGGGAACTTTCAATGCCCTCCCCTAACCCCCTTCCCTATCTCCAGGAAGAGCAGGGGAGCTGGAGATTGAGTTATAAAAACTCTTGAACAACGAGCTTCTGGAGGGTGGTGTGTCCAAGGAGGGCATGGAAGCTCTGTGCCCCACCCCACATCCCTTGCCCTACGCATCTCTTCCATTTGGCTATTCATTTGTATCCTTTATAATACACCAATAATTGTAAGTAAAGCACTTTCCTGAGTTCTGTGAGTTATTCTAGAGAATTACTGAACCTGAGGGTCGGGGTGGGGGTGGGGTCACGAATTTGGAGTCAGACGGACAGAAGTGTTAGTAGCCTTGGAACCCCATTTATGGCTGACACCTGAAGTGGGAGCACTCTTGTGGGACTGAGCCCTTAACCTGTGGGGTCTGTGCTAACTCTGGATAGTTAGTGTTAGAACTGAATTGAATTGTAGGACACAGAGTCATGCTGGAGAATTGGTTGTTGGTGTGGAAAAACAGCAGGTATTTGGTGTCAGTGAAAAAAAACACATTTGGTGCCAGAGTGTTATCAGAAAGTACTACACATATAGCCATACAATGAAATATTACTTATATATAGTATATGCTACAACATGAATAACCTTGAAAACATTATGCTAAGTAAAAAAATTTGGATATAACAGGTCATATATTATATGATTTTATTTATATGAAATGTCGAGAAAAAGCAAATTCATAGAGACAGAAAGTAGATTTGTGGTTTTGAGGGACTGGGGGCTAGGAGAATGGGAAGTGATTGCTAATGGGTCATGTTTCATTTTGGGGTGATGAAAAGTGTTCCAGGATTAGATTGTGGTGATGGTTGCACAATTCTGTGAATATTCTGAAAACCACTGAATTGTATATTTTAAAAAAGTGGGCCGGGTGCAGTGGCTCACGCCTGTAATCCTAGCACTTTGGGAGGCCAAGGCAGGTGAATCACCCGAGGTCAGGAGTTTGAGACCAGCCTGGCCAACATGGCAAAAACCCGTCTCTACTAAAAATACAAAAATTAGCTGAGTATGGTAGCGTGTGCCTGTAATCCCAGCTACTTAGGAGGCTGAGGCAGGGAGAATTGCTTGAACCTGGAAGGTGGAGGTTGCAGTGAGCCGAGATTGCACCACTCCACTCCAGCCTGGGCAACAGAGCAAGACTCCATCTCAAAAAAAAAAAAAAAAAGTGAAAACATTTTTAGCTCAAGAGTCGTACAAAAAGCCAAAGGCTGCATTTGGCCTGCAGAGTGGAGTTTGCCCAACTCCTGTTTTAAGTGATAAGGCTGTTTTGGGAAACATGTGGGAGGAAAATGTAAATTTCTACTCTTAACCCAAGCTCTGTTAATGCAAGGGATAGTCCTGATCTAATATCTAATCTATTTTCAAATTTCTCAGAATGTCTCTTTACACATTCACTGCCCCTCCTCCCAGAGTTCTGTCTTCTCTTATGTCTCTCTCCATAGCCTTTGGTCCTTCTATATCCATTGTTCCATCTGGTCCCACACCAATGGAGGAAGGGGAGAAGAAGATAAACGTTCTCACATAGCTGGATCAAATAGCTAAAACGCAAGTAGACTTTTTGCACTGTGAAGATTTAAGAGCACAAATCCTGCACATTTTATATAATCAAGTAATTAAGGTGATGATGGCGAAATGTGTAATGGTGGTGGTGGGTGGTGATGGTGGAGTCCTGATGCAGATAACAGCCATCTATAACGGAATGATTACCAAAAGATGTTTGAGAATAGCCCTCTTTTTGCTAGCAATATTGCTATTTTTCTCTTATTCCTGAGTTAGCCGGGAAAATGAGTCTCTGCCAGGGTCTGGGCAAGTAGGAGTCTGCAGTAATATTTAGAGACCTATTTTGCGATTTTATGGAACTGCTGAAAAGGTCAGGAACATTTCTTTAAATGTCAATGGCCTGTGGGTCCAATTACCCAGGGGAGGACATTCTTGGAAGAGGAGCTTTACAAGTCTGGCAGAATGGTGTGGGAGGAGCTTAGGAAGTAGGGAACCAAGGATGGTCCCAGGCTTCCAAGAGAGAGGGTCCTGGGCAGAGGAAAGAGGCTTTTGCAGAAGTTATTGATGCATTCTCCTGTGGACGGAGAAGGCCTGGTAGAGTTGCCTACTCCAAGCAGTGCTTGCTGCCTCCTCCACCCCTGCTTGTGAGGCTGAGTCGATAGGGGTTGCAGGAGCCTAGGGAGCCAGGAGAAAGCTGGAGGGGATGCACCCTCCTCCCACACTCCAGACTGTGGAGTTCCCAGCTTCCTCTGTGCAGATCCCTGGGACTGACACTGACCTGGGGAAGCCCAGCAACTGCATTCCGGGCCAGGCCATGTGTTCAAAATCCTGAGCAGACATTTCCAACGTTAGTGAACCTAGTTCTTTCCCACAAATATATGAAAAATGTAGATTTGCACCTGAGCCCCATGTGTAGCAATTGGGAGTCAAAGATCTTACGATAAACAGTATATATATGTTTTTTGTTTTGGTTTGGTTTGGTTTGGTTTGGTTTTTTCACGGAGTCTTGCTCTGTTGTCCAGGCTGGAGTGCAATGGCGCGATCTCAGCTCACTGCAACCTCCACCTCCCGGGTTTGAGCAATTCTCCTGCCTCAGTCTACTGAGTAACTGGGACTACAGGCATGAGCCACCATGCCTGGCTAATTTTTGTATTTTTAGTAGAGACGGGGTTTCGCCATGTTGGCCAGGCTGGTCTTGAACTCCTGGCCTCAGGTGATCCACCCACCTTGGCCTCTCAAAGTGCTGGGATTACAGGCGTGAGCCACCATGCCCAGACAGTATATAAGCCCGCCACCACGCCCGGCTAATTTTTTGTATTTTTAGTAGAGACGGGGTTTCACCTTGTTAGCCAGGATGGTCTCGATCTCCTGACCTCATGATCCACCCCGCCTCGGTCTCCCAAAGTGCTGGGATTACAGACAGTATATATTTTTAATAATGGGGCGGGAAGCTATTTTCATGGGAGATAGGCAGCTTGTTAAAATGCATATTCCTAGGCCCTCAACCCCATTGAATCAGTATGGAGAAGAAAGGGTGCCTGAAGGGGGAGTGGAACCCAGGAAGTTGCACTTTCAGCAACTTCCCCAGGAGATTCTAACACTGGGCCACTCCAGGCCTGCCTGCAAGAACCAGTGCATTTGCCTGGAGAATCTTCTGTCCTCTGTGAATGTCTTCGTAGGAAAACTGGGTCTGTTGTAGTACCCATGTGGGCAGCAGGATGACAGGGCTTTGAAATCAGATGATGTGGTCTTTAGCAAGTTACTTAACTCTTTGGGCTTCCAGTCCCTCATGTGTAAAACAGGGGTACTACTGCCCACTTCCAGGGATTCTGGAAAGGATTTAACGAAATAATGAACTGGAAGAGGTTATCCCAGTGCCTGGCCCATGGTAAGTGCTTTGTAAATGCAGGCTCGATTACTATTATTAAACATCTGGGAGGCCTCAGGTAGGGCTTCTGATCCTGGCCATCTGTTTCCCTCTACACACAGGGCCGGCTGGTGTGTGTCTGAGGGTGCTTGCATGCATGTACCTGTATCTTGGGTTGTCCTTGTTCCCTATTTTTCCCCTGCCCCTCCCTATCACTGCTAGGCCCACCAGCCTGCAGCTCAGGGTTGCCGACCCAAACAAGGGGGAGTAAAGCTGACATGTGTTTGCCAATATCCTGTACCAGTCACAGCCAGCTCCTCAGGAAGGACAGCCTGTGCAGATACACAAGGCTGATTTGGGCACAGATGCAGACCGTGGCCCTGAGGGACCCAGTGTCTGGGTTTTCCCTACGGCCTGAAACATTTAGAAGCTGGAGTTTCCCCAGGATAGATATGTCCAGGGTCCCTTGCAGGGTCTTCATCTCCCTCTCCACTCTGCTCTTGTGATGCACTCCAGTGTAGCTGACCTTTTCCCTGAAGCCACGGAGACATTTTCCCAGAAAACAGACAGCTCCCCAGAGTTGGCCAAAAGGTATATATGTGAGCTTAGCTGGGGAGGGGAGACTGAGGTTTTCTCCTTCAGCCTGCAGCAGGAAGACGATCCTCACCGCCCTTCCCCCACCTGCTACAAATAGCTCCTGCTCAAATACAGGGATCTTGCTGTTTGACAAAGGAGCCGTGGAGACTCTATATGTTTTGATGAGGAATTTTTCAGGCTGCCATTTATTGAGTGCCTACTATGTGCCAAGAGCTTATATTCCCCATCTCTCTCTCTCTTTTTTTTGAGATGGAGTCTTGCTTTGTTGCCCAGGCTGGAGTGCAATGGGTACGATCGCAGCTCATTGCAACCTCCACCTCCCAGGTTCAAGTGATTCTCGTGCCTCTGCCTCCCGAGTAGATGGGATTACAGGCACGCCCCACCACGCCAGGCTAGTTTTTGTATTTTTAGTAGAGACGGGGTTTCACTTTGTTGGCCAGGCTGGTCTCAAACTTCCAGCCTCAAGTGATCGGCCCACCTTGGCCTCCCAAACTGCTGGGATTACAGGCATGAGCCACTGCGTCCGGCCACCCGTCTCTTTTAACCCTCATTACAACCCTGTCGGTTAGGTACTCTTTTCCGTTTTACAAGTGAAGAAACAGGATCTCAGACAGGTCATAAATGGTGGCACTTTTAAGCCCAGGGACACCTGACTCCAAATCCTGGGATCTTATCTTTGGGCTCTATTTCAACCACTAAGTAAAGCTGACCAAGACAAGAGAATGCAGGACGAGGCCAGGCATGGTGGCTCACGCCTGTAATACCAGCACTTTGGGAGGCCGAGGCAGGCGGATCACCTGAAGTCTGGAATTCAAGACCAGCCTGGCCAACATGGTGAAACCCTGTCTCTATCAAAAATACAGAAATTAGCTGGACATGGTGGTGCGTACCTGTAATCCCAGCTACTCCGGAGGCTGAGGCAGGAGAATCACTTGAACCCAGGAGGCGGAGGTTGCAGTGAGCTGAGATTGCACCATTGCGCTCCAGCCTGGGCGACAAGAGCAAAATTCCATCTCAAAAAAAAAAAAAAAAAAAAAAAAAAAGAGAGAGAGAATGCAGGACAAGATGGCAGGTGTGGGTCACCAGGGCCAGAGTCTGGGGTGACAAATGAGAACAGTCTCTGGGTCAGGATTGGCCGGCGGGGAGCTGGGGATGAGGGAAAGAAATACATCTAGCAGTGTGCCCCCTTGAGAGCCAGAGATGATGAGAGTCACACTCACAAAGCTTCTCTAGCGGGACTTGCAAAAAAAGTCCCACAGTCCTCTTGGTGAGACAGCAGATGAAATAGAGGCTTACTGATTTGTCTCTCCAGCCCTCCTCTCAAATTCTGGGGAGAGGCCCCTTTCTTCTAGTAAGCTGCTTCTTCCTCCTTTCCACCTACAGGGTTCCCGTGGAAAGAGCCATTTTACTCTATCCTCAGTTAATCATGGACTGATCCAGGGGCAGGGCCTCTACCCAAGCTGAACCCATTGACTTCCTCCCTGGGATTTTTTTGAGCTGCTACTGAGATGAGTCCATTTCTCATTAGGAACTGAAGCTGTGAGGGATGAGGCTCAGGAGGCATCTGAAGCTGATCTACAGTCAGAGAGGAGCAGAGACAAGGGATATAGGCGGAAGGAAGAAGACAGGTTCCTGGCAACATTCAAGACTGGAGCTCAGCTGGGCGTGGTGGCTCATGCCTATAATCCCAGCATTTTTGGAGGCCTAGGCGGGTAGATCACTTGAGGTCAGGAGTTTGAGAACAGCCTGGCCAATATGGTGAAACCCCGTCTCTACTGAAAATACAAAAATTAGCTAGGTGTGGTGGCACATGTCTGTAATCCAAGCTACTAGGGAGACTGAGGCAGGAGAATCACTGGAATCCGAGAGGCGGAGTTTGCAGTGAGCCGAAATCATGCCACTGCACTCCAGCCTGGGCAATAGAGCGAGACTCCGTCTCAAAAGAAAAAAAAAAAAGTCTTGAGTTCAGATGTTCCTGGGATCCAGCAGCAGCCCTGCTCTTCCCTAGATTGACTGTTCAACCCTTCTTCTAGTTGGGATGTGTTTGCCAGTACCCCATACCTGACTCTGGCCGGCTCCTCAAAAAGGACAACCTGGTACTACTATTATCTACCAATAAAGTTCTTTTTTGTACCCATAATTGGGTTCTGTCCCTTGCCACCAAGAGACCTAATCAGTCCAATCTGTCATCTGTCACTGCTCCATGAGGAAGACACAGCCAGCATGTTCCAGAAAGCTGGGGCAGTCAAGCCAACCAGAGGGGCCCAGGTGCCTGATGGTGACATGAGGCCAAGTGTGGGGGAGGCTCAGGCCTGGAGCAGCTGGCCCCAGTTCTGGGCTGCAGAGCCCTGGTCAGGAGCCAATCTTTTGGGCCAGGCTGGCTCCTGGTACCCAAAACAGAAGCCAAAGAGGTTGGGTTTAGAGGTGGCTGCTCTCAATTTGTCATCACTCAGATGCCTGGGCCAGAAATGTTGCCTTTCCTCTGACCCTGAGGGAATCACTATAAGAACCACTGGGCTTTTCCTGGAAGTCCAGAGCCTAGTCAGATCATTCCAGAAACCTTCTGCCAGATGTCCCTCAGAGCCAACATGGATTAGGGAGGGAAGAAAAGGTGGGAGGTAGAGGGACTGGGGAGGAGGGGGAGAGGAGGGGAACAGTGAAGAGGAACCTGCAGAAAAATCCATCCTTATTTCTTTGTCAGCAGTTCCTACAAGGTGCTTCCCCCACCCTCTTTCCTTCTTCCAGCAGAGATCTGGACTTCATTCTCCTTTCAAGAAAGCTTTTCTGCTCAGCTGGAAGGAGTGGTCAGGAGTGCAGGGCTGATCAGCAAGATTCCACAAAGCTTCCGAGCAGCACTTCTGGGTCTCAGCTACTCCCGAGGGGTGTCTCAGTCCTGGGCAAGGATCCTAGAGGATGCTCATTTTAGGGTAGAGAGAGCTGGACCCTGTGACTGTGCAGCTGGCCCTCCTGTCCGCAATGGAGACACAGCTGAGGACTCTGGCCCCCGTTTGCTGCCCGTGGAATGAGACAGGGGTGTAACTGAATAAGGTCCAACAGCTGTTGTGCGGGGAGTCTCCTGTTGAGGGGTGGAGAAGACAGTGCCCTGCCATCTCCCCCACACTCATTACCCTACTCCCAGTGTCCTTTCCCTTGCGTCATCTCATGGAAGGGTCATAAGTGTCCCTAGAGGAAGGCCAATGATAACCACCATCTCAGCATTCGTGGAAGGATGAGCACCAGAGTGGGGGGCCCATCCACTGAGAGCCCCACAGCACATCCCCATAGAACTTGGTTCTGCTTACTGCACCACTCTGCCTTCCCCTGTAGCCCTGGTCCCACCTCTGTGCCTCCCTGCAGCTTGGGCTTCCTCCAGCTCTTCTAGCTTTTGTCCTGGGTGAACTTTTTATACTTTCTACTTCAGCCTGTTTGACTAGGCTGTCACCTAGTCGCTGTCACCATCTCTCTGTTCCACTTGCTTTCTGTCCTCTCCCTGCTCCTCATTCCCCTCGAGACAGCCCCTGCCTCAGGGACAAGCGGCACCCTGCAATGTCAAGGGAAATGCAGGCTGACTGGTAGGGTTTGCTGTGCTGTGCAAACCTGCTCACCATCCCCCCCATCCCAGTCCCTCTCCCCTTCCTCTCCCAGCCTTCTGAGACACCCCTGAGGGCTCTTCAAGGCAGACCCAAAGCTGGCTAGCTCCCAGGGTGCTTGGAAGGTAGGGCGGGGAGAGGAAGCTGTTCATTAAAATTCACATCAAGAGAAATAACTAATCAGAAACCATTTGTTGCTTAATTGGTTTTAAACTTCAGGAAGATTCCTCATTAGCCTAGGGGTGACCTCTGCAGAGCAGCCCAATTGGGAAAGGAAGAATGGAGGGAGGGAGGCAGAAGCCCCTTCTCTTGCCAGCCTGCCCCCGACTCTCCAGCTGGGCCATCAGAGATGCTCCTATGCTTCCTGCTGTGGGTTCCCAGAGCCAGGCTCTAGCTTTGCACTCCTCTTCTTCCTTCAAGCTCCCTCTTCCAGGAAGCCTGCTGCTATAGTCTGACTGTTTGTCCTTCAAAATTCATAAGATGAAACTGAATCCCCATTGCGATAGTATTAGGGTGAGGCTTTGGGAGGTGATTAGGTCATGAGGGCAGAGGCTTAGTGATTGGGACTGGTGTCCTTATAGAAGAGGCCCTAGGGAGCTTGCCTGCCTCTCCTGCCAGGTGAGGACACAGCTAGACGTTGGCAGTCTGCAAACTGGAAAAGAGCTCTCGCCAGAACTTGACCATGGTGGCACCCTGATCTTGCACTTTCCAGCCCCCAGAACTGTGAGGTATGAACTTCTGTTGTTTATAAGCTGCCTAGTCTGTAGTAGTTTGTTGTAGCAGTGGAAACAAACTAACACACCTGCCCTGATCACCTGGGGCATGGTTCCCAGCCGCGAGCTCCTTCTGCACATAGTCTGCATCTTCCTTCCCTCCTTCCTTCCTTCCTTCTTTCCTTCCTTCCTTCCCTCCCTCCCTTCTCTCTCTCTCTTCTTTCTCTCCTTCCTTCCTTCCTTTTTCTTTCTTTCTTTCTCTTTCTTTCTTTCTTTCTTTCTCTTCCTTCCTTCCTTCCTTCCTTCCTTCCTTCCTTCCTTCCTTCCTTCCTTCCTTCCTTTCTTTCTTTCTTTTCTTTCTTTCTCGGAGTCTTGCTCTTGTTGCCCAGGCTGGAGTGCAGTGGTGCAATCTTGGCTCACTGCAATTTCCACCTCCCAGGTTCAAGCAATTCTCCTGCCTCAGGCTCCTGAGTAGCTGGGATTACAGGCGTATGCCACCATGCGCGGCTAATTTTTATATTTTTAGTAGAGACAGGGTTTCACCATATTGGCCAGGCTGGTCTCAAACTCCTGACTTCAAGTGATCTGCCCACCTTGGCCTCCCAAAGTACTGGGATTACAGGCTTGAGCCACTGTGCCCGGCCCACACTGGGCACCTTTTGATGTATTGATTGTGCTTCCCAGCCTGAGAGCTGAAGCTTTCTTCCCATTCCTCTCATTAACTCCTATTTCTCCCTCTTCGTCTGCCTCCCTGCTCCTCCCACTCTTCTCTCTTCTCTCCTTCCTCCTCTTTCCCCTTCTCTTCCTCCCACTCACCACCACTTCTCCTTCCTCCCAAGTCAACTCCCCTGGTGGCTAAAGGAAACACCAGATCAGTGGCTGCCTCCAAGGCATACTAGAGCCCCCCATCATTTTCATCAGCATTTCAGTTGATAATTCTCAAATCCAGTCCCCATTCCAACTTCCAACCAGACTGCTGCCTTCTGCCCAGGAGTCTGGGGAGGGGGCACTGGAAACCCATTGTATTCAGAGAGAGGGAAGAACTTAGCTTGGAGAAATGAAGACTGAGGAGGTTACAATGACTCTTCATATTTTGTCCTGTGTAGGCCAGAAGGACAGAGCCAGGACTGGTGCTGGACTGAATTTGAAAAAGAGCAGTGAACAACCACTTGTTTTGTTTGCCCAGGCTTCTAGAAACAGCATTCCTTTCTTTGGGGAACCTACCCTCCCACACTCCATATGGTTTCAACGTGGCTACCACTCAGTGTATACGATCTCCTAGCCTCAGGTCGTGGGACAACACCTGGCCAGTCATAAGCGCCCATGGCCCTGTCCATGGTAATTGGCTCAGAGATGGGCATGTGATCCACGCCTGGCCTCTCTCAATCCTCCCTGAGAATGTATGTGTGATCACTGGGAGAAAGATTCTCTATCTTCTGGTTCTCCAAGCTGGGATGAGATATGCTGGGAATTGTTGGTGACTTTGTGCCAATCACACGGAGAAACAGAGCCAAGAGTTTCAGGGAGAGAGAAGAAAAGTCCTGACAACATTGTTTAGGTCTCCAGAGTCCTTGAGGTCACTTCTGCTGCTACCCTTCCCAATTTCTTGGCCCAATACATTCCCTATTTTGGTGAGCCAGTGAGTTGAATTTCTGTCACTTCAACTCAGAGTTCCCAACTGACGTAAGAAGTTTCTCACAGTGGGAGCTGTCCAAATGGGGCTGGGTTGCCTTGGGAGGTGGCAGCTCCCAGAAAGAGCTGGACAACCTCCAGCCAGGGACACTGGAGAGAAAATTTCTGGGTCCAATTATGCCAGATAACAGCTAATATTTATTGAGTGCCTGGCATTTTATAGCCATTACCTCAATCCTCAAAACACCCCTGTGGGGAGGCATTCACCCCATTTTATAGATGAGGAAACAGAATCTCAGGGAGGTTCATTAAATTGTCAAGGTGGCACAGATCCAGGGTGAAGTGCAAGTCTTTTTGACTCCAGAACTCCTGCTCCTTAAGTCCAGAGATTCAGAGGCTCTTCGCCCACACCCTTCCTCAAAGCCTAGATGCCTCTGGAGGGGGCAAATGCAGTCCTGGTTTCTGCTGTCAGCTCAGCAGCTCCTAAATAGGGCAGTCGATAGAGGCGTGGTGCTGTGTCCAGGTGAGCAGAGAAGCACATGGCCCCAGTTGGCTCTGGGAACAGGCTGTCTACAGAAGCACAAGAGTGGAAGAAACCCAGAGGAGGGGAGGGGAGCCTTTCGGGAGAGGGCAGGTGAGCAGGAGGTGTGTCTTCCTCCAAAGACCTGGATGAGGGGTTCTGTACCGTTTATGTGTCATGGACACCTTTGGGAATCCGATGGAACCTGTGAGCCTTCTAGAAACAAGGACACGTGCAAATATGCAGTGTATTGCATACAAGTTTGGGGGCTCCAGAGACCTCCTGGAGCCATGCATGGAACCCCAGTAGCCCAGTTAAGAACTCCTCATCAAGAAGCATGAAAAGTGCCCAGGGGCTGCCTCAGGCCAATCAGGAGTAGCAATGAAATCTCAGAGAAGCCAGACCTACCTTAGCTGATGATTTTAACCAGCACATCCAGTGGGGAAGGAGATGGAGTTTCTTTGCCCTCTTTCTCTTAGGACTTTGCCCCTCAGCAACATGCTAACTCACAGCTCTCCTGCTTCCATTTCCTGCAGGGTTTCTGACCGATACATAGGCTCCTGTCTATGTTAGCCCAACTACTAGGACTAGGATGATGGAGAGGAGGAGGATCATGGTTGTTTCTCTCTCTCTCCACTTCTGACTCTGCCTCCACACTTCTCTGGAAGAGATTGAGTTTCAGGAGCCATCCAATGAAGAGGGATGAAAGAAATGACTCAGGATGGGCTGATGAGGCAAGAGGGGTGAGTTGTCTATGAAGTTGTCCCATCGGCAGATGGGAGGAGGGAGGTGGAAAGGAGACCAGAAAGATGAGGGGTCTCCTTCTCCTAGAGAAGCTTTGGCCTCCAAATAAGACTGAGATTCATGGTTGAAGAGCAAAACTCAACAGGGCTGGGAAGGGCCTGCTGAGAGGGGCCTGCAGGTCAGGCCTCTGCCTTTGAGTTCATACCATCCCACCACATCCCCCCGAAGAGCTTTTCCTTCCCAGGGCCTCCCTCTGGAGCCTGACCCCTTCCTGAGGCTCCCTCTATCTGAGCAGCCTGTCCTGCATATTTGTCCCCTTGGCCTCTGAGGTGTGACTCTTATCTGCAGTGCCTGGGACTCTGGAGCCAGGCACTCCCAGGCAAGTAGGAGACAGATCAGCCAGGAATGCGGGGGTTGGGGGAGCAGGGTGAGGGAATGCCCCTGGAAAGGCTCCTGTGTGGAATGTCTGCTCTCCACCTCAAGCTTCTCCCACCTGACCCTTCACCCTAGGTCTGGGCTAGGCATTCCTTTTTTGGGCTCCCAAAGCTGGGTGTACTTTCCTTATTGAAATTGCCAGATTAATCGCCCATCTCCTTTCCTGTCAAGTTAATATCTGGTCCACCATTCTACCACCAGTATCTAGCAACTTGCTTGGCATATAATAGGTACATTGCATCCAGTAGATGCCCAACCAATATTTATTTATAAGGAAAACTGATCACATACACCCTGCACCTGGGGAAAAGGCCCCCAGCTGCATTGCAGAAGTAGCATGAGGCACAAGACCCCTGCAGGACCGGGAAGCAAGAGGCCTGCAGTTTGCTTAAATTCTACCAGCTGTGGCTTTGGACACTCCCTTCTCCTTCCAGGCCTGTTTTCTTATCTGAAACTTGGACTTGGTTGGACTTGATACTCTGTGGTTCTAGTCCCAATATAAGCCTTTTTATTTTAATTTTATTTTTAAAATTTTATTTATTTTTTATTTTATTTTTTTGAGACAGAGTCTTGCTCTGTCTCCCAGGCTAGAGTGCAGTGGCACAATCCTGGCTCGCTGCAATGTCTGCCTCCCAGGTTCAAGCAATTCCCCTGCCTCAGCCTCCCAAGTAGCTGGGATTACAGGTGTATGCCACCACACCCAACTAATTTTTGTATTTTTAGTAGAGACAGGGTTTCACCATGTTGGCCAGGCTGGTCTTGAACTCCTGACCTCAGGTGATCAGCCCACCTCTGCCTCCCAAAATGCTGGGATTGCAGGCGTGAGCCACCACACCCGGCCTCAATGTAAGACTTTTTAAAGTATCATGATTAATACATAAAAATTTTGACTCATAGTCAACAAACCTTGGCAACTTAGCCTTTCTTTTACTCATGGCCAGGCACCATGGGTATTTTTATCTATATGTCCCTCGTCTAAAAAGAGTCTGTCTCCTTATCTAGCCATGTGCCCACAAAATCAATTAATTACTTCACTCACTTACTTGTTCATTCAACAAATATTTATGGAATGCCTGTTATGAGTCAGAGATAAACTGCGTTTCCTTCACCATCATTGTGGGAATCTTCAAGAGAGTGGTAGGTACCAGGGATGGCGCTTCACTTAGAGAATCTTCACGTAGGCATGGGGGTGGGCCAGGGGAGGCCCCTCCCTCTTCACCTGCCCCATCTCACCCCTCCTGCTGTTTGGCAAAGGCCTTGCTCCTGGGAGAGAGACAGCCCTGTGTGCTAAGCAGAGAGATCCGGCTGGCTAACAGGCTTCCCATGGGGCAGGTGGTGATATCTGATTCAGGGATCTGGAAAGAGCCGAAAGGGCTAGTGCTCAGCCCCTTCCGCACCCTCCAGTGGAGACCTGTCCACACCCCTCAGCGACCCCCTTGCACACATCCACCAAATATAGGTGGGAGGTATCATGGGCCCCTCTCAGTGACACTCAGGATGGGCCACTAGCCCCGGCCAGGATGAGCGAGCTGACCGTGCCCCCTGGGTGGATGCTGTCTAGGACTCATCAAGGACTCTGGCTAGAGCTGTAAGGCCTTCCCTCTAGATGCTGGGTTCTGGTCTGATTTGCGCCTTTCCCTACTGGCTGGCAGTGTCCTTGCCCCTCTTCCCACCAGAGGGTGGAAAAACCACAGTTTTGTGCAGCGCGGTGACCTTGACAGGCACATAACCGGAATCACAGCTGTAGCCACCGTAGTCCATTCCTTCTGAGAACCCCTTGCTTATTTCAGCCTTCCTAAACCCTTGTGAAAGAAAATAGATCTCAAGACCCCAAACTCTGTATGCCAAAGGGGAAGTTAAGCTGGGGAACTGAGTCACACAAGAACTGCTTTCCTTTTGTTCCCAAACAGGCAGCAGTGATTTCACAACCCTGTCAGAGCCTCATTTCCTCTGCTCCCTCCTTTCACATGTTTACTTTCTCTTATGTCAAATGCAGATTTACTCAGCGCAGGATAAAGCATCATTGACTTTTTCTTCTGCTCTCTTTCACATGTAAAATGTAGATTTACTGGGGTGAATCAGAGCCTCACAAGACCGTAATCATCTGCCTCACGGCCTACCCTCACTCCCTCTTTTTTCCCTCCTGTTTGCTCTTCCCCCTTTAAATATGAAAGTTCCCAAAAACTCCCTTTGGAAAAAGCATGGGTCACAGATGCTCCTGTGGCTTGAATTTCCCTACCTTCCCTCCCACCCTCTACCTACAGCCCGCATGGCCTGTCCTTAACCTTGGCTAAATAAACCTTTACTCGATGGAAACCTGTCTCAGTCACTTTTGGTTTACACCTTCATCTCTCCCATTTGGCCTTGGGTACAGATGGGCTGAGGATAGTTGTGTGCAGAGTCAAGAGAAGGGCGAAAGTGTAACCGATGCCATCTGGATTGAAGTCGCCAGCTCAAAGGTGGTCTACAGAGCCCCAGGTGGGGAATGCAGGGCAGCTCCCCCTGGAAGTGTCCCATGGGCTAGGTGCATTGCTAAATTTGGCCACGTTGTTTTTCCCTTCAGTTTACACAGTCATGAGCTGTACCTGCTGAGTGCAGCTGGGGAGAGTAACCCGGGCTCAGGCACTGGCTTCTCAACAGATTCCCCCTCCCGGCTCAGCTGGGGTCCTGTTACTGCTTGGCAATCCTTTGAAAAAATGACTTTGTTATTTAACTTACTAAAAAGCCATATAAGCACCTTGTAGAAAATAAAGGTAAGTCAAAAGAAAAATCACTCATAATTCTCATAATTCCATCACCCAGAAACAACCACTGCTAACTTGCATATATTCTTACAGTCTTATATCTGTCTCTATATAGATATATTACATATTCTTTTCAAAAATCAGATTATTGTGTTCATACTAGTTGTTCTATGAATATTCCTGAATATTTTTTTCATGTAATCAAACGTTATTTTCCAACATATTTGAATGGCTGCATACCATTCTATTATACTGAAATTGGGTTATAAATTAGACTAATATTTCATATTAACCATTTGAGCCTGTCTGAAGTAACAAGAAATCCAGTGTCTGTCTCTTGGGGGCTTCCTCCACCCTGAATTGGAGGACTTCCTGAATCCGAAGGGCTGGTTCCTCCATCCAAAGCCAGGTGAGGAGAGCGCTGGAGCCTCCGACTCACTGTGGCTTCTGCTGCCACCCCAAGGTGTCACAGTAGAACCTGGCCCTGCACAGTCCGAGCATCCTTGCCCACCGAGACAGTGATGTTCTCACTGGTCCAGATTTCTACAGGGATTGTGGTCCTTCTTCAATGGAGGAAGACCCCCAATGTGCCAAAGTGCCTAGGATGGGAGAGGCTTCCAGCCCAGACACACCAGCCAGAACCCTACCAGCTTAGAGCCTGGGCCTGGCACTGAGCTTAGACCCTGGCCAGGTCCCTACCACTAATGGGTCTCATTCAGAACCATCTCAATCCATTAGAGGGAATCTAGCCGTGTTAATTACTGAAAGAAAGGGGTTAAAGGCTTCTACTCCTTTCCTTTGGGGGCTCTTTACTCCAAAGAGATTGCCCACCTCCTTCTCAGCAGCCATTCCTGAGAAATTATTAGTTCTCTCAAATTCCCTTTTCTGCACCTCAACTTTCCTCCATTTGCCATGCATTCTTTTATTTCCTTCTTATCAGGAACTGTCCTCCTCTTCCAGGTTAACCCCATGTCCTTTATACACTGCTGATCTTGCCCTTGCCCTCCTGTATCTTCTCTCTTTGTTAATTATCCCTTCTATATCTTGTATCTTCTATCTCTCCCTTTTTACTAAGTCCTTACCCTTCCCTAGATGGACAAATCTCTCAAGCCTAGAAAACAGACAAGTAAATACACCCACCCCTTTCAACCTTGATTCCCCTCCATCTACCACCAACTCTTTCCTTATCTTTTGGGCCAAACTTCTACAAAGCACAGTGTACCATCAACCCATGTAACCTAGGCACCTTGGCCATCCCTCCAACGAGACCACTTTCTCAGAGGTCACCACTAACTGGGGTTACCATGTGTCTCAGTTTTCCAGGAAGAATCCTGCTTTACCCCTGTTGTCTCAGAGTCTTCTCCAACAGTCCCAGTTTAAACACTAAATGTTATAACCACCTCATCGCTAATCAGCCACGACCAACACAGCCCACAGCTCCATTGCAGTCATTCTCTGCAACCGCCCTCCGCCCTGCAACATGGCACTCTGTCGACTATGCTGGTCTTGAGCTTTCCTCCTCCTCCGGCTTATTTGACACCCGTCTGCTGGTGTCTCACCTCTCCCCTCTGTGTGCTTTCTCTTATCCACATTCGCAGCATTCACTTTCCCCACACATGCCAACGGTCTTCCACCTTCAGTTCCTCTTGTTTAGTATTCAATCTCCTTCTGAATTTCACCCACACCCACAGCTTCACCCATTATCCCTGCCTTCACCCTCAATTCAGGGCAAATCTGAAGACTCTGGGAATCCCGCTGGCCAGGATGATCTTGATCTCTTGACCTCGTGATCTGCCTGCCTCAGCCTCCCAAAGTGCTGAGATTACGGGCATGAGCCACCTTGCCCAGCCTATGATCTTTTAAAATATGATCAAATTATTTTAACTAGATAGTTAATCTGGTAAGAAACCCAGGAAAGAATTCTGAATGAGATAAGTATCACAGGAGAGAGACTCCTCTTATTATTTAAAGATAATATATGTTACAGTAATTTGGGGGGGCAGAGTGGTATAGGAACAAGAATAGAGAAGCAAATCGATGGAACAGAGATAAAATCCAGAAATATATAACCATGTATGTATAGAAATTTAGTATATGATGAAAGGAGGCATTGCTAATTAATGGGAGAAATATGGATTATATATGTATATAAACATTTATTTATAGAAAGAAAATTTAAGTGAGTATTTCTTGAGATGGGGAAGAGCTCTTTAAATGTGTTATCTAAGTCAGAGATGGTAAAAGGAAATGTTGATATACTTTACTATCAAAAGGCATTGTTTGATCGTAAAAATACTTTTTTACAGCCGGGCGCGGTGGCTCATGCCTGTAATCCCAGCACTTTGGGAGGCCGAGGCGGGCAGATCAGGAGGTTAGGAGATTGAGAACATCCTGGCTAACATGGTGAAACCCTGTCTCTACTAAAAATACAAAAAATTAGCTGGGGGTGGTGGCGAGTGCCCGTAGTCCCAGCTACTAGGGAGGCTGAGGCAGGAGAATGGTGTGAACCCGGGAGGCGGACCTTGCAGTGAGCCGAGATGGTGCCACTGCACTCCAGCCTGGGTGACAGAGCGAGACCCTGTCTCAAAAATAAATAAATTAAAAAAAAATACTTTTTTTACTTTTTAGTTTTATACTTTACTATAAAAAAGAAAACTTCTGCATGGCAAACACCGCATAACAAAAGTTAAAGGAAATAAGAAACTAGGGGAAATGGGTATTTGTAGCAATACGTGATAGAGAAGGGAATACTCTCCCCAGTACAGAAAGTGCTCCTTCAACTCAATAAGAAAAAGATGGAGACTGAATGAAAACAGGGAAAGGGGATGAAAGCATTTGGACATCGTTGTTTGCTTAATCAGCCACCTATGCGAAAAGGCAGTGGGGGAGTAGCCAGCGAGAGGAGCAACATCACACAAATGTTATCAGACCCTCCCAGTCTGTGGCTATAAATAAAGCTCCATTAACATCCATAACTCAAAGTTCCTGCTGTTTCTCTTCTTGCGCCTACAGGACCTCTGCCCTCTTCCTCCTCTGCCACAAGTATTTCTGGGAGTTCCAAAAAAGGGAGCACACATATGCTTAAGCATCGCTCTGTCAGCCACGATCCCCATATGGCTTCTCTAGAATCCTTCCTCTCTGCCCCAGCTCAACACCTACTGCCAGCAAAGCCACTGGAAGTAGCCTGAGCATGTCACTCTGACAGTGACCCATGTGTGACTACTGCTCTGAGGAGGTGTCACCTTCCAATGTTTCCAAAGCCACCATTCAATGGAACCAGAGGGTGCCAGGCCCCAAGGAGAGGTGAGGAGGACTGTCTTCTCTACCACTCAGCGCTCAGCTACCCTGCTTACCCACAGCTTAACCCAACTCAAGAGGAAGTGAGGAGTGACAGAGAGGGAGGGTGGAAGGGGACTGTATTAGTTTCCTATTGCTGCTGTAACAAAGTGCCACAAACTTGGTGGCATAAAAGAACACACATTTATTCTCTTATAGTTCTGGAGGTCAGAAGCCTGAAATCAGTTTCACTGGGCTGAAATCAAGGTGTTGGCAGAGCCACGCTCCCTCCAGAGGCTCCAGTGCGGAATCTGTTTCCTTGTATCTTCCCACTTCTAGATGTTTTCCTTTGCATTCCTTGGCTCATGGCCCCTTCCTCCATCTTCAAAGCCCTCAGCGCATCATCATGCTTTTGTGGGTACTTTGTCTTCTTGTTCTGGGTCAAACCTCCCTCTGTCTCCCTCTTATAAGGACACCAGTGATTGCAGAGGGCCTACCCAGATAATCCAGGATAATCTTCCCATCTCAAGATCCTTAATCACCTTGGCAAACTTTTATATATTTTTTTGTCAGGCAAAGTAACATTCATAGGTTCCAGGAATTAGGACCTGGTTATCTTTGGGGCCCGTCATTCTGCCTACCACAGGGGCAGATCAGTGCCTTGTGATCACCCCCCAGACAGCTTATATCCAGTCTTCCCAGCTCCCAGCTACCTTCCCCAGTTCAGGAAAACAGCCTCCATGCATATTCATAGATGCAAATAAATGCTGGTATTGGGAAGAGATGTTGTCTGTATCAGAAGTGTCAGGGCTCCAGCCTGGCAACCAAGTGCCCTGTGTTGGGGGTCAGACCATCAGCCCTGGGTATACAGAGAAAGTCGGTGAAGGTCAGTGTTTCAGAGCCAAACCTCTGAGAAGGTCAAAGCAGCCCCATCAGCTGATCACTGCTGGACGCAGCAGGACTTGGAACCAGCACCACCTGGCTGGACCTCCCAGTGGCTCCTCTCCTAGGGTCCCCAGGCAACTTTGTCTGTCTCCCCAGTGAGTGCTGATAGCAGCAGGATCTTCATGTTTATCGCCATCACTGTCCCATCACCAACATGCTGGGCTCAACTGAAGGCCAGAAAGAGATGAACGCTGGACATAGGTTCAGGCTGATAACCAAGAGTCAATGTGGGAGCTCGCCAGGGCCCCAAACAGAGAGCCCTAAAACAGTCCTGGATGGAGGTGGATCTGAGATGGGCATGCATAATTAACCCTGCAGGAAATAGGAGCGAGGAATATTTGTTGGATGAAGTCAGCCTCCAAAGATCGCCTTGAAAATGTGATGGGCAGTGGTTTAAAGTTACCACCATAATCACCAACAACTGACATCTGATCGCTTCCACTGCCATGAATGACATCGCCACCATCACCACCAGCAGAAAGCCCATGGACATGCATGAGCACACAGTGCAGTGGTCAGGAGGGCACTGGTTGGAGGGAAGGCTGAGGGAGCAACAGCAGCCAGACCACCGAGCCGCTTATTTGCCAGTGGAGTTTGGACTTTATCCTAAGGCCAGTGATATTTGTTAGGAGTTTTAAGCAGATATGGCTAGATTTACATTTGAAAAACCACTCTGGTAGCATCATGGATAATGGATTATAGTAGAGCAAGGCTGGAGGCAGAGAGGCCAGTTAGGAGGCTGTTGCCATAGCCTAGGCAAGAAATCATCTGAAGTTGTGTCAGTGCATATGGTAAGAAGTGGACATATTTGAGAGATATTTATGAAGGAGAAATAAGACTTTTGAACTGATGGGATGTTGGGGCAGAGGAAGGAGTCAGGAATAATGCCAGTGTTTCTGGCTTCAGCCACCGGATGATGGTGGTCTCGTTCATTGAGCAGGAAGAGCAGGGGTCTTTGGAGAAGAGTGTGAATGTTTAGACATTTTCAGTGTGTGCTGCTTGTAACACATCCAAGAAGCCAAATAAGCAGGTCTGGAGCCCACAGGAGAGGTCTGGGCTGAAGGCATGAATGGCAACTGAAGCCAAGGGTCTGGCGTTCAGGGAGAGAGACCCCGTGGGGGAAAAAAAGAGCATACAATAGAGTCAGGGATATCACCCACATGTGAGGAGCCAGTAGAAGAGGATGGGACACAAAAGATCCTGAGAACTGGCCAGAGATGTAGAAAGAAAATCAGAAGAGTGTGTGTCCCTGAAGTCAAGGGAAGGGGGTATTTCAAGAAGGGGGAGGTGGTCAGCAGCATGGCATGGTGCTCCAAGGTCAATAAGGAAAGGAAAAAAAGGTGGACTTTGTACTCAGGAGGACATTTGTGGTCTTGCTGAAGACACCATGGGTAGTGAAGCCTGACTGCATGGGCTGAGGAATGAGTGGGAGTTGAGAAAGGAAAGCAAATGAAGCCCACCCTCTTGAGAGGTTTAGATGTGATGGGAAGGAGAGAAAGGGACAGTGAAGTTCAAGGAGGACACTTTTTTTTTTTTTTTGGATAGCAGAGATTTGATCAGAAGGCTGAGATTTGGGGAGAAGTGTTAACTGGTTGCTATTGTTTGAATGTGTCCCCCTGAAGTTTGTGTGTTGGAAACTTAATTGCCATTGTATTAAAAGGTGGGGCCTCTAAGAGGTGATTAGGTCATAGGAGCTACTCCCTCACGAATGGATTAATGCCATTATTGCAGGATTGGGCTCCTGATATGTTTGGTCCCCTTCCTCTCTGTTTCACATGCTTGCCTTTGCCCTCCAGCCCTCCACCACAGGATGACCCTTACCAGATGCTAGTGCCATGCTCTTGGACTTCCCAACCCCCAGAACCATGAGCCAACTAAATCTCTTTTCTTTATAAATTACCCAGTCTGTGGTATTCTGTCATAGCAACACTGTGCAGACTCAGACACTGATGGAACAGAATGAAGACATGGCAGATAAGGAAAACACAGTCAGATTGCCAGGCATAGAGGCACATCAGAGACAATGAACAAATCTGTGCGGCTATGTGATTTTCTCTGGCTGCCTCTCAGGCCTGCTGTAGCTGGTGTGCCTGCAGAGAAGGTCAGAGCTGGAGTTTCTAGGTTGACAGACAAAAAGAACCAAGAGGCAAAGAAATTGAGGACACTGGCAAGATAAGCTTGTGGTGGTAGATATTGGTATCTAAACTGGGAAGGGAAGGGACTGAAGGCGGAAGGGGCGGATGCACAGAACTTGCTATTGTCAAAGGTAAACAAACCTAGACACTAGTTAAAATGGTAAGGACAGATTTTATTCAATGATAACTATTGCAATAGGGAAAAGGGTTCAGCATGAACTGAACTCAACTTCTTCAAAACAAAGGCCAAAAGGCTTTTTTTTTAAAGTGGGATGAGCCAGGCAACAGGCATTGAAGGGCAAAAACAGGAGTTTGCTCTATATGACCAGGCAAGCTAGGTTTGGTGACTGGCACTTATCAAAGTTAAGTGCCCTCCCACAGAGACTGGGAGACAGGGGCCCTCGACTGGAACAAACAATAAATTCTTTTGGCCATCTTGAGCTTTCCCAGGCAGGGACTTTAAAGCACTGGAGTCATCATCTAGTGATGCTGCTTTGAGCTGTTAGAAACGATGCTAGAGTTTTATTAAGTCTCTGGGTGCAAGGGTTCAGGTGGAGTCATTATGTGCTGAGAGTTCTTTTGCAGCTCTCACTGCCCTTGATGAGCAGGTGTAAAGGGAGGGCCCGGAGAGCAGGTGGAAGGAGCAGAGGCTGAGGTCAGCCTAAATCGTAGAGGTAGAGCATCTCTAGGTTGAGGCCATGGGAGTGGATGGCTGGGGGTGAGAAGAAGGCCACTGAAATCAGAAGCCAGGGCCAAGGTTCATGGGGAGCCCCCTCCATGAAGGCGGAAATTCAGTGGGAAAGATGCCTTGGTGACAGCCATGAGGGGACCAGCTGTGGGAGCCTCTGAGGAGCAGGTGGGTGAAGAGGGATTTTGTTTGTTTGTTTGATTTTTTGAGATTGAGTCTCGCTCTGTCCCCCAGGCTAGAGTGCAGTGGCCGGAGTGCAGTGGCTCACTGCAACCTCTGCCTCCCAGGTTCAAGTGATTCTCCTGCCTCAGCCTCCTGAGTAGCTGGGATTACAGGTGCCCACCACCATGCCCAGCTAATTTCTGTATTTTTAGTAGAGACAAGGTTTCACCATGTTGGCCAGGCTGGTCTTGAAGTCCTGACCTTAGGTGATCCGCCTGCCTTGGCCTCCCAAAGTGCTGGAATTACAGGCATGAGCCACTGCGCCCGGCTGGGTGAGGAGTTTTATGGGAAGGTAGAAGAGTGATGGTCTGGGAGGAGCCATGGGGGTCCCCACCTCACTTCCAAACCAAGGAGCATCTGGGAGAATGAGGATCCAACCCTCAAGGACAGCAGGGTGTGAGGGCCTTCTCTGCACAGCTCAAAGTGAGATCCTGAGCACAAGGTGCAAAAACAAACACAGTCCTTGAAATCGTTACAGCTATTCTGTGCTCTCTTAGGGCAGAAAATCATATCCTGCTTATCCCCAACTTAGTGCCTCAGGCAGGGGCAGAGAGAAGATAGAGTTCCAGAAATACCAGAAGTGCCCACGCACTGAAGGAACGCTTCCCGGTAGGTCCCAGCCAATTCAAGTGTGAAGACCCCTTTTTCAATGAAAACATTTTTGACTTTGAACTTCAAGTGTATCTGACACAATAGCAGTTGTGATTAAGAGAGTTGCTCATGGTGAGTGAGGATAGGAGCCCAGACTGGGTCAGACAGAAGTGTCTTCAAACCCTGGCTCTTCCTCTAGCCTTGGGAACTTGGGCAACTCGGTCAGCCTCTTTAAGCCTCAGTTTAATCATCTGTAAAATGGGGAAAATACCACTTACCTGACAGAGCTCTAGTGAGGATTACATGAGCTAATCCATGCTAAGTATTTGGTGTGGTACCTTGCGCAGAGCAAGTGCTCCATAAATGTTAGTTACGATCATGACTATGAATTATCTTACATTTTAAAACAAATTTGTGTTTCGTTCTTCACAAGAGCACTGCACACATGGGGTAGATGGTTGTTCATATGTGTGGGAGGCGCATTACGGATTCAATCAGCTGGCTGTGCCTGGGGAGACTCTGGAGATTCAGAGACCCCTGAGAGTAACTTGGGACCCTCAGTCAGTGCACGTTTGCACTTACCACACTCTAATCTGATCTGTCCCCATGGTAAGCACTATCAAGGAAACTGAGGCCCAGAGAGGGCCAGGAACTCGCCTGTGGACACACAGACATCCGAGGCAGAGCTGGGTGGGCGCCAGCCTCACTCACCTCCCTCTCGCTGTCTTCCCGCGGCAGCTTCAGCCTGCTGGCGTCCCCACAAATGCCTGGGCCTGGCTGGGCCTCTGTGTTTGCTGTGTTGCTGCTGTCACCGCCAACTGCTCTGTCGACCGTGGGAGTGTGGGCCCGGGCTCCAGGAACTGTTGTCCCAACTCTGATTGTGGTTCCAGATTTAGTCACATTTCTGTCCCAGTCCCCATCGCAGTGCCTGTCCCTGTCCCTGTCAGAGTCTCTGTCCCAGCCTCTAACACAGCCTCTGTCACAGCCCCTGTCACAATTCCTGTTACAGTCGCTGTCAGAGTCTCTGTCACAGCCCTTGTCACAGCCCTTGTCACAGCCTCTGTCACAGCCTCTATCACAGCCCCTGTCACAGCCTCTATCACAGTCTCTGTCACAGCCCCTGTCACAGCCTCTATCACAGCCTCTGTCACAGCCTCTCTCACAGTCTCTGTTGCAGTCTCTGTCACAGCCTCTGTCACAGCCTCTATCACAGCCTCTGTCACAGCCTCTGTCACAGCCTCTGTCACAGCCCCTGTCACAGTCTCTATCACAGCCTCTGTCACAGCCTCTGTCACAGCCTCTCTCACAGCCTCTGTCACAGTCCCTGTCACAGTCTCTGTCACAGCCTCTGTCACAGCCTCTATCACAGCCTCTGTCACAGCCTCTATCACAGCCTCTGTCACAGCCTCTGTCACAGCCTCTATCACAGCCTCTGTCACAGCCTCTATCACAGCCTCTATCACGGCCTCTGTCGCAGCCTCTATCACAGCCTCTGTCGCAGCCCCTGTCACAGTCTCTATCACAGCCTCTGTCACAGCCTCTGTCACAGCCTCTGTCACAGCCTCTATCACAGCCTCTGTCACAGCCTCTATCACAGTCTCTGTCACAGCCTCTGTCACAGCCTCTGTCACAGCCTCTATCACAGCCTCTGTCACAGCCTCTGTCACAGCCTCTATCACAACCTCTGTCACAGCCTCTGTCACAGCCTCTATCACAGTCTCTGTCACAGCCTCTATCACAGCCTCTGTCACGGCCTCTGTCACAGTCTCTGTCACAGCCTCTATCACAGCCTCTGTCACAGTCTGTATCACAGCCTCTATCACAGTCTCTATCACAGCCTCTATCACAGCCTCTATCACAGTCTGTATTACAGTCTCTATCACAGCCTCTGTCACAGTATCTATCACAGCCTCTGTCACAGCCTCTGTCACAGTCTCTGTCACAGCCTCTGTCACAGCCTCTACCACAGCCTCTACCACAGCCTCTATCACAGTCTCTGTCACAGCCTCTGTCACAGCCTCTATCACAGCCTCTATCACAGCCTCTGTCACAGCATCTGTCACAGCCTCTATCACAGTCTCTATCACAGCCTCTGTCACAGCCCCTGTCACAGTCTCTATCACAGCCTCTGTCACAGCCTCTATCACAGTCTCTATCACAGCCTCTGTCACAGCCTCTCTCACAGCCTCTATCACAGCCTCTGTCACAGCCTCTATCACAGTCTCTATCACAGCCTCTATCACAGCCTCTATCACAGTCTGCATTACAGTCTCTATCACAGCCTCTGTCACAGTATCTATCACAGCCTCTGTCACAGCCTCTGTCACAGTCTCTGTCACAGCCTCTACCACAGCCTCTGTCACAGCCTCTGTCACAGCCTCTGTCACAGCCTCTATCACAGTCTCTGTCACAGCCTCTGTCACAGCCTCTATCACAGTCTCTGTCACAGCCTCTGTCACAGCCTCTGTCACAGCCTCTATCACAGCCTCTGTCACAGTCTCTGTCACAGTCTCTATCACAGTCTCTATCACAGCCTCTATCACAGTGTGTATTACAGTCTCTATCACAGCCTGTCACAGCCTCTATCACAACCTCTGTCACAGCCCCTGTCACAGCCTCTATCACAGCCTGTCACAGTATCTATCACAGCCTCTATCACAGTCTCTGTCACAGTCTCTATCACAGCGTCTGTTAGAGTCTCTGTCACAGCCCCTGTCACAGTCTCTATCACGGCCTCTGTCATAGTCCCTGTCACAGTCTGTATCACAGACCTTGTCACGGTGTGTATCACAGTCCACACCGCAGTCTCTGTCACAGCCTCCATGACAGCCCCTGTCACCACATCTGTCATAGATTATGTGGCAGTCTCCATTGCCCTCTCCCTGGCTCTGCCTCTTCTCTGGATCCTGCAGGGTGGCCTGGGGCACAGCTCTCATTACACAGTGGAGTGTCTCTTTCTGGAAGGCATCCAGCAGAAGGCTCATGTAATAGCAGGTTACCCTGAGGCATGGGGCTTGTGGGAGGGAGGCTGGGCCTTGGGGCTTGTACAAAGATGTGCTTTGCAGGGAACCAGAGAGAGCAGCTCTCTTAAACTCCAGCCTGGCTGTTGCTCAGTCCCTGTCCCTGTAGCAGTCAGGGGTCCAGGCCCCTGCTTCTGGCAGGATGACTTGTTTCACAGCATTACTTTCATCTTCGCCACCCCACTGTGAGCTTCCAGGGGCAGGGACTGTGTCTTGTTCTTTTCCTGCTCGCTCTGAGCAGAGCTGAGCACAGCGCTGGGCTCCCAGGGCACAACCCAATGGTCCTCGCAAAAGCCTGTCTCCAGTCGCCCTCAGCATTCCTCACGGCTTCCAGAGCCACCCACCCTCATGTCCTCGCGTTCCCCACTCCTTGACCCCCCAGGACTGTGGTCTCCCAGGGTGCTCACCCACTCCAGGGCAGGGGCTTCCCTTTGCTGCTCTCCTGCTCACACTGGGCCCTGCACCTGGCGTGCCCCACCTCCCTGCCTCCACTTCTACAAGTCACACCTGCTTGCATCAAAACTACTTCAGACATGAGCATCTCCCCTGCTCCCTCCTCACGCTTTTCCTCCTCCCCCCTCGGCCCTCTAGCCTCTTGTCCACATCACGTGCTCCTCGTCCCTGGCTTCCTTATGTGAAGTCTTGAGTCTGTCTTATCCTTGCCATAGCCTGGAGATGCCTGGAGATTAGGGACTGGGTCATGTAGCATCAGATAACAGGTACTCCACACGTTGAACAGAGAAAAGGGATCATGTGAAATTGGGGGAGGAAGAAAACATAGATAAGTCGGGGAGAGGACTGAGGGCATGGCAGGGAGGACTGCCTGGGCAAGGCTGGGTGGAGCGGAGGAGCCCAGTGTTAGTGGGGGACTGAGCCAAGTCCAGTCCCTGGGCCATCTCAGGGTCCCAGGAAAAGCCCCAACTCTCCAGCTGTCCACCACCTCTCTTTCTACCACCGCACCCAGCCCCATTTTCAGAGTCTCTTCCCCCCTCTCCCAGTCCATTCTGTCTCTTCCTTCTTTCCCTTCCTGGCGCCTCCAGCCCAAGCTGTGAAACCACCCCAGAGGCCCCTGTCTGAACCCACTTCATCCCTGATATATCGTGAATTCCAGACTTCGAACAGAGGAGTCTGTGGTACTTATTTCTTGGCAGCTCTGCTCAGCTGGCACCTCAGGGCCTCCCCCTCCCAGTGCCTCCCTCTCTGGCCTGGCTCTGAGTCCAGGTGGCCCAGACGTCCTGGAGCCCCAGAAGGACACAGAGACACAGTCCAGACCTGGCTGAGCTGTCAGCACATCTTCCTCCAGGCTCCCCGAGGTGGGAGGGGGAAGAGGTCCCACCCAGTGCCCTGGCAGAGTCCCCAGGGAACAGTCGAGCATCCGGGTTGGTGTGGAGTAGACAGATCAAGGGCAATGCAGCTGGGGCTGGCCTAGAGATGAAAGGGCTTTGGGCTCTGCTGGGGTCCAGGGGCTCACAGGTGGAGTCCTGCACAGAGGCAGGGGATAGAGAAGAGGACAATACAATAGCTCATGCTCCTAGATCCTAAAGAAACCAGGCAGAACTGAAGAGAAAGCAGATGGCAAGCCCAATAGGAAGTTGAGCCTATAGGGGGTCTCTTGTTCACTAACACCTTGATGTGATGGGCATGTGGGCTCCCAGTGCTTTTTTGTAGCAAGTGTCACCTACTGGGGTTGAGGGTACTGGGAGGAGGGGGACCAGAAGGACTGAGTATAATACAGCAGGACTTTCTCTCAGGGCTAGCTTAGGGCAAAGGCTGTTGCAGGTGAATTGAACACCTGCCCCCAGCTCTATCCTTGATGACCCCACTGTGAGAATGCTGCAGGCCTTATCCATGCCCGGCTACTCCATTCACTCTTTCCTCCATAATAAGCATGTGCGCGTGCACACATCCACACACACACACACACACACACACACACACACACACACACACTAACCACTTTCCATTTCCTCCAGGGAACCCAACTTGACTCTACTCAAGAGGATCATTGCCCTGAGCTTCTGAACCACTCCCTTTGACTCTTGATTACAAACCTCTGGGATGATCTTTTGCTGCTTTGACCAGACCAGGTATCGCCCAAGCTAGGGCATATCTCTGCCTTCTTGGCCTCCATCCATGTGTAGCTGTGCACAGGGTTGGGCACCCAAGGGCTTGGTCAACTCTGGCTGGTTGGTTTGTTTCCCGGAACATCTATATCCAGTCTGGTTGCTCCCTGCATGTCCCCTCCCCTTCCACCCTTCCAGTTTCTTAGTTTCTTTTTCTTTCTTTCTTTCTTTCTTTCTTTCTTTCTTTCTTTCTTTCTTTCTTTCTTTCTTTCTCTCTCTCTATCTCTCTCTCTCCCTCCCTCCCTCCCTCTCTCTCTCTCTCTCTCTCCCCCTGCCTCCCTCCCTCCCTCCCTCTCTCTCTTTCTTTCTTTCTTTCTTTTTTTTTTCCAGCTTCTTTATCAGGAAGCCTCAGGACAGAAAACCTGAGGGCATGGTGCTGATTCCAGTATTCTTTCTTGGAGGCCTTGTCTCCAGGTCAGGACTCCCAGCAGGAAGTCTATATGTCCCTGATCCCTGTCCAGCCCTACAGAGCAGACCTGCCTTGGGGCAGAGCAGAAGTGCAGGACTGTATCTACACTGAGCAAAAAGATGAAGTGGCATGTATGTATGGATACCACTTGCCACCACCCCCAGCCTTCTCAGAGGGTTTTGAGCACAGGGTCAACGATGTGGCCCTCTGAGTTAGCAGCTGCCTATATAGCAGGGGTGTCCAATCTTTTGGCTTCCCTGGGCCACACTGGAGGAAGAAGAATTGTCTTGGGCCACACATAAAATATACTAACATTAACAATAGCTGATGAGCTAAAAAAATCGCAAAAAAATCTCATAATGTTTTAAGAAAGTTTACAAGTTTGTGTTGGGCTGCATTCAAAGCTGTCCTGGGCTGCATGTGGTCTGTGGGCTGCGGGTTGAACAAGCTTGCTGTAGAGCTTGGGGCCACAGCAAGGTCCTGTCCCAGAGAGAAGGAAGTCTGCCTTCTGGAGACCCAGCCAGGGCTTGTCAGGGATGGAGAGTTCAAAGGAAGGAATCTTGTATAAAACATCCCTTTCATCCCAACAGAAAGTTTTAAGATGATATGACCTAAATTGGATTCCAAAGGCCAGGAGCCTTCCTCTCCATTGGGTAATGCAGGTTTCATTCCATCATTTCATCATTCAGTGTTTACTGAGAACTTACTACAAATGAGATGCTATGCTAGGTGCATTCATTTTCTCATGTAGTCTTAGCAATAACTTTTGAGGTGCATATCATTAAACCCATTTTACACACGAGGAAGATCGAGGCATACACAGGCAGTAACTGACAGAGAAGTACTTAATTCTCCAGCTTTTGTTTTTCAGTTTCATGCTCTATTGTTTACAACAGGGGTTCCCAGACTTTTGGAACTTATAGATCAATAACATTTCAAAAATGATTTTTCGGAACAAACACAGAACCCAGTGCCAACTTTTTATTTAGCCAACGACATTGAAAAAACAGCATCTTCCAGCACCATGATTTCATAAAAGGGCATTTTAACACAGAGAATGTAGCAAGGATATAACCTTAGAATAAAGACAGCCTTCTAAGAAAGGACAGTTGGCAACCTTAACCTAAAATATCCTACATTGTTCTGTGTGTGTGTGTGTGTGTGTGTGTGTGTGTGTGTGTGTGTGTGTGTGTGTGTTTTCATCTCATTTCAAGCAGAACTGGCCAAAACTTTGGCATTGCAGGCTGTGGGAGCCACTGCCCTACCCCAGAGCTGCCTCTCCAAGCAAGAACAATGCCCTCTGCCCATAAGCAAATAAGCTTCCAGAATTTCCCATCCCCCTCTGCCCATCTAGGTCCCCCACAAATAAGGTCTGAGGTTGATTTATACAATCAGCTACATTCTCCACTTCTACTCCCAGCAGGTCTTCTAACTTTCACTGATATTCAGTGTCCGTTCCAGGGAAGGAAACCCATCCTCCCCAGTCCCCTTCTCTCTTAGACTCAGATGTTTTCTACATTTGCATTCCAGGAATATCCAGGCCCGCTGCAGCACTGCAGCAGCCCATTTGTCTCCAAAGTCCCCTAGTCCCCCACCCATGGTGAGAGCAGCAGGTCTTCTCCATATATTTCAGTCCTGAGACAGGGCCTTCCCCTTGCTGGGGTCCCCAGGGCCTGGCTACCATGTTATCAAAGGAACCAGAGCAGACCCCAGGCCTTCTAGGCAGTGCTGGAAAGGAGAGGGTGTGAGACCCAGGTGGAGCAATGGGGAGATTACAGAATGTGGGAGTCCTATTTATTCTCTCCCCATTCTTTACCTTCTCTCTCCTTCTCCTTCCTCCATCTGTGCCTGCCCCCTACCCCACCTGCATGAGCAGATGGGCAGTAGAGCACAGCCTGCCCTGTGGAGCCCTTGAATTCTAGCTTCACCATTTTCTTGCTATGGGGCATTTGGCAAGCCTCTTGACCTCTCTGTGCTTTAGTTCTCTTGCCTGCAAATGGGAGTAAGAATGTCAGGTTGACTCACGTGAAATTGCCAAAATTTGACAATATTGGGCTCACAAAAATCAAAATTTCATGTGGTTTAACAACAAAAAGGTGTAAACTGTAAAGTGTTAGATATATGTCTCTCATCAAGTCTGGCCCCCTCCTCCAGGAAACCCTCCCTAGCTACTCCAAGGCCAGCAATAGCTCCCTCTGAAATCTCTCATGGTTGGGGACATGATTTAATATACATTTCTTTCCTGTCTTCAGTTTTCCTGCTCTATTTTCATGCCCTATTCCTGAGAATGAGTCTAGCTTCCTCACAACTTGAAGCCCATCAAGGGCAAGACCTGGGGCTGCTCCTCCTCTGTCCCCTGGACTGTTGGCACACCACCAGTGTCCTCCATTAGGGTTTCCACATAAAGGAGGCAGGAGAAGCCAGATCTCATCAGGGTTTATCAAGGGCCTGATTTATCTAATAGTCATTGCTGCACCTAAAGTTGGTCCTAGATGGTCGTGAATGGGTGCCACTAATGAAATTGAGGGCGAGTGAGGTGCTGGTAGGGTGGAATTAAGAGATCCTGACCCCTGGCCGGCCTGTGGCAGCAGTATCCCAGGAAGCAGAATTTTGGTCTTATCCTCCATCTCCTCCAAGCATCCCCTCCAATGCCATTAGCTAACTTCTAGGGTCCCTCACTCATTTGTAGAGTTGAAACTTATTAATCTGCTTTCTGTCCACCCTTGTGTTGGTGGAGAGGTCCCTGAGATAAGGTGGACCTGCTCCACCCTCAGGGCACAGACTGCACTGTGTAATCAGTGCTCAGGGTCACAGGAGCTAATGGGCCATGGGAACCAAAGGCAGGGACATGACCAAGGTTTTGGTGATTAGGAAAGGGTTCCCAGAGGAGGAGATGTCTCTACCATAGGTCATGGGGAAGCCTATATGGGCTGACTTCCTGAGCGGGGTTAAGGCAGACTAACTCCCAGCTAGACAAAGAAGCTCAAAGAAGTGTGTTAAATGGAGGTCTTCCCTCCTGTGGCTGGTAGACCAGGGCAGGCTGGGCTCACAGCTCTTTAAGAACACTTCTTCTCAAGGAGACCCAAGGACACTCAGGGATTAGGCTTCCAGCATCTGTGCAGAGAACTGTCAGCTCAGAGCTGCTCAAAAGTAAAAATGCCAGCTACCAGTGATGTCATCACCCTAGTCATTCCTCTCACTGTGGGAGGTCCTGTGGTCCAGTGGGTAGAGCAGAAGAGCCCCTGCTAGGCTGCCCGCCCCGCATCCTGCTCTCCAAATTCCTACTCTGGATGGAGGAGGCGAAAGTGGTCACATTGGGCTAAGAATGAGAGTAAAAAAATCATTTGAAGAAAAACTTGATGTTATTCCTCAGAGAGATGGCAGAGCCAGGGGACCTTTTTGCCTCCCTCCTGTGAGACTTTGCTGTGTGTCCGCTCCAGCATTAACCTCGGCTCCAGCCTTCTCTGGACAACTCCCCTCCCCTTAATGCCCAATCTGTCCCCCTATCCATTTCTGAGCTAATCTGGGGTATCAGGCTGTCCATGGTGTTGGAGGGGGTAGGGCTATACCTTAGGCTGAGCTAGTGAAATCTGTCCATAAGCCCGGACACTGTACACTGGGAGAGACTGGGAGAGAGGACACACAGTTGGATCCTTGGCGGGGGTTGGGGGGAAGGGGGCTGGGCTGCAGACTGGAAGGGAGTGGGGGCTGTGCAGCTGCTTGGGGGTGCAGGTAGGGGACTGGGTGGAACAGGAACTCACCCAGCGTGGGTCCACATAGTAGGTGTCATAATGTGGATGGGAACACAGGGAGAAGGGGCTCCAAAGCCAGTTCCAGAGTGCTGGGGCGTCCGAGGAACCGGCCCAACCGCTCCCCGCTGCAGCCGGCTTGTCCCTTTCTCGGAACTACCGAGGGAGAGGCGCGTGCGGAGGTCGGCGTTCGGATCTCGCATCCGTCACTGTTGCCGGCGCATTTCCTCGAAGTCTTACCTCGAAGGGCTGGGTCCCACCCGCGCGCCCTGTGCGTGTCTCCCTGTTTCCCCACGCCCTCCTTGCCTGGCTGCTGCGAGGCTTTGCAGGGGAAAGACTGGCGCGGGGTTCGCACCCTGCCCATGTCACAGGAAAACCGTGGGAGCCTCCCCGACGCGGCGCATTTCCGGAAGCCCCCTCTCCAGGAGGGTTGCGGGAAGGCCGGGACTCTGCATCCAGACGAACCCGGTCGCCTCCCAAGAGGAAAGTCGGAGACCCAGCTGAGGGGCAAAAATGCCAGGGAAAGGCGAGCCCAGAGCTTGGTGATGGAGAAATTGGGAAGCCACCCCCCACCCTTCAATCTTAGGATGGGGAATTCGCAACTGAAGCCGGAGCTTCAGACTTGGGGCGCACTCCCAGCTTAGCCCAGGAAAGAGATTTAAGGGCGCAGCAGTGTGGATACCTCTCACCCCGGCCCCGAAGGTCTAGCGAGGGTCTAACCTGGGCCCCTTGCCAGGCCCGCCCCCCGCCCCTTTCCAGCCCCCGGCCCGTGCGCCGCTGCCCCTTTAAGAAGCCCAGGTAGGCAGGCCCGGCTGCTGGAGCCGCTCCTATGGCAACCCGCGAGCTGCGGCGGCTTCATGAATATTCCGGGGCGCGGGAGCCCGAGCGCTGCCGGAGGGCGCTTCGGGGGAGGCGGCCGCTGATGTAAGCCCGGCGGGTCGCTGGGCTCCGCTCGGTTGCGGCGGGAGCCCCGGGACGGGCCGGACGGGCCGGGGCAGAGGAGGCGAGGCGAGCTCGCGGGTGGCCAGCCACAAAGCCCGGGCGGCGAGACAGACGGACAGCCAGCCCTCCCGCGGGACGCACGCCCGGGACCCGCGCGGGCCGTGCGCTCTGCACTCCGGAGCGGTTCCCTGAGCGCCGCGGCCGCAGAGCCTCTCCGGCCGGCGCCCATTGTTCCCCGCGGGGGCGGGGCGCCTGGAGCCGGGCGGCGCGCCGCGCCCCTGAACGCCAGAGGGAGGGAGGGAGGCAAGAAGGGAGCGCGGGGTCCCCGCGCCCAGCCGGGCCCGGGAGGAGGTGTAGCGCGGCGAGCCCGGGGACTCGGAGCGGGACTAGGATCCTCCCCGCGGCGCGCAGCCTGCCCAAGCATGGGCGCCTGAGGCTGCCCCCACGCCGGCGGCAAAGGACGCGTCCCCACGGGCGGACTGACCGGCGGGCGGACCTGGAGCCCGTCCGCGGCGCCGCGCTCCTGCCCCCGGCCCGGTCCGACCCCGGCCCCTGGCGCCATGGACAAGCTGCCGCCGTCCATGCGCAAGCGGCTCTACAGCCTCCCGCAGCAGGTGGGGGCCAAGGCGTGGATCATGGACGAGGAAGAGGACGCCGAGGAGGAGGGGGCCGGGGGCCGCCAAGACCCCAGCCGCAGGAGCATCCGGCTGCGGCCACTGCCCTCGCCCTCCCCCTCGGCGGCCGCGGGTGGCACGGAGTCCCGGAGCTCGGCCCTCGGGGCAGCGGACAGCGAAGGGCCGGCCCGCGGCGCGGGCAAGTCCAGCACGAACGGCGACTGCAGGCGCTTCCGCGGGAGCCTGGCCTCGCTGGGCAGCCGGGGCGGCGGCAGCGGCGGCACGGGGAGCGGCAGCAGTCACGGACACCTGCATGACTCCGCGGAGGAGCGGCGGCTCATCGCCGAGGGCGACGCGTCCCCCGGCGAGGACAGGACGCCCCCAGGCCTGGCGGCCGAGCCCGAGCGCCCCGGCGCCTCGGCGCAGCCCGCAGCCTCGCCGCCGCCGCCCCAGCAGCCACCGCAGCCGGCCTCCGCCTCCTGCGAGCAGCCCTCGGTGGACACCGCTATCAAAGTGGAGGGAGGCGCGGCTGCCGGCGACCAGATCCTCCCGGAGGCCGAGGTGCGCCTGGGCCAGGCCGGCTTCATGCAGCGCCAGTTCGGGGCCATGCTCCAACCCGGGGTCAACAAATTCTCCCTAAGGATGTTCGGCAGCCAGAAAGCCGTGGAGCGCGAACAGGAGAGGGTCAAGTCGGCCGGATTTTGGATTATCCACCCCTACAGTGACTTCAGGTAAGGGGCCACAGCGATGATCCTGTGGGTGCCCTGCGCGGTGGCAGGCATGCCTCCTCCTGACCCTGCCTCCCAGCCGGAGTTAACTTTCCTGCCTTGCGCTGGGAGCTCCAAGAGAGGCAGGGCGCCTCTAGGCTCCGAGACACCCCCAGGCCCCCTCCTGCACCGCGCTGGGGGAACTTTCCTCTGGGTTCAGTCACTGGTCTTCTCGGGTCTGGGCTGCATTGGAGACAGAATGAAAAGGTGTTCTGAGCCTGGCCTACCCCTGCCGGCAGCCAGGATAGGGCTCTGCCACCTTAAGCCACATATTCCTCCTCCCCCTTCAAGGCTGCAGAGTCAGGATGGCCATCCTAGAGGCAGCTCCGGGTCATTCAGCCTGCAGAGCAGGGCCGTGAAGAGAGACAGACCTCTTAGCAACGGGCCAGCTCCTTGGGTGCTGACAGCAGGCATTTATGTCTGCTTTCTGGTGCCCTGGGAAGCTGCGGCCGGGTCCCTGGAGGACCGAAGTCACTGGGGCCTCAGGCCGGGATGAAAACCCCCTGCACCCACCGTAACCCTGAGCTCAGCTCCTCATGCTGAGTGGTGGGCCAAGAGCAGGCACCCTGGGCAGCTGGCATCCAGAGCGGCAGGGCTGAATGACCTTGCTCATAGTGATGGGTGAAGATGCCTGGTGTTCTGACTGATGAGCAGCTGTCCTGTGTCCCATGCTTGTCCAGTGGCCCATCCATACCCCAGAGACCCAAGCTCCAGCATCTGCTTGGTCTCTCATGGGCCACTCGTGGGTCCCCAAACAAGGTATGACTGCCAGTCAGGGAGAGGGACCCTGCCCCCTTCCACATCACTTGAGTCGGATGCCACTGAACAGCAGATACCACTGGGAGCTTGTGGGCATATTTGTGCAAAAAGAGGGATTGTTGGTTGTTTCTAGGGTTGGGATCAGGGATGCCTTTACCTAAGTCAAGGTCCTAAGGTTCCCTAGTGCCCCTCTGGGCTTTCGTGATGCATGAGATTGTGATGAAGGTCTGGGAAACACTTTTCAAGCTGGGTTTAATTCTCTCATTCTCTCTTTCTCTGGGCCCTGCCGCCTACTTATCTCCCTTCCTTGCCTACCTTAGTTGCCTGCCTATAAAAATGAGCATTTTGCCAACCCAGAGCCCTCTTTGCAAACTCCAGGGAAGCTGGGTTTGTAATGAGAGCAAAGCCATTTTCCATCCAATGAGAGAGATTTCTCGCACTGGGAATGACCAGTCAGACAACACTCGGTGGCTTAAAATAGGTAGTGAACAGAGCCCCTCCCCCCTTTTTTCCTTTGACAGACTGCTCTTCCTAACCCTAATATCTCCAGGGTTCCCATTCCCAGAAGACTAGGGAGACCAGAGGGCAGGCTAAACAGACAGCCATAGTCATCAAATTGTGTGAGCAAATGTGGGACCCTCCCATCAGGAACGGTGTCTGGGTTCCCAGTGCCAGGTTCCTGAAGAGTGGGCTTGCCTCTGGCCAGTACTGGGCCCTGAGGATCCTGGGCCGAGCTAGAGAGGAGTGAGCAGGGGCTATGTCTCCTCCACCCCCATGGGTGTCCTGGGTTTTTCCTCCTGTCTCTCAACTCTTCAGTGGTGGTGATAGGCAGTTCCAGTACCAACCCCTCGAGATTGCTGAAGGGCCCTCCCCTCCCTTGCCCAGGTCCCTGCTGTTTTTGTTGTCAGAAAGCATCTGTTCAGGGTTCTCATCACCAAGCCCATTGCCTGGGGAGCCTACAAGAGGCCAACCCCAGGCATGCCCAGCCTCCCTCAGCAGCAAGCATTGGCCGGGGACCTTCTGGATGCTGGGCCTGGCCCTTCCTATCTCCCTTACCTTAGAAGTTGGAGAGTGAGGACTGGGTTGATTTCATCAGATAGGATCCTTTTCCCCTTCCTGGTCTTACCCCATTCTGGTATGTCTGTCTGCAGTCCCCCTGCTGCAGAATCTCCCACTAACTGCAGGCTGCCTGGGACATGGCTGCAGGAGAGGGTGTGGGGATAGGGAAGCGGGGATACAGCAGAATTGTGAAATGGGCAACAGGAAAAGGGTCAGAGTGGGCTTTGAATTTGGGTTTGTGCAACAAGCAACAGGGACTGGTAGCTGCAAGTGGCACGTCCTCTTTGCACAGCCTTGTAGCTGTCTGGAGCTGGGTGGGGTGTAAGGAAAGAAATCCAAGAAAGACCATCTGAGTGTGTCTGGAGGAGCGGTGGCCATACCTTTCCTGCTTCTAGGCCAAAACAGCTAGTGTCATCCTTAGAATGTCAAACAGGCAAGAGCCTAGCTAATTCTTCTAAGCTTCGAAAACCCACCACCCAACCCCACCTAACCCACCGCACCCCGACCAGCACCCCCAGCCTTGGTCTCTAGAGTTTTAGCCATTGGCCTTGGGCCTCTATGTGTAGCCAATCGCCATTGCCCACCTCAGGCTTCGCAAGAGCTTCTGCAAGCATTGCTCAGGCTAGTCGAGGATTTATTCATCATTTTGACGGGCAGGAAGCATTGATCCAGCAGAACTGGTTTAATAAAGAATTGCCAGCAAACAATGATAGATTGAGTTTGCGGTTTGGAGTTCAGGGCTGGCTGTGATGGGCTGCTTCCAGCATCTCCCATTGCTGGGGGAGGAAGGCTGGGTGCCTTTTCCAGGGCAAGGGTGGGCTGTGCTTTGAGGGACCAGCATAACCTGGGCCATGGCTAATCATAGGCTTTTCTGGGCTACCTCTGCTTCTCATTACTCTACCTGCCCCCGATCCCACCCCCCAATAGAAAAGAAACCATGCCCTGGCCACCGCCATGGCTTCCCCAGGCTCCCTGGGCTTTTCTGGCTTCCCCTCCCCTCCAACTCCCCATCTGCCTTTTGAAACTTGTATTTGTGGTGTGTTAAGGGAAGAGGCCAGGATGCTGCAGCCCCTCAGGACATAGCTCCCCGGGCTCCTCCCCGAGGCTGGCTGGGCTCTTGGGTCCTGGATGGGTCCTTCCTTCCACACAAGCTGTGTCCTGGAGAACCTGGAACAACAACAACAACAAAAAACATAGGTACTGGCTAATCTTGTTTTTCTAAGAGGAGAGAAAGGAAATGGAACCCCAAGTGCAGATGTAGCTGGTTGTGTTCCTGGAAGCTGGTCAGGCTCAGGGAGTCAGCCTGGGTGTGTGTATCTAGGTGTCTGTCTGAGTGGGTGTCTGGGGGCTGTGTGGGTGGATGTGGAAGCTGGTGGGGAAGTCCCTGTGTGGAACGTCAGTTCTGGGATTGCTGCTGCGCCCCCAAAGCTGGCTCAGCCTTAATAATGGAGGCAGGCAGAAGCTTGGCCTTTCTCATCCCCCTGTCCCTACCCTCTCCTAGACTGAGCCTCCTGAAGCCATGAGGAAGGGAAGACGGGGGTGCTTAAAGTGTCCTTTCCTTGGGGCAGAAAGAGCTGGGCTCCAAAATCTTGGAAACTGGGCCAGTGGCCTAGCAGGTCCCAGGGGTGTCCTGAGCCGACTTCCTGCTGCTGGTCACTGGCACCCCGTCACTGCCATTACTCACCTCCCATCACCTCCCCAACCCTGACTGCTGTGGAGCCCTGTGTGGGTTATGAGCCTTATTTGAGCCCCAGTTTTCCCATTTAGAAAATGGGAATCTTGTTGCCTGTTGCCATGTCAAGCACAAATTGTACAACTGTGGTCGCCCTGCCGAGGTGAGAAGCTGCAGTGAGCTGTCAGAGGAGCCGTGATGCTGTTGTGAACCACACCTCCCCTGTCCTCACAACTTCCTTTCCTTGGTTTTGGGAAGATCACAAGGGCCTCTGTCCTTGGCTCAAGCAGGGGTTGTGAACCTTCTTGGGGTCAGACATTTTACTCCATCCAGAAGGATACCTGGGTGTCCAGACACATAGAGTGTGGCACTTAATTTCTGGTGTCTGTGGCCCCCTAAGTTGAGGACCATCTGGGAGCTCAAGGTTGTGAACCCCTCTCTAGGCCATCCCAGAAGAGAGCCTGGGCCTGGTGAGAGGCAGACACTCACCTTCTCTGGAGCCTGGCAGTGGGGGTCCCTCTGCAATCTGGGGCTTGGGCCTCCCATTGCCAGCAGGATGGAAACAAAAACAGGGCTCAGAGTTAGATGCCTGAGGGGGGAAAGGGGTTCTCCCTTGGGACTGGTTTCTTTTCTATTTCCTCAGTCCTACCCGCTCCCACCTTTCTCACTTTGAATCCTGGAAAGGACTGTTCTGGCAGGAGGTGGCAAGGAGGAAGAGGCAGCAGCCTGACTCTGGGTCTGGGGGTTCCGAGGCCCCTTCTTTGCTGGGCTTTCCTGGGGCCATTACCCAGGAATGTTGTTAGGACTCTCAGTGTGCAAAGCCAGGCGGAAAGGAGCCGCAGGCTGTGTTGGAGGGGGAAGGGTGCCTAGTTGCAGAGGGGAATTCCAAGGTGAGCTGCCTGGGCTGTGCTATCAGCTGGCACAGTGGGCAGCAGGGCTCTCTCTGGGGATGAGATGTGTCCCACCTGACAAGGCAGGGGCTGCTGGAGCTCAGGACCGAGGTGCTTCCAGGATGCTGGGTGCACAAAAACCCGATAGGGGCAGAGGGCCAGGATCCCCATACTGCCTGGCTAGAGAGGCCTCGGCTCCAGGTTCTCCCTGCTGCAAGGCTCAAGTTCCTGGTCTGGTGGCTACATGGTAAGGATGGGGGTTACCTTCTCCCCTGCTTGGCCCTGCCACACTGGTTCCCTTAGCTGCTGTGAGCTTCGAGGGTTTTGGGCTGCCAGGTAGCTGCCTGCCTCACATAGGGAGTTTCCAACTGTGCTGACCTGTCTCCCTGTCCATCCACCCTTCTCTCCCATGCTTTAGGGCCCAGTGTCCCCAGGGCCTTGTGGGATGCTCTCTCAGGCCACCCTGGCCACCATCCATCTCTTCCTGGCTGACCACCTTGTGGCATTTGGACGGAGCTCTGTGTTTGTTACAATGCAGCTTGTCCTGCTGTAATGTCATCCGACTCACCCGGCGATCTTGTTCAATACAGATTCTGATTCAGTAGGTCTGGATGGGGCCTGAGATGCTGTATTTCTCATTAAGCGCCCAAAGATTGCTAATGTGGCTGGTGTCCAGACCAGGACCATGCTTGGAGTATTGAGGTTACTGTTCATGCGCTTGTTCCATGCTTAGCCCAAGCTCCCAAACTGAGCTCCCTGAGGGCAGAGCTCCGTTTTATCTCTTTGGCCTCAGAGCCTGTGGCCTCTATCCCCAAGCTCAGCGTGGCAGGGTGAAGTCTGTGAACTGGGCTGAGCCAAGTCACAGAGGTCTGCCTGCCAGTGTGGGGATGTGGGATTCATAGCTTGCTCTTCCTCCTTTCCTGCACTGCTGCTTGGACGCTGCTGGTCCCGCATGCTGGCTTTTGGGATGGGTGTGAACAGGAAGAAGCTGGGTGGTCAGAGGACCCTCATTAATCCATCCTGTCCCACCACTTTTGCAGCTTTTCTCCCATCCAAAGGGCCAGAGGGGTGGGCCTGGCTGGGGAGAAGGCGCAGGGAGTACTGTGACTGCTGCATTGCAATGAGATTTCTGGAAAGGAGCAGATGTCGGTATGAGCGCAGAGGTGACTGAGCAGGGGAGCCAGTGGCTCTGACAGGGGCCAGCTGAGAGGAGGACAGAGGCATCCAGGCCTTCTTCCCAATCTTATATCCTTCTTCCCTGCCCCAGGCTATGGCCAGCAGCCGCCCCTGGGGGCTGGGCTTGCTTGTCACTTCTCCCTGCCCCCTCCTACCCTGAAAGGCATTAGCTTTCATACAAATGATGGGGCTGACAAGTGTCATAGCAGCCTGAGTGGCCCTTGTGCCTGCCACAACACTGACCACCATGGAGGAATTCACTCAGAGCAGAAGGTCCAGCCCCAGTCCCCTGGGGGCTTGTCTTAGAACCGAGGAGGCAGCCGGCTCCTGCACAGACTCACTTGGCTCAAGGGCTCTTACAAAGCTGCGACTGCCAGTTGCTAATTAATAGAAGGGCTACTGAGGCCGGCCAGACAGTCTTGCTTTCGCCCAGGGGATGCTGAAGAATTCACGTTTCCCAGACAGAGAGGGCCATGGGCGGGCAGGGGCATTGTGTTGGCTTTGGAGAGGATGTTCTCTGCCAGCTAGGCTTCTTTACTGAGGAGGCATTGCCAGGGCCCTAGAAGTCTGCAGTCCCAAGGGCTAGGAAGCCACTGGGAGACACTGTACCATCAGCACCCACTCGGATCTGAGGTGGGAGGCAGCACAGAGAGGTGGTGAGCTCCCCGTCACCGTGGGCGCTCAAGATAAGACTGGGCAGTACTTCGATCAGAGGTTGCCAAGCAGCATCCCATGCACCAAATACAGCATCCAGATGTGCTCTGTTTGGCCAGCATAGTGGGTCATAACAAATCTGAGCCAATGTTTTTAAATGGAAAGATACAACATGAAAATATGGCTCTCGGGCTTCTCTTGAAAAACTGGAAACCCTGGCAGCCCTGGCCCCACATTCCCACTCCACAGCGGGGAGCTGAAGGAGACACTAGAGGCTGCCTCCTTTACATTGGCTTTTGCTCTGCAGTTGTGCAGGTCCCCAGCTGTCGCTAAGGCCACTGTCTTACACCCAGCCACGTCATTCATGCCATTTAGCTGCCTGACCCCTGTAGGCTTTGGATTTTATAGCCCTAGACTCAAATCAACAGAGACTAAAGCCAGGTGGGTTCACAGATCAGTAACCACCATTTACAAAGCACCTACCATGTGCCAGGCTGTGCTAGGAGCTCTATATCTCCCATTTCATTTATTCTTCACGATGGCCTCCAAATAGTTTTATATCCCCAACTTACAGATAAGCCTCCGACGAGGAAAGGAGAGAGAGAGAGAGAGAGGTCCCCCAAATCATGCAGCCATGAATATCAGAACTGGAATTTGACATTCCTCCTTCTTTTATGTTAGTGTTTAAAAAATTTAATTACACAAGTAGTTCAAGAAAACATTCTCCTGAGAATTAAAACGTCGAGGAGGGGCTCAGAAAGGGATAGTCAGCAGGCACAGAAAATGGATCAGGTGTCGGAATATCAGATCTGGAGAGGCCTTAGCAAGCCGCTGGCCTGGAGCCTTTGTTTCATAGATGGGGAGTAGAGGAGCAAAGAGGGGGAGCAGCTGGCTCAAGGTCACAGAGTATGTCAGAGGCGAAACCAGAGACCAAGTGGGTTGTGTAACGTCTTGTCTGCAAAGGCCTTCAAGCTTAAGTCCACCCCCAGCTTCCCAGCCAGAGGGTTCACAGGGAAGGCTTTTCCTGAATGGTCCTGTCAGTTGGAGCTTTTTCTTGTCACTCTAGCTTCATACCTGTCTTTCTGGGATGATAGATATTTTCAGGATCCCATCAAAATTAGGCTGCTCCCATGAGAAGGGAGCCTTCCCCTTTCTGAAGATGCAGAGTCTGGTGGCTGGGACATGCTGTCCTGACCCCAGATCTGGGGATGCTGTTTCTGAGGATGCTGGGCTGGGATGCCAGCTCACCTCCTCTTCCTGGGCAGGTCCTGACTGCTAGAGACCTTTGGGGTTTGGGGACCATATCCGGGTGCCATTAATGCCCCTGTTCATGGATGGCGGTGATTGGGGTTCAGAGGAGAAGGGGCAAGTGTCCAGTGGTATCTTTCTCTGATCCACCAGAGAAATGGTCACGTGATCTATTCATGCTAGACTTCAGAAAAGTCAAGAAGTGGGGTTGATCTGTGGTTTAGGACTCAGTGTGTGACCAGAATCAGGGCTTATTCTGTGACCATGGCTAGAACTCAGCTTCTGACAATGGTCGGGGCTCAGTGTGTAACCAGGATTGGGGTTCAGTCCGTGGCTGGGGTCAGGGCTAAGTCTGTGGCCAAGGGAAGGGTTTGGTCTAGGGTCAGGAACTGGCATCCTTGTGCAAAGCCTTTGAGCCAATTTCGGTGCCCTTGCTGAGGTACCAAGGCTCAGGACTCTACCTTCGTGCCCCGCCCCCCTTTAGGAAGCTCTCCCTAAGTTCCCTGAGCTCCTACACCTCTTAGTATCTGAGCCAGCTGCCTCTGGTCCTCTCTGGGAGGTAAAGTACAAATTATAAATAAACAACAGAGCCACCACTGCCGACGCCAGAGCCACCAAATCTCACACGTGACAGCTCCCCACCCAACTCTGCTCTCTTCATCGTTTGGGGCTGGTGTTTGGTGTTCTCAGCCAGGCAGCAAGCTCAGGTGCCCTCAGGGTCAGGGCTGGACCTCGAGCCGTGCCGGCTGGATAGGGGGACTCCCTCCACCCACTGCTCCCCCAGCTCTGGGCTACCACAAATTGCAGAGCAAGCAGCGGGGCCTCCAGGTCTGATCACGGCAGCTGCGGGGGCCTGATAATTGGCTGCTGATGATTTTGTGTCTGTCTAAGCATTTATCTGTGTGGGTGGATGTGTTATGTCTGCGTGAACGAGGCTTTCAGAAATTAATACATAATGGGGGCTGGCTAATACATTATCCTCTGGGCTTGGAGAGAGGCAAGCTAAGGGAGTCATGCCCTCCAGAATACCATATCACCCATTCCAAGACTGCTTTCACTATTAAGGGTGCTGGAGGTGGCAAAATGGAGAGTAGGGTTCCACTTCTGGTTTATGGGAGGGCAGATGAGCAATAGATCAATATGGATTGATGGTCAGGGAAGGCATCCTGGAGCAAGTGACTCTGAGCTGGATCTGAAGGAAAGAGAGAACCACTCTGTGCACTTTCTTGGAAGCTTAAGCTAAGGGCCGCCTGGCTGGGGTGGGTGTTGGCAGGTGCTGGGGGCTGCTTATTCAGAACCTGCCTCCTTTAACCTGTACTCCTTAGTCCCTGCCCTTCACCCTTGAGGACTCTGAGCGGGCTGCCTGTGCTGCCATCTGAGTACGTGTGGTGTGTTTGCCTGTGTGTATGTGTGCACCCTGGTCCTAGGTGCACAGCCTTTGAGAAGACTCGCTTCTCCTGCCTTACTAGGCCCAGAAGGCAGGTGTTGCCTGCAATAATGTCACTGAGCGTGTGGCCTGGAGCCCAGAAGTAATTACCCTGCAGTTCCCCGTTGGAGGCTAGAGCAGCCCCTGTTAATGATTAATGTGAGTCCCCAGCCACTGTATGCCAAAGTCAGCCATGGGCTTCTCCCACCTCCAGTATCTTCAGAGGATGTGAGGGCACTTGTTCCTTTCCCCAAAGACAGGAAAGACCCTCAGGTCCACAGGTCCCGTTCATGCCATTAGCACCTTTTAGAAGAAACTTGGTCCAGCAGGGGAGACTGCCCCTGGGGCCTGGCTTCCTGCAGTGTGGGGGCCGGCCCGCCCCAGAGCCCTGGGTCCTCTATCTTGAGCCAGCCTGCCCAGAACTGCCCACCTCTCCCACCCTCAGCTTCCCCTCCTGACCCTCATCCTGTTCTGCTGGGTGACCTCAGCAAGCTCCTCTCTTCTCTCAGTGTCCAGGGTCGGGCCTCAGTATGAGGCTGAAGAGAGCAGAGCTAATTGGCCAAATAGGTATTGAGCCCTGAATCCTGACCCCATTAGCACAAATAGAGCCAGCAGGGCAGGGACAGTGCTGCCGACCAGTAGAGCTTTTGAGAATCTCCCTCCCTCTTTCTGGCTCTGTCACCGAGGTCCAGCCAGTCATGATCCTAGAGTTCTGCAGTCCCTGGGGGCCAGGGACACGTGGAAGATCTCTTACCTAGGGGCCTTGTTTTGTGGAGGCTTTGTCGGCCCTTGTCCTGGGGAGCGGGGCTGGGGGTCTTCCTGGCACGTTGTGTCATATTGGTGAGGCCTCTTGAAGGCCCTCCCTCCATTAGGTCATGGCCTCCGTGGATGGAGGCCAGGCTTTCTTTTCTTTGTTTCCGGGGCATCCTTCCCGGGAAGTGATGCAGCAGGAGCTTAATGAAAATGAACTGAAATGCCATCCGGGAAAGGGCCTCAACCACGCTCTCCTCCCAGCCTCCCCTCCTAGGGAGCAGTCCCCTCCTGGAAGCTCAGACCTGGCCTCAGAAGAGCTCAGAGTGTGAGGACCCATGCAGACTGCAGGGCACACCAGATGACTGTGGGTGGAGGGGCCCTGTGGGACAGGCCAGCGGGATCATCTACTCTGGGATTGGCAGAGGAAGGAAACAGGAAAAGCCGTTCAACGTGTCCCAGAGGCTCTGGGGCATCATCATCCTGTTGGGTTGCTCTGTAGCTCCTGGGGACAGAGTCTAGGGGACAAGCCTGTGAATCCTACCAGTAGAAGACTTGGCTCTGTGCTGCCCAGCTGTGTGGACTTAACTGAGGCCTCACCTCTCTGAGTCTTGCTTTCCTCCTCTGAAAATGGGACCAGAGAGGGGTTGGGTGTTAGCAAGATCCCAAAGCCTGAATTGGCAGCCGCTGAAGAGTCATCTGGGTGCTTATGTGATCATGGATGTTTGGGCTCCCTGGGTGAGGCCGGGCAGGTAGAGTTTCAGGAAGCACTCAGGTGATTCTGCCTCCATCACTTTGGGAGCCAATGAGCTGGGCATCCCCAAGCCCCCATCTGCACTAACAGCCTGCAGTTCTCTGATTGCTCTGCATTTGCCTTAGTCCTACGGTGGCTCCCCAGAGCTTGGGGTAAAATCCTGCCTTCTTAGCACAATATCCAACCCCATTGGTAATAGGCCTCCCTCTCCAGGGAGCTTTTATACCTTTTTTTTCCTTGTGGGTTGTGAGGAGTCAAAATCATAAAATTCTGAGGCCAGAAGGGACCTCAGAGAACATGGCCCCACTCATCTTCCTTGTTAGACTGTGTTTTCCTGGAGAGAAGGCAGCCCGTTCCCTCCAGCTCTGTGTCCCCAGATGCCCCAGAGAATCCTTGTTGTTTGGCCCCAAGCTCCATCCCATCAAAAAGGGGTGGTGTAGACCCTTGCAGAGTCAGTATTTAGCTACTCTTTATAGGGAAGCCTTCCTATGGCCTCCTTGTTAGCCCCTTCTATGACCAATGCTGCCTGCCTTAAGAAGTTCTGCCCCGGGTCAGGCACTGTGGCTCACTCCTGTAATCCCAGCATTTTTGGAGGCTGAGGCAGGAGGATCACTCGAGCCCAGGAGTTAAAGACCAGCCTGGGCAACATGGAGAGACCCTACCTCTACAAAAAAAAAAAAAAAAAAAGAAAAGAAAAGAAAGAAAAATTAGCTGGGCATGGTAGTGTGTGCCTGTAGTCCCAGCCACTCCAGAGACTCAAGCAGGAGCGTGGCTTGAGCCCAGGGAGGTCGAGGCTGCAGTGAGCCAAGATTGCACCACCACACTCCAGCCTGGGCTACAGAGTGAGACCCTATCTCAAAAAAAAAAAAAAAGCAAAAAACAAAGACGTTCTGCCCCAAATCCATTTCCAGTGCTTCATGTTGCCCCTCAAGCCTGTTTCCTCCCGCTGCTGGCAGTGCCTTCCTGTGTGAGCAGGTGAGCTCTCCCACCTAATTTCCCCAGAGGGTGTGCTCCCGTGCTACTCCACAACAATGTTCTATTTTTGCTCCAATCTCCTGAGTGGGAGGACAGAAGGTTCCTGGGGGAGTGGTGTTGGAGCCTTCTTTGATTCTTGTAAGCTTGACTGAGAGGTTCTCCAACTGCTTGTTACCTCCCCCATCTTCCCCAGTGGTCTTGTCCACTGGGTGAAGCACAGAGAGGTTAGGCCCTGGCCTGAGGGAACATGCATCTGGGCAACTTGGAGCACTGTGAAGCAGATGTCCCCTGCTGTGCAGTTTGGCGGTGTGTGTGTGTGTGTGTGTGCGCATGTACATATTCACTGGTGTGTTTCTGCATATGCAACATAGGGTCTGCAGAGGAGGAATTAGCCCATCAGATAAACAATGGGTTTTCATCTCAAAGTGTTTCTTTTGCCCAGGCCTGTTCTCACTGTGCTGTTGAGAAGGTGCGGTTGCAGTCCCTTTCTCAAGGAATTCTCTTCCTCTATAACTTTCCCAGCCCCTCATGTACCCTGGAAGAGCCCTGAGTTCTCAAGCTGGCGTTCAGGATGTCTTCCACATTCTCTTCAGAGCTGGGAGCTGAGGTGTCAGGGTTCCCTGAGGTGCGCGTTCTTCCGTGAGTGAGCTGTCAATCTGGCCAGCTGCCCTTGGCTGACCTCTTTAGCCTCTGCACTGCAGAGATTCATGGAACTCAGCATATCTTTAGAGATGTCTAGCTCCATCCTCGTGTTGTGCCAATGGGGAAACTGAGGAAGAGACAGTGAGAGGAAGGGACTTATTCAAGGTCACATAGCAAGTTAGAGACAGGGACGGGACTAGAACTTGAGAATCTCAGGCCCCTGACCCAGACACCTTCCATCGCATAGCATGGGCCTCCTTCCTGTAACCCCTGGCCTCTAGCCACAGTGCTGTCTCCTGACCAGCGGACCTACTTGGGCGCCTGCATCCTCTTTGAGGCTTTAGTACCCAACAGGGCATGCTGCCCCCTGCTCCTTTCTGGAGCAAGCCTGGCTGAATTTCTCCTCCCCTCTGGCCATCCCCAGCCTGAGGGATACAGAGTCAGAGATTCTGCATCAACCCTCTTACTCCCTTCCCTTGGCTCATGGCCCCATCTGCCCATGGAGCTGGCCTGGATTTTCAGCTCCGCTGTGGGGTGGGTCTGTCCATCCTCTATATTGAGGGCTTCTTGAGGTGGGACCATTTGTGTCCCTCAGGATCCTCCTAGCTCTCAGGCCAGGACCTGCATCTTAATGGCCATAGAATGATGATGATGATGATGATGATGGGGATGATGATGATGGGGATAATGGCCCACTTGAATTGAGTATTTATGCCATATAGCATATTGTAAATATTATCTCATTTGGTCTTCCTAGACTCCTGTGAGGTGGGGATTAATGTTCTCATCCTGCACATTAGAAAACAGGCTCAGAGAGGTTAAGTGATTTGCCCAAGGCCTCACAGCAGAGCACCTAGCCACCGTACATCTACAATAGCCTGGCCACACAGAAATGTGGTCCCTGCACCAGCAGTCTCAGCATCACCTGGGTGCTTGTTAACAGTGCAGATGTTGGCCCCACCCCACAGCCGACTGAAGTCCACCAGGTCTGCAGCTCAGAAAGTCCCCAGGTGATGTGTGTGCACATTCCTGTGTGAGGGGCGCCGTGCTGTATGGCTGAAGGATCACAGGCCAAGAAGAGAAGACTGGGTTAGCTGTTGCCCTCACACAGCTCACCTTCTTGGGGAGAGGCTGAGGCCAGCTCTCATTGCATCATGACAGGCAGGACCTCAGCCCAGGATGGGGAGGTACCTTAGAAGAGGCAGGGGTAAAGGGTCATCATTGGGTTTTAAGAAAAACAAAACGAAACAAACTTTGTTCCTCAAATATTGATAAACATAGAAAAATTGGAAAATAAATGTACACCCAAATCCAAACAACCCGCCTGTAAACCAAGCCCCAGATGCCCTTGGCTCTAAATCGGACTGTGTCTGAGGCAGCCCTAGGCAGGCAAGGGAGCAGCTTACCTGGGAGCCCTGTGATTCTGAGTCAGAGTTTTTGAGGTGGGTTAAAAATAGAGCCCTAGTGGCCAGGCGGGGGTGGGAGGAAGACAGCAATTTATCTATTGTGGTGGGGAGACCCTGGGGTCAGGGAAGAACAACAGTGAGGGGAGGTTGGGCAGGAAGGTTGGGCAGTGGGTGGGGCTATATTTCCCTCCAGAGACCTGAGCTGAGCACCCAGCCTGGCTCAAGAAGGCTGTGGGAGGTGATTTCAACCCTGAGGGTACAGGGGGAGGCTAAGATGCCAGCCCCAGGACACAGGCAGGGAGGACTCCTGCTCACCCTGGGACAAAACACTCCCCCACCACCAGAGAGGCAGCTCCTTCTAGGGTATGGGATGGTGAAGGTGGTGACAGTGGCTCTGCCTCAGAGAATGGTAAAGAGGAGCTAGACAGATAGGGGGTGTGGAGGGGGAGTAATAGGTGCTTTCAGACAGTTATCAAGGTGTGAGGAGGGGAGGCAGGAAAGGCATCCTCATGCGTGTCACGTGTCTGTGTCATGGACTGACATGCGTGTGATGTTAAGCTGTCCTCCTTTGCCTATTACACCTGCTCTTCAGACAACCACCCTCTCTCCACCTTCATCATTGATCTCCAAAACATCTTCTCATCCTGACCTCCCGGGCACGGCAATGACTTTGCCACATATTTCTGCTGACCACTTAGGAGCCATCTGGGGACCAGGATCGTGTCTTTCCCCTGACACATGTTAGAGGACCCCTTACAGCACAGGGCGCTGGCCATTGTTTAAAGGTAGATGAATGTTTCTGATTATAAAGGTAACATCTGCCTGTTTTGGGGAAGGTGGAAAATGTAGAAAGGTGAAATGGAGAAACTCAGAGTCACGATATATTCCCACCCTTAGAAATCATCAATGTTAATGATTTAGTGAATTCTTTTTTTGTTTTATCTTTGGCAGTCTTTTCTTCTTCTGGCAACAGTCTCCCGTCCGTCCGTCCATCCATCCATCCATCCATCCATCCATCCATCCATCCATCCATCTGTCCATCCATCCATTTAACAATAAGATAATGTTACTGAGATTCCTCCCCATCCCTTGCCCAACTGTGTGTTCCCATCTTGGAAAAGGAAGAGAAATCATTTCTGCCCTTGGGGAGCTCACAGTAGGGGAAGCCCTAAGACTCCTCCTGGGTCTGTCTGGTTGGGGAATGGAGGGGATTCCGGGAGAGCAGTGGAGTTGCCTCCTTCATCCCCTCCTCAGGGCTCCTGAGTCTCACTGCTAGGCCTATTTGGGAAGAAGGGAGAACTTCTAAAATCCCCTGTGGTGGAGGTGGGGTAGAGGAGGGCCAAGGGGGTGTGCCCATAATGAGAGGCTTATTATGGGTGGTTGGTTCTGCTCCCACCGCCTGCACAGCTCAGGCTGGAAACACAGTCAGGGCCCTGGTTGGCAGTCTTTAGCCACAAGGTCCCCCGACCAGCTCTCTCTCATCCCATCCTGTCAGAGACCCCAGGCCCCCTGTTTCTTCTGTCCCATGTCTGTTCACCTGCCTTCTCCCCCACTTTCAATGTCTCCGCTCTTTTTCTGTCACTTTTCCACCATGATCCTCAGCACTGGGTGGGACCACCTGCCGAGGGCTGTTGCTGTGAGTCTTGGGGGTTTGGATGTGCTAAGTTCTTCCCTGATTGTCGGAGGCTTGTGGAAGCCTGGTGGGAAGGAGTCTGTTTCTGAGGGCTGCCCGCATCATGTGGCTTCTGCTGGGCTCCCTGCCACTCAGCCTTTGGCACGCACTCCTGAGGCATGCATGGCATGCACTCATCTGTTCACCCATCCCCCATCCACTCATTCGTATGTTTCCACCCATTCACGTATTTATGAGGACCTACCGTATAAAAGGTACTGCGCCGACTTCAGAGAGTCAGTGATGGCAAGTTAGACTGTCACACACACAGTTTCTTATAACATGATAAGTACTATGCCAGGGCAGCGCCTGTGAGGGGCAGTTAACCAGATTTCCTAGGATACAAAGAAGGCTTCCCAGGAGAAGTGATGCCTCCTGTGAACCAAGGGGGGTAGGTGGGTACAAGTGGGGAGAAGAGTTCCAGGCAGAGATGACAGCATGTGGGAAAGCCCAGAGGCAAAGAAAGCACCATGCGTTGGGGACACCGAAGGCTGCTGAGTCTGTCTGCAGCAGAGTGTGCAAGGAGAGGAATGGGGAGCATCAAGGCAGGAGAAGGAGGCAGAGTCCAGGCCAGGAAAGGCCTTGGGGACAACAGTGAGGAATTTGGATTTCACTTAAGAGGTGATGGGAAGCGCAGAAGGATTTGGGGCTTAGCAAAGTGTGGAGAGTCGATTGGAGGAGGGTGCTGGCCCCAGCCCTGACCCTGAGGTATGTGAGGTCCTGGACTGGCCAGGAGCTCAGCTGGGAAGCTGTTGGAGTAGTCCCCATGGTGGGTTGATGGGACACGTTGGATCCAGTGTGATGAAGTGTTGGAAGGCAAGGGAGATAGAAGAGTTGAGGATAGCTCTGAGGTTTCTGGGATATACTTTTGGATGCCTGGTGGTACCATTTTCTGGGAGCACAAGAGTGTGGAGGAAGCTGTGAAGCTCTGTCTGAATATGGCAAGGGTGAGGTTCCCGTGGGACATCCAGTTGTAGACATGTAGTCAGCAAGTGGATGCATGGGTTTACAGTTCAAGAGAGGGGTATGGTTTACAAGGCAGCAGAATAACAAGGCCATGGGAGTCAGTGAAATCACCTGGAAAGAGTGCACAGAGCGGGAAGAGATGAGGGCCCCAAGGAGCAAAAACATGGAAAGGTCATGCCGAGGGAAAGGAGGCCGTTCAAGGGAAGGGAAAGGAGAGGCAGTGAGAACAGAGAAAAGTCAGTGGAGTGGGCCACCTTGGAAGCCAAGGAGGAGACTGTCTGCAGGTAAGAATGGTCTACAGGACCAGATGATGCTAAAGGCCAGGGAGGAAATGGACTGGAAAGTGACCATTGGATTTAGCAGCAGGATGCATATTGGTGACGTGCTGAGGAGTGGAGAGCAGCATCGCTTCTCGGCCTTTTGGCTAAGATCAAGTGGAGTGGAGAGGAGCGCTGGGTGAGGGGCACGAAAGCGAGAGTGTGGGGACGGTGACACCTCCTTCAAGGAGCTTGGTAAGAGATAAGACAGCAGGGGTTCAGGGAGGGATTTTTTTTTAAGTTTAGAGAGCTTAAAAGGAAAAGCTGATGGGAAAGGATCAGTGGAGAGAGACAGATGGAAGAGAGAGAGGGAATCTTCTGTAGATTAAGGTCCCTGGGGAGGAAAATGGGGATGGTATCAAAAGGGCAGGTAGAAGAGCCGCTGATTCCCCTGTGACTGGGAAGAGGAGATGGGATTGGGGAGATGCTTCAAGGTGGCAGAAAGAGGAAGGGGACACTGGCGGCTTTGCTTTTCTCTGTGACGTAGAAAGTGGTGTTATCTGCTGACTCTGAGAGAAAAAGTGGTGGTTTCAGAGCTTTGAGGAGAGAGGAATTAATTTGAAATAGCAGCTATGGGGAATGGGCAGGAAAGTTTACTAGGTTCTCCTGGAAGGATCAGGGGACAGAGATGAGGGCTGTGAATGAGGCCATGATGATGACATTGAGGCATGAGGAGCTAAGAAACTTGGATATTTAGTAGGACTGGTCTGAGGTTGTGGGATTCTCTACACAGCTCCCATGTGAACATGAAAAGGGTTGATGGTGGTCCTTGCCTGGGGCTGGGATTTCATGACGGTGCCAGGAGGAGGGGCATGGGAGTTAAAGGCGTTGGTTTTAGAGAGGCGAATGAGCTGGACCATCGTGTCTGGGGTGAAGGGTGGTTGGGAGGATGTAGGAGGGTTCTGATGAGAGGATCAGAGGAGTCAGCAGACTGGATATTCCCAGGACTCTGAAAAACAGGTGCAGCACAACTGAATAGAAGAGCCGGCAGGAAAGAAGGGCAGGGTGTACAAGAGGACTGCAGAGATGCAGCACCGGAGGTGGTGACGTGGTCAAGTGTGTGCTTTGGAATGGACCATTGAGGTGGGATTGTTAGAGTCAGGGTGGCAAGCTACCAAGAGGCCAAGGTGTTGTCTGGGTCAATGATATGGAGTAGAAGTCACCCAGGACAATCACAGGATTTGGAGTGGAACGGGAGGTTGTGAACCAGGTGCCAGCATTGCCAAAGTCCTTGAGGATGGCAGATGGGTGCTGGAAGGATGGCCAGCAAATGACAAGGATACCCAAAAGATCTTGTAGACGTTTCTGCCACAGGCAGGAGGTAGCAGCAGTAGGGAGAGGGGAGGATGCTGACTCACCCCTGATTCTGAGGCATGAGGGATTTGGAAGAGTGATGTCCTTAGGACACAACTAGGGTTCACTTAAGCGGGGAGGCAGTGGGGTCTGGGAGTGAAGAAGTTAAGGATGCAGGTGCCATGGAAGAGAGCACAGGAGAGAGAGCTGGGAGGGAGACAAGGAGCTTGGGGAGGGACAGAGTTTGGGAGTAATAAAATACCACCAGCCAGATTGATATTTCTGTGGAGTGGTTAGAAAGCAGGCCTCTGGAGTCAGACTCTTTGGGTTTGAATACTTGGCCCACCATATATGGCAAATCTCTCAACTCCTTGTACCTCAGTCTCCTCATCTGTAAAATGGGCATAATCATAGTATCTACCTCATAGGGGTTTTTTTTTAATGAAGATTAAATAAAGTAGTCCAGATAAGGTACTCAGATTAGTGCCTGGCAAATGGTAAGTGTCCAAAAAGTATTGACTGCCATCCTCCTCCATTCTCACTGTTTTCAGTGTCAGGATCTTTGCTGGGTCTGGAAAACCAAGGGAATGGGAAAGATAACCCAGAGGGCATATGAGTTGGAGAGAATGAGAATGGAGGCTGGAGACCAGGAAGGAGGTGGGGCAAGGGTCCAGCTGAGAGACAGATGCAGAAGCCATCATGGAAGCAGCTAGACTAGACATGGTGACTGCTGGGGGTGTTGCTGTAGGGGTGGGTGGGAGGTAAGAGGCAGCAGTAAGGGATGGCTGGGAGGTTTTGAGCCTAGATTATTGAAATGCAAACTGTGCCATTCAGCTTTGAGGAGGATGATGCTGAGTTCAGCTCTGGAGTCGTTGGCTGTAGGAGACAGCAGGCCCTCCAGGTGGATGCATTTTGCAGGCAGGTAAGAATGCAGGTCTGGTGCTGGGAGTGGCACTGAGTGGGAGCTGTCTGCAAAGTTGGAGAGGGTAACAGATGGGGCACTGAGTGTGCTGCTCACCTGGGAGAAAGCGTGGAGACCCACGGGCTACAGTCAGCACTGCAGGGACATGGGTGTCTGAGACAAGGTCCCTGTCCTCCATGAACCCATGGTGTTTTAGGAGCTAAAACCAAGACTCAGGCTGTGCAGAGGCTTCAGTGGTCAGAGTTGAAGAGCTAGCTTGAAAGGTGGAAAATATTTTAATGACAAAACAATGACATTCTTCTTCCAGCTGACAGGATTCCCAGTGGATATCATTTGTGCCAAAATGTATGCAAGAAAGTATGCATGTGTAAAAATGGATGCATGTAGGAGGGCAAAAGGCAAGAGCGTGTTTACAAAAAATGTATTCATGGTATTGCATGTGGGTGTGCATGTGTGTGTGCGTGTGTGCACGCATGTTCGTGTCTGTGCATGTGCACATGTGCATGCGTGTATATATGTGCATATGTCCTCAAAGGCAAGCGTGGGTGTGTGTGGACAAGAAGAGGCTGAAGGAGGTCATCCCTAGCTGGGACCTCCACTTTTCCTACTTTCATTCTGTCACCCTTCCCATCCTCTTTGGCCTCCAGGGAAGGAGAGGGCCCTTAGTCTTGTCCTTGAGTCCCCGAGTTCAGTATCAGCCACCTCCTGTCATGTCTTCCTCAGCTCCCTTGAGGCTATGAACTTCCTCTCACACCAAAACATGAAATTTCCAGATATCGGTGTAATGGGCTGCTTGGCTTTTTACCATCCCCCATTCTTTCTGCATATGGGACCTGCCCCTCCAGTGTCAGCCTATAAGTTGCCTCTTCCTGCTGAGAGGCCACCTGCCTGCCTGGGTGGACCCATTGGTCCAGGTAGGAAGTAAGGATTGAGATAAGACAGGTCTGGAAGCCTGGGGCTGCTGGGGCTCCCAGAGCCCAGTTGGTGTCTTGCTGGCCAGGACTCCTGTTAACTTAAAGGGCACTGGGCTGGAGGAGGATCCTCTGGATTTGGAGAGACTAGGGCCCCTAATTCAGGCACGTGCCAACTCCAGGATATCTGAGCCTGACTGCCCCTTGCTTTCCTGTCAGGGCATTACACCCACCACCCTGGATTCACACCCTGGATTGTGAGATTTATTCATGAGTGATTCTCGGGGTGGCCAGATGATAAGGGAGCATTGGGCATCCAGCTTGAGGCTTCGGAAATGTTACTCTTCCTTCCTTTGTGAGCCTTCGTTTTCCCTTCTATAGGACATGTGTGACCGTGACCGAGTGATTGCTGATGGCCAGGGTGCCTTCAGCACTTGAGAGGTGTGCTACTTCCTCTACCTCAGACAGCCCTAGCATCAGGAGCATGGGCCCCCCAAATCCTCTTTGCAGTCTTCTCTTCTTTCTCTGGGGCAGGGGCCACACCTGCTGTGGTAGGCTGCCTTTCCACTGTGATGTAAAGGTGTCAGAAAGGCATATCTGCCTCCCACATCCCTCTAGGGTACCCACAACCCCAAGAACTCAAACTCTGGAGTCCCAGAGACTTCTCCTAATCTTGTGTCTGTCCCTCACTAGCTGTGTAGTCTAGGGCAGACACTTCTCTGTCAGCCTCAAGATCATCATCTGTAAAATAACAGCAGCCACAGTGCTAGTGTGAGGGATAAATGAAGTAATGCATGGAAAACCCAAGTAAGTTCTCTATACATGTGAAGTGTTTTGGGGTCTTTATGAATAAAGACTTTTCAGTCACCAAGGAGCCCCAGTAAAAATGCTCAGAGATATTAAGGCATCACTTGAGATGCTTCGACCAGCAGGATTGGAAATGAAGAGGGGCCAGCAAGCTGAGGATGCCAGTGTAGAAGCTGTTGCCACCTTCCCCTGGCTAAACCCACTGAACGGGGCTGGCAGGTGTGCTGGGCGCTGTCCGTGGTGCTGAACGTCATATCTAGCTCTGGCAGGGCCTGGCTTTCGGAGACCTGTGCAAGCATCTGGCAAGGAGTAAGGAAAGGTAGTCCAGAAGCCAACGGCAGTTCCCAAAACCCAACTCCTCTCACCTCCTCCAGAAGCAGTTTCCCGGCCTCACCCTTCTAGGCCACCGGGATCCCATTTTTATGGATACCTGGGCTTTTTACGGATACCTGGGCTCATAGGGATGGTTTCTTACACCATTGCCAATTGCCTTCTATCCAAGCCTTGCGCTCTGACCAGACCATGAGTCTCTGGAGGTGAGGGCATCTGTGTACTGAGGCAAATAGGTCTGTCATCTGATTGCTGGAGGGACCTCCTGCTACTGGCTTTCCTGGGTCTATTACAGGCTCCTCTGTGATCCCACTCCCAGCAGATGTTTTGCTTTGGCTCTTCTCTGGGAGATTTGATCCTCCCTCTTACCTCTTTCCTGCAAATTTATTGATTTTGATGATTTATTTACTCATTTCATAATGTAGCTGGGCATAGGTCAGAGCATTTGACAGAAATCAATTGATTTCCTCCTTATGACAGTGCTGCTAGTCAGGTACTGTGGTTATCCTCATTGAGCAGATAACAAAACTGAGGTGTGGCATGGTAAAGTGACTTGCTAGTAAACCATGGAGCAGGAATCGAACCCTGACTTCAGGCCCATCCCTCCTCCCACCATATTATACTGTCTCTCCAGCAGCTCTGTGATGTTCCAGGGTAGTGGTTTGTGGGAAAGAATGATCCAGGATCCCGACCCCAGCCCAGATCGAGTGCTGGAAATATCCCTGAGCATCTGGAAGCTCAAGATTGAAACCATTAGTCAGAGTGCGAGGAAATGGGTGTTTTTGCCTTATGCAATTTGGTTTTATGAAGACCACAAAATGCAAACATTCTCCTGTTAATTACTCTCTCAAATTTGGACTGTAATTGAGGGAACTAGAGCTGGGGAGAGTGTAGAAACCCGTTGGAGTGGCAGGCCCGCCCGAGTCAGCATTCCCAGCCGCCTTGCACCCGCTCTGTTAATTTTAGAAACTCCTCCAGCCTGGGTGTATTATTAGCTTTATGTACAGAGGGCCACATAGCCCTCAGTGGCCTTTCTATGCACAGTTAAAAAATTTGTTTTCTTTTGTTTTTCCCAGGAGATTAAATGAAGAGGGATGACAGCAGAGTGTATAGAGGGGTGTTTGTGCACTGTGTGTGTGAATGGGGATACCTGCGTGTGGCATCTAATGAGTGTACACAGCTGTCTTTGAGTGAGGTCTATGTGGCTGGGTAGAGCATGCACGGCTCTAGGGCACCCCATAGATGCTGAAACCATCCTCCTGGGGCCCATGACTCATTAGCAGGTGTGCTGCATTCTTTGTAGTAAAGTGTGAAGCTGAGGATGGGTCCTCAGGCCTTAGTTGGGTTCTCTCAGCTGGCATATGGGTACTGGGGCCACAGGAAGGAGTGGTGGGTCATGGGGTAGAGAGGAGCTGAAGTTGGCCTCTTGGCATCCGGCCTTATCCCCCATAAGGCCCTGTCTTGAGGCCCTGAAGAGCTTGGCTTTCAAAGGAGCTGCAGAAAGCTGACTCTCTGGAAACTGCCCTTTGCCACACAGTGTGATGTAGGACAGCCATCTCACCCACCTTCAGCAAAACAGGCCCTACCCTCTCCTTGAATCACAGCCCCATTTTGAGTCTGGCAAACAAACAAACAATTTGCTATGAAGTAATTTCTTTGCAACCTGGAACTCTGCAGGCAGGGGCACTTTGGTTTACAGTGAGACCCTCTGAAGACTCGAGGAAAGCTTATCTCTTTCTTTCCCACTTCCTTCCTCCTGGCTTCCCTGCAGTAAAGAATCAAAGATGGTGGAAAGGTTATTTCTCCTGGGAGAAGACATGCTTATTTCTGCCTCACTTAATACCTTTATCTGTTATTGTGTAAATGTCTAAATTAATAGCAGAGGGAAACAGCTCTGCAGTGCAAGTTTTTGGTCTTGGGGCCAGCCCTGGGATGGCTGGTGCTTGGGCAGGGTCCCTGGGAATAACTGGCCATGCCTTCTGGATTGGGGTCTTGGCCACCTGTGTTGTTTCCACACTCCAGAAGGCCCCCTGCTTGGTGAGTTGGGAGAAACCCACCACAGACCTGTGAGTTGGTGTTGTGCCTCCTCCTCATGCTGCTCAACTTCTCCAAGGCTTTGCCCTGAGGCTCCCTCTACAAACGACTTGAAGGTGCCTGAGGCCTTAGGAGAAATGATTCTGGAAGCCCTGGGCTGGTCTCTTTCTATCACATTGAGTGGTATCTCACTGGTGCCTGAAATCCCCCCATTAATTATTCTTGTTTTGAAGCTATCTCTCCCCCTCCACACCCCCATGTTAGGATGCAAACCTCTGAGGGAAGGAGATGGTCAGACATTTTCTGATTATAGGGGATGGACTAAAGGTGGATGCCAGAGAACCAGTTTGGGAGAGGGCCAGATCAGAATGATAGGACTCATTACACAGTGAGGAAACTGAGGCCCAGAATAGGGAGGCCCTTCCGGATGTCACATAGCATGTTGATGACAAAGCTGGGGCCGGAGCCTGGGCCTCCTGCCTTCCAGGCACCTGAGTCATGTCTGTACCTCCCCTGCTCTTTGGTCATGGTCTGTGGAATGTCTCCCTGACAGCCCATCTCAAGCCACAGCTGACCCTCAGGGAGGATGGGGCAGCCTAGCCTGAGCCTGGGGTGGTGTGGGGTGAGCTGCTCCTTTTGCTAAAACAGCCTCTTGCTTCTCTCTGAGTGTCACTGATTTGCTTTTCAGCCTGACTCTTACTGCGGGCTGGGGATGGGAGGAGGAAGCTTGTTGTTGGGGCTCGGGGAAACTCACAGAAGGGCAGCACGGAGGGTATCCTTAGTGAATGAAGAGCCTCTTATTGTGTCATTCCCTGTGCCAATCTCCACATCTTGCCCTGGTACCCATGTGCCTGTCTTCCTGTCTCAGAACCTCCCAAGACTTCTCTGTCCCAGATGCTGTCCCTCAGATCTTCCTCCCTTAGTCTGTAACTTGTCCTCTCTCTCTTCCTGGCGACTGACCCCTGTGTCTCTGGGCAGATTTTACTGGGACCTGACCATGCTGCTGCTGATGGTGGGAAACCTGATTATCATTCCTGTGGGCATCACCTTCTTCAAGGATGAGAACACCACACCCTGGATTGTCTTCAATGTGGTGTCAGACACATTCTTCCTCATCGACTTGGTCCTCAACTTCCGCACAGGGATCGTGGTGGAGGACAACACAGAGATCATCCTGGACCCGCAGCGGATTAAAATGAAGTACCTGAAAAGCTGGTTCATGGTAGATTTCATTTCCTCCATCCCCGTGGACTACATCTTCCTCATTGTGGAGACACGCATCGACTCGGAGGTCTACAAGACTGCCCGGGCCCTGCGCATTGTCCGCTTCACGAAGATCCTCAGCCTCTTACGCCTGTTACGCCTCTCCCGCCTCATTCGATATATTCACCAGTGGGAAGAGGTAAGTGGTCAGTGCAAACCTCTTGGGGGAAAGGCCACTCCCCACAGAGGGAGTGAGGAACTGGCAGGGAACCTCAGATAATTGAACATAGGCTGTCAGATTGTGGCAGGCACACCTGCTCCAAGAGGACAAATACTAGTAAGTTCTTGACCTCTTATCATGTGCTGGATACTTTACATGCAGTATCTCAATGAAGTGTGTAACAGCTATAGAGGGAACCATATAGGTACATGTATATACTCATTTTTCACCTGAAGAAACAGACAGAAATATTAAGTGACTTATACAAGGTTGCATGATTAGTAATTTGTGAACCTGGAATGTGAACTTAAGCCGATCACCTCTAGAGCCCACATTATTAACCACTGCGTTATGTTGTAGGGTTTGTAAACCCATAAACTTGTTGGGGACAGGCAGGGAATAGGGATGGGTGAAAAGGGCCAGTTGGGGGACAGTAGACAGTGTGGTGGATGAGAAGAACTAGAGAACATCTCCGTTATATTGGGTGGCCTCTATGCAGCTCCAGCTAATTTTTGTCAAGTGGGAATGGGCCCAGGGTTGCTAGATCTATAGCATTATGAGAAATGGAAATCTGGATTTTTATACAAATTTTGTTGGCAACTCTCTTAGTTTGGGTTCTTCCTGAGCAGAACCTGAGACAAAGATTTGCATGAAAGGGATGTTTTGGGGATGCATTCCCAGGAAAATCTGGTAAGGGGACTGGGGAGAGGGACAGGGAAAGGCAGGAAGCCAAGCAATGGTTGGACATTGGAGGGTGTCCTGTGGATGGCTGTTTGCCTCAGCCCTATGGGATCTGAGGATAGTGTGCGCCACACCTTGGAGTTGTCCCAGTCAGGGCAAGGGAGTTGGAATGTTTATATCCCCTTACCTGTCAGTCATTGGTTCAAGGCACTGCCAGCCCTCAGCACTCACAGCCAAAGCAGTTTCCAGCAGCCCGGGCAGGCCTCTGACAAAAGGTGCGGCCGCTGGCTGTAGAGAGTGAAATCACGCGGGCAAGTTGGAGTCTTGTGCTCAGAAACTGTAAAGGGATCCTAGGGGCTGTGAACACTGGCTACAGGAGGAAAATAAAACATTGAAAAAGAACTGGGCGGACCAACTGCATTGTGAACAAACCTCACTCATCCATGGGCTGAAGCAGTCATCTGCAGCAGAGGAGCTAAGGGCTTTGCTGGGAGGAAGAGCAGCTGACCTTGCCAAGTGCTTCGGTCTGTGTCTGCCACCCACCCAAGTTACACAACTTGGCAGCAGCGGCAGGCAGGCCAGCCTGGAGGGCCTACTCTCTCTGTGAGACAGCCCACCTTGGATCCCTGCCACCTGTGGGCGGGACAAGCTTCCATGGAGGGCCATTTCCCGCTCCATCCCTGTGCCGCGTGGCTGACTTCCCAGCCTCCAGGACCCCCTGCTTGCCTGGCAGAAGTTCCCATGTTCAGGACATGAAGCCCCCCATGCTCACCCCCAGCAGCAGCCTGGGCCTCGACTGGCAGCACCTATGGCTGATGGTCAGAGGCGTCATGAACGCATGTGCCATAGGAGAAGTGTGTGCACCAGTTTGGCAGCGTCCCTCCATGGCAGAAATTCTCTTTGGCTTGGAAAATTCACATTACTTATGCTGACAGAGAGGGGCCGTGACTCTCCCAAGGTCATGCAGTTAGACCTCTGGTAGAACTGGGACAGAATCCAGCTAGCCCTCTTGGCCCCCAGCACATAGTGTGGGCTGTCCCACCCCGGTGTAGTGGAATGGCGCATTTAAGACCCAAGTTAAAATCCCGGCTCCACACTGCCTAGCATGTAGCTTTGGGTCCACTTTGCCTCTCTGTGCCTCAGTCTCTTTATCTGCAAAATAGGTATAAGTTGTACCTGATGTTTATAAAGCCTTAGCATGAAGCCTGGTGCAGAAGAACTGTTTAATATGTGTCCCTCCTGGCCGGGCGCGGTGGCTCACGCCTGTAATCCTAGCACTTTGGGAGGCCGAGATGGGTGGATTGCTTGAGGCCAGGAGTTCAAAACCAGCCTGGCCAACGTGGTGAAACCCCGTCTCTACTAAAAATACAAAAAATTAGCCAGGCGTGGTGGTGGGCGCCTGTAATCCCAGCTACTCGGGAGGCTGAAATAAGAGAATTGCTTGAACCCAGGAGGCAGAGGTTGCAGAGTGAGCCAAGATCGCACCACTGTACTCCAGCCTGGGCAACAAGAGTGAAACTCCGTCTCAAAAAAATAAATAAATAGATGTTATTTATATTTATAATATATATATATTTATACACACACACACACACACACACACACACACACACCTACCTCCCTCCCCACCAAGTTGTCTTAGTAACATTTCCTTGGTTCCCCATACTTAGCTGTCAAGAGAAACAGGGCAAGATTTATGATCCTCATGTGTCAAGTGAGGAAACTGAAGATCAGAAAGGCCAGCCGCCCCAGTGGTAGGGCTTTTGGCCTAGGCCTCCTGTCTTCCTGTTCCATGCACTTCCCGCCTTCTCAGATGGAAAGGGAATGACTTTGATTCTACGATTGTTTCCTTTCATGGCTGGGGCCCCTCCATGGGGGACTGGACTTCATTCAGTCCAGCAAGTGCTTGCCGGGCACCCACCTGTGCTGGCCTGGGTGGGCGCTGGGATCAAAGGACTAGGACGACTGTTGGCAGAGAGTGGGAGGGCAGTGGCAGGGGAGGAGATCTGTGCAACAGGTTGAGTTGGAGGTGCCTGTGAGACAGAGATGTGCAGAGATGTGGCAGGTGGTCTGAGCTGAGGGCTGAGAGGGGACAGTGACTCTGGAGGGTGCGGCTGGGTCCACTCTGAGGGGCTGTGAAGGAAAGATGGAGGCGTGTTTCCCCTCATGCTCTGACACACTTGTCTCCTGGTTTCCGTCGCAGGTGGAAATGTAGGACCAGGTTGGCTCCCTCAGACCCTGAGAAACCCCCAACCTTCTGCATGTCTTGGACCCACAGCTAGACTGCCATGAAAAGCAGAGACACGCCAGCTCTTTCCCTCCTCCAGCATCCATTCGTGTCTCCAGGCCTCAGCCTCCCAGGGGCTGACCTTACTCCTCCAGGGCCTGAGGGCTGTGGTCTTTTGTAGGAGTTGGCAGAGATGCCAGTGGCTGGACAGGGTGAGTCGTGGGTTGGAGCTAAGCTTGTCTTTCACGTCCCCACATTATGCATCCTGGGAGCTCAGGCCCAGGGCTCCTGTCCCCACTGCCACCCTGGCCAGGCCACCCTCTTGGGCACCCAGAACTGGTCAGGCGCTGGTCCTGGCCTTTCTCTGGGGGAGGCAGAGGCCCCAGGAGGCCTTGAGTCAGGCCTCTGAACTAGACGTGCCGCCCCATCTCGTGGGGAGGAAGAAGATCCCAGGAGGCCAGATGGATGACTCTCACCCTTCCACACACAAACCTTTATCTCTCCTACCAGCTGGGAAGAAAATTGCTTTGAGCTAGTTTCTGCCGGGCACACTGGCCAGCCTAGGGCTCTCACTGGACCCCTGAGATTGGACTGGGGTTTCCCAGCTGGCCCCAGGAACCCTGTCTCCAGGACCATAGCAGGCCACTCCAGCCCGGGGGCTTCTCCCACCTCTGCTTGGCCCAGAGGCAGCAGCAGAAAGACCCTTTGGAGCCCTAGGTCCACATGAGAGCTGAGGAGAGTATTTAGTACAGAAAACCCTGCCCTAATCTCCTCTTTCAAGTCCCTCTATGAGTCTCTTTCCTCCTTTGGGCCTCAGTTTCCCCACTTGTGAGGCACATAATGATGTTCTCTGAAGCTGTGGCTCCCTGGGGCCCAGTCCCCAGCTCCCATCTGCCTTGGCAAGGTTTATGTTAGCTGATTCTGAAGACCTTGTTGTAGCTCACGGAACGTGAAGGAGGATGCCCTCGGTTGGGGCTAGGGAGCTTGCCTCCCACAGACTGGGGAAAGCTTGCCCCAGGCTGCCTGGCACTGCAAGAAGCTAGACTCCTGACCCCAGGCTTCTACTGCCTCCCCCAGCCGGGCCCAGACCAGGCCCCCAGGAGATCTCCTAAGTGTTGGTGGCAGTCAGGCAGTCTTGTGAGTCAGCGCAGGTGGGCCACCATCTTGGAGGATGCAAGCCTCTTGCCTCCATCCTGGGCGATCTGGGTCAGCAGACTCCCTCCCGAGCCTCTCCAGCCATGCCTCCTCCCTCCCTCCGAGGTGTGAGCTTGTTCCAGGCATGGAGGCTATTGTTAGAAACCATGGTTACCCTTCTTTGGACGTTACCCTGCAAGGCTCAGCACTCCAGTGACCCATCCCAGAAGTCTCTCCTCTCCCTTGGCAGCCTGAAGTGGCCAAAGAGGGGCTGGAGGCAGAAGGCCAGCTGGGGCTGCTGTGTGGCCTCTGATGAGTCCCCTCATCCTGTAGACCTTGATTGCCTCATCTCAGAATCAGGTGCTTGGCATCTGCGAGAAGTGGAGATGACACAAGGAGAGGTCCTGGGGCGTGGGTACTGGCCCTGTCTCCTGCACCCAGGATGGGACCCGGCATGACCCTCAGTGCAGCTGCCTTCAAACTGCACCCAGCATGCATATGCAGCAGCCTGTTCTGCCAGGCCTGGGGTTGCTGTCTTCAACGCAGACACTTGTTCTTGAGACACAGGTGGAAGTTGTTCTTCCATGAGGAGAAAATGAATCCACAGGAGAGGATTCAATCAGGCCCCAGGAAGAGGCCTTGGTGGAAACAGCAGCAGCCAGACCTCCAATTTCTGGCCTCTCCTTGGGACTGAGAAATCAACTCTTTGTTGGGAGGGCTGGGAAAGAGAGGGAAGGAAAGGAACCAACATGTCCTGAGTGCCTACCATGTGCTAGTGGTGGATATGATCTCACCTGACCCCCATGATAGCCCTGAGATCTGGCAATTACCCATTCCACAGATGAGGAAACTGAGGCTCGGGGTGGAAAAGGCAGTGGCTCTGTCCTTGCACTGCAGTTGAGAAACTGCAGAAGGAGTGAGAGCAGGGCTTCCCCAAGTTCCATGTGTGGCAGAGTGAGCTGCCTGGACCGCCTGACGGGCAAGGCTTGTAGTGGCCTGGAAATGAAGGTGCTCAACCCCTGCAGTCAGAACCAACATCGTAAGAGGGAGTTCTAATGAAATATAAAGAGCAAGGCAAATATTTGCCTGGTGCAACTGACTCTCCGGTGGCCTGTGGCCCCAGCCAACAGTGGGGACACACCAGTGTTTAGCAGCCTCTCCCAGCAACGTCCAGCCTTGTTCTCGGCAACCACTTCCCAGGTGCTGGAGAGTGGTGCAGGTGAGGTGAGTGTCCTCAAATCTAGGGCACCCCCTAACCTGAATGGATGTGCCCCCACCAGCTCTTCCCAGGCAGCTCAGACTGTGCGTTGTTGGCGCTCCAGCTTTGTGGTGTCTAAAAACCACCTGAAACACACCTCTCCAGCCCTGCCACCTGCACCCACCACCCCAGTGCCCACAGTCCTCCTCACCGCAGTTCCAGGCTTCACCACCACCATGCTCTCAGTAGGACACGGAAGTCTGTGTCCCCTGCAGGAGAAGGCACCTTGGTTCTTCCCACAGGGACAAGGGTAGGTTCCCTGTGGGCTGCATCTGCCCAGAGCGGGTACCTTTTTGTTCTTCCACTGTCTACACTAGCAGGAGCCCTGCTGACCACCATTCTCGTCACTGTCACCATTGCCTTCACCTTCATCACGAAGCCCTTCTCAGTTCCTGAAACCTTACCACATGCTCTGTGCCGTGTTCATTGCTGAGATCACGATAAAGGCACAATTAGACAAGGACCTGATCTTAGAAGAAAAGGAGTAATGAAAAGATAAAGGCGATACAGAAGGAAAGGAGGTCATTGCAGGAAAACATGCCACCTTCGATGCTCTGTCTTTAAGGCCCAGCGTGATCTGTCCAAAGGAGCAGTTACTGTGGCCTGTGACAGTCTGGGACTCTTTCTAGCCATGCCCGGAGGCTTCCTTGAGCTCCCATATGGTACCCACTCATTCATTTAGATGTACGCGCATTTATTCAGGCAATCAGCAGATATTTTTGATGCCTGCTTGTGCTAAGCATGGAGGAACACAGAAGTGAGAAGTAGAGAGGAGCCCTGCCTCGTGCAGCAGCACGCAAGTCAGTGAATGTCATTTCAGATAGTGAGAACTCCAGGAAGGAAATTCATCAGGGCAAAGAGTCACAGTGAGAATGGGAAGGGAGAGCCCTTGGCTGTGTCACACACAGGGATCCAGTGTCCTTCCTTTCCATGGAAGTGGCTTTTGAGCCAAGACAGGATGACAAGAAGGAGCTGGAGGCAGCACGCAGGCAGATGGAAGAGCAAGCCCAGTACTGAGGGCCTGGGGCAAGCACGAACTGGCCTGGGGCATTCAAGGACATGAAGGAAGGCCGCTGTGGCCAGAGATGGCTTTGGGCAGAGTCAGGGAGGCCGGTAGTTGGGAGCCGAGATGCCGAGGGCCACAGTTGGCATTTGGAGTGTATTCATGGGTGCAGTGGGAAGTCATTGGAAGGTTTATGGTAAGAGAGTGACATGGTCTGATTTATGTCTCCAAGAGGTCTTTCTAGCTGCTTGGTTGAGAGTGGCTTGGAGGGGCGGGGAGCCTCATCAAGAGGTTGGGGCTGTCATCTTGCGGGTGTTTAGATTGGGGTCATATTGGGATTGGAGGGAAGTAAATGGCTTTGAGATGTCCACTTAGGCAGTAGAGCCAAAACCACCTGGATTGATGGGATGTGGGGAGGGATGAGAGACTCACTCACGGCTGGCTGGTGGGTTTTTGTTGCTCAGCCTCACGAACAGCGACACCAATTGTGAGATGGAAACAGGTTTTGGATGTGTCCACGTAGAGATAGACCGAGACAGCTGGACATACGAGCCAATTTGTGTTACTCTGAGTCCACCTGTGTGTCTTAGGCATGACAGAAGCAAGGAACTGGGGGTATCCCAGGGCTTGAAAGAGGAGCACAGGGAAGGTTGCCTTCATCAGAGGAGGAGCATTGCCGGTCTCCACAGCCCCTTGTGATGGCGGCAACACAGTTGCATCCTGGGGAGCCCTTTAGCCAGGGAGACCCCACTCAGGGTGCTTCCAGAGATGCCCTAGACTTTGATACCCTCCTCAACTAAAGAAACTTTCAGCAGAATTCCTGCTGCCTTGACAAGCCAGGGGTGGGAGGAGAACGGCATGCTTGTGGCTGTGGGCTCTGCTACCAGCCGTGCTGTCCAGCCCCACAGCAGCATCTGGGCTGGGGGTGCTCAGAGCCTGGACCAGCCTCTCTACTCACCTCCCCATTGTGCCCTGCTTGCCTTCCTCTGTTGCTGGGTTTCTATATACATGTTCCCAAGTCCCTTTCCTGGGTGCGGCTTCCTTCCCCAGCCAGACTATGAGCTCTGGGCAAGCAAGGGCAAGACTTTCCTCCCTGACCCCCATAGGGAGGGGGGCTTTCTTGGGCACTGACACAGGCTGACTTCCAGGGGACATGGCATAGACATTTGGGTCTTTCTAAGGGTACTGCCCCGAGACCCAGGAAAGAAGGGCCCCACTGGCCCCCACTCCGGAAGGCTCCTCTCCCCACAGTGAGGAGTCTGGGGGCTCTTTGCAACTCTTTCTTGACCACACTTGGGTACCCAGCATTCCTGGCACAGACACCTCTAAGCTTGCTGTCAAGGCCTGTGCAGGGCCGTTCCCAGGATGTCCTGAGGGGACCATTCTGCCTCTGTGCCCACCCCTTGACCCACTTACAAGTGGCTGTTCGCAGGAGTGGCATGGATGTGGCTTGGCTGTGGGCCAGGGTCCTCTGCTGGGGGGCACAGTCAGGGAAGAGAAGGGAGGTGGGCTGTGCTCTGGTGTGGTTTTGTAAGAGTTCTCATTTCAAGTCTGGCCCTCCAGGGCATTACGATGGTGCCTTCTGTCAAGGTAGGAGAATAGAATATATTTTCTTTAACAGTTTGTTGGCTTGAGTTACGACTTTAAATATCCAAATCTGTGGCTTGTGGAACCTGATTTGCCCCTTGTCCTGGACTCTCCAACCCTGGGGCAGGCCTGCCTCATTACCCCAGCTCAGCACTCAGCCATGTGCCTCGGGGAGGCTGCTGTCCTGCCCCCACGGGCCCCCGTCTGTGCCTCCAGTACCCTTGGCCTCCTGCGCAGCTTTCCTGTCTGTGGCAGAGGGCTGGGTTCTGAAGGTTGGTGTCTCAGTCAGCTCAGGCTGTGACAACATAAACAACAGAGGCTGGGGGCGCTGAAATAACAAACACTACTTCCCACAGCTCTGGAGGCTGGCAGTCTGGGTTGAGAGTGCCAGCACGGGGGCTTCTGGTAAGGCCTTTTTTTTTTCTGACTTGTAGACGGCCGCCTTCTCCCTGTGCCCTCACAGGACAAAGAGATCGTCTCTGTCTGGTCTCTTTTTATAAGGGCACTCATCCCACTCATGAGGGTGCCAACTTCATGACCTGATGACCTTCCGAAGGCCTCATTTCCAAATGCCATCACCTCGAGGGTTAGGAATTCAACGTAGGAATTTGAGAGGGACACAAAGGTGCAGTCCCTAGCAGCTGGGAAGAGAAGGAGCTTAATAATAATGGCCCCACCCTTGCGTCTATGACGGGTGTGCAGAGAGCACTTTGCTAGCTAGTTTAATTCACAAGCAATCTTGTAAAACAGGGGGCAGATGTCTAGCTTGTTTGAGGGGGAGGCTGAGTTGTGGTGGTGGGGAGGCAGGTGTGGAGGATGGCCGGCTCTGAGACCGTGAATGGTGCTGTGTCACTCGCCCTCCCCAAACCCCTGGTGTCTTAGCTCAGACACCAGGGGGTTGGGTGAGCTGGGGAGCTAGTGGCATCCTGGTCAACCAAGACATAGAAAGGTTAGGATTTGCCCAGGGTCATAGACATGTCACATTCACCTAAGTGTTAATTAAGGAGGCAAAAGTGGGATCTTCCCCCCGGCTGGTGCTGGGGGCTCTGGTGCTCAGGGACCTGCTGGGGAGAGCCTCACGGTCTTAGGATACAGGTGCCTGAACATGACCAGCCACAGAAAATGGACCAGAGACCCCAAATTCATAATCAGATCTGCTCTGTGTCCCAGACCCAGGCCCCAGCCCAGCCACAGACCGGCCTGCTCTCCAGGGCCCACCATTCCTTCCAGGCCATGGCAGATGCTGAGCAGTGTCAGCTTAGCCAGGAGCTCAAACGCTGACAGCCCCAGAGCTGGTCTGTGCCCCAGTGGTACTGGGCTGCAGGGCACACAGCACCGTCTACACCATCACACTGTGTGCAGGGGCTGGGGAGGCGAGAAGCTGGCAATTCCCACCTGGCCTAGGACCCAGCTTGCTGTGTGAATCTGGGCACCTCATTCAGCCACTTTGGGTTTGAGTTGTTTTATCCACAAAATGGAACTGCTGAGAGCTACCCTTTCCTCACTAGGTCAATCTAACAATCTAATATGGTGGCTACAGGCCTCAGAATCAGGCAGACCTGGCTACAACATCTGGCCTTTCCACTGCCACCGTGATCTTGGGCAAGTTCCTGTACTTCTCTGAGCCTTGGTATAAAACAGATGAACAATATCTTCAGCAAAGGATTTTTGTGAGTTTAAATAGAGGATGGCTGTGGAATTTCATGTCCACAGTCAGGTGTGGCACTATTGTCCCCTCTGTCACCAGGGCCACAGGGAAATGATGGGGCAAGCTTAAGCTACCGGACCCCATGAACCTTTCGCTGTCCACTTCATCCTGGAAAGACTCCCAGCTTTGTAGCTGGAACCTTCAGGGTCATGCCCTTGATGGGGGCCACAGGTGGGGGTGACTGCAGGTGATGAGCTGTGGACAAAAAGTACTCATCTTCGGTCACTAGTATCAGAACAGCTTGCCACTAGCTACAGGGCTGTAGCTGGAAGACCAGTAGACAGGGGCTGACATATCTAGGCTCTGTCTGTTTGGGCCTAGTTTCCACATCTGAAATGGGCTTAAACTAGGTCTCTGTGGCATTTGACCCAAGCCCCCCTCCAAGAGGGGTGTCTTTGCCTGGGAATAGTATGGAGGGATGAGAATGGGGGCTGGGTGGCTAGACCCACTTCAAAGTCTCCCAGGCCACAGAAGCAAGGCCAGAGCTTCCAGAGACTTTCCTCTAGACTTGCCTCCACCTCTCCATCCCCCACTGCCCTGTCAGCAAGGGGACCCCAGCATGGCAGCTTTGGGAGGAGGAGGGGCTGGGATATGCCCACCTTGGCCCTGTCCAGCTACACTGCAGCCCCCCACTCCGAGCTGCAGGAGTAGAGAGGGGCTGGTGCCAGTGGGCTGGGGTCAAGGGTGCTGTAAAGGAGAACATTACCCCAAATACGTATTAACCAATCAGGAAGATTAATTATTAATAACAGCTTATCAATTAATAATGGTTTGTAATTTATTGAACACTCCTCTACCCATTACTAAGCACTTTATATGTATAATTTAGTCCTTTTGACAGCCCACTCAGATAAGAATTTTTATCACCATTTTCCAGATGAGAAAACATGATCAGAGAGGTTCAAGGTTACACAGCTAGGAACTGGGTAGGACCTGGGCTTGGGATCAAGGTCTGCCTGAACTTGGGGCCTGTGAGCCTGTGCCGCTTCCTCTGCAGTTCCGTGGCTACCGTGTGTGAGTCTTGAGAATTTAGTGATAGATTTAGGGAAACACGCCCCTGGCATGTCTGTAGACTTTTGGTTCCCTGAGGAGCCTCAGGCTGGCAGGCTTTTCTCCCTGGTATCCTCACACCCCAGGAAAGCTGAGAAAGTGGCTTCTCTGCCCACTTCTGGGCTGCATGGGGCTCCAGGTGTCCTTCCACATGTCCTGGATGGCTAGACCTTTCAGGAAGACCCCCCATCTGTATAGATGCCAGGAGATGTCCCTCTGGGACCCTGCAGCCTACAGTCTTCCTCTTCCAAGACCTAGACTGACGCCTTCCCATCCCACCCCCAGCCTGGATTTGCACTGAGTGGGCGCCCTGCAGAGTCCAGGCAGAGCAGTGCCCACCAGCAGCTCCAGGGCAGGGAAAGTGGCCGCTGGCCCTCCTGGCCACTCACCTATCCCAGCCAATTTCTCCTCCTCTGCTGGCAGATCTTCCACATGACCTACGACCTGGCCAGCGCCGTGGTGCGCATCGTGAACCTCATCGGCATGATGCTCCTGCTCTGCCACTGGGACGGCTGCCTGCAGTTCCTGGTACCCATGCTACAGGACTTCCCTGACGACTGCTGGGTGTCCATCAACAACATGGTGGTGAGTGCGCCCAGCCCGGTCCTCTCTCTGGGCCATAGGCGGGCTCTCCAGAGGTAGGGTGGCGAGATGTGGACTTGGAACTTCTGAGTTCCAGCATGTAGGACCCTGAGTGCTGCCTGGGGCTGAGGGGGCACATAGCTCTACCCAGTACAGGCCCAATCGCTTGCTGCCAGTCCAGGGATCCATTCACAGCTCTGGGTTGGGAGCTGGTACCTCCATCTTCTCACAGCCTCCATTGCAACTGGGAGCCTCAGTATTTCATCTTGATTTTACCCAGGGAGACTAAGACCTGGGCGGCCTCCCCCAGGCATGGCAATGCTGGGCTGGCAGCTCCTGGCCTCCTGCCTCTGCCCCTTAGAAGCCAAGTCCTTAAAAGCTGAGCCTGAGGCTGGGTGCAGTGGCTCATACCAGTAATCCCAGTGCTTTAGGAGGCCGAGGCAGGGGGATCCCTTCAGCCCAGGAATTGTAAACCAGCCTGAGCGGCATAGGGAGACCCCTGACTTCAACAAATAAATAAAATTTATTTTTAAAAAACTAGCTGGTGTGGTGGCAAGCACATGTGTCCCGGCTGTACAGGGGGATCCCTTGAGCTCGCTTGTACTTCAGCCTGGGTGACAGAGCAAGATCCTGTCTCAAAAGGAATAAATAAATAAAAATAAAAAACAAAAAGCTGAGCCCAAGAAAACAGACGCCTTCAAGGGTACTATTTGCAGCCCACGCAGACTCCCAGGTCATATGTGGTCACTTTCTACTCCAACAGCAGAGCTGGGCTGCCCCCACTCGCCAACATATCCTGATCCGAGGTGGAGTCCCGATAGGGAGGGCAGGCAGGATGAAGCCTGACCCCACCCTATCCCTCCAACCTTGCAAGTGGGTCAGGGTGGGTGAGAGAAGTTGAACTTGGGGCCTCGGAAGCCATAGGGCAGAGTTTCCAGTCCCCCTGTGGATGAGGTGGGTTCCAGGCAGGACAGAAGACACCCTGGATCTGTGAGCCTTTCTGTGTCTCTGGTGAACCCCTGCCTCTCCCAGGCTTCCTCCCAGTCAGTTTGGTTTGTTCTGAAGGCAAATTCCCAGGGCCCCAGGGGAGGAAAAATTGGCTTTGAAAGAGGTGAAAGAGACCCTGAGGCATCTTTCAGCATCAAACAGGCCTTTACAAAACAGCCTTTTGATGAGCTAAGTGTAAATGAATCAGCCATATGGATTGAATTCCCTGTTCCCAGAGGCTCAGCAGTAAAGGCCGCTGGGGGCCTACCCCTGTTCCCCAAGGCTGGGAACCCAGGTCTCTTCCACCCCTGGGGATGAGCCCTCCTGGTCCCCACTCCAGTCTAGACTGAGCCATCAGACCCAAGGAGCCAGCTCAGCTCTGTTCAGGGCAGTCTGGCTGACCTTGAATATGGCTCGAAGCTCACGGGCTCCTGCGCCTTCCCCTGGGGGCTGGGCCTCTGGCAGGTGCTCTGTGGGCCTGGGTAGGTTTCTGCACTGTGGCTCATGCATCTGCCCTGTGAGCAGAAAGACACCAGGGAGGTGGCCAGTGCTGGCATTCGTCAGGTTCAATGGGCCCTCATCTGGGGCAGTGTCCTCTCTATGTGAGGGTGGCAGGCCCACACATGCACTAAATTCAAGAGATGGCCCTTCCGATCCCAGTGTTCCCACGCTGAGCCTTCCTTGAGACACCGACTGGCTTTGTAGACAAAAATAGCCAAGAGCTTCCCTCCTCCTGTCCCCACGCCTTGTGTGTTCCGGAGAGTCTGCCTTGGGGGTAGTGGGAGGAGAACTGGTGGCCGCAGCCCTAGCAGAGGCGGGCAGGGTTCATGCAGGAGGCCCGTTAGCTCACAGCTTTAACTTTTGCTCATCCAAAATGAGGACAGTGTTTTTCGGCTCAGTCCGCCAGAGCTTGTCCCCCCAAGGGAAGCATATCTGGTTTTATAATTGAGGTCAGTGGGGAAATGGGCTTCACTTGGCAGCTGTTTAGGGGGTTGGGGGGTGGAGCTGTTTTAGCAAGGGAAGGACAGCACGGTGGCTCAGCCCGGGGCCTTTGCTACCCAGCCAGGAGGCTCCAAGCTGCCCCATGGGGGCTGGGCCACGCTGGCTCCCGTACCTTTACTGGGGCTTCCAGTCTGATCTCTGCCCCCATTGCAAGAGGAAGGCACAAGAGGAGGACTCGCTGGCAGCACAGGCTGCTTCTCACCCAAGGCTTTCAGCCAACAGCAAGGTTAGGGAGCCCTGGGCCCAGCCACTGAGAAAGTTAGGTTGAGGTGAGGAGGTGGCAGGGCCTTTTCTTGCTAGTGAGAAGGGCCTTCCCTCTCATCCACTGTCCCCACCCATCCGTCTGTCCACAGAACAACTCCTGGGGGAAGCAGTACTCCTACGCGCTCTTCAAGGCCATGAGCCACATGCTGTGCATCGGCTACGGGCGGCAGGCGCCCGTGGGCATGTCCGACGTCTGGCTCACCATGCTCAGCATGATCGTGGGTGCCACCTGCTACGCCATGTTCATTGGCCACGCCACTGCCCTCATCCAGTCCCTGGACTCCTCCCGGCGCCAGTACCAGGAAAAGGTAGGTCTACCCAGGGAGCACCCGCACATTGGTCCCTCCCAAGAGGGAGCACAGGCCACCAGCCAGTGGGCCCCCAGCAGGAACCGCCCCCTGCTCCCACCCCACAGGATCGGAACTCCCAGTGTGAGGGAAGAGCAGGAGGAGGGAGACACCTCTGAGATGAGAATCTGAGTTTCAGCTCCCTGGCCTGGCCCCTCCACATGTCTTTTTTTCTGTTCCCACCTTCCCCGTCTCCAGTGTCACTGGGGCCTGTGGCTCCTGGCTGAGGCCCTGTGCCCTCCGTGCTGCTCCAGTAGGCATTTGACAGTCACCACGCCCTTCCTGGCTGCTCACTCGTTCTCCAGGACCGCACTCTCGCGGTGTTGCTCCTGCCCCTCTGGCCAGTCCCCTGCCCCCATTTGCTGGCTTCTCTTCCCAGTCACTGCCACTGGAGTCCCCAGTGGCCCGGGCCTCGCCCCTGACCCTCCCTCTGTCTGGGGCCCCGGTGCTGTGGTTTCACCACCCAGGCCCACAGGCTCTGTGCCCATCTTTGCACAGTGGGGCCTGCACAGCATCAGCAGCCCCACCTCATCTCTCAGCTCCAGGTGGTTTATTTCATCCCTCTCTGGACACCCCACGCCCCTCATGTCTGTAATGAGAAGGCTGCCCTGTTCTCTCTACTCCAAGTCTCTGCTCTTCCCAGATGCCCAGGCCAGAGACTAGGAGCCATCCCTGGCCTCTCTCTGTCATCAATGCCTACCTCAAAGCCACAGCTCCTTCTCTGCATCCCAACCACCTTCCCCCGTCCCCAGCTTCATCTCTCCCTGGGGTCTCAACAGCAGCCCCCTCACCACAGAGAATGAGTCCTGTGGCCTGGAGTCAGGCCACCTGGGCCCTACCCCAGCTTCTCTGCTGCCGAGCTCTGTTTGAGCGTGGGCCTGTGCCTCCACAGCGTGAGGCCCCGTTTCCTCATCTGCAGGGCGGGGGTGGTACTGGGCATCAGGCTGTGGGGGTTGCAAGTAAGCTCCCCTGTGTTTATCAGCTAAGCAGGTTCTGCCCTGGCACCTTCCACTGCACACCTCACACAGCAGTTGGAGCGGCATCTAAAACACGTCAGCCTCATCCTCTGCTTGAAACTCTTCAGGGACTTCACGTTGCTCTGAAGATGTAGATTAACTCCTCAGCATGTTTTCCCAGCCTGGCATTTGAGGAGCATAACCAGGGATCTGCCCTCATGCTCAGCTCCTGCCCTGGGCCTTGCACCCTTTATTTCAGCCTGGCCAGACTTCTCTCCCCATGCCTGCTCCTGCCATGGGACCCAGACACGGGCTTTCACCCTCAACTCTCCTCCCCAGGTGTCCACCTGACACCCTCTCCACGTCCAGCCTCACCACTTAGAGAAGCCGTCTGTGACCTGGCCAGCCCCTCACCTGTCATGTGACCCCATGGCACCCTCTCCTCCTTCACCACACTCGGCACTCTGTGGTGATGTAATTAACCATAGGCAGCCATCTGTTTAACAAACCCACCTTCCCTCTCCAGGCCACGGCTCCATGAGGGGAGGACCCAGTATGTCGTTTTCTGTTTTATGCCCCATGCCTGGCACACAGTAGGGTCAGCATTTGTGGATTCACTGCCTGCCTGCCTGTCCCAGGCACTGTCCTTTGGTGGGGTGACTGACAGGTGGGGGCCACCCAGGTGTGGAGGTCCAGGTCCCATGATGCCAAGAAGAGAGCTCAGGAGAGCCTACAGAGCTGGGAGGCAAGGAGAGCTCACTGTGGGGAAGCAGAGGAAGGAGAAGGTGGAAGAGAATTCTAGGCCAGGCATCAGGATGAGGATGAGCATAGGGGTGGTGGCAGAGAAATTAGCCTGGCTAGAACACAGGGTCCTAGGTTAGAGGACCCTTCTCTACCTCCTAGGGAGGTAGAGAAGGCATCAAGCTACAAAGGTCAGGGCTTAGTCCGGGCCCAGATGAGGGATCATTCTGGAGCCAGCACCAGGACCCAGCCTGTGACTGGGGTGGGGCTCAGCCAGGTGAGGGATCCTTCTGGAGCCAGCACCAGTGCCCAGCCTGTGACTGGGGTGGGGCTCAGCATGTGAGTGGGGTCAGGGCTCAGTGTGTGATCAAGGCTAGGTTTTAGTCTGGGGTCAAGATCAGGGATTAGTTTAGAAAAAGCATCTGGGGCCGGGCGCTGTGGCTCACGCCTGTAATCCCAGCACTTTGGGAGGCCAAGGCGGGCAGATCACCTGAGGTCAAGAGTTCATGACCAGCCTGGCCAACATGGTGAAACTTCATCCCTACTAAAAGTAAAAAAAAAATTAGCTGGGCGTGGTGGTGCACACCTGTAGTCCCAGCTACTCAGGGAGGCTGAGGCAGGAGAATCACTTGAACCTAGGAGGCGGAGGTTGCAGTGAGCTAAGATTGCACCACTGCACCCCAGCCTGGGCAACAGAGGGAGACTCCATCTCAAAAAAAAAAAAAAAAGAAAAAGAAAAAGCGTCTGGGAGGCTGGGCATGATGGCTCATGCCTGCAATCCCAGCACTTTGAGAGGCTGAAGCGAGCTGATTTCTTGAGCCCAGGAGTTCAAGAGCAGCCTGGGCAACGTGGCAAAACCCTGTCTGTACTAAAAATACAAAAATTAGCCAGGCGTGGTGGCATGTGCCTATAGTGCCAGCTGTTTAGGAGGCTGAGATGGGAGAATCGCTTGAGCCCAGGAGGTTGAGGCTGCAGTGAGCTGTGTTCATATCACTGCACTCCAGTCTAGGCAACACAACGAGACCCTGTCTTAACAAAAAAAATAAATAAATAAATAAATAAATAAAAAGAAAAAAAGAAAAGAAAATGCATCAGAGTTTATTTTAGGGCCAGAGTCAAGGCGTCTGTGGCTTTTCATTTGAGACTTTAAAATGTTTGTCCTTTGGCTAATATCTAAGTCTGCCCAATAAATTTCTCTTAAATGTCTTCCCTCCTCTCCATCCCCACGTCTGTCTCTCACCTGGACCACTTCAACCTTTTAACTCCTGCCCCATGTCCAGACCCTGCCTCCCTACCCCTACCTGTTCTCTGGGGGTCAGGGGAGGGACTCTCTAAAACACAGCTCCAGGTTTTCCAGCTGCCTCCATCTCTGTAACCAGCCAGGAAGTCACTGTCCCCTGGGACTTTGCATAACTTGGAGCAGTCAGAGGCCAGGGTGGCTGGAAGAAGTTTAGGAAATGTCATTTCTCAGCCCTCATTTGCCCGTGGGTGTTTCTGTGCAGCAGTTGTGCGTTCCCACCTCTTTGGAGCACACATAGATGCAAACAGGCTGCCCCGTTTCTGATTGCTGCTGGGGTGATAGGGACTTCCTCTACTTCCCATCCGGGAGGAGTCTGTGTTGTTGCCTAATCAATACCTCCCATCCCTCATCCTGCTCTTGGGAATCCCACTGTCCACCCACAATCTAGGATGGTGGGAGCAATGTCCACTCCTCTCAGTGAGGGCGGGCAGGATCGTTTCTTATTTGTTTGAGCCCCAGGGTCTGAGGCTCACAAATCTTTTGTACCCGAGCCTCTATTTGAAGGTCCCCTCAAATTAGTCTACCCTGCTTTTCCCTTACCTGGAGTTGCTCTCAACGAAATGACCCGGGGTCTCAGCTGAGGCCACGTTTGGATTCATAGCATCGAGCAGCCAGGCATCCTTGCTTCTGCCTCTGAGCGTTCTGATCCATCGCACCCTTGCCTCCTGACTGTGCCAGTTGTCACTGCTGGGAGGAAACAGCTTCTTTCCCCGCAGAGTCGGTGAGGCCTCCCTGTCCCCAGTGTAACATTCCAAGGAAATGTGATCGACCTCCCTGGAGATACAGTTGATGTCCTGTCACTGGGCTTTGGACATTCCCTGCCGCCCTCACCCACCTCCTTAGTATTGAACACAGCGAGGAGCAGATGCTGGTGGGGGCCCCTCCTCCATGCCAAGCAGCTGGGAGCCCGGGCAGTTGTTTTGAGCACAGTGAGGTCATTTCCACACTGTAGACCTCAGATCTCAAGGAACCAAGTTTAGCCAGGAAATCCCCCGGGGTGGGTGCCCGGATGTGGTGCCTGCCGAGGTGGTGGGGCTGGCTGCTGACGCCCCCTGGTGGGGTGGAGCTGACGCCCCCTTCTCCCGGCCTCAGTACAAGCAGGTGGAGCAGTACATGTCCTTTCACAAGCTCCCGCCCGACACCCGGCAGCGCATCCACGACTACTACGAGCACCGCTACCAGGGCAAGATGTTCGACGAGGAGAGCATCCTGGGCGAGCTAAGCGAGCCCCTGCGGGAGGTGAGCTGTGTGGCGGCCCGGCGTGGAGGGGAGCCAGGCCTTCCTGGCAGCCAGCTCCCCTCACCACCTCCTTCCCGTGTCCCAATCCACCCTGTCCGGCAGGAGATCATCAACTTTAACTGTCGGAAGCTGGTGGCCTCCATGCCACTGTTTGCCAATGCGGACCCCAACTTCGTGACGTCCATGCTGACCAAGCTGCGTTTCGAGGTCTTCCAGCCTGGGGACTACATCATCCGGGAAGGCACCATTGGCAAGAAGATGTACTTCATCCAGCATGGCGTGGTCAGCGTGCTCACCAAGGGCAACAAGGAGACCAAGCTGGCCGACGGCTCCTACTTTGGAGGTGAGGCAGCCCTGGGCCCTGGGGGACAGGGCAGCTGCTCCCAGGGGCTGGTTTGGGGAGATACCGAGGGGACAGAGGCAGTGAGCACCCTTCTTGGCCACAGCCTGGAGGGAGGTGTCTGTGAGCCCAGGGTAGGGGTGTCTTAGTCAGTCTGGGTTCTTGTAACAAAAGTGCCGCAGACTGGGTGGCTTGTAAACTGCAGAAATGTATGTGTCATGGTTCTGGAGGCTGGCCATCTGAGCTGAGGGGGCCAGCATGGTTGGGGCTGGTGAGGGCCCTCTTCTGGGCTGCACTGCTGACTTCTCGCTGTGTCCTCATGTGGCAGAAGGAGGATGAGCCAGCTCCCCGGCCTCCTCCTAAAAAGGCACTAATTCCATCCACGAGGGCTCCACCCTCGTGATCTAATCACCTCCCTAGGCCCCACCTCCAAATACCATCATGCTGGGATTAGGGGTTCAACATATAAATTTTGGGGGAACACATTCAGTCCAGAGCAGAGGGTATGTCCCAAAGATGGGAAAGTCTGTCCAGCCCCCATTTGGTGGGGAAGAGGCATCCAGTGTGGCCGCAGTCTGGGGGCAGGGCCTTGTGAGCCTGCCAAGGCTTCTGTGCCAGGCAGTCAGGGCCAAGGTCAGGGTGGGCAGTCCCCCTGGCCTGGGCAGGCTGTGCATGCCTCATCCTGAGTCCTGATGCTCTGGCAGAGATCTGCCTGCTGACCCGGGGCCGGCGCACAGCCAGCGTGAGGGCCGACACCTACTGCCGCCTCTACTCGCTGAGCGTGGACAACTTCAATGAGGTGCTGGAGGAGTACCCCATGATGCGAAGGGCCTTCGAGACCGTGGCGCTGGACCGCCTGGACCGCATTGGTGAGGGGGAGGGGCCACAGGCGGGGCAGGTGGGGGGTGTTGGGGGAGGAGGGCAGGGCTCCTTTATGCCTAAGCCAGGTCTGCACCTGATCTCCTTCCCCGCTCTGCCCTGAGTGCCTGTTCTTGTTCTGTGGCCCAGGCAAGAAGAACTCCATCCTCCTCCACAAAGTCCAGCACGACCTCAACTCCGGCGTCTTCAACTACCAGGAGAATGAGATCATCCAGCAGATTGTGCAGCATGACCGGGAGATGGCCCACTGCGCGCACCGCGTCCAGGCTGCTGCCTCTGCCACCCCAACCCCCACGCCCGTCATCTGGACCCCGCTGATCCAGGCACCACTGCAGGCTGCCGCTGCCACCACTTCTGTGGCCATAGCCCTCACCCACCACCCTCGCCTGCCTGCTGCCATCTTCCGCCCTCCCCCAGGATCTGGGCTGGGCAACCTCGGTGCCGGGCAGACGCCAAGGCACCTGAAACGGCTGCAGTCCCTGATCCCTTCTGCGCTGGGCTCCGCCTCGCCCGCCAGCAGCCCGTCCCAGGTGGACACACCGTCTTCATCCTCCTTCCACATCCAACAGCTGGCTGGATTCTCTGCCCCCGCTGGACTGAGCCCACTCCTGCCCTCATCCAGCTCCTCCCCACCCCCCGGGGCCTGTGGCTCCCCCTCGGCTCCCACACCATCAGCTGGCGTAGCCGCCACCACCATAGCCGGGTTTGGCCACTTCCACAAGGCGCTGGGTGGCTCCCTGTCCTCCTCCGACTCTCCCCTGCTCACCCCGCTGCAGCCAGGCGCCCGCTCCCCGCAGGCTGCCCAGCCATCTCCCGCGCCACCCGGGGCCCGGGGAGGCCTGGGACTCCCGGAGCACTTCCTGCCACCCCCACCCTCATCCAGATCCCCGTCATCTAGCCCCGGGCAGCTGGGCCAGCCTCCCGGGGAGTTGTCCCTAGGTCTGGCCACTGGCCCACTGAGCACGCCAGAGACACCCCCACGGCAGCCTGAGCCGCCGTCCCTTGTGGCAGGGGCCTCTGGGGGGGCTTCCCCTGTAGGCTTTACTCCCCGAGGAGGTCTCAGCCCCCCTGGCCACAGCCCAGGCCCCCCAAGAACCTTCCCGAGTGCCCCGCCCCGGGCCTCTGGCTCCCACGGATCCTTGCTCCTGCCACCTGCATCCAGCCCCCCACCACCCCAGGTCCCCCAGCGCCGGGGCACACCCCCGCTCACCCCCGGCCGCCTCACCCAGGACCTCAAGCTCATCTCCGCGTCTCAGCCAGCCCTGCCTCAGGACGGGGCGCAGACTCTCCGCAGAGCCTCCCCGCACTCCTCAGGGGAGTCCATGGCTGCCTTCCCGCTCTTCCCCAGGGCTGGGGGTGGCAGCGGGGGCAGTGGGAGCAGCGGGGGCCTCGGTCCCCCTGGGAGGCCCTATGGTGCCATCCCCGGCCAGCACGTCACTCTGCCTCGGAAGACATCCTCAGGTTCTTTGCCACCCCCTCTGTCTTTGTTTGGGGCAAGAGCCACCTCTTCTGGGGGGCCCCCTCTGACTGCTGGACCCCAGAGGGAACCTGGGGCCAGGCCTGAGCCAGTGCGCTCCAAACTGCCATCCAATCTATGAGCTGGGCCCTTCCTTCCCTCTTCTTTCTTCTTTTCTCTCCCTTCCTTCTTCCTTCAGGTTTAACTGTGATTAGGAGATATACCAATAACAGTAATAATTATTTAAAAAACCACACACACCAGAAAAACAAAAGACAGCAGAAAATAACCAGGTATTCTTAGAGCTATAGATTTTTGGTCACTTGCTTTTATAGACTATTTTAATACTCAGCACTAGAGGGAGGGAGGGGGAGGGAGGAGGGAGCAGGCAGGTCCCAAATGCAAAAGCCAGAGAAAGGCAGATGGGGTCTCCGGGGCTGGGCAGGGGTGGGAGTGGCCAGTGTTGGCGGTTCTTAGAGCAGATGTGTCATTGTGTTCATTTAGAGAAACAGCTGCCATCAGCCCGTTAGCTGTAACTTGGAGCTCCACTCTGCCCCCAGAAAGGGGCTGCCCTGGGGTGTGCCCTGGGGAGCCTCAGAAGCCTGCGACCTTGGGAGAAAAGGGCCAGGGCCCTGAGGGCCTAGCATTTTTTCTACTGTAAACGTAGCAAGATCTGTATATGAATATGTATATGTATATGTATGTAAGATGTGTATATGTATAGCTATGTAGCGCTCTGTAGAGCCATGTAGATAGCCACTCACATGTGCGCACACGTGTGCGGTCTAGTTTAATCCCATGTTGACAGGATGCCCAGGTCACCTTACACCCAGCAACCCGCCTTGGCCCACAGGCTGTGCACTGCATGGTCTAGGGACGTTCTCTCTCCAGTCCTCAGGGAAGAGGACCCCAGGACTTCGCAGCAGGCCCCCTCTCTCCCCATCTCTGGTCTCAAAGCCAGTCCCAGCCTGACCTCTCACCACACGGAAGTGGAAGACTCCCCTTTCCTAGGGCCTCAAGCACACACCGCCACCTCTGGGGCCGTCAGTTTGCCCATCTGTACAGTGGGAGGTGAGCGGAACTTCTGTTTATTGAGTCTGCTCTGTGCCAAGCACTGGTTTCGCACTTTACACACATTAACTCCTTCAGTTTCACAAAGACCATGGGGTGGGTACTTTGATTCTCCCCATTTAGCAGAGGAAGAAACAGTTTTGGGTAATTTTTCCAGAATCATGTAACTAGGAGTGGCAGAGTGGGGACTGATTTGAGGTTCGAGTCCACGCCTCCTTGAGGCCCAAGTCTGTGTTCCTTCCATCAGAAAACTGTGTTGAGGGGGGCTGAGGTAGATGGTCCCCAAGCATGGTACAGAAGGAAGACACCAGATTTTGGCAGCAGTCAGGCCTGGGTTTGAATCCCAGCCCTGCCACTTCTTAGCTGTATGATCTTGGGCAAGTTATCTGACCTTTCTGTCACCTCATTTGTAAAATGGGAATAATTATGGTACTGCCTCACAAGGACCTATGAGGACCAGATGAGAAAAATCTATATGTGAAATGCCCAGCCCAGCGCCTGGCACATACCATGGTAGGTGCTCAATAAAAAATCACATTTCTTCTGCCCCTCATATGCCCAGCCTATTGCTCCAGCAAACTATGTGAGAGCCCAGGGAGCTTTGGCTGAGGGCTCCAAGACTTAAAATCTCAGGACTCAGGAGGTGGCTGGGCCTCCCTAAGGGCCCAAGGAAGGTGTGTGGCCAGAGGTGGGTGGGAGCCAGGCCTTGAGAAGTGGGAAGACTTCAACAGGGAGAGAGGGAGGGAATGGTGGGTGGGATGGAGTGTATGGTGGGGAGATTCCTGAGGTGGATGTGGAGTGGTGGATCAGGGCTTTGGGAGGGGATCCCCAGGCTGAGGGGTCAGAGGGACGGCCTTGGGTGATAGGGTAAGGGATTGTCTGGGCTTAGTCCTGGCAACTAGGAGCCATAAGCAGGTTCCAGATTGCGGGAACGAGAAAGCAGCTCAGATGCCTTTGGAGGCACCATCCTCCCTCCTCCCAGATGGGATCTTGCCAGAGCCAAGGTCAGGGGTCTGCCCCTGCCTATAGGGCCAGAGCAGGTATGGCTGCAATCCCCAAGTAATGAGAAGGGCTGGTCCCACATTATCCATCCAGAACCTTCCATGCTCCAAGCCAGAATGTTGGCAAGATCGGGTTTTGCCTTGAGCTATCCTGGGATGTGAGACAAACCGATTTCTCCATAGATGGGCTGCAGGGAGTGGGAGGCAGTACTCCAGGAGAGAAGTGGGTGAAGGTTCCTGGGATCTTAGGTAAAGACTAGACGCCGCCTAGTACTGGTCTCTACTGTGCTGGCTCAGGAGTTCTGAGAACTGGAAGGACTTAGCCTCAACCTGAGTTCTGCACACACCCCTTCCCCTTAAGGAAGGCAGCTCTGAGAGGCAGCAGGACTTGATCCAAACCCACAGTCTTGTCCTGGAGGCAGCAGGGGTGAAGGTGGAGGGTCCAGGGCCATGAGGAGCCCCCTTGCCATCAGAGCCTGGCCTAACCACCCTCTTCTCTACTTACACACACATGCATTTTATAATAGCTCTGACCCAACCTGGCCACTCTGCAGAGACTGGGACAGACAGGTGCAGGCAATGGGCCCTCCCACACCCAGTCACCTACAAGGAATTTTCAAATCCACTTTTAAAACAGAAACCGGTAAATGCGCCGTATTGTATATTTTATTTAAATAAAAAAAATTCCAGCAGATGCTACCTTCTTCTAGGGGCCAGGGATAGGGGTGGGGGTGAGGTCATTGGGAAATCCTGGAGTCTTGGGAACTCGGGTGTGGAAGGCAGGGGACATGGCCCAGAGGGCACTTGTGTATGTGCAAACCTATGCCTGCAAGAGCATGGAGCTGTGTTCTGTGCATAGAGGTGTGCACGGGGGATGTGCAAGGCCTGGCTATGGACACAGGTGTGCACGTGCTTATGGACTGGTGAGAATCATTGAGGAGGGTGAGAGCGAGTGGGCATGTGTGCTTTGCTAGTGGAGGGGAGAAACGCAGGAGTGGGGGAGGTGTGAGACCCTTCCCACCCCCTACTGCCAGGGCTGGCTGAGGAGGAGGGTGGTGAATGTGCACCTGGGCTCCATCCAGCTAGATAGAGGGGGATGCCGTCTTAGGTAAGCTCTCAGAAGTGGGAGGGTGGCTGGAGACACAAGGTGACTGGGCAAGGGGGAGGGCATCAGAGGGTGGCCGAGGGGTGGGGGAACAGCGCTGGGCTCCTGTGTGGGTTGGTGGGGGCCCGAGGGCAGAGGCAGCATGTGGGGCCTCTGGAAGGAGGCAGGGCACGGACTTCCCACTGCTGTGCCTGTTCGGGGCTAGGCCTGGTCCCCGGGTGACCCCCTTCCCCACCCCTGTCTCCAGAGGGTTCCTCCGGGCCCTGGGACTTCGCGGGGTCGGGCAGAGGCCCCCTCCTGGGGTGGCGACGGGCGACTGGAAAAACCAAGTCCTCGCGGCTCCCGCCGGTATAGGGAGTGCCGTGTCTCCCGCCCTAGGAGGGGAAAGTCCTCGGAAAAGGGCAGGAAACCCAGCCGTTCCCCATCACCGCTTGCCAGGGGATGCTGTTTCCATGGCAACTGGCCGGGGAGTCCCGTTGCTAAGGAGGCAGCTCAGCGGGCCCTGGCGTCCCCATGACAACTGCCCCCTGCGGCCAGGCGTTGGTGCTTCCTTGGGGACCCCCGGAGCGGCAGAGGCAGGGCGCGGCCCTGTGCTGCGATCACCTCCCCCGCGTCTGAATGGCTGAGGCCTGGCCTCTGGGGCTGTGGGGAAGCAGTGGGGACAGGCCCCGCTGAGAGGAAGCCTGTGTGGGTGGGGCATTCGCTGCGGGGTCCTCAGTCACTGTCTCCTCTGTTCCCTGATGCGGGAAGGACAGCTAGTAAGTACCTCCTGTGCGGTAGGCCCTGGGTCTTTCCTTTGCTGTCATCTGCCCAACCACCCCAGAGGTCAGAATTTCCCTCAGTTACAGTGAGCCAAAGGGAAAGGGGCTCAGAGAGGCAGGAATTTGCCAGCCCTGTCAGCTAGAAGAAAGGAGCGGGGCTGCACACCCAGGTGCCGGGGACTCAATCTGGTCTCGTCCCACTAGAGCCTTAGCAAGGGCTGGCGGTAGGAGCTGTCTGTCCCTGGTGCAGGCAACAAAGGGTGTGTTAACTGTAGAGAATTTTAAAAAGACGGTAAAAGTGACTAAATGTCAGTTTGCTTCCTCTGATCACCATGTACCAGCAATTCAGACAGTGTCAGTGATAGAATGCTCCCAGCACAGGGGCAGACAGCTCCTCCACCCCACCATGAGCACCCTATGCGTCAGCCCCAAGGGACACCTGCTGTGCTCGTGCTGCTGGCGCTGTGGGAAGGCCTGAAGGCACTTTTTCTCCCTAGTGGGGCTAAACCCGACTGGGATTTTTAAGGGACAATTGAAAGATGCGTAAGATCCCTACCTGGACTCCACGTCTCTTCCCAGCCGCTACTCCTCACTCTTCCCACCGGAGAGCTGTGTCCCCTCCCTGTCCTCATTTCCTCCTCCACCGCATGGCTCTGACAATTTCTGATGAATTCACCTGCCCACATTGTGAAATCCAGGGCCTCCTTCCCAGCCGGCGTCCTGCTGTCCTCTTAGCAGGGTGTGACCTCCTCCACCAGGCCCTCCTCAGCACATGGGACCCCATCCTCTGCTCACTGCTTCACCTTTCTCAAGCTCAGCCTCAGCTTGAAGGGCTCTTCTTTCTCCCAAAAGGTTGGTGCTCCCTGGGCCTCTGGCCTTGTCCCCCGTCTTCTCACTCCAGATGCACTTCCTGGGGTTAACCTCACCTAGGCCTGTGGCTTCCCCAGCCTGGAAGCAAAAGCTTCCCAGAGTTCCCCTACCCCAATTCAGGCCCCCGCATGCCCTGAGCCTCGGCCTGGGCAGCTGCTCCAGGGTCCCTCATTCTCTTCTGACTGACCACGGCCCTTTTATTCTTTCTTGGGTTTGCAGCTTCCAGTGCACTACAAAGCATGCCTTCTCCTCCACCTGCACCCCTTGTTGATTTTGCTGCTTTAATTTTCTTTCTCTTGAGGGTGGAATATTTCGTACCTACTGAAGAGATACATTATGTAAATCAGATATAAAAAATAATATCAACAGCTATGTACCAATCACTCAGTTTAAGGAATGGAACATAAGGAATGGAGCATAAGGAATACCTTTGAAGGCATCTATGCTGTTGCCCAAGTGTGTCCCTCTCCCTCCCTCCAAGGAAAACCTCTCACCTGAATTTTATCATTACTTTTCATGATACTCTTTCTATAGAAACAAATGACTCTAAAGAATGTATTCAGTTGCACACCAAGGTGGGGAGTGGAGATTGGAAGTAGCTGCCTTTGTGGCAAGAATTTTTATCAATAATATTGTCCAGAATTGCTGATGTATGGTGACAATAAAAATCAGATTTTGGTCAGTTTTATTATTCTTTTCTTTACAAACAGTGGGCCTTTTTATTACCTGCATTAGGGGTGGGCCATACCCACCATCTTCATACACCACTGAATATATTTGTAATTTTAAAACTTTGCATAAATGGTATGCTGCATGCATTCTTTAATAATTTGGGTTTTTTTCATTCAATACTGTAATTTTGAGATCCTGTCAATGCATGGATAGTTCGTTTTCATTGCTGTATAGCATTCCAGTATATGAATCGTCCACCATTTACATATGTGTTCTTCCGAACATAGACATTTCAGTCAGTTTTCATTCCTGTGATTAACAGGACTGCTGCGACAAATGTTCTTGTTTGTGGCTCCTGAAAAACATGGTAAGAGGATCTCTAGGCTCTGTATCTAGGAGTGGAATAACTGACTCACAGAGTAAATTAATCTTCACTTTACAAGATAATGCCAAGCTGTTTTAAGTGGTTCTAACAATTTCCACTCCCACCTGCAGAGTATGAGAATTGCTCTTGCTTCATATTCTTGCCAATAATTGGAATCATCAGGCTTTCTTATTTTTCCTAATCTAGTCATATCTACTTGTGTTTTAATGTGCAAATCCCCAATTACCAGTAAGGTTGGATGCTTGTTCGTATATTCATTTGCTGTTTGTGTTTCCTTTTCTGAGAAATATTTATTCACATATTTTGACCAATTTTCTATTGTCTTTTTATTGATTTGTCAGAATTTTACACATCTTTTTGAAAAACTAAATCCTTTGTCCGCTATATTTATTGCAAATATCTGTTTATGGTTTGTATTTTTGCTTTTTTTGGAGGGGTGTTCCCTGATAAACAGAAGCTTTACACTTTAATGAGGTCAATTTTGGCTATATATATATATATATATTTAATGTCTAGTACTTCCTTAGTGCCTTTTTTGCTTAAGAAACCTATCTTACCCTGATGTTGTAAAGATGTGTTCTATATTCTTTCTAGAAGTGAAGTTTTGCTTTTCACATTTAAGTCCTTACTCTAATTGACTTTGGTGTGGTGTGAAGGCGTAGTTCAATTTCTTTTTTGCCGCATATGGATAACCAATTTTTCCTACATTGTTTCTTGAATGAGGCTTGATTAATATGCAATACAATGTCACGTCTCTATCATATCTGGGTCTGTGTCGAGGCTCTCTATTCTGTACTATTAGCTTGTCTATCCCCATTCAAACAGTCAATTGTCTTAGTTACACTAGCTTTATAAAGTATGTTGATATAGAGTAAGTCCCCCACCTTCTTCTTCTTCTTTTTTTTTTTTCAGATGGAATCTTGCTCTTGTCACCCAGGCTGGAGTGCAATGGTGTGATCTCAGCTCACTGCAACCTCCGCCTCCCAGGTTTAAGCGATTCTCCTACCTCAGCCTCCTGAGTAGCTGGGACTACAGGCACCCACCACCATGCCTGGCTAATTTTTTTGTATTTTTAGTAGAGACGAGTTTTCACCATGTTGGCCAGGCTGGTCTCAAGCTCCTGACCTCAGGTGATCCACCTGCCTCGGCCTCCAAAAGTGCAGGGATTACAGGCATGAGCCACCGTGCCCGGCCCCCCAGCTTTTTCTTAAGGAATGTCTTGGCTACTCCAATCTCTTTGCACTACCACAGACATTTTAGAATCTGTTGAGGTACATGAAGAGTCCAGTGGGCTTCTGATTGAAATTACATTGACATTGTTGCGGAAATGTGTATTCCCATGGATGAACAGGGTATAACTTCCCACATTTGGGTCTTCTTTAATGTCTTTGGTATTAATGAGCACAAACAGCCCCAACAGAAAGAGCCACAAATTTCAAGGTTTAAGACAATAAAGGTTTATTCCAGCTTGGGTAAAGTCCTGTGCAGCCCAGGCAGCATTTTCCTCACTGATACCAACTTGAACTGAACCCCCATTCTCCAAGATCATTGTGGGAGAAGAAGAGACAACTAGATGAGATTCCCGCATCTGAACTACATCTCTCACCAGTGAACATCACTTGCTCTTATATTCCATTGTCACAAGGCCACAGCGTAACTGCAGAGGAGGCTGTGCTGTGTGGGAGATCACCTGCAATCTTTGCTGGGTATTAACTGTCCCTGCCAATTCTTTCAACACAATCTTATCATTTTCTTCATGAAGGTTTTTGCATTTCATTACATTAATTCCTAGTACCTTATATTTTTGTTGCTAGTGCTAATTCTATTTTCTTTCTTTTCTTTTCTTTTCTTTTTTTTTTTTAGATGGAATCTCACTCTGTTGCCTGGGCTGGAGTGCAGTGGCGTGATCTCGGCTCACTGCAACCTCCGCCTCCTGGGTTCCAGCAATTCTCCTGTCTCAGCCTCCTGAGTAGCTGGGACTACAGGTGTACGCCACCACGCCCAGCTAATTTTTGCATTTTTTAGTAGAGACGGGGTTTCACCATATTGGCCAGGCTGGTCTCGAACTCCTGACCTAGTGATCCACCTGCCTCAGCCTCCCAAAGTGCTGGGACTACAGGCTGAGCCACTGAGCTTGACCTCGTATTTTCTTTATTGAGGTATAACTCATATGTATCAAATTCAGCAATTTTATGTGCACAGCTCAATGAGTTTTGACAGACAGTACTACAACTACCTAAACGAGTAAGTCATAGACTCTTTCCATCACTCCCCAGGTTCCTGCATGGCTCTTTGCAGTCAATCCCCTCCTCCCACTCCCGAACCCTGCCAGTCTGCCTTCTGTCACTAAAGTTTTGACTTTTCTAGAATTTCATATCAGTATCATCATAAAGCATATGGTCTGTGTCTGATTTCTCTCCTTTAGCCTAATGTTTCTGATGGCTATGCCATAGTTTGTTTATTCACTCACCCATTCATGAACATGGAACTGTTTCCAGTTTTGGGCTATTAAGAATAAAGCTCCTGTGAAAATTTATGTTCAATTCTTTATCTGGGTGTGGATTTTCTTTTTAGGTAATTATTTAAATTGACAAAGAAAAATTGTGTAAATTTATCATGTACCACGTTTTGAAATATGTATACATTGTGGAATGACTACGTTGAAATAATTAAACTGACATACTTATCACATTACCTCACATACTTTCCATTTTTTGTGGTGAGGACACTTAAAATCTACTTCTGTCATTTTCAAGATGGATGTAGATTTTTGTTTATCTTAATACTCAAGGAATGGCATTGCTGGGCTATTTTTTATATATATATATATATATATTCCTTTTTTTTCTGTTTCTTTGAGATGGAGTCTCACTCTGTTGCTCAGGCTGGAGTGCAGTGCCTCGATCTTGGCTCACTGCAGCCTTTATTTTTAGTAGAGACAGGGTTTTGCTATGTTGGCCAGGCTGGTCTCGAACCCTTGTGATCCACTTGCCTCAGCCTCCCAAAGTGCTTAAATTACAGGAGTGAGCCACCATGCCTGGCCTGATAAATATATTTTTAACTTTATAAGAAACTTCACAAGATTCTTTTCCAAAGCTGGAATACTCTTTTGCATTTCTCCCAGCAATCATATGAGAGTTTCGGTTACTTCATATTCATGCAACACTTGATGTTGTCAGTCTTGATTTTTTACCATTCAAGAGAGTGTGTAATATTAACTCCTGGATTTAATTTGCATTTCCATAATGACTAAAGATACCGAGCATCTTTTCAGGTGTTTACTTGCTATCTGTATATGTTCTTTGGTAAAGTGACTGTTCGAATATTTACTCATTTGTTTTTGCTGAGTCACTTTATTGAATTGTAAGTAATATATTCAGGATATAAGTCCTTTATAAGATATAAGTTTTGCGATTATCATCTCCTAGTTTTTGGCTTGCCTTTTCAGTTTTTCGTTTTTTTTCTTTTTTTGAGACAGAGTCTTGCTCCATCGCCCAGGCTGGAGTGCAGTGGCGCCATCTTGGCTCACTGCAAGCTCCGTCTCCCGGGTTCATTCCATTCCCCTGCCTCAGCCTTCCGAGTAGCTGGGACTACAGCTGCTTGCCACCACACCCAGCTAATTTTTTTGTATTTTTAGTAGAGACGGGGTTTCACCGTGTTAGCCAGGACGGTCTTGATCTCTTGACCTTGTGATCCACCTGCTCAGCCTCCCAAAGTGCTGGGATTACAGGCGTGAGCCACCACGCCCAGCCTGACTTTTCACTTTTTAACCATGACTTTAAGAGAGTAAACATTTTTAATTTTGATGATATCCAACTTACCAAATTTTTCTTTCATGATTCATGCTTTTTGACAAGGGAATTAAAATGGTACACTAGAAAATATCTACTTAACAAAAAGAAGGCAGTAATAGAGTAATAGCGTGACAAAAAAGACGTAAGACATGGCCGGGCATGGTGGCTCACGCCTGTAATCCCAGCTCTTTGGGAGGCGGGTGGATCACCTGAGGTCAGGAGTTCATGACTAGCCTGGCCAACATGGTGAAAACCTGTCTCTACTAAAAATACAAAAATTAGCTGAGATCATGCCACTGCCCTCCAGCCTGGGTGACAGAGTGAGACTGCATCTCAAAAAAAAAAAAAAAAAAGACACAAGACATATAGAAAACAAATAGGTAAATGGCAGATGTAAATCCTACCTTACCAGCAATTACATTAAATGTAAGTGGATTAAACATTCAGTTTAGAGGCAGAAATTGGCAGAATGGATACAAAACCATGATCCAACTGTATACTGTCTACAACAGACAGATTTTGTATTCAAAGATGCAAATATGTTGAGAGTAAAAGGGTGCAAAAAGACATACCAAGCAAACATTAGCTGAAGGAGAGCTGGAGTGGCTATACTATTTAATAATATCAAAGTAGACTTTAAGACAAAAATTATTACTAAAGACAAAGAACATTTTATAATGAGAAAAAGGTCAATCCATCAAGAAGATTAAACAATTATATGTATATACCTAACAACAGAGCCCCCAAACTCCTAAGCCACCATGGTGGTACATGCTTATAGTTCCAGCTACTCACGAGAGTGAGGTGGGAGGATCACTTAAGCCCGGGAGTTTGAGTCCAGACTGGACAACACAGCCAGATCCTGTCTCTCTCTAAAAAAAAAAAAATTATATATGTATATATATATATATATAAAATTAGGAAGAGTTTGTGAAGGATTGCTATTAATTGTTTTCTAAAGCTTTGGTAGAATTCACCAGTGAAACCATTGGGTCCTAGGCCTTTCTTTGTGGTAAGTGTTCTTTATTACTAATGTAATCTGTCTACTTGTTATGGATCTATTTGGATTATACACACACACACACACACACACACATACACATACACATATACTCATGAAGTGAATCTGACATAATGGAAGGGAGGATAGACAATTCAACAGTCATAGTTGCAGACTTCAATACTCTACTTTCAATAACTGATAGAACAACTAGACAAAAGATCAGCCAGGAAATAGAAGATTTGAACAATATAAACCAAAGAGAGCTAAGAGGGATCTCTGGAACACTCCATCCAACAACAGCAGAATATGTATTCTTCTCAAGGGCACGTGGAACATTCTACAGGACAGACTATCTGTTAGGCCACAAACCAAGTCTCAATAAATTTAAGAGGATTGAAATAATATGAAATATATTCTCTGACCAACAATAGAACAACATTTAGAAATTAGTAACAGATATTTGAAAAATTCACAAATATATACAAATTAAACACATATGTAAGTAATCATTGAATCAAAGCAGAAATCACAAAGGATATTAGAAAATAAGTTGAGGCCAGGTGCAGTAGCTCACGCCTGTAATTCCAGCACTTTGGGAGGCCGAAGCGGGTGGATCCCTTGAGGTCAGGAGTTTGAGACCAGCCTGGCCAACATGGTGAAACCCCATCTCTACTAAAAATATAAAAGATTAGCCAGGCCTGGTGGCAGGCACATGTAGTCCCAGCTACAAGGGAGGCTGAGGCAGGAGAATCATTTGAGCCCGGGAGGCAGAGGTTGCAGTGAGCTGAGATCATGCCACTGCACTTCAGCCTGTGTGACAGAGCGAGACTCTGTCTCAAAAACAAACAAACAACAACAAAAAACCCCGAAAAAAACAAGTTGAGATGAATGAAAATGAAAACAAAAAGATAACGTACCATTCCAAAAACATGGGATGCAGCAGAAACAGTGCTTATAGGAAAATGTAGAGTAGTATGCTCTGATACTTAAAAAAATCCAATCAATAACCTAAACATTCACCTGAAGAAACCAGGAAAAGAAGAACAAACTAAACTCAAAGCAAACAGAAGAAAGGAAATAATAAAGATGAAAGCAGAAAAAAATAGAATAGAGAACAGAAAACCAATATAAAAAATCAGCAAAATCAAAAGTTAGTTCTTGGAAAAGATCAACAAAATGGGCAGCCTTTAGCTAGACTAAGAGAGAGAGAGAGAGAGAGAGAGAAGAGAGACTTGCTAACATCAGGAGTCAAATAAAATATATTACTACCAGCCTTAAAGAAATAAAACAGATTATAAGAGAACACTATAAAAAGTTGTATACCAACAAATTAGATAACCTAGATAAAATGGACAAATTAGAAACAAATTACCAAAACTGACTCAAGAATAAATACAGAATCCGAATAGATCTATAACAAGTCGACAGATTACATTAGTAATAAAGAATGCTTCCCACAAAGAAAGGCCCAAGCCCCAATGGCTTTATTGGTGAATTCGACCAAAGCTTTAGAGAACAATTAATAGCAATCCTTCAAACTCTTCCAAAAAATAGACAAGGAGGGAACACTTCCCTTATTCTATGAGGCTAGTATTATACTGATACCAAAGCCAGACCCCTCCACTCAAAAAGTACAACACTCCCCCCTTCAAAAAAAACTACAGACCAATATCTCTTATGAATATAGACACAAAATTCTCAACAAATTCTCAGGGAAGATGATGATCACTCATTTACTTATTTTTTGATAAGCGTCAGTCAGGCTTCCCTCTGGTTCTTAGTATTAGGCTTTTCCCTGAGGAAACCCCAACCTCTTTTTTCATCTACCACTTGGGTCAGATTTTCTGTTCCTGTTACGGACATCCCTTACTGTCTTTGGAGCAAATCACTGAAAAGCATTTTCTGTTGTAATTTATCCAGTGTTGGAATTTTTCCTGCTTTTTAGATTAGTTCAAGCAATGCTGGAAGAAACTCCTTTCTTTGGTGAATTCGTCCATCATTCTCAGTGTCACCTACTTCGTGACACGCAACTCTCCAGTTAGGGTTGGAAATTCCTTCTTTACTTTACCAGATCACTTTGTTTGGGTCTCTTAGCACTTTTCATGTTCTTTTCATGAAATTACCATCTCATGAGTACTCTCGTACTCATTTTGCATCCTCAGTGCCTGGCATATAGTGGGCCTTCAGAAGTATCTTTGGAAACAATTGAAGATTTCCAGCTTTTTGGGTGAGGAAGACCCTTTTCTGACTGGCCGCAAATATTCCTTCTCTCATCCCACCTGCCCACACTGAGATCTCTCTGGCTTTGGTTACAGTCAATTTCCCTTCTGTGTGTTAGTCTAGAATGTTCATTGGCTGATTCTCCTTACGTATCATGGGCAACTTTGTCTGCAGGAGCCTGATCCATAATTTTGCCTTCAAAAGTAAATCCTGGCTCTTTCCTCTCCAGAAAGCCATGAGCTGCCCAGAATTCTCGGCAAGACCTGGGTTTTGAGTTTACAAAAGGAACCACTTTATTCTTGTCTCACTAGAACTGACCCCAAGCTGTGGTATCTGGCCAGCCAAACTTAGCTTGACTGGGCCCAGTATTGCCCTTGCAGTGTTCCAGGAATCTGGGGGACCAGCTCCCTCTCTCCCCGAAAGCCAGCTAGCCAGACCTGTGCACCCTCCATAGCCTTTGCACTGGCCTGCTGGGGCCTCTGCACTGAATGCAGTGACAGGAGGCTGAGCACAGGAGTGACATGGGATGGCTGGGATCTGTACTGATGGCCACGTGAAGCAGGCAGCTCCACAGCTCTGCAGTGGCCTCCTCCTTCCTCCAGAAAGATAAGCCTCACATTACACCCTAGGCTCAGCTCAGCCTTAGTTCCTCTGCAAAACCTTAAGTATATGCTCCTAGGAGGAATTAGGGCTTTGTTAAATTCCCTCAGTACCGGGCCATGATGTATTAGTTACCTGATTTCAAGTCCATCTGCCTCACGAGGCAAGTTCATTTAGTGAAGACCTATGGTGTGCTGGGTGCTCGGGTGGAGAATCCAAGCACAGCTGCTTTCCTTAGCGAGGTCACAGTGTATTGGCGGAGACAGAAACGTGAACAAGAATGATCAGGGGACTGGATGGTTAGGCTGGGCCTTCAAAGATGAATAGATATGACCAGACAGAGAAAGCCAGTGGTCAGGGTAGGGGATAGAGAGAAATTGAGGCAGAGGAAACAGTAGAGGCCAGACATCACGGCTTATTCTGCAAGTGTAAATTGCTGTCAATGGTTAGGGCCAAATTCGGGTGAAGGGGCAGGTTAGTGGGAAATAAAAGGGACGAGGCAGACAGGGCCACACTGGAGTCTCTACCGTAGGGCAGGTGCTGGAGCTCTCATCGCACAGTGCTGAGCAGCGGGGAAGCATCAGATTTGCGTTAGAAGCAGCACCTGAACACTTGTGTGGAGGATCGCTCCCTGATTGCTGGTGAGACTCAGGCAGGGGGCTTAATTAGTAGTTTGCCTACCAGACAGCAAAGAGCTACTCTGGGGGACCTCTGAGAGGTAAGAGCTGGCAGGATTTGCTGAGCAATGTGCTGTGGTGTTGAGGGAAGAATTTAGAATGGCTCCCAGATTTCTCCTTTGGGCAACCGGGTCCACAGAAGGCAGACCCCATTAGCAAGGGGCTGACACCTAGTAACAGGGTGATGAGGCTTTGCTCCAGGACCCCGAGGAGGGAGAAATTGTAAACTGATGGCAACTCAGACACAAGCTGAGGTCAGTCTGCCTCTTAAAATCTGGATTAGGCTGATTGGAACCCACATTTCTTGACCTGTGTCCCCCTTTGCCCCCTGGACTTCTGAGAGTTCTCAGGTTTAGATTCTTATGGTCACTTCTGGCCCTCAGCTCCTGCTTCTAGCGAACCAATTCCATTCATGGGTCACCCGTGCCATGCCAGACTCATGGCCTGCCCACCGCCATGTTGGCCCAGATGCTGTTTTCTTCACTGGGGGAGTGTCCAGTAACACATTCAAGGCCATGTGCACACAGCAGATGTTACATGAGATTTGGGGAGCTGGAGGGGGTTCACTCCATAGAAGTGCAAATAGGGCAAGATCTTCTCATTTGGCCGGGCGCGGTGGTCCACGCTTGTAATCCCAGAATTTTGGGAGGCCGAGGCAGGTGGATCACGAGGTCAGGAGTTCGAGACCAGCCTGTTCAATATGGTGAAACCCTGTCTCTACTAAAAAATACAAAAATTAGCTGGGCATGGTGGCGGGTGCCTGTAGTCCCAGCTACTCTGGAGGCTGAGGCTGGAGAATCGCTTGAACCTGGGAATCGGAGGTTGCAGTGAGCCGAGATCACGCCATTGCACTCCAGCCTGGGTGACAGAGTGAGACTCTGACTCAAAAACAACAAAACAAACAAACAAACAAAAAGATCTTCCCATTTAAGAAAGGTCTTTGAACACCTTGAGGCCAGCCAGTTCCCACTGGGGTGCTTTCCCACAGAGCCCCTCATTCTTGCACCATCTTGTTGATTATACCGGTTGCGTGTCCCCTCCACCCCTAATTATTTCAGGAAATCCCGAATTATTCTTGTGCTATAGTGCAGCAGGTACTCCCACCAACCTTTTGGAGCTCAGCTTTAGGTCCCTTTCATTTTACAAACCAAGTTCCTAATTGAGGAAAAGGGTGTCTTGAGATGAATATCATCCACCATGCTTAGAGGGTAGTGGTAGTTTTAAGTAGCACTTTTCCAACATTATGTACATTTACAAGATTATTAAAAACAAGTATTATTTTCTCTCAACTACTGTCTCCTACCTCTTCCTCCTGCACCCCTGGTGAACTCCCTCCTTTGGTAGCTGGGAACCCTAGGTTAAGAATCGGGTACCTGCTGTCTGGGGTTCTGTCTGTGGTTAGCAGTGGTTCCTCTTGGCTCCCTGGTTCTCCAATCCCTGCCCATGGCCCTGTCATCATCAATTTGATGGCTTGCTTATTGCTTGTCTCCAGTCTCTCCTGATGGTTCTCCCCACTTCTGGCAGGAAGGTGGCTGCAATTGGGAGAGGTTGATGGATGGGGCAGGAATGGGGTAGGGGAAGAGGTGTTTCTTCTTCGTATACACCCTTGTCCATATGCTCATCTTAGAACAAATCTGCAAGATATTCTTGTGTTAGTTCCCAGCTTGAAGTTGGTCATGAGGCAGCACCATTGTTTCTTTTTCTTTTTTTTTTTTTTTTTTGAGATGGAGTTTCACTCTTGCCCAGGCTGGAGTGCAATGGCATGGTCTCTGCTCACTGCAACGTCCGTCTCCCAGGTTCAAACGATTCTCCTGCCTCAGCCTCCCAAGTAGCTGGGATTATAGGCGCCCGCCACCATGCCTGGCTAATTTTTGTATTTTTAGTAGAGACAGAGTTTCACTATGTTGGCCAGGCTGGTCAAGAACTCCTGATCTCAGGTGATCCGCCTGCCTCTGCCTCCCAAAGTGCTGGGATTACAGGCGTGAGCCACTGGGCCCAGTCCAGCATCGTTTCTCATGACTGTCATCTTTCATCTTTCACGTTTACCCCAGGAGGCCAAACGGCCATGGCTGCTGAAATGGGAGTGTTCTAGCACCAGAACACTGGGGACCTACTAGGATCCCTGCCAGGAGGGGGCTTCTTGTGCGCGTGTGTGAAGCCTTTCAGCACGCTCCAGGGCATGAGTCCTCGTGACTGTTTGTCTATCCATCCAAGAGACAAGCATCTGCTATTGTCAGAAACTGCCCCTGGCATTAGACATTCAGAAAGGAGTGAGAAATAATCTTGTCCCCACTGAGCCCACAGGGCCCAGGAAAAGACTCAAACAAATCATGGTAATATGTGCCAAGAGCTCCACCTAGGGACGCACAGGAGGGATAGTAGCAGCAGACGCCCGGCACTTAAGACAGAATGGCAGTAAAGAGGACACTCCAGGCAGACTGAGAATGGCCTCACTGGTAGCTTTCTGTGGCCACACCCCTGGTACACAAGGCAACATTAGTCTGGACCTGGAGGCTGTGGCAGACAAGCACCAACCTGCAGCTATGGGAGCATGGACTTCATCCTGAGCCCAGTGGAGTGTGGCTAATGGGAAGGACGGGATTTGGGCTTCCTAAAGTACACTCTAGCCACAGAGCAGATGAACAGTGGGGCAAAGGGAGCAGTGAGGACACTGTGCTCTGTGTTTAGCCCTCATTCTATTATTGCAAGCTCAGGCCTCTGGCTGCTGAGGTCCCCTATTCCCTGGCCCAGACTCTGGGACACCACGAGGAATCTTACACAGTGAACACAGTAAGGTGAGGCAGCCTGGGGCAAGCGGGCATCCCAGGAGACATCTGCTCCAGCTTCAGGTCCCTATGAGTGGTGGGGCTGGGAGTGGGGAGGCCAGGCCCCACGTGGACAGTCAGTCTGCCCTAACAGAATGCGCTGCCGCGGCAGGGACATGGCCTGCACTCCATTCAGGGACGGCTGCCAGGGGCCCCCTCTGATTCCTCAGGCTGCTCAGTCCCTGCAGGGCAGCAACAGGGGGATGGGAACAGGGACAAGACTCATTTTTGGTACTGGTGGACGGTCCAAACACCTCCTGCAGCCTCCTGGCTCACCTGCCACCCTTCCCTGAGTCTCCTCATAGACTACTGGCTTTACAGTTGTGAAGGCAACCGTGAAGTCAGTTAGAGGCTGGGAAGCAGGGGGCCCCAAAGTTGTTGTTATTTTTTTTTTTTAAGGACAAAGGAAAATAACTCTTTGACCAGACCAGAGTTTGATTGGATTAAAAAAGTGTATTGGATTTCCAATACTAAATAAAAACATGAAATCGTTTTTAAAAAGCCATAGAGTTTACAGCATCAACTACAGAAAAGGCCAAACAAGTGTGTACAGACGCCAGTCCCAGCAGCCCTCTGGGCCCCTCCCACAGGCAGTGCGGCGACAGACACAGGTGTTCCAAATCCCCCCGAGGAAGCTGCTGAGCGGCAGCTCAACCAGGACACTACAGGACACACAATGGTTTAGTTTCGAAAATCACAGGAAAATGTAAGAAAATGTATTAAATTGTGAAAAGGTGCAATACAGAATAGCTTTCCTTTTTCTTAATTTTTTAAAAAACCCCCAACTTTGAACAGTTATTTTATTTAAAAATAGGCCCCTCCCCCACCCGCCCCAATTCTGTGGCAGTATCCAGGTACCAAGGCCCTGAGGTAACAGAAGCAGTCAGGGTTTGTGGGAGGAAATGCCCCAAATACTGAGCATGTTCTTTGGGCAAAAGGTAGTTTCTGGGGAATCTGGCCCTCCTGGTGGCCAGAGTGCTGGGACAGCTCTCTTCAGGATCAGTTTAAGTGCACTGGTTTTCCAGAATCCCGCCTGGCACCCCCATGTGACCAGCGAGCTCGGCAGCAGCAGTTCCTGCATTGCACCTTTCATTGCCCCCCAAATCATAAATACAAAGAGTTCATCTTGTAAAAAAGCAAGTATGTGACAAGATCAAACATGGCAAATCCCCAAGTTCAAAGGCAGGTGGCCTGGGGTACCCACTGGTGGTTTCAGCAGCTGATCTCTTCTTGGCTATAGAACTGAAGCCCGATTTACTGTCTACACTGCCTTCCACGCTGTCTTCTGGGGATCTGTTGGGGAGTAGGGGAAGATGCCTGAGCGTCAGTCGTGTGTTTTCCATTATATATTCTTAATATTAAAAAACCACACACCTCAGCTCCTTACCTTTTTAGGAAAAAGAACCCAAGAACTATGTGCAAAGGCAATGGCTTCCATGTGTGGCTGAGCGGCTGGGTTCACCTCAGACAACTCCTGTGGCTTCATTCTCATCAGGGCTTAGCTGAGCTGCTGGGATGGGGGGGGTGGGCAGCTGTTTCCGCTGTCCCTGCCCTTGTTACTTGAAAAATAATATTCAGAAAGATGTGTGGAAGCCTCAGGGGGCACTGCAGCTCTGCCTTGTCTCATTCCTGCTAATGCTTTCTCTGAAGGGGCTCTGAAGTGTGGAAGAGAGCGCTGGACTGGCTGAAGACTGAACTAGAGAGAAGAAGGAGTCGTATACGGAAACAAACAAGTTCCTTCCTTAACCTCCAACTTCCTCAAAGAGAGCCAATAATAGCAGCAGGAAAGGGTCTCCATCCTTGCTTTCTGATTTACAGAATGGGGTCAGGCTCTTACCCTATTCTGTGTGACTCAGGCAGTTAGAAATACAACATCTGGCTCCTCAGCATGGACATTCTTACCAGGCTATGACCAAGACATCAGGGCCGCTAAATCCTCAAACCCATCTATTGCACAGAAGAATTTTAAAACCAGATCCAAATCAAACTCCAGTTGCAACGTAGTGACAATAAGGATGGACATGCCAGGAAAGGACAATAAAGAAGATGCTTCCATTCTCTGCAGGCTTCTGGAAGAAAGTACAATGACAGAAACATTCACAGGACCTCAGCAGCCCCTCCATTTCCTATTACCAACCCCCAGCCCCCCACCCGCCCCAATACTGAAACTGCACAGAAAGCAACAAACAAGTCTTTTCAATGTTACATTTCATTCAATTCAAATAGATCTGTAATCTCACAGTGATGAGAGGAAAGAGTCAGGCCTTTAATAATTATAATAAAAAAATAATAAAAAAAGCTTACAAACAGCAATGCAACATTTCCTCCCCCTCAGAGTGATGGATTAACAGCTGGTAGAGGATGCAATGACTCAGAATTAAAAAATAAAAATGAAACCAAAAAACAAGCCAACCCCAGGAACGACCCACACTGTCAAAGACTTTCCATACATAATTGGAACAAGCAGTCAAATGTCAACCACTTGTGGAGAACACCAAGGACTTCCTTGGTTTTGGATGGCGTTTTTGTTTTTGAAGGTAAAATAAAATAAGACACAAATAAAATTGTACATAAATGCCAATGTCTACACTCCATAAAGGTGATGCAGTCACAGCACAAAGACACGGCCTGACCACAAAGTGAAATGCAGGTTGCACTTCTCGCCTCTTCCCTGGACACAAAATTTTGGCCCATGGTGCCCAGTCCTGCAGAATATCAGCAGGCAAAGGGAAGCTGCCTCGACACAGGCTTCTTCCAGGCTGACCAGGGGAAGGCAGGTGGCCATGCCTGGAGCCAGCCCTACACAGAGGCGCTGGCCAGTCTGCTGGCTCATTCTGTGTTCTCAAGTGCTGTCCTCTCGTACTCTGTACAATTCCTTGTTTTCAAGGGTAAGTTCCAAGACTTCCAGACTCAGGTTTGAAGTCAGGTCCTGGTGAAGGTCGTCATGCTGTTGTGATAGCGTTTAGGTCCTTCATTAGTCCTTCCAGGTGGGCCATCTCTTTGGTCAGCTCATCTGGTTCATAGCTCTATGGAAAAGAAAACACTGTTACTGGGCTGGATCCAGGGAGCAGCTCAGAAAGGAGAGCCCAGAGAGAGGCCAAAGCCTCATGTGGTCAGTAGTCAAATGGCCCCAGAAAACTGGCTACTAACACGCAGGGTGGCTCAGAAGAGTGGAAAGTAGCAGGATAGACCCAAGGTCACTAGGATCCCGTTTCCTGATAATGCACAATGCCTTTCTCCCAACACATACTCCCCAGGGTCACAATGACTTCACAGGCCAGAAGGCCCACTGCTTGCCCCTTCTAGGTCTCTGCCCCAGTCAGCACAGTTGGTATGTCCCTGGATCTCTGGGCCCCAAGCTTTCCGCTTAGAGAATCCTGTACCTGGAAATTCAGAGGCAAAACATTTTTACTGGAGTTTGAGAGTGAAAGATCAAAGAAAGACCCTGGTGATTTTTGTTTCGAGAACAACCACTCAGGCACTTTCTCCTCCAGCATCTTGCTCAGGAAAGGTCACAGAGTAGAACTGAGGGAATGTATGGATGGTTCAAACCAAGAAAAGAACAATGACAGAAGGGACAGAACTAAAAGGCAGGCAGGATGTGGGGGAAGGGGCCATTAGCTGGGCTAGTGTGAAAAGCTAATTTAAGATGTTCAAGAGTGGATATGGGGGCCGAGCGTGGTGGCTCACGCCTGTTATCCCAGCACTTTGGGAGGCTGAGGCAGGTGGATCACCTGAGGTAGGGAGTTCAAGACCAGCCTGGCCAACATAGTGAAACCCCATCTCTATTAAAAATACAAAACAATAGCCAGGCATGGTGATGGGTGCCTGTAGTTCCAGCTACTCAGGAGGCTGAGGCAGGAGAATCCCTTGAACCCAGGACGCAGACGTTGTAGTGAGCCGAGATCATGCCACTGTATTCCAGCCTGGGAGACAGAGCAAGATTCTGTCTCAAAAAAAAAAAAGAGTGGATATGGGAAAGAAAGCACACCAAGTCCTCAGCACAGTTCCCGGCTCAGAAGAGATGCTCAACACTGTATCTACTGAATGAATGAGTGTATCTGCTTCATAGTTCTGGGTGGCGGGCCTGGTATGCACAGATTATCAGCTTGACCAGCAGTCTCAGGCCCTGGGGCATGTTCCCAGGCAATCTGGCTGGACTGATGGCCCCACGAACTTACACTCTCGGAGTCTTCCAACATCCTTGTGGTCTCCTGCACTTCAGGGGCACTGGGAACAACCACTGGCATAGGAGGCCGGCTCCTTCCTAGAGTCCCGATGGAGGCTGTCTTCACTGAGTGAATGTGATGGTTCAGAGCTGAGGGGAAAGGGCACCATCAGATATGTGGCCAAGCCTGCCTCCCCTAGACCTCATGAAGGCCCTAAGGTCCAAGTGCTGCTTCGGGGTGAGAGAGACATACAGACCCAGTGCAGGGATACTGCTCTGAAAAGTTACTGGAATAAGAGGGAAGGAGGGAGATAGCAGGGCATTCATGAGGCCAGAGAAAATATTCCACTGTCTCTAGAAAACCAATATCCTAGTCCAGTGGTTCTCAAAGTGTGGTAGTCCACAAACCCTTGCAGGATATCTGGAAGGCCAAAGCTCTCTTTATAGTAAGACATTATTTGCCTTTCCACTGTGTTTGCCTTTGCACTGAGGATACAAAGGCAATAGTGGGTGAGCTGCTGGAGCCTTAGCACAAATTAAGGCAGTGGTGCCAAACTGTAAAGCCATTCACTGACACGCACGTGCAGTTTAAAAAAGCCAGTTTCACTAAGAACCATCCTTAATAAAGGAATACATATTTTTTATTTTACTAAATCTTGACCTTACTGTATGTGACAAAATGGAAAGTATGCATAAAGTACTTCAGCTGTGTGCAAAGTATGACAGCTGTCTTTTTTTTTGAGACGGAGTCTCTCCTTGTTGCCCAGGCTGGAGTGCAGTGGAGCAACCTCTGCTCACTGCAACCTCCACCTCCCGGGTTCAAGTGATTCTCCAGCCTCAGCCTCCCGAGTAGCTGGGATTACAGGTGTCTGCTACCACACCCGGCTAACTTTTTGTATTTTTAGTAGAGGCGGGGTTTCACCATGGTGGCCAGGCTGGTCTTGAACTCCTGACCTCAGGTGATCTACCCGCCTCGGCCTCCCGAAGTGCTGGGATTACAAGCGTGAGCCACCGCGCCCGGCCAACAGCTGTCTTAAATAAAGGTACTTGTGATAGTTTTGAGTTTTGAGTTGAATGTTTTTATCATGGAATATCACTGTTAGTTCAAAGACAGACAAACTGGTTCTTGAGACATCTTTTAGAAAATGAACAAAGTGAGCCTGTCAATTCAAGGAACACAATGGATAGTGTTTCTTGCCAATGATAAAATTTAAGTTTTAAGTAAAAATCAGGATTTTGGAAAACTTGCATCCGCCACCATGGTCTTGAGAACTTAATACTTACACATTTTGATGATATTAATGAATATGTTTTTAGATACTGGATAATGAAATGTATCACTATTTGCAGAATTTGCATAATGTAGTGGACCAATATTTTCTAAATGACCGATGTGTGATATTTTAGTATCATGCATTAAATGCAAGACAGATGAATGAATTTCAATGGAATGAAGTATGAATATTTCATAGATAAGGTTTCAGATTTCACTTTACAAACAAACCTTTAAAAAACTACAACTTGCTGAGTTTTGCTGTAGTATCAAAAAAGAATATCCACAATTATCTGAAAAGGTTATAAAAATACTCTTCCCTTTTCCAATTACATATCTGTTAGGCCAGATTTTCTTCTTATATTTCAACCAAAACACCATATTGCAACAGATTGAATGCAGAAGCAGATAGGAAAATCCAGCTGTCTTCTATTAAGCCAGACATTAAAGAGATCTGCAAAAAATAAAACGACTCTTCTCACTATATTTTTGTTTTGAAAATAGTTGCTTTTCGGCTGGGCGCAGTGGCTCACGCCTATATTCCCAGCACTTTGGGAGGCCGAGGTGGGCGGATCACGAGGTCAGGAGATCAAGACCATCCTGGCTAATGTGGTGAAACCCCGTCTCTACTAAATACACAAAAAATTAGCTGCGCATGGTGGTGGGCACCTGTAGTCCCAGCTGCTTGGGAGGCTAAGGCAGGAGAATGGCGTGAACCCGGGAGTCGGAGCTTGCAGTGAGCCGAGATTGCCCCACTGTACTCCAGCCTGGGTGACAGAGCGAGACTCCATCCCAAATAAAAAAAAAAAAAGGAAAATAGTTGTTTTTCATAAAAATATGCTACTTATCTTAACATGATAGATACTTGCTTTTTTAAATGAATAAAATACTTTAAAAATTTCTTAGTTTTAATTTTAATATGGTAAATATTGATAGATATAACCCATATGAAGAAAAGCTCTTTTAGGTGCTCAATAGCTTTTAAGCTATAAAGGGATACTGAGACCAGAAATTTTGAAAACCACTGGCTTATTCTAAAGCAAATGAATAGGTAACAATTTGGAAGAGCAGAAAGCAAGCATGCCTTTGAGGTCAGGGGACTGTTACTGAGCTGTGTGGATTTGGGTAAATGACTTTCCCTTCACAGGATTCCTTTCCCTATTCTGAGGTTACTTCTGCTTTCACCACCCTATGAGTCCAAGCCTTGGCCTCCCTGATCCCTTCTCTAGTTTGCAGGGACCTTACGAAGTGAGGTGATTCCAGGGGTCTGGGCAGACTAGATCTGCTATCCATTCCCATGCCATTGGACTTACCACCAAAGGTGCTGCACATAAAACACAATTCAAAAGGTCAGCCCTTGGTTCCCAGCAAATTATTCTCCGGTTTGTAAGTGTTCCCAGAAAAGGGGAGGCCATAAACTTCCTGGGCGGGGCAATGGCACACTGCTACGCTAACAGAATTGCTAAGATAGGCTTGGAGGATATTTGCTTTGCTATACTTCAAAGAAGGGGTGGCTTTGTCCCAAGCTTGAGCCAAAGGGTCACTCCAGGTGTGCTCCCTCCAGGTGTGCTGCCATCCTCACTCACCTTGCTGGGACAGTAATGGTGTGCTTGGCAATGCAGGATCATAGGTGGGAGGTCCTGGAGGCGGGATTGCTGGCACGGCGAAGCTCTTCAATGGGTGGGAAGGGCGAACATGGGCAGTGGGAAGACTCTGGCCTGAATCTTCCTCTTGGGAGCTGGCCAAGTAAGAGGAGCTGGTAGCACCTTCAGGGTCCTGGTGATCAGTGCAGCATGTTTGAGACGAAGAGGCTGGCATGGTGTCAGTGCTGGGGGTATTTCGAACGGATTCTACAGCAGGAAAGTCTAAATGTTAGCATTTCTTTTGCCATTAAATATGTGACAGTCCCACAGTTTGGCTACTTCTAGGGGTTCCCTAAACCAGCTCAATAGCACTTGCGATCAGTGCTAGTCCAAGAGAACATGGATTAGCACCACTGCCAGGGATAAGAATGGAGTCTCGAACAATTTTGTACTCAACCAGCTATTCCAGTTTTTCACCTCACAGCTAAGTGGTCACAATTTTGTAGATTTAAAGTTCTCCTCATTATTTATTATGAAGCACTTGTAAAGGTTCCTGAGATGACTAAGATATTAAGATATAAATAAGTATAAAAGAAAATTAAAAACTTCACTCACTGGAATCTTAGACAGTGGCCTTTCATAGACAACCATGGCTAACCACCAAGGCTGGCCGGGTACCTGACAGTAGCCAGCTCTGCTGACAAGGCCTGGCGGTCACTGCAGGAGAGGCCAATGCCACAGGCCTTCGTGCCTCCAGGGACTGTGCATGGCCTCATCACAGCAAAAAACCCATAGCTCAAGTGAGAATTGGACAACAAACAGAGCAGCCCAGAGGTCTGCACACAGCTTTCAGATCACACCAAATGAAGGGCATTTTTGATTCAGAGAAGGAAATGGGGGTAGATTAGCCTGGAGAAGGGAAGGCTCAGGAAGAACATGATAACAATCTCAAAATATAAGAAGGGGCAGAGTTGTTCTGGAAGGCAGCACAGCAGGGTAGAAAAGCACGGACTCTGGAGTCAGACAGACCTGGACTCCAATCTTTGTGTACTAGCTGGGTGAATTTGACAAAGTCACTGAATATCTCTGAGTCTCAGTTTCTTCATCTACAAAAGAGGGAGAATAACACATAATTCTTTGAGGATTGAATGAGATGTATGAAAAGTGCTGAACACGGTGCTTGAATATCTATCTATTAAGATTCTTTTCTTTGTAAATTACTGGGTGCTTACTTTAAGCCAAGCACTATGCCAGCTGCTTTACATTCATTAGTTCACTAGATCCTCAAAGTAACTCAGAAGGCACTGGGAGGTTAAGCAAATTGCCCATTTGCACAGTTAAGAACTAGCAGGGTGGAATCTGAATCCCTGCCTTCCGACTTCCACACACATGCTCTGGACCACCACACACCTTTCCACACCCAGACTACCACTTGCCCCCACCCTGTGGGGCAGAAGCAGCACCAAGGCCCGGGGAGACCACATAAGGAAGACCCTTCCAACAGCATGAGCTGGTGACCAGCTTCCCCACCTGTGAGGAGAGGGATGGGGACACAGCTCAGGGCAATGGACTGTACCAGGTGGCCTGAAGGCCTCTTCTGACTTCTGGAGTCCTCAACCTTAACAAGTACAGTAGTCCCCCTTATCCATGCTTTTGCTTTCAATGATTTCAATTATCTGTGGCCAACTGCTGTCCAAAAATTTAAATGAAAAATTCCAGAAATAAATAATTCATAAGTTTTACATTTTGCACCGTTCTGAGTAGCATGATGAAATCTTACGCCATTCCACTGGGGATGTGCCTCATCCCTTAGTCCAGCCTATCCAGACTGCGTACACTACCTGCCCTTGAGTCACTTAGTAGCTGTCTCGGTTATCAGATGGAGAAAACAGATATAAAGGGTTCAGTACTATATGCGACTTCAGGCCTCCACTGCGGGGGGAGGGGGAGGGTCTTGGAATGTATCCCCGCAGATGGGGATACTGTAAAGCATGAGCAATCTGCAGAAATCCAACACATTTCCCTGCCTTTGTTGCTGAAGTAGCAGTGAATCTGTGCCCTTGGGCTCTGAGAAGTCAGGCCACACCAGTCACGAGTGGCACCTCTGATCTTGGGTCCATGGATGAGGGACTCGTACACCCTCCCAAGTGTGCCTAACTATGTTGGCCCTACCAGGCTTAGGTCACTCCTCACCCCTTAAAGGGGTGTGCTGAGGATCTTCTTAGGCTTGCTCAAGCTAGCCATCCCCACGGCGGGGGAGCTGGTGGTCCCCCTCTGTGATCCTGGGCCAGGGAGAAGCTGGGCAGGGTAGGAGCTGGCTAGGAAGGGTAGCAGGGAGGAGGAGAGAGAACAGTAGACTCATGTCCAGGCCATGTCAGCCTGTACTGACAGATATGTTAGGTCAGCTCTGGGCAAACCGGCCTCTCCTGACTGCCTCAACGGTCTGTAACTGGATATATAAGCTTCTGAGGGCCAAAGAGATGGCGCAAAAGGTGAAAAAGGAAAATGGGGTTGCCTACATGAGTCAGCACCCAGGCCTGCTACCACAGACCAGGGCTGCCTTGCACAACTCCGGGGGCCCCAGGCACGTTGCTTTTATCATGAAGGGTGCTCCCTGACAGTGTGCAAAATCACTGGCCTGCTTAGAATCCATGCTGTAAGTAAAATTCCTGCTTTGGCAAGGGGGCTACTTCCTGACTGACTTGCCTCTTAAAGAGTTAAGACACACAGAGTTCACACTGGCCAAGTGATTGGACAAGAGGAAAGTGCTTTTCCAATGTCAAGTGGTGGTGACATAGTGAATGCTCCTTAGAGCAGAGACTGGCCCTGCTTAGCCCATATATACCAAGCTGTGGCAACACTCTGAGCTCCAGAGACACAGGAGCTTAGCAAAGTACAATCGTGAAAAAGAACTTTGATCATTTCTGGATACTTGCTCTATATTTCAAATCAGTCTTCAGTAAGTCTATCACTTTAGTTTTACCTTCTATTATCCAACTAGTCATCAAAGCATGGCCTCTCTCAGTAATGCAAATTATTCTTTCCCCCTCTCTTCACTTTCTGCCTAGGTCCGTAGAGCAGGGAATGCTTACCAATACTAGATCACAAGGGAGAGGGCTGGGTAGGAGCTGCCATGCTTCTCTCCAATCCCCAAACCCAGGAGGAAGGAGGAAGGGGCTGATTTGATTGGAAGGTGCCTGCCATCCACTCAGGCAGGACCACATCCTAGCATGTGAGATTCCTTGGCCTTAAAGATGGAGAAACAGGGTTGGGCACAAAACCTCCTTTCTAAGAGCAGGTGTGGAGGCTGCTTTCTGGTCCTCTGTTCTATTTGAGACTATGTCTGTAAGGCAGACTTTGGCTCTCCATGCAGCTGGCTGGAGTAACTGTCCATCTTGGAAACCGTCTTTCCTAAATGCAGAACTCCAAATTGGGATTTGGAGGGAGATAGTAGAAAGGCCAAATTTTTACATATATATATATATATATTTAATATTTAGTAGAGACGGGATCTTGCCTTGTTGCCCAGGCTGGTCACAAACTCATGGGCTCAAGCGATCCTCCTGCCTCAGCCACCCAAAGTGCTAGAATTACAGGCATGAGCCACACTGCTCAGCCTGGAAGGCCAAATTTAGATGTGAGTTCAAGCAGCATTCTCCAAATCAGGTAATAGCTTTGGGAGTAGCTAATGTTGGAAATTATTAGGCACCCCTTAATAAAGCTTCATTTGATGTTTTGGGTATGTTTATGATTGATGAAAACTTGAAAGAATGGGGACCGGGCGCGGTAGCTCACGCCTGTAATTTCAGCACTTTGGGAGGCCAATGCAGGCGGATCACTTGAGGTCAGGAGTTTGAGACCAGCCTGGCCAACATGGGGAAACCCTGTCTCTACTAAGAATACAAAAATCAGCTGGGTGTGGTGGTGTGTGCCTGTAATCCCAGCTACTTGGGAGGCTGAGGCAGGAGAATCGCTTGAACCCAGGAGGTGGAGGTTACAGTGAGCCGAGATCGCACCACTGCACTCCAGCCTGGGCAACAGACTGAGGCTCTGTCTCAAAAACAAACAAAGAAACCAAAGAAAAACAAAAAACTTAAAAGAATGGGGATATTACTGGAAACCCAAATTTCCAGCATAAAGTTTTGAGGTTCTTTTAAAATGGAACTCACTTGAAATTCCCTTATTCCCCAGACCAGCAAAACTCAGTTCTATCAGTAACATAATAACTATTAATAGGCAAGTTTCAAATGGTGGAAAAATAATATGTTGAATATATGGGAAGTTACTAGGCTTGCCGTTTAAAACTGAGGATGAAAATTAATTTTCAATTAATGAAGAATATTTATGCCGCTTACTGTCCTCACACCTTCACTATTTCTTTCCTCCTTAAAACTGTTTGATAATGCGGTTTCCTAAGATTTCCAAACTGGGGACATGTTTGTCTAGCAACGTATTTCTTTAAATACACTTCAGAGGTAATTTTCTGTTTCTTCAGAGAGGATCTATTCCTGTGCATCGCTTCCTAATTTTAATAATCCTGAGGTTTACATCAGGCACCCTGTGGTTTACAATACACACAACTCCTCGTGGCTGGTGGCCCCACTGCTCCTTGGATGTTGTTTGCACTTTGGTCCACGGTGGAAGTAACCTGTATGTAACAGTTAACCTTTGGACCTACCCAATGTTACAGTGACTGCCAGGCAAAGGCAACCACTAGTGTCTGAAATCACCCAGGATGAGTTTTCCTTTCAAACTAGAGGATTAAAAGAAAGAAATTGGAAAAAAGACTGAGTTAAAGTGCAAGTTTATGGAACAAGGGATGCTTATGTGATTAGAGATACTGTTTTTACTAAAAGAAAACCTTGCACTGAATGTTTAAAACTTAAGTAGAAATATGGGGTGAATTTTACAGAAACAAATTTGAGTCAGTCACAGAAATGTTATGCTAAGTTAAATAAAACAGAAAAATTCCAAATCCCTCTTCTAAGTAGGGCAAGTCCTTCCCCATTTCTGCTTGCCGACTCTTTTGGAATGGTTTCCATCTGGGCTTGATCCTCATCTCTCACCTGTGGAATTGGCCCTGTCTGAAAGGGACATGGATGTGCCAATGGGCCATGGGCTGCCCGGGTGGTAGAGATGACTGCGAGCTGGAGAAGCGAGGCTGCTGGAGTGGAAATGATGGTGAGGGTTATCGAGGGAATGGATGGGATGGGCACTAATCACAGCTGTGAATGAACACAAGACAGAGAAATGCTTAACATGCTTGCACAAACACACACAAATCACAGTTTAAGAGCAAAGTCACCCCCTTCCCACCTCCCATACAATCCAAACACTCCCTTGGTTTTTTGGTGGCAGCTGGCTAGATCTGGTCAATTAGCCATTGATTTTTACGTTGTTTTTTAAAAATGAAGATACTCTTTTGCATATGTCTACATATATATAGAAAAAAAGGAATATACACTAAAATGTTAACAGTTATTATCTTGCAGGGAAGAGTGGTCAGGATTAAAATAATATTTTTCTTTTGGCTTATCTGTATTTTCCAATTCTACTATAATAAACATGGATTACATGAGTTATTACAAGTATCTATTTGAATATGTCACAAAATATAAATCCATAAGCCAACACATAAATTTTCTATTTTGTCCTGCTAAAAGGATAGAAAGAAGTCCCTTCTTTTTCGAGTACATTCCTAATTCATTCTGCCTTTGTTAAAACTGCTGAATGAAGCATTTAATGGGTATTTAGGCCAAATAAATAAGTAGCTGTTTAATCGGCTTTCATGTCTTAAAATAAATGCAAATGGAATTGAACTCTGATGGTCCCATCTAGTACTAAAAGCATGAACCACTGGCTGATGGCACCATCTTTTACTGCTTCCAGTCTGGGGACTCAGACATACCCATCTGCATGTAAGAGAATAAATGGCTCTTTCCTTCCCACACTGGCTAAGGATTCAATTAACTGCGTTTAGCTAAAGAATCTGAAATTTCCACACAGATTTCACATACTACTTTCTATGAAGACAGAGATTCCATGTACTACTTTCTATGAGGCTTCATTATCCATCTGAGATGGAAACAGATAAAATTAGAAGCCCAGAGTCTGAGAATAAACTTTTCTGAGGAACTCCCTTGGAGTGGTTGTAGAAATGGCACGTTTAAGATCAAGATAACCAGCTCTACCCCCACCAAACAGGCAAATAGGCCAAAGCTGACTAACAATACTGGGAATCTTTTTTTCTCCAAACAAAGGCTTCATGAACTTAATAATACTACTTAATTAACACTTAGTGGCCTATTGAAATGTCTTCTGTCCCCAAGGATCTCCCTAAAGTCTTTGTGGGGCTATTCAACATTACTCTGGTGAAAAGAAATCCTGGTCAACAAAATGGGTGCCTTTACTTTCCAGCTATCCCTTGTCCTGGCCACATGCAAGCAAGCAGGTGGCATGACTGGGACCCTTGAGCACTGCTGACCCTTCCTTCCCTTCTCAAGGCCTGAGGAACAAAAAAGGGGCTTTCCCTCAGGTGCTGCTCTTGGGGACCAGAGGCTCCAGGTTGTGCCCGGGAATAAAACAACAGAGGAAAGCTGTCTGAGGAGGGCTCTTGAGGTAACTGGGGAGTCAGCAACTCTAGGGGAAGACAGGTAGTTTTTAGAAGTAGGTGCTTCAGACTCAGTGTTTTCCAGAATTCAGGCTGGGGTAGGGGGAATAAACCTGATTTTTACCTAGGAAAGTACAATTTGAAAGCATTTTAGGACTCTCACAAGGGAAAAACAAAATTGACTTTTTCCCTTTTATAAGGCATTTCCAGTCTTTCTAGGTAAGTAAATAAAAAAAAATAAAGCAGTGTGAATGTGCCTGCCTAGGATATAGTAGGAAATCAGCAGCTGTTAGCTGACTCTGAACTTGTTGCTTCAGTGCATGGCCCTGGATGGAGCCATGTCCCAGCACCAGCAAACCCTTCCTGGCACTGCTCAGTCATTTAAGACCAGGGAAGGTGGGGAGTGGGTATATGGCTCCTGCAGCATTCCAGGGCCCAGAGCTCAGGGAATACCAGCTTGTGAAACAGAACTGTAGCCATGCGGGTTTTAAAAACAGTATCTGAAAACCTAAAGACCACAAGTGGATCTTATGGTTGCAGGTTTTTAAAAGATTCCACTTACCCACCCAACTGTTAAGGCACAAATTAAATAATATTGTATATTGGTGCAAACTCCTTCCCCAACATCAAAAAAAGAAGAATGATATCAACTGGACAACATATCTTTTTTACTTAACATATTTAAAAGTAATACATCTAGAAATAAAGATAGTAAAATTTTACAAGTTTTCAAAATAAGCCAGTTCAGGTAGGAACTCAAGTCTTATACAAAACAAACAAATAAGAGTATAGTGCTAGCATCTTCTTGATCAATCAGAAGCAACTGGGATGGATTAATTTACTCTTCTTGGGCATTTGTATCTTTAAACCTGGGAACCCCATCCAGGGCACCTCTTGTAAGAGGGAAACCATGGTTTTCCCCTGCATTTCCAAGTCCAGGCTTTTCTTTCCATCAAGGACCACAAGCATAAGCTACTTTGAGCTGAAATTACCTGTTAACAAATAGGGTATTACTCTTTCAAAGATGGTTTTTGTAATCCAGTATCTTACATGTTTGTGTACAGTGTTTGTGGGAGAGGGAATGCGTGTGCAGACATCCACGTGCTTGAAGCTTCCACCAAGAGGTTGGGGATTTGAGGAACTTTTCCAAGTGCACGATGTCATGGTGTACCTCGTTGCATGTATGATATTCATGGCTATTAAATCGCATCGTTTGTTGACAGATGGCTGAGAATTCCCTCAACTGCAAGCCCCACTGTGCTAGCTAGTCTGAAAGGCTTCACTTCCTTGAAAACAGTGACGAGAGAGGACATAGTAGTTTGAAAGAATCGGTTTGTCCCACTGCTTTCTGGTTTAATCATGATATTTATTTTGAATTTCAACTATTATTAAAAGAGGCTCAGAAACCTTTATGCTTATCAAAGTGAGGCACGAATCAAGAATGAAAAATGTTGTTTAAAAAATTCCGGCTGGGCGGGTGGTGGTGGCTCAGGCCTGTAATCCCAGCACTTTGGGAGGCCGAGTTGGGTGGATCATCTGAGGTCAGGAGTTTGAGACCAGCCTGGCCAATATGGTGAAACCCCGTGTCTACAAAAAACTAGCCAGGTGTGGTGGCGAGCACCTGTAATCCCAGCTGCTTGGGAGGCCGAGGCAGGAGAATTGCTTGAACCCGGGAGGTGGAGGCTGCAGTGAGCTGAGATCGTGACACTGCACTCCAGCCTTGGCGACACAGCAAGACTCTGACTCTGTCTCAAAAAAAAAAAAAAAAAAAAAAAAAAAATTCCACACAGTAAAACCTAAAGCTATTCTAAAATATAAAGTCTACTAATTTTATTTTTAAATTTTATTATTTTAATTAATTAATTTAGAGACTGGCTCTTGGCTCTGTTGCCCAAGCTGGAGTGCAATGGTGCAAAATCATAGCTCAATGCAACCTTAAACGCTGGGTTCAAGTAATCCTTCCATCTCAGCCTCCTGGGTAGCCTCAGCCTCTTGGGTAGCTGGGACTACAGGTTGTGTGCCACGATGCCTGGCTTTATTTTTTTTATTTTTTTTGAGACAGAGTCTCACTCTGTCACCCAGGCTGGAGTGCAACAGCACGATTTTGGCTCACTGCAACCTCTGCTTCCCAGGTTCAAGTGATTCTCATGCCTCAGCCACCTGAGTAGCTGGGATTATAGACATGTACCACCATACCTGGCTAATTTTTAATTTTATTTTTTTTGGTAGAGATGGGGTCCCACTACATTGCCCAGGCTGGTCTAGAACTCCTGGCCTCCAGCAATCCTCCCACTTTGGTCTCCCAAAACTCTAGGATTATAGGTGTGGGCCATCTTGCTTGGCCTTCAAATCTATTAATTAAAAAAATAAATTTCACAGGTGCTCATCAGCACTGGTGTCAGGCAGCGTAATGAAAACTTGTAACATCAGACCATCCTTAGCTCTAGTCTGGAGGAGGGAAGCTTTCCCATCTCTCCCATAGAGATATGATGCACTTTTAGGGAGACTAGTTACTCCCCTATTCCTGGGAATCTGGAGACATTGGCTTTTCAGCTTATTTACCATAAACATAACGACGCTAGCCTCAAGAATAATGTTTGTTGCAAAATATGGCAAGTGTTTGGTACTTCCTCCTTCAAGGTGTCAAAGCTTTGGTAGATTATCTTTGTGTTAGAATCAAGTGAAGTCAAAAAGATCATTCATAGTTGTTCCCCTACATGACTGAACAGATTGGTAGCACTGAGGAAAAGAGATGCTTCTACTTACGCTGGGGTGGCTGGGAGTCAAAGGGCATCATCATTTTTGGTCTCATTCCTCGCCTTCCAGCCAGTGTAGACATGCTGTCCTCTGACTCATGCCCTAGATGTTAAACGTGGAGGTTAGTTACCAGCATGTGCCCTATGCCACTGAGCAGCCTCAACAGTGAAACATTTCTAGTAGGGGATTCAGAATTCACAAACAGCATAATGGGGACAAGACATTTCTGTAAGAAGTGAAATAAAGAGGAAAATGATCATTAGAGCATTACAAGAGTTCCTGCTGAATCAATGTGGATGTCACAATGCTGCCCACCATACTTCACAGGGTGTCTATAAGAGCCTCCAGACCAAGAATGTTCTGAATACCACAATGCAAGCTGGAAGCCAGCTGAAGACACAGAATGAAATGCACAGACATGGGCTAGCTAGCCTCAAATCCTTGAATATCACGCTGCTGAAGCCTGATGAGAGACCTAAAAGATCTGCAAGATTGTCTCGTATGGCTACAGAATCTCTCTCCCATAAGAAGCTAGGTATTCTTCATCATATGTTCCCAAATCTTATCATACACATTTCTCTAAATCTGATCTCATATAGGAATTGCCAAATGAAGGCAAACTCAGGGAAAAAAAAAAAGATTTAAATGAAAATAGTTTCCTAACATTTGAGAAAAAACCTGCACTTAAAATGGTACCTCTGTATGAATTTCGCCTTTGATGGATATTGCTGTCCATGGAGTTGTCAACTGGTGTGATATCTTGAGAGTTGCGAGGAATTGGAGTATCAGTCATGATGGGGTTTGGGTCTGGAGACTTATCAATGGGTTTCAGCTCCAGTCTCTCATGATGGATCCAGAGATCTGGAGGTTTCACATCTTTGGAATTCCCTTTGTACTTATGAGAGCCATTCACTGATTTGCAGGCAGCTCGTTTCCTAGGCACGAAGTTCAGAGGAGCTTTTAAAAAGTAACTCATTTGAACGTATTTGTCAAAAGGCTTGAGTGATTAAAACTTCCTTTCTGAGAGATGTTTCAAGCAAAAAAAGCAAAAACTAAAAACATACCTCCTGCCCCCAACAACAACAACAACAACAACAAGTTTGCTCCTGGGGAGAGTAAATGTATCTCTATTTTGTCCACACATATTTAGAGATACTTACCAGGGTCTTTATGTTTGAATCCTGCCTTGTGACTACTTTTTTTGACTGTTAAAAGATTAAGATAGCATTTTTCATTATATAATCTCATAACCAGAAGGTTCATCCACAAGTTTCTAATTAGAGCAATGTAGAAACATAACAATGGAGTAGAGGGAAAGTCTGTGGCTTATAAAGGAGGGAGGCAAAAACTTTTTTTGTTTTTTTTTTTTGAGATGGAGTTTTGCTCGTCGCCCAAGCTACAGTGTAATGGCGAGATATCGGCTCATTGCAACCTGGCCTCCTGGGTTCAAGAGATTCTCCTGCCTCAGCTTCCTGAGTAGCTGGGATTACAGGCGTCCACCACCACACCCAGCTAATTTTTGTGTTTTTAGTAGAGACAGGGTTTCACCATGTTGGCCAGGCTGTTCTCGAATTCCTGAACTCAGGTGATCTGCCGCCTTGGCCTCCCAAAGTGCTGGGATTACAGGCGTGAGCCACTGTACCTGGCCGGAACAACTTCGAAGACTGCCAAACTAGGACTACCAACTAGGTGGAGTCAAGAATGGGGACAACAATGTCTACTTCTCTGTGTTTTAGCTTCTCCATTCACTCTCTTACTTACCCCTAATGAGGACATACTGGGTACCCAGTATATGCCAGACCCTGTGCTAGACTGCTGTGCCCTCAGAATTTTTGATAAAGTGAGGAATACAGACGTTGAACTATTATTTTAAAATGTTCTGAGCTTACTGAAATGTCAAGTGTTAGAGTAACTTCTTAACAGTTGGACTTAAGCTGAACAGGAAAAACCTAGAGGAGGAAGTGACATTTAAGCTAAGACCTAAAGGGAACAGAAAGTGCATTCCAGGTGGTGAAATCAGCTTATGTCAAAACCCTAAAGCAGAGTGCAATGCCCTGGTGGTATATTAGAAGGATTTTAAGAAATCCTGAGTGGTGGGGACATAGTGAACCCTGCAGAGAATGATGTGAAATAATACTAGAAAGGTAGTCAGGGACCAGATCATAAAGAGCTTTTAGGGCAATGCTAAGAGTGTGAACTTCCCTTTGTGAGTAATGAGAAACCATTAAATGGTTTTAAGCAAGAGAGTAAGGAGAACACTTTTGAGTTAAAACTTTATACCAGCTGTGATGTGAAGAATAGCTCTGTGGGGTTGGGGATAGAAGAGGAGACCAGCTAGGATGCTACTGCAATCTCAGCCATAACTGATGGCATGGGACAGTGGGAGTAGAGGCAAGAGGCAGATTTGAAAGTTATTCAGGAGGCAGACATGACAGGTCTTGGTAAATAAATGGATGTAGGGTGAGGTGGGAGTAAAGAAGAAAGAGGAGTACAGGATGATGCTAAGGTTTCTGATTTAAGCCACTTAATATTGGGAATAAAGGAGCAGAAGCGGGTTTGCCTGAAAAGATGATGAATTCTGCTCTGGACATGCTGAATTTGAAATGTCTCTGAGACATTCAAGAGGAAATGTAGAAGAGGCAACTGTGTGTGCAAGTCTGATACTCAGAGGAGGGAGGCCTTGGCTGGAGACAGAAATACAAAAGTAGCTGGAATGCTGAAGCCACGGGAGCAGATGAGATCACTTGGGGAGAACACAGAAGGAGAAGAGAGTAAGTCCAGGCCCAGGCCCTGAGGAATGTCTGTATTTGATGGCTAGGTAGACAGGAGGACCTATGAAAAAAAACAAAAAACAAAACAAAACATGCTGTCATGGATACAAAAGAAGAAAATGTTTCCAGAAGGAAGGAATGGTTGACTGTGTGAAATGTTGCTGAGAGACTAAGATGAGAACTGAAAAATGTTCTTTGGCTTTAGCAATACACAGGTCGCTGGTGACCTCCACAAAAGCAATTCTGGTGAAGTGGTAGGGGCAGAATAAAGATTAGAAAGGGCTGATGCATGGGTAGGCAGTGAACAGACATAAGAGTATAAGCAAGTTATCAAGGAATTCTGTGGTGGAGAAGAAAGGTTAGTAAGCAGCCGGTGAAAAGGACCATACAGGGGGTGGGGGTGGGGGTGAGGTTATAATTATAATTATTCCTTAAGCTGGAAGAAGTTAGAGCACACTTAAATACTGAAGAGGCGGCCAATAACGAGTAAGAGGTCAGCTATGCTGGAGAGAGGAATAACAGCAGGTAAAAGGTCTTAGAAAAATGGAAGACAATGAGATTCAGGGGGTAAAGGGTAGAACGGGCTTCAAACAGGGGAAGTACACTTAGGAGGGAGGAGGAAACGATGATTACCAGTGTAGAAAGGTGTCAGATTTGATGGTGGTGTGCTGAGGTTGTTCTTATCTGACAGCTTCTGCCTTCTTCATGAAGGAGAAGCCCAGCTTACCTGTTGCCAGTCAGGGGCTAAGGGGGAATGTGCTGAGAACCAACGAGGGTTTAGATTCTCTAAATGCTCTATCAACTTTGAGGTTGTAAGACTCTGTAAACAGCTACCATCTAAATGAACCTCAGGTATTACAGAGGAAGAAAAGTAGGAAGAAAAGTAGTAAGAAAAGCTCGCTTATATTTTTCAACAGTCAATGGAATACTTGCAAAGCAGATAACTGGGGAAGTGGGGGAGGGGAAAACCCCATGAAGATCTGATATGATGATTTTCAACAAAGGGACCCAAATCTGTAGGACGTGCCAATACAGAGAATAGAGCCTATTATCAACTCATCTTCTTACTTTCAATCTGAAGACTGAGTACCTTATTTGGCAGGCTGAGGTGGGCAGATCACTTGAGGTCAGGAGTTTGACACCAGCCTGGCCAACATGGTGAAACCCTGTCTCTACTAAAAATACAAAAATTAGCCGGGCATGGTGGCACATGCCTGTAATCCCAGCTACTTGGGAGGCTGAGGCAGGAGAATCACTTGAACCCGGGAGGTGGAGGTTGCAGTGAGATGAGATTGTTCCACTGCACTTCAGCCTGGGTGACAGACCAAAATCCTGTCTAAAAAAAAATTTACTTTGAATTTGAAGTCTTCCAAAGCACTAAGGAATTCTGTCATTTTGGTTTTCAAATTATTTCAATAACAGAAAAATAAAGATCCCAATATTTCTAAAACTGATATAAAATCAAGTTCATAGATAGATAAATATTAAATGCCAAATAAAGAGGCTTGAAGAAAAGTTCTAGAGTAGAAAAAAAAATGTAGTCTTTGAGGCTTTAAAAATAATAGTTTTCCACTATTAAAAGTAGACAGGGCCGGGCGCAGTGGCTCATGCCTCTAATCCCAGCACTTTGGGAAGCCGAGGCGGGCGGATCATTTGAGGTCGGGAATTCGAGACCAGCCTGGCCAACATGGTGAAACCCCATCTCTACTTAAAAAATACAAAAATTAGCCAGGCATGGTGGTGGGTGCCTGTAATCCCAGCTACTTGGGAGCCTGAGGCAGGAGAATCGCTTGAATCCAGGAGGCAGAGGTTGCAGTGAGCCAAGAATGTGCCACTGCATTCCAGCCTGGGCAACAGAGAGAGACACCGTCTCAAAAGAAAAAAAAAAAAAAAAAAAGGAAGAGCTATAAGAGGCAGTGGTCAGAAGGATTATAAAAGAAGCCTCCATTTTTCTTGGAAAAGTGATACAGTACAAGCTATGGAAAGCTATTTCATTTGGGCAAAAGAAAGAGAGATTTAAAATATCACATAACTTACAAAAAATGACATAAAGTCATTACCAGTAGCAGTTACAGGGTGGCCTGTACTTACCCTGTACAGTGAAAATGAACAAATTTATGATTATTAAATACATGCATTCTTGCCTTGGGCAGATCAAGTCTGCATGGATAATCACATAAACATGAATTTCTCTTTCTCTAGCGGAGCAACACCCCCATCTTATGATCTTTCAAGATATTGCAACTAAAGTCATTTTATTATGCACATTATGGTACTGCTATTAGGAATAACTCAGGAATCTCCTTTTTTTTTTCTATCTATTTTGCTAACCAGATATCTGAGTTGAATGTAATTTAGGATCAAGGATTCTTTCAAGTGTAGGACTGTATGGTATTAGCAAGCACTACATAACTGAGCCCCCTTGCTATCTGCACTTAGACCATTAGCCACAACCCTCAAAATCCCAGAGGAGTTCAAGGCTAGCAGCCATTCAGCCGCTCTGAGAAACTGATAAATTGATTATCAATGATCCTTTCCTGTTCATTAAAGCAATCCTACCCCCACCCCCAACTCTACACTTGGTAGCAATTCTTTAAAAATATTCTTAAACTTAGATTTAGAATGACAGGCCTATGGTCTTCTTCCAACTGGGCTGGCATTTGTGCTGTGACACAGCCTGTAAGAATGTCCACAGACTCCTGGGCATCGGGTTCACTGTGGGCATGTACAGATGGTGCTCCAAAGGGGGTGACCAGCAATGCCAGACACTTTCTACTTTTCTCACCACATCTATTCTCTAGTTGGCCCTCTGACCCCAGAGGTTGAGCTAAATTAACTATTACTTGGCAATCCTGCTGGGTTTCCTGGCTTCCAGCTGGGTATAGCTAATACTAGACACTGGCAAGAGGCTGGAGGGTAGGAGGTGTTTCTTTTCCTGCCACTGCCCGCTGGGAGGAGGCTGGCAATGGCTGCATGCCTCTAGCACCCACTTTGCTTTTGTCAGGAAGCCCTCTCCTACTGCTTCAGATTTCTGAAAACAGCTCTCTCCTCTTGCCCTTTCAGGCCCAAGGATGATGGTGTCTTATCATAGCTGCTAGCCTCTGAATATCCCTGCCTAGTTTGCCCTAACCCCACCTATGACTTTGTAAATTACCTCTTTTGAAATCCTTTTAAATGTGCCAGCTCTTTTCTGCCAGGACACTGACTGATAAGAGGAACCACTTCCCATTTTCTTTTAAAATATCTTAAATTCCTTTTCATGTATTTTTATGTCTTAACTTTGTGTACCACTCCATATACAGAAGTCACATGGAAGCAAAAGATAAGATGCCAAAAATCTAAGGGGTGCATCTGGGGCTTCTTACTTTTTCTGGTGAGAGGTGGTACGACGGGTACAAAAGACAGCGATAATCACAACCACCACGATGGTGATGACGCCAACAGAAACAATTATGACCAGCAGCATATTACTGTCCAGAGGAGAGGTGGGGCTCCCATGAGGGCTGTTACTGCCTGCAGAGAGAGAAATGGTACATGTGTTAGGGTTAGAGAATTTAAAACATGCATACTATCAAGCTACAGAACCATTAATATCTCACGTGAACTTCTTGATAACACTCATTGCTCTGACTTATATAAAAGTGCCGCGTGAACATGGCTCTCTTCTCTAGATGATGAGCTCCTAGACAGCTAAGAGTCTGTCCTATGAACAGTGCTCAGGACAGAGCCTGCTCAAAGATAGTACTTAATTAAAGCTTCTCAAATTGTACTGAACATTCAAGAGCTTTCAAAGGTTGAGATATACTTAGACAGATAAAGAGTCTTGGCTCTCTGGTGTCTCATGTGATATATAAACTCATTTTGTAAAGCACCACTTATAAGTCATTTAGTTTTCTGGTTTTCAAAACCATTTAAAAATGTTCATTCATACAAAGCAGAAGTTTTCCCCAACAGGCAGATATCTGAGATTATAAAAATTGCATGAAAAGTAAAGTCTGTTTTTATAAATACACAGCCTACGCAGAGTTAATTCTCTTGTTCAACTTCAAGAAACAGTAGGTCTGAAGTATGGCTTAATTTGACAAATACTGAATGGTTACTATGTGTCAGTCATTGTTCTAGGTACTAAGGTGCAATGGTGAACAACAAAGATGTGAACGTTTGGCGGGGGAATGGGATAAACGATAAATATGAAATTATTAGTTAATAACTAACGGTGTGAAAAAAAGAAAATGAGGGGTTATGATACAGAGTGTCTGGGTAGCCAATTTAGATTGAATGGTTAGAAAAAGCTTCTCTGAGAAGATGGCATTTGAGTTCAGATCTGAGTAAGAAAGATTCCATCATACAAGGGAAAGGACCCTGAGGCAGGAACAAGCTCTTCTCAAGGAAGAGAAATGCAGCCAGTGTTGTTTAAGCAGAGAGATGCAAGTCAGAAGGAAGGAAGTGAGGAGGAAAAAAGGGATAAGGCTGGAAAAGCTGCAGAGGCTGGACCATTTAGGACCCTGAAGAAGGAAATTCAGATTTTCTTTTCCTTTTCCTATTATTATTTCCCCATTGCTGAAAGGATGAGCTCTAGGCTTTGTAATTTAGCTCTAAGTCTTACTGTCTTCCATTTCTTGAAACATGTTTCTTTGCCTCCCTACTCATTATTTATGTATGCTCATATTATAAAATGTGGCAAATCCCACCACACATGTCTAACCACCATGGATATCTAATCTCTTTCCTTCTAGCTACTCTCTCTCTTAATTTTCTAACAATCAGAGGTGTACAATAATGGGATGAGCTGCCTTGCCAAGAAATGCATCTTTAGTTATTGGAAGTACTTAAGAGGCATCCTGCCAGCGTGGGATGTTGTGGAAGAAGTTCCTACCATCAAAGTATGGCCTGGAATGTGTGTTTTAAAAAAAAATCTCTTGGCTTGGCGCAGTGGCTCACGCCTGTTAATCCCAGCACTTTGGGAGGCCGAGGCGGGTGGATCACGAGGTCAGGAGATCGAGACCATCCTGGCTAACATGGTGAAACCTCGTCTCTAATAAAAAATTCAAAAAAATTAGCCGGGCATGGTGGCGGTGCCTGTAGTCCCAGCTACTCAGGAGGCTGAGGCAGCAGAATGGCGCGAACCTGGGAGGCGGAGCTTGCAGTGAGCGGAGATCGCGCCATGCACTCCAGCCTGGGCGACAGAGCAAGACTCCGTCTAGGGGGGAAAAAATCTCCTGAAGTGGTTCTCCTAACAACCTGGCTTATAAATTTATGTGTTTTTTTTTTTTTTGAGTCTCGCTCTGTCGTCCAGGCTGGAGTACAGTGGCACAATCTCCGCTCACTGCAAGCTCCGCCCCTCTGGTTCATGCCATTCTCCTGCCTTAGCCTCCCGAGTAGCTGGGACTACAGGCGCCCGCCACCATGCCCGGCTAATTTTTTTTTGTATTTTTAGTAGAGACGGGGTTTCACAGTGTTTGCCAGGATGGTCTCGATCTCCTGACCTCGTGATCTGCCTACCTCAGCCTCCCAAAGTGCTGGGATTACAGGCATGAGCCACTGCGCCCGGCCCAAATTTATGTTCTAATCCAAACTTACACTCATTGTGGGAATCCCTTCCACAACGCCGGATTAACTGACCCTCCAACTTTGCTTCTTTGATTTTACAGACTACATCTAAGTACAGTGCTAAATCTGGGGCTGATTTAGAAGGGATTAAGAGCCTATTCTACATTTGGTTCAATCATTTTTATCTTTCATTTATGAGAAAAAGGTAAGCAGACAGACAACTTAAACTGTACATACTGACCTTCAATAAAATAATGTTTTTATATTTGGGAAAGACCATGGTACTGGGGCCACTAAAATGGACCATACTGTTCATATTAGAGTAGGGCTTTCCATAACACTGTTATTAATAGCAGTGCTGAACTACAGGGTTGGGTACTTGGCAGGGCAGGCATTGCAAATTAGAGGCTGGGGAGCTGAAGTATGGGAGGCAGGCAGAGGTGGAGGTGGTTCTTTCCTGCATTTCACTGACAAATTCTCATTTACTCGCATCTGACCTCTTGCGAATGAGCTGGACAAAAGTTTTCTTCTAAGATACAGCAAGAGTGAGCTGCCAAAGAACAGTCCTACCAGGGACAATATATATGCCATTTCTTTATGCCTCATCTGGACTACTATAACAGCTTCCTTTTTTTTTTTTTGAGACGGAACCTCACTCTGCTGCCCAGGCTGGAGTGCAGTGGTGTGACCTCGGCTCACTGCAACCTCTGCCTCCCGGGTTCAAGTGATTCTTCTGCTTCAGCCTTCTGAGTAGCTGGGATTACACGTGCATACCACCACGCCTGGCCTGTAACAGCTCCCTAACCCCTCTTGCCTGACTTTATACTCTTAGCCCCCAACTTATTCTTCACTGCTATCAGAGTAATAACAGTTGATAATAAAAGATGGATGTCATAGTGTACCAGTGGTGTCAGATATTTCACATGTTATTTGTAGGATAAAGCTCATATTTCTTAGCACTGGTACTTGAGTTTTTGACAGGCTGATTCCAACCTGCATTTTCAACTCAATCTCTATCCTTTCTCTATGCAGTGTGACTCCTGGAGAGAGCAGGCTGTTTTATTAATATATTGCCATGCCTCTGCACATGCTGATATTGCTTCCTGGAATGTCCAATCCCTTTCTTGACATTTAGCAATCTTCTAGCATCCTTGAAGATCCGGGTTAGACGGCACCTCTTCTAGGAAGCTTTCCCTTTATCAGGTAGTTTGTTATTAACTCCTCTTGCTCCCACAGCTTGTCACATAGAGCCTGCATCTTTAAAAACGTGCACGCGGGCCCCGGGCGTGGTGGCTCACGCCTGTAATCCCAGCACTTTGGGAGGCCGAGGTGGGCGGATCACCTGAGATCAGGAGATCAAGACTAGTCTGGCCAACATGGTGAAACCCCGTCTCTACTAAAAACACAAAAATTAGCTGGGCGTGGTGGCAGGCGCTTGTAATCCCAGCTACTCGAGAGGCTGAGGCAGGAGACTCCCTTGAACCCGGGAGGTGGAGGCTGCAGTGAACTGAGATCATGCCACTGCACTCCAGCCTGGGTGACAGAGCGAGATTCCATCTCAAAAAAAAAAAAAAACCAAAACCAAAACAACAAAAAAACATGCATGCATGAGTGAATACATGAATGAAAGAAAGACAAAGGAGTAATTACCTTCCTCACAGCCTTAAAAATTATACTGTGGACACAATATAAATGTCACATACACATGGAGAAGAAGAAACTCATAAACAGAGTCCTAGAACCTGGAGCACAATTATTTCTGGAAGGATGTTAAGTTTGTCTGGTTCTTTTAAGGCTGATTTCATTAAAGTCTGGGCAGTTCCACTTTTGATTTAAATAGATAGCTGGAGATTAAGACATCATCGTATTCCTACAATTAGACTATGAGTTACTAGGGGACAGGCGTTTCTCTCATATGTCTCTCTCTTCCACATGTGAAGAGACAGTAAGGGTCATTCCTAGTAACTACTTCTGTGGACACTTTCCACTCTAGGTTCCCACGTCTGGTACAGCACCCACTGCTTTTTTAGGCTGAATGTGACAGTGGGAAAAGCACAATCAGAAATGAGAAGCCCTGGGTTTTGGTCCTAGGACTGCCACAATTAGCACGTGGCCCCAGGCACGTTACTTCTCCACTTAGTTTCTGAATGTATTAAACGGGAATAACGGTATCTGTTCTCCCTGCTTCACCATGTTGTAAGAATCAATTGTGACTTCATGTGTGAAAGTAGCTTATATATGGTGAAGCTCTGTAAAGACGGGGGTGTCATCATTAAATTAGAAGGCACCAGCTCTCAGGATGGCTAGGAGAGTGGAAGAATTTTCTAGAATTGCTAAACTAAAAACACTGCAGTATGTAGTAGCACTGGAAGAACTTAATGATTCTAAAAGCATTTGTTTGGCTTGGTTTGGATGGTGGCTAATCCCACTAGAGGGTTTATTTTTGAAAGCGAAACTCTAACTCTTTTCTAGAGGCAGTAGGCAACAGGATGAACAAATTGTTTAGGAATTAATCTTAAGTTGGATAACTGGGGAAACAATTTGATTTATGGGTCCTACGACACATGGGCTTGGAGTGATTTGGCAAACACTTAAATCTAGCAATAAAAGAAAACAGGCTAATATGCTACAACCCACCACACACAAGCTATAAAGGACATTTCAAAAATTTAAGCAAAAGTGCTTCATGTCCATAGTAAGCAAAAAACGCCATGGGAAAGGCTTTACCGCTCATTGGAGGTTTGTAGTCGGATCCTAGGTCTGGCAGCCGGCTTCCTTTCCCTCCAGACCCTGAGGCTAAAGGAGAAGAAATCATGTCAATAATGACCCCACACATTTGGCGTGACAGTCCACTTCATAGCTAGGGAGTGTTTTAAACAAAAAACACAATTTTTAGTCTATTCTGTCCATGAGAAAATAAAGTAGCACATAAATCATGGGAATCTATAGTCTATGTGTGGAAAGCAAACTAAGGTATAGCTTTCTATGTAATGAGGCATCTGAAAGACTGACACGCTTGTCTCACGGCTGTGAGCTGACTGTCACTGCTGTTTAGAAGCTGGGACAGTAGGTGCTATTTCTCTAGCTTAGGAAACAGTTCCCAAAGGACTGCTCAGAGGACTTACAGCAAAAGTAGCTTCTCCTAGAAAAGCAACCAAGGGGACTAATTAGGTTAATGTCTACATTAAAGAACTATACTCTTCCAAGGGACCTGGCTATGTGGATACTAATACCTGACCTAGCAGGTGTTAGTATTGTTTAGATTCTTTTCTCAAATTACAAAGTTGTCCTTCTGAATATAAAGTTACCCTAAGCTAAGCAGGAGCAGGAAGGTAAATGGAAGTTCAAATCAGGTTCTCAGTTCCTGCTCAGTCACCTAAACATTCCAGAGGCTGAAAAAAACAGTCTTCCTCCTAGTTGCTCAAAAAGACACTGTCTCCTAATCCATCATCAGGGAACATACTAAGTGAGGCTGCTGACCTCAGGCCTAGGACCACCCCAGAAGGAGGCCTCAGAAAGTGCAAATATCAGTTTTTTAAAAAATTCTTATACTTGGCCTTGAATTTTGCTCTTCACATTTATAGGAAAAGCTGCTTGGGAAAAGCAAATACGAGGACCTTTTTCCAATAAAGCAAAGGTGTCAATCTAAGGTTTATACCCAGAAAGCAATATCATACTTCTCCTGAAAAAGAGGTCTGAAAGAATTGCAAAGTAAAAGCTGTTTTATGAAGTTAACTATGAGGTTAATATAGCACATTGTTTAATAGACAGACTGCACTTGCATATTACCTCCATCATATACAACTGTTTGACTTTGGGCAAGTTATTTATTCTTTTTGGGCCTCAGTTTTCTCATTGTAACACAGGGATAATAATGGTATCCACTTCACAAAGCTGTTGTGAGGATTAAATGGAAATTTAATACCATAAAATATTTTTAATACTGACTGACACATAGTAGATGTTCCATAAATGTTAACCACTCCTATTACAAGCATAAAAAATCTTCACGAAAGAGTATAATCTTCTCTTTAAAGAGGCAGAGAGCATGA